>NC_000003.12:182455574-183705574 GCF_000001405.40 Homo sapiens | reverse complement strand
AGACAGTAAGCAAGGCAATATTAATAATAGAATTCAAGGCAAAAAAAATAACATGATAAAGATGATGTTATTAAAGGCACAATCACAAAAATACATCTTAAACTATACATCCAACAATATAGTATCAAAATACATACAACAAACAGAAAAAGGAAAGTTTAAGAAATCACACATCTCTATATAAAATTTAAAAGATTAAGACAATTTATAAAAATACAGATGATAGGCCGGGCGTGGTGGCTCACGCTTGTAATCCCAGCAGTTTGGGAAGTTGAGGCAGGTGACTCGCTTGAGCTCAGGAGTTCAAGACCACCCTGGGCAACACAGTGAAACCCTGTCTCTACAAACAATACAAAAATTAGTTAGGAGTAGTGGCAAGCACCTGTACTCCCAGCTACTTGGGCAGCTGAGGTAGGAGGATTGCTTGAGCCCAGGAGATGGAGCCTGCAGTTAAGCTGAGATCGCGCCGTTGCACCTCCAGCCTGGGTGACAGAGCCAGACCCCGTCTCAAACAAAACAAACACAACAAACAAAAAAGATGATATAGATATATATCTGGTAATTAACAAGCCAGAATTAACAAATACACACAACTCTGAACCCAACAGAAAAAAATCTTTTAAAAATATCTATAAAAGTTCATTAAGGTCGGATGCAGTGGCTCATGCCTGTAATCCCAGCATTTTGGGAGTCCAAGGTGGGTGGATCACTTGAGGACAGGAGTTTGAAACTAGCCTGGCCAATGTGGTAAAACCCCGTCTCTACTAAAAATACAAAAATTAGCTGGGCATAGTTGTGGATACCTGTAATCCCAGCTACTTGGGAGGCTGAGGCAGGAGAACTGCTGAACCCAGGAAGTGGAGGTTGCAGTGAGCCGAAATCACGCCACTGCACTCCAGCCTGGGCAACAGAGTGAGACTCTGTCTCAAAAAAAAAAAAGTTCATAAAATGTAAATCATACAGTAAGATATGAAGAAAGTCTCAAATTACTGCAAAATGTAGAAATATTACAGCCACATTCTGATCTTAATAAAAATTAATATTAGCTCACCATGATATGGAAAATAAGACACTCTTCTAATAACTCATGACTCAAAGAAGAAATTAAAACTAAAGTAACAGACTATTTAAAAACTAACGAGAACACAGTATCTCCAAACCTATGGAAATGTGGTCAAAAGTCACCATCAGAGGAAAATGGCAAACAAGCTTTCACTGCAAATACACATACAAATCCAATCCAGCAGGGTATTAAAAGCATAATGCATCATAACTGGAAAGTTTTATTGCCAGCAACAGAAAAAGAAACAAGCAGAACGAACAAAGGCTAAATCCTAAAACCAAAGTGGGGAGATCTAGAACGAAGGGGATTTGTACTACACAAGTCTACTGTTGAAGCTTTAGGAAGCTTTTTTTTTTTTTTTGAGATGGAGTCTCACTCTGTTGCCCAAGCTGGATTGCAGTGGCGCAATATCGGCTCACTGCAACCTCTGCCTCCCAGGTTGGAGTGATTCTCCTGCCTCAGCCTCCTAAGTAGCTGGGACTGCAGGCACCCACCACCACATCTGGCTATTTTTTATTTTATTTTATTTTATTTTTTTAGTAGAGGGAGGGTTGAACTCCTGACCTCAGGTGATCCGCCTGCCTCAGCCTCCCAAAGTGCTGGGATTACAAGCGTGAGCCACTACGCCTGGCCCCTTTAGGAACATTTTAATGAAACTGACTTTCAGTAATCCAAATACATATGATCCATTTCCTGAATTCTATTTTGAAAACTAAATACGGCAGCAGCTTCACCCCAACACCATCCACTCTTCCCAAAGACTGTTCAATGTACACTCTAAGAATATATATCCATTTTAATATTATACTGAGAAAATCATTAGGCATGCAGAAGCCCTATCAAAAAAATCAAAATCTATATTTCAATGTCAATTAAAATTTCTCCACCTATTTAAACATTACTCTTAACACTGTCACCTCCCTTTGATACAAAGAACTGAAAAAACAAAATACACCTGATCGTCTTTCCAAAGTTATGCTCATTTTGTAACAGAAGGAACGAGAAGTTATCTATTAGGTTGGTGCAAAAGTAAAAACCACAACTACTTTTGCACCAACCTCTATTAAAGGACAGACTCAGACCAAGGGAACTCTAGGAGACAGAAGATTCTGTTATGATTTTCACCAGAGTTAGTACCGACAAAAAAATGCTATGCTAATTATTCTAAGTCAGGTCTGACACACAAAACCTTTTGAATATGTTCCCATTTGCTGGCTAACATATCACTTTTTCTTTAACTCATCTGGCATCCAAAACAAAAACAGATCTTTTAAGTAAAAATAATCAAAATTTTATACTGGACCTGAATGGCGAGAAGCTGAGCGATCTGGTCATTAGGACTGACGTGATGTGGGACATTTCTAATAACATGTAAAGAGCTGAGCAAAAGACAGCTGAGCTCAAAAACACTGTCTCATTATTTCAGTCTTATATATTTCCAGGTCAAAAACACCAACTTTCCTATAAATAAAACGGCTTTAAGACTACACAATTTGCTAATATGGTCAGCCCCCAGAATCCATTCTGGCCAGTACGCTGTCTACAACCTTGCAAACTAGCACACAGAAGACTGTAGGATAAAACAGCTCCTCTAAATTATCCATGCCACTGCTTCTCTCCATTAATGCACCTGGAAAGCTGACTTTAGGTAACTTTTACCATTCCCTTTTTTTTTTTTGAGAGAGAGAGTCTTGCTGTCGCCCAGGATGGAGTGCAGTGGCGCAATCTTGGCTCACTGCAACCTCCGCCTCCCGGGTTCAAGAAATTCTCCTGTCTCAGCCTCCGAGTAGCTGTGACTACAGGCGCACACCACCACGTCTAATTTTTTTGTATTTTTAGTAGAGACGGGGTTTCACCATATTGGTCAGTCTGGTCTCGAACTCCTGACCTCAGGTGATCCACCCGCCTCAGCCTCCCAAAGTGCTGAGATTATAGGCGTGAGCTACAGCACCCGGCCACTTTTACCATTCCTTTACCCCACCGGTTCAACTTTCTTTTTCTGGAAGAATGAGGCATGTGGGATGTTTAAGGGGTTTGAGATTTTTAAGGTAATTTTTTTAATTTTTTGAGACAGTGTCTCACTATGTCGCCCAGGCTGGAGTGCAATGGCACGATCTTGGCTCACTGCAACCTCTGCCTCCCGTGTTCAAGTGATTCTCCAGCCACAGCCTCCCAAGTAGCTGGGGTTACAGGCACGCACCACCACACCCGGCTCATTTTTGTATTTTTAGTAGAGACAGGGTTTCTCCATGTTGGCCAGGCTGGTCTCGAACGCTTGACCTCAAATGATCCACCCGCCTTGGCCTCCCAAAGTGCTGGGACTACAGGTATGAGCCACCGCGGCTGGCCTGATGCAGATTGTTTCCATATCATCTGTTCTGTAGTAGTTAGGGGGAAAAAAAGCTTTCGAAGGCTGGAGTTCACTTCATGGATGAGTCGGAATTTGATTCTTGAAGGATGAAGAGCATTTCGGTAAGCGGAGAAGGTAGAGGTGAAATATGAGCCCATTGGAAAGTAACTGTGAGATGTTCAGGCATGTGAACTTTGATGACTGCAGACATGGAGAAGTAGAACTAGTTCTAGGCAAGGGCTGTTTATCCTGCTTGTCTGAGGAGTGAGCTGTGGGGAACCTGTTAAGTGGTTGTAATGAAAGCTGAGGGTGAGGAGAATGCAGTGGGGAGGGGCTTGAACTTTACCTGCAGTGCTTCTACTGGCGATTGTTATGTATTTTGTTTTTAAGTTTTAATTTATTTGAGAGTGTGGATATACTTTTTTAATTGAAATATAATTCACTTAACTTAAAAGGTACTGTTTTAGGCCAGGCACAGTGGCTCATGTGCCTGTAATCCCAGCACTTTGGGAGGCCAAAGCAGGAGGATTGCTTGAACCCAGGAGTTTAAGACCGGCCTGGACAACATAGGGAGACCTTGTCTCTACTGAAAAAGAAAAAGAAAAAAATTAGCTGGGCATGGTGGTGTGTACCTGTAGTCCCACCTACTTGGTAGGCTGAGGTGGGAGGCTCGCTTGAGCCCAGGAGTTCAAGGCTGCAATGACCTACGGCTGCATCACTGCACTCCAGCCTGGGCGACAGAGACAGACCCTGTCTCAAAAAATATATATATTGACCGGCCGGGCGCGGTGGCTCAAGCCTGTAATCCCAGCACTGGGAGGCCAAGGCAGGCAGATCACGACGTCAGGAGATCGAGATCATCCTGGCTAACATGGTGAAACCCCGTCTCTAATAAAAATACAAAGCAAAAAAACTTAGCCAGGCGAGGTGGTGGGTGCCTGTAGTCCCACCTACCCAGGAGGCTGAGGCAGGAAAAGGCGTGAACCCGGGAGGCAGAGCTTGCAGAGAGCTGAGATTGCGCCACTGCACTCCAGCCTGGGCGACAGAGCGAGACTCCTTCTCAAAAAAAAAAAAAATTTATATATATATACACACACACACACACACACATATATATATACACACACCAGTTAAAAGAGTGCAATTCAGTGGATTTCAGTATATTCACAAAGTTGCACAAAAATCACCACTATCTAATTCCATAATGTTTTCATCACTCCAAAAAGCAACCACTTACCTCTTAATTGTCACTCTCAATTCTCCTCTCCCTTCATCCCCCTGGCAACTACTTTTTGTGTGGATAAACTTGCCTGTTTCTGGACATTTCGTATAAATAGAATCATACAGCACGTGGCTTTTTGTATCTGCCTTTTTTTTTTTTTTTTTTTTTTGAGACGAAGTCTCCCTCTGTCGCCCAGGCTGGAGTGCAGTGGCGCGATCTCCGTTCACTGCAACCTCCACCTCCCGGGTTCAAGCAATTCCCCTGCCTCAGCCTCCCGAGCAGCTGGGATTACAGGCCTGGGCAACAGACTGTGATTCTGTCTCAAAAAAAAAAAAAAAAAAGAAAGAAAAGAAAAGAAAAAGAAAAAATCTGCTTCACAAGTCTTGTTTTCTGTGAGAAAACTGCATCAACTCCCACCATCTACTGGGTATCACGACAGAAAACAGACTGAAAGCAGAGCAGGACCAAAGGCAGGGAGATAGGGAACAATCCAAGAACGTGGCAATGAACATTCAAATAAAAATCCGTAGTTGATGAGAAGAGGACAGGACCAACTATTTCTGAGAATCTATTCTAAGAAAATACAGGGTAATGTACATCGTATGTGGGCTACACTCAGAGATCTACAACCTAAATGTTAATTCTCTTCTTCCTATGGATTTTATAATAAAAAATAACCCACAGTAAAATATCATGCATCCACTGAATGAACATGAAGCATTTGAAACTGAGAAACATGTGGGGAGAACTCTGCATGCTGTATGTCAAGCTACCTATTTTTAATATCTAAAGAACTTTTGACAATCAATTAGGAAATAACAAAAGATGACAGAGAACAGGAAAAGAAATTCACAAACAGCCAATAAATGGGAAAAAAATGTTCAAACATACTAGTAATCAATAAATGAAAAAAACACAAGACACCATTTTTCATCGATTAAGTTTAGTTTTGGGGCAGATGGAAATGGGGCACTTTTTTTCTAATTTGCACTCATTAGTTTCATTTCCTCACATCCGGTTCCCACCTCCCACTTCCAGAACTATGGACAGGAAGACCAATGACCAAAACCAATAACCACCGTGTTGCCAAATTCAATTGACAATCTTAATGAACATCTCAGAAGCCCTGATAAAAGGACCAATTCAACATCTTCCAGAAACACCTCTTTTGGCTGCCATGATACATGCCATTTTGGTAGGAGCTTTTTCTCCTACCTCACTTGCTGTTTCCTGCGTCCTTTCCCCAACCTTCTTCCTCTACCAGACCTAGAGGTATTTGAGTGTCTGCGCCCTTTTCACTTCTCCACACTCTTTCCCCTCAGTGATCTCACACAGCACCATACCTTTGAATATCATCTACGTACAGATCACTCCCAATTTTTTTTTTTTTTAAGAGACGGGGTCCTTCCTGCCTTGTAGCCAAGGCTGGTCTAGAATATCTGGGCTCAAGCGACCCGCCTCGGTCTCTCAAAGTGCTGGGATTTCAGGTGTGAGCACCGCGCCCAGCCACTCCCAGATTTTTATCTCTAGCTCTAGCCTCTCTCCTCCTTGAGTTCCAGCCCTCTACATCCAACTGCCTCAACACACCGACTTCATAACTAACATGCATCTAAAATTTAATACATCTAAAATAGAATTCGTTTTTCCCACCTCAAATTTCTCTCTTCCATTCTTCATCTCAGTAAACAGCACCACCACCTACTCAGTTGCTCAAAACAAAAATCAAAAAAGCAAAGATTCCCACCATTCCCTCACCAATCCAAGTCTTGTTCATTCTACCTTAAAACATTTAAAAATCTGTTTATACTTCCCCATCTCCCTGCCACGGGCCTAGTCCAAGCTACTGCAAAGAGCACAGTAACTGACCTCGTAGGTTCCTCCCCAGCCCTCTTCCTCTACATAGCAGTCGGATCATGCTACTCGCCTTCTCAAAACCTTCAAAGGCTTCCCGGGAAAAACTAAACTCCTTATCAGGGCATCATCTGCCCTATCTTTTAAAGAGTATACACAAACAGGAATATACATCCAAGGGTAGTATCTCTAGATCGTAAAACTGCGGGCATTTTTCTCTGGCTTTGCTTGTATTTTTAAATTTTTCTACGCTGAATACCCTCTACTCATTAAGAAAGGGGAAATGATATTGCTGAATTCTATATAATATTATACCGCATTTTTTACATGTGAGCGAGAAAAGGGAATGGAAAACGTGGGTCAACTCTGTAACTGCTGAATGCTTAGATGAAAATACTAGCCAACATCAAACTAAAAAAAAATGATGTGTCAGGCCTGTAAGATTGCTGATGGCATTTCTCTTCCTCTGGTTTCTATTTCTTAACATAATCACATTCATGATGGAGAAAACCTCATTGTCTTCTGCAGTCTGGCCACAGCCCTTCAAGCCAGCCTTTCCTGCAGGAGTCCTCACTTTCCGAGGCTTCCACTCCGCCCCGCACTGCCCGCAGCTCCGGCGCGTTGGCCCCGGCCCCATCCCTGGACCCCCAAAGCCTCTCTGACCCCTCCCCTCCATCCCAGGGAGGCCCGGTGGGGATGGCGACAGGTTGGAGGGGCATTCCAGGATCCTTTCGGTAAACCCACGACTTTCTGGTGCTGGGGCCAAATCTTGCCTCCAAGGCCAAGAGCTTAACATCCTAAAAGCTCCGGCCGCTGTGGCTCGGGGTCCCGTATCCCCTCAGCGCAGCGCCCCGCTGAAGAGGAAGCCCCCAACTCACGTTCCAATTCCAGGCTCCCGCTTCTGCGGCTCCCCGGCCCGCACCTGGGATCCTCCCTGCCCTCCCCTCGGCCCCGGGGCCTCACCGGGTCCCGCTGCCGCGCTGCCTGCCGATGGGGGAGGGGCGCGCACGTGCCCGCGCCGCCCCCGCCCAAACAATGCCCCGGAGAGCGGGGCGCGCTCCCGGCCGGTCCCTTCCTGCGCCCGCCAACACTCACCCTTTCTCCGGGTCTCCGGCTGCAGCGCGGGCCCCGCCGGCCGCCGCGAGAGAGCACGGCGAGGTGAGAGAGCGGGCGAAGCCCCGCGGAGCTGCCCCGCCACAAGGCCCCAGCGACCCCCGCAACCTGCGGAAGCACACGGCGCGGTGGAGCCCGCCCGGCGCGTTCCGCCCCGCACGTCAGCAGCTGGGCGCGTCGGGGCGCGCGCGGCGGCGCGCGCGGCCTCGGGGCGGAGCTCCCAGGGATGAGGGCGGGGCGGGGCGGGGCGGGGCTGGTCCGGGCTGGGACCCCGGCCCGCGAGGGCACTTCCTGGGCAGTGTGGGCGTCGATTCTTGCAAAGGCACAGTCGTCCATCACTTTCCTGCCCCAGAAGATGGCGAATTTCAACCCCAAGTTTGACAGAATATTCATTCTGCCGGCGTGTATGAGCTTCCCTATTAATCACAATAGTGACTATGATGTTTGTGTGTGCCATCTTTGTGCCAACCCATGTGCTAAGTGCTGGGTATACAAAATAACAGTAGTTATTTCTAGCCCATTTTACAGATGAAGAAACTGAGGCAGGGAAGGCTTGAGACTTATCTCAGTCACACTAGCTAGTGACAATCCAAGTCCAGTTTTCCACCTAAATATCACTTGAGGCCAACATTCTCTTTCGTTGTAACTCTACCACCCTACCCAAGACCCTGTAATCTCTCTGCCCAAGACTATGAATAGCCTCCCAACTGGTCTTGGGGAACTTCTGTTCCCCTTCAATCCCTTCTCACTGTATAACGATTTACTACTGGAGCTGAGTGGTGGGTTTAGGAAGTTCACTTTTTTTTTTATACTTTACATACATGTTACCAAATTTTTAATGTATTTAATGTTTTTATCAACGCATAATAAATATAAGTGGTGTTTTGTTTTTTGTGTTTTTTTTTTTTTTTGAGATAGAGTCTCCCTCTGTTGCCAGGCTGGAGTGCAGTGGCATGATCTTGGCTCACTGCAGCCTCCGCCTCCCGGGTTCAAGCGATTCTCCTGCCTCAGCCTCCCAAGTAGCTGGGATTACAAGGCGCGCGCCACCACGCCTGGCTGATTTTTGTATTTTTAGTAGAGACAGGGTTTCACCATGTTGGCCAGGCTGCTCTCGAACTCCTGACCTTAGGTGATCCACCCGCCTCAGCCTCCCAAAGTGCTGGGATTACAGGCGTGAACCACCACCCCCAGGCTAATTTTGGTTTTTTTAGACAGGTCTCACTATCACCACAGCTAGTCTCACACTTCCGGGCTCGAGAGATCCTCCTGGCTGGGCACGGTGGCTCATGCCTGTAATCCCAGCACTTTGGGAGGCTGAGGCGGGCGGATCACCTGAGGTCAGGAGTTCAAGACCAACCTGGCCAACATGGTGAAACCCCGTCTCTACTAAAAATACAAAAATTAGCCAGGTGTATTTGGGCATGCCTGTAATCCTAACTACTTGGGAAGCTGAGGCAGGACAGTCACTTGAACTCGGGAGGTGGAGGTTGCAGTGAGCCATTGCACTCCAACATGGGCAACAAAAGTGAAACTCCATCTCAAAAAAAAAAAAAACTAAGAAAGGCTTCCTTGAACCTTAAGCTAAGACTCAAGAGATAATAGGAACTGGGGAGATAAACAAATTTCATGGAGAAGGGGGTGAGGTCACAGGTCAGGATGAGTGTGTTGGTGTTCCCCTACTCTTAGGGTTTAACAGTGAGGTGGAAAGCATAGAAATACCCAGATAAGTGCCAAGAAAGCTAGAAGCTGACTTCCCTTGGTGTAGCTTGGAAGGCTGTCCAAGTCTGTGAGAAGGCTCACACAGTAGGGCTTGGGAGCAGGCCATGGCGTTGGGAGGAGTCTGCAATAGTGCTGCTGGAGCGCTGCAGCTTGCACATTTAGGTATGTCAGAATTCCAGACTTCTCTTGTTGCTCCCTGCCTGGCATGCAGAAAGTAGCATGGTTAAGAGCCATGGACAGACCAATAGGCACTGTGCCAGGGGGCAGGTTTCCTAAAGCAGAGGCCTTGTGGTGGGCTGATGGCCAGGGAATGGCTACAGAACGTAGCTAAGACCCCAAGGATAGGCAGTACTGAAGATACCAGTGGAGCTGAAGCACCCCTAAGTCAGCTGGTGAGAGGAGCGGGGATGGAGGAGTGGGGATGAAAGATGAGACATCAAACTCTGAAGGTGCTAAAGCAACAGGTCATGAGCTTGCCAACCAACCACCTCAGCAGCTGATGCCTGCAGGGCAGTGGAGACCAGAAGTCACCAGAGACATAGCAGCAGAGGCCAGTGAGAACCCAGGCTATAGCTTGAAATCCCGCACACAGATCTCCCCTCCCACCGCTGCCTTGAGGCTTCCCCTGTATCCTGTAGGCCGCCTTGGGAAGTCAAGGGGAAGAAGGGTAAAGTTCTGATAAGACTACAACTTTGAACTGTTTACCCAAATATTCACCAAAATGAAACTTTTTTTTTTTCTTTTGAGACTGAGTCTTGCTCTATTGCCCAGGCTGGAGTGCAGTGGTATGATCTTGGCTCACTGCAACCTCCGCCTCCTGGGTTTAAGTGATTCTCCTGCCTCACCCTCCCGAGTAGCTGGGACTACAGGCGCGTGCCACCATGCCCGGCTAATTTTCTGTATTTTTAGTAGAGACGGGGTTTCACTGCGTTAGCCAGAATGGTCTCGATCTCCTCATCTCGTAATCTGCCCGCCTCAGCCTCCCAAAGTGCTGGGATTACAGGCGTGAGACACCACACCCAGCCTATTTGCCCTTTTAAAAACATCACTTGCAGCTGGGCGCGGTGGCTCGCGCCTGTAATCCCAGCATTTTGGGAGGCCAAGGTGGGTGGATCACCTGAGGTCGGGAGTTCGAAACCAGCCTGGCCAACATGGTGAAACCCCATCTCTACTAAAAAAAAAAAAATGCAAAAATTAGCTGGGCGTGGTGACACATGTCTGTAATCCCAGCTACTCTGGAGGCTTGAACCTGGGAGGTGGAGGTTGCAGTGAGCCGAGATCATGCCACTGCTCTCCAGCCTAGGTGACAGAGTGAGACTCCGTCTCAAAAAAAAAAAAAATCATTTGCCCCAATGAGTAGGTGGGGAATGACTGAAGAGGTGTGTGAACATAGAAGCAGTGAGACAGTTGGAAAGCAATTTCAGTCATCCAAGCAAAAATTGAGGGTGGCACTGGTCGTGGTGGCTCACACCTGTAATCCCAGCACTTTGGGAGACGGAGATGGGCAGATCACCTGAGGTCAAGAATTCAAGACCAGCTTGACCAATATGGTGAAATCCCGTTTCTACTAAAAATACAAAAAAATTAGCTGGTCGTGGTGGCTTGTAATCCCAGTTACTCGGGAGACTGAGACAGGAGAATCGCTTGAGCCCAGGAGGCAGAGGTTGCAGTGAGCCAAGATCGTGCCATTGCACTCCAGTCTGGGCAATAAAAGGGAAACTCCATCTCAAAAAAAAAAAAAAAATGAGGATGGCTTACCCTGGCAGTGGAGATGGTGGGAAGGAGATAGATACAAGAACTATGGAGAAAATACCAGAAGACTTGATGACGATGAACTGGGAGGAGACTGGGGAGAGAAGGGAAGGGGACTGGCCTCTGCTAAGTCAAAATGGCCTCTTAGATAAACTGCCCCTTCCTCCAGGCAGACTCAGCTCTGCTCTGGAGCTTGGCAAGTGTTTAGAGGCTGGTTTTAGGCTCCTGGCTAGCCAGGCTCCCTTAGGCAGCACTCACCTGCACAGCCACTGGAGGTGGGCCTGGAGGGAGAACTGGGGTTGGCTCATACGTTTCCAGCAGTGGCTGATGGTGGATGATGGTGTCATTTCCTGAAAGGAGGGAGACTAAAGGAAGAACAGATTTGAATGTTGGGGGTGGGAGAATCAAGAATTCCCTTTGGGGCATTTTAAGTTTGAGGCATCCACTCGAATACTTTTTTTTTTTTTTTTTTTTTTTGAGACAGAGTCTCGCTCTGTTGCCGAGGCTGGAGTGCAGTGGTGCGATCTTGGCTCACTGCCACCTCTGCCTCCCGGGCTCTAGCGATTCTCATGCCTCAGCCTCCCAAGTATCTGGGATTACAGGCGTGTATTACCACACCCGGCTAATTTTCATATTTTTAGTAGAGACGGGGTTTTACCATGTTGGCCAGGCTGGTCTCGAACTCCTGACCTCAGGTGATCCACCTGCCTTGGCCTCCCAAAGTGCTGGGATTACAGGCATGAGCCACCACACCTAGCCCTGAAGATATTAAATCTGTACATAAGGCTTTGGGGCTCAGAAGAGACCTGATGGGTGGCACTGTCAACGTACTGTTGTCAACAGGTAGTTAATGAACACTGGTGAGGTTGCCATGAAAGAGTACAGTTCAGAGAGATTGCGTAGTCACAGCCTACAGATGTCACATTTTGTTTTAAATGAGCCAACATTTCAAACACTGACAAATTTCACATAATACCCTGAATTTCTGCTTCTATGGAAAATCAGAAACTGTGGTAACCTGGCCATACGTTGTTATTTTTTATTTTATTGTTATTTTTGGGGGGATGAAGTCTTGCTCTGTAACCCAGGCTGGAGTGCAGTGGCACGATCTCGGCTCACCGCAACCTCTGTCTCCCAGGTTCAAGCAATTCTCCTGCTTCAGCCTCTCGAGTAGCTGGGATTACAGGCGCATGCCACCACATCCGGCTAATTTTTGTATTTTTAATAGAGAAGGGGTTTCACCATGTTGGCCAGGCTGGTCTTGAACTCCTGACCTCAGGTGATCCGCCCACCTCGGCCTCCCAAAGTGCTGAGATTACAGGCGTGAGCCACCGCTCCCAGCCCATACATTGTTATAATTGGATATTAGCTATTAATAACACTACTTACCAGGCAGTGCTCCAAGCACTTCACAAATTTAATCTTTGTAACAACTTTATTATTATCATTCCTACTTTATTTTATTTTATTTATTTATTTTTTGAGATGGTGTCTCGCTCTGTCGCCCAGGCTGGAGTGCAATGGTGTGATCTCGGCTCACTGCAACCTCCGCCTCCTGGGTTCAAGCGATTCTTCTGCCTCAGCCTCCCGAGTAGCTGGGACTACAGGCGCGCGCCACCACGCCCAGCTAATTTTTAAAATATATTTTTAATAGAGACGGGGTTTCACCATGTTGGCCAGGATGGTCTCAATCTCTTGACCTCGTGATCCGCCTGCCTCGGCCTCGGCCTCCCAAAGTGCTGAGATTACAGGCGTGAGCCTCCGCGCCCGGCCATCATTCCTATTTTAAATAAGAGAAAAATGAAGCATGAAAAGGTTGAGTAATTTAGCTGTGTCAGACAGCTAAGAGTGGAGCTGGGTTGTAGACCCAGGCAGTCTGCCCCCAGGGCCTGAGAGTTTAGCGGCCATACCAGGAAGCAGCTGGAAAGCTGCAGTCCTACTTAGAGAAGCCCCATTACCTTCAGGGCAAAGGTCCCATACCAAGCCCTAGTGTTTTCCTAACACCTTCCTCCATCCCAGTCTGAGCGTGAGTTTGTTTCACTCACACTGCTATTTTCTGATACCAGAGAATTATGTCTCTATACCCATGACAAGTAGAAAATGAAAAATATTCAATTAAGATACAGCTGGGAGTGGTGGTGTGTGCATGTAGTCCCAGTTACTCCGGAGGCTAGGGCAGGAAGATCGCTTGAGCCCAGGAGTTCCAGGCCACCCTGGGCAATATAACGAGAGACCCTATCTCTCTCTTTTTTTTTTTTTTTTTTTTTTTTTTTTTTTTTTTTTTTGAGATGGAGTCTTCGCTCTGTCGCCCAGGCTGGAGTGCAGTGGTGCGATCTCGGCTCACTGCGAGCTCCGCCTCCCGGGTTCACGCCATTCTCCTGCCTCAGCCTCCTCAGTAGCTGGGACTACAGGCGCCCGCCACCACGCCCGGCTAATTTTTTGCAGTTTTTAGTAGAGACGGGGTTTCACCGTGTTAGCCAGGATGGTCTCAATCTCCTGACCTTGTGATCCGCCCGCCTCGGCCTCCCAAAGTGCTGGGATTACAGGCGTGCATCACCATGCCCTGCTAATTTTTGTCTTTTTCGTAGAGACGGGGTTTCAACATGTTGGTCAGGCTGGTCCCAAACTCCTAACCTCAGGTGATCTGTCCGCCTCGGCCTCCCAAAGTGCTAGGATTACAGGCTTGAGCCACCGCATCCAGTGGAAAAGTTAACTGTTATTAAATTTAGTACAGAAGGTTCCAGGAATGCTGACGCTGACCCTGGAAAAGAAGTCCGGTGGCTGAGAGTCCTCCTGCTGGGAGCTGCTGCCCAACAGATTGAGGGGCTCAACGTGGGGGGAAGAGGGCATCAGAGGAACTAGGAAAGCTTGAGAAGGATGGTGGATCCAAAGCTCTGCCTGACAGTGGGAGGGGGAGGCTGGCTCAGTTGGAAAATTGTTGCTAGACTCTGACCCAGAAGTACCCAGTATCCCAGCCTCCTTCCTGGGAAGACCAACGTCCCTTTCTAAGTTTAACAGGAATGGGACCCCCGGGGACGCTTAAGGTGCTGAAATACCCCCACCTGAATGCAGATACTAATTAGACTTGTAAAATGAGAACTCCACTTCTTAATACCCCCAATAAAACTGTTGTCTGGGCTTGGTGGCTCACGCCTGTAATCCCAACACTTTGGGGGCTGAGGTGGGCAGATCACGAGGTCAGGAGTTTGAGACCAGCCTGGCCAAAAGGGTGCAACCCTGTCTCTACTAAAAATACAAAAATTAGCCGGGCATTGTGGTGGGCGCCCTACAATCCCAGCTACTCAGGAGGCTGAGGCAGGAGAATCGCTTGAACCCGGGAGGCGGAGGTTGCAGTGAGCTGAGATTATGCCATTGCACTCGAACCTGGGCAACACAGCGAGACTCCATCTCAAAAAAAAACTGTTAAAAGTTAGTGCCTAGGAATTACAATCAGGCTGTTAAAAATAAATGATTGTGCCCAACTAGGCCCAAATGAGAAACCAAATGTCTAGTTGGCCTATTAAGATTTTGGCAAAACCATATCCCACCCTTGTAGATGGACCCTATCATAACCCAAAAGAGCCAAGCAATGTGCTTCTCCTATGCTATATACTGAATGTTTGTGCCCTCCAAAATTCCTATGTTGAAACCTAATCCCCAATGTGACAGTATTTGCAGGTGGGGCCTCTGGGTGGTGATTAAGTTCTTCAGGGTGGAGTGCCCTTTCTAAATTTTTTGTTTTGTTTTGTTTTGTTTTTTTTGAGACAGAGTCTCACTCTGTTGCCTAGGCTGGAGTGCAGTGGCATGATCTCAGCTGACTGCAACCTCCATCTCCCGGGCTCAAGTGATTTCCGGCTAATTTCTGTATTTTTAGTAGAGACGGGGCTTCACCATGTTGGCCGGGCCGGTCTCCAGCTCCTGACCTCAGGTGATCCGTCCGCTTCGGCATCCCAAAGTGCTAGGATTACAGGCGTGAGGCACTGTGCCTGGCCACCCTTTTAAATTAAAAAAAATTTTTTTTTATTTATTTGAGATGGAGTCTCACTCTGTCGCTCAGGCTGGAGTGCAGTGGCACAATCTCGGCTCACTGCAACCTCCACCTCCTGAGTTCAAGTGATTCTCCTGCCTCAGCCTCCCAAGTAGCTGGGATTACAGACACGCGGCACCATGCTTGGCTGATTTTTTTTGTATTTTTAGTAGAGATAGGGTTTCACCATGTTGGCCAGGTTGGTCTCGAACTCCTGACCTTAGGACCTTAGGTGATCTGTCTGCCTTGGCCTCCCAAAGTGCTGGGGTTACAGGCATGAGCCACTTTGCCCAGCTTTAATTTTTTTTTTTTTTTTGAGACAGAGTTTCCCTCTTGTTGCCCAGGCTGGAGTGCAGTGGTGTGACCTCGGCTCAACGCAACCTCTGCCTTCCGGGTTCAAGCAATTCTCCTGCCTCAGCCTCCTGAGTAGCTGGGATTACAGGCATGCGCCACCATGCCTGGCTAATTGTGTGTTTTTTGGTAGAGATGGGGTTTCTCCATGTTGGTCAGGCTGGTCTCGAACTCCCAACCTCAGGTGATCCGCCCACCTCAGCCTCCCAAAGTGCTGGAATTACAGGGGTGAGCCACCACACTCAGCCTGCCTTAATTTTTTTTACTGTAGGGTCTTGCTTTGTTGCCCAGGCTGGCATGCAGTGGTGCAATCATGGCTCACTGCAACCTCGACCTCCTGGACTCAAGCGATCCTCCCCCTCAGCCTCCCAAGTAGCTGGGACCACAAGTGTGCACCACCACGCCCAACTAATTTTTAAAAATTTTTTGGTAGAGGCAAGGTCTCACTATGTTACCCAGGCTGGTCTCAAACTCCTGGCTTCAAGTGATCCTCCTACCTCAGCTTCCCAAAGTGCTGGGATTACAGGCATAAGCTACCATGGCTGGCCTAATGCCCTTATTTAAAAGGTCCCAGAGTACCCCCTTACCCCTTCTGCCAGGTGCGGACACAGCAAGAAAATGGCTGTCTGTGAATTAGGAGAAGGGCCCTCACCAGACACTGAATCTGCTGGTGCCTTGATATTGGACTTCCCAGCCTCCAAAACTGTGAGAAATTTCTGTTGTTTATAAGCCACTCAGTCTAGGGTTTTTGGTTGTAGAAGCCCAAATGGACTAAGACATCCTCCATGTGGATTGTGCAGTATCCACAGAATACAAACACTGGGGGCAGGGCATGTTATTATTTATTTTTAAAAAAATGGATATTTATCCCAGAAGGAATCTTTCTATAGCTAGAACTAGTTGGTTTCTCTGCATTTGTTTTACATAAAAATAGAGCCGCTAGATGTCAAGAATGTCATTTATTGCTGATAGGAATATAAAAGGGTACAGCCACTTTGGCAAACAGCTTGGCAGTTTCTCAAAATGTTAAGCATGTAGTTACCATGTGACTCAGCAGTTTCATGCCTATGTAAATATCCAAGAGAAATGAAAGCATATGTCCACACAAAGTTTGTACACAAATGTTCATAGCAAAAAGTTGTATCTCAATGGAGTTGTTAAAAAAAAAAAAAGAATGCCAGCCAGGCACGGTGGCTCACGCATGTAATCCCAGCACTTTGGGAGGCCAAGGCAGGCAGATCAGGAGGTCAGCAGATCGAGACCATCCTGGCTAACACGGTGAAATCCTGTCTCTACTGAAAATACAAAAAAATTAGCTGGGTGTGGTGGGGGGGGCGCCTGTAGTCCCAGCTACTTGGGAGGCTGAGGCAGGAGAATGGCGTGAACCCGGGAGGCGGAGCTTGCAGTGAGCCGAGATTGCACCACTGCACTCCAGCCTGGGCGACAGAGCAAGATTCCGTCTCAAAAACAAGAAAGAAAGAAAGAAAGAAGTCTGGGCTCTTTGGCTCATGGCTGTAATCCCAGCACTTTGGGAGGCCGAGGCAGGCAGGTCACCTGAGGTTGGGAGTTCGAGACCAGCCTGACCAACATGGAGAAACCCCATCTCTACTAAAAATACAAAACAAGCTGGGTGTGGTGGCACATGCCTGTAATCCCAGCTACTCGGCAGGCTGAGGCAGGAGAATCGCTTGAACCGGGGATGTGGAGGCTGCAGTAAGCCAAGATCGTGCCATTGCACTCTAGCCTGGGCAATAAGAGCTAAACTCTGTCTCAAAAACAAATAAAAAAAGAAGCCTGTGGACGTGGACTAAAAAAATGTCTGAAAATTACTTCTAAATGTAAGGTAAAATAGGAAATTTTAGCTGTAATAGCATGTCTCTTATGAGTTGGTTCTGGTGGAATATGGATGATGTAAAAACAGGGAGTGTACAAAAATGGCTTTACTTAAACATTTGGGTCAAGTCTTTAAAGACTGAAGACTTCTGATTTTAATTTGGTTACAATTATTTACATCTTTAATCAGTTTTTAAGTGTCCAGTTAATATAATACTGAGATATATTCATTTATTATTGTATTAGTATTGTATTAGTATTAGTTTTCACACTGCTAATAAAGACATACCTGAGACTGGGTAATTTACAAAAGAAAGTTTATTAGACTTACAGTTCCACGTGGCTGGGGAGGCCTTACAATCATGCCGCAAGGTAAAAGGCATGTCTCACATAGCGGGAGACAAGAGAGCTTGTGCAGGGAAACTCCCGTTTTTTAAAACTATCAGATCTCATGAGACTTATTCATTCTCATGAGACCAACATGGGAAAGACCCGCCCCCATAATTCAATTACCTCCCACCAGGTTCCTCCCACGACACATGGAAATTGTGGGAGTTACAATTCAAGATGAGATTTGGGTGGGGACACAACAAAACCATGTCAATTATTTTAGATTGGACTTCAGCTCTGTTTTGTGAAAGATACTGACACTATTGCTGAGTTTGTTTGTTGGCAGAAGTTTTAATATCCTTGGTGGTATTTACTTGTGTTACCCTATGATAACTTTCATCATAATCTTTTCTTATTTTATGGCCTAGATAGGCCATAAATTCCCCAGTCAAGGGATATAGTCCTGACTGTAAATAGCCCTGATTCCCAATATGAGAAGAGTTTCGTGGCCTAGACTTGAGTGTGTCCAAAACAAATAATGTTGCATTTATCAGGTTTCATGAATTCATTACTGCCCAGAGTACAATTCTGTTGCCCCTGTTCCTAGAAGTCTTACTCTATCTTCACAATTGGCCACCCAATGGCAGATTTGTGGGATGTTGCTGCATAATCATATCTCACATTCCTCCAATGCCAGCAAACAAGGGATTTTGGTTGGGAAGAACACTCTTCCATAACTTGACTTTGGCAGGGAGATACACTTCATGTATGATGACTTTTATATCTACAGACATCTCCAAAATCCTTTTTTGTATGACCATTATGTTCCTCCTTCTCTGCTTTATTCATATGTTCAGAATAAACTCATCTAGATTTGGTGTTCCCCAATTGAGCAGCAGATAATGTCAGAACAGTCATTGTTGGGGCTCAAAGTGCCAAAATATGGCACTTTGACATGCTGAACTGAAGAAGAAGCCTCAAGGTCTCTGTCTCTCAATCCTTTGTCTCTCCCAAAGCACAAGATGAAGTTGTTCTCCGAAGTTCCCTTATCTACCTAAAGTCTCGACCCACCAAAGATGAAAACAATTACTGCTCGTCCCTTCCCCGAGTTTTCGTTAAGTGAACTCATATTGCAGGAAGAAAGACTGAAGTCTGTTAACGCACTGAACAGACTTTTGTCACAAACCATTGTCTACTCGGCAGGCCCAACAGACTTTTGTCCCAGGCCATTCAAAGTTCTACAGACCCATTGAATTCCCTTAAAAATCATTTACTGCTCACACCTGTAATCCCAGCACTTTGGGAGGCCAAGGCAGGTGGATCACGAGGTCAGGAGTTCGAGACCAGCCTGGCAAATATGGTGAAACCCCATCTCTACTAAAACCCTATCTCTACAAAAATTAGCCAGGCATGGTGGTGCATGCCTGTAATCCCAGCTACTTGGGAGGCTGAGACAGAAGAATCGCTTGAACCCAGGAGGCTGAGGTTGCAGTGAGCCAAGATCGTGCCACTGCACTCCAGCCTGGGTGACAGAAAGAGACTCCGTCCCAAAAAAAAAAAAAAATCATTTACTACCTCCCTGAAATCACCCACACTTCCTATCTCCCTTTCCCCCAAGAAGGGTATATGACATTCTCTACCCCATTGCATAGTGGGGTAATTATGTTGTGATTCTTCCCTGTGCACATTAATAAACGTGTATGCCTTTTCTCCTATTAATCTCCCTTTTGTTTTCCCTTGGACCCTACATCATAAATGTGCCTAAAGAACTGTTCTCATTATAAAAAAAACAAAAACAAAAACAAAAAGAGAAGAAACTATCAGGGAATTTTCCTTGCTGCTTTGTATTCTATTTGCTATAGATAAGACCATGTAGAGTATTTGGGTAGCCAGAGTTTGTATATTGAATGAGTCTGAGTTTTTGTGACCCAAAATGCAGGCAGTCTGTTTTAAAGGAAAAAATCTTAATATTGATTGATATGATAATCTGATAGCTGGGAAGGCTCATATGATTTTTCTGACTCTTAATTTATACTCCTTGTACAATGTTGATATCTATATTTTGTATAGGAGATTTATGTGAGCTGGGCATTGTGGCTCATGCCTGTAATCCCAGCACTTTGGGAGGCCAAGGCAGAAGGATCACTTGAAGTCAGGAGTTTGAGAGCAGCCTGGGCAACACAGCAAGACCCCCTGTATCTACAAAAAATTTAAAAATTAGCTAGGCGTGGTGGCATGAATCTGTAGTCCTATAGCTACTAGGGATGCTAAGGTAGGAGAATCACCTGAGTCCAGGAAATTGAGGCTGCCATGAGCCATGATTGTGCCACTGCAGTTCAATCTGGGTGACACAGTGAGATCCTGTCTCGAAAAAAAAAAATATATCCTAACATAATTAGGAGGAAACTATCCCTTCTGTCTCCATTATCAGTTAATAAATAGCAGAGAAGCAGAAGGCAGGTATAGTCCATTTCCCTCCACATTCCATTAAGACAGCAGGTTATTTTATTTATTTTTTTTTTTTGAGACGGAGTCTCGCTCTGTCGCCCAGGCTGGAGTGCAGTGGCTCGATCTTGGCTCACTGCAACCTCCGCCTCCTGGGTTCAAGCGATTCTCCTGCCTCAGCCTCCCCAAGTAGCTGGGACTGCAGGCACACACCACCATGCCTAGCTAATTTTTGTATTTTTAGTAGAGATGGGGTTTCACCATGTTGGCCAGGATGTTCTCAATCCCTTGACCTCGTGATCCTCCCGCCTTGGCCTCCCAAAGTGCTGGGAATACAGGCGTGAGCCACTGTGCCCAGCCAGGTCATTTTTTTTTAAACAGAAAATTTAAAGTATAATAGAAGAGGCTGGGTGCAGTGGCTCACACCTGTAATCCCAGCACTTTGGGAGGCTGAGGCGGGAGGATCACGAGGTCAGGAGAGCGAGACCATCCTGGCTAACACGGTGAAACCCTGTCTCTACTAAAAATATAAAAAGAAAAATTAGCCGGGCGTGGTGGCATGCACCTGTAGTCCCAGGTACTCAGGAGGCTGAAGCACGAGAATCGCTTGAACCCAGGAGGCAGAGGTTGCAGTAAGCCAAGACTGCACCACTGCTCTCCAGCCTGGGTGACAGAGTGAGACTCCGTCTCAAAAAAAGAAAAAAAAAATTTTTTTTTTTGAATAGGGAATACTTTCGTGTGTTTCAGACTAAAAAATTGATTTTATATGTATTTATAATTACACACATATACGTATGCAGTAAAGTTTCATTTTTACTTGTCCTTCAGCCACCATTTCCTTTCCTCTTACACACTAATATTTTCAGTTTCTTATTTATCCTTCCAGTTATTTTATGGACATACCAGTAAATACACACATATATTAATATATCCAGTATTTTCCCCATCTCTTTTTTGCACAACCCCTTAAATATACTTAAAATAAAACAGAACAACAAATTTTTCGTAAACAAAATTTAATACAACCATATAGTCAAGTAATAATGGTTAAAAGACATTTTATTAGATACAACTTTTAAAAAATTAAACTATGCAAGAAGTATATTTAAACAAAACATGTAAGTAAGTATTCACGTGCTACAACTTAACTAAGAACAATTAAATACAAAGCATTCTTTCCACTATGAAGACTCTGGAGCCTCTAATTGAAAGCAAATGACCTTAGGTCTATACTAGTTGTAAAGCAGATTATACTTTTGTTCAACTCTAAATTTGTATTGTCTTAGAGCTCCAACAACTCTCAATAAAAATTTAAATAAAGAAACCTTGGGGGAGGGGTGATAGGGAAGGGGAGAGTAAGTGCTTTTTCAAAAAGGTAAATGAAAAAGCCTGAAGAGGGAAAAAATTGTACATAAGTATGGAACAAAAATAAGTATACTTTTTTGACATTCGATGTAGATACTGCAAATGAATTTACACGGGTTTAATCAATGTAAGATAGATATTTGTCTGAATATTTTAAAAAGCACCTAGGTATCAAAAAATAAAAACAAAAAATATAATGAAACTCCAAACATCCAACAATCTCCCTTAACATTCTCATTCTGCCAAGCAACCACACGTTGGTGCTTATTACACAATTTAAGAAGGGGAAGTTTATTTACTCTATAGGAAACAAATATGAACCTTATCTAAGGTAAGCTTCATTTAGATTGAAAAAAAAGTTGAAATAGCACTAGAGAACTTAAGGCACATAAACAAATTCAGGTGCAGTTATTTTGAAACCATTAAAACAAATTCTTTTCTTTGGAACAATATATAAAATAAGTTATGAATGTTGCTGTTTTTATCAGCACTAGGAAAATTTAATATCTAAGGCAATCACACAAATGTAAAATGTTCATATAAAACATTAAAAAATGTCTAAAGTGTCTCTGGAATTATTCATTCACACTCCTGGCTCAAATGGTTTCTGGTGCCTAGCATTAGATGTGACAATAATGATAGCTAGCTAGTCAAACCTACTGCCTTAAAGATCAACCAATTTGCTCCATTCTGGTTACTTGGCATGGTAAATTTATTTAACTAAAAAGAATAATGGGGTGAGGTGATGTAAACCTGGCTTTCAATAAGATGCACAACAAATTCTAATAAGGCCAAAACTCTGTTGAGGTTAACTGGTGTCTTGAGTTTACTAAAATAAAGGCAGTCCATAGGAAGCCTCAAAGAGACATTATCTTACCACTTGGCACCACAAAAACACCAAGCTCTCCTCTCTGAAAATACAGGCCGGGGGTGGTGGCTCACGCCTGTAATCCCAGCACTTTGGGAGGCCGAGGTGGGCGGATCACGTGGTCAGGAGTGATCCGTCTCTACTAAACCCCGTCTCTACTAAAAATACAAAAAAATTAGCCGGGTGTGGTGGCACGCACCTGTGGTCTCAGCTACTCGGGAGGCTGAGGCAGAATCCCTTGAACCCGGGAGGTGGAGGTTGCAGTCAGCTGAGATCGCGCCACTGCACTCCAGCCTGGGCGACAGAGCAAGACCCCGTTCTCCCCCCTTCCCCAAAAAAAAAAAAAAACGAAAAAAATACAGTTTGAAGTAGATGTCGTCTTTTCCACATATAAATCTCAAGACATAAAAGGCACACACAATTCAACTCCTCTCTTTTCATATATGGGTTCTCACAGCAATTTAAAAAATCTATTGCCATATCCAGACAACAGGAGAAAAAAAAAATACCTGGTTTGCTTATTGACAAAAGTGGTGTAATTGAACCTTTGTCTTTCCTGAGTTTCAAAAAGGCTATTTGACAGTAGAGATACATAAACAATTCATATTCAGTAAGATAAAATGTATCAGTCCACAAAACATTTTCATCTTTTTAAGTATAAAAGAATCAATGTTCAACCACCACCATGTGTGAAGCCCCTTTTTCCAAATTAAACTTACTCTAGAATCATGAATTGAAGATTATTCAGTCATGGCACTTTACACCCCAAACGAGCAAAAGTAACAAGTTAATACCCTCCCTGAGTATTTACATCATCTTATCACCTGGTTTAAATGGAGTAAATACCTATATTTCAATCATCTAGGAAATAAAAAGGTTACTGAAGATCCAATACACTAGTATTTCATACCTGTGCAGTAAAGTCAGTGGGAAGATTACAGTAGAAAAGGAGGAAGTTCTACTGTTGTAAAAATTAGACCACTTTTGTAGCTGACTCACATAGAGGAAAAACAGAAAATGATTAAAGTTCATGAAAAAAAAACTATACTTTTCTGTTCTACAAAGCATACCTTTGAATTCCCTTTCCAACTGAGGTATCACAGCTGGGTTTAGCAAACTCATCTCTTCTGACCTTGTAAAACTAAATTGTCATAAAGATTCTGATTATACATAAGTCATCGTTACTAATACTCATCATGTACTTTCAAATGTAAAAAGTTCTAGAAATGCCCAAATAAAAAAAAATTCCAGAATTGAATTTAGCATGGTCAACTAATTTTTACTTTATGTGCTTTTTTGCTGATCATCACAGACTGCTAAAATTCATGGTGTTTGGTATATATGTGTGTATACAACCATACTATCTACATACATACACATGTACATATATAGATTCTAAACCAAAGGTTCATATGAGCATCACCTATCAAAAGAAAAATCTTTATGTGATGAGAGAATGAATACAATCTGACACCAATTTGGTTGATATACCCCTTTTGATATATTAATTCTACTCTAAAATTCTTTTTTATTTTATCAAGTCTAATGCTATTATTTATCAAGAATTAGTAAAGGAAGATAAATATTAAAAAATTAAAATATTAAGTTGGGTAACTTTAAAAATAGTTATTTAAATTTTCTAAGATTCAACCTAAGTTCTTGGTGGCCTTCAATATAAATTTTAAGTACTTAATTTATGTAGTTTTAAATTATGTAGAGAAAAAATTAATATTGGTGTGAGGTCTGTGTTTAAAAAAATTCTGTTTTTCAGGATTTCATTTCAAATTTACTATAATAAACACATGGATATTAAAATAAATGTATAACAAAATAAAAGTAAATAGTTAATACTTTTTACAACAGAAAAATACTAGAATATAAAGTTGTCTTGAGAAAGTCTTTTTTTATGTGAAGTCCTATATTCATGAAATGGACATGATCTTACAAATACACATGAAAATAACAACTATCATTTGTAGAATCCTCAGCATTTACAAAATACTTTTTCACACATTATCTCATTTACTGTAAAGAATTTCTTAACTAAATAATTCTATTATCTATAAGAGTATAATGCAGATGTTTACTCTAAAATTAAAGTACAAGTATCCAAACTGTACCTACATTCTTTCAACTAAGAGGATAGAAAATTGTTTTCTGAATTGTTGTTATCACAAAATGGTATCTATCATTTTAAAATTATGATTTGAAAAATAAAAATTCCCTAAAAATTTTTAAGTTTTTTAGAGTTTTCCTCAGAATGTAGATTCTAGCTAAGCATTAAAGTTTAAAAAATGTCTATCTGAAATCTCTGAATCATTCTAAAATGAGAAAACAATGTAGCTTACCAATGTTAGGCTTTTTATTTCAACCTTGGTTTTAACAGAAATCTGGTGACACTTTAATTACATATTTGCATCATCCCTTCTATCACAAGAAATATACAAATTATAATGTGAAAGACAACAGTGACTGGAAGTCAAACTACAGCAGGCTACCTAGAACATCCCTAAATGTTGTAAATTATATCCGTCCACCCAGAATCACAATAATCACTTATGCTGTAGTTCCTGCCATATCCATTTATTTGCATTAGAAAAAAAATTCACATTCCTCTCTGAAAACTGATAAGCTTTATAAAGTGGAGTTGAGAAATCTAGACAAAAGCAGTCTGTTGTACAGAAGCTTGAAAATGTTGATTAGTATTTTACACAATGGGGACCAAATGAAAGACTTACCTTAAAGATGGGAACTACTGCTAAGTTTTTTCAGATAACTAATTTTAAAAGAAAAATGGACCCACTGAGATAGGTGGTCCCTGCTTTATCCTATTAAAGGTACCTTAACAGTAGAGACTCTCAGGAATTTTAGCTGTTCACTAGAAAGTGGGATAATCAAGGAAGAGGTCCTCACCCAAAGCACCATACTAATGAGGTCAAACTCTACTGGGCTAGGAAGGAAAACCTATCCCTATTTTTCTTTTTCTTTTCTCTTGAGACAGTGTCGCAACCTGTTGCCCAGGCTAGGGTGCCGTGTGCGTTCATAGCTCACTGTAGCCTCAGACTCCTGGGCTCAAGCAATCCTCCTGCCCCAGCCTGCTGAGTAGTTGGGAGTACAGGTGTGAGTCTCTGTACCTGGCTGTCTGTCCCTGTTTTTCACAAAACAATATTGCAAAATGGGTTTCCACTGCTTTATCAAGTTAAGAAAAGAGGCTTTCTTAGAGGATTGAAGAGATGATGCATAAAAACTTTGAGAGCCATAGTGGGTCATTTTTCCTTCAAAGGCCATTCCATTTTTCTCTTAGGAATTAACTTGTAATTTTAATCCCCCTTGTAGGGGCACTTATTTTTCTATCTCCTACCTAACTTCCCCCTAAAAACATGTTTAATGTAAGACAGCAATTCTAAGAATAAAGTCACAATAGTTCAGTATTTTATGATGCCTGAATTGTTGTCATTACATTTTTATCAATTACAGAAAAAAACCCTTCAATAAAATTAACCAATCTGGATATACTTTGTTAACAACAAAGGTTTTTAAAACTGATTTTTTCTCCTAGAATGCATCCTAAGCATTAACTTCTTCAACCTAAATGATGCCTCAAGTCATGCAATTTTCTCTACATATATGACAAAATAAGGAATATACATACAGATAAACATACATAATAAGTGAAGACACCATTCACACGCTCCTAAAAGGTATGCAGACAGACATTTCCTAATTCACATAGACTTCTTACAAATACTTACAAAGGTACACTCTTCAAAGGCCAAGTAACAACCACCATTACCTTTAACAAAAAAGTTTTTTTTTTCAATTATAGGAAAGGCTTTATTATAGTTTGAAAGATTGATATTTTGAGGAGAAAGGCACCAAATTATTATTTTTACTATTTTTTGCATATGGCACAAAGGAGATATGTGAAGTTCCCACTGTAGAGTTTTTAAAACCTCCCATCTTGGATCAGTGTGGCTTCTTCGGTGAGGTATCCTGTCTTCAGAGTTTAAAGCATTTCTCATTGTATCTATGAATAGTCACACAGCCATGATAGGACACTGGCCTGGGCATTGCAGCTACCCCTGTGATGATACTTGTTGCAGGATCATAACAGAGAATAGTGTCTGTGGCTTCTCCATTTTCCCGTCTTCCGCCCAGGATATATATTTTACCATTACACACAGACATACCACAGTTTTCCTGTTTAACCAAATATATAAACAAAAAATTAACCATTGAAGATAAAGGATTTGGTAACAAACAGAAAAGCAAAATAATGCTTTAGCACAGTCAAAAAAAAGGGAGACATGATAAAAGCTAAGGTCCTTTGGCCCAACTCTGCTCTCTGTGTTCTGTGTAAGCGCTGGACAACTTTGCATGAATGAAATGAATTTCAAGATAGATGCTATGTCAGTAGCAGCCACAAGAAATAACGAGATCATGTCCTTTGTAGGGACGTGGATGGAGCTGGAGGCCATTACCCTTAGCAAACTTACACAGGAACAGAAAACCAAATACTGCATGTTCTCACTTATAAGTGGGAGCCAAATGATGACAACACAGGGACACATAGAGGGGAACAACACACACACGGGCCTTTCAGAAGGTGCAGAGTTGGGGGAGGAAGAGGATCAGGAAAATTAATGGGTACTAGGGCTTAAGAACTGAATGATGAAACAATCTGTACAACAAACCCCCATGACACAGTGTACCTATGTAACAAACCTGCACTTGTGCCCCTGAACTTAAAATAAAAGTTAAAAAAAAAAAAGATTATATGTTAGTAATTGGGGCCAAGATGTGGGAGGTAGGATGTGGACTGATAAAAGGGTTTTAACTTAATGGTAGTTAAGCAAAAGCATCTTTAAAGAGCCTGGCTTGCTTCTCCTATTACAGGAAGGTTATTATAGAAAGTGGCGGTTACATGACCAAGGAGTAGGAACAATATTCATTATATGGGATTACCCAAAAATTGAATGAATGAATGAGGAAAAAATTTATAACTAAGTTAACAAAACACTGTTATTAGGAGCCTTGGCTGGGCCATAGAAATGTCTCAAATAACATCTTACAGTTAACTTCCCACACAATGGGATTCTAAGCTAAATTTTATTATTCTCTGTCAATAACACAGTTACTATATAAAACAAATATTCTTGCAAGGATGAGAGTGATTCTTCAAAAACAAAACCTGGCTGGGCATGGTGGCTCATGCCTGTAATCCCAGCACTTTGGGAGGCCGAGGCAGGTGGATCACTTGAGATCAAGAGTTCGAGACCAGTCTGGTCAACACAGTGAAACACCATCTCTACTAAAAATACAAAAAATTAGCTGGACGTGGTGGGGGGTGCTTGTAATCCCTACTACTCGGGAGGCTGAGGCAGGAGAATTGCTTGAACCCGGGAGGCGGAGGTTGCAGGGAGCTGAGGTTGTGCCACTGCACTCCAGTCTGGGTGATAAGAGCGAAACTCCGTCTCAAAAAAAATAAACAAACAAACAAACAAAAAACCCTACATTAACAACTGATTCACTATTACATGCATCTGGTTATACTGCAGGCCAGATATTCTTCCATTTCCAATTAAAGTTTCACTTTAATTCAGAGAGTTATTGCACCTTATTATCCTGGTTCCACATAACCAACAATGAAATAGTTTCTACCAATGAGTTCAATAAGCATTTTTACTTGACCAAATTTGCTTTATATAAATTTTGCTCTTATAGAAGAAATTAAATCTTGGTGGCTTTATATAATAGAAGGATACTATCTTTAGGTCTGAAAGAATTTGTGAGTACTTAAAAATGCCTATATTAGAATTTATAGACACCCAGAATGACTTAGCCTATTATCATATAGTGAAAGACACTTTAATTCAGAATACCACACCCCCATGAATTGCACCAATTATGGAACAAACTCTAATATTTTTCATTTAAAGCACAATAAGCGCTTTCTATAAATTCTTCAAGTTCTGAATATAATAAAAACAAACAAAAACCTTAGTTTTCAGGTACAAGCTAGTTCCCACTATTGAACCTCTAGTTATTTTGAGGATGATTCTAAAACAATATATAATTACATGGTCTGGTAATTAATACCATTTCAGATAATAATGCTCAGAGTTAAATAAAGCAAAGAACCTTGAAACCAAGTATTCATATCAGGAAATTACCTCTATCCGATATAATAGCTTATTTCATGCTAGTAAAATACCATTTACTCTGTTTGTTTATACTGTATGAAAAACTTACTCTTCATTCAGGAGTAAGGGCAGCTAGTAGGAACAATAATTTATCAATATATAAAGTTTTAATGTTATTTTTAAAGACTGAAACGAAACATGATCCTAACATTGCAAAGAAAAAAAAAAAAAACCAAAAAACCCTCTCGTTATTTTTGTATGCTTAAAATGTTAAACTGTCAACAATAGACAAAAAGAATCAGATTTCATTTAATTATTCTAATCTTTAATGGTATTTTAAATACCTGGTCTACTGAAGAGAGAGAAAAAAAGTCTTCATCACTGACTTTTTAAAAAATCCCACAATTTTTTTTAAAGGATGTTCCTGACACAGGTTAAAAAGCAAAATATGTTTTGAATAATAAGCTGTGTTTTTAGGAATTATGCAAAGTCAGAAGAGGCGTGGAAATGGTGAAGGACAAACAGAGAAATAGGCAGGGTCCATTAGGACTATAAAAAATAAAGACCTCATTTTTTTCAGCTCTTTTTTGCATTTAATATTCTAAGCATTTTAAAAAGCAACAGTATTGGGTTCATTTAACTGTATACAATGAAATTAGTTTGATTTATCCTTTTTCATCGGTTGGCATTAAAAGGGTAAACAATCACACACGGCTCAAAAATTACCTATCAATAACATGTGCATAAGGCCAGGTGCCGTGGCTCATGCCTGTAATCCCAGCACTTTGGGAGGCCGAGGCAGGCGGATCACCTAAGGTCAAGAGTTCAAGACCAGCCTGACCAACATGGCAAAACCCTGTCTCCACTAAAAATACAAAAATTAGCTGGGTGTGGTGGCATGCGCCTGTAATCCCAGCTACTTGGGAGACTGAGGCAGGAGAATCACTTGAACCCGGGAGGCGGAGGTTGCAGTGAGCCGAGATCAATGTGTGCATAGATGTATTTAGTAGCATTGGTGGTAACAATAAACAGAGGAGAGAAAATAATCACCTAAATCCCAGTACTAGATTTGAACTTCAATTATTTGTCTTTGTTAGACTTAATATACTTCTGATCCAAATGTTTATTTTCTTTAAATTTCTAAAGTCAATGAATGTTGTTTAATTAGAGAAAATGTGCCATGTGTGTCCTATTATTAATTTTTTTCTCAGTTTTATCTCAATAACCTAGTTAAAAAATATTCATGTATGCCCTGCAATATGCTACATACTGGCAATTATCTTCCTAAACTGTTATCGTTTTATACAATATAGCAAAGTTCCGAATAAATGGTAATTCTTTTTCTTTTTTCTTTCTTTTTTTTTTAAATTTTTTTTGAGACAGGGTCTCACTGTGTCACCCAGGCTGGTCCCTAACTCTTGGCCTCAGGTGATCCTCCTGCCTCAGCTTCCCAAGGTGCTGGGATTATATGCATGAGCCACTGCACCCAGCTTGAGCAGTAATTCTTAATAAAAATGCATCATTCTTTACAATCTTCACTGAAATAAACCAATAAAAAGCAGCTTAGATTTTTTAAAAATTAGAAATAAGTCTCAATACTTGACCACATGAGGATTCTCATGCAAGTAGGGTACACTGTCGCTTCTGTAGGGCTGGAGAATGGTTTTCCAGGGGAGGTCCCTGAGCTGGAGAAATGTGATTTATTTTTACTTACATGTGATATGAGAGGGAGAAAACGTAATACTCATTCTGTACCATGGAGCTGAAGTGCCTATTATGTCCCTTTCATTAACTGGGGCAATGTTACTGCATATATATTACTAATTGGAGACTATACCTCAATGTCAACAACTTTAGAAAAGTGGTTTTATATTCAAACCCTATTCACTATCCTTATAATCTATGCTGTATCTCTAATGTATCTTGCAAATAAGATTATCTTAAAATTAAGTCCCTCTGGTACTTCCTCATTTGTTTACTTATTCAATATATATATATTTACTATGCAGAAATAAATGCAAGATACATACAAGATGAGTTAGAAGAAATAGTGTCCTCAAGAAGACTAAATTCTAGTATAGGAAATAAACATTTATACCCATAAGGGAATATACAATTGCCATAAGAGGTATGAGTGCTTTAACAGATCAGAAAGCAAAATAGATCCATTCTGCCCCAGTTAAACTCTGTTGTACTGAAGTGGTCCTTGAAAGATAAGTAGAATTACAAGTAGAGAAGGTAAAACAGGCATTACAGGATAAGAAGACAGCATGAACCAGGGCAAGAACATTTATGATCTGTTTAGAGACTACAAATGACAGATACTTAAGGTACCTGAGGTAAAGTTATAGAATGTGAAGCTGAAAGGTCAAATGAAGGTCAGGCAATAGAAGGTCTAGAATGAAGTGGTAAAAGTTTTGGATTTTATTTAATAGGTTTCCAATCAAAGAAGAGACAATAAGTAGATTTATTGAAAAATAATAGGCTGGGCATGGTGGCTCATGCCTGTAATCCCAGCACTTTGGGAGGCTGAGGCAGGTGGATCACAAGGTCAGGAGTTTGAGACCAGCCTGGTCAACATAGTGAAACCCCGTTTCTACTAAAAGTACAAAAAATTAGCTGGGCTTGGTGGTGGGCGCCTGTAATTCCAGCTACTCGGGAGGCTGAGGCAGGAGAATCACTTGAACCCAGGAGGCGGAGTTTGCAGTGTGTGGAGATCGCGCCATTGCACTTCAGCCTGGGTGACAAGAGTGAAACTCCGTCTCAAAAAAAGAAAGAAAGAAAGGAAGGAAGGAAGGAAAGAAAAGAAGGAAAGAAGGGAAGGAAGGAAGGAAGAAAGGAAAGAAAGAAAGAAAGAAAGAAAGAAAGAAAGAAAGAAAGAAAGAAAGAAAGAAAGAAAATTGATGCTAAATGAGCTAGCAAGACAAGCTATTAGAGAAAGGAAGACTAATTAGAGTATTTTTGTTTGTTTAGGTAAAACTTGGTAAGAACTTGAACAAAAATAGAAACAATAGGAATGGAAAAAATAGGAGAACTGATAGGCTAGATTAATTCAATTTAAGAGAAGAAAAAGATAATCTAATAAATTAAGTTTCTAGGTTAATTGGAAATATAGAAAAAACAGGTTTGGGGAAGAAGGTGAGTTCTATTTGAAATTTAAAATCTTGAAATACCCATGTAAAATATCAAATAAAATATCAAATAGGCAGTTAGAAATTTGAGTTTGGAACACAGGAGAGAGGCTTTGATGGCGATACAGACTTGGAAGACATCAGTGCTGAGCAGTAAATGAGATGATTCAGGAAAGAGTATAAACTGGGAAGAGGACAGAGGACAGGCTCAAGGAACATATTTAAGGACTGGGTAGAAAAACAAGAGAGTATGAACAAGAGTGAGGAGATTATTAGCAGTGACCTTTGAGAGTACATCTCTAGAGTGGTATGTGTAGAGCCAGATTTTCAGCATCAGAACCATCAAGCATTTTGGGGGTGGAAGGAAAAGGAGCCATGAATCAAAAGGTGGGGAAAAGGCCTTTTGGGAGGTGGCAGTGTGGGTAGGGAGTAGGGCTCCGGTTAGAATACATGGATGAAAGAAAGGTGAGCACAGCCATTTCCTTTACAACAGAAATAACAGATTTCCCAGCCTCTAACCAAAGAAACAACAAGTTTGGGAACATTCCTCTCTTCTGAAATATGAAAGAGAGGGGATAAATACTGGAGTAGGATTGTGAAAAAAGTCAAGAGAAAAAAAAAAGAACAGCCCAAGTGTAACAGATACTTCTCCATGGGATGGTAAAAAGGAAGTTATTTCAATAAAATGACCCCTTGGAAGGAGTTCAAAACAGGTTGCCATATGCTTTATGTGGAGTTTTGAAAAATATATAAAATAATTCAAGCAAACATGAAATATTTTATTTTACTTATTTATTTACTTTTTTGAGACGGAGTCTCACTCTGTTGCCCAGGCTGGAGTGCAAGTGGCATGATCTCGGCTCACTGCAACCTCTGCCTCCCAGATTCAAGTGATTCTCCCGCCTCAACCTCCTGAGCAGCTGGGATTACAGGCGTGTGCCACCAAACCCAGCTAATTTTTTATTTTATTTTGTTTTATTTTATTTTATTTTATTTTTATTTATTTATTTATTTTTGAGACGGAGTTTCGCTCTTGCTGTCCAGGCTGGAGTGCAATGGCTCGATCTCGGCTCACCGCGACCTCCACCTCCCGGGTTCAAGCAATTCTCCTGCCGCAGCCTCCCTAGTAGCTGGGATTACAGGCAATGCGCCACCACGCCCAGCTAATTTTGTATTTTTAGCAGAGACGGGGTTTCTCCATGTTGGTCAGGCTGGTCTCGAACTCCCGACCTCAGGTGATTGGCCTGCCTCAGCCTCCCAAAGTGCTGGGATTACAGGCATGAACCACCACGCCTGGCCATAATTTTTTAGTAGAGACGGGGTTTCACCATATTAGCCAGGCTGGTCTTGAACTCCTGACCTCAAGTGATCTATCCACCTCGGCCTCCCAAAGTGCTGGGATTACAGGCGTGAGCCACCACGCCCAGCCTGAAATATTTTAAAATTGAAATTCCAGTGTATTAATAATGATTATGTACTTGGTCCCTCTTAGATTTATTTTTCTTTTGTACTGCTTTATGTTATTACCTGACGGCTGAATGTATTCTGTACGTGCATCCAGTAATCTTCAACTGGATCGTAACAGTATATTGCCTTGGTCAGTCCACCGGCAACATAGATCAGGTTGTTTAGGGATACAGCTGTTATACACCTTTTGGCAATTGGGATAGCTGCACGAAGTAGCCAAGAATTGGTTTCTGGATCATAAGATTGAACCTAATAACATATAAAAATATATAATTAAAATTTCTAAACAAAAATGGAAATGTACTTAATAAAGAATCTACCAATACCTACAAACATTATTTAAAATAAAATCCTATTAATTCAGAGAATTAAGAGAGGTTAGCCTGATAGTGAAATGTCTGAATTACGAACATTCTCAAATAAAATGCAAATTTATTACTATCAAGCAGAATAGAGTACCAAACACACAGATTGTTTCTAGAATGAATGGCCACCAGGTTTGTCCACTAAAATTAACAGTCTAAATCTTTTCACAATTGTGTTATGTAGGATAACTATGCCTCACATCTGAATATAACTTCTTAATGCTTTTAGGGAGTCCTTTCTTCAAAAGAAAACAAGTAAACCTCAATTCAATCAGTATGCTCTGAATTATCACAAATTCTGAAATAACAAATTCTAAATAAGTAACATTTGATCACATTATTTTAAACTGAATTTAGAAAAAGAATTAATAGACTGACAAAATTCAGTTAACAGTGCTAAACCAGCTAGGCATTAGATGCTTTTTTCCAGAATAAACATTTCCTGAGATGTCAGGATAGCACATATTCTTTCGTCCCAGAAGTTTACTGAACCGGAACAACTTTGAGCCATCCTCTATTTACACTAAGGAGGTTTCCTTTCCTTTTTTCTGAAAAATACTTCAAAAGTATGTAGAAAATGACCCAGTTGGAAGCAGCATATTTAGTTACTATGTCTTACCCTTTGCTAATTCACTTCTCAACTGTGTTTTGTATAAATAGTTTTTAGATTTTGTAGATGACAGCAAAGGCTCAGAACAATTTATTTAGTAGAAAACTTCTACACAGATAGTCTCATTTCAAAAAGATTGGATCACATTTGTTAGAGCAAATTGTTAGATATACTAGAGTCTCACTTTAGCAACCCAGAATTCAATGTTTTTCTCCAAAAGCATATAGTACCAGAAAATTTTTAAAAGACCCCTCACACTATGTGACCTGGCTACCTACTTGATAAGCCTTCTGTATTTCCCTTCTTGTACTTAATATTGGTAATTTCTTTAAAAGTGCATGGCTTACCTTATCAGAACAAGTATTATCATCAGGTCCTCCACCAATCACAAACAGTTTGCCTACACAGCTAGTCACTGCAGGAGAACTCACGGCTTCCTTAAGGGGAGCAACTTCAGTCCATCGATTTGAAAAGGAATCATAACATTCTACGCTGCTAAGTCTGTTTTGCCCATCATAGCCACCGACAACATATACCTATATGTAAAATACATGGAAAAATCTTAATTATCAAAAGTCTGAATTTTGAAGTAGTTGGCTAAAGAATTAAGGGATCTCTTCTCTTTAAAATGCCCTTGCTAAATAAATATAATTGCAATATATTTAGCTCAGAGTTTCTGAACCTTTTAAAAAATCATCATCCCCTACCACCATCACAATCCACGGAGCCTTTTTAGGTATTTTCTTCCTAATAGTCTTCCCTCAATAAAATTGTAATACCACAGAGAAATTGTGTATCTATTTACCTTAATGTATGTATATCTGTTCTTTACACAAGAAAGGGTACATTTTTTTTCATCTTCTAAGAAACAATCTTTGCCCCCTTGGGGGTAATACTGCTCACACTGAGAATGGTACAATTTAGCTTAAATATTCACACTTATGGGTAATGAAATATTTGATTATTATAAAGTATTAGAGCTGTGAAACTAAAATATTAGGAAAGAATTACTAGACTATGAGAGTGCTGGTCAGGCCTTTCTTTTAGTCCGTACAATACCTAGAAAAGTACTTGACACAAAATGAACTTTAAAGTTCACAGAGCTTTTATGTACATTTTCTTTTCACAAATAAGAGAAAGGTAGGGCAAATTAGTATCTTTATATGACAGGTGAACCAATCAGTAAGATATTTATTAAATGGCTTATATGCAAAAAATCCATGGTTTATATAGGGAACTTTCAACCTAACAAAGCTCTCCAGCAGCTTAACATCCACGTTTCTCTCTCTCTCTTTTTCTTTTTTTGGAGATGGGTCTCATTCTGTTGCTCAGGCTGGAGTGCAGTGGCATGATCACAGCTCACTACAGCCTCAACCTCCGAGGTTCAAGTAATCCTCTCACCTCAGCCTCCCAAGTAGCTGAAACCACAGGTGTGTATCACCACACCCTACTAATTTATTTTTATTTTTCACAGAGACAGGGTCTCCCTCTGTTGCCCAGGCTGGTCTCTAACTCTCGGCCTCAAGCCATTCTCCCACTCTCAAGCCATCCTCCTGCCTCAGCCTCCCAAAGTGTTGGGATTACAGGCGTGAGCCATCACGCCCAGCTCACATTTCTCTTAATGGACTGTCATCATTAACTCTTCCCTCCATAGCTAATTAACTATTAAGTCCCACTGAGTCTTCTTCCACAGCATCTTTCACATATACCCCTTCCTTTACGTTTCCCGCTGCCATCACCCACTTGAGGGTCCACAACATTTCATTCCTCTCAAATAACCTCCTGGCCTCCACTCTTGTTCTCTCTAAACCACAGATTATTCTTCCTAAAATACTTTATCAGTTCCTCTTAATATTTCAACAATGAATGTCTAAGGGTCAAGGCCACATTTCATAACTTGTCCTTCAAATTTGTCCACAATTTATCTTTCTGTGCACCCCCAAATTTCCACAGTACTCAATGCCACTTCTATCATGCATTTCTCACATTATGTTAAAATAATCTGTTGGTGAGTTTGTGTCCCCAACACTATGCAGCTCAGACAGGTTAAGTAACTTACAAAAGTCCACACAGCTATATGGAGTATGGAACCTGTGGCACGATGTAGCAATTAAGGGCACAGGCTTTGATCACCAGCTCTGCCATCCAATGTAAGGGCAATTTATCTACCCTTTTGGAGACTCAAATTTATTTCCTCAATTTTATAATTTTTTTTTTGAGGCGGAGTTTCGCTCTTGTTGCCCAGGCTGGAGTGCAATGGCGTGATCTCAGCTCACTGCAATGTCTGCCTCCTGGCTTCAAGGGATTCTCCTGCCTCAGCCTCCTGAGTAGCTGGGATTACAGGTGCCCGCCACCATGCTTGGCTATATTTCCTCAATTTTAAAATGTAGACAATCATAGTATCTATCACATGGCATAATTTTGAGGATTAAACTTTAATACGTATTCCTACATGTGTAAATTAAAATATAATACATGCCATGAGCATCAAGACAAAAGGCCTCTAGATTAAGAAAAGTCTGAGCTTTTGCCTCTGCTTTATCATTTTTTGTGTAATCTTGGGAAGTGACTTGATCTCTTTGGGGTTATTTATAAGATGACCAAGTTATATTAAATATTCTCCATTATTCCATCATCCCTTCCTACTCTAAGATTTTTTTCCTTTTCTTTTTTTTGACAGAGTCTCACTCTGTCACCGGGCTGGAGTGCAGCAGGCAGCTCACTGCAGCCTCTGCCTCTCAGGCTCAAGTGATTCTCCTGCCTCAGCCTCCCAAGTAGCCGGGATTACAGGTGTCCGCCACTATGCCCAGCTAATTTTTTGTATTTTTGTAGAGACAGGGTTTCACCATGTTGGCCAGGCTGGTCTTGAACTCCTGACCTTGTGATTTGCCTGCCTCGGCCTCCCAAAGTGCTGGGATTACAGGCGTGAGCCACCGCACCCGGTAATTTTTTATTTTTTCTTGAGGATTGCAGCCTAAGACACACTTCTAAGTTACACTGGGGAGTGCTCCCCTAAGATTCTATATTCTAAACCATCCCAGGTTTCCTTAAACAGAGTATTTATAAATTTAAGTATGTTTTATAAGCTTGAATTAAATCTATATTGTAATTTTAGCAAAATGACTTCCATGAATTGAGTACTTGCTGTGTAAGGTAGGAATGATTCCTTTTCTTTATTGATTTAGTGCTTCTAAGCTTTGGGTATCTTCAAGTCAAGTACACTATTTTGTCAAATAAATTTGAGTTTACCAATACATACATGGTTTTTGAGACATCAGTACTTTTCATTTGCCTTTGTATCAGCATCTCCTTCCAACCCCTGGATTATTTTAGCCCCTCTTTTCCAGTAATATTTTGTCCTTCTTGAGGCACAGCCTCAAACACTATATATAATATAGTAAGTACTAACAAACCAAATGGTTTTAGAAAAGATTCTATTAATATTTTATTTCCAGTAAATCTGTCTCAAGGTCCTCATTATTTCATTGGCCTTGTAGACAGCAGCAGCACACTAGATCCAGGTCGTTAGGAATTAACAGCTTTTAAACTGTGTTTTGAGCTGGGCATGGTGGCTCATGCCTGTAATCTCAGCACTTCGGGAGGCTGAAGCAAGAGGATGGCTTGAACCCAGGAGTTTGAAACCAGCCCAGGCAACAGGATAAAACATTATCTCCACAAAAAATACCAAAATTAGGTGTGATGGTGTGTGCCTGCAGTCTTAGCTACTAGGGAGGCTGAGGTAGAAGGATCACTTGAGCCCAGGATGTCCAGGCTGCAGTGAGCCATGACTGTGCTGCTGCACTACAGCCTCAGCAACACAGCAAGACCCTATCTCAAAAAATAAAAATATATAAACTGTTTTGAGAAGCTCTAGTATTCTACGCAGCAGTCCCCAACCTTTTTGGCACCAGGGAGCGGTTTAATGGAAGACAATTTTCCCACAGGTCTGGGTGGGGGGCTGGTGGGGGACTGGTCGGGGATGGGATGGTTTGGGGATGTAACTGTTCCACCTCAGATCATCAGGCATTAGATTCTCATAAGCAGCCACAACCTAGATATCCCTCATATGTGCTGTCCATGCTCCTATGAGAACCTAATGTGCGCTGATCTGACAGGAGGTGGAGTTGAGGCGGTAAAGCTCGCTCAGTGGCTGCTCACCTACTGCTGTGCAATTAGATTCCTAACAGAACGCTGACTGCAGTGGCAAAATCTTGGCTCACTGCAAACTCCGCCAGAAGCGATTCTTCTGCCTCAGCCTCCCGAGTAGCTGGGACTACCGGTGCGGACCACCATGCCCGGCTAATTTGTGTATTTTTAGTAGACAGGGTTTCACCATGTTGGCCAGGATGGTCTCGATCTCTTGACCTCGTGATCCACCTACCTTGGCCTCCCAAAGTGCTGGGATTACAGGTGTGAGCCACCACGACTGGCCTAGTATAGAAGTTTTAAGAAACCCCTGTGGGGAAAGAGAGGAAGGAGGACTAGTAAGAGGCTGACCAAGAAGGGTTCCTGGTCACCATTTCTGTTTCAGCTAGAGCTTTGTTTTTTTATTGGTGGTACTTAACTGTCTCCATAGGAGGGCCTATGAGACAGCAATCTTCTTAGAAAGGGGTGCTAGGAGATCAGTCAAAGACATATGCGAAAGCAAGTGTGCTGCTTTTAGTTGTTCATTAATTTGAGGTGGTTTTGGACAAGCAGATGGAGATGGGGGCAGGGAGAAGCTAAAGACTCCAAGGTAATCCTTGGTACAACTGTTGTATTTTCATCTGTTATGTAATAAATTTTTGTATTAGATATGACTTTTTAAAAGACAATATACAGGTTGAACTTTCCAAATCTTAAAAAATCTGAAATCCAAAATGTTCCAGATCTGAAACTTTATGAGTGATGACATTAATGCTCAAAGGAAATGCTCATTGGAACATTTCAGATCTTGGATTTTTTGATTTGGGATGCTCAATGAATATAATGAAAATATTCCAAAATATGAAAAAAATCCAAAATATTTGGCCCAGTGCAGTGGCTCATGCCTGTAATCCCAGCACTTTGGGAGGCTGAGGCAGGCAGATCATTTGAGCCCAGGAGTTCAACACCAGCCTGGGCAATGTGGAGAAACCCAATCTCTACAAAAAATACAAAATTAGCTAGGCATTGTGGTGTACACCTGTGGCCTTGGCTACTTGGGAGGCTGACGTAGAAGGGATAGTTTGGGTCCAGGAGGTCAAGGCTGTAGTGAGCAGTGATGGCACCACTGTACTCCAGCCTGGGCAACAGAGTGAGAACCTGTCTAAAAACAAAAGAAAAAAAAAATATCCAAAATCAGAAACACTTCTGGTCCCAAGCATTTTGGAAACTCCACCTGTAGTTGCTTTTAAAAAGTTTGGAAACTGGCTAGGTGCGGTGGCTCATAACTATAATCCCAGCCCTCTGGGAGGCCGAGGTGGGAGGATCACGAGCTCAGGAGTTGGAGACCAGCCTGGCCAACATGGCGAAACCCTGCCTCTACTAAAAATATAAAAATTAGCCAGGTGTGGTGGCGAACACCTGTAATCCCAGCTACTCAGGTGTCTGAGGCAGGAGAATCACTTGCACTGGGGAGGCAGAAGTTGCAGTGAGCTAGATAATGCCACTGTACTCCAGCTTGGGCAATAGAGTAAGAGACCTTGTCTCAAAAAAAAAAAAAAGTTTGATTCTCAGGTTCCTACAGACAGTAGATGGTTTAGAACCCAAATAATGTATTGTTTATAATAATCATTAGCTGCAGTCAAAAATAGGTTTTCTTTAAAAATGTGAGTTTTTTTATTTTTATTTTTATTTTTTTGAGATGGAGTCTCGCTCTGTTGCCAGGCTGGAGTGCAGTGGTGCGATCTTGGCTCACTGCAACCTCCGCCTCCCGGGTTCAAGCGATTCTCCTGCCTCACCCTCCTGAGTGGCTGGGACTACAGGCACCCGCCACCAACCCCAGCTTATTTTTTGTATTTTTAGTAGAGATGGGGTTTCACCACATTGGCCAGGATGGTCTCGATCTCCTGACCTCATGATCTGCCCGCCTCAGCCTCCCAAAGTGCTGGGATTACAGGCGTGAGCCAACGTGCCTGGCCTGTTAGTGAGTTTATCTTAATATTTATTTAAAATAAAAAAGATAAAATACATGACTTTGGACAAATATATCTCTGCCTGACTTGCAAAGTTAGTAAAAAGAAAACAAACTGCGTGGGTTAGACATTGGCCTGTCTGTATTTGATGTAACTCCTTTATTTTCCAATGCTTCTTAGGCATTTGGACTTCAGTGATGCATGAGAAGAGAAATGTGCTACACTGCCATGAATTCCAAATTAGGAGAACAAAATATCCATTCAAAAGTACAGTGTCATATTGTTTATATCTTTGGTTTATCTATTGAGGTTAGAAATGGAAGGAAATACAATTTGAATCCAAAATACCCAGAGGGTGAGTAAAATGAAAGATTCAGCTGTGGTATTTACTTTGGAAAGGTACCAGCAATAGTAATAAAAAGTGGTTTCTCTTACTTTACCAAGGAGGACAGCCATTTTGTGACGCCATCTGCCTTTATTGAGAGAGGCAACTCTGATCCAAATATTTAACTGTGAGTTATAAATCCAGACATCACGGCTGTTGATTCTTCCACCTTGAAATGCAAAACAATGCACACACGATAATTTATCATGATATAGCTGTCACCAAGAGATCTGTGCCACCAAGGCATAGGTAAAGAAAACATGGAATTCATTCATCTAATTCAAGAATTTGAGAATTCAGCTCAATAAATAAAGACCTCTTGAAATTTAATGGAAATAGTTCTACAGAGAAAATTTAAACTTTACCAATTGTTATCTTGATAAGTGATAATTATAGATCCAAAATAATTAAATATAGGATGTGAATTTTACAAACATAAAAGATTGTTAATTTAAGAGTAAGACATCAGAAGCACGCAAATAATGGTATTATTCTAAAGGTTTTTTTTTTAATTGACCGATTTTTCAAAAAGCATACTATTGTAAAAAATAAAGTATGTATTGTTATATTTCTCAGTGTGGATAATATATATAATAATCTGCAAAGCTGGTGAAATTATTTTACCAATTAACAGACTTCCCATCATAGATACTATAGTTATACTTTGTACAAGTCTGTCATTTTATTTTCTAATTTTAAAGGTAACATATCACAATCATAAAGAAGTTCAAGTTAAGAATTTTAAAGCAAATCTTATTTCATAAACTTTGCGGAGAATTTCAGAAAACATGGGTGAATTAGAAATGCTTAATTCTATGAGTACTTCTGACTTGCAAAGAGGTAAAGTTTAAAAAATTACAGCATATTCTACATGCATTTGAGAGCATTTAAAATATGACATGATTAAAGGTATCTTCTGGTGGATCTTTTGTAAATCATTCCATGTCATCTTGTACCTGTGTTTTTTTTGTTGTTGCTTTTTGTTTGTTTTTTGTTTTTGAGGCGGAGTCTTGCTTTGTCACCAGGCTGGAGTGCAGTGGCGCGATCTCGGCTTACTGCAATCTCCGCCTCCCGAGTTCAAGTGATTCTCCTGCCTCAGCCTCCTGAGTAGCTGGGACTACAGTTGCCCACTACCACACCTGGCTAATTTTTGTATTTTTTAGTAGAGATGGGGTTTCACCATGTTGGCCAGGATGGTCTCGATCTCCTGACCCGGTGATCTGCTTGCCTCGGCCTCCCAAAGTGCTGGGATTACAGGCGTGAGCCACCGCGCCTGGCCTTGTACCTGTTTTTAAGAGCAAAAAGTCATTCTTGGTTTTATTTGTTGTAAACTGATCTTCCTCAAGTGGGAGTATTCACATTTCACTATTTTAAGACACTGTTGATGTTTAAAATAATGAAGCTGTGTCCAAATTAAAAGTAGCTACTGTAATAATTCTATATTTACCTGAAACAAGAATGTCATTCCTTAGAGCACAGACTGCATACTCTGATTTGGTAAATTCTGGAAGCTTAGCCAAAGACTTCCATTCTCCTGTTACAGGATCGTAGCACTCAGTGTATGGAAGATTAAATCCTCCAACTCGCTCACATCCTCCAACGACAACTATCACCTCAGAATAGCCAGTGGACCTAAAATAATAATTATTAGCGTACATAAATAATATAATAATATTACATTAAAATATACTCCAGATTTTTTCTTAAAACTCTAAAAACAAACCACGCACTATTATAAACAGTTAAGTTTCTTCTCTGTGCATGTGCCAAACGGTACAGCCTGGAAATTACTTACTTTGAGAACGTTTATAGGGGAGCTAGTGACATCATTATTCCACAGAAAATTTCTGTTGCTATTTTTTTCTATTGGTTTTGACCTGAAAATTGTAAAAAAGTCCAAAGATCCTATCTAACCCAATCAGAATCCTGGCAATATTAAGGATGACTTTCAAATGCAGTTTTGCAGTGATTCAGATACGCATAACCACACAAGGTAAGATAATGCATTTTTTTCTAACTGTAGGAAAATGGTGCTCTTTCATCAGCTTGCTAGTTCTAAAAAACTAATTCATAGTATAATCCAAGCACCCTTTAAAGGAATATGTATATGTACTTGTTCAGAAATTAGTTTTTAAAATACAAAGTCAAGTAAATTAAGGTAATACAACTCAAAATGTTGGGCAATCACTAAAAAGGCTAACAGTTTATAACAAGAATGTTAAAGGAGAAAAGCAAGATGAAAAACTGTACATTAGGCATATTCAATACTATCTAAAAAATGTATCTGGAAAGAATATACCAAAATGCTAAAGATAGTTGTCTCTGAATTGTTTGGCTCCCCCCATTTCTATCATTACAAATTTCCAAACCAATAATGAGCCTGAGCTATTTTTAGAATGCAAAAAACAGCATTTAACACCACTAAAAGAATTCTAATGTTTCTGTTAATCACTGGCTTCTCTCATTTTTTAGATTTAAAATAGAGACAGGAATAACCAAAAGCTTATCCACAATTTTTTGTTCATAAAATTCAATTGATAGTTTAGGAATTTTAAAATTCTTTAGCTTTTATATTTTTCACAAATATAATCTAAATGAAAATGTTTTATAGTTACATTTTATGGTTGCTACAAGTTAAGTCTCACAAAGAAAAATGCCAACAATCCTTCTTCTCTTACTTATAGAGGGGAAAAAAAAACCCACATCAGGACACTGATTTGTAATTTTAGTCAGTGTGCTGTTACACAATTACAGTAGGAAAAAACAAGCAATATTGGCGTGTCTCTTTTAACAGAGCTGTTCTAGCTACATTTACTCAGACCTATGTCAACTAACCAAATCACGTACCTATTCTATGCCAGGCATACTTTTTCCGTTATAAAATCAGAAATAAATATGGGAGAAAAGAATTTTCTCTATACATGCAAACAAAAGTACTTTTAGGAATCCAGGAAATTATATAACCTTTACCTAGTATTTAGTAAAACATTAACAGAAGGACCTAAATATTATCAGTAATATTTACTATTTTCCAAGTAATTCCAAAATAAAAGTATTAAAAATAAAGAGAGCACAGCACCAGATACTTTAGTAGTATAACTACTGACTTATCTATCATTCTTTCCATATAAGTATTTCCTAAAACACACTTAAAATCTAAGACAAATCCTCAAAAAAGGTGATATTCCTCAAAGTCTTATTTATTAATCAATCAAAACAAACACTGCTAGTCACTGAAGTTAAATCACTTCTGTCTTAATATAAAATCCAGAGTAATGATTATATATCATAGGATTTTGTTTTATCCTTTCCTTATTGTACATTACTTGGTTTATACTTTCCCTTTGCTTAAACTCGCTTGCCTTTTTCAAGACTTCTTAGCCCAATAAACATATGTTATCTGTTTTTGTACTTTGGAACAGAAAGAGAAAACAGCATGAGAAGCTAATTGCTAAAACATTTAGTACCAATAAATAAAGGGTAACTTCAATGTCTGCTAGAATGTGTGTCTATCTGAAAGGATTAGCAAGCTAGTAGTTTTGCCTGTATTAAATATCCTATTTGCAACCAAATGGTTTTTAGCTTAATTAGATATATCTGATGTTCTCATCACGGACTGTTAACCCAATAAAAGCATTATTTCTTGAGCTTGGAGAAATACTTATCTCAGGCAGGGAGCTAATGGCCTTAAAGGAAATAGGTTACTCCAGCTGATAATGGCAAGTAAAACAAAATGGCAGGAAAGATGATAGTATAGCATAAATAAAATTCTGGACACCCATGTAATCTATTTCTAGAGAGTGAATGCCATGTCACTCTATTTCATTAATTCTTTTTTTGTTTTTCTTTCAAATAGAGACAAGGTCTTACTCTATTGCCAAGGCTGGAGTGCAGTGGCGAGATTGTGGCTCACTGCAACTCCAACTCCTGGCTGAAGTGAGCCTCTCACCTCAGCCTCCCAGGTAGTCGGGACTACAGGCACATGCCACCACATCTAGTGAATTTTTTTTTTTTTTTTTTTTTTTGAGACGGAGTCTCGCTCTGTCGCCCAGGCTGGAGTGCGGTGGCGCAATCTCGGCTCACTGCAAGCTCCGCCTCCCGGGTTCACGCCATTCTCCTGCCTCAGCCTCCCAAGTAGCTGGGACTACAGGAGCCCGCCACCACGCCCGGCTAATTGCTTTTGTATTTTTAGTAGAGACAGGGTTTCACTGTGTTAGCCTCCTAACACGTGGTTTCGATCTCCTGACCTCATGATCCACCCGCCTCGGCCTCCCAAAGTGCTGGTATTACAGGCGTGAGCTGCGGCTCCCGGCCAGATCTTTTAAACTTGGTGAGGACACAGTATCAATTTGTGTGGTAAGGCTTTCCACCTGAAATGGCAATAGGTAGGACTGCTTCTATATGAAAATGGCTATATTGATCAAAAGACGCAAAATGCCAACTTTTCAAAATTGGCAATTATCTAAGAATTTATCATCAGAAACTAATCACAGACATGCTTAAATATGTAGCCACCAAAGATGCTCATCTTACTTAATGGTAGAAAATTAAAAACAAATGTTGGGAAGGGTGGGTTATGGAATACTCATGTTATGGAAAGACACCATATACTAACTGGTAAAAACAGACTATGAAATAGATTACAACCCTGTAAATGAAATAATAAATTCATACAGAAAAAAAGAGAGAATACTTTGGTAGGCTAAAACAGGGGGAGGATCACTTGAGCCCAGGGGTTTGAGACCAGCCTAAGCAACACAGTGAGATCCTGTCTCTATAAAAAATACAAAAATTAGTCAGGCATGGTGGCGTGCCTATAGTCCCAGCTACTCAGGAGGCTGAGGTGGGAAAATCCCTTGAGCCAGGGAAGTCTTAAGCTGCAACAAGCCATGATCGTGCCACTGCACTCTAGGCTGGGTGACAGAGGGAGACCTTGTCTCAAAAAAAAAAAAAAAAAAGAAAGAAAAACGCCAAAGGTTTACAATGTTACCTCTTCGAGCTGAAAATTTGCTAATTTGTTAATTAGCATTTTTTGCTTCTCCCATTCTCTAAATTTTCTCCAATTAACATATTGCTCCTTTCCTACCCTGCTGCAAGTTAAGAAAGAACAAAAGAAAAAAAAACACCACCACCACCTTACTATTAACGGTTGCTATTGGGCATCTGCTCAACCTAGCACAGGATGGGATTTTCAGTCATCACATTTCTGCTATGTGATTCTGCTCCCATGACCATAGGTAAATATCCACAAAATGTTGTCTGGCTACATCAGAGATTATGTCTCCCCAAGAGAAGGAGAGATTCATTCTCTCTGACTGACTGAACTTGTAATATGTCAACCCCAAACCTATGTGTTTCTGCCACATATATTATTCTGCCAGACTAATGGGAGGGAATGATGCAGACATGCAGAGAAAAGCAGAGGCAAGAGGTAGAGAGAAGGCACAGCTTGGTTTCTGATAGCTTTTTAGTAGCCTGTTCCAGTCTTCTTTGAGGTCTTATTGAATTTTTGCTCTTACGTCCTACAAGACACTGATTCTCGTATCCTTTTCTTCCTTGAGACGGAGTCTCACTCTGTTGCTCAAGCTGGAGTACAGTGACACGATCTTGCAATCTCTGCCTCTTCCCGGGTTCAAGCCATTCTCCTGCCTCAGTCTCTGCAGCAGCTGGGATTATAGGCATGCACCACCATGCCCAGCTAATTTTTGTATTTTTAATAGAGACGGGGTTTCACCATGTTGGTCAGGCTGGTCTCGAACTCCTGACCTCAAGTGATCCACCCATCTCGGCCTCCCAAATTGCTGGGATTACAGGTAGGTGTGAGCCACTGTGCCTGGCCTCTTGTATCCTGTTAATAAATTTCCCTTTTATGCTTGAGCTGGTGAGTTTGTTTCTATTTGCAATCAGAATTTGGATACATTAGAGTTCAATGGATTGCAGAAAAAAATCAACAACCTACAAATGGCTTTCAAACTCAGGAAAAGATGCTCAATCATCTACACTAAAAAAGTAAATGCACACTTTGGGAGACCAAGGTGGGAGGATCACTTGAGCCCAGGAGTTTGAGACCAGCATGAGCAACAAAGTGAGACTCTGTCTCTACAAAAAATAAATAATAATTAGCAGGGCATGGTGACCCATGCCTGTAGTTCCAGCTACTCGAGAGAGAGGCTGAGGCAGGAGGTTTGCTGGAGTCTGTGAGATTGAGGCTGCAGTGAGCTACGACTGTGTCACTGTACTCCAGCTTGGGCGACCAGAGCGAGAACCTGAAAAAAAAAAATGGGAGGAAGGAAGGAAATGTAAATGAAAATTATGAGATACCACTTTCACTTTGCAGAGTAGCAAAGATTTACAAAAACTAATGTAAACAAATTATATTGGCAAAGGAGTGCAGAAGTAGGCACTTTCATATTTTTGTTGAAGTATAAATTGAAAGGCAATTTTTATAATATCTGTAAAGATTTAAAATGCACATATCCTATGACTGAGCAAGTCTACTTCCAGTAATTCAAACTATAAATTAACAGTGTATGTATGCAAAGATAATGTACAAGAATATTCACTAAGTATCACTTGCAATGGCAAAAAAATGAATTAGAAGCAACCTAAATATCCATAAAGAGATTGATTAAATAAAATAAATTATGGTATATCCATAAATAGGATACCATATAGCTCTTTCAAAAGAACAAGTTTGAAATGTTCTATAATAGTAATAATAATGAGATCTATGTGTGATGATACAGAACAGTTTCCAAGATACTGTTAAGTGGGAAATGCAAGGTGCAGAACTGTGAGTGCTGTACCCTACTATCTGCATAAAAGAAGTAGGGAGGCATTCATCTACAACTATGCAAAGAATTTTTTTTTTTTTTTTGAGACAGAGTCTCGCTCTGTCATCCAGGCTAGAGTGCAATGGTGCGATCTCAGCTCACTGCAACCTCTGAGTCCTGGGTTCAAGCAATTCTCCAGCCTCAGCCTCCCAAGTAGCTGTGATTACAGGTGTCCACCACCACACCCAGCTAATTTTTGTATTTTTAGTAGAGACGGGGTTTCACCATGTTGGTCAGGCTGGTCTCGAACTCCAGACCTCAGGTGATCTGCCCACCTCGGCCTCCCAAAGTGCTAGGATTACAGGCGTGAGCCACCATGCCCAGCTATACAAAGAATACTTCTAAAAGAGGTTCAAAAAACTAGTAATAAAGGTATCCTTTGAAAGCAGAATCAATGGTTCTCTGAAGGGTTAAGAAGAGGGAGATTTACAATGTATACTCTTTATGTAAAAATATTTGAGTTCAAAACAATGAATTCAAACAATTCAATGAGTTCAAAACAATGAACAATAAATGGTAGGCTACTCATCCTATAATATAGGAGAATAGTATTCTTCAGTGGGATTGGAATAGGAATTCAGAACACTAACTTCTAGCCCTGGCTGTGGTTCTAACTAGCTTTGTGACTAGGAGCAAGTGAGTTAACTGTGCCTCAGTTTTATCACCTGCAAAATATGGAATGAAGGGATTTATTAAATAATGACAAACACCATTTCTTAAGGAAAAATATATTTAGAACTCCTTGGTCTTCTCATTTGTTTTCAACAGAACTTGAGGCTTGCCCTCATTACGGCCATTAGATTCCTATATTCACTATATAGTAACTGATTATCAGGTAAGAGATAGCAGAAAGAAGAGACAAGTACTTAATGGCTGATTCCAACCTCAAAATGATGAACTTATTAAGTCTTAGCTATGTCTGTTGCTCAGTGGAGTCTGGCAAAGGGCATCAATTTTTTTCATAGACACGAACAACTTGCCATGTATGGTCAATATATCAGAAGACACTTGCCCAGTTTAGTGCCATCCTTGTTTCCTCTTGGGAACCTCATTTTGTAGGCAGCCCAGGCCTACCAAAATGGAAAATTAGCATCTATCAGGGGAAATGACTCTTTCCAGGGAATCATTATGGTAGGTGCTAAGGATGTGGATCAGGACAGGATGCAAAAGCAGCAGCATCAGAACCACACTACCAAGCAATCATGAGTTTAAAAGTTTGATATTTAGGCTGGTATGGGAAATATGGAAATCAGTATTTGGAGTAAAGCAGGGGCAAGAAATGGAAATTAGGTGTACTAGAGATCAGAATCAGATTGTTACGCTTATTTTTTTTTTGTCTTTTTTTTTTTTTCCTTTTTCTGGAGAACGGGGTCTCGCTATATTGCCCAGGCAGGTCTCGAACTCCTGGGCTCAAGCTATCCTCCCGCCTCTTGCCTCCCTGAGAGCTGGGATTACAGGCGTGAGCCACTGCGCCCGGCCCAGAATCAGATTGTTAAACAATAGTCAGGAATGTGAAACATCAGTCAGGGACCACAGAGTAAATATCAGTTTATTCATGAATTGGGATGAGGTTGGGGCACAGAGGCCCATCACAAGCAGAAAGGTAAGTTACTTTTCTCCAGATGAAAAGGGTTGAAGCCTAGCACTTAGCATACTGAGATGGCACATAAAGGTAACTCAAGTATTTATTAGATGAAATTTAAGACCTGTTTAAGTTAGCTACCATATTAATTCTCTACAGAGTTCAAAAGTATTTCTGAGCCCAAACATGCATCTAAGTATTAATATGAACTTTTTCTACCTCAAATGTTTTCCATACTAATATTAAACTTTTGACCTAGAAACAAGTTTCAAAATTATGTTGGGGAGTCAGGAAGAGGGCCGAAGGAAGAAAGGAGGAAAGAGAGGAAATTATGAATGCTACGGGTGGTTTGGCATGGTGGCTCATGCCTGTAATCCTAGCACTTTGGGAAGCCAAGGAGGGAGGATCTCTTGAGCCCAGGAGTTCAGGACAAGCCTGAGCAACATGGGGAAACCCCATTTCTACAAAAAATAAGCCAGGGATGGTGATGTACACCTGTAGTCCCAGCTACTTGGGAGGCTAAGGTGGGAGAATCACCTGAGCCTAGGCTCAGTGAGCCATGATGGCACCACTACACACCAGTCTGAGTAACAGAGTGAGACCCTGTCTCAGAAAAAAAAAAAAAAAAAAAAAAAAAGATGCTAAGGGCACTCTGAATAAAGGCAGAGGATGTAGTGCAGTTATATAATATCAGCATTTTTGCAGAATGTCAATTTTTAAAATTTTAATTAATAATAATTTTTTTTTAAAGGAGTCTCTCTCTGTTGCCAGGCTGGAGTACAGTGGCGCGATCTCGGCTCACTGCAATCTCTGCCTCCCAGGTTCAAGTGATTCCCCTGCCTCAGCCTCCTCAGCCTCCCGAGTAGATGGGACTACAGGCACGCTCCACCATGTCTGCTAATTTTTTGCATTTTAGTAGAGATGGGGTTTCACCATGTTGGCCAGGATGGTCTCAATCTCCTGACTTAGTGATCTGCCCGCCTCGGCCTCCCAAAGTGCTGAGATTACAGGTGTGAGACACTGCACCTGGCCAGTAGAATTTTTTTGAGTCAGGGTATTGCTCTGCCACCCAGGCTGGAATGCAGTGGCCTGCTCATGGCTCACTGTAACCCCAAACTCCTAGGCTCAAGTGATCCTCTTGCCTCAACCTCCCAAGCAGCTGGGACTACAGGTACATGCTACAATGCCTAGCTAATTTTTTCTTTTTTTTCTGTAGGAACAGGGTGTCATTATGTTGCCCAGACTGGTCTTAAACTCCTGGGCTCAAGCAACCCCCATGCCTTGGCCTCCCAAAGTGCTTGATTACAGGTGTGAGCTACCACACCTGGCCTACAGCCATTGTTTCTAAGCTTTACTCCTTCTGTGATTAGTCTCTACTGTTTTTTCCACACACCTAAGGGTTTACAACTGGCAGGGCAGATTATCAAAGCTTTCGTGCTCTTAAATTGGCCTATGTCCTCTTTCTGGGAAACTACCACCACACTGTTTTTAATATAATGCATTTTCGGGATTTCTCTGTCATTTAAGAGACACGTGGGTATATAGGGAGAATTTCTATTATGGGTTGAGCTCTGGACAATACTTGGCACAGAATAGATACTAAAGGAACACTGGCTGATATAGAGCATATAACTTAACCGTACATTGGAGGGATCAGACTGCCACCACCCTAAACCAGAGTTAATCTCTGCATCACTAATGGTGGGATACCCAGATATGCTGTGACTCCTAATATGATGCAATATATTATACACATTACATAGGATTAATTCTAGCTATAAATATTTAACTTATATTCATCTAACTGAAGCTCATAGAACCAACTTCCAGTTTCCAGGAAACACAGCTAAATGATGCCATAAGGAAGCAATGAGACTGATCCAAAAGGTAGAATATTTTTCTGGACAACTTCCCCATTGACAAGTCAGAATCATAAAAAAGAAACTGTTTTGAAGTAAAAGAGATTTCACAGAAATAACCTGATGTAATGACTAATCCTAGCTTGGATCCAGGTTTATTAAAGAACAGTTTGGAAGACTGGGGGAGTCTGAATACAGATTGCGTATTAGATAATATGAATTATTATTATTAAGTTTAAATGTGCTAATGTTATTTTGCCTGTTATTTTAAAAAGATGCACAGTCAACTAAAAAACATATATAAAAATTTAAAAAGAAATATATACATGCAATAAAAAATAAATAAGATATATAAAATTTGAAAAAGAAATATAAATGAATGAATGAAAGAGAAAAGTCTGGGCTGGTTTGGTAGTCAACAGCATGCATGGTAATTAAAACCATGAAAATAGATGAGATAAGGTCACCTAGGCAAGTACATAAGGGAAGACAAAGAGATGTGAATCAGGCAGATAATATTTCAGACTAGATGTAGGAGTAAGAACCATTAAATTGAAAAAGAGCAACTGGAGAAATAGGAGGACCAAGAGGAGAATGGCATTCCAGAAGCCAATGGAGGTATTTCAAGATGGATAAGGCAATTAATAATATCAAATTCGAAAGAGCTCAAGCTGGATAAAGACCGAAGAGAGGCTAGCAAATAACAAATAGAAGGTCAGTGATGACCTGATTGAGAGGAGTTTCAGTAGAGTGACTGGAGCAGAAGTCAGAGGAATGAACTGCTGTCGAAGAAGTGGAGACATCACTCCTCTTTCAAAGAAGTTTGGAGTTTCTCAGAAAGATGAGAACCTGTACAAATAATACACATTGTTCAGATAATGAAATTCCTAGTGATTAATGCCAACATGTTGTGGCAATCAGGAGACTGGAGAGGTCACTGGGTGAAACAGGAGGATTTATTTAGGCGGCCACCAACTCAGCAGATCAACATCCAAAGTCCAGCTGGAGCTATAACATTATCTGCAAAACCAGGCAAAGGCCCCCAAAAAATGGGTTCCAAAAGCAAGTATGAGAAAAACAAGTTCTTATCAGTCTCCCCCTAAAATTCTCTCCCCATACCATCATTCTTTGTTCTGCTCTCATTAATTAGTTTTGTAACTATTTTTACAAGTTTGCAAAGGTTTTATACGTTCCTGTTTTTCTCTCTGTAACACAGCAAAGTCACAAAACATGCCTAAATTGCAAAAACCTGTCACAGTATAATTAACTGCCTTTGTTCTGCTTCTGCAAGCCTGGTTTCCCCGCCCTGCAAATTTTGCGCCACTGGCTAGCCACTCCACTTCAGCAGCATAAATAAAAGTCAAGCCCTGTCTTTGTTCATTGCTCAGCCTTTAGATGTTAATCCACTAAGTTGGTGGCCACCTAAATAAAATCCTTCTGTTTCACCCAGTGGTCTCTCCAGTCTCCTAATTCCCACAGCAAACATGCAGTAACAGATAAGTGAAAGATAAATGTAAGGGACAGAAGGTGATAGCAGAGTTATAAAATAAAGGATTACTCATGTAATGCCCACATAAAATAAATATCTGCTATCGTATTTTTAAGAGTCTGCAAATTCAACAGAACTATAGTTTGGTTTTTATACTTGTCTCTTAAAGAACGGTGATACTGCAATTTATAAATAGATGTTTCACTGTGGAAATAGATTTGTTCCCTTAAAAATTGGATATAAAATACATTTTTGGAAATCAAATAATTAAGTAAGTTAGGAGAAGTATCTCTTCAAAGGAGTGATGGGACCCTTAGGCTGCAATCTGATTGCATTCAAATTATGTCTTTATAAATATTAGTAATCAATGTCTTATTTTGATTTTACAACATATAACCCTTGGTTCCTACTCTAATCCTATGAGATATGCAGGCTGAGTATTATTAGCCACATCTGACCTCAGACCATTCAGTCTGCTACAGGGGTATTTGTCTTGGAAAAAGGAGTGATTTTCCCTTTAGAGGGATACTGTGTGTTCATGAAAGTTCTCGAAGAACTAATAGTCACACAGCTCTGAAGCTGTTTAGTTTTCTTAATTAATACATTATTCAAACTAGTATAAATTTTAAAAACAAGCTATCTCACAGTATGCTGACTTTTAACATTCCGAAACAATGATAGTCAAAATTTAAGTAAAAATGTGGTTTATGAGCTATGCTATAGTAAATTCACAGAAAAAATGGAGATGGCTTAATAATAAACCAATAATAAACTAATAAAAATACTAGTTTCACAACAATGTAAATATACTTAACATTACTGAAATGTATAATTAAAAATGATTAAGACAGTAAAGTTTATGTTATGTGTTTTTTACCACAATTAAAAAAAAACCAACACCAACATTAGCTTTGTTAGAAAAATATTAAAAGGATTAAAAGGATAATTTACTGTAATATTTCTCATAACAAGCATTTCTTGCTTATTCACAATAAATATTCCTTCCACTATTAAGGCATGGAGATTATTTTTCTATAGTTTATGAATTAAAATCGATAAGTATTTTATAGAAATAATATACTGGAAGAAGATACAAATATGCTACAATATTTAACTGCATTCTACCCCCTAAGCACACATTTTCCAAATTCTCTATAATGATGATGTAATTTTCACATTCAGAAAAAAGATTTTTTAAAATTGAGATTGACATTAAATATAATAACTGTGACAATTAAGTAATATTTGAGGCCTGGATTTTACATCTCAGAATTCACTCAATGTATACCAGCTTATTTAATTCACCTCTATATTTCATGCTTCTGTGTTAGGACAAAGGCCAGTCTGTGGATGTGCAAACATTTTTTTTTCTTTTTTTTTTGAGACAGAGTCTCACTCTGTTGCCCAGGCTGGAGAGCAGTAAGAGCATGGCTCACAGCATCCTCAAACTCCTGGGCTCAAGCAGTCCTCCCACCTCAACCTTCTGAGTAACTGGGACTACAGGTCCGTGCCACCATGCCTGGCTAATTATTTTTAGTAGCGATGAGGTCTCGCTATGTTGCCCAGGCTGGTCTCGAACTCCTGAGCTCAAGCGCTCCTCCACCTTGGCCTCCCAAAGTACTGGGATTATAGGTGTGAGCCCCTGTGCCCAGGAGCAAATTGTTTTTTTATAAGTAGAGGCAGTCCAAGAGAGCCTACTAAAATCTTAGCTACCCTGTATCCAAAGACTCTTTGGAAAGAAAAGTGGAATGGTTTGGGGCCCTACAAAGGTTAAGAGAAATTAGTAGAAATATGTTGAGATATGCACAGTTGCAAAGACCCTTTGCTACACTGTTTGATAGCACAAAACAACAATAACAAAAAATGCTACTGTTGAATCTAGAATTCACTAGGAAAGACATTCTAGTGACATATAATCCAAAATAAATCTAAAATTATATACAGCCACAGGTAGACAGTGCATATAAATGACAACACTGAGATTGCATTCAGGAGGTTTAAAGATATATTAAAAACTTTTGTTAACTATATTTGAAAACAGTCTTCTCACCTGCGTGGCCTAGTCCTTGGGGACATCATTTCATTCCCAAGTATGTGGTACCGTCTTGCTTCATGCAACAACTGATAACACTCAGGAGAATTCTGGATCAATTGGTCCACTTCAACTGTTTGAACAAAGTAGTTGGGATGCAACAGAGGGAGTCTCACATGTGTCAGGAGCTCGTGTAACAGTGGTCTTCTCAGATCAACGGCACGATAGACCCAACGCATGACGGCTTCAAAAACCATCTCCTCTTTACCAATAACAAGTTCATCACTACAAATATAATCAATAAGTTCATCTTTGTCAAGCTCAAGAAATTCTTCGTGCTGGGATACATCCTCAAAAGTCTGTAACGCAAAATTTTTGCATTTTGTGAAGAGTGTTTTGAGTGAATGGGTATCAGCAAAGCGCTGGATTCCTAAGCAATTACAAGGATCAAGTTGCTCCTCCAAGAACTTGGCACATGCATCACGGAGAACACTAATCTGAAAGAGGCTTGATGTCTCAAAGAGATACTGTACATTCTCTGTAGTGATCTTCACCTTTCCAGTATAAACATACTGCAAAAAACATTCCATAGCTTCAGCTAAAATACCATTGATCTCAACCAACATTTCTCGGCTTTCCCTGTGGTCATTACAAAACATAGCTCTGAAGTAGCTGCTACAGGCTGAGAGCACAGCTCTATGGCAAGGAAATTCTTTTCCTTCCACACAAATGATAACATCTGTGAATAAGCGGCTATCACGAAATTCATTAAATATCTGGAGTATGTTTTCGGCATGGGATGATCCTGAAGAGAAGTCAAAAAACTCATGACCTGTCAGAGATTTGGGGTCCATTTCAAAAACTTTTCGCTTAGTTGCTGGGGAATCACGCACCCCAAGATCCTCTCTGTTTAGTCTGCGTCCCAATATTAGTACCATTGTTACATCAGTTGACTATATAATTGTTGAGAAATGACTATTAGGGATCTTCTTTATGTGGCTAAAAGTAAAAAAAGGAAAACATTTCAATATGCAAAAAATTCAGTATTCAAATCACATAATTTCATTTTAATATAAACACTACAACAAAATCACATAATATATTTCATATAGGGTACACAGCACTATCTCATGTTAATAAAAACTAATCAACAAAAATTTGCATTTGAACAATTAGAACATTGGGGTAATTTGCAATAGTACTCCTTAAGCTCCCCTTTTCTAGCTGAAAGGATACTATGTACTTCGTGAGTTACTAATAACCTTCCGTTTCCTCCCCATTTACAGAGCTGAGTTTCATACTATTGACTGTAGAGTTAAGTCAGAATGGTGTAAGACACAATTTGACTACAGTTAGAATTCTAACAGTTATCTTTCTTTTTAAGAATCTTTTTTATTTTGAGACAGGGTCTCACTCTGTCACCAAGTTTGGAGTAAAGTGACATGATCATAGCTCACTGTAACCTCAAACTCCTAGGCTCAAGCGATCTTCCTGCCTCAGCCTCCTGAGTAGCTGTGACTATGTGTGCGTACCACCATGCCTGGCTATTTTTTTTTTTACTTTTTGTAGAGATGGGATCTTGAACTCCTGGCCTCAAGCGATCCTCTCACCTCAGCCTCTCAAAGTACTGGGATTACAGGCATGAGCCACCATGCCTGGTGAAATAATTATTATCTTAATATAGAATTCCTAGAGAGGAATTTAGCTATATCTATCAATAGCCTTTAAAAATATGTACATTGTTTGACCAGCAAGTCCTTTTTTTTTTTTTAGCACTCTCTCCTAAGGAAATAATCAGAATTATGTCGACAGATTTATCTATGCAGATGTCCAATGCTGTATTGATAGAAAATACTCAAAATAACCTAAATGCCCTATAAGAGGGGATTGGTCAAACCACAGTACATCTTCTGGCTAGAACAAAGTCTATGCAACCATTAAAAATTATATATGACTATTTAACGACATGGGGAAGTAGTAACCACACAGTAAGTGAAAAAGTAGATCACAAAACATATGCCAACAGAAAAAATAATGTATCTGTGAATCTAGGGATAGGATGTACATATGCTAAAATGTTTTATTTATCTTCTCTATTTTCTACCAAAATTTCTATTATAAAATTTAATATTCATTTAAAAAAATTTCATGCATGTTATCTAGGTCTTGTTCCCTTTCACTAATAAGAAACATCCCAAAACCCCCTCAGAAATGACTTTCAGTAAGTAACTGATGGATTGAGGCACTTGGCTATAGCCATCAATTCTCTCTCTGTGTCTCTTTTTTTTTTTGGAAACAAGGTCTCATTCTGTCACCCAGGCTGAAGTGCAATGGCGCGATCTTGACTCACTGCAATCTCCACCTCCTAGGTTCAAGGGATTCTGCTACCTCAGCCTCCCGAGTAGCTGGGACTACAGGCACGTACCCACCACACCCGGCTAATTTTTGTATTTTTGGTAGAGAAGGGGTTTTGCCATGTTGCCCAGGCTGGTCTTGAACTCCTGGCCTCAAGGGATCTGCCCACCTTGGCCTCCCAAAGTGCTGGAATTATAGGTATGAGGCATGGTGCCCAGCCCAATTCTCTTTAAGGTTAATTTTAAGGCGATTCTTCTACTCCCTTTCCACATCTTCAGAAGCTGATACATGATTCAAAGTGTATTAGTAATTGGTTTAAGATCACTCAGGGTACCTCATCTATTGCCATACTCTCAGAATTTCATACACATCCCTTCTACCATTCCCAACTTCTTGAAATATTTCAAGTCAGACATTCAGGCCTAAGACTGGCAAGCAAAAAGAAGTCAGCTAAAGGATGTCACAGATAATATAATCTAAAAAATGAGATGCCATCCTACATTCGCAAGCCACAAATAAAACTGAGACTTGAAAGTTAACATCTTAAGGCTGCATTTTGTGTACCCTGTCGCATATTAAATTGTACCCCACTTTTTAAGTGACACAAAGGGAAATAAAATACGTAACATCAAAATCAAGAAGCAACTCATTCTCTTATATATAGTATTCTCTTCTTTTTCATGTTCCTATTTATCTCCATCCTCTCTTCTCACTCTAATGCCCCAGATATCCTACTTCCAATATTCACTAGATACTTGCAATTTTCATGAATTCTCTCACTGAATTTACTTAATATTGCAGCTTTTACCATCATCATCATCAACAAATATTTATTATATGCCCACTATTGTCACGATACTGTACTAGGCCTAGGGTTTACAGAGATGTAAGATATTGCTATTGGAGTTTTTTGTTTTTGTTTTTGCTTTTTTGAGACAGGGTCTCCTTGTGTTGCCCAGGCTGGAGAGTACAGTGCCATGACCTCGGCTCACTGCAACCTCTGCCTCCCGGGTTCAAGCGATTTTCGTGCCTCAGCCTCCCGAGTAACTGGGATTACAGGCGCATGCCACCGCGCCTGGCTAATTTTTGTACTTTTTTTAGTAGAGACAGGTTTTGCCATGTTAGCTAGGCTGGTCTTGAACTCCTGAGCTCAAGCAATTCTCCTGCCTTGGCCTCCCAAAGTGCTGGGATTACAGGCGTGAGCCACTGCGCTCAGCCTGTTATGTTTTGTTTTGTTTCAGATGCTCTGTTGCCAGGCTGGAGTGTAGTGGCGCCATCTTGGCTCACTGTAACCTCCACCTCCCAGGCTCAAGTGATTCTCCTGCTTCAGCCTCCCAAGTAGCTGGGACTACAGGCACGCGCCAGCACGCCTGGATAATTTTTTGTATTTTAGTAGAGACGGGGTTTCACCATGTTGACCAGGATGGTCTAAATCTCCTGACCTCGTGATCCACCCGCCTCAGCTTCCCCAAGTGCTGGGATTACAGGCGTAATCCTTTTCATTTTTTATTTTTTAATTTTTTTTGAGACGGAGTCTCGCTCTGTCGCCAGGCTGGAGTGCAGTGGCACGATCTCAGCTCACTGCAACCTCCACCTCCCAGGTTCAAGCGATTCTCCTGCCTCAGCCTCCTGAGTAACTGGAACTACAGGCGTGCACCACCACACCCAGCTAACTTTTATATTCTTAGTAGAGATGACGTTTCACCATGTTGGGCAGGATGGTCTCAATATGACCTCGTGATCCACCCGCCTTGTCCTCCCAAAGTGCTAGGATTACAGGCATAAGCCACTGCGCCCAGCTTTTTTTTTTTTTTTAAGAGTTGCAACAAGGCCGGGCGCGGTGGCTGACGCCTGCAATCCCAGCACTTTGGAAGACCGAGGCGGGTGGATCACAAGGTCAGGAAATCGAGACCATCCTAGCTAACAGTGAAACCCCGTCTCTACTAAAAAAAAAAAAAAAAAATTAGCTGGGCGTGGTGGCAGGCGCCTGTAGTCCCAGCTACTTGGGAGGCTGAGACAGGAGAATGGCGTGAACCTGGGAGGTGGAGCTTGCAGTGAGCCTAGATCGCGCCACTGCACTCCAGCCTGGGTGACAGAGCGAGACTCCATCAAAAAAACAACAAAAAAGAGTTGCAATAAAACATATTCAAACAACATAAATAATAACATAAAGTAGCACAGACAATATGTCCCATTGGTACAGACAGCCTAGTTCCTCCTTAAACTTCTATTACATTTTAAAAATTCTCTTCATATCAATTAGCACTTAACCTTCCTGAAGCCTAGGTGATAGGATTTTCTCTGGACAGATATATGCCAGGTTATTCTGACCATTCAGGGAAAAATACCTGGCTATAACAACATCTGAAGGACACCTAAATGCTTGCATGCTATACAGGATCTTTTCTGTTTCTCTGTCTATCCCCCAAATGTGCAGGTAAAGTCAGAAAAAATCCAAGCAATTTTATCAGTCAAATGGAATAAAGACTAAAGTGAAATAAATAATATTTTCATTTGAAATCACTAGGGTGGAGAGTCAGAGGCAGTATGTTGATTTTTTTTTTTTTTTTTTTTTTTTGAGATGGAGTCTTGTTCTGTCACCCAGGCTGGAGTGCAGTGGCACAATCTCGGCTCACTGCAACCTCCACCTCCCAGGTTCAAGCTATTCTCCTGCCTCAGCTGTCCAAGCGGGTGGGACTACAGGCACATGCCACCATGCCGGGCTAATTTTTGTACTTTTGGAAGAGACGGGGTTTCACCATGTTGGCCAGGCTGGTCTTGAACTGACCTCAAGTGGTCCATCTGCCTCAGCCTCCCAGAGTGCTGGGATTACAGGCATAAGCCACCACACCTGGCCACCCTCATTTCTAAGTTAAAAAAAAAACAAAACAAAAAACCCAGAAAATTTCAAATGTACAAATATACATGCATTTTCTAAATACATAACAAAGCTTTGTGATGTAATATAATAGTTATGGCAATGGAAGCTCATGGAGAAGGCCTATTTAAATGAACACATATAAAAGTAAAGATAAACACAAGACAATGCTTACCAATGGCTGGTTTCGGAGTAAATGTCAACAAAGTAACTCCCACAAATTTAGTTAGGAAAATTAGTTTCTCTTAAATTTGAGGAAATATTTTCCTCTACATGTATGTTATGGTCCAAACAAGCTAGATTTTTAACTTCGACCCAATTATGTTTTGCAGATTTTAGGTAACAGACTTGCCTGAGAACAAATAAAAGCTCTATTTCATTTTATTAATTTTAATACCTAAATGAATAAAAATATATCTGAGTTTAAAATATTTTATTAGTTTTAAAATTTATTATCACTAACTAAAAAAAAATGGATTTCTTCCCATCTCTTTTAAGATTTTTCTGATTACTCAGAGTTCATGTTTGCTTCATTATACGTCACCCAACTTGGGTTACAGTTGCCCATATATTTGTGTGGATGTCTGGATGCATGTGCATACACACAGCTTAACATTTACAACTCCATTTACAATGCATAGAATGACTTCCAAATTCCAGGCTCCCACACATGAGCAGTAGCGTATCTATCAAATATGCTTTTAATTTGAAGTTATCTCAATAACCATTTTATAAACAGAAATGTATCCCCCATATCAAGAGAGATCACTACTGTACCTGAATGTCAATTTTTTGTTGTTGGTGAAACTTCAAAAAGTTCAATGTATGTAATATCACAAGTAATTAAAAAAGGGAACATTTCAATTATGATAAACATAAACTGTGATGACATGGAATATAACTCATATTTTAATCTTAATGCCTTATTAATCTAGATTCAAATTATGGTTGAATTAGCTACAAGTCAGGTACCCAAATCAAGAACCTACTATTCATTCCAGCTTAATCTAGTTTAAATTCCTGTTGCATTTCAGGTTCAAAAAATTCACACAAGTGATTGTGACTTTGACTAGTGATACAATTATTGGTATTAACAACAATGGAAATCGTGAGCTTCTTCCTGCATACATTTTCACTTTCTCAATGTTTAAATGAAAATTTGTTCAGAATACAAAACAAAATAGCACATTGTAAGAACTAAGAATTTCCCTTTGGCTAGAATGGACAAGTAGAAAAACAAATATAAAAGTATACTTTGTTTTATGTATTCAATGATTTTATTCTATCTAATATTTATTAGATAAATTTGAGAACAGTGAGTTAAGTATTAATATAAAATTGATTAAGCTTTGTATCAATTAAGGGTCTGTCTTTTTATGCTATTATCTGCCCCTTATTTTCATAGTTGGCTCCTTGATTTGTTCACTGACAAAAGAGGTCTTCCTCTCCACTACTTTTACCCAATAAAAAATGGAAAATCCTGGACTAGAACACCTATAAAATCACCTTGTATTACAAAGTCTTCAACAGCAATGAGATATTTGTTTACTGCTCTGTATGTAAGAGAGACTATCTCATAGATCTTTCCAAACAGCTTCAGCCTGCTGCCTCCTGACTTTTGGGCATCTTGACTTCCTCTGGATTTTCTGGGAACTCTCCAATTACTGGTCTCCGTAACTACACCAAATGTAAACACTTCCTATGTATAAATGATTTGCAGGAGGGCATCTTAGGAGTGTGAGATGCATTCAGAATGTATCTTTTGGGCTTCCACATGAAATTTGCTAGCTTTTGCCTTCCCATTTTATACAATAAAGTAATACAAAGATTAGCTGGGCGTGGTTGTGGACGCCTGTAGTCCCAGCTACTCAGGAGGCTGAGGCAGGAGAATCACTTGAACCCAGGAGACAGGAGAATCACTTGAACCCGGGAGGCGGAGGTTGCAGTGAGCCGAGATCGCACCATTGCACTCCAGCCTGGAAACAGAGCAAGACTCCGTCTCAAAAAAAAAAAAAAAAAAAAAAAAAGGAAAGAAAAATGTTATCCTATCATCTCAAAGTACGGTGACTAATATAGGTTCAAGATTGATCAAAATGAACTCATGATGCATAATCAAGCAAACAAAACGTAAGATTACAGATTGAACCATTATAACATTTTTGCAAATATCACAGCAGAATTATTCCCATCAGGAAAAAGTAAACAACTAAGTAGGCATCTCTAGACAAAATAAGTAGGAAAAGCTTCTTTCCAAACAAACATAATGACTTAAAGTTATATCTACATGAGTTAATGTATATAAGTTGATCAGACATGAATGAGGCTCTCAGGAAAGCACAGAAGAGTGGGTAAATATTTAGTAACAGAAATGATTGTCACACTGCCATCTTTTGTGATCTTAAGGATAGAGTTGTGCCTTGTTATCTGATTGGCTTAAGTGATCCCTGGTTAAAGAAAGGAATATGGTTTAAATTCTCTAATAACAACATTTAGATAGTTTATAAATATTACAAATATACCTTTTTAGCATTTGGTTGATCAAAGCCCCAGTCAAAATATGTGTGTTCTTTTAATTTCCACACCTAAAATAAAGAAAGAATAGCAACATATAAATCAGATAGTTGTCAGTTCATGTACAGCTGGCATTATTTACTAATATGTTGAACAAAGTTTTTAGTAATTTCTAGTTTCCAACTGAAGTTCGTTTTTGTTTAAAAATAATTAGTGAATAACATCTCCTTAAAGTAAATTAATAACTTAATGCTATTTTACATAACTAGTTTTTCTTATTTATCAACTTCCTTACTTGACAGTTTTTTTGTTTGTTTTTTGAGACTGAGTTTTGCTCTTATTGCCCAGACTGGAGTGCAATGGCGCAATCTCGGCTCACGGCAACCTCCGCCTCCCAGGTTCAAGCGATTCTCCTGCCTCAGCCTCCCTAGTAGTTGGGATTACACGTATGTGCCGCCATGCCCAGCTAATTTTGTATTTTTAGCAGAGACAGGGTTTCTCCATGTTAGTCAGGCTGGTCTCAAACTCCCGACCTCAGGTGATCCGCCCGCCTCGGCCTCCCAAAGTGCTGGGATTACAGGCATGAGCCACCGTGCCCGGCACTTGACAGTTTTATCCTGGAGTTTTATCCTGCAGTAAAATTTCTTGAGTGAAAAATGAGTAAAAGAAAATTAATGTCAATAGCAAGCTAATGGTAGCACTGAAAAAACATACACTCTGTGATATTTGAATACACTTTGGATATTTGAAGAGTGTCTGGAAATTGATGTTTCATCCAAGTTTGGGGCCATTAAATAATTCTAAGAGTTAGCAAATAATTTTTTTATCTTTTAATATATAAATGTATATTTCTTCTGCCTTGAATCTTGTAGAAACTTAATCCCCATATCCCCATAGAAACCAACTAATTCGGCACAATTCCTTTTTTTTTTTTTTTTTTTTTTTTTTGGTGGAAGGGGAGAAGAGGAATGCTTAAGAGAAAATACCAGAACCTTGAGCTGTGTACAGAATAGCAATAGTATTTAAACACAAGTGGTTCTGGTTTCTGGCCCAGATATCTTTAAATAGAACTTGTAAATTCTTAACAAGTTTAGACAAATTCAAAAGTTGATTCCAAAACCAAATATAAACGACCTTTTTTTTAAATGTATACACACAAACACATATGTATACCCAGACTGTGTTATGATCATCAAGTGAATGCTATCCTGTGTTTCCTTACTTTCAGAAGTGAACCTGACTTGTATGTACCCTTGGTAAAAAAATATTGCAACTAGGGCAAATTTGGGAATTGTTACTCCTAGCTAAGTAAATCTTCCTTCCCAATGGACAATAAGATCCTGAATCAATGCAGGGATGCAGGTCAATTCATGAAACATTTATAAAGAACCTAGTTTATGTCTGTCACTGGCTGGCAAATACTGGATTCAGATCCAATTTTAGACTCTGTGGGGTTGGCTAAGAGTAGAGCCAAACAAGAACTCCAAGATTGGTACTAAAATAGATTCAAATTCTTAGCAGGTGCAGACTGGAATAGAGCCTCTCATAACCGATCTGGTCTAGAATTATACCTTATGGGGTAGAAAGCATAAGGCAATTCACCTGGACATTTTCTATGGATTTTTAGGTAATACCAACCTAATCGGTAAGGGTAAGGGATGGAAGAGAGAGGGTACAAAGTCTGATGGAGATATGTAATATCAGAATTAATCTACAGCGTGAGTGTACTGAAACAAGCTTATGTTTCCTTTAGAATGCAGAAATTCTATACGATGAGGTTACTAACATCCTTAAAGATAGTATGGATTAATGAGGGGCTTCTAAAAACTAATACCAGAAAACAAAGGAACCAACAACATCCTGACTAGCATGGCCCCTAAAACTTGTAGTAGAGAACTGCTGCATACTATGTTCTACGCTACTCCATTTTCTCAAATTTAACCTTGAAAGAACACCACAGGAGATGAAAAGAAAGGTTAACCAAGAGGTTTATCTTGAAAGATATATAGTAACTCAAAAGAAAGAAAGTCAGAAAATAATTGCAATATAGTAAATCTTTTTTTTTTTTTTTTTTTTGAGACAGTCTCACTCTGTTGCCAGGCTGGAGTGCAGTGGCATGATCTCGGCTCACTGCAACCTTCACCTCCTGGGTTCAAGCGATTCTCCTGCCTCAGCCTCCCATGTAGCTGGGACTACAGGTGTGCGCCACCATGTATTTTTAGTAGAGACGGGGTTTCACCATGTTGGCCAGGATGGCCTCGATCTCTTGACCTTGTGATCCACCCGCCTCGACCTCCCAAAGTTCTGGGATTACAGGCGTGAGCCACTGTGCCCGGCCAGTACATCTTTTATTTAAAAAATAACCAGAAAATCATATATAATAAGGTACTATACAAAACCAAGCAATTTTTATACATTTCAGATATTTTCACCCTATAGTCTCAAAAGCTAATTTATTTGATGACTTTTTAAAAATCATAAACTTGCACTATCAAAATTTCAGTTTAAAGAATTACTCTGCAGCAGTGGTTCCTGGACCATGTTTTACAAATGTAATGTTTAAAGCCCAGCCTTCAAGCTATTTTCAACATTTCCAGTTTCTTAATGGAACCACCAAGACCATATTTACCCACCACAAGATAACAGAAACTGGCTGGCCGAGGTGGCTCACGCCTGCAGTCCCAGCACTTTGAGAGGCTGAGGCAGGCGGATCACGAGGTCAAGGGTTCGAGACCAGCCTGGCCAACATAGTGAAACCCCGTTTCTACTAAAAATACAAAAAAATTAGCCGGGTGTGGTGGCGGGCACCTGTAATCCCAGCTACTCAGGAGGCTGAGGCAGCGGAAATGCTTGAACCCAGGAGGCGGAGGTTGCAGTGAGCCAAGATGGCACCATCACACTCCAGCCTGGGCGACAGAGCAAGACTCTGTCTCAAAAAAAAAAAAAAAAAGAAAAAAGAAAAAAGAAAAAAAAGAAAAGGTAACAGAAACCAACTAAAACCTTGAGTTTCTTTGGATAGAATGATAGCAACTATGGATTACCCCATATTTATTAGAACCTCAAATGGGCAATATACTATATGACTTTGCTTGATGAGAAACAAAACAGATAGCTGTTGATGACAAATTTAGGAAAGCTTAAACAATGTGTCAGACTAAACAATATGGTTCTTTAACTAAAAAAGAATACTATTGTCTCTTAAATCACAGGAAAAAAAATATGAATTTCTCCAGTGTTTCTCTCCCTCGACTTAAAACTTCTGGCTACTGATATTCCCCAACCCTAAAGGAAGAAAAAAACTTGTTAACCATCAGACATCACACGTGGTATACCAAGCTGCCCTATTGAGCCTACTCATGCTTCTGACTAGACTTGATGTGTAAATTTACTGTTGTTTGGTTTTATCTTGCTAACATGTTTCTTTTAGGTATTTAATGCATTGTTTTATTTGATAATCAAAACACCTATAGATATATGATATAGTTATGTTTTCTGTTAGAAAAATGGTTTTGGTTATTTATTTATTGAGATGGAGTCTCGCTCTGTCACCCAGGATTGAGTGCAGTGGCACAATCTTGGCTCACTGCAACCCCCACCTCCCGGGTTCAAGTGATTCTCCTGCCTCAGCCTCCCGAGTAGCTGGGATTACAGGAGCGTGCTACCACACCAGGCTAATATTTTCTGGGTTTGTTTGTTTGTTTGGTTTTTAGTGGAGATGGGGGTTTCACTATGTTGGCCAGGCTGGTCTCGAACTCCTGACCTGGTGATCCACCTGGCCCGGCCTCCCAAAGTGCTGGGATTACAAGCGTGAGTCACCACGCCCAGCCCGGTTTTGGTTTTTTAATTAAATCTGCAAGGATGCCAGCAAGGAGCTCTGCCACCTGAACAAATTTGAGATTTTTTTTTTTTTTTTTTTTTTTTGAGACAGAGTCTTGCTCTGTCACCCAGGCTGGAGTGCAGCGGCGCGATCTTGGCTCACTGCAAGCTCCGCCTCCTGGGTTCACGCCATTCTCCTGCCTCAGCCTCCCGAGTAGCTGGGACTACAGGCGCCCGCCGCTACGCCCGGCTAATTTTTTGTATTTTTAGTAGAGACGGGGTTTCTCCGTGTTAGCCAGGATGGTCTTGATCTCCTGACCTTGTGATCTGCCCGCCTTGGCCTCCCAAAGTGCTGGGATTACAGGCGTGAGCCACCGCGCCCGGCCACAAATTTGAGATCTAATATTTTACATGACTTCTCTATGAATAAAAGCACATAGTCAGTGGTTTATATTTATCTTAGTAGTGACACGAATTATTTACAGTGGTAGCCTTTGGAAACCTCAGTTAAGAGTAAAGCCCACTTTTTTTTTTGAGACGGAGTTTTGCTCCTGTTGCCCAGGCCGGAGTGCAATGGCGCGATCTCAGCTCACTGCAACCTCCGCCTCCCGGTTCAAGTGATTCTCCTGCCTCAGCCTCCTAAGTAGCTGGGATTACAGCCGCCTGCGGCCACACCCGGCTAATTTTTGTATTTTTAGTAGAGACGGGGTTTCACCACGTTGGCCAGGCTGATCTTGAACTCCTGACCTCAGGTGATCCACCCGCCTCAGCCTCCGAAAGTACTGAGATTACAGGCGTGAGCCACCGCACCCAGCCAAAGCCTACTTTTAAAACACCAGTTTAGTAGTCTTTAAGATGTGCCAAATGTTGAAATACTTTAACTCTGGGATGATGAATATAGGCAGAGTGCCAAACTCTTCAATTTAAAGAAGTTTGCTTAGCGATTGTTTTATTGTTTATTTTTTGAGACAGGGTCTCACTATGTTGCCCATTCTGTTCTCAAACTCCAGAGCTCAAGAGATTCTCCTGCCTCAGCCTCTGGAGTAGCTGGGATGACAGGCAAGCACTTAATGTGTTTTTAATAGGAGAAACAATAGCGGTTTTTAAATGTCAACAGTTGTCAAGTGGCTATATACTCTCCAGTTGTTTCAGTCACACCAGAAATAAAATCATACAAAAATATATTTTTCATACGTATACTTGTGAAGATATTTACTTACATTTTTCCATTATACAGTCCATACCCAAATATTTATTGAAAAAAGTGTCCCAAATTTTTGTCAAATAGACAAAAATAACTGTGGTCACTTATTTGATTAATAGTATTTATTTTTCACAGGCTTGACCTTTGGGTTTTAATGAAATGGGAGAAAAGGAAGTTAAAAAAAGTTATTGAAAAAGCATTAAGGTTCAACAACTTGGACAAAAGCCAGGAAAGTTTAAGTTAAAGCTGGTAGTCAGCCTTAACGCAGAATTTATTTCTTCTTCCTGTTTAGAGACTTAGGTTGCTGGCTTTGTTTGAATAAGCAAGCCTTTACTGAGTGATGGTTTTACTTTTTCAAAAGGTTAGACGATTGCATTTTGTACTCATTTAGATACATTAAATACTCTCAATGCACAAGTGATGAGGCGGTTCTGATCACAGGAGATGCTCATTCCGGTGTAACCATCTCCTCTGGAATTTTAAAGAATGCATAACCAATAGGAACTGTTCATATTCAATTCCTGCTTCATCCAGGGGAGCTCAAACTTCCTTCTACAAAAATGTATTGTCTTTGCCAGGCACGGTGGCTCACGCCTGCAATCCCAGCACTTTGGGAGGCTGAGGCGGGCGGATCACCTGAGGTCAGGAGTTCAAGACTAGCCTGGCCAACATGGTGAAACCCCGTCCCTACTAAACATACAAAAACTAGCCGGGCGTGGTGGCGGGCGCCTGTCATCCCAGCTACTCGGGAAACTAAGGCAGGAGAATCGATTGAACTCGGGAGGCGGAGATTGCAGTGAGCTGAGATGGCCTGGGTGACGGAGTGAGACCACTCCACTCCAGCCTGGGTGACAGAATGTGAGACCCTGTCTCAAAAACAAAACAAGTGTATTAAGTCTTGAGTGAATTCCTATATCTGCAGAAGAAAATCTGACAAAACGCAAATACCCTATTAACTCAAGCGATTAGAAAAACCATTTTCAACACACTATGGCTAAAAATGATTGGTCTTGAAGATTTTATTACCGTCAGCTTAATGTACAATTTTAAAACGACACAGTCGCAACCCACTTCTCAAACATTTTGAATTACCACGGGAATTAAAACATAGAAGTGTGTGACCTAGAATCCCTCAAACAAGGAAAACAACTCATCCGAGCCGAGTATGGAAGAATCTTTACTTTTTAGGGGAGTATCTTCAAACTATCTTTTTTAAATAGTAGAAATCTGCTTTTAAATCTCAGCCAACAACAAGCAGATTTTAAATCTATTTTACAACCCTAATAAAAACCAACCTCTTAGCTGGTGGACCCAGTCTGTAGCTGCAAATACAAAGACGTGATTTTTGAAAAGCTGCCCACAAGAGCAAGTGATTAATCATTAAAATCCACTAAAATCAATTGTGAACAGCCACTGCCTCAGGGGTGACCGTGGGGCCCCCTAAGATGTGGCACTGTGATCTATATTTAGCTATCTAAACACGTTTACAGAACTGGCAACAACGTGTTCGCAGGACTTCCTGCGAACCACCCGGCAGATAACGCGACACTAGTTAAAGGGTGTTAATTTTCCGGTCCTCGGAGGGCAGGCCACGGTAGCCGATCTCTGCGTGCCCAGAACTGCCTGCAGGATCAGGCAGCAGCAGCGGCGGCGGCGGCCACCGAGGCTACCAGCCGCCCGCAGCAGGGGCGGGAGCGCGCGCCTCCCGCACCCGCGCCACCCGGCTCCACTCGGGCCGCAGCTGCAAAAGCAGCGACAGCGCGCGCTCCCGCGCGTCCTCCAGATCACCTTCAAGGGGGCGGGAAGAATGGCCCAGGGCAGGCCCACCTAGTGACAATAAAAACTCGCCAATAAAAACTCGAACTCTCCCTCGGGTACCGCCCACAAGCTGCCGCAGGCGCCCAATCCCCGCCGCGTTAACAGTCTTCACCCGGGGTGTCCAGAACTTGAGGGCGGGTCCATTAGGAACTAAATTAAGAAACTGAGTCCTGGAGTGGTAAGAAGGTGGGGAGGTTAGGCGGGGACTGCGCCGGCGGAACGCCCGCTCCCCCGCCCGCCCCGGCTCCCCGGGGACGGCCGCAGCGGGCCGGGTGTCGCGATCGTGGTAAACAAAGGCTCGCAGGGGACGGGGGCGGGGGTAACGGTCAGGTGACAGTGCCGAGTGCATTTCGCAATCGCTTTAATGGGGCTTCACGGGCCCGCGGCCCTGGGGACCCCACCTTGACCCCGTCATTCCTCCCGGACAGAACCGACGGTCGTCCCACCAAACAAGAAGGCTGGATTTGAGGCGGTCGCACTCCCCCGGGCTTCCTGAAATAAAAAGCAGCGCCCCGTTCGCAGCCCATCGGCAACAAGCAGCACCCGTCTGCCCAGCCGCCTCCCCCGGCGGCGCCCGGCCCCGCGGCGACTAGCCTACCGCACCTGCGGCTACCCCCAGTCCCGGCAACCACCCCGCCCTAGCCAGGCCGCACCAGCCGCGCCGCGGTTCCGGGCCGTAGTGCCAGGAGGCGCGCGCGCCCTCCCTCAGGGCTGTAGCTACCAAGCGGGGGAGGAAGACCCCCCAGGTGAACCCTGGAGGCCCCTCGCCTCAGAAAGGGGCCCTGTAGCCCAGCTGCAGCCTCTCCGCAGACCGCCAGTCTGGCTCTGAGAGGCCGGCCGCCGCTGGCTGCCCTCCCGCAGACACCCCGGTGGTCAGGACCGCCGTCGCCCCTCCGCCCCCGAGGACTCAGACTCTGACCGGTTCCTCGCCTTTCGGCCGGTCCCGGAGCTGTCACCCCCGGTACCTCTCGGCGAACACTGGAAGCAGCCAGCAGTGGCTAACCCCGCGGTCCCTCAGCGGCGGGCGGCGCAGCGCACTCTCCAGCGCCGGCGTCTCCTCCAGCCACCAGTCTCTGCCGCAGCTCACAACAAAGGAAACATGTGACCGTCCGGGCCAAAACACTGAGCGTCAGCGAACCCTGGCCAATCCGGGTGGGCGTCCTCCGCCCCGGGGAACCCTGGGAGATGTAGTTCACGCTTCCCGGTGGCCTCCGGGGCCACCTGGGGCTCCCGCCGTGGGGTGGGTGTCGGGTGCCCAAGAGGACGAGACCCACCCAAAGGGCTGCTGACTCAAAAACACCTTGTTTTAAGCAGAGACAGTTAAAAAAATGCCTCTTGTGTAAGGAGCCGAGTGAGAAGCCAGAGTCGTTTCTTTCCTTCCCTCAAAGGCCCCTGCCACGTCCCAAGGAAAAAGCCCGCGATCAGCCCTTCGACTTTAAAGCTTGGGTCGAAGCTTAGAGAGCTTTTTATTTGACCCTTTGATAGACAATCGGAAATCAGGCCTGAGGGCCTGCAGGGTGGACGAGACTAAAACCCCAGTCCTTAGAAGGAGCAAGGAAAACCACCTCTTTTTTTTTGATAAAGCTGTTACTGTCCCTGGTATCAAATCCTAGGTTACCTTTTTATTTTAAACGCACATGCACGTCGACCAAAGCTGTCACAAATCCCTGTTTTCCAAGGTAGATGGAGTTCCTAAAGGACATTGTGTTGTCGTTTTGTGTCTGCAAGCTTTTTGTTTTGTTTCGTTTTGAGACAGAGTTTCGCTCTGCCACTCAGGGTGGAGTGCAGTGGCGCAATCTCGGCCCACTGCAACCTCTGCCTCCCGGGTTCAGGCGATTCTCCCGCCTTAGCCTCCCGAGTAGCTGAGACTACAGGTGCCCGCCACCACGCCCAGGTAATGTTTTGTATTTTTAGTAGAGGCTGTGTTAGCCAGGCTGGTCTCGAACTTCTGGCCTCAAGTGATCCGCCTGCCTTGGCCTCCCACAGTGCTAGGATTACAGGCATGAGCCACTGCGCCCCGCCTGCAGGTATTCTTTTAAAGGATGATTGCAACCATTTAACTAGTTTTTGGTTTCTGATACCAAATTTAAAAATCTCTATCTTCTACATGTCATGAATACCGTCATGCCTCTATTAAATTAGGCGTTGTGTTCTGATGACCAGAGGCGGAAATAATATGGAAGGCCTATATACAGGCCTTTTAAACATACTTTTTAGGCCTCTTTTCCATCTCTTATTCAATTATTTGAGCTATTTCTTCTGGTATTTATATATTTCCAAATAATGTATGACTATTTCCTATTAAGGAAGCTATCCTTCTCATAATCTGGTTAAATCATTAATGTTTACGCTAATGAGACCATGTATTTATTATTCATTGTTGAGACAAATCGTATACAATTTCCCATCTTGTATGGCTTTTGGTTTTCCTTGGAGTTTTAATAATTATCCTCTTTCTTTGCTTATTTTATTATGGATCTATCACAATGTCCTCTTAGTTTTTCTAAAACGATAAAATGCTTTCAATACAACTCCATATAATCAAACCCATCAGATAATCCATCGTGTGTGTATGTGTGTGTGTGTGTGTGTGTGTGTGTGTGTGTGTGTGTGTATCTGTACTTTTTTCTTAGAGTCATTGGTCCGCAGTTCCAATGACTGTTTGGGAAGCTTGCTTCTCTGTCTTGGGTCTTCCCTTCTCCAGCATCCTAGCATTTTCTTCTGTGATTTCGAGCATTGCCTCATATTTTGGTAGAGCACATTCCTCTTAAATAGCTTCCTAAGAAAAGGTCCATGAGAAGTAAATATTTTTGAACTTTTCATGTCTAAAAATATCATCACTCTATTTTACCTTTGAATGATGATGTTGCCTAATCATACAATCTAGATTATAAATTATATTTATTCGGGATTTCGAAGATACTGCTTTATTAACACCTAGATTCTGGTATTGCTGTCGAGAAGTACAATGCTGTTCTTACACTGATTTTTTATATTTGTTGATGTATGCTTAATAATTCCCGCTCCTCAGGAGGTAGCTGCTGAATAGGTTCACGTGGTCTTCTCTTAGCAGCTCCTTATGAGCACCCCAGGCTCACGGATTAGCCTTCTTCAGTTTTGTTATTCCTTGTGATTTAAGACAATTTCTGGACTTTGGAACTTTTTTTGTGTGTGTGTGACGTCTCACTCTGTCGCCCAGGCTGGAGTGCAGTGGTGCAATCTTGGCTCACTGAAGCTCCGCCTCCCGGGCTCACACCATTCTCCTGCCTCAGCCTCCCGAGCAGCTGGGACCACAGGCGCCCGCCACCACGCCCGGCTAATTTTTTGTATTTTTAGTAGAAACGGGGTTTCACCGTGTTAGCCAGGATGGTCTCGATCTCCTGACCTCATGATCCGCCCATCTCAGCCTCCCAAAGGGCTGGGATTACAGGCCTGAGCCACTGCGCTCGACCTGGAACTTTTTATTTACTTATTTATTTATTTTTAATTTATTTTTATTTTTGAGATGGAGTCTTGCTCTGTTGCCCAGGCTGGAGTGCAGTGGCACGATCTCGGCTCACTGCAACTTCCACCTCCCAGGTTCAAGCAATTCTCGTGTCTCAGCCTCCTGAGTACCTGGGACTACAGGTGCCTGCCACCACGCCCAGCTAGTTTTTGTATTTTTAATAGAGACGGGGTTTCACCATATTGGTCAGGCTGGTCTTGAACTCCTGACCTCAGGTGATCCGCCCGCCTTGGCCTCCCAAAGTGCTGAGATTACAGGTGTGAGCCACTGCGCCCGGCCTGGACTTTGGAACTTGATCCTTCCAGTTTTGAATAGTCACAGCTGACTTGGATGTTGCTGATGTTGTCACACTTTATCTTGTTCTCCACCTGTTTACTTTTATGCATATATTTCTTCATTGTGTTATAGGCCAGAAGTTTATAGTCCTCCTGCATAGGAATTTGAGGGTCGTAGGAAGATCTTGACTTAACACCTCAGGATTCTTTGTGGGAAAATCTGGTGATGTAAGCGACAGAATAAGAATGTGCTTTGGCTCAAGCCAGGTTGAGGTGTGCCTTTGTGACTTTTACTTTAAAGGGACTCAGGGAGCAGGAATGTCTGGGGATGTGCAGAGGTACATGGCGTTAAGCTGGGCGAGGGTCTTGGCGTGAGAGAGAGGCCACGAAGCACCTAGTGGGTCATCTCTACCTTCATAAAGTCCCAACTGTCTGACAATACATACAAGGTCCTTCTTGATGCACCCTAGGGCCTACCTCTACAGCTGGAACACAGCCTCAGTGGACTACCTACAGTTGCCCAGAGGACTGTTGCTCTCTCTGTCTCCAGACCATTCCCGGCCATAGCCTGCTCCCTTTGCGTATTATGCCCCCTCCTTCCCTTCACCCCATTCACTAGGCTAGCTCCTGCCCCTCCTTTCAGGAGGCAGCTTGGAAATTGCTCTCCTGGGAACTCTCCTTTCCCCCCATTTCCCCCTGGGCTAAGTATCTTCCTTCTATCTTCCCACAGTAGCCTGTCTTTACCTCTTTCCCAGCAGTTGTTACACTAATTGTCCAGGTTTGTTGTATTTTATTTTATTATTTTTTGGAGACAGGTTCTTGCTCTGTTGCCCAGGCTGGAGTGCAGTGCCATGATCTTGGCTCACTGAAACCTTGAACCCCTGTGCTCAAGTGATCCTCCTCTCCCAGCTTCCTGAATAGCTAGAACTACAGGTGCATGCCACCTTGCTTAGCTAATTAAAAAAATTTTTTTTAAAGATGGGGGTCTTGCTATGTTGGCCAGGCTGGTCTCAAACTCCTGGCCTCAAGTGAACCTCCTGCCTCAGCCTTCCAAAGTGTTGGGATTACAGGTGTGAACCACCTTGCCCAGGCTGTCCAGCTTTATTTATGTGCCTTTCCCAACTGATGATCCTCTGAGGTCAGGGATCATCTTACTCATTTTGTATCCCAGTGCACCTAGTAGGTGTTCAATATGTGTCTGTTAACTGATTGAATGATCTCTACTTGTTTTTTGTATTTTTTTTGAGAAGGAGTCTTACTCTTGTCACCCAGGCCAGAGTGCAGTGGTGCGATCTCAGCTTACTACAACTTCTACCTCCTAGGTTCAAGCAATTCTCCTGCCTCACCCTCCCGAGTAGCTGGGATTACAGGCGCACACCACCATGCCCAGCTAATTTTTTTTTTTTTTTTTTTTGAGACAGAGTCTCGCTCTTGCTCTGTCGCCCAGGCTGGAGTGCAGTAGCACAATCTCGGCTCACTGCAAGCTCCGCCTCCCGGATTCAGGCCATTCTCCTGCCTCAGCCTCCCGAGTAGCTGGGATTACAGGTGCCTGCAACCACGCCCGGCTAATTTTTTGTATTTTTAGTAGAGACGGGGTTTCACCATGCTGGCCAGGCTGGTCTCGAACTCCTGACCTTGTGATCTGCCCGCCTCAGTCTCCCAAAGTGCTGGGATTACAGGCGTAAGCCACCGCGCCCAGCCCTGATCTCTACTTCTTAAAGGGAACTGAGAGAGCGAGAAAGTGCCAGTAGGCCCTTTGGGATCAACTTGGGGCTCACCTACCCGATGAGGTCCTCAGACAGTGCAGGGTCATCAAACAACTCTGAGAGAGGGAGGAAGAGGACCTACAAGCAAGCAGCCTTGGAGACCGGAAGCCCTGGCACATAGGCAGGGGCCTATCCAGCGGGTGGGGGCTCCTCAGGCAGCCAGAATATGGGTGGTCTTGGCATTGGTGGAGGGCCCTGGGGTTATGCCTACCTCAGAGTTCAGTTAATGTGGTTGGGTAGCAGCCTTTTCCTCAGCTGGGGCTGGAACAGAAGCAGAGCTGTCAAGTCCAGAGGGAATCTGCTGAAATCAAGTGAAATGAAGCCATAAGGTGATTTTTTTTGTGCAATGTTTACAACCCAAGTCTGCCTGGAGGTAGACGGTTGGAGTCAGGGGAACCAGAAGGTCTTCAGACCTATTCCCTCTCCTTTCAGGAATAGAGTATATCATGCCATATTGTGTCTTCTTGCAAACCCCTCAGAGTAGTCCTTGTTTTGCTTTCCATAGCATCCATGACAGCCCTTAAGATCTGGAGGTGGCCAAGCATCCATAGTTCCACCAGCCACTCATTTCTCCCACCGCAGCCTCTTCCCCATGCAGTGGTCTGAACCACTTCTTAGGCATCCCCAATACTTTCAGACTTCCCTGCCTCCCCTCTTGGCCTCCAGCCAAGGTCTCCCCTATCCCCAATTGTAGCAGAAACATTGGTCATCCTTTAAGGCCCATCTCGGGTGCCATCTCTTTGGTGGGGTCTTCTTGATTCACTCCTCTCTCCCCAACCTGCTACGAAGCAGTGCACACCTTCCAGTCCTTTAGAAAGTGGCACCCGCACTATTTTCACCCAGGGTCCTTTGATGTGCTACAAGGTCAGCACTTTGAGCTCCTCTCTCATAACAAATCCCAGTTGAAAAGCATTGGTGAATGGAGATTTTACTGAAGGCTTCATGAAGAGAGAATTACATGGCATCTCATGCTACAAAACTCTGTAGCAATCCCCACCTCTGCTCCCTTACCTCAGCGCTCCTCTTTTCCCACTGATACTCTCTCTCTGGGCCTCTCTCCAACCTCACGCTTGGGTTTCATCCCTTTCCGTGTTCTCTGCCACCTTCTTCCCAAACACACTCCCTCCTCCCATCTCCATTTCTGTAATACATATTTTCACACTCATCACCTTGCAAACAAGAGCTCCAAAGAACATCATAAATAAAATTATCCCTGCCCACCCCACCCCTACCCCATTTTCCTTCAAACATATTTAACATATCAGCAAGCCTGCTACACAATACTCCCCTCTCCAGAGTGTTGAGTGAAGGGGAAAGCAAACACAATACCCTAGTTGCTCAACACTCTGGAGAGGGGAGTATTGTGTAGCAGGCACCAGAGCCTCTTCAGTCTTGAGGGCCACCCCTCCCTCCTTTCTTCTCTGGTGAGGTCAGGTGATGCATTTCTGAAGCCCTATTGGATGAAGAGGTTTGACCCTTCCTAGCTGTGTAGATTCCAGGAAAAATTTGAATTGTCCTTCTGGGACCTCACTCCCACTCCAGCCCAGCCACTTATGGCCCCACTAGGCCAGGCAAAGCTTGTGATCAGAGATACCAACATTAAATTTCAAGAAGGAAAGACATAGCTGGAAATTTTTCTGTGTTGAGATCTGGGTAACAAGGAAATCTGCCACCTGGAAGGTGAGCTCCCCTGACTCCTTCACTGAGCTTTTTCCCTCAAGGGTGCCATCTGCCACAGGGTGTCCTTCCTCACAACTGAAGGAAGTGGGCCTTTCCATCTCATGGGGAGGGGAGGGAAGTGGCAATCCTTGGTTTGTCCCTAAAACTGTCCTTCACAGGTTGATGAGGTGCCAGGCGATTGGTGCCTCAGTGGCCTCATGATTTTGTGTGTGACCAAACCTATCTAGATGCAGATAAGGTGGTGGTCATCACCATGAGCCCCGAGTTCTGACTTCAGAGGGGTAAGGCATACCTGCATGCTTCCTCCATTGTGATGCCAGGCCTAGCTACACTCTTTATTCTGCCCCACGGACATCTGATTTCATCTCCATATAGAATTCCTGGCCGGGTGCAGTGGCTCACACCTGTAATCCCAGCACTTTGGGAGGCTGAGGTGGGTGGATCACGAGGTCAGGAGATCGAGACCATCCTGGCTAACACGGTGAAACCCCGTCTCTATTAAAAATACAAACAATTAGCCAGGCGTGGTGGTGGGCGCCTGTAGTCCCAGCTACTCGGGAGGCTGAGGCGGGAGAATGGCGTGAACCCGGGAGGTGGAGCTTTCAGTGAGCCGAGATCATACCACTGCACTCCAGCCTGGGTGACAGAGCGAGACTCCGTATCAAAAAAAAAAAAAAAAAAAAAAGAATTCCTGCTGCTGGAATCCCAGCAGGCTTTGATTATCCCCAGTTTCTTGCCTCCAAGGCTCCCTGCCTGCCATGACACTTAGGAGGCATGCACTAACTTTAACTTGATTTTTCTTTGCTGCGCCTGGCACTGCTCTCCCTTCAACTGCTTGCAGTTTCTGAGAGTGTGTCATATCCACCCGTGGTCTTGATTGCTTCGGGAGCCCTCCCAGGAATCCTGCAGTAGGTATGAAGGGAAGGGATTGGACCTATCCAAGGGTATCTGCAGCTGACCTCCTCTTCTGTTCTTGAAAGACCCCATCCAGTTTCTTAAGAAATCATCTGTTAAGGCTGAAACAACAATCTCTGGCCCAAGAATGATCAATTTAGTAATCTCACCTGGGGCTATGCTCATCAGAGGCTCCCTCTGAAGCACCCATTCAGAACAATGCAACCACCCAAAACCTCCAGTGCATATCTGAGAGCAGTTTCCACACACTGATAGTCCAGGGACTACCCTAGTCTATGTGGTGCCATTTTTCACTCTCTTACATAAACTCAGCAATTTGACACTCATATCCTCTGTCTCCCTCTAAAGACTTAAAATCTCAGTGTTCCTAGTTTAGCTTTAAAGTTGAAGAGTCTAGGCTCAAAACTTAACTTTACTTCTAGTAGCTGTACATCCCTGAGTAAATTACTCAATCTTTCTCAGCCTTAGTTTTATCATCTCTAAAATGGGCTAAAAACACTTTATAGGTCAGGCACCGTGGCTCACGCCTGTAATCTCAGCACTTTGGAGGCCGAGGCGGGTGGATCACGAGGTCAAGAGATCGAGACCATCCTGGCCAACATGGTGAAACCCCATCTCTACTAAAAATACAAAAAATTAGCCAGGCGTGGTGGCGGGCACTTGTAGTCCCAGCTACTCAGGAGGCTGAGGCAGGAGAATCACTTGAACCCGGGAGGCGGAGGTTACAGTGAGCCGAGATTGCACCACTGCACTCTAGCCGGGCGACAGAGTGAGACTCTGTCTTAAAAAAACAAAAAAAAACCCCAAAAAACAAAACAAAACAAAACAAAAAACACTTTATAGAATTGTTATGAGGATTAAATGAGAAGAAAAAGTATATCTCATGCCTGGGTTATAACAAATGCTCAATAACAACCAAAATTGTTGTTGTTATCTTCTCCTCCACCAATTCTATGTCCTCTATGATTTGTCCTTTGCTTTAAGAACAAGAGAGGCAAAGAAAGACAGAAATGAAAAGTAAAAGAATATATAACCTCTATTATATACATTTGAAAAACAACCCTGGAGAAATGAAATGATTTTAAAACCTAGAAACCAAAGCCAGCTTCTCTGAACACCCATCCAGGATCCTACCCTCTAAACAGAGATTGTCAACCAGGTGGAGAGAAGCAATCGCCTCTGTTCTTAAAATATCTACACTCAAAGGCCAAATAACTGAGCTTAAATTTGATTGCCTCTGGGTTGCCAACCAAGGAATGAGGAGTCATGGATTGAGGAAACCTATATTTCTTTCAGTAAGCTTTTCACACTAAAAAAAACAACCACAAAAACCCAAAAACTATGTGCATATATATAGTATTCAAATTTTTTTTAAATATTTAATTTTTGTTGGCCTGATTCGTGATCAAAATAAGCGCCTGTATTCACTATTGCACAATCTCTTTTGCTTCCAACCCCAGAGTGCTCTGAGACTGGCCTAGAAAACAAGGAGGGCTCCCAGGTCACCAGCACACAGGGACAGAGCCTCTTGACCCCGCTTGTGACAGCATCGCAAGCACATGCCTGACATATTTTGGAAAGCCTGACTGGTTCTATTGCTGGTACATGAAAGTTTTGCTCCGGCAGCAAATCTCTAAATTTAGATGCTTTTCAGGATGAACTCCGAGTGATCTTTGTCCCGAAGACTAGTAAGAAGTTGGAGGGCACCTTGCTTTTTATTTATTAATTCAAATGCCAGAGTTGATATTTCATAATGCAAGACTTGTGAAAATTGCCGTATTAATGGAAAATAAAACAAACAAACAAAAAGATTTTTGCTTTATAGTTCTCATAAAAGTTTTACCCTGGGTTTGTTTTTGTTTGATGTGAGTTAGCAAAGTATTACCATTATCTGTTATTATAATATGGTATTATAATATGGTAATACTTTGCAAAGTCACGTGAAATAAAAACAAACCCAGAGTAAAAATTTTTTTCCTAGTAACTCTATGGGAGAGTCTCGGATTAATACAATTTAGGAATTTTAGCTCTAATATAATATCTTGATGCATAAAATTTGCCATTTTAATTGAAGAAAAGATACTTTCCCAATAAATTAAGAAGATATTAAAGACAGAACCTTTAAGGAATGCTGAGTACACTTTAGCGAAGAACCAGCTCCTGGCAAGGCCAGCTCCACCAGTGTATCTTTATGGAGAGCCAAGAATTTACCTTTGGGGCCAGGCGCAGCGGCTCACACCTGTAATCCCAGCACTTTGGGAGGGTCAGGTGGGTGGATCACCTGAGGTCAGGAGTTCGAGACCAGCCTGGCCAACATGGTGAAACCCTGTCTCTACTAAAAATACAAAAATTAGCCAGGTGTGGTGGCGCATGTCTGTAGTCCCAGCTACTCGGGAGGCTGAGGCAGGAGAATCACTTGAATCCTGGAGGTGGAGGTTGCAGTGAGCCAAGATCACGCCATTGCACTCCAGCCTGGGCAACAGAGCGAGACTCTGTCTCAAAACCAAAAAAAACAAAAAAAAAAACAAAAAAAAACACGACCAAAGAATATACCTTTGGATTTGGATTCAGATCCTGAGGCTTTGGTACCACCAAAAGGGTGATGTTGGGTGGTTTATTTAACTGCTTTGAGTCTAGGCTTCTTTGTCTGAAAAGAGAATCTGGTAATACCTTCTTATTATAAGAATTAAATGACAGCTTATTAAAAAAGAGCACCTAGCTCTCAATAAATAGTAAGAATTATTCACTCAAGACATAATGGTGCGTGTAATTCCATCAAGATGCAATGGTTAAGTACTATTATGACAGGACATAAGGTTGCATTGACATATCCTAGCAAAGGAAGTTTCTTATCAGAGAACATCATGGGGTAATGGAACAAGATACACAGAAAAAGAGAGGGATTCTGGGGAGCCCCACCATAACTTTCTCAGCCACTCAGATACCCTGGACAAATCGCCTAATTCCCTTGGGTCCTAGTTTCCTCATATCTAAAAGGAGCACTGTTGCTTGCACCCGAGAGAGTGTCAGGCTAAACTATTTCCAAAGTCTGTTTGATTTTGGAAGTACTGGGTTGTTTTGTTTTTTTGTTTTGTTTTGTTTTTTGTTTTGTTTTGGGATGGAGTCTTGCTCTTGTCACCCAGGCTGGAGTGCAGTGGCGCAATCTCAGCTCACTGCAACCTCCACCTCCCGGGTTCAAGGGATTCTCCTGCCTCAGCCTCCCAAATAGCTGGGACTACAGGTGTGTGCCACCACGCCCAGCTAATTTTTGTATTGTTAGTAGAGACGGGGTTTCACCATGTTGGTCAGACTGGTCTTGAACTCCTGACCTCAGGTGATCCACACGTCTTGGCCTCCCAAAGTGTTGGGATTACAGGCGTGAGCCACAGCGCCGAAGGAACTTTGGTGGAAAAGTCATTCTGGTCCAAGAAACACCCAATTCAGGACATACCTGAGGGCACATGAGTTCCTTGGGGAGGAATTGTGTGGATGTCAGAGGTTATAAATGACCAGAAATCACGTTCCAGTTCTGGGAGTGAAAAGCCAGCTTTCTATGCTAATGGGATATGGGAGGACACACCTATTTATTATGGGATCAAACTGAACCCAGTTCCTACCCCGAACCTTTACAACAACTCAACCACTACTTAAGTAATGCTGTCCCCAAAGGCTTTCCAAGCTAGGTCCTTGGGGGAGCACCTCTTCCTCTGCAGCCCCCACTGCTCAGGGACAGCCCTGAGCCAACCTGCTCTCCCTCCAAGCCATCCCACTCCTGTACCTAACTGAAGTTTGCCCTGCTCACCGCCCTCATGGTGGGACACTTCGCCACCCCCAATTCTGCCCCTAGCTCTTTCTATTTTTAGCTCCCAACTCAGGGAGTTTTTAGAATAAACAATCACATGCACTATGACATTTGTGACATTGCTGGCTTGTGCATGCTCCTTGCTATCTTCTCATTAATTATCCCTTGCTTTAAAAAGAAGAAATTAATAGTTTTTAAAGTCCCATTTCCCTCAATTTGAAAGTATTACACACCCGTTGTAGAAAAATTTCTAAAGATAAAGAAGAGGCTGGATATCGTCTACGATTTTCTGACCCAAAGACAGCTACTGTTTAGTCCTTTATATCCATATTTATAGTTTCTTTATATCTATTATATATACTTTTACATATTTGAGTTTATACTATACAAAATAAACTCATGTCAGTATTTAATAGGTGGTTTTCTGTTCCCTTCTCTCTGGTCTGTCTTGATCTATTGCCTCTTCCCAGTCCCAATGACATTGATCTGCAACTTGGAGCTAGCTTCTATCAACATGTTATTACCAAATATTGAGATAAATGAGGGGTTTTATATGCTAAAAAAAAAAAATGTCCTTGGCCAGGCGCGGTGGCTCACGCCTGCAATCCCAGCACTTTGGGAGGCCAAGGCAGGCAGATCACGAGGTCAGGAGATTGAGACCACCCTGGCTAATATGGTGAAACCTCATCTCTACTAAAAATACAAAAAAATTAGCCGGGCTTGTTGGTGGGCGCCTGTAGTCCCAGTTACCCGGGAGGCTGAGGCAGGAGAATGGCGTGAATCCTGGAGGCGGAGGCTTGCAGTGAGCTGAGATTGTGCCACTGCACTCCAGCCTGGATGATAGAGCAAGACTCTGTCTCAAAAAAAAAACAACAAAAAACAAAATGTCCTTCTCCAGTTTGAAGATGGTTTTAGCTCATCAACTCTGCAGGCATGATTCCTAGGACAACTTTATTTTTGCTGTTTTTAAAATTTCTTGATATATAATTGCTTCTGGTGTTCCCCTATATTTTAATTTTTTATTTTTATATTCCCCCTTTTCCTTTTTTATGAAAGAGAAATTTGTAATAACATTAAAATGAATATTTCATTAAATATTATTCATAATGACATTATGCTATCCCTCCAACTAAGTATTTCACATATATTTTTCATAGGCTCAGAATTTGTCTACATACTGCTTTATGTGATGTTTTGTTGTTGTTGTTGTTGTTTGAGACAGTCTCGCTCTGTTGCCCAGGCTGGAGTGCAGTGGTGCGATCTTGGATCACTGCAACCTCCGCCTCCCAGGTTCAAGCAATTCTCTGCCTCAGCCTCCCGAGTAGCTGGGATTACAAGCACCCGCCACCACGCCCAGCTAATTTTTGTATTTTTAGTAGAGATGGGGTTTCACCATCTTGGCCAGGCTGGTCTTGAACTCCTGACCTCATGATCCACCTGCCTCGGCCTCCCAAAGTGCTGGGATTACAGGCGTGAGCCACCGCGCCAGGCCTATGTTGTTTTTTTCACTTAAGACTACTAGGAACGTTTTCTATGTTTTATTAGGTCCATCCAATTATCCTGCTTCCTTGACCTCACATTAATAATAACAGTAATGGCCAACATTTCCTGAGCACCATTGCAGGTGCTTAAATGCTTTACCTGCATTATCTTATTTAATCTCCACACAACACCTTGAGGTAGTGACTACTATTAGCTGTCCCCATCTGACAAATGGAAAAACTGAGAGTTGGAATCCTTAACCAGTTTGCCCAAAAAGTTGAAGTTAGAAAGTCTGACTCTATGTTTGGTGCTTTCTCTAATCCAGTATACAGTTCTGTTTGCTTTATAATGTCTCTTGGTAGATATACTACACTTCATTCAGCTGCTCTATTGGTTTTGGATACTGATGTTTCATCCAGTTGGTGTTTTTTCCTCTATTTTAATAACTCTGCAAGGGACACTTACGTGCATACACATAGTTTTGTTGCTTCCAGTGCATGATTTTCTTTCTTTCTTTTTCTTTCTTTCCGTCTTTCTTTCTTTCTTTCTTTCTTTCTCTTTCTTTCTTTCTTTCTTCCTTTCTCCCTTCCTCCCTTCCTTTTCTTCCTTTCCTTCCTTTCTTCCTTTTCTTTCTCTCTTTCTTTTTCTTTCTTTCTCTCTCTTTCTCTTTCTTTCTTTCTTTCTTTCTCTCTCTCTCTCTCTCTCCCTTCCTTCCTTCCTTCCTTCCTTCCTTCCTTCCTTCCTTCCTTCCTTCCTTTCTTTCTTTTTCTTCTCTCTTTCTGACACAGCCTCACTCTGTTGCCCAGACTAGAGTGCAGTGGTGCCATCTCGGCTCACTGCAACCTTCACCTCCTAGGTTCAGTGATTCTCCTGCCTCAGCCTCCCAAGTAGCTGGGACTACAGGTGCAAGTCACCACACCTGGCTAATTTTTGTATTTTTAGTAGAGATGGGGTTTCACCATGTTGCATGTTGGCCAGGCTGGTCTCAAACTCCTGACCTCAAGTGATCCACCTGTCTCAGCCTCCCAAAGTGCTGGGATTTCAGGTGTGAGCCACCACACCTGGCCCCAAAGCATGATTTTCTTATGGTTAGTTCTAGGACATGGAAAGGGAGAAAGATTTTGTTCAAAGGTTTTATTCTAAAGGACTTTATTGGATGAACCAATGGGAAAAGATGAAGATAATTTAGCTCTTTTTCCACAGGCTGTCTTCCTGAGCTCCACACTATGGAGTTAGGGGAGGGAAGGGGAGGCATTGAGGAATCAGGTTCCTTTTAGGCTGTTTGGGGCCTCTTCCATTATGGAACAGTCCAGGCTTCCTGCTATCATAACATTTCTCACGGGTATTGTAACTTGTTTCGTTATGTTACTCTCACTTAAATAAAAGAACTGTTTTTCTTCTTTGTACCCGGGGGCTTAACATAGTGTGCAGCACATAGTGGGTGCTTAATAGATGCTTGTTGAATGAAGAATGAAAGGTAGAGAAAGACCTCTTTTAACTGTGAGCTCTCATTTTCAATCAGGTTAACTGTGATAGGAACAGTACTTAGCTGGGGCATGTAAGCATGTCTTTCTATTTTGATGCTTTATGTCTTTTTATCTTGATGCTTTGGCATCAAGCATCTTTGGCATCAAAGCATCTTGATGCTTTGGGACTTTGTGGATTTTGAAAGGAACTCCCTATCTGGGGTTAGCTAATTCTTAAGAATAGCAATCAACTTGCCCAGGAGCATGCCTTTCATATGCAAACCAGCCAATCCGAAGACCATACTGTTGCAGTATTGCTAACATATTAAGATGTAAGTTTTTGTTGTTCGAGATAATACGTGGAGTTTTTTGTTTTATGTTTAAGATGATTAAGGAGGTTGAACACGAGGGTGAGGTTGGAGTTAAAGTTTAATAAGTGAAAGAAGAAAGCTTTGTGCAGCAGAGAGGGGGGGCCCACCATGTTTATGCCCACAAAAGGAGAAGAAACTTTTTGGGGGGAGCCTGCTGATTATACGGAGAGCTCTCCAAAAACCCTTCCCTTGCTGTCTACCTAAAGCAAGCTGGCTAACTCCTCTCGATACCCCAACCACCTCCCTTATGAGGCTCTGACACTTGGGCTACTAACCCCCTGCTCCAAGTACCCCAGGGCTAGGTAACAGGCAAGCAGGGACAACCATGATGCGCCAGAGCCCACTGAAATTATTCAAACTAGCCAATCCTAAGCCTGTTTGCCCTGCCTTGCCCATTCCTTCCAGTGAAAAGCATGGTAAAGACTCTTGCCCACATTTTCCCTTTGCTCCCTCCGGCTTGTGACCAACCCTGGTACTTCCCCATGTGGCCTTGGATGGCATAGTATGCCCCCTTCTCTTAGGAACTGTGAGTAATAAACCTTTTTTTTTTTTTTTTTGATGGGTTGCAGGTTTTCCTGGGTATATTTTCTTTTTTTTCTTTTTTAAGGATTTTTATTTTAAGTTCTGGGATGCATGTGCAGAATGGGCAGATTTGTTACATAGGTATACATGTGCCATGGTGGTTTGCTGCACCTATCAACCTGTCTTCTAGGTTTGAAGCCCTACATGCATTGGGTATTTGTCCTAATGCTCTCCCTCCCCTTCCCCCCCACCCCTCAATAGGCCCCGGTGTGTGATGTTCCCCTCCCTGTGTCCATGTGTTCTCATTGATGAACTATCTTTTTGATGGCAATCATTTCATCCATTGGCCTCACCATACCTGAATTATGACAATAAAACCTATTTTTAAAAACAGGGTGCTAAAGTTGATAGTGACTGAGATGGCAGTGGGTGAAACATTGTGACAATGTAGGGGAACATAGCAGTAGGGTTGCAAGATGTAAGTGACAGTAATAGCAGCATTAACTAACAGAGTATAATGGTTAACAGCCCGGGAGAGAGCAGGATAATTATGATAATTAATCTCATAAGCATAAGGCTTATTGCTTCACAGAACACTTTTGCACATATTATCTAATTTGTTTCTCACAAGATATGCTTTTAGAGAATATTATTATTCTGTCTGATTATAGAATGGAATAGGACTTCTAGTGGGTTCACAGAACCAGAAATAAAATTGGAGATCACCTGATCCAATCTTCTCATAATACAATTGAGGGAACTGAGGCCCAGTGAGTGGAAGGGACTCTGGCTTTGTCTGACCCCCTCCCTCCTGGCTGTGTTCACAGATGTTCTCTGCTGATTAAGCACAACCTGATTTAGGAGCCATCTCAGAGCCTGGCAGGAGGTAGGGTAGAGCTCCAGCAGCTGGTGGTTTTGAGATCAGCCCCTCAGGCTTCTTTCCCCCTGAAGTCTGGATAACATCCCTTGGTTACTACCCAAGGTCCACCACCTCTGGCTTGGGCCAGGGCTAAGCCAAGACCCCAGGTTGGGTCCTTTCACCTCTGCTTACAACACCTTACAACAGCACCTCTCATAGTCCTTGTGACAGTGACTGAGAAGGACCTGGCCCTCCTACAGGGTAATTGCCTTTATGTCCTTGGGATGGCAGGCTAGTCTGGCACTGGGGACCCAGGCAGGAGATCCAGGTCACATGTGGTTTCATGGCAGTGGCTTGGTTACAAGTCATTTCCATTCCATTAGCCAGTTCAGAGTGGAGCTAGACACAACACTAGGGATACAGAGGCCTGAATGACTGGTCCAGATGCCTCAAGTTGCCTGAAAATGAAATTTGCCTTAGAGCCTAACGGTAGGTGGAATTTGCAGCCTAAGGAGTTGGAGATAAAGTTTAAAGTCCTCCGGGGCAGGGAGCTGGGGATGCTGCTGGAGACATTTCCCTCTCTTATTTCACAAGCACGCACATTTTAAGAAAGAACCACTGGGAGCTGGGGAATTTAAGGTACAACTGATGGATCTGACTCTGTTCAGAATCCAAGAGCTTCCATTTGAGACAAAATTTAATGGTAACAGCAAAGCTCGGTGGCAAAATAAAGTGGCCAGTGCAATCAAAGAGATAGAAACAGCAACAAATAAAAAGCACTTGAATTGTCTGAGCTAGTTTCTGCGTTATTAACTATAGCCAGGACCAGTTCAAAGTCCTGTTGATGCCACCACCGGTAATAAAATCTAACTGCTTCCTCTGGATCACCACTTTCACCAGCAAAACATCGTGCTGTATGTGTGCTGAGGACAGGGCCCAGAGCTGGTGTGACAGTGCTGGTTGGTGGGAACTCCAATCTGAGGGGTGGCTGTGGGTGGCCAGCAGGGTAGGGACCAGGGAGGCAGGAGCATGGTGGCCAATGGCTAGGTCACCAACTGGCTCAAACAGGATCTGGGTGAGCTGTGGGCATAAAGAACTATCAGGTCAGTTAACAACAGAAGGAAGCTGCGTTTTCTGATTTGCAAAGTAATCCTGAACCAGGGAAGTGGATAAGGCAGAAATGAAGGCTGGGGGTCTGAGACAGCACCAGGAAAGTTCCAGATTCCCCGGAGAGGAGCTCACAGCCCTGTGGCCTTGGATCTGGGATAGCTCAGGTTTTAAAAAATTAAATTAAATCAAATTGTGAATCAAATTTTGTAGATAGCTGCACCTGCAGAATGGTCTTTCTAGGCTTTCAAGGGACTAGGCCTCTCAGGGAAGCCCAATGGCCACCTCTCTCCTTAGTTCCCCAGAGGGCTAATGTCCATGACAGGTGGCAGTGCTGTGTCACTGGGCATGGGGTATATATTTGAGCCTCAGTGATAGTCTTTGAATTTTTTCTTCAGGATCCTGCCTCCCACCTCCTGGGATAAGAGCAAAGGGTGGGATTATAGCAAAATATATAGCAATATGAATAATTGGAATAAGCCACCCACGATTCCAAATCTCTAGAGGCAACCACTCTCCTTCCTCATCTGTGAAATGAACACAATTCTTAGAAAGGGTTGAGGGAGAAGGTATTTCAACATTTTGGCATATTCCTTTTTTTTTTTTTTTTTCCTTTTGAGGCAGAGTCTCGCTCTGTTGCCCAGGCTGGAGTGCAGTGGCATGATCTCTGCTCACTGCAACCTCTGCCTCCCAGGTTCAAGTGATTCTCCTGCCTCAGCCTCTTGAGTAGCTAGGATTACAGGTGCATGCCACCATCACCATATCCGGCTAATTTTTGTATTTTTATTAAAGACAGGGTTTCACTATGTTGGCCAGGCTGGTCTTGAACTCCTGGCCTCAAGTGATCCGCCTGCCTTGGCCTCCCAAAGTGCTGGGATTACAGGTGTGAGCCACCGCACACCTGCCCCCCCACTTTTTTTTAATTAAGCATTTTAAACATGATTGGAATCACAACGTATGTGTAATTTTCATCCTATCTTTTTTCTTTTTTTTTTCTCGCTCTGCCACCCAGGCTGGAGTGCAGTGGCGCGATCTCGGCTCACTGCAAGCTCCGCCTGCCAGGTTCACGCCATTCTCCTGCCTCAGCCTCCCAAGTAGCTGGGACTACAGGCACCCTCCACCATGTCCAGCTAATTTTTTTGTATTTTTAGTAGAGACAGGGTTTCACCATGTTAGCCAGGATGGTCTGGATCTCCTGACCTCGTGGTCTGCCTGTCTCGGCCTCCCAAAGTGCTGGGAGTACAGGCGTAAGCCACCGCGCCCGGCATCTTTTTTTTTTTTTTTTTTTTTTTTTAATAATTATCACTACTATTCTTGTAATCACAAAAATACCGTGTGTGTGTGTGTGTGTGTGTGTGTGTGTGTGTGTGTGTTCCAGTAAAAGCTCACTGGCAAAAGAGACAGTGGGCTGGCTTTTTCCTGTGGGTGGCAGCTTGCTGACATCAGGTGTGGAAAGTGCAGTGCTCAGCCCCATCCTGGTACAGAACAAGGGGCAGCCATTGATAAAATCATGATTAACAACAAGTAAAACAATGCTATCTTCCTCTGGGATACAGAGGTGAATTGGTCACATCTTTACCTACCAGAAACTCACCATCTAGGACGCGCAGGGTGCTGGAGGGTAAGCAGCCGAGAGGTGAGATATACACAGAACTGCTTTCTGCTTAAATCTGTGTAAGCCCCATTTAATTTGGAGTCCCCTGGACTCATAGTTAATCCCTAACAGAGGGCTAAATTCCTGGAGAGAGGAAAGCTAGGACTTTAACTCATAACTGAGATTGCCCAGGAAGCCCCAGTAGAAGTGGCTAATTTTTGCCCTCTGCCTCATAAGATGGACTAATCAGGACCTCAGCCAATCCGATCGACCTGAATGGCAAACACTATTGCTTTACTGAGGTGGCTGGAGTTTTCCTTCTTCTAAAATCAACACCCCTGTCCAATCACTTCGAGGCAGTTTATTGGGTATTCTCTTAAGGATCAGAGACCAAAGCGCTGTGTAAAACTGTAATGTTCCCGTTAGGTACCGTCTAAGGAGGGTAAACAGGAGAAAGTACACCTTTCAAATGTTAATCTGATGCTGTAAACAGCAGTTGACTTCTCATTTACATGGGCGAAACACTTTAAACTAATTTAGCAACTGTTTTATGTAAGAAAAAAAGAGATAGGATTTTGATGGTTAATGCTACATTTTAAACACATTATCTCCACAGCTACTATCTTAAGAAATAATAGTTTTTGCATGTGTGTCCACTTTTCTTCTTGAATTTAGTGGTCCTCTAACCAAACTGACGGGCAGGGAGTTGGACTAGAAAGGTCATCTGTATAGTAGGCGTATCTCTGTGGCGTGGGGCTGAGGGATTGATTGTTCAAGAAAATAATCCTTTTGTTCTGAGTCGGAAGAGGAGGACGAGAAGGAGAAACACCAGGAATCCCAGAAACTTCTTCACTCCCGGGGACATAGGAATGGAGGGAAGTGAACGGGCATGCTCTCTATAGAGATCGGCATTCTGGATGTACGCTTGGATGTCCTGAGCCCTTTTATTCCACATAAATTACTGTAGTTATTGGGGATGTAAAGCTGCAGCCTGTCCTTGGGAGAATATTCTCTTTCTATAACAATATTCAGGATATTGTCAGAGTGGGGCTTTCTACTTCTGTGGAAATGGTGATGAGATCTGGATCCCTTCTCTTCAAAATGGTACACCCAGGTCTTGTCACTCATTGGACGCTGCCTGATCTTGATGTTGCAGTTTCCATTGTCAGTGACATCCTCTGACCTTCTGTGGTCTAGATTGAGACTTGGATTGTCTGAGTACTGGCAGATGTACTAGTTTTTCATGAGGCATGATGTTTTTTTTCTAGACAAAAATCTGAACTTAGACTCTTTAAGGCCTCTGCACTTCCATGCAGCAGAGTTCAAAGTTTCCATACTGCTGATTTTCTCATAATCTTCTGCCTCCGTTTTTTTCAGAGTTTGCAGAGAATATAAGGATGACCTCAGCTTGCTTCATCCATCCGCTGAAGCTACTGTGATGTTGGACAAAGCCAAAGAATCCATAGAATCCTGAGCACGTTTCTCTGGTTTCAAGTCTGACAAAAACCCCAGGGGATTTTCATACCCCTGTGTTTGATCATTAGCCTACCCTGAAGCCCCATGGTCCAGATTCAATTTCTAGAGCCTTCTACTGCTTACAGGGCCTGTGTGGTTGCCATGAGCAGAAACACTGTTCATCTTGTGCCCAGTCCATATCAGGTCAGTAATTTTTATTTGCAAGGTTCTGGTTGTTTTGCTTTAGCTAGTTCTTATTTTCTTTCTTTCTCTCTTTCTTTCTCCCTCCCTCCCTCCCTCCCTCTCTTCCTTCCTTCTCTCCTTCCTTCTTTCCTTTCTTTCTTTTGTTTTTTTTTTTGACAGAGTCTTGCCGTGTCACCCAGGCTGGAGTGCAGTGGCATGATCTCGGCTCACTGCAAGCTCCGCCTCCAGGGTTCAAGTGATTCTCCTGCCTCAGCCTCCTGAGTAGCTGGGATTACAGGCACCTGCCACCACACCTGGCTATTTTTTTTTTTTTTTGTATCTTTAGTAGAGATGGAGTTTCATCATGTTAGCCAGGATGGTCTCGATCTGCTGACCCCGTGATCCACCTGCCTCAGCTTCCCAAAGTGCTGGGATTACAGGTGTGAGCCACCGCGCCCAGCTTGTTATTTTCGAACATGCTATCAGATATCCAGTGCTGATTGGCTCAAATATCCATCTCATTGGGCTGCTGCTGAAGAGGCTTTTATCACCAAATTTGAGGAGGAGCTATGTCATATAATCTTCATGCCCACCCAGTCCTTCAGGGTCTTCTGGGGTTTAATGCTGTACTCTGTCTTTCCAAAATTCCGCATTGATAAAAATGTTCCTTGCCTGGAGAGACTCAGAATATACAATTTCTGAGAAAGAGTGTCATCAGCATCGCCCAAAAGGCCAGAAAACTTGTAGTTCAGAGCAGGGAACAAGAGGAGAGACTGTCTACACTGATCTGCTGACCAACTGCTTTTGCTCATTCAGATACTTTTTCTGGTGTTTCTTGATCAAGCTCACTGAAATGGATAATTGGAAGAATTAGAAGCATGGATGTCTTTACTGAGGCTGCATTTTTTTTTTTTTTGAGACGGAGACTCGCTCTGTCGCCCAGTCTGGAGTGCAGTGGCGCCATCTTGGCTCACTGCGACCTCCGCCTCCCAGGTTCAAGCGATTCTCCTGCCTCAGCCTCCCGAGTAGCTGGGACTATAGATGCTCACCACCATGCCCGGCTAATTTTTGTATTTTTAGTAGAGATGGGGTTTCACCTTATTAGCCAGGCTGGTCTCCAACTCCTGACCTTGTGACTTGCCCGCCTTGGCCTCCCAAAGTGCTGGGATTACAGACGTGAACCACATTGCCTGGCCCGAGGTGGCATATTTTTGAGTAATAAATCTGACTTTGGTAAAGAAGAGACATCCAACAAAAAGGATTTATGCTAGACACGAGAAAAGCATGCTTCTGCAGCACGCCAGAACTTCCCATCATAGGTCATCTGCACATGGTCGACACTAATATGTTCCCACAGATTTCACAGCACTCTGCATAGACAGGCTCAAAACCACCACAGCAGAATGGGTGGCTATCCTTCATAACATACCTTGTCCTCTGGGGACCATTTTGCGCTCAAGGCAGCAGAAGTGTTTCATGTGCCAATGGTGACTCTCAGTTTCTGTGCAAACATCAACAAAATTATCTCAGCACATGCTGAGCATCAGGGTTTGAGCAATTCAGCATGGTGCCTGCCACAGTGAATTTTTTCATCCTGATAAAAATAGACGAGGTTGACCAGCAGCTCTTTACACGTGAAACAGACAAAACAGAATGAGTACCAGTACACTCCAGGGCCCACTCGAGAGGCAAACACTGCAATTTTACCTCAGTTGATCTTCAACCCACATTGCTCACACATAGCGTGCATTCCTGCTCTAGACAAAAGTTTAATCATGCCTCTTCCAAGTGCTTCTTTCTGCTGCTAAGCACTGAACACTTGGAATTCTTTATTCTCATCTTCTTTCAAAGACTGACAATACTATATGTCATTATCATGTTGTAGCAACTGGTATACAAGCCCTTTAATCAGATGTTTCTTTCCAGGGATGTTAATATAAGGACATTTTCCTCTGATAAGCAAGCAAAAGAGAGCTAGATTTGCTCTGGTCTAAGGCCCAGGGGACCTCGGAGTACTCCTCCAGTGCACAGCCAGAATCATTATCTGATATGGAACTTCTCTGATACCTAAAGGCAAATTTGCTCATTTTGGGCCCCATCTCCAAAGGCATAATAATAAAGCCAAAAGCCAGTTTTTGCAGTCACAGGACATCAAACAATGGCTGCTCTGTTGGCCTGCTCCATTCCTAGGAGTCTTAGTGAGTGAAGCTGCTGAAATGCCCTAACCTCTTCATCTTGAACTCTTTTTCCTGGAAGCAGTGGGCTGGCATAGAAAACTCATTGGGTTCCGGAGTCAGAGAGAACTGGGTTCAAATCCCAGTTCTGCTACTTACTGGTTGAGTGAGGTTGGGCAAGTTCTGTAACCTCTCAGAACCTCAACTTCCATATCTGTAAAATGGATATGATATTAATAATAGGGATGTAGTAAGGATTAGATAAGAGAAACAATGTGAAGCATAGGGCCTGGTGTATACTCTCTGTTTAACAAATAATAGTTCTTTCCTATTCTATTTTTCTGTTAAACAAGAATTGAACTAGGTCTGGTGTTGCCATCTCTGATAGGCACTAGGATCACCATTCTCATATTTGAGTATGGCTTGGAGGGGACCACATTTTCTCCATGCCTTTGTACATGTTGTTCCTCAGCCTAGAGTCGTGATTCTCAAACTTTACCATTCATCAGAATCACCTGTAAGATTTGCTAAAACTCATATTTCTGGAACCCACATCTAGAATTTCTGACTGTATGTCTGGGGAAGGGCCTGATAATTTGCATTTCTAACAGGTTCTTAATTGATACTGGTGCTGTTGATCTGTAAACACATTTTGAGAACCACTGGCTTAGCACAACGTACCACATTTCCTATCCTCTGGCTAACTCCTACTCGTCCTTTGGGTCTCAGCTTTGATTTTATTTCCACCAGCAAGTCTTTCTTACACCTGAAGTCCAAATTAGGTATTCAGTCTCTGTGCTTTCACACAGCACAGAGCCCTGGACTTGCTAACTCATAGGATATATCACAGTGTTTTGTAATTGTCTTGTTACTTGTCTGTGTCTCTTACTAGACACTATCTACTTTGGAAAAGGGATCATGTCTGCCCTATTCATGGTATCTCCAGCACCTTGCTCTGTGCCTGGCACATAGTGGGTGCTCAATAAATGATTGTTGAATGAATAATTGAGTCAGACTGTGGGTAGCTAGAACCAGAGCTTAGGGACTCATAACAGTGGGGCAGATAAAAGGAGTAAGTTCTGCATTTCACCATGTTTGCCAGGCTGGTCTCGAACTCCTGACCTCTGATGATCTGCCCGCCTCGGCCTCCCAAAGTGCTGGGATTACAGGCATGAGCCAAAACACAAAAATTAGCTGGGCATGGTGGCAGGTGCCTGTAGTCCCAGCTACTTGGGAAACTAAGGCAAGAGAATCGCTTGAACCCAGGAGGCTGAGGTTGCAGTGAGCCGAGATCGCACCACTGCACTCCGGCCTGGGTGACAAGAGTGAAACTCTGCCTCAAAAATAAAACAACAACAACAAAAAGGAGTAAGTCCTATCAGTGGCTAGTGGCCAGGCAAGTCTAGCAATTCAGTGCCAGGGACATCAGCAGAAAGTATCAGGAACTATACAGGTGCAGGGCCTGGACTTCAGAAGCTGAGTTCAGCCTCTGGAAGGACTTGGGTCATGAAGAACAGGGCAGAAACCGGTGTCATAGACACTTAACAGGGACTTGAGACTCAATATCTGATTAAGATGCTTGATCCAAAAAGCCCCAAGAATTTAAAACATTAGTGGTCCCATTCTTGTTTGATGGCTCAACGTATGGTCTATCTTGGTGACTATTTCATGTGCACTTGAAAATATTTCTTCTTTTGCTAAGTGATGTGTTCTATAAATGTTAGCTAGGTCAAGTTGGTCAATAGCATTGTTCAAATCTTTGATATCCTTACTGATTTTCTGACTACTTATTTTACCAACTATTGGGTAAGAAGTGTTTATATCTCCAAATGTAATTATGGATTTGTCTTTCTCCTTTAGTTTAGTCAATTTTGCTGCACGTATTTTGAAATTATATTATTCAGTGCAGACACATCAATTATTGTTATTTATTTTTTATGAATTGTTTACTTCAGCATTATGAAATGTTTTTCTTCATCCTTTTATAAGGTTCTGAAGTCTACTCTGGTATTTACAAAGCCACTCTATCTTTCTATTTATTTATTTATTTATTTATTTATTTATTTATTTATTTATTTTTTGAGATGGAGTCTCACTTTGTCACCCAGACTGGAGTGCAATGGCGCGATCTTGGCTCACTGCAACCTCCACCCCCTGGGTTCAAGTGCTTCTCTTGCCTCAGCCTCCTGAATAGCTGGGATTACAGGCACCTGCCACCGCGCCCGGCTAAATTTTGTATTTTTAGCAGTGACGGAGTTTCACCATCTTGGCCAGGCTGGTCTTGAACTCCTGACCTCGTGATCCACCCACCTCAGCCTCCCAAAGTGCTGGGGTTACAGGCATAAGCCACAGTGCCTGGCTGCTTTCTTTTTTAAAAAAACATATTTACTGAGATATAGTTTACATATCATACAATTCATTCATTTGAAATGTATAATTCAATTTAGGTTGTGCAAACATCACCACAATCTAATTTTAAAACACTTCAGCTGGGCATGAGGGCTCACGCCTGTAATCCCTGCACTTTGGGAGGCCGAGGCAGGCAGATCACTTGAGGTCAGGAATCCAAGACCAGCCTGACCAACATGGTAAAACTCCATCTGTACTAAAAATACAAAAATTAGCCAGGCGTGGTGGCTCACACCTGTAGTCCCAGCTACTCAGGAGGCTGAGGCATGAGAATCGCTTGAACCCAGGAGGCGGAGGTTGCAATGAGCTGAGATCACGTCACTGCACTCCAGCCTGGGCAACAGAGTGAGACTTGGTCTTATAGACATTTATGCAGCCAAAAAACACATGAAAAAATGCTCATCATCACTGGCCATCAGAGAAATGCAAATCAAAACAACTATGAGATACCATCTCACACCAGTTAGTATGGCGATCATTAAAAAGTCAGGAAACAAAAGGTGCTGGAGAGGATGTGGAGAAATAGGAACAATTTTACATTGTTGGTGGGACTGTAAACGAGTTCAACCATTGTGGAAGTCAGTGTGGCGATTCCTCAGTGATCTAGAACTAGAAATACCATTTGACCCAGCCATCACATTACTGGGTATATACCCAAAGGATTATAAGTCATGCTGCTATAAAGACACATGCACACGTATGTTTATTGCAGCACTATTCACAATAGCAAAGACTTGGAACCAACCCAAATGTCCAACAACAATAGACTGGATTAAGAAAATGTGGCACATATACACCATGGAATACTATGCAGCCATAAAAAATGATGAGTTCACGTCCTTTGTAGGGACATGGATGAAACTGGAAACCATCATTCTCAGCAAACTATGGCAAGGGCAAAAAACCAAACACCGCATGTTCTCACTCATAGGTGGAAATTGAACAATGAGAACACATGGACACAGAAAGGGGAACATCACACTCCAGGGACTGTTGTGGGGTGGGGGGAGGGGGGAGGGATAGCATTTGGAGATATACCTAATGCTAAATGACGAGTTAATGGGTGCAGCACACCAACATGGCACATGTATACATATGTAACAAACCTGCACATTGTGTGTGTACCCTAAAACTTAAAGTATAATAATAATAAAATAAAAATAAATAAATAAATAAATAATTTTTTTAAAAAGGTAAAACAAAACAAAACAAAACCAAAACCAAAACCAAAACAAAAACAAAACACTTCATTGTCCAGATTTCTGTTGGTTAGTATTTGTATGGTTTAATGTTTTTATCATTTTACTTTATAAAAGCCAGCTTTATTAAGAAAAATCCTTTTACTTACAATCTTTCCATATCTTTTTTTTTTTTTTTTTATTGATCATTCTTGGGTGTTTCTCGCAGAAGGGGATTTGGCAGGGTCATAGGACAATAGTGGAGGGAAGGTCAGCAGATAAACAAGTGAACAAAGGTCTCTGGTTTTCCTAGGCAGAGGACCCTGCGGCCTTCCGCAGTGTTTGTGTCCCTGGGTACTTAAGATTAGGGAGTGGTGATGACTCTTAACGAGCATGCTGCCTTCAAGCATCTGTTTAACAAAGCACATCTTGCACCGCCCTTAATCCATTTAACCCTGAGTGGACACAGCACATGTTTCAGAGAGCACAGGGTTGGGGATAAGGTCACAGATCAACAGGATCCCAAGGCAGAAGAATTTTTCTTAGTACAGAACAAAATGAAAAGTCTCCCATGTCTACTTCTATCCACACAGACCCGGCAACCATTCGATTTCTCAATTTTTTCCCCACCCTTCCCGCCTTTCTATTCCACAAAACCGCCATTGTCATCATGGCCCATCCCCAATGAGCCGCTGGGCACACCTCCCAGACGGGGTCGTGGCCGGGCAGAGGGGCTCCTCACTTCCCAGTAGGGGCGGCCGGGCAGAAGCGCCCCTCACCTCCCGGATGGGGCGGCTGGCCGGGCGGGGGGCTGACCCCCCCACCACCGTCCCGGACGGGGCGGCTGGCCAGGCAGAGGGGCTCCTCACTTCCCAGTAGGGGCGGCCGGGCAGAGGCGCCCCTCACCTCCTGGATAGGGCGGCTGGCCGGGCGGGGGGCTGACCCCTCCACCTCCCTCCCGGACGGGGCGGCTGGCCGACCCCCCCCCCCCCCCCCCCGCCGCCTCCCTCCCGGACCGGGCGGCTGGCCGGGCAGAGGGGCTCCTCACTTCCCAGTAGGGGCGGCCGGGCAGAGGCGCCCCTCACCTCCCGGACGGGGCGGCTGGCCAGGCGGGGGGCTGATCCCCCCACCTCCCTCCCGGACGGGGCGGCTGGCCGGGCAGGGGGCTGACTCCCCCTCCCCCCTCCCGGACGGGGCGGCTGGCCGGGCGGGGGGCTGACCCCCCCCACCTCCCTCCCGGATGGGGCGGTTGGCCGGGCGAGGGGCTGACCCCCCACCTCCCTCCCGGACTGGGCGGCTGGCCGGGCGGGGGGCTGATCCCCCCACCTCCCTCCCGGACGGGGCGGCTGGCCGGGCAGAGGGGTCCTCACTTCCCAGTAGGGGCGGCCGGGCAGAGGCGCCCCTCACCTCCCGGACGGGGCGGCCGGCCGGGCGGGGGGCTGACCCCCCCACCTCCCTCCCGGACGGGGCGGCTGGCCGGGCAGAGGGGCTCCTCACTTCCCAGTAGGGGCGGCCGGGCAGAGGCGCCCCTCACCTCCCGGACGGGGCGGCTGGCCAGGCGGGGGGCTGATCCCCCCACCTCCCTCCCGGACGGGGCGGCTGGCCGGGCAGGGGGCTGACCCCCCCTCCCCCCTCCCGGACTGGGCGGCTGGCCGGGCGGGGGGCTGACCCCCCCACCTCCCTCCTGGACGGGGCGACCGGCCGGGCAGAGGGGCTCCTCACTTCCCAGTAGGGGCGGCCGGGCAGAGGAGCCCCTCACCTCCCGGACGGGGCGGCTGGCCGGGCGGGGGGCTGACCCCCCCCCCACCTCCCTCCCGGACGGGGTGGCTGCCGGGCGGAGACGCTCCTCACTTCCCAGACGGGGTGGCTGCTGGACGGAGGGGCTCCTCACTTCTCAGACGGGGCGGTTGCCAGGCAGAGGGTTTCCTCACTTCTCAGACGGGGCGGCCGGGCAGAGGCGCTCCTCACATCCCAGACAGGGCGGCGGGGCAGAGGTGCTCCCCACCTCTCAGACGATGGGCGGCCGGGCAGAGACGCTCCTCACTTCCTAGATGGGATGGCGGCGGGGAAGTGGCGCTCCTCGCTTCCTAGATGGGATGGCGGACGGGCAGAGACGCTCCTCACTTTCCAGACTGGGCAGCCAGGCAGAGGGGCTCCTCATATCCCAGACGATGGGCGGCCAGGCAGAGACGCTCCTCACTTCCCAGACGGGGTGGCGGCCGGGCAGAGGCTGCAATCTCGGCTCTTTGGGAGGCCAAGGCAGGCGGCTGGGAGGTGGTTGTAGCGAGCCGAGATCACGCCACTGCACTCCAGCCTTGGCACCATTGAGCACTGAGTGAACGAGACTCCGTCTGCAATCCCGGCACCTCGGGAGGCCGAGGCTGGCGGATCACTCGCGGTTAGGAGCTGGAGACCAGCCCGGCCAACACAGCAAAACCCCGTCTCCACCAAAAAAAAACGAAAACCAGTCAGGCGTGGCGACGCGCGCCTGCAATCGCAGGCACTCGGCAGGCTGAGGCAGGAGAATCAGGCATGGAGGTTGCAGTGAGCCGAGATCGCAGCAGTACAGTCCAGCTTCGGCTCGGCATCAGAGGGAGACCGTGGAAGGAGACCGTGGAGAGGGAGAGGGAGAGGGAGAGGGAGAGAGCCAATCTTTCCATATCTTTATATTTAAAATGAGTTTATTATAAGCAGCATACAGTTGCATCTTGCTTTTTAAATCAAATTTGATAATCTCTGCCCTTTAAAGTGTTAGATCATTTACATTTAACGTAATTTTTGATATGGTTGTATTTTAATGTATCGGTATGCCATTTATCTCCCATTTGTCCCATCTGCTTGGTCATTTTTCCCCTTTTTCTCTGACTTCTTTTTGGATGGAGTATTTTCTTCTCCACAATGGGCTTATTATCTGTATATCTTTTTTTGTCTTATTTTTTAGTGGGTGCTCTAAGATTTACAATATCCATATTCAATTTATCATAGTCTATTTTCAAAAATATACTATTTCATTTCTAGTGTAAGAAACTTATTATACTTTCATTTTCCCCTTTTTGTCACTGATGCTATTATTGTCATACATTTTACTTCTATGTATGTTATAAATCCTGCCATGCCTAGTTATTATTTTTGCTTTAAATAGCTATTACCTTTTATAGAAATTAAAATATGACAGAAAAATGTATTGTATATGTACCCACATATTTACCATTTTTGGCACTCTTCATTTTTTATGTCAATCTAAGTTTCCATCTGGTATAATTTTCCTTTTGCCTGAAGAATGTTTTCTTTCTTTTTTTCTTTTTTAAACATAGATAACAGATCTACTAGTGACAAATTATCTCAGCTTTTGTCTAAAAAAGTATTACCTTGTTTTTGAAGGATATTTTCACTGGATACAGAATTCTAGGTTGATAGTTTTTCTTTTTGTTTTGTTTTACTTGCAGCACTTTAAAGATGGCTTGCATAGTTTCTGATGAGAAGTCAGTGATCATTCTATTTTTTTCCTTTGTATGTTATGTTTTTTCCTCTGCCTACTTTTAATATTTTCTTCTTATCACTTCCCCCCAGCTGTTTGATTGTTATATGCTTTGTGTGTGTGTGTGTGTGTGTGTGTGTGTGTGTGTGTGTGTGTGTATTTATCTTGCGTGAAGGTTTGTTGGGATTCTTGAAGCTACAGGTTTATAGTTTCTATTACATTTGGAAAATTTGAGCAATATTTTTGTTTAATATTATTTCTGTCACTCCCCCACTTCTGCATCTTGTAATCCCATTATACCACTTTATATTGCCCTACAGGTCACTGAAACTCTGATCAGTTTTTTCAATCTTTTTTCTTTCTGTGCTTTTCTCTCTGGATAGTTTCTATTTCTATGCCTCCAAGTTCACTGATCTTTTCTTCTGTACTGCCTAAATTGTTGTTTAACCCTTTCAGTAATTTTTTTTTTTGAGACGGAGTCTTGCTCTGTCGCCCAGGTTGGAGTGCAGTGGCACGATCTCGGCTCACTGCAAGCTCTGCCTCCCGGGTTCACGCCATTCTCCTGCCTCAGCCTCCCGAGTAGCTGGGACTACAGGCGCCTGCCACCAGGCCCGGCTAACTTTTTGTATTTTTAGTAGAGACGGGGTTTCACCGTGTTAGCCAGGATGGTGTCGCTCTCCTGACCTCGTGATCTGCCCGCCTCGGCCTCCCAAAGTGCTGGGATTACAGGCATGAGCGACCGCAGCCGGCCAAATTTTGTATTTCAAACATTATATTTTCATCTCTGGGATTTCCATTTGGCGCTTATCTATATCTCCCATTTCTCTCTGCATTACATTCATTTTTCTTTTAAATACTTGAACATAGCTACAATAGTTGTTTTTGCTTTTGGGTTTTTTTTTGTTTTTTTTTTTTTTTGTTTTTTTTGCTAATTTCATTACCTCTGTCATTTCTGAATTTGATTTTTCTTCTAGTCATGGATCACTTCTTAAAATTAAAAAAAAAACTTCTTTGTATGTCTTGTAATTGTATTTTAGGACAGGGTCTTGCTATGTTGTCTAGGCTAGATTAGAACTCCCAGCTCAAGCAACCTTCCAGCTTCAGCCTCCTAAGTAGCTGGGAACAGGTGCACACAACCATTCTTGCCTACTCTGGTGATTTTTGATTGGATGCTGGACATTTCAACATTTGTTGAGTGCTCAATTTTGCTTTTTTCCTTTTAAATATGTTAGACTTTATTCTGGCAGACAATTTATTAGAAAATCAGTTTGATCTGTCTGAAGCTTGTTTTTAAGTTTTGTTATTGTAGGTCTAGAGTATCCTTTACTCTGGGACTAGGGTAGTCCTACAAGCAAGGTGTGGTGCTTCTGGGGTCTTTACTGAATGCCCCAGGTGCTTAATACAGTTTCTTCTTTCTGGCTGATCAGAACTCAAATGTCTCCTAGGTCTGGGTGAACTCTGGGAATTTTTCAGCTTGCAGCTACTGGTAATAACTTCCCAGGATTTTTGTGAGGATTAAATTAAATAATGCATATGAAGAGTATTGCAGGGGATTATGATTATGAAGAGATACATAAGGGGCTTCTGGGGTGCTGGCAATATATTTTTTGATCTGGGTGGTGGTTACATGTATGTTCACTTTATAACTATTTGTTAAACTGAATTTTTTATGTGTATGTTATACATCACAATAAAAATCAAAAGAAAACAAAGAATATAACATACTGCTGGCATATAGTAGATGCTCAATAAATGTAGCCAGCCTGATTACATGAGATAAGAGATGTAAAATAGCTGGCACAGAATCCAGCACACAGGGTTGGGGGAGAATCCTGGATAATTTCCTGTAAGTAAGCTTTTTATGGAAGTATAACCTAATAAAGAGAAATAAACAGAGCATAAGCACATAGCTCCATACATTTTTCCAAAACAGAACACACCCAAGTAACCAGTGACCAGGTCAAGAAATAGAACTTAATTGGTTCTTAATTGTTAATGTAAAACAATATGGAATGGGATTTTCCTGATGTCTCATAATTTTGGTTAAATTCTCAAAGCTGATAAGAATTCCTCTTTATTTCTAAAGAATGATTTTAGATATCCCCTCAAGGTTGTCTAAAAAATGGCAGAACTGGTCCTGTGACTGTCAGCCTCTGTCATCCACCTTCAGCCTCATAGAAGCCTAGGAGTTCTAAGGGTGCAAGAAGCATAGAAGCCTAGGAGTTCTAAGGGTGCAAGAAGCATAGAAGTCTAGGAGTTCTAAGCAAGCAATCTTACAGATAACAGATTGCTTGCCTAGGAGCAGGGTAGGAGATGTGCTCAAGTGATGGGCTGAGAAGGAATCACAGCCCCTGTGTTTCCATGGAGCCAGGGCTGAAAGCTAAGAGAGTTCTTGGGAAGCCTGACATGCAGACTTTGGAGTTTATGGGGTTGGGGAGGTGTTGTGGTTGAATGGTGTGGTGTTGGAGTTAGTTATACTAAACACAGAGGCCAATGTTTGCTTCCTACCTAGAAAACCATTAAGGCAAGAGGAAGGCTAGAGAAGACCATGATGGCATGGTAAGGAGTGAGAGCCACTGTTTGGTGGGGCAAAGTTATATGAATTTCCTGGCAGAGTGAACTCTGCAACAGGCAGTGAGATTTCAGCTCCCTCGACGGGGACCTCTGTCATAGGGCATCCATCTTCTTGAATTCTTTTTTTTTGAGATGGAGTCTTGTTCTGTCACCCAGGCTGGAGTGCAGTGGCGCCATCTTGGCTCACTGCAACCTCTGCCTCCTGGATTCAAGCAGTTCTCCTGCCTCAGCCTCCGGAGTAGCTGGGACTACAGGCACGCGCCACCACCCGCGCCACCACTCCCAGCTGATTTTTGTATTTTTAGTAGAGACGGGGTTTCACCATGTTGGCCAGGATGGTTTCGATCTCTTGACCTCGTGATCCCCCCGCCTCAGCCTCCCAAGGTGCTGGGATTACAGGCGTGAGCCACGCACGCCCAGCTGATCTTCTTCAGTGTTGATCCCCTAGCCACAGATCAGGCCTGAGGTGAGGGGGATTGGATGTGAGTTTTTTGTTTACATTGGAGTAGAATTTTAAAAACATCCCCAAATGAGGCTATTCATACAACCACAAGAGCCTGAAAAACTTAAAGATCTTCCTGAGGTGTCCAGGGGCTAAAAGAAGAGATCCAGCTGGCCAGGCACGGTGGCTCACGCCTGTAATCCCAGCACTTTGGGAGGCCAAGGCGGGCGGATCACGAGGTCAAGAGATGGAAACCATCCTGGCCAACATGGTGAAACCCCGTCTGTACTAAAAATACAAAAATTAGCCGGGCGTGGTGGCGGGTGCCTGTAATCCCAGCTACTCGGGAGGCTGAGGCACAAGAATTGTTTGAACCTGGGAGGTGGAGGTTGCAGTGAGCTGAGATTGCGCCACTGCACTCCAGCCTGGTGACAGAGCAAGACTCAGTCTCAAAAAGAAAATTAAAAAAAAAAAAAGAGAGAGAGGGATCCAGCAAGGCATGTTAAAGGGCATTAGGAGAAAAATTAAGCCATTTCCTGTTTGTATTTGTACCTCTTGAGTGCAGTCTGCTGTGTGTGTGTGTGTGTGTGTGTGTGCACCTAATCCTTCTGCTGGGCTATGACTAGGTGTGGAGAATTTCTCCTCCATTATAAGGTACACTTTTCCAGGATTAGAATTCACTAAATCCCATCTCTCGTCTATCGACAGTGCTACATAAATTCTCTCCTCCCTCGCCCCCCCGCACTCCCCACCGACACGGAGTTTCGCTCTTGTCACCCAGGCTGGAGTGCAGTGGCACGATCTCAGCTCACTGCAACCTCTGCCTCCCAGGTTCAAGCTATTCTCCTGCTTCAGCTTCCCGAGTAGCTGGGATTATAGGTGCCGGCCACTATGCCCAGCTAATTTTTGTATTTTTAGTAGAGATGGGGTTTCGCCATGTTGGCCAGGCTGGTTTTGAACTCTTGTCCTCGAGTGATCCGCCCCCGCCTAGGCCTCCCAAATTGCTGGGATTACAGACATGGGCCACCTCAACCAGCCTCTCCTCTTTCATTATTACTCGCTGAAGAATTCTGTATCTGAAGTTTTCCTGATGATTCTCAGACTTGACCCTGGGGGAGGGGGTAGGGATAGCATTAGGAGATATACCTAATGTAAATGATGAGTTAATGGGTGCAGCACACCAACATGGCACATGTATACATATGTAACAAACCTGCACGTTGTGCACATGTACTCTAGAACTTAAAGTATAATAATAATAATAAAAAAACTACTGCTTTCCCCACTCCCACCAGATACATTTTAAGTTCATGCTTTCCATTAAATGGGGGTATCTTGGGCCCGTTCCTGGGGATTAGTGAAGCAATCTTATTTATCAGCAACACACATACAGATTAGTCTGCCTAATGGCAATATTGATATTTACCTCAGAATTTGTAAAATAGAATAAAAAGGTCTGGCACTGTGGCTCATGCCTGTAATCCCAGCACTTTGGGAGGCTGAGGTGGGCAGATCAACTGAGGTCAGGAGTTCAAGACCAGCCTGGGCAATATAGTGAAACCTGTTTCTGATTAAAAAATACAAAAATTAGCCAGGCGTGGTGGCAGTGCCTGTAATCCCAACTACTTGGGAGGCTGAGGCAGGAGTATTGCTTGAACCCAGGGGGTGGAGATTGCAGTGAGCCAAGATTGTTCCACTGCACTCCAGCCTGGGCAATAGATTGAGACTCCATCTCAAAAAAAGAATAAAAATAAAAAATAAAAATCATTGAAACTACATATTGTATTTCAAATATAAAATATTTTAAACCTATTATAAAACATGCCTCTGGTCATGCTTGGTGAGGCTGCTCCCCTACCCTTCAGTCCCCTCTGTTCTGGGGAAGCAAGGCTTCAGTCACAGCATTCGCCTGGAGGTACCAGACCCACCTGCTTTAGTACCTTTCTGCCCTGTCCAGCTCCCAGGAGTGAGCTTTCAAGTTTACGTGTTGTATCAGTTTTGAATTCTCTTTCCCAGCCCTGGAGAGATGGCCCTGTCCTGGGTCTTGCTCTGTCCCTTCAGCAGCAGGTATCTGCCCTTTTAGAGGGGAGGAGTGGGTGATGGCTAGGAGAGATGGGAGGGGTCAGGGGTCTGGCAGAAACTGATAGGAAAAGAGGCAGGATTTGTGACAAGAGTGTCAAGGAGACAAAGCAGGTATAGAGAAATGGTTTACAGAGAGAGCCAAGAAGGGTGCATAAAGGTTTCATTTGAAAATGGTATTTATAGGCCAGGTGCAGTGGCTCATGTCTGTAATCCCAGTACTTTGGGAGGCCGAGGCGGGTGGATCACCTGAGGTCGGGAGTTCGAGACCAGCCTGACTAACATGGAGAAACCCCATCTCTACTAAAAATACAAAAAATTAGCTGGGAGTGGTGGCGCATGCCTGTAATCCCAGCTACTCAGGAGGCTGAGGCAGGAGAATCGCTTGAACCCGGGAGGTGGAGGTTGCGATGAGCCAAGATCGCGCCATTGCACTCCAGCCTGGGCAACAAGAGCGAAACTCCGTCTCAGAAAAAAAAAAAAAAAGAAAGAAATGATATTTATAAACAAAAATACTGGTATTTAGGTACTTTAAAATAGTCCATTGTTAAAAATTTGTATTGCAATCACAATTATTAATCTTCCTGGGAAGATGTCTTTGGGTGGCCAGTAATAGAGAATTTTATTTTGTTTACTACAGCCTTTGGTCTCAAAGGTTTATGTCTTCTGACTTTTCCTCCAGCCTCTGGGGTTTGCCATATTTGGATCCTGCAACTTCACGATAAAGTGGAAAGAGTTTTTAAAGGTTTTGGAGTCAGACAGACCTGAGTTGTCTGTCTGCTATTATTAATTGTAAACTTGGGCCCATTATGCAACTCTCTGAGCCTTCATTTTCTCATTTGCAATTATCTACCTGAGATAGAAAATATTGAGCAATTAAATGCAAATACAAAATAGGATATTTAAATCACTCAACGCAGTGTCTGGCACATAACAAGTGCTCAAGATATGGTTATCAAAGTTATTGATATTGTTGTATAAACTATTCCATCATGTTAAAATATCTCAGTTTGGTTAATTATGTTCTGTTGCTGGAGTTTTTGGTGTTTCTAAGGTTTTGCTTGTCTAAACTATTCAAAACAATCCTAGTATAGAAACTTTGGCCTAGAATGCAAGCTTTCTTAGTGTTCCATTCCTAGAGGTGAAATTAGCAGGTCAAAGGTGTAAGCAGCATTCTAGCCAGCCAGTTGGTGCTGATAAAAATCAGACCAATTTCTGGCTGGGCGCAGTAGCTCATGCCTGTAATCCCAGCACTTTGGGAGGCTGAGGCGGGCGGATCACCTGAAGTCAGGAGTTTGAGACCAGCCTGGCCGACATGGGGAAACCCCGTCTCTACTAAAAATACAAAAATTAGCCAGGCATGGTGGCACACGCCTGTAGTCCCAGGTACTTGGGAGGCTGAGGCAGGAGAATTGCTTGAACCCAGGAAGCACAGACTGCAGTAAGCCAAGATCGTGTCACTGCACTCCAGCCTGGGCAACAGAGTGAGTGACACTCTGTCTCAAGAAAAAAAAAAATCAGACTGATTTGAAATGCAAATATAATATCTAGGTGTATTTATTTCCAAAGTCTGATCAATAATGATACCTTTAAAATATTTATATTTGTGTATCTTTGATTGTTAGTGAGGCAAAGCATTTTTCCACTAGATGACTTGTCAAGCATTTTTCCTAATGATATTTAGCCATCTCTAACTGTCGCTTATCCAGAGGCTGGTGATAGCTGTTCTTTTATATGAGGTTCAAATATTCATACTTTTCTTTTTGAGATGGAGATTTGCTCTTATCGCCCAGGCTGGAGTGCAATAGCACGATCTCGACTCACCACAACCTCTGCCTCCTGGGTTCAAGTGATTCTCCTGTCTCAGCCTTCTGAGCAGCTGGGATTATAGGCGCCTGCCACCACGCCCGGCTAATTTTGTATTTTTAATAGAGACAGAGTTTCTCCATGTTGGTTAAGCTGGTCTCGAACTCCCGACCTCAGGTGATCTGCCCACCTCAGCCTTCCAAAGTGCTGGAGATTACAGGCGTGAGCCACCGCCCACAACCTGTTGGCTTATTCTTTTGTTAAAATTTACCATGGAGTTTTAGTTTTGTGAAATAGCTTATGGTATTTTCATTGTTATCCCTTGCAATCTGTATCTACACTTCAGGCAAATGTTCATATTATTTTTATTTATCTGGATGTTTTAACTTTTTCTATAGTGAATGCATAGGAACAATATACTGTTAAAAATCAGAAAAATATGACATAAATGATCTGTAATGGTAATAAAATGAAATATAATCGGGCAACATGATTGTAATTTCATGACTAAGGGTTCATTAAAATATGTGGAGAAGTGTGGGTCATTATTTCACTGGTTTCTGTACATGGATTCCCAAGCTTTCTTGTTTGTTGAGACTGGAAGATTTTACTCTTCTTAGTCACAACTCTGAAAGAACCACATCAAGACTTGCATAACCAGGAATAGTGTTGGCCTAAGACAGATAGTTTGTTTGGATTTGCTAATTACATGATTATGTCACTTTAATAATTTTTTCTTTTATTCTGTTGTCTTGACTAACAACAATTGCCATATTGTTAGTGGTATTTTAAGTAAAAGGGATGATTAGAGGGGTCCTTGTCTGATTTCTGTTTTTAATTAAAATGAGTTGACTTTGCATTGGGACATGATAGGGTAATAGGTACTGGATTTATCCTCCACTTGAGCAGTTAGAACTCTGGACAAAATAGAGAGCAACAGTTTTCGGAATTTGGATTGCAGGCAGTACAGACCGTGATGCTTGGGAGAAGGGAAACAAATGAGGTGAATTCTACAATTGACCCAGTATATCGCCTAGATGGAAATTCCAGAACCCAGAGTAGGATGAGAGAACACAAGCAGAACCCAGCAATCTCTTTGAGTTAAAAACAAATCAGAGCTTGTTCCAATGCAGCTGGAACTTGTGGGGCAGAGTACAGTAGAGGAAGGAGCTGCATAAAAAGAGAAGTCTGGATATTTACAGAGAGACCTCTATAGGTCTTTGGTTGAATGATCTGCAAAGTAACTTAACTGCACATGAGAAAAAAAATACAACACTAATTGATGAAATTCAACAAAATCCAGCACCTAACAATGTAAAATCAACAATATCAAACATCCAATAAAAAATTACCGGATATGCAAAGAACCTGGAAAATATGATCTATACCCAAGAGAAAAATCAGTCAATAGAAACAGACCCAGAAATGACAGAGATGAAGAATTAGAGGACAAACATGTTAAAACAACTTTTATAAATATGCTCCATATGTTCAATAAGGTAAAGGAAAACATGAGAGACAAATAGAATATCCAAAATGGACTCAAATGGAACTTCCAGAGATGAAAAATATAATGTATAAGATAAAAAATATAGTAGATGAGACTAACAGCAGATTAGACACTGCAGAAGAAAAAAAATCCCAGTGAACCTGAAGATGTAACAATAGAAACTGTTTAAAATTAGGCACACAGAGAAAAAATACTGAAAATAAATGAACAGAATATTATGGCCTGTGGTACAATAATATGAGCAGTCATTGTAATTGAAGTTCTAAAACAGAGTTGAAGGGAAAAAACCCAGAAAAAAATATTTGAAGTAATAATGACTTAAGTATTTTCTAAATTTGATGACAACTATAAACTCATGCACAATGAGTCCAAACGAATATACATAAAGAAAACCATGTTATGGCCTATTATAATAAAATTGCTAAAAACAAGTGATAAAAAGAAAAATGTAAAAGCAGCCAGAGAAAAAGAGGACACATGCTGTTCAGAGGAACAAAAATAAGATTGAGAATAAACTTCTCATCAGGAACTATGCAAAGTAATATCTGTACAAGGACTTAACAATTCCCTATTGAACATTCAGTTTAATAGGATATAAGTAATAGTTCTTCCCAAATTAAAACAATGCTTGTTTTCTTTTTCATTTGTGATCTTCCTTTTTTAAAATTCAGCTAATGATTTAAAATTTTGTTAATATTTTATAAAAATAAATTTTCTAGAGTTTTTAAGATTAAAAATTAAAATTAATAAAAATTAAGATTTCTGTAGTTTTAAATTCTTTTTCTTTGCTTTTTCTTGGCTTAGTTTATTTTGAATTTTGAATTTTAATTTTTAAAGATAGTTATAAACTTGGCTTATTAAACTTGGCTTTTTTGTCTTGTCCCTTCTTTCCTTTCCTTTCCTTTCCCTCCCTCCCTCCCTCCCTCCCTCCCTCCCTTCCTTCCTTCCTTCCTTCCTCCCTTTCTCTCTCTCTCCCCCTCTCTCCTTCCTTCCTTCCTTCTCTCTCTCTCTCTCTTTATTTTTTTTGAAATAGGGTCTCACTCTGTCACCCAGGCTGGAGTGCAGTGGTACAATCATGGCTCACTGCAGCCTCTAACTCCTGGGCTCAAGCGATCATTGCACCTCAGTACCCCAAATAGCTGGGACTACAGGCACATGCCAACATTCCTGTTTTTTTATCTTTTTGTAGAGACAACATTTTTGTCATGTTGCCCAGGCTGGTCTTAAACTCCTGGGCTCAAGCTGTCTGTCCACCTTGGCCTCCCAAAGTGCTAGGATTACAGGTGTGAGGCACTGCTCTCAGCCTGACTTTTCTGTTTCTTTTTCCGAAGTCAGCATAAGCATTCATGGCCTTACCTTTGTTTTCTTGTACTGCATTCATTTATTCATGTAATTATTTCAGCAAATATGTCAGGTACTGTGGCAAGTACTCTTGTTTCAATCAAATATTTATGTATGACAACGTATCAACTAAGTCATGATACAAACCATATTCCTGCCAGTGTGTTGTGACTAGAAACATTTTGAAAGCATTATTTGGTCTGTATAGGTACTTACCACATCAAAGAAATACAGAGCAGACCCAAGAATGCAGCAAGCACAGATTGTGGGGATGTAGTGTTGTTGCTGCTGGCTCTCCTTCGTGCTTTAACAAACCCCGAGGGCCCATTGTCACGTTAGGGAAGATTTGATCCCAACTTCCAGAAACTCACTCAAACTTGCTTAAGCGAAGAGACACAAAAACAAAACATAAAGGTGTTTCACAGAACACAGGGGCTAGAGAGAGTCTCCTGCAGCACCAGAAACGGGTATTGGAAGGCCACCAGAAACCAAGCTGTCTCTCCCTCCTTCACCTCTCTTTGTGAGGCTCCCTGGTCTTTTATTTTTGTTCTTTCTGAGTTTGAGCATCATTTTTTTCCCTGTGCTTTTTTGTGTCCTCAGCCTCCCATACATCCTCTTAGGTACCTATAAAGCCTAACTTGAATGGCTATGTCAAATTTCAAATTTCCAGGAGAGACAATCTGATTGGCCCAGCTTGGTCAGGTGTCTATCCTTGGATCAATTAAATGCAGCCAAGAAAGTCAAAAATAACATGTCTGTGGAAATGACCTCTATAGGAAAGGGCAGTTCTAGGGCGAACCCCCAAAGCAGTCTCCTACAACCATGTATTGTTGATGTTCATTGTCAGGACTCCCATGAATAGACGGATCATCACAAAATTCACTAGTTAATTAATAGTTGTTTAACTCTAAGAAATAATTTGAGGCAGCTACATTATTTTTTTAAGAGCAGGAGTAGGAGTTTAAGAAAATACTTTAGAATAGGAAAGAAAGATGCACTTGGAAGAGACCCAGGTGGCCACATGAAGGTCAGGTGCGGTGTTTAACCTTGATCCTAGGACTTTGCACGTTGGCTCCTTTCCCATGATTCTTCCCTTCGGGTGGGCTGCCCACATGCACAGTGCCCTCCTTACCCTTGGGAGGTGAGCAAGCACAGTGTGTTTAGGAAATTGTATGCATGCCCATCTGAGGCTTCCTTCCCTTTTCCTGTGGAGTGCCCCAGAAAGTCATACTCTGCCATTTTGTCTCTTAATGCACATGCCCGGGAAGTTGCTTCTCCCTGGCATCTGCATTCAATTAACACGTTAGTGCAACAGGTGTGGACCATCAGAAAATGGCCTCTTCCTGGTGCCAGCTGCCAATTTATCGCTTTTACAGAGACAATGTGATCCTTGCTGAACCACCACCTGACATTCCTCGTGGGTGGGGGAGAGCCCTCTCCTGCCCCACTCACGCCTGTCTAACTACCACTAACACCTCCCTGCCTCAAGAGCCCAAGACTCCAAATCTTTCAGGGAAAATGGATAAAGGTCAGTTTTCTGTAATTGCTTCCCACTGACAATGGGGCAATGGTGGTTCTGTGGGTCTTGACCTCTTGCTAGCTGTCAGTGCAGAAGGGTGACTCTGTGAGTTAGTGAAACTAGTATCTAGCCATGTCCAAGGGAAACGGACAGGGTTTCACCTCCTTCCTGTCCCACTGATGGGCAGTCTAGGGGTCCCCTGTAGAATGGTGCCTCTGGAATATTGAGAGGATGGTATCCCTTACTGAAAATCATCTGGAGCTTGATGGCCTGAAGGTGAGAGGAGAGACAAATTGGGTAGTTAGAATTAGAAGAATGTTAAATCAAGATAAGAGGGTGAGGACAGCTTCAAAAATTCTGAAGCTGCTGACATGCCCAGGTAACTGGTGGCTATGGTGGCTACAGTCATGCTTGCTAAGACGCGGGTGCATAGGGCTGAGGCAGCTAAATCTTAAAGTGTGAAGTAGGTTCAGGTGCAGTCTTTAATATACTATGCCTGGAAAATAAAATGAGTATGAAAATGCTTTAATATCACTTCTTGGCCTTTGGCTCAGATCAAATGCAAAATGCTTGAATAGCTTGTAAACTCAACTAATGGAGAGCCTGAGGCTGGAGAATTGCTTGAGGCCAGGAATTCAAGACCAGCCTGGGCAACACAGGGAGACCCTGTCCTAGCTACTCAGGAGGCTGAGGTGGGAGGATCACTTGAGCACAGGATTTCAAGGCTGTAGTGAGCTATGAGTGGCACAGCCTGGGTAACAGTGAAATCTTGTCTCTAAAAATAAATAAATAAATGAAAATAAAAATACGTTTTAACATAAAATTATTAACATTTTCACACATGATTCAGTAGTTTGAATTACTGCCTTAAGTGAAGTGAAAAAAAAAATCTCATTTCTAATGTTTCCAGGTAAGTGCAGAGATTTTTTTTTTTTTTTAAATGGAGTCTTGCTCTGTCGCCCAGGCTGGAGTGCCGTAGTGCAATCTTGGCTCACTGTGAGCTCCGCCTCCTGGGTTCACGCCATTCTCCCGCCTCAGCCTCCCGAGTAGCTGGGACTACAGGCGCCCGCCACCATGCCCGGCTAATTTTTTGTATTTTTAGCAGAGACAGGGTTTCACTGTGTTTGCCAGGATGGTCTCAATTTCCTGACTTCGTGATTCACCCGCCTCGGCCTCCCAAAGTGCTGGGGTTACAGGCGTGAGCCAGTGCAGAGGTTTTTTTAAGTGACCATGTTGTTCATTTCTTTTTACTTACGCAGTCTGAATTTTAGCCAAAACTACATTAGTAGAAAATGTTGTTATCGAACCAAACTGGGGTCTGCTTGCTTGACATAGTAAGGCCAAAACATCCACACTGAGGTATGCAGTGGGAGAAAAGGAGTTTATTTGCAGGGTGCCGGGCAAGGAGAAGTGAGTAGCTCATGCTCCAGACCCAACCCCCCAGATGGCTTATAGGTAAAGGTTAAAGGCAGGGAGACAGAGGTTACAGGCACATTCATATATCAATACATGGAGGCTATACATTGTCTAGGCCTGAAAGAGAAGGATATCTTACAGGTCACAGGTCAATTCAAAGATTTCCTGATTTGTGATTGGTTAATGTAATAGTCTGTTCTTGCACTGCTATAAAGAAATACCTGATATTGGGTAATTTATAAGAAAAGAGGTTTCATTGGCTCATGGTTCCATGGGCTGTACAGGAGGCATGGTTAGGAAGGCCTCAGGAAACTTACAATCATGGTGGAAGTTCAAAGGGAAACAGGTACATTTTTTTTTTTTTTTTTTTTTTTTTTTAGACGGAATTTCACTCTTGTCACCCAGGCTGGAGTGCAATGGTGTGATCTCAGCTCATCACAACCTCCGCCTCCCAGGTTCAAGTGATTCTCCTGCCTCAGCCTCCCAAGTAGCTGGGATTACAGGCATACGCCACCATGCCCAGCTAATTTGTGTATTTTCAGTAGAAATGGGGTTTCTCCATGTTGGTCAGGCTGGTCTCGAACTCCCGACCTCGGGTGATCTGACCGCCTCGGCCTCCCAAAGTGCTGGGATTACAAACATGAGCCACTGCGCCCAGCATCAAGCAGGCACATCTTACATGGCCAGAGCAGGAGCCAGAGAGGGGGCGGGGAGGAGCTACACACTTCTAAATGAGATCTCATGACAACCCACTCACTCACTGTGACAAGAACAGCACCAAGGGGATGTTGCTAACCCATTCATGAGAACTCCACCCCATGATCTAATCATCTCCTACCAGGCCCCACCTCCAACACCAGGGATTACAATTCCACATGCGATTTGGTGGAGATGCAGATCCAAACCATATACATTAAGGAGGTGCTAAAAACTTGGCATCAGCAGAAAAGACCATTAGCACTGGCTTGTGGGTGTGACCTCTGCCAGGACCCTGAGGAAGAAATTTAGAACAAAGAAGGGGTGTTGGAGTTCAGTCCTCGTTTCCCCCTTGTCTGAGGTTCACATGCCAGTGGATCCCTTTGGTGGGGGTCCAGGTTTCTGGAAAAATTCAGGGACATATGTTAAGATGTTTCTGTCGGAAGCCAAACATTCTTGCGACTCTAACTTCCTTGGTTATTGTTTTAAGCTACCGTTACCTTCTTGCTTATCAATTTGCTCATTTACTTTTCAGGGTTAGCTAGGTGCCTGGAATTTCCCTTGAAGAAACTCAAGGTTTTTCTTCATGTCCATGCTTGAGGGGCCCACAGTCCTCTGCAAGGGGTCCCGCTCCATTTCAATGTCATGAAACAAGACTTGGTACATCCATTTGAATTTAACCAACAGGGGGAGCCAGTTTTAGATGTTTAAAATATTTTGGTCAATGTAATGTTTTAGTTAACGAATTGTTGAAATTTTGTAAGGAAATGAAACTCAGTTGACTGGCTTTTACCGGGTGTTTCTATTTGAGTGTAGATAATTGTACCTCATGGCATGGGTGCTAAACATTTTAGGTTAAATATCTTCTTGTACTGGTAAATGAGGAGGGGAAGTGAAATATGGAACAAATCGTTACTCTGGACAGGAAGCAATAGAAAGGCAAATCAACGTTGTTCTCGATTTGGTCCTTTGCATTGTTGTCATATTTCTACTGGAAATGCTTCACAGCAATGCCCTTTTAGATCATTATTTAGATGTTCAGTAAATATGTGGCCTGATATAGCTCATACCCCAGCTGAGACTGAATGTTTCTGTTCCCCTGGGGAGAGACCTTGTACCTTGAGTTAATTTGCATATGAATTCAAGTGACTAGGAAAGTGAGAGAGCAGCTGACTGGGAAGCCAAGCTCCCCACCTTTGGGGGAGAGGGGTTAATACTGCAACAGGCATAGGTGTATATATTTTTTTGTGCAATTATAATTGGGAAGTCGAATGTTAAGGGGAGGGTTAAGTAACAACAAACTTCATTAGGTTGAGCTGGTCTACACCCCCTGATGAGGTGGGGCTTAGGGGTAGGTCCAGCTTGGAAGACAAACCAAGTAACTGCAAGCTAGATTCTTGGATAATCTGTATTTCTTTGTTAGGGGAAGTAACAGTTTATAAGATTGGGCTTTTCTTGGGAAGAACCTCGAGAGAATAAAAAGCTGGGCTCCCGTCAGCCCCTCTGGAGCAGAGGTTATCCTGGAGATGTAGATCAGCCCTGGAGGGATCAGCCTCTTCTCCGGACAAAGAAAGAGCTCAAAGATGGCTGGAGGGATTCCATCAACAGTTCACTGGGGAGGGAGCCATGCAACCAGTTATAGTCACAATAGTGTGAAAACTGGCAGCTCTTCCATGTAGGGGCATCAGCAAGATCAGTGCAGAACACTCCAGGAAAGGATGGCCGGGGGTGCGGTGGTTCATGCCTATAATCCCAGCACTTTGAGAGGCTGAGGTGGGTGGATCACTTGAGGCCAGGAGTTCAACTGGCCAACATCGTGAAACCTGTCTCTGCTAAAAATACAAAAATTAGTCAGGCATGCTGGTTGGCCCCTGTAATCCCAGCTACTCGGGAGGCTGAGGCAGAATTGCTTGAACCTGGAAGGCGGAAGTTGTAGTAAGCCAAGATCTTGCTATTGCACTCCAGCCTGGGTGATGAGTGAGACTCCATCTCAAACAAACAAACAAACAAACAAACAAAACCACACAAAAACAAAAATTAAAAAAACACAAAAAAGAAGACTCCAGGAAAGGCTTTGCACTTTCAGTGAGTGGCAAGAGGATGCTTGTTCCTGTGGCTGTGCCATCTCCTATTTCTATGGAATCCTTCCCACCTCCTTAAAAACTGGCTACTATATCTCTCATGTTTAGAAAAGCCTTCACTAGATCCCTCGTATCCCTCCAGCTGACAGACCATGTCTCTGTCCCTCTTTCCAGAAAACCAACTCAGAAGAGTTACTCTGCCTGCAATTCTTTACCTCCCTTCGGCCTACTCTTTTTCTGTGGGATGCTTTTGGTATTAAATAATAGAGAACTCTGAATCAACTGTGTAGAGTAAGATGGGGAATTCATTGGCTCAAGTGACAAGAACTCCACAGGTGGAGCAGGCTCCAGACAGGGGCTCTGGCAATTCCCTTGACTCCGCCCTCCTCTAGGGGGTTGGCTTTATCCTCAGGCTTGTGCCAAGGTGGTTTCCACAGAACTAGGGGTCACAGGCAGAAATGACAATAGCTAATGGGAGAAGGGCAGAGATCTTCTTGTGTCTCTTTTTAAGACAAAATGATACCTCCGGCCAGGCGCGGTGGCTCACTCCTGTAATCGCAGCACTTTGGGAGGCTGAGGTGGGTGGATCACCTGAGGTCAGGAGTTCAAGACCAGCCTGGCCAACACAGAGAAACCCTGTCTCCACTAAAAATACAAAAATTAGCTGGGCATCGTGGTGCATGCCTATAATCCCAGCTACTCAGGAGGCTGAGGCAGGAGAATCGCTTGAACCCAGGAGGCGGAGGCTATGGTAAGCCAAGATCACGCCATTGCACTTTAGCCTGGGCAACGGAGTGAGACTGTCTCAAAAAAAAAAAAAAAAAAAAAGAGGCCTCCACAGAAATCCTTCAACAGACATCCCCTCACATCTTGTTGGCCAGAATAATGGTATCACATAGCCATTGGCAAAGAAAAGTAGATCATGGTGTCTTGGTTTAAACCAGTCAGGATTTACACTGGAGCTGGCAGTAGGGGTTCTTTTTGCAAGGAAAAAGGGGTGAATAGAGTCTGGGAAGTAACTAACATTTACATCTACCTTTTATTCCCAACACTACATTGAAATGGAATTGCACAAGGCTTCAAATCCAGTGAGCATTTCTTTGTCTTCAATGTGTTCCTCCTTTTAGAAACATTTGACATAATTGAGCACCCATTAGCTTCTACTACATCTCCTGGCTTGACTTTCTCTTCTGCTTGTTTGTCAGTTTACTGCATTGGGTACACAGGATTTTAAAACATCCTATTTTGTCCTAAATTTTTGTCTTCCCAATGCAATTAGAGCAAATGATTCTCACCAAGTGAGGAGTGAGACGATTGGCCAGGACTTATAGCATGGCCAAGAATGAATTTTATGTCCCTTGGTTGATTAAACACCTCCAGCTTATAAAAGAGATTAATGAGACCAAGGTGCGTAAGAAATTGGAGAGAAAATTTGTTTAGAGAGATGTGCCCTATGAGTTTTTCCCCATCGTACAGAAGCAGTGGGGGATGCTTGCCCCTCCTGACCAGTGTAGGGAAAGGGGCTTTACTGGGGAGCACTTAGAAGGTGGATCACAGTGGACTAGAGTCTGCCCTTGGCCGGCTAGCTGTTCTAATGGCAGGGAGAAGAGATGGTGCTATGTTGGGGCAAATGATGCTTATGAGTGCTTCCCACGGGCCTGAGGTAGCACTCACAGAGAAAGCAAGCAAGCTTGAGGTTTTCTTAGATCCTGCCCAGGAGGGCTGCTTGGAGAAAAAAACCCAACCACAAACAAGTGTTGGAGATGTACTATTAGATTCCAAGGCAGTGAAAGAGGAATTGTAAGTGACCAGCCCTAGGAGATGCATTTACTTACAGCATGGGAACTGCCATTGTAAGATTTCCAAAGATGAGTCTGAAGAAACCATAATATTGTCCCAAAAGAGAAAGAATAAGCTCTAGATGCCTGGAAAGCCCAGACAGCTCTTATTAGTTTACGACAAGACTAGCCACGTAGGATCTTTCCTGCCCTGTCCCTTTCTACCTCCCCACTCTGCTTCCATTCTAGAGGAACCAGAGGCAGCCAAATGAGCTGGGAAAGAGGACGTCACATTTCAGGTGAAATAGAGGACAGCTGACTCCCACTGGAGGCAGCCAGGCTGGAGCAGAGAGCCTCAACTCTTCATGAATTTGGAATACTTTCTTATTACCATTCATAACGCTTATTGAAATGAGACTCTCTCTTTCTCTCTCTATGTGTGTGTGACCAGCAGTGACCAGATGGCTTTATATTATTTAAGAATGTCCACAAAAGTCACACAATCCCCTTCAGTTTTGTTCAAGGGAGCAGGGAACAACTAGTTCCATGGAGGGGATGGCTTGAACAGGTAGTGGAGGAAAAGAATAAAGTGGTTTTCTGATTACACTGCGTGCTTCCCTCTTGCTCAATGTATCATTAAAACTGGCTATTTCTGCTATCCAACCTTTAAATGAACTTATGCCCCAAGTCCTGTCCTGGGTCTTCTCTCTTTTTCCGTTTCATGGCTTTAACTTCTCCTAAGGGGGTGACTTCCAAATGTGTACCTTTAGCCCAAATATTTCATCTGGGCCCCAGAATCATGAATCCAATTGCCACCGGCAACTTTACATGGACCTCTAATAGGCATCTTAATATGCCCAAATTTCCCTGCCCCATCTTCACCATCTGTTTTTTTTTCCAATTTTTTCCATATAGTTTGTTAAATTATATAATAAAGAGCATAATCTTCCAAACAGTTGCTTAAACCCCACATTGAGGAATCGTTTTAGATTTCTTCCTCGTCCTCCCCGCCTGCATTCAGCTCATGACAAAGTCTTGCCAATTCTACCTGAAGAATATATCCCAAATGCATCCTCTTCCTGCCATCTCTGCTGTCACCCCCAGTCCAAGGCGCCATAATCTTTTGCCTGGACTACAGTCAAACCCTCCTATCTGGCCTCCCTTCTTCCACTTCCCTGTTTAGTCTGTTTTCTACATCACGAGGATGGATTTCTTTTTTTTTTTTTTTTTTTTTTGAGATGGAGTCTCCCTCTGTCCCCCAGGCTGGAGTGCAGTGGCGCTATCTTGACTCACTGCAACCTCTGCCTTCTGGGATCAAGTGATTCTCATGCCTCAGCCTCCCTGAGTAGTTGGGACTATAGGCGTGTACCACCATGCCCAGCTAAGTTTTTTTGTACTTTTAGTAGAGACGAGGTTTCACCATGTTGGCCAGGCTGGTCTCAAACTCTGGACCTTAGGTGATCCACCAATCTCAGCCTCCCAAAGTGCTGGGATTACAGGCGTGAGCCACCGCGCCCGGCCACAAGAGTGGATTTTTAAACATTTAAATCTAATCATGCATGTCACTGCCCTACTTAAATCTTCTATTATTTTCCTTCTTCATGTAGAATAAACTTCAAACTACTAACCATGGCCTAGAAAAGCCTCCATGACCTAGTCCCTGTCTTCCTCTTTCGTTACAACTGACTACTCTCTCTTGCTCACTAAGCTGCAGCTGCTTTTGCTTGACTGTCCCAGTTTCCTGCCTACTTCCTGTTCTCCCTGCCTAGAATGTTCTTCTACTGACTCTTGTAAGACTGGGTCTTTGTCAACCTTCAGATCTCTGCTCAAATATCAACTTCTTGGGGAGGCTTTTTCTCAGCAAGCTTTCTTTCCTTTCCTTTCCTTTTCTTTTCTTTTCTTTTTTCCTTAGAGACAGGGCCCCACTGTGTCACCCAGGCTGGAGTTCAGTAGCACGATCATACCTCATTGCATCCTTGAAGTCCCGGCCTCAAGCGATCCTCCCACCTCAGCCTCCCAAGTAGCTGGGGCTACAGGTGTACACCACCAGGCCTGGCTAATTTTTCTTATGTTTTTGTAGAGATGGGGCCTTGCTATGGTGTCCAAGCTGGTATTGAACTCCTGGCCTCAAGTGATCCCCCTGTCTCGGCTTCCCAAAATGCTGAGATTACATGCATAAGCCACCTTGCCTGGCCCTGAGCACTCTTTCTAAAGCAGGTTCTCCTGCACCCTGTGTTACTCTCTATCTAATCACTATATTTCTTTTGTCCATAGCACTAGTCAAACATTTAAATTATCTCACTACTTGTTTAATTATTGTCTATCTCTTTTATCACAATATAAATTTCATTGAGATAGAGACCTTTCTGTCTTATTCACACAAGTATTCTTGGCACCTAGAATAGTATCTGGCAGATAGTAGGTGCTCAGTAAATACTCAGTGAATAAATGAATGAAAGGGGCAACATTCACCCATGTGTAAGTATCCTCTGGAGGAACTATGTAGACTGAGTTAGATGAGCCCAGAGTGAAACCATAAGACCTTTAAAGCTCGTTCCGAGGAGAGGATGTTGCTTGAAGGTGTGGTTTCCTCCAACTGAGTGAGCCGCCGCCCTACACCACTGTGTTACCTGGGAAGAGAAGGATAGGAGAATGTTCAGGGCCAGGGGACACTAGATGTTAACAGAAATTCATTTCGTTTTCTTTTGAGTTAGAAGATGAAAGATAAGAAAACTTCTCAAGGCTTGGGCAGCCCCTCTCCAAGAAAATCCTGCTAGAATGGCAAGAAGGGCAATACTTTAAGCATTCCACCCTTTGATGGCCATACAGAGTGACAATCCCTTCCATGCAGAGGGCACAGGTGGACACCTCCCTCCTTGCAATCAGAGCATGTACCTACACTGGAGCCCTCAAGACCTCCTAAGGCTGAAAAATGTCTCGTGCACACCCAACTAATAGAAGATCCACGGTGTCTTGGGTGAGGTTCTGTGAGCCATAGAAACAATGAGAAATTTGGGGATATCATTGTGTATTTATTAATTTTTTATTTTTATTTATTTATTTGAGATGGAGTCTCGCTCTGTTGCCCAGGCTGGAGTGCAGTGGCACGATCTCAGCTCACTGCAAGCTCCGCCCCCCCAGGTTCACATCATTCTCCTGCCTCAGCCTCCTGAGTAGCTGGGACTACAGGTGCCCGCCACCATGCCCAGCTAATTTTTTTGTATTTTTCGTAGAGACAGTGTTTCTCCATGTTAGCCAGGATGGTCTCGATCTCCTGACCTCGTGATCTGCCTGCCTCAGCCTCCCAAAGTGCTGGGATTACGGGCGTGAGCCACCGCACCTGGCCCCATTGTGTGTTTATAACCCCCATCCCCTCCTCACAACCAAATTCAAACTGCAAATAGCAATAGACGCCAATGACTATTTGACCAACACGCTATGGTGGAAAACACATGGGCTTTGGGGGTCAGAGACACCTGGGCTCAAATTCCATCTCTGTCACGTATGGCTTAATGATCTTGGGAAATTTGCTTAACCTCTCTGAACCGTAATCTTCGTCTATGACAAAATTACCCTTTGCAAAGTTGTTTGGGTTCAGTGGTTTGATACATGGAAAGGACCCAACAAATAGTGGTATGATCGTTATGGTGGTAGATTTTTGGCTTACAACTCAGCATGCTAAAACACTTTATAGGCATGATAAAATGCAAAGTCTGTCTTACCTTTCTCCTCCTATCTCTATAAACCTTAGAGGATTTGAGCCTTGTAGAGAAACCAAATATTTTAAAACAAAAAGTTTATTTTCAAATGAATTTTGGTAAAGGTTGATATCCAATGTGTCCATTTGAGCTGGGTTTTTTTACTCAGCAGCAAGAATCCTAATACAGCATGTAACACAATTCTTGACCATAGCAGCAACTCTCTAACTGTTTAACTCTCAACTCTCTAACTGATTGCTGTTGTTATGACTGTTGCCCTTGGTCCATGAAGTCTATGAAGATTGTACCCCTAGCTTCACTGGGGCATTCCTGAAACTCACTGTCAGTATGGTTCTAGAGACAGTTTGATAAGTCCAACTGTCCTTAAACAAAATCTTTGCTATTGGTTCTATCCATAGAGTACACCTGTTTCTACTTCCCTCTCTTATTCACGAAGTCACCCATTGATCCATTCATCATGTCACAAGCTAGGAAAAAGAGCTTCCTGTTAGTTAAATTATCTGATAACAAGAGACACAGGGATTCCTCAGTATCTCCAAAACAGACTCCAGTCGAAGCCAATTGGGAGTGAGAGAGAGGATCTGGTGTTGGTGCTCTGTGAAGGAAGACTCGTTATGTCCCTACAGTTAAGAGTTTTCTTACCTTTGAACAGTGCTTAGATAGGCTGTTCCTGTCCTTTGTTGACAGCTAATGGTTTTTTACAGGCCTGAGCTGATTCATGTCCTGCCTGACCCTGACTCTCACATCAGCCTCCTGAACTCATCTGTACTTGGCCTAACTTTAATTATCTGGTAACAGCTGCTGCCTCCTTCTCTGGTGCAGCCCCAGTCTGGGCCTGGCTTCCAGCTGGCTTCCTGAGAGCAGGCCTCCAAGGGGCTGGAACATAGATTCTGCATGTCTTTGCAGAGGGGTATTTTCCCTGATAGCATATCCCCTTGGAGTGGCAGAGAGTTACTTTTCAGCAATCCTTGCCATTCACAGACGAGTTTTCTGCTATTTGAGCTCACTATTGCCAGAGATGGCCAGAGGAGCAGTGTTTATCACATAAGGAACGTGTCCTTGGATGCGGATCACCCTCGTCTGGCAGCAAACCAAAAACACCATTCATTCCGCCTCTTCTCAGAGCCACAGCTGGGACATTACAAACTGCATTAATATGCCAGAAAAATACCCCAGCAAAGGCTTCAGGGCAGGGAGCGACTGGGGTCAGCCCTATGGCATCAGTCAGCTCTCGGTCTCCAAGGCTGAGGCCTCTTCTTTCAGCAGCCTTATGGGTACAGTAATGCTGGGAAGGTGCTTCCATGGTGTTAAGAAGGTGGGACAAGGGACTCAGGAAGGAGTGCCCCTGGGCCTGGGACTGATGGTAGGTGGCCTGATGCCACTCTCAGGACTGGAGATAGTTCTACTTACAGGAGTGGAGCCAGGGTACAAGGATCACAGTCAGGTCAGATGGGGGAGGGCTGTTTGCTTGAAGCAGCCTGAGGCCATGTGGCCAGGGTGGAGAGCCAAAATCACCCCCCAAAACAAGCAGCGTAAACAGAATGAAAGAAAGTGTGAGGAATGGCCAAAGAGGCTGTTTCAAATGAAGGCTGTGGATAGCAAATCTGTGAGGGGGTTTCCTTCCCTGTGGGGCTGGTGTGACTCTGGAGGTGGGTGTGAGGGCTTAAAGTAGCTGCACAGGGTGCGCAGCTGGAAGGCTGAGCCTGGAACCTGGTGGGAGGGGCTTCCCTCAGTTTCCTAGGGTTGGGGAAGTGTAGGATTGATCGAATTCCTGACATAGTCTGCCTCCCTGACTGCAAAACTTTGTCTTCTATGGATCTATAGGATTTTTTTTTTCATTTCCATGATGTGTGATAATGAAATGTGGACTATTCTCACACCAAACGTATCTATGAAACTTGCAAGCCTATAAATAACCTGCCCCACTTTTTAGATCTCCTCAGGTCCAAGATGAAGACTTTGGTGTCTCACCCATGCTGAGTTCTGGGCTGTCACAAGAGGCACACTTGCTAGATTGCAGGCAGACTTTGTCCTCTTTATCAAGATCAGCTATGGCCCTGCAGTCTCCTGATCCACAAATTAGGTGGCAATCATTTTGCTAAATGTCTTCCATCTTTTCTTTATATCTATCCGTGATGCCTTTCTCAATTTTTTTTTGTCATGCCATCTAATCATTTTGTCCTCTACCAGCAGAAAATAAAACCTTAAATGTTTTTTAAATGTGATTTTTTGTGTGTGTGAACAGAGGAAATCATAGAGAGCTGTGATAAACTTGAGAAAGATGACAAACTTTTGAGGAATATCTAACCATTGGCTAAATCTGAACAATGATAATGTGATGGAAATAGCAGTAAAGAGATCTGGGCTCCAGTCCTATCTGAGTCTCCAGTTAACAGCATGACCCCTGAAATCACTCAGCCTCTCTGGGCCTCATCTGCCAAATGAAAGCTTGACTAGATCGGGGCTTCTCAAGTTGTAACATGCACACGAATTACTGGGCTCTGTTAAAATGCAGATTCTGATTCAGTAGGTCTGGGATGTGGCCTGAGACTCTGCATCCCAGATGATGCTGTTATGTTGCTACTGGTCAGACTTGACTAGCACTCTGTAATCACTGCAGAGACTAGCAGTCTCTGCTAAAAACACACAAATTTGCTGGGCGTGATGGTGCGCACCTGTAATCCCAGCTACTCGGGGAGCTGAGGCAGGAGAATCACTTGAACCCGGGAGGCAGAGCTTGCAGTGGGCTAAGATCGCGCCATTGCACTCCAGCCTGGGTGACAAGAGGGAGACTCCATCTCAAAAAACAAAAAAACAACAAAAAAACTGTCTTCAGGTGATTTTAACATGCTGTCCAAGGTTGAATATTACTATGATGAACTCTAGGAGTCTATGAACGTATGTATATGCACAAACATACATATGTATGCATACATATACATATGTGCATATATGTGTATGAATGTGTATATATACATACACACATGGAAAGTGAGTGTTTGATTTTTTCAGAGAATGTAGAAAATTAGAATCTGCTCCCTTTTGGCTTTCGATGTGTGGGGAGGGAGGGCAGAGAAGGATCAGAGGAAAGAGCAAAATGACTGTCCAGCCAAAAATGACATGAGGGTAAACAAAGCCAGCCACTTGCCCTGTTTGTAAGCTGCCCAATGTCCAGGCAGCAGCACTCCTGAGACAGGCTGATACAGAGCTTGTCAACCAAATGGGGCCTGCCAGACCTTGGGCTGTGACCTGGTCTGACCAGGATTTTAAACTAAAACCCTTTCTGCTTATGTATATATATGTATATATATATATATATATATATAATTTTTTTTTTTTTTTATTTTGAGATGGAGTCTCACTCTATTGCCGAGGCTGGAGTGAATGCAGTGGCTCAATCTCAGCTCACTGCAACCCACCTCGGCCTCCCAAAGTGTTGGGATTACAGGCAGGAGCCACCACACCTGGCCCCCTTTCCATTTTTAAACCTAAGTAGCTAGCACTATAAACCAGTAGGGCCAAACCACCTGCCAATTTGTAATTTCAGCAGTTTATTCTAAGCTTGGAAAAGCTGAGTGCACTTACCATAGGCCAGGCACCTGCAATAGAAAGGTTGGGCGGGGGGACAGTTTCCACTGTTTATGGAAGATGACGAAGAAAGTCATTGTGCTTGATTTTCATTGTATCATCATCAGAAAAGCAAAAGCAAAGAGTCAATGGCTCTTTGAAATGGCAGCTGTCTTTCAGGAGGATGAACATTAGAGAAAAACAGCTATGAAGTCAAGGCCTCTGCTCAATGAATAAATAGCCCATTTGTTCCTTGAAGGGTTTGCTTGAAGGCCAGCCTGGGTAACTTGGGGAGGAGGAGCTGAATGGCTCATCTGAAATCCTAAGGCAAATTTGCACTTGGGGGTTGGTGGTGACTGAAAAGATGGGAAAGGAGAAGGAGGGAGAGACACAAGCAGGGCCAGGGTGTCCTGGGTAGGGTATGGGTAGTGAGATATGTCTAGTTCTGGATGTTTTTGCAAAGGGACTTTTTTTTTTTTTTTTTTGAGACGGAGTCTTGCTCTGTCACCCAGGCTGGAGTGCAGTAGCACGATCTCAGATCACTGCAACTTCCACCTCCCCGGTTCAAGCAATTCTCCTGCCTCAGCCTCCTGAGTAGTTGGGATTACAGGCACACACCACTATGCCCAGCTAATTTTTGTATTTTTAGTAGAGACGGGGTTTCACTATGTTGGTCAGGCTAGTCTCGAACTCCTGACCTTGTGATCTGTCTGCCTCGGCCTCCCAAAGTGCTGGGATTACAGGTGTGAGCCACCACGTCCAGCTGCAAAGGGACTTTTGAGAATGAGTCGTCTGAGGAGTGTCTGAGCTGGTGCGGGGCAGCTCCCTCGTTCTCCTCACAGCAGCAACCTGCAAGTGAAAGGGCTGGTCCTGCTGAAATAACACCAGCGCCTAGATAAAGGAACAACCGTGGGGACAGAATGGAGACCCTCAATGCAGAGGAGGCTGGGACTGAGAGCTGCAGGAGCTGTGTGCACAGTCCTCCCTGCCCTGCCCCATTTGCAGAAATCTCAGGGAGAGTCCTGGACTTTCCACAGGACACAGGAATGGGATTGCAACCTGTTTTATCTAGACCTTAAAGGAGCAGAGCTACTCCAGCTGACACCAGGCCACATTTCAAGTCAGGTTTATTGAATGATGTGTTGGAGGAAATGCTTAAGATTCTGCATTTTCCTTATGCCTGAACTCTGAACCATTACCAGTTTATGGACATATGGAGGTAGTTGAAGTCAAAGGATATAGAGATTAGCTTATTTTAAGATAGTGAGTGACTAGGATGAGGGGATTTGTTGACCTGCTTCTTGAGAAAAGTGACTTATTGGGAACTTAAGCTCTGAGGCACTCAAAGGCCAGTAGACTGCACTTCCTGAGTGATAGAACTTTGGCAAGTTGTCGGAACACTGACCTTGATACTTATCCAGGGAGGCGCAGCGCCTTAGTTTCAAACCGCACGACTGGAGACTGCTCATTTTCCATTTCTGTACTGCCGAGAGCTTGGTGAAGTCACAGGTTTTGAAGAGTTACAGAGTTATTTGGAGGAAATAAGTTGCAATCTTGGAAGAGATTTGAGGAGTTTGAATCATGCTTAAGTTTCTGTGGCTGCCGCCGGAATCTTAGGAAATGATTTCCATACAGCTTATTAATTTCCCAGAAAACTGGTTTCCCTAGTGATGAGTGTTAATTTACAAGACCTGTAATGTAACTGCATGGATGGATTTTGCACCCAATGAGTGGGCCACGGAGTGGGTGGCAGGGCCCCCCTGTGGGAGTATGCTGAGGGGGCGGACTGGAATTAAAATCGGTCCACTGAGCTGTGTACCCTTGAGGGAGGCTGCATCTGCGGGGGAGGAAGGGTTGCCGTTTTCGTTTTCTTTTTCTTTTTCTTTTTTTTCTGAGATGGAGTCTTGCTCTGTCGCCCAGGCTGGAGTGCAATGGTGTGATCTCGGCTTACTGCAACCTCCACCTCCTGGGTTCAAGCGATTCTCCTGCCTCAGCTTCCTGAGTAGCTGGGATTACAGGCACGAGCCACCATACCGGGCTAATTTTTGTATTTTTAGAAGAGACGGGGTTTCACCATGTTGGTCAGGCTGATCTTGAGCTCCTGACCTTGTGATCCGCCCGCCTCAGCCTCCCAAAGTGCTGGGATTACAGGCATGAGCCACCGCGCCTGGCCAGGGGTGCCTTTTTCTAACACATCCACCTGGAGGTACCTTCCCCAAATTTGCCCAAGGGTGGCATCTAAGCAGGCAATTGAAGGACCTTAGTAAATGATGCCACATGAGGGTAGGCATCATTGTCCCCCTTTGGCCATCCTGACATGGTAATGGGGGTGGGAAGCCCCTAAGCAGGTACCCACATAGAGAGAGGCCAAGGAAAACTTGGATGTACCTTCACATGGATCCCTCGAGATTGATCAGTTCTCAGTGGCTCTGAGAAAACTGAAATACTTTAGCAGATGTTATTTAACTTTGGAGAGCAAATTTCCGTACGTTTCTGAATTAACATGGGTTTACCTTATCAATGTATTGCATTTTCAAAGATAAAAATATATTATGCCTTTGGGAAGCTGAAGTGGGCGGATGACCTGGGGTCAGCAGTCCGAGGCCAGTCTGGCCAACATGGTGACACTCTGCCTCTACTAAAAATACAAAAATTAGCTGGGCGTGGTGGCGGATCACGAGGTCAAGAGTTTGAGACCATCCTGGCCAACATGGTGAAACCTCCTCTCTACTAAAAACACAAAAATTTGCTGGGCATGGTGGCAGGCACCTGTAGTCCTAGCTACTCAAGAGGCTGAGGCAGGAGAATCATTTGAACCCACGAGACGGAGGTTGCAGTGAGCCGAGATCGCGCCACTGCACTCCAGCCTGGCGACAGAGCAAGACTCCATCTCAAAAAAGAAAGAAAGAAACAAAAACCTAATTGAATTAGAAAAGCCACAATCGTTTCTCTTTAAATCGAGTGAGAGTACATACCTAATTATCTGTTGGGTGTACCCACATCCTGTTCTCACTTAGGATGAATTTTGGAGAAGAGCAAATTTAAAATTATTAGTTATTAAAATGAGAGGCTAATAATATCTAGACAACAGGTGGTACTCAAAGCACTTCTTGGTTGGTTTATGGAGAGCTCTGCGGCTTAGAGAGGAGGACCGTGGTCACCAGTTGAAGTGGGATACTGAGACATGTGATGGCTTAGAGAGAATCCAGTTACCTACAGTTCTTCATCATCGAGATGACCCTTGTATACTTCAGACTCAACTTGTCTAAATGTAAACCCATCATCTCCTTCCTCAAACTTGCTCTGCCTCCTGCACCTTCAGTAAAGGATATCACCATCTGTCCAATGCCCAAAGTAGAAACTTGGATGTTTTCCTTGATTTCTCCGTTTTTTCCTACCTTGTCCCTTGCTCCCCAGGTTGCATCATTTACCGAATCCCATCAGCTCTACCTTTTAAATATTTCTTGAATCCATTCACTTTCCTCCATCCCCTCAGCCCCTTCCCTATTTCAGAGCTCTGTCTTCTCTCATCTGTGGGCAGCAGGAAGCAGCTTTCTGATTTCCTCACCTCTTGTCTTACCTCACTTCAAGCCATCCTCCACACCATAGCCAGGGTAGATCTTAAGTGTACATCTGATTGTCACTGGCTTTCTTAAAGACCAGCGTCCTACACTGCCCTCCAGTTCATGCCCAGGGTCCTGTGGCTCACATATTCCTTCAGGAACAGGCTCTGGGACCTCTCCAGTTTTACCTGTTGGCCACCCCAACCTCCATGCCACAATCAGCTTCCTTTAGATCTCTGAATGCCTCTTGCTCCCTCTTCCCTCTAAGCATTTTCTTTTTTTCACGTTGGTCCCTTTGTTTAGAATGCTTAACACTCTCCTATGTCTTTCAGCTTTCAACTTAGATGTAACTTCCTCCATGAAAGCTTTCTCTGGCTTCCTCGAGTCTAGGTCAGGTTCCCCTGTTACAGGCTCCCGGAGCATCCAGTATGCCCTCCATCACAGCCCTCACTCTGCATCATCTCTGCCGCCTAAGTCCCCAAAGAGACGATGAGACGCTTGAAGGTGGGGCTGTGACCGTCTCAGTGTTACGTCTCCAGCAATTACTGTATATATGGCTGGTACTCAATAAGTATTTGTCTATAATTGAGAGTCCACAATGAATGATTGCCCTCAGAAAGATTTGGTAGCAAATAGATTACGATTAAAAGAATTTTTAAAGGCATTTTTTTCCAACTTCATCTCTCTTCTTCTTTGCAGTTCGATCCTGCAAATGCTGTAAAGTTTTGACAATGAACGCATGTATGGGATAGCCTGGTATGATAGAAACAACTCCAGGCTTGGAATTCTAACAATGGCCAACATTTGTTGAACTCTCTATAATATGCCAGGCTATGTGCCAAACCCATTACATGCATTAACTTCTTTAGTCCTCCTAATAGCTCTGTGGGATAGCTACTCATCTTCATTCAACAGAGAGGAAATAGAGAGAGGCACAGGGAATCAGACCTCAGCTCAAATCCCTGCTCTGCCACTTACTGGCTGCATGACTTGGGTGAACAATCTCTCCCTCATTTCCTGAGCTATAAAATAGAGGTACTACTCGCTGATTCCTTGATTTGCAAATTTTAAGTTTTCTTATACCCCGTACATATCACACATGCATATTACATGGTGGCTTTTCATAGGTTAATTTCGAAGGCCACCGATACATTGCTGTGTATCAGTGGACAAATGACCTGCCACATGGTTTTGTTCCAGCCTGCCAGCCATTAGTTCAGCTTTAGCAGTGATCCTGTATGTGTGTTCAATTATTTAAATAATTGACTGTACCTTGCCCTCATTATATTATAAAAATGTGTGTAATGGAAATAAAATTCTGATACTAGTGATTATTAGAATAACTAACAATTATTGAGCACTGTGTCAGCGATGAAACTCTTGTCCCTCAGCTTCAAACTTGTCTCCCACTCTTCTATATTTGGCTGTGTGATGCAGGGGCTGGAACTCTGCAAACTGCATTTTTCCTTTGTCCCCTTCTTCCTGTTAGGCTCTATTAATAAAGGACCATTAGAGGGAGGTTGCAGGACTGGATGAGAAAGAAGGGACGTTTTCCCGTTGGCTTTCCATTTATTTCTGGTTGACTTCCTGTGCCTGTCACTATCATCCAGCAATGCTGCTTCTTCAGTCTAGCAGAAGCAGTTCAATCCAGCTTGCAGTTTTTCCAATTGGCAAAGCCAGCCTCATTGCATCTCTGAAGAGATGGCTGACAGCCAGCCGGTACCTCATCCTCAGAAGTCTGTGTCTCAGTCCCATGGGACTCCCCTCTGAGCTTCTAAGTCTTAATAACGGCAACCTCTTCCCTTTGTTCTCTCAGCCCTACAAGCTGCTTCCTGCAGTTTTTACCTCTGTGATAGCTTATTGTTCTCTTTTTGCTTTTTCAGTTACATCGTTCATTCTTTATTACCTAGCTAAGCATTCTCTGTGTTAAATTCTCACTGTTAAAACAACTCATCTGTTTTCCATCTCCTAACTGGACCCTGACATAAAGCATTTATCCAATTCACTTCATTCTAAGAATAATCCTAAGAATCTAACAATAATCCTAAGAAGTTGCTTATATCTATTTATCTATTGTAATTTAAAAAAATTTGTCATTGTTATTATTATTATTTTACAGATAGGAAACTAAAGGATACAGTGGTTAGGCAACTTGCCCAAGTTTACACAGCGAGAAAGTGGCAGAGCTTGGCTTTAAATCTACGCAGGCTAGTTCCAGGGCCCTTCATCTTAAACGTTAAGCCAGTGGTTCTCAAACTTAAGTGAGCATTACAATCACCTGGATGGTTTCTTTCTTTTCTTTCTTTTTATTTATTTATTTTTTTGAGATGGAGTTTCCCTCTGTTGCCCAGGCTGGAGCGCAGTGGCATGATCTCAGCTCACGCCAACCTCTGCCTCCCAGGTTCAAGCAATTCTCCCGCTTCAGCCTCCCTAGTAGCTGGGATTACAGGCGCCTGCCACCATGCCCGGCTAATTTTCGTATTTTTAGTAGAGATGGGGTTTCACCATGTTGGCCAGGCTGGTCTCGAACTCCCGACCTCAGGTGATCTGCCCGCCTTGGCTTCCCAAAGTGCTGGGATTACAGGCATGAGCCACCGCGCCCGGCCTGGATGGTTTCTTAAAACCTGAGTTTCTGGGTTTCATCCCCAGAGTTTCTGATTCAGTGGGGCTGGAGTAGGGCCTGCCCGAGAATTTGCATTTTTAACAAGTTCTCAGGTGATGCTCCTCTCAGGACCCAATTTGAGGACTGTACCACTGGGCTATAGATGTCAGGTTTAATGTAAGTAAGACAAAGATGGAAACAATTAAGCGGGCTTGACGTTGTGACTATCCTATCCTCAATTTAAGCCCATTGGACTTAAATCTGCCAAGTGTATATTATAAAGGAAAAAAAGTAAATGTTGAATTGAAGAGTTTGTCAGCCCTATGAGCTAGGTACTATTACCATCAATCTTATCTTACAAATGAGAAAACTGAGACACATGAAGTTTAATAACTTGTCCAAGATCACACAACTAGTAAATGATAAAGATGAGATTCAAACTCAGGCAGGCAGTCTGACTCCGAGTACCTTCTCTTAGCCATTGCACTATACTAATTCTCATAGGAGTGATAAATAGCAGTGTATCTCTGGGGAAAAAGAACACAACTTTTTTTTTATTTTTAGAGATGGGGTCTCATTTTGACACCAAGGATGGCACTCAGTGGCGTGATCATAGCTCACTGCTACCTCAAACTCATGGGCTCAAGGGATGCTGTCACCTCAGCCTCCTGAGTAGCTAGGACTACAGGTGCCTGCCACTGGGCCTGACTAATATTTTTATTTTTTGTAGAAATGGAGACTCGCTTTGTTGCTCAGGCTGGTCTCCAACTCCTGGGCTCAAGTGATCCTCCTGCCTTGGCCTCCCAAAGTGCTGGGATTACAGGTGTGAGCCACCACACCCAGCAGGATACAATTTATAATACTAGGATTGTCCTGGGAAAGGTTGCTGGTTCCCTCTGTGGACCAGCTTTACCAGGAGAGGGTCAATCAATGCATCCTTCACTGGGGACCTTCCAGGCAGCCCAATTCAATAGCACTCTGCAAATTGTGTCTGCAGTTGTGAGTGCAATCCTGCCCTTCGGCAGGCACAGTGGACCGCTGGAGTGTTACAGAGAGATCCTTCTCTAGACGGAATTAGGTAGCTCTCCTTTGATACTAGTAGCACTCATAAATTTAACACAATTGAGACAAAGATGGTCAGTTTTAAGCAAACTCAGAGTGGTGGGTTTTGTTTTCTCATTTGAATGTACGTTAGACATAAGCCCATTTGCTGAATTTTTTTTTAAAATTTTTTATTTATTTTTATTTTTTGAGATGGAGTTTTGCTCTTGTCACCCAGGCTGGAGTGCAATGGCGCGATCGCGGCTCACAGAAACCTCTGCCTCCCAGGTTCAAGCGATTCTCCTGCCTTAGCCTCCTGAGTAGCTGGGATTACAGGCATGCACCACCACTCCCCGCTTTTTTTTTTTTTTTTTTTTTTTTTTGGGACTTAGTCTTGCTCTGTCGCCAGGCTGGAGTGCAATGGTGTGATCTCAGCTCACTGCAATCTCCACCTTCCGGGTTCAAGTGATTCTCCTGCCTCAGCCTCCCAAGTAGCTGGGATTACAGGCGTACGCCACCACACCCAGTTAATTTTTGTATTTTTAGCAGAGACAGGGTTTCACCATGTTGGCCAGGCTGGTCTTGATCTCCTGACCTCGTGATCCACCTCCCTTGGCCTCCCAAAGTGTTGGGATTACGGGCATGAGCCACCGTGCCCGGCCTAATTTTGTATTTTTAGTAGAGACAGGGTTTCTCCATGTTGGCCAGGCTGGTGTTGAACTCCTGACCTCAGGTGATCTGCCCGCCTCAGCCTCCTAAAGTGCTGGGATTACAGGCATGAGTCACTGTGCCCGTCCTGAGTGTTTGATTTTTGAGAAAAAGAACTAAGTTGAAGACTAGTATAAAATGCTGAAAATATATGATTAAAGATTGGGTTGAGGCTGGGCGCAGTGGCTCCTGCCTGTAATCCCAGCACTTTGGGAGGCTGAGGCGGGTGGATCACTTGAGGTCAAGAGTTTGAGACCAGCCTGGCCAACATAGTCAAACCCCGTCTCTACTAAAAATACAAAAATTAGCTGGGCATGGTGGCAGACGCCTGTAATCCCAGCTACTCAGGAGGCTGAGGCAGGAGAATTGCTTCAGCCTGGGACATGGGGGTTGCAGTGAGCCAAGACTACACCATTGCACTCCAGCCTTACAAGAGCAAAACTCCATCTAAAAAAAAAAAAAAAAAGATTGGGTCTAAAAGGGTCCATACAATTTAGGACTTTTTATTTTCTCCTAGTAGCCTGCATGTTCCACATTCTATGGGAGTTTTTCTGTCCACAGGTTGGCCGTATGAGGCTGGACGCTCCTTGAGGGCAGAGCTATTCACTTCTATATCTCCTTGTGTCTAGCACCGTGGCTGGCACATGCTTGACATTTGATAAATATTGCTTAAACTCAAATTCCGGAAAGGGGCCAGTTTAAAAGTCCTCCTTGTTCATATTTTCTTGGACATGGTGATGACTCAGAACGAAGCCCACAGAGAAAGGGGCAGCCTGGTGAAAGGGGTGCACTTTGTCCAATTTAGACATAGAAATGACTTCCCGTTAAAGTGGGTTATTTTGAGAGGGTTAGAAATAATTTACATGTCAGTCAGTCAGTAGCCAAAATGGTTTTCATTATGTCTGGAGGAAATTCATGTCTCTGTTCTTCTTTGCCTAGGGTTTGAAACTTTGGTTATTTATTAATAGTTGCTATTTATTTAGCACTACTGTATGTCAGGTGCGGTACTAAGAACTTTCCATAATGAGCCCTCATTTAACAGCCACAACAAGGTGATGAGATGAGTAATCCATTTTATAGATGAAGAAACTGAGGATCCAAAAACTTAAGGAAATTACCCGAGGCCCTACTCTGGTAGATGCTACAAGTGCTGTTCAAATTCAGGTCTGTCTGACTCTGGAGTTCACGCCCTTTCCAGTGGGCACCGGTCTGCCTTCCTGCTTCCTCAAATAGGGCCCCAAGACCCCTAAAATGAGGTGATGGATCTTCTGGCTCTCCCCACACTAGGATTCTGTCTCCAAGTCTGAACACTCAAAATCCCAAAGATCTCTCTGAGAATGTGATGGCTAAAATTTTCGGTCTCCGGTTTGAATCTGATAATATACCTTCCCATACCATGCTGAAGGAGCACTTTGCAAAGTGGCAGTGGGACAGTCAGAAGTGAGCAGGGAGTTTTAAGTCCTGCCACCCTCAATTTCTCTTGCCATATTTGTACCTGGAAGGATTAGTGTAATGATAAACTTATTATGGATAAATTATATTGGCTATTTAGGGCATTTTGAATAGCGTTTTCTTATATATGCTGTCTACAATGCTGAGCAGCAGTGCTGTTAACCCTAACTGGGACTTGTCTGAAAGTCTTTTTTAAATGTGTTAAATGTTTCTACGTATTTTTTTCAGAATTATAAAACATCAGAGCTACTGTGTCATATTCAGGTTCCAAGACATTAAGTCTAGAAGAACTTTGGTTAATTCAGCGATCTCTGAATAATGTGGACGATACTCCCATGAAAATATATGAAAGCTTTCCTTGAAATGTAGAGTGAAAAAGCAGATTTTATTAACCTATTATTTTCCTCATTTTCCCCCTCTCATCTAAAAATATATTAAAATTCTGTAGCTTGAGAGTTCAAACAGACTTGAACAGATTTCTTTACTCTAGATGAAGTGTCTTAAAGATGGAAAGGCCTATTGGCAGCTTCAGAATGAGAGTGATTGGAAGTCCCTGGCCCCTAACTTCCTGCCCTGTGTGATACCTTGGTCTTGTCCTTAGCTGATCAGGTTCACAACATTAATTCTAATGGCACCAGCACAGCCAGAGGTGACCATCACTTGGGGGGATTTATTTACTCAATTGGAGGTTGTTGTAAGATTGAGTTCTTGAGGAAGCAATGACAGTGGGTGTAGGTAGCAGTGGCATCCAGTGCCCGGTACCAGCAGGGTCGGTGGTGCAAACTGCAGCATCTCACACTGGGGGATGATGAGAGTGGTATCCTAGCCAGGCAAGTCCTTTAGAGTGATTTTGAGCCTTGTTTTTGACTGCATCTTTCAAGTCTAGTTCTTCCTCCATGCTGGATTTTTGTGTGACCCCCATATGGTCCCTCAAACATTTTAAATTTAAAACATAAAAGTGGCTGGGCGCAGTGGCTCATGCCTGTAATCCCAGCACTTTGGGAGGCCAAGATGGGTGGATCACCTGAGGTCAGGAGTTTGAGACCAGCCTGAGCAACATGGTGAAACCCTGTCTGTACTAAAAATACAAAATTAGCTGGGTGTGGTGGCGGGCGCCTGTAGTCCCAGTTACTCAGGAGGCTGAGGCAGGAGAATGGCGTGAACCCGGGAGGCGGAGCTTGCAGTGAGCCAAGATCGCGCCACTGCACTCCAGCCTGGGCGACGTTGTGAGACTCCGTCTCAAAAAAAAAAAAAAAAAAAACAAACAAAACAACAACAACAACAAAAAACAAACGAAAGAAAGGTACTTTTTTTAGCTGATTTTTTAAACTTTTTTTTTAAATGTTAACATTTTAAAGTGTATGGTCCAGCAGTGTTAGAGTACATACACATTATTATGCAGCCAATCTCCAAAACATTTTTTTCTTTGTCTCTCTCTCTTTTTTTTTGTTTTTGTTTTTGTTTTTTGAGACGGGGTATTGCTCTCTTGCCCAGTCTGGAATAGATGCAGTGGTGCCATCACAGCTCACTGCAGCCTTGACCTCCTGGGCTCAAGCAATCCTCCTGCTTCAGCCTCCCCCGTAGTTAGGACCACAGGTGCAAGCCATCACACCTGGCTGAATTTTTTTTCTTTTTTCTTTTTTTTTTTTTGAGACAAAGTCTTGCTCTTGTCTCCCCAGGCTGGAGTGCGATGGCACAATCTCGGCTCACTGCAACCTCTGCCTCCTGGGTTCAGATTACAGGCGCCTGCCACCACGCCCGGCTAATTTTTGTATTTTTAGTAGAGACGGAGTTTTACCATGTTGGCCAGGCTGGTCTAGAACTGCTGACCTCAGGTGATCCATCCGCCTTGGCCTCCCAAAGTACTGGGATTATAGGCATGAGCCACCGCACCCGGCTGGCTGATTTTTTTTTTTTTTTGTAGAAACGAGGTCTTACTATGTTGCATAGGCTAGTCTTGGGAACTCCTGGGGTGAAGCAGTCCTCCTGCCTCGGCCTCCCAAAGTGCTGGGATTACAGGCAAGAGCCACCGAGTCTAGCCCAAAACATTTTTCATCTTGCAAAATTGAAACTCTGTACCCATTAAACAGTAACTACCCATTTCCCCCTTCCCCCAGCCCCCGGCAACCACCATTCTTTGTGTCTCTATGAATCTGAGAACTCTAGGTCCCTCATATAAGTGGAATTATGCAGTAGTTGTCCTTTTGTGTCTGGCTTATTTCACTTAGCATAATCTCCTTAAGGTTCATTTACATTGTAGTATGTGTCAGAATTTTCTTTCTTTTATTAGAACCCAGAAACAAATCCACACGCCTACAGTGAACTCATTTTTGACAAAGGTGCCAAAAACATACACTGGGGAAAAGAGAGTCTCTTCAATAAATGGTGCTGGGAAAACTGGATATCCATATGCAGAAGAAGGAGACTAGACCCCTACCTACTATCTTGCCATACAAGAAAATCAAATCAAAATGGATTAAAGACTTAAGTCTAAGATCTCAAACTTTGAAACTACTACAAGAAAACATTGGGGAAAATCTCCAGGACATTGGTTTGGGCAAAGATTTCTTGAGCAATACTCCACAAGCACAGGCAACCAAAGTAAAAATGGACAAATGGGATCACATCGAGTTAAAAAGCTTCTGCACAGCAAAGGAAACAATCAACAAAGTGAGGAGACAACCTACAGAATGGGAGGAAATATTTGCAAACTACCCATATGACAAGGGATTAATAATCAGAATAGATAAGGAGCTCAAACAACTCAATAGGAAAAAGTCTAATAATCCGATCAAAAAATGGGCAAAAGATTTGAGTAGACATTTCTCAAAAGAAGACATACAAATGGCAAACAGGCATAGGAAAAGGTGCTCAGCATCACTGATCATCAGAGAAATGCAAATCAAAACTACAATGAGATATCATCTCAACCCAGTGAAAATGGCTTATACCCAAAAGGCAATAACAAACGCTGGCGAGGATGTGGAGAAAAGGGAACCCTCCTACACTGTTGGTGGGAATGTAAATTAGTACAACCCCTATGGAAAATAGTTTGGAGTTTCCTCAAAAAACTAAAAATTGAGCTACCATATAATTCAGCAAGTCCACTGCTGCGTATGTACCCAAAAGAAAGGAAATCAGGATACTGAAGAGAGATCTGCCCTCCTGTGTTTGTTTCTGCACGGTTTACAATAGCTAAGATTTGGAAGCAACCTGTGTCCATCAGCAGATGAATAGATAAAGAAAATCTGGTACATATACACAATGGACTACTATTCAGCCATAAAAAAGAATGAGATCCAGTCATCTGCAACTATTTGGATGGAACTGGAGATCATTAAGTTAAGTGAAATAAGCCAGGCACAGAAAGATAAACACCCCATGTTCTCACTTATTTGTGGGATTTAAAAATCAAAACAATTGAACCCATGGAGAAAAAGAGTAGAAGGGTGGTTACCAAAGGCCGGGAGGGGTAGTGGGGAGTTGGGGGTGGGGAGGTGGGAATGGTTAACGGGCACAAAATATAGAAAGAATGAATAAGACCTACTATTTGATAGCACAATAGGGTGACTATTGTCAATGCTAACTTAATTGTGCATTTTAAAATAACTTAAAGAGTATAATTGGATTCTTTGCAACTCAAAGGATAAATGCTTGAGTGCATGGAGACTCTATTCCCCATGATGTGCCTGTTTCACATTGCATGCCTGTATCAAAACATCTCAGGTACCCCGTAAATGTATACACCTACTATGTACCCACAAAAATAAAAAAATATATAAAAAAGAACTTCCTTCCTTTTTAAGGTTGAGTAATGTTCCATTCTCTCTATACCACATTTTGTTGATCCTCTGTCAATGGACACTTAGGTTGTTTCCACCTTTTGGCAATTGTGAATAATGCTGCTATAAACACAGATTTTTTTCTTTTTAAATCCAAGATGCAAGCAAGATTTACATCCCAATATTCTGTTAATAAATTCTGCTTCTCCTAAAAATCAGTTAACGTTGATCTGTTGCTAGTCACCAGGGACTCAGACCAGCCAAATGTACGTGGGACAGCATACTACACTGTATGTGGTAGTGCTTGACTAATAAACCTGATTCTCTGTAATCCCAGCACTTTGGGAGGCTGAGGCGGGCGGATCATGAGGTCAAGAGATTGAGACCATCCTGGCCAACATGGTGAAACCCTCTCTCTAATAAAAATACAGGCCGGGCGCAGTGGCTGACGCCTGTAATCCCAGCACTTTGGGAGGCCGAAGCGGGCGGATCACGAGGTCAGGAGATCGAGACCATCCTGGCTAACACGGTGAAACCCCGTCTCTACTAAAAAAAATGCAAAAAATTAGCCAGGCATGGTGGTGGGTGCCTGTAGTCCCAGCTACTCGGGAGGCTGAGGCAGGAGAATTGCTTGAACCTGGGAGGCGGAGGTTGCAGTGAGCCGAGATGTTGCCACTACACTACAGCGTGGGCAATAGAGCAAGACTCTGTCTCAAAACAAAAACAAAAACAAAAAAAACAAAAAAAAACCTGATGCTAAATACATTAACTCAGAGGGGTGTTGGTGAGCGTGAATGCTGCTTCCACACCTGATGTATCCTGGCATTAGCCTCACACTACTGGCCTCTCTCCATTCTCACACTCCTCCCTCATTCTGCCACAAGGAAAATGGTGAAAATAGATGCTGTGTATATGGCCCAGCCTTTTCTTCTCCTCCACCTTTGGGAGTGGCTACTCTACAGCACTTTCTGCTTTGTAATTCTGGAGGTGAGATGGGGCAGGAGCCAGCCCTGATTCAGTGTTGCCATAACTGTGTGGATAATCTGTTGATTATACTGTTTGGCTCTCCGACTTAGCTAGAACGAAGTATTTGGTACTCATCTCCTAACTCTTTGTTTTACTTCTCAGCTGGTTCATCTCCAGGATGAAGGGGGGAAAGGTTGCTGCTTTTTTGGGCCCTTAAAACACCTCAATTATCTGAGAGACACCTGGATCCCAAACTTGACCATCTACCTACATGGTGAACCATTTCCTGTTGCATAAGTCTGCTCAGGACACCAAATTGCAATATGGAAGATGGCTAGATCTGAGCAGACCCATGTAAGAGAAATTTCGTGTTGCCAAAGAGATATTAGCATCAAACTAATTTGGCTTTCCAGACTCTAGGGACATTCCTGTTGAGATCACTAATTCCAGCTATGAGAAGCAGAGTATACCCCCGTCCCTGGCACCCTCTGCTACAGATACAAGGAGAATTTTTACGTTTTCTTTCTAGATTCCATTTAGAAAAAAACTCCAAACACTGCTTATTGCTGAAAACCTGGGAAAAATGGAAAAACACAAAGAATAAAACAAAAAAACATACAAAAGCTTATCACCCAGAAATAACCGCTTTAAAAGTTTTGGCACACTAATTTATATCTCCGACCCAAATGTCTTTCAGTTCTAAACTTGCATATTAAATATCCTACCTGATAGCACGTCTTGAATGTCACAAACTCTCCAGACTCAGCATGACCAAGCATTAACTCATACTCTTCACCCCCAAACCTGTTTCCTTTCCAGCGTTCTCCATTTCAGAGGGTTGGTACCTCTGTTTATCCAGCTGTTCACACTAGAAACCTAGGTCATTCTTGAAAATTCCTGTTCCTTTACCTTCCACATCCAATCCTTCACCAAGTCTTATTGATTTTAGCTTTGTTTTTTATTTTTTATTTATTTTTTATTTTTGAGGTGGAGTCTCACTCTGTTGCCCAGGCTGGAGTGCAGTGGTGTGATGTTGGCTCACTGCAACCTCCGCCTCCCAGGTTCAAGCTATTCTTCTGCCTCAGCCAACTGAGTAGCTGGAGTTACAGGCATTACAGGTGCCCGCCACCACGCTTGGCTAATTTTTTTTTTTTTTAAGTAAAGATGGGGTTTTACCATGTTGGCCTGGCTGGTTTCGAACCCCTGACCTCAAGTGATCTGCCAACCTTGACCTCCCAAAGTGTTAGGATTACAGGCGTGAGCCACTGTGCCCAGCCATGATTTTGCCTTTGATATTGCCCTCAAATGCATCTACTTGTCTCTGTCCCTAGCACTACTTCCCAGTTCACGCTGCCATCACCTGCCACCTGGATTAGTGTGATAGATTTTGGACTGGCTCTCTTCTCTTTTATCTCATCTGTGCTGGCCCTTAGTAATTTGTTCTCCATACTGAGACAAATATTTTCAAATTGCAAATTTTGATTATATCTTCCACACCCCACCCCACTTGCTCCCCCAGTCCCTTGGTAGTTTCCCATTGCTTGTAGGATAAAGACAAAACTGCTGAACCTGGTCCCTAGGACCCTGGATAATCTGGCCCTGCCTACCTCTCCCATCCCACATCATTCCCAGCCCAAATTTTCTTCACTCCAACCACTTGGCCTTCTTTCAGTTTCTTATACTTGCTGTAGTCTCTCCTCCAATGGGGCTTTGCCCCTGCTGTAGCCTCTTCCTGGACAACTCTTTTCCCTGCTGTTCATGTGGGTGGTGCATATTCTCCCATCACATCTTGGTCATCAAACAGGCCTTCACTGACCTCTTTGACCACGTCAAATTGCCCCTGAGAAAGGTTCTTCACCAAGTGCATCTCCCTCATGGCATTTAGAATGATTGCAATGTGTGTGTTTTTTTCTTACGATTGATCTCCCTCATTGGACTGTATGCTCCTTGAGGGTAGGAACTGTGTCACTTTTGTTCAGCATTGTATCTGGAGAACAGATTTTTGCACACCATTATATCACTAAATATTAAATATTTGATGATGAGTGAAGGCCTTTCCTTGTGGTCTTTTCATATATATATATGAAAATATGATTATGTGTGTGTATACATACACACACATAATCATATTTGCAAAAATGGCAACATAATGTACATTACTTTTTTTTTTTTGAGATGGAGTCTGGTCCTATCGCCCAGGCCGAGTGCAGTGGCGCGATCTCAGCTCACTGCAACCTCCACCTCCTGGGTTCAAGTGATTCCCTTGCCTCAGCCTCCTGAGTACCTGGGACTACAGGTGCATGCCACCAAGACTGGCTAATTTTATTTTTAGTAGAGACAAGGTTTCACCATGTTGGTCGGGCTGGTCTTGAACTCCTGACCTCAAGTGATCCACCTGCCTCGGCCTCCCAAAGTGCTGGGATTATAGGCGTGAGCTTCTGCACCTGGTCATAATGTACATTAGCTTTTTATAGCTTCCTCCCCTTAGCAATAAGTGAACATTCGGGGGCTGTTCTTATTGACAAAATCCACTTTTTGGAATTTTTGCTGTTTCCCATTTACTCCTTGACTCTTCATTTGCAAAGTACACTTTAGATTTGGATATGGATAGCAGACCTGAATTAGCACTGGCTGCAGCTATGGTATCTGATCCTTTCCTAGGGCCCATCAGTGCACCTGGTGACATCTCTGGTCTGTGGAGGATGGGAGCGCAGAGGTAGTATGTGGGGTCAGATGGATGAACTCCACACCACTGCTCTGCTTCTGTTTCAGGGAGGCTCATTTGGATGAAAAGAACAGAGTCTCAATCAAGCCACATTGAGAAATGTGGGCCCAGGCAGAAATCTCTCTAAAATTCATGAGCAGAGCCCTCATTGGAGCAGGAGGGTGGGTCCAGATCCACAGTGGGCTCAGGACTTCAGCAACAGGAGCCCATGGTCTTCCTTCCACCCAGCCTCAGGGTGACCTGTCTCAGCTACTTTCTGCATATTGGCTTCAGTCTCCTTTTTATGCCTTCTGGGTCCCTCTGCTTACTAACAGTTTTTGCTTTTCAGAAGTTTGGCTTGCACAGGGCTTTAGCTTGCCATGGCTCTGACCCTACCTCGTGGATCTCTTGATGAATCCTTTTGCCTCCTGTTTCTGCTGCCAAATGGCAAACTCTGTGTTCCTTATTTCAAATTTCAGAGAGAGGGAGGGAGGGAGGGAGGAAGAGAGAGACTCCAATGGTTCTATCTGATTTTTTTTGAGACATGGTCTCACTCTGTTGCCCAGGCTAGAGTGCAGTGGTGTGATCATGGCTCACTGCAGCCTCCGCCTCCCAGGCTTCAGAGATCATGCCGCCCCAGCCTTCTGAGTAGTCGGAACCACAGGCGTGCACCACCACATCCAGCTAATTAACAAATTTTTTGTAGAGACAGGGCCTCCCTATTTTGCCCAGGCTGGTCTTGATCTCCTCGGCACAAGCTGTCCACCTGCCTTGGCCTCCCAAAGTGCTGGGATTACAGGCATGAGGCATCAGGTGAGGCCCCATCTGACATTTTTGAGCCAGCTGTACGTGTCCTTGAACTAATCTCTGTACTTGGCTGTCTTTGGGTGGGGGGCGCTCACTCTAGTCCAAGTAATAAGGGGAAACAGCTGAGTCATGTGGTACCGGAAAATGGCTTCCTGGGGAATAGAGGATGTGGGCTGGTAACTTTTCATTAGAATAGGGCATGGGCGGCCAAACACTACTACTGACTTACCTGTGTGACCTGGGACAAAACAGCCAACTTTGGTTTTAAGCCTGGGTTTCCTCAGTTGTAAAAAGGAAAATAATCTATTTTATCAAGTTACAGGATAAAAGGATATAAAATGAGGAAAGGTACACAGAACACTTTGTAACATCTCAATAAATGGTGCTCTTAGTACTAGTATCATCTATAAAATACTTTTTTTCAAAATGGCTCTCTAATTCAGGCTCTTTAAAGGAACATTGTCCCAGATGGATAAATCCTTCTACGGATTGTTATGACTCTGGTTAGAATAATGTTCTGATGCAGAGGGTTGGGTGATGGAAATCTTTATTTCCCTGGGGAGGTGGTGGTGTATGGACCCATCTACACTGACTATGTGAAAATGATCCAAGATAACATGGGAAAAATAGATGGCCTGTAGATACTAACAAAGGGCATTGAAGGAGTTTTTGGTCTGAAGCCAGAAGCCTGATTTAGAATCAAATGTACACACTTTTTCTTCTACAGAAGGGTTTGCATAATAATAGCTAATGCTTACATAGTGCTTAATATATGCCAGCCATTGTTCTACAGGCTTCACGTATTTCCTTATTTCTATAACACATTGAGGTGGATACTATTATTACTTCCAATTTGTAGGTATATGAAACTGAGGCATTGACCTGTTTTGTTTTGTTTTTTTCTCTTTTTTTTTTTTTTGAGACGGAGTCTCGCTCTATCGCCCAGGCTGGAATGCAGTGATGCAATCTTGGCTCACTGCATCCTCCGCCTCCCTGGTTCAAGTGATTTTCCTGCTTCAGCCTCTGGAGCAGCTGGGACTGCAGGTGCGTGCCACCATACCCAGCTGATTTTTGTATTTTTAGTAGAGATGGGGTTTCACCATGTTGGCCAGGATGATCTCAATCTCCTGACCTGGTGATCCGCCCGCCTTGGCCTCCCAAAGTGCTGGGATTACAGGCATGAGCCACCGTGCCCAGCCTTGAAACTATAATCAACTGACCTTACTTTGACCTTATGCCTGTCTGCAGTCCTTGGTTCTCTGGGCTTGTATTGCTGTTCCTCTAGGACTGGAGTCTTGCCTTGCTCCTCCCACTTCCTTCCAGAGACAGTGTTCTTCCATGAACTCCAAACCGGAAGGCTAGCTCCCTTAGGGCTGCCACCAGACCCCTTAATAACTTGGGCAAGCCTGGTCAAGAGGCAAACCAGGACACAACGCCATCCTGGGACAAGCGTGAGGCTACATGGGATGGTCCAAAAGTTAGTATCTGTCGGGAAATTCCCTTTATGAGAAAACTAGATTGGCCTCAGGGCAGGTATAGAAGCTGGAAGGTGCCAAGCTGGGCTGCAGAAGTGGCTTTTTTTTTGCTTTATTTTTTTTGCTGATGGGAGCAGATGTGGCTTCTATAGCGAGAACTTGGAGGTGAGGACCACACTGGGGTCTGCAGAGGAAGAGTGGTACAGCATTTGGGCCTGGCAGATGAGTGTCCCAATACTGCTCTGCCTCTGTTTCGGGTAAGTGCGTTTGCCTGTAAGGAGCAGAGACACAATCAATCTACTTCATGAAAAGGGGGTCAGGCAGAATCTCTCTGAAATCCAAGAGTAGAGCCCGAACTGGAGCTGGAGGGAGGTGCACATGCAAGGAGGCCGCAGGACCTCGGCAATCTAAAGAGGAGGGTGGGGTCACAGTGGGGTGATAGTGAATGTTCAGCAACTGGCTCTCAAGGACAAAGCCCTGATTCATAGCATTTATCAATTTCTATGGTGTAAATATCCCTATCATGGCTAATTTCAACCAACACCAAGTCACTGCCCTTGAAGTGAGGAAGAAATGCACAAAATCAACTCCCTAGGGTCAGTACAAGTCTACTGCAGCATACCAAATGTTAATTTTGATTCTTTTCTGAATTTTCCAGGTTTTCAACAAGGTAACTTATTATTGTTTCATAACCAGAAAAACACCCAGCAAAAGTTAATTTTTTAATAAAAGAAATGTGGGGTTTTGGGGTGGGATGAAAAATGGGATGTGGTTTGTTAAGGACAAACTTCCCTGATTTCACTACTTGTTGAGGGTAGACGGTCAGCCTTGGCTTTTACCATCTCTTGCCTCTATGCCTTCTTTTTCTTTTCTTTTCTTTTTTTTTTTTTTTGAGACTAGGTCTTGTTCTGTTGCCCAGGCTGGAGTGCAGTGGTGTGATCTCAGCTCACTGTAACCTCCACCTCCCAGGTTCAAGTGATTCTCCTGCCTCAGCCTCCAGCGTAGCTGGTATTATAGGCCCCCACCATCATGCCTGGGTAATTTTTTTGTATTTTTAGGGGAGACAGGGTTTCACCGTGTTGGGCAGTCTGGTCTTGAACTCCTGACCTCAAGTGATCTGCCCACCTCCACCTCCCAAAGGGCTGAGATTACAGGCATGAGCCATAGCACCCGGCCTCAATCAATCCTACCTCAGCCTCCCATATAACTGAAACTACAGGCATGCGCCACTGTGCCCTGCTAATTTTTGTATTTTTGGCAGAGACGCTGATCTCGAACTCCTGAGCTCAAGTGATCTGCCCGCCTCAGCGTCCCAAAGTGCTGGGATTACAGGCGTGAGCCACCACACCCGGCCTTACTTCCACCATTTTGCGGACATTGTTTTAAGGAGAGGTTGCTCAGAACCACCTGGTAGGGGTCTTGGGAATACCTGGCTTTCCTAAGTTCAGGTCCGCAGCGGACATGTCAGGGTAACGCCTAGGGACCAGGCTGGGTGGTCCTGAATAGAAAGTTAAAAAATTATAACTCATATATGACAAGCCTTTTATTACGTTGACTAGAAACATTATGCTATGGAAAGCGTGTGTTGTACGCAGAATTTGTAAGAGGAAATAAAGCCTTAATGCCGCTCTTTTAAAAAGAATCCCCTCTGGATGAAATTATAAAACACTTGGCTCTGGGTTCTGCTTTGTTCTTGGATTTTGATATTTGGGCTCACCACTTCCATCAGGCTTGTCTTTCTCCTCCGGCAACTTCCCAACTTCCTGTTTGGGATTCAGGCAGACCCCGTGTCATTGTTTTGGATGAAGGCATCTATCTTTCGTTATTATTATGACGGGATGTGGTTGGCAAGAGGAGTTGGCCTGAGGAGCCCAGGGCCAGGCATTTGATGAGCAGGAGCCTGGGAGCACTGGGCACCCTTGAATCAGGCGGAGGAAGAGGCCAGGCCAGCGGCGTCTGCGGGAGGCCGCGATTGGGAGAGGCCGGCACACTCTACCTGGGAGCTGAGGATACTCAGAGGAACCCTGACCTGAGGTAAAAGCTGCAGCTTCTCTGTTTTCTGGGCCCTCAGGTATTAACTGGAACCAGAAAGAGGCCACAAGATGGCAGGCAAAGCTGGTCTTGTCTGAGGCATGGGTGGATATTTCATTTGCCTCACACTTATCAGGAAGACGTGAAGTCCTGAGTGTGCTCCTTCAGCATGGGGTGGGGTGTCAGGCGCTGGCTCAGGAGCTGGAAGTCTGGAACTGCAGTCCCATTCAGCTACTAACTAGCAAAGTGCTGGCATCAATGCATGTTGACTATTATTGTTATGGTTGTTATTACCTTTGTGTTGTCAAATAAAACATGGAAAATGATACAAACAAATGTATAGCTTAGTGAATTATTATAAGGCACACAATACTGTTGTAAACACCACTAAGGTCAAGAAATTGAACTTTGCCAACTACCCCAAATCTCTTTCACGTGTCCCTACCCAAACACAGCCCGGTGAAGGGACATGTTTGGTGTGTTCCATCCAGGTTTTGGCTTGGGATGTATTTAGTTGGAGGATGCCTCAAATGTTAGACCCTCAAGTGTAGATGTTAAGTAAGCAGTTGGATACCAATGTTTATCTAGTTATTGTAGCACAGAGCCTAGAGATAATCCAAGTTATCCAAGCCTGGAGATTATCCAAGTTATCTCTAAGCTTTGTGCTGTGATAATTAGATAAATATTGGCTTACTATTTGTTGAAACATCATTACAACCATCAGAAACATTAAGAAAAGATGTCTATTTCCCAGAACACAAAGAACAGGCAAAGATATATTAGGAAAAGTAAATGAAAAGAAAGCAGGAGTGGCAATAGAAACTCCAGACAAATCAGAAAATTATTTAAAGAAAAAAATTAACAGGATAAACAGGGATATTTAATACTAATAAAAGGTACAATCAATAGCAAGGATATAACAACACCGTACTTTGAACAGAGATTTAGAGCATTAAAATATATAAAGCAGAAGAGAGTGACTAGGGAGTAAGGTTTGATATCTATGTATAGGAGAAAGGTCACAGAAGCTGGGGATAGGGTATGGCATGGAATCTGTGTTGACCCTACCTCTTTCAGTGAGGCCCTCTTAGCTAAGCAGGAGGCCACCAGTGGGGCCAAGTGGGAGTCCTGGAGCCCAGCTCTGACATATGCAAAAATCTTAGACCCTCTTGAATTCCCACCTTTCTCCTCCTACCCTCCTGTCCTGTCTTACCTCAGTCTCCTTCATTCACCTGGCTTCATCTCTGCTTCACCTTGACACTGAAGTCTAAGGGCAGATTCAGTTTAACTAACTGGACCCTCCATAGTTTTTTTTTTTTTTTTTTTTGAGACGGAGTCTCACTCTGTCACCCAGGCTGGAGTACAGTGGCGCGACCTCGCCTCACTGCAAGCTCTGCCTCCTGGGTTCACACCATTCTCCTGCCTCAGCCTCCCAAGTAGCTGGGACTATAGGCGCCCGCCACTACACCCGCCTAATTTTTTGTATTTTTAGTAGAGATGGGGTTTCACCGTGTTAGCCAGGATGGTCTCGATCTCCTGACCTCGTGATCTGCCCGTCTCGGCCTCCCAAAGTGCTGGGATTATAGGCGTGAGCCACCGTCGCCAGCCGACCCTCCATAGTTCCATTGAACACAGCTTAACATATGACTTTTTTTTGCTTTTTTGTTTTGTTTGTTTGTTTGTTGAGACAAGGTCTCCGCTCTGTTGCCCAGGCTGGAATGCAGTGGTGAGAACATGGCTAACTGCAGCCTCCACCTCCTGGGCTCAAGCAATCCTCCCGCCTCAGCCTTCCAAGTAGCTGGGACTACAGATGCATGCCACCATATATGACTAATTTTTTTATTTATATTTTTTGTAGAGATGGGGTTTTGTCATGTTGCCCAGGCTGGTCTGGAACTTCTTGGCTCAAGCAATTTTCTTGCATTGGCCTCCCAAAGTGCTGGGATTACAGGCGTGAGCCACCACACCTGGCCCAAGCATATAACTTTTGGAAGCTGACCTTGGCCGCCTGCCAGGTCTCAATTTAAATTCATGACTATTAATCTTAAAAAGGGCGAGAAAGGAAAGATTAGGTCAGATCAGAAAGTAAAAATTTGCCCTCCCATTCATCAGGCTAGGAAGTCAGACACAGATGAAACATTAAAAAGAAACAACGTTTCTTCAAAGATTAGGTCAGATCGGAAAGTAAAAAATCTGCCCTCCCATTCATCAGGCTAGGAAGTCAGACACAGATGAAACGTTAAAAAGAAATAACGTTTCCTTAAGTGACTCCTTGCAATTATAAATGTGTCATAAGGATACCCTTCGTGGGTGACTACTTATTCTTACTGAGAAAAATTGTTTTCTAAAAATCACAGACCATCAGAAACTTTGTTGTTTGCCATTGTGTCAGTAAGAATGAGATCTCATAGTTGTCTGGAAGATCTAAATCACTTTGACACTGGGAAGCAGTCTCAATTTCCAACTCAGATACGGGGCTTCTGAATACAACATTCCACATCTATCTCAATTTTGTAGTTTCCAGGGAGAAAAGACTTTGGGTCCACTGTAAAGTCTAGACTTAATGTTTATCCTTTTACAGATAGTCCCACTGTGCTTTGAACCTATCTTGATACTGTTCATTTACATTTAACCTAAACTTGGGGCAGGTGCGGTGGTGTGAGCCTGTAGTCCCAGCACTTTGGGAGGCCGAGACGGGTGGATCGCTTGAGCCCAGCAGTTCAAGACCAGCCTGGCCAACATGGCAAAACCCTGTCTCCACTAAAGATACAAAAAATTAGCCAGGTGTGGTGGTGCATGCGTGTAGTCCCAGCTACTTGGGAGGCTGAGGCAGGAGAATCGCTTGAACCTGGGAAGCGGAGGTCGCAGTGAGCTGAGATCGCACCACTGTACTCTAGCCTGGGCAACAGAGTAAGACTCCGTCTCAAAAACAAACAAACAAACAAACCTAAACTCCAAATTTTCTTGTAATTTTTATTAGAGTAAAATAAACCTATAAATGTATTCGGAAAGAATTGGTCCTTTTAATAATATTTAGTCTTTCCATAAAGGAACTTGGTATATTTATTTAAGTTTTCTTTCGAAACTCTTAGTAAAGTTTGTTAGTTTTCTTTATGTTGCTGGTTGCTGTTATTGCTAGGCATTTACATATGTTTTATTACCATTGTGAATGGCATTATTTTTCCATGACTTTTTTTTTTTTTTTGAGGCAGAGTTTCGCTCTTATTGCCCAGGCTGGAGTGCAATGGCACAATCTCAGCTCACTGCAACCTCCACCTCCCGGGTTCAAGCGATTCTCCTTCCTCAGCCTCCCAAGTAGCTGGGATTACAGGTGTACGCCACCGCGACTGGCTAATTTTTGTATTTTTAGTAGAGATGGGGGTTTCACCATGTTGCTCAGGCTGGTCTTGAGCTCCTGACCTTGTGATCCCCCTGCCTTGGTCTCCCAAAGTGCTGGGATTACAGGCATGAGCCACCACGCCCGGCCGTCAGGTTTCTTTATATGCTCCATTATAATCTTTTGGGACCACAATTGTATATTCAGTCCATCATCGATTGAAATGTCATTGTGCTGGGCATGACTGTACTTGTGACCGTTAATTTTAGATGTCAAGTTTACTGGGCTAAGAAATACCTAGCAACCTGTTAAAGCATTACCATGGGGCGTGTCTGTGAGGTTGTTTCCAGGAGAGATTAGTGAGTCTGAGTGGACTCGGTAGAGAAGATACACTCTCAGTGTGGGTGGGCACCATCCAATCAGCCAGGGGCCCAGAGAAAACAAAAACAGAAGAAAGGTCGATGTCTCTATCTCCTGAGGCTGGGATACAGTCATCTCCTGCCTTGAACAACAGGACTCCAGGATCCCCTGCCTTTGGACTTCAGGACTTACACCAGTCTCCCCACCCCCTGGATTCTCAGGCCTTTGGCTTTGGACTGAGAGTTATACCATCTTCTCTGGTTCTGAGGCCTTTGGACTTGAACTGAGCTCTCAGCAGTCTGTCATGCGACTTCTCAGTCTCCATAATCACGTGAGCCAATTCCCCTAATAATTTCCCTCTGCTATGCCTCTCTAGGTATCCTTTTGGTTCTGTCTCTCTGGAGTCCATCATCGACTGAAATATCATTATGCTGGGTATGACTGTAATTGTAATGGTTAATTTTAGATGTCAAGTTTGCTGGGCTAAGAAATACCTAGCAACCTGGTAAAGCATTACTGTTGGGCGTGAGAGAACGCTAACTGATACGCTCCTATAACTTCCCCAGGATATCATGGGATTTTAATAATGACAGTTATTACTACTTAACTGAGACATGCAGAGGTAATGAAAATACTTCAGGATCCACCGTTAGATGCACGGTCAGTAGATGTTGGGCTAATCTGAGACGTGCTATGGCAATTCGGTGTAGACCCACCCTGACTCATCCTCTGAGAAGATGCTGTTGATGGAGTTTTGGAAACCATTTCTTCTGTGCCCCCAAAGCATATTCGAAACAATAGACATTTTTTTTGGTGGGGGAAGACATGAAAGTTTGCCATGACGTTGTTTTCCCCTGGGTAGGGAGGAGGATGAAGATAGACGATCTGCAGTGCCGCCAGAAATGAGAATGTCAGGGATAAGTGGGGTTTCCATGGTTTACAAAGCACGGTTGTTGGATCATTGTGGGGTCTCAGACTCCTGGGAGGAGGAAGTGGGAGGATCATAGACTGTCTCCTGTCCATCCCCTCGCTGACGACTTGGGTTATTGAGCCACTAGGAGTACAAATGTGAAGCAGGAGGATTATAGACTGTCTCCTGTCCATCCCCTCATTGACGACTTGGGTTATTGATAGCATTAGGAGTACAAATGTAACAGCCACCACCGGAGGCTTCCTGCTCACGGATATGAGGTGGGAGATGCACCAAAATAAACACACAGCACTCACAGTGGACTCTGAGAGGACACTCCTCTTCCAGAACCCCCTCCCACACACCTATTCTAAGTAATTTCTAACCCTGTGATTACTCACAGAAAGAAGAAGAATAGAAGTTGCTGGCATTTGTAGTAACAGGATGAGAAAGTGCGAGACTTCCTGTTATGTGTGTGTGACAGCTGGTGATAAGTGGAGGGCCCTGCACAGGAAATCCGCTCAGCTCCTGCAATGGGGCCTGCCTGACACTTGGGCGCTCCTTCAGTCTCGATGTTGATGGCAGGACAAAGGGGCGCCTGGACCATGGGTGATGTGGTCGAGAAGAGTTTGGAAGGGCCCCTGGCACCTTCTACAGATGAGCCCTCCCAGAAAACAGGAGACTTGGTCGAGATCTTAAATGGGGAAAAGGTCAAATTTGACGACGCGGGACTCTCCTTAATTCTTCAGAATGGCCTGGAAACCCTGCGAATGGAAAACGCTCTGACAGATGTCATCTTGTGTGTGGACATTCAGGAATTCTCCTGCCACCGCGTGGTGCTTGCCGCAGCCAGCAACTATTTCAGGTCAGCATGCCTAGGACCAGAGTCAAATTGGGTGCAAGTTGCAAGGAAGAGGTGTGTTAGTGTGAGAGCCCAATCTTGAACAGTTGGCCATGATATTTATGGTTTACATATATATTAAGGCTTGTGTGTCTACTTAAAATATAAGAAAGGACACTATCACACTTTATTTTATTATTTATTTATTTATTTATTTTTGAGACGGAGTTTTGCTTTTGTTGCCCAGGCTGGAGTGCAATGGCGCAATCTCGGTTCACCGCAACCTCTGCCTCCTGGGTTCAAGCGATTCTCCTGCCTCAGCCTCCCGAGTAGCTGGGATTTGCAGGCATGCACCACAACACCCGGATAATTTTGTATTTTCAATAGAGATGGGGTTTCTCCATGTTGGTCAGGTTGGTCTTGAACTCCCGACCTCAGGTGATCCACCCGCCTCCGCCTCCCAAAGTGCTGGCATTACAGGTGTGAGACGCTGCGCCCGGCTTATCACACTTTAAATTTTAGGATTTAGGCCACATTAAAAGAGAGATTGGCATCATTTAAAAGCAATGCTTACATTCTATAGTAAACCTTTTGTGTATATTTCCTTGTTCCAAAGGATGGAAAATTACTGAAGTCATGGGGACTTTTTTCCCCCTTGGTCTGACTGGTGTTGGAAACATAATGTTGTCTTTGTTAATCAACAGACATAGAGAAAAAGGATGTGGCCCCTCTTCTGGAGTTGTCAAATGACTTGTTACAAATTAGGGGCTTCTTTATGTGTAGGCAGTGTGGGGAAAGGGAAAGCAGTTACAAAGATGCTTTAGATGGGAGAGGCCTCTAGTTACGATAAACTGGTGATCTCATAGTGGGAAGGCCTGAAGTCAGGAGACTTGGTTCCTTCTTGACAGTGAAACTTTAGGCAAGTCACAAAGTGCTCTGAATGTCTGTTTCATCATCTGTAAGGTGAGCACAATGATGATCACCTTTCAGGGCTGTCATAATTAAACAAGAGCGTGAAAAGGGTCCTACACAGTGTCTAGCATATAGTAAGTAGATGCTCAATATATCTTTCTTGGAATTCTTTTTCTGATTCTGCTTGATTCAGCTAAGGATGACTTATTGAGTGTTTCCCATGAGCACGTCCCTGGGGTAGGAATTTTATAGCGCTGGGAACCCAGTGAATACACCTGATCCAGTGTTCTCCATATCAGCATGGACATGGGGGAACCAGCCTGCAAGGGCAATGTGGATAATGAAGAAAGTATTTGGGAACTTGAAAAGAAATACCCTTAGAATTCTTCTTAATGAGATTCTTCTTAACTCTTGATTCTGGCTGAGGAAATTGAAAACGATTAACCTATGAAAGTATTATGGAAAGCGTTTTCTTTCTTTCTTTTTTTTTTTTTTGAGGTGCTTGGGGGGAAACGTTTCTTTGTAATTCATAGAGCAGGATCAGCAGGTTGCTGTGGGACTCATTAGGTCTCCTGTGTTGATAAGACAAGGGGATATCTGGGTTTGAGGGAAGCAGTGGCTGCTGTGTGCCAGACAGACATAGTTATCTGATTTTATTTTTGTAACAGCATGATGAAGGTGGCTGATATTTCACAGATGAGGAAATGAAAACTCAGCATTATATATCTGGTCATTGCTGGAGCAGGGACTGGGTATGTTCTGGAAATCCTTGTTACTGCAATGCAAGCTGCCACTAGGTCTGGGACTTCATTCCATGGGAAGTGTGTAAAATATAAAGTGTAAACACAGCCATCAAAATGGGTTGATATAAACACATTACTTTCTCCACCAACCTTGATCACGTGCTTTCACGTTGACTGCAGCCCCTCTCAGGAGTGAGTGAAGTCAAGTTAGCTCAATGCCCTGGGGACGCACATTTAGGTTGATCCTTTTGTATCCCTTGCTATCATAAAATGCATACCTGGAAGCAGTTTTGTTAGCGGGTTGGCCTGGCTGTGGACCAGGCCCGCTGGCTGTGTGCCCTCGAGTTGATCACTGGTCTTCTCTGGTTCTTGGGTTTCTCATCCTAAATGGGAATTTGGGCTTGGGTCCTTCCAGCCCTGCTGATCCAGGATACTTAGGGAAAGTCTCTGCCGGTCGTCAGAGGAGGCAACGGCAATGAGAAGCTGGAGAACATGAGGGTGAAGGCATCTGACTGTGTATACAGAGCCTCTCCCAAAACTGCCTGGTCATGAGAGGAAATTCCTTCAATTCTTCTCTTCAGAGAAGTGACTTTTGCTTCTTCTCTTGGGATTTTCAACGTGACTTTCCTTCTACAATGAATACTGTCCTGGAGACAGGATTCTTTCTTCCGGTGCTACTATTCCTATCAACTCCTGTTTGTGGAGCGCTTACTGTGGGCCAGGCCCTGTAGCTTCTGTATCACATACTCTAGTCCACTCCACCCTCACAACAACCTGACAAGGCAGGGAGTCCTATCCCCAGCCTACCGACGGTGAGCCAAAGTCCAGAGTGTCACAGCAAATAAAAAGTAGCCAAGCTGGGATTTAGACCTAGGACTGACGTTAAATCTGACACACTCTCTCGCTTTGTGTCTGAGGTTTTGAAAGGGGTTCTTCGTATGCTCAGGTTTAGGGAGGTCAAAGAGTCTCTCTGTCTGAGAGGCTTTCTTTTTTTTTTTTTTTTTTTTTTTTTGAGACGGAGTCTCGCTCTGTCGCCCAGGCTGGAGTGCAGTGGCACAATCTCTGCTCACTGCAAACTCCGCCTCCAGGGTTCAGGCCATTCTCCTGCCTCAGCCCCCTGAGTAGCTGGGACTACAGGCACCTGCCACCACGCCCGGCTAATTTTTTGTATTTTTAGTAGAGACGGGGTTTCACTGTGTTAGCCAGGATGGTCTCCATCTCCTGACCTCGAGATCCACCCGCCTCGGCCTCCCAAAGTGCTGGGATTACAGGCGTGAGCCACCGCGCCCGACCAGTCTGTGAGGCTTTCAACACAGCTCTCTGTGTTTTGGAGGGCCTGGAAGCTGGTTATAAAATTATGTCATTTTTTTCCTTTATTCACTGAGAAAATAATTACTTTCCACTAAGGGACTGACAATAGTTTATTAAACAGTCCCCTACGGACAGACATCTGGACTATTTCTAATCCACATTTTGCTATTACAAACAATGTTGTAATGAATAACCTGAAACATGAGTTTTTTTCATATGCATTTCTTGAAGGGGGTTTGCTGAGTCAAATGCATCTGCAGTCTTAGCGGTTATTGCAACTTCTCTTTCATTGGGGTTGAATCATGTTGCGTTCCCCCACGGCATCACCAAAAGAGGGTGTCATCCAACCGCTGAAGTTTTACCAATCTGATAAATGAGAAAGAATATCTCAATTTAGCTTTAATTTGCATTTTTCTTATTTTTAGTAAGATCAAACATCTCTTCGTATGTTTAAGGGGCATCTGCAGTTCTTTTTTTGTTGAACTGTCTCTTCACTGCCTTTCTGTTTTTCATGTATTTTTTTAAAATTAAATTTTATTTTTTATTAAAGATATGCAAATAGTAAACAAAGCGTTAAATAGTATTTAAAGGCTTATAATGAAAAAACAAAAATTCCTATTTCCTCCTCCACCCTGTCTCATGCGCCAAAGGCTACCACTTTCAACTTCTATTTGTTTCTTCTGGCACTAGCTCTATATTTCTGCAAAATACACTTATACTGCTCTTTCTTGATTTTTCAGTGTTAGACATCATTCACTGATTTCAAATAAGGATTTAGTATCCTTACCTAACCTCTTACCATAAGCTTTCCTTCCCTGTAATCTTTCAACATAATGTTATCACAACAAGAGTTTACATTATTATGTTCACGAAAACCTTGTTCTCTGTTGAGCCAAATTACTCAATGATCACGTTTCTTTTCTTGTAAACCTTTTGTCTTTCCTGAAGTTATTAATTCACTCATTTTTTCATTTGCTTTGTTTTGGGGTGTCTTTTGCTCACAGGCTCACAAAAATCTTTCATATGGTCCAATGCATCAAACAATCTACCAGTTCCATTTCCTCAGAATCCTCCTGCCTTGCATCATGTTACACATGTTCCCTGGATTTGCACGCTGGCTGGGATTCACCTGCTTCTCCATCATTCCCCGGGACTGTCTGCTATGTTGAATGGAGCCTTCTCCCTTCAACCCCTATCTTTCTCTTCCCTGGTTTACCATCTTACCCTGATAAGCACATTCTCCAATAACTTCCTAAGAAAGAGTGCATGGGAAGTAATTTTTTTTTTTTTTTTTTTCTGAGACAGAGTCTTGCTCTGTCGCCCAGGCTGGAGTGCAGTGGCAGTATCTCCGCTCATTGCAAGCTCCGCCTCCTGGGTTCATGCCATTCTCCTGCCTCAGCCTCCCTAGTGGCTGGGACTACAGGCGCCCGCCACCACGCCCAGCTAATTTTTTTTTATTTTTAGTACAGACAGGATTTCACCATGTTAGCCAGGATAGTTTCAATCTCCTGACCTCGTGATCCACCCACCTTGGCCTCCCAAAGTGCTGGGATTACAGGCGTGAGCCACTGCGCCCAGCCCATAGGAAGTAAATTTTTAAGGCCTCGCATATATTTTTGTTTTGTTTTGAGACAGGGTCTTGGTCTGTTGCCCAGGCTGGAGTGCAGCAGCTTGATCATGGCTCACTGCAGCCTCCCTGGGCTCAAGCAATTCTTCCACCTCAGCCCCCCAAGTAGCTGGGACCACAGGATGTACCACCATGCCCGGCTAATTTTTGTATTTTTTTAGTAGAGATAGGGTTTCACCATGTTGGCCAGGCTGGTCTGGAACTCCTGACCTCAGGTGATCCACCCACCTCCGCCTCCCAAATTGCTGGGATTACAGCTGTGAGCCACCCACCACGCCTGGCCTTTCTTTGATTTTAAATAACATTTTGATATTTCACAATGATGTGCCTTGGAGGGGTGTGTGTGTGCGTGCGTGTGTGTGTGTGTATGTGTGTTTTACTCCAACCATTATGCTATGCATTTGATGAACCCTTTTAATCTGGAGAGTCACATCCTTTAATCCTGAACATTTCCTCATATTACTGCCTGGTAATTACATGGTTACTGTTTTCCTTGTTTACTATTTCTGGATCACTTATTCAGTAGATGTGGACTTCTAGAACAGTCTCTAGCTTTCTCATCTTCTCTCTCCTGTTGTCCATCCTCTTATCTTTCTGTTTTACTTTCTGGAAGATTTTTCTCAATTTTATCTTCCAACCTGTTGAGAATCTCAGTTTTTAACTTCCAAGACTTTTTTCTTGTTTTATGTATGAAGCTTCCTTTTTATAACATCCTGTTCTTGTTTTGTATAGGTCATATTTTCACTTAATCTCTTTGAGGTTTATATTTTTTAAAAAACCACTCTTCTGTTTTTGTTTGTTTTTTACTGTTTGTTTTCACTGTATTTTTCTCTTTGTTTTTGTCTCTTTTATTCTATTTTATGTATGTATTTATTTATTTCCTAGAGACAAGGTCTCCCTATGTTGCCCAGATAGTTTCAAACTCCTGGGCTCAAGGGATCCTCCTGACCCGGCCTCCCAAAGTGCTAGGATTACAAGCATGAGCCACCACACCTGGCCTCTGTCTTTTATTTTAGAGGCTATACTTAAATATCTGGTAGTCTTTGGATATCTGTTCCTATTTAAGAGTCAAGCACTAACATGGTGAAACCCCATCTCTACTAAAAATACAAAAAATTAGCTGGGCGTGGTGGCACATGCCTGTAGTCCCAGCTACTCGGGAGGCTGAAGCAGGAGAATTGCTTGAATCTGGGAGGCGGAGGTTGCAGTGAGCCAAGATCATGCCACTGCACTCCAGCCGGGGCAACAGAGCAAGACTCAGGTGTCCCGACCTGACGAGTGCCATTCAAGTTGGATTTAGCCATGAAATAAGTTACAAAAAACTTTACATTTATCAGCACTTTGGGAATTTTGAAACTACAGATAAGGGATTATAGATATATAATGCTGAAATATTTACTATCATATTGGTTCTGATCCACAATATTGGAAAATATTAAAAGTGGAAAATATAGGGCCTGACCCTGGTGTTACAATCATTGGCTTCACTTGAGTTCTCAAGTGTACCCACTGTGGCAGCAGCAATCCTCAACACATTTGCTGTTAGCCAGATTTTTAATACAGACCTACATGGCCTTAACTCATTCTTGTTTTTCTTGGCACTTATTCTCTTTTTTAAAATTTGTTTAAATTTTACTTTAAGTTCTGGGATACATGTGCAGAATGCGCGGGTTTGTTACATAGGTATACACGTGCCATGGTGGTTTGCTGCACCTATCAACCCATCATCTAGGTTTTAGGCCCTGAATGCATTAAGTATTTTTCCTAATGCTCTCCCTCCCCTTGTCCCCCACCCGCCGACAGGCCACGGGTTGTGTTGTTCCCCTACCTGTGTCCATGTGTTCTCATTGTTCAACTCCCACTTATGAGTGAGAACATGCGGTGTTTGGTTTTCTGTTGCTGTGTTAGTTTGCTGAGAATGATGGTTTCCAGCTTCATCCATGTCCCTGCAAAGGACATGAACTCATTCCTTTTTATGGCTGCACAGTATTCCATGGTGTATATGTTCTTGGCACTTATTCTATCACCTGGGCTTTCTGACTCTTTTCTGACATCTTACCCCATTATGGAGACAAAGCTCAGGATTACAACATCTACATGTGGCTTAAGAGTAGTCTCTTGCCCCACTTTTCTGCCATGCAGTAATTGGTTAATATGTAATAATGATTAACAAGTGCATAGATTGTGCTCACAATAACCTTCCCATTCCTGGCCTTATGCCTGATTTTTGTAGCTGGCGGGTAAAGTCCTCTCAACATAGCCTCAAGGAACCAGACCTAGAGACTGCGGTACAAGACAGGAGTGAGACAGGAATCCAGACAAGGATTCCAGGCAGCAGCATCAACAAAGGAGATTGCTAATGACTCAGCCTCAGCCTGGAAGCTTTTCTATGCATGAAGGAAGGGCCAGTCATGAGACAGGGCAGAGAAAAGCCTGATAACCCCTCCCCTCATCACTAGGACTCCCCTCCCTCTGCCAACCCTGGGAATCACAGCAGGGCTGCCCTCACAGGTCACTGTCACTTACAGAGTGTGCCATATTTTGCAGTGAGCTGGGCTTCCCAAATGGTGAGAACCAGTTTCTGGTTCTAGCCACAGTGAGGTCCCATATATTTTCAGAGCGCACTGTCTTTTCACCTTGCACACCCTGACCCTGCTTCCTTGTCTCTTTTTTAACCCTTTGATCCAGACTGATGTCCTAAGGCATGCTGGGTCCTTGCTGCTATGGGGGTCTGTCAGCTCAGCCCCCAGACATAAACTGGAATGAATGTTCCAACAGTATCCTGCCTGTGCATGTGTGTATGAGCACAAGGAGGCTCTGATTTTTACATTTCCTCCTCATTTTCAGCTTATGTAGCCTACACTAGCAAAAGAGTCTTGGGGAGCTGAGGGGTCATAGGAAATGACCTGTTAGCCACATTTCTGTTCTCTGTGAAGAGGCCTGTTTTCAGTTTAGACATCATGGGGAAACCACTCTTCCCATCAAAGTGAGCTCCCCCAAGGATGAAATGGACACCATGCTATCTACTTGATATTATGAAGACTGAATGAAATAAAAAGAATCCAGCAAAGTGCCTGAAAAAATGTAGGCCGTCCATATTCCAAACTGGGAAAAAATGCTTAATGCAAAGATTACCACGTCACGTATAAAAACAAAATACTGGAAGCAACCTAAATGTCCACAGTGAGAGAATGATTTTCATATTATGCCTCTGTTGAAATTGGTAGCAATATAATAAATAGTCATTATGAAAAGCATGGAGCACCGTAGGAAAAATATTATAATGAAAACAGGGGGCAAAGCAAGATGCAAAATTGCATGTAAACTATGGAAAGATATGCATGTGAGAAAAGGTAGACAAATAACACCAAAATGAAAACTGTTAACATTATCAGAAAGCCCCATAATCCCTTACCCAAAAATCTGGGAGCCAGATGTGCTTTGCCATTCAGAATTCTTTGGATATTAGCATATCTTAAATGTTATATAGCACCTCCAGCGCTCTTTAGTCTAATGCATTAGTACTTCAGCAGTGAGTATACAAATAGTTGTCCTAAGTGGAATAAATAAAGACTCTGAGGTCGGGTGCAGTGGCTTACTCCTGTAATCCCAGCACTTTGGGAGGCTGAAGCTGGTGGATCACCTGAGGTCAAGAGTTCAAGACCAGCCTGGCCAACATGGTGAAACACCGTCTCTACTAAAAAATATAAAAATTAGCCAGGCACGGTGGCGTGTGCCTGTAGTCCCAGCTACTCAGGAGGCTGAGGCCGGAGAATCGATTGAACCCGGACGGCGGAGGTTGCAGAGAGCTGCGATCATGCCACTGCATTCCAACCTGGACGACAGAGTGAGAGATTCCGTCAAAAAAAAAAAAAAAAAAGACTTATGGCACTGGGGTTTCAGTCCGGACTCGCCACTTGTTGGCTGTGTAAATCTTGGAGGAATTGCTTGGCTCCTCTGAGGCTCAACGCCGATGTCTACAATAGAGCGAGGCTAACAATTTACGTCTACCGATCCCAGCAAGTTGTGAAACGCGAATAGTAAAATGGATTCATTTATTAATTTATTTGCCCCAACACTTTATGCGTGGTAATAAGTCAGATTTCTTGGTTCTGAGAAACAGAAATCAACTCTGGCTTATTCGAGAAGAGGAATTTATGTAAATGATAGTAGGAACTCATAAAATCCCCAAAGAAGTTTGGAGAACCAAACCCAGAAGACAAACAGGTGCAAGGGAGGCTAGACAGGGGCCAGGACCGCAGCCCGAAGCCACCCAGGACTCCTGTGGGGAGGACTTCCCTGCTGCTGTACAATGCTGGGGCCACAGCTGCACAGCTGCAGCCACTGGCACTGCTGTCAGGGCTGTCTCTGGAAGCTGGAGGCTGCTGCTGCTTGTCCTGCCTCCACCCAAGCAGGCTTTCCTCCGACTGGGCTTGTTGATATCAACGGCTTCCAATTCAAAACTATTTGCTAGGCCTGCAATATATGCAGAATAGATGTTAAAGTATCATGAAAACTACACAGTTATGAGGGGATTCCGTGACCCTTGTCACATAGGCATCAGAGATATGGATCCTGAGACCCAAATATGCAAGAAGGTAATTATTAGCACGTTCACTCCTCTGCTCCCTGCAAAACTGTGAGGAGCCCTGGATACACTTGTAGGGATGTGTGGCATGAAGGCATCATCCATCATGGGTGGACTAAAAGCAGGTTGAAAATGCAAGCCATGTGAAGGCAGTGACCACCTTATTCTTCTCCTCGATGCCATTGCAATGGCTGACACTCAGCAGACATCCTGTAAATGCGTGAAGTGAACGAACGCTTGGATCTTCCTCCTGCAGGTCCAGTCACTGATTAAGTAGCATCCTGGCCAGAGCAGGAAGTCCTCACAGAGTTGTGTGGGAAGCTATTGGGCAACTTTAGAAAAGGGAAAGATGATAAAATGTGGCTATCACAGGAAAAATGGGAAGGAACAGTTCCAAAATCCAAAATGCCTCAGAATATTATGGATTGAACCGGTCGCTCATGTGACCACCTGCATACAGATGTGCCATGCATACAATGTGACTCTTGCAGTTCTTTTGTTTTTTTGCACTGGGAGTGGGGAGAGGGGTTCTGCACCAGGGCAGAAGTGCCATTAGGTCCTTTGATTTTTCAAGGAAGTGTCATCTCTGTCACCCCTACCCATGATGTCTAAACTGAAAACAGGCCTCTTCATAGAGAGATCCACAGCATGTGGATATTATTCCAATCAAGATTAGAAAATCTATTCTTCAATTTTAGATAATCTTCCATGCAGCTCCCAACTAAAACACAACAGAGAAATATTTTCATCATTCATAGCTCAAGTTGTGAGCTTTATCCCTGCATCAAACCCATGGATATGCAACTGTCCCTCCATGAAAATGTTTTTTCAGGACAAGGGTCTAACATGGTAAGCACCAAACAGTCCACGAAAAGAGCTGGCCACATGCAGAGCCTTTGTGTTTTTGGTAAAACTGCCATGAGCGCAACATCCATTTGCGCTGCCTCATATTCCTTTATTGGTGAGCATTTTTTGGTTTCGAGGGATAGGAAATCAAGTCAATCAGCTTAGGCAAAGAGAAAGGTATTTGGTCACATTATCAAATCATAGGAAGGGCTGGGATGCAGCAGAGCCCAGGGAGAAGAGGAACCAGGCCCTTTCGTGCAGCCTGCGTGCTCTTTCTCCACCCCTCACTTGGCTTCTCTCAGGTTGGGTTTCTCAGGCTGACTTCTGCCACACGGTTGGGAGTTTGCCTATTGGCTGCTATGAGACTCCTAGCCTTGGCTCTGGAGGGAAAATGAGGGACTTTCTCTACCTGTGGCTTGAAAAACCCCTGGGAAAGACTCTGATTGGCTCAGCCCCATTCAGTTACCCAATCCTAGGCCAATCACTGTGCCAGGGAGGTGGGGCACAATGATCAGCCCAGCCTAGGTTAGGAGTCCACCCTTGGCTAAAGAGCTGTGCGTGTGTGTGTGTGTGTGTGTGTGTGTGTGTGTGTGTGTGTGTGTGTGTGTTTGAGAGACAGAGAGAGAGACAGAAGATAGAAAGGCGGAGAGGCCTGTAATGACGTGAGAGCTCCCGCCTGAATCACATGATTTGAGTGGGGCCTGGATGGGGAGAAGAGCATTTCCCGATATGGAGAGATGCTGGACAAAAGGAAAAATAAAGTCCGCTAAAGAGGGGTAACAAACACTGCTTTACTTTCTTATTAGCCAATTTGTCGCACTTTTGCCTTTGCTGTGACTGTCAGGAAGCTCTGTGGATTAACTTTCCTGAGCCTTGGTTTCAGAGACATATTCTCCTTCGACTTTAATTTCTTAATTCTTGTGTTCTTATTTTTATTGTTACTGTTTTGTGTTTTATGATCCCTCTGCTTCTTTTGTAAAAGCCTTCTTAAATGCTTTTGGTGAGGCCATCTCCACGTAAAGATAAGTCTCCTTTGCTGTGAAAAAGTATCACTTAGGCAACCTACATGTCCTCTGCTAGCTGTAAAGGTTAGCATTCTTTTACTGTATTTAACTTCTATGGAAAACGTTAAGGCCACCATAATTACAAGAGTGCTGATACTGCTATGGCTTTTTTTTTTTTTTTTTTTTTTTTGAGACTGAGTTTCGCTCTTGTCGCCCAGGCTGGAGTGCGATGGCCTGATCTCAGCTCACGGCAAACTCTACCTCCCAGGTTCAAGCGATTCTTCTGCCTCAGCCGCCCGAGTAGCTGGGACTACAGGCGTGTGCCACTATGCCCGGCTAATTTTGTATTTTTAGTAGAGATGGGGTTTCACCATGTTGGCCAGGCTGGTCTTGAACTCCTGATCTCAGGTGATCCGCCTGCCTCGGCCTCCCAAAGTGCTGGGATTACAGGCGTGAGCCACCACACCCGGCCTGGTGCTACGGCTTTAAAACACAATCAAACCAAAACTAACAGGTTGCATCATAGCCCTTTCTGAAGAGATGCTCTGGGATCTACAATAAATAATAGACACTCAGCAGGTTTGCATATAATGATTCAGGTCCAGGGTCCAGTAAGACCTTATTGGATTGAAAAGATCATGTGTCTTGTAGAGTAAGCTCAGGTTTATGGAGGGCTGAGTATCAAGGGCCTTTTGGTGTTGGGGGAATTTTGGGAGAGGTGGAGGCCCAGTGGATAACTCCTGGAAGGTGGAATTTTATTGTATTATTGTGTATAGCGAACGCAACACAAAAAAATAGGACAGAAGAGAACAGAGATTAGGGAAAGTTAGGAAAGTGTCAGGTGACTAGCAGTGTCTTTAAAACTCAGGATAGCAGGCTGGGTTGGCAGACGATGTCTGTCTCATTAGCAGGTGGGCCTGGAAATGGAGGGGGAGAGAATTCTTAGTAACTGCTATGAAAATCCTCACTCCTCCCATGCTCCTCCAGTGTACCACCGATGATTAGCAGGCCTTCAGTTAAGGAGCACTGCATAGTATTATCTCTCTCTCTCTCTTTTTTTTTTTTTTGAAATGGAGTTTCGCTCTGTCGCCCAGGCTGGAGTGCAGTGGTGCGATCTCAGCTCACTGCAACCTCCATCTTCTAGGTTCAAGCTATTCTCCTGCCTCAGCCTCCAGAGTAGCTGGGATTACAGGTCAACACAACAAGATAGTTTTTGTATTATTAGTAGAGATGGGGTTTCGCCATGTTGGCCAGGCTGGTCTTGAACTCCTGACCTCAGGTGATCTGCCCGCCTCAGCCTCCCAAAGTGCTGGGATTACAGGCTTGAGCCACCTCACCCAGCCAGTATTATCTCTCTTAATGTGCAAATACCTGGAGGGGAAGGAATGCAAAATGTTAAACTTTCAGAACTACAGTGCTGAGTGGACTTAGTGAATTTCCATCCATCTGTCCATCCATCCATCCATCCATCCATCCATCCATCCATCCATCCATCCATGTATCCATCCATTTGACACAAATTTATTAAGTGCCTACTCTGTGGCAGGCACAGAGTTTACAAAGATGAATAAATTATGGTTCCTGCTTGACCTGGAAATCATCATCTAGTTAGGACAGAGAGATAAGTAAATTGATGTTTACTGTACAGGGTGATAAGTGCTATGATGCAGCTCTGCACAGGGGTTATGGTGGAGCTGGGGACAGGGGCTGTGAGAGGTTTGCTACATGGGAGCTATAGGAGCTTACAGAAGGGCATTAAATCAGACGGAAGAAAGAGCAGTCTGAGAAGGCTTCCTGGCAGAGGTGATATCTGAACGGAGTTTTGAAGGATGAGTAGGCATTGGCCAGAAGGGGCCAGAGGGGAGAAAGGAGAAGAGAGGAGCATTCCAGGCAAAGAGAAGCACATCCGGGAAGGTGCCACGCAGTGTAACCACAGGTAGAAGAGTAGGTTGAAATAAAGGACATGCACAGGCCAATAAGGCTGAGAGACAGGCATGGTCAGACCGGGAAAGGTTTTGTTGGGTGAAGCTGTGGAGTTTGAAACATGACTTACAGATAGTGGGAAGCCGTGGAAGAGTCTTTAAGTAGGAAAGAGATGTGATCCAAGATCTCCCTTAAAATAATCCTTTGCACTGTGGGTATGGAGGGTCCCATCAATCTAGGCAGACCCTTAGGTAAGTTGCAAGAAATTTCAGTGAGAGGAGATGAGGGTTGGAATTAAGGTATAGGCAGTGTGGTTGGGGAGAAGGCCTCCAGCAACATTCACATCCTCTCTGAGGGCCTGCAGGGCAGCCGGACCACAGAGAGCATGAGGGAGAGGCAGCGCTGCCCAGCAGGGAAGGGTAGGGGGAAGTGAGGTTAGGAGGGCTGGAACACAAAGCAAACTGACTCCACTCTTTGCTGAGGACCAGCTCTGAGCCTCAAGATTGGAAAGAGAAAGAGAAAGTGGTCTGACCTTATCAACCCTTCTCCTGCCCAGGCTATCCCGTTTTAGAGCAAAGCTCATAAACAAAACATCTCAAGTTCTGGACTTGCAATTCTTGAACACCTTGGAGATAGAGCCACAGCTATTATTAAAATATGTTCCCCTCTCTTATCCACATCTCTGATAGAGACCACTGCTGGCTTTTAGGGTGCCTTCCTTTGGTTTTTTTGTTTGTTTGTTTTTGTTGTTTTGTGTTTTTTAGAGGCTTGCTATGTTGCCCAGGCTGGACTTGAACTCGTGGCCCCAAGTGAGCCTCCTGCCTTGGCCTCCCAAGTAGCTGGGACTACAAGCATGTGCCACCACACTCAGCCCCTTCCTCTGAATGTAAATAAGTTACCTGGGAGGACCAGTTAGAAATGGGGGCCCCTTTCTGGGGGTTGCAATCCACGTTAGTGCACAAGGCTTGGCAGGTGTAGGGGGCGCTGGATTTTAGCTCAAGTCAAGCCTGGCCTGTGCACTCCTGCGTGTAGCCCAACTGTGGCAGCTCCTCCTTCACGTCTAGATTCATAACTGCTCCCCATCCCCAGCTGGAGGAGCTCCTGTCTTCTGTCCCTTTCCCTCTGGATTCTGTATCATGAAAGCCCAAGGGACAGGCCTGGCAGTCCAGATTCCTCTGTGGCAGCTGGCGGAGGGAGCAGCCTAGAACGCACATAGGATCATCTTTGCCTGTCACAAGGGATACCTTTTATGACTGGAGGAGCCTTAGCATTTGAATACCTTGGGGTAAAGACTGGGGCCAGTGCCAGCTTGCAAGTTTCTAAGTGGTTAGAACCAGGGAAGGCTCAGAAAAAATCTTTAAGCAGAGGCTGATCCCTAACTTCTGGACAATGACATGGTCACAGGGAAGCCACAGAGTCCTGGAGGTGGGAGTGGAAAGTGGAAAAAGAGGGTCATGTGGAGCCTCCGGGCAATAGCCTGGTCGGGATGTGGTGGTGGACGGCGAGCGCAAATGCGGACCCTGCTCCAGGCCCAGAGGGGAAGTGAGAATCTGAGCCGACCTCGTTGGTTTGTGAGGGAAGTGGGGTTTTGTTAGGGGAAGCCAGGTTTCATCTTCAGGAAGGAGGTGGAAGATGTGTAAAAACAAAAGCAGACAAAGGTAAAGAATAATCACCATGTTTTGTAAGTTAAACTCTCAGGTAGGAGAGCTTAGGGTAATCATCAATGGGGCCGGGTGTGGTGGCGTGTGCCTGCAGTCTCAGCTACTTCGGAGGCTGAGGTGGGAGGATTGCTTGAGGCCAGGAGATTGAGGCCAGCCTGGGCAACAGAGAGATCTTGTCTCAAAACAAACCAACAAGCAAACAAACAAACAAAAACGGGCCTGGAGTTCCAATTCAGAGAATCGCTGGGATTTCTTTTGTCCAATTGTATCACTCCGCCCTGCGAGTGACAGACATTCAGCTCAAACTGGTCCAAGCATAAAGGGGAAAAAATAATTTATTTGCTCATGGAATTAAAAAAAGTCTGGGGTAATGGTTTCAGGTATAGTTGGGTCCTTGTGCCCAAAGTAATGTTACCATGACTCAGTTTCTCTCTCCTTCTTAGTCCCGCTTTCCTCTGTGTGGGTTTCTCTCTCAGGGAATGTATTCACACATGAGGACAAGCAGGTAGCCAGCATCTCCAAACTTTCATGTCCACCAGCTCAGCAATTCTAGTGGGAAGAGACAGCTTCTCTTTCTCAGTAATTCCAAAGAAAGTTCTGGAATTGGCTCCAATTGAATTGGCTTCTTCCTATTCCCATCCCTGAACCAATCATTGTGGCTTGGGCTTGGACGGTGGGGTGTTTCCCAACGGAAGATCTGAGTACTCCTGCTAAAAGAGACAGGAGTAAGTTGGGCAGACAAAACAAAAACTGTCCATTGTATCTTTGTGACTGTATCGTCACTAAAGCCTGACCACAAGTATATGTTGTAATTGATGTTCTTTCTTGTCTGATCTTGCAGACAGAACAAGTCCTTCTTTCTGTCATAAACTTGGATGGCAGAATTTCATGGCAAGCTGAGGCATCAGCAATGGTCTGGTGGGACTTGGAGGGATTCTGCTTCCCTAGGAACATGGCCAGAGTTTTCTTCTCCACAGGGGCCGTGGGCAGTGTCCTTGAGGAGTGGTGAACTAGGGCAAGAAGCTTGGCAGAAGGGAGTTGTTTTTTTGTTTTTTTTTTTTGAGATGGAGTCTCACACTGTCACCCAGGCTGGAGTGCAGTAGTGCGACCTTGTCTCACTGCAACCTCTGCCTCCCGGGTTCAAGCAATTCTCCTGCCTCAGCCTCCCGAGAAGCTGAGATTACAGGCACCCGCCACCACACCGAGCTAATTTTTTGTATTTTTAGTAGAAATGGGGTTTCACTGTGTTGGCCAGGCTGGTCTTGAACTCCTGACCTCGAGATCTGCCAGCCTCGGCATCCCAAAGTGCTGGGATTATAGGCATGGGCCACCGTGCCTGGCCCACAGAAGGGAGTTATTCTGAGGCCTGCTGATGCTTAGAGTCAGATCGGGGCAGCTGTAGGCTTCCAGCTCCTCTGTCAGTTTGGAGCAAAGCTGGCAAACGGAATGGGATTGCCACCTGATTCGGGAGGCAGCCATAGGCCTCATGGAATTCTAGGAAGGCTGTGTCTTAGAAGATGAAAGGAAGGATCCATAGTGAGGGAGGACTTTCCGAAACATATCTTCCCTAGCACTATGGCCAATTGTTTCCATGACCTTGATCTTCATTCAGTCTCCTTCTCAGGAGGAAGTAGGGGTGACCTCTTTCTAGGGCAGAGGTTCTCAAAGTTTGCTTTGCAAAGGAATTATGAGTCGGAGCCAGGGACACCTAATTAAATACATACCTCCAGCCCTACTGCTAGAGATTTGGCTTTAGTAAGTCTAAGGTAGGTGGGGTACAGGATTCTGTATTCTGAATAAGCAACCCAAGGTTCTGATGCAGCTGGTTCAGGGAACACATTTTGAGATCCACCTCTTGAGGCTGGAGTATCTGAGGCCAAGGATGTAAGCAGGACTCCAGTATTGAGACAGGATCCATATGATAAAACTTAGGGGACAGCTTGAGCTCAGAAACAGGGCAGAGCTGAATGTTTAAGTGCTTCCCTTGGTTAGTATTGGCTCAGGTTTTGGTGCCTTGAACTAAGAAGTGCTGGGGACCATAGAGAGAGATGCCATGTCATGCTAGGTCACACTTGCATCTGCTGACTCCCTGCTTTCTTTGCAATGGAACCCCCTTTGATTGACTTCATTGTGTTTATATCCAATAATCCTTTCTTAACAATAGTGTTCATTGTGTAGTACATGCTGACTAGTTTAAAAAACTTTTAAACTGATTGTATACATATGGACATTGTATTCTTAAGTAGAATTTAACTCATTTTGCAACTGATGTTAAAGCCACCGCCACACAGAATATCTCAGTGAAACAGGGGAGTTCGTTCCTGGTATAAACGGGGAATGGTGAAGAAATAAGAGGAAGGACAGAACAGGGGGCAGACAGGTGGAGCCGGTGTAGGAGTGAGATAGTGGGAGTGATAGGTGTGGGTATTTGTTTATAGGGTTAGAATTAGGGTTACAGGAGGCAGGGAGTTCAGAGGTGTGGAGTTCTAGGGAAGGGGTCAGCTATAATGGAGTCGGGCTGGGTGAAATATTCTGAGTTGGTGAAGTTTAGGAACTACAGGAGCTTGTAGAGCTCATTGAAGTAGTGCAGGTACGTTGAATGTTCGAGTGTCCTCTTCAAGCTCTAGGCCCTGGACTCGGGAGTGTGATAGGAGTTCCCTAGTGGCGGTGGAGGGCCTCATCCTCCAGATATATTTGATAATTCTTGGAGGTACAGATTCCTGTCAAAAGCAAGTGCAAAGGGACTAGGAAGGACAAGTTGGTTGATTCATTCATTCACTCACTTTCCCTAGGGACCGTCCCTACTTGGTGGTGGCACTGCTCTGGCCCCTAGATACAGTGCTGAGCATGGCACACCCTCACTCAGCTGGCATTCTAGTGGGGTGACAATAATTAACAAATAGATAGGTAATCTAATTTCAGGATGTGCAGAGCTATGAAGAAAAATAAAGGAAGCGAAGAGGTGAGGGAGTGGCGATTTTAGATTAGGGGGAGTGTCGGGGAGAGCCTCTCTGAGAAGGCGATGTTTGGCAGAGACCTGAGGTGAGGAAGCCTGGTGGAGAATGGAGAGGCGTGTGGCCAGGCAGTGTTTGTGGCATGGCCTGACTTCATGCTGGGAGATTCTTGGGCCTGTGGATATTTTCATGACTGTTGTGGGAGACAAGCTTGCTGGGTCAGGCTCTATTTTGGGGTGGGCACTGACTCACCGCCCAAGTGTTGGGCAACTGGTATGCTGCTGTGAGATTGTTTCTGCTGTAAAATGAGGATCTTCCTAGCTACCTCTGTTTTACAACAATCTCATGAGAATTGGTCAGTGTCTTTCTAGAAAGTGTTTTTATTACACAATATCTTGCATGTATGCCACAGGATAAGTTGTCAGCAACCAACTCAGCTGTGTTCTCAGAGAGCAAAGTTTGGGCTGGTCCATTGAGCGCTGACACTGAGTTGATCCCCCGCAAAAGGCCTTGAACTCCTGCTGATTTTCTTGGTTTTCGTGCACTGCTGAGCTCCTGATTCAGAGCCTGAAGCCCTAGGTTCTGATTCCTACTCTATTGCTGACAACCCATGGGGACCAAGCTTTGTCTGAGTGTGTCCATGGATCTCCCAGAGGAGCAGCAGGAGGCCTGGGAGTATAGTCTATGAGGAATATGCAGATTTCCCCTTAGTTTCATCTTACCCATGTTCAGCATGGTGGCCATGGCCAGGGTAGTGTATTTAAGTGGCAGAAAATTCATGAAAATATTTCAAAGGGAGCAGAGAAATGCTGGGCCTTGGGGAGTCAAAGCTGGTTAAAAAGACCCCTGGAGAGAAGGACACTGTCTTGAGGGCACTTTCTTTCTCTCCCACGAACTGAGCTGAGATGTTTAGGCCGATTCGTGCACAGCGCTGGCCCTATGCTTGCTCTGGATGCATGGTCGACAGCAATGCAGCAAGTCAGACACGCAGTTACCTGATACGCACCCGGCCAAATGCTGAAGAGATAAGGGTTGTGAGTCAGTGTGGTGCTTGGTCCACTTACCCCTAAGTGTCTCCTACCAACCTTCCAAGATTCCTCTGATTTGGTCCAAAATACTTTCCCTGATTGAGTGCTGACGAGGTGCCAGGTATCGTGCTAACGCCTTGGTGTACTTCATCTTGCTTATTCTTCTGTGCAGCTCACTGAGGTGGGGACTATTATACCATTTTACAGATGAGGAAGCTGAGGTTCACTCACTTGCACTAAGTCACACAATGAGTGAGCATCAGAGGTCAGACTAGACACCAGTCCCTCCTCTGCCTGCCAACAGCCAGGTGGCTGCTCTTTTTCCCCTGCCCTCCCCAGGCTCCCGGAAGTCCCTTGGCTTGTGCACATGCAAACTCACACATACACAAAGCCAGATGTGCTGGAGAATTTACCTACTCCTGGATGGCCTGTAACCAAAGACAGTCAGTGTGGTCAGAGAGTATCACGGCCCTTGCCTCCTGGTGGGACAATTCAGAAGTGTCTTTTCCAGAGGTCCCTGCAGGATCAGGCTGAAGCCACTTTTTGCATGACTTTTGTCTTGCTGGGCTTCCTCCCCCCCTTGTCTTGCCCCCCTGTTCCCTTACGTCACTAGCAGAGGGGGTCTGCTTGCAGGGAATCCAGATGCCCGGTCAGACATGGGCTGAGCTGGGGCAGCATGTTATTAAGTGACTGTGATTCCAAACAAGAATTTGGGGCCAGGCACAGTGGCTGACACCTGTAATCCCAGCACTTTGGGAGCCCGAGGGGGGCAGATCATGAGGTCAGGAGATCGAGACCATCCTGGCTAACGTGGTGAAACCCCATCTCTACTAAAAATACAAAAATTAGCCATGCGTGGTGGCGGGCGCCTGTAGCCCTAGCTACTCAGGAGGCTGAGGCAGGAGAATGGCATGAACCCGGGAGGCAGAGCTTGCAGTGAGCAGAGATTGTGCCACTGCACTCCAGCCTGGGCGACAGAGCGAGACTCGTCTCAAAAAGAATTCGGAAGCCGTGGCTAGCAGTGACAGCCCAATTAAGAGTCCAGATGACCCTAGAGAGCCCAATAATATGTCACATGGGAAACACATTGACTTCATTTAGGAGCTCCTTGGAGTGCAAAGCATTAACTTAAACCATTGGAACATCCCTCCTTTAGACTTGATTATACAGATTCAACCAAATTAACCTCTCACTAATCTTCAAGTCACAGTCCGGGTGAAATAACATTTCTAAATGTCATGTTGGTGGGTCTCTAGAGATGTGTTGCCTCAGTTATATGAAGCTTATTTGACCCCATAATTAGTGCCCACCCTGTCCTGCTGAACTTCCTGTTTCCCATATATTTATTTATATGACATTCACGAGGGTGAAATTTGCTTTGCCTCCTGAGATGACTGTAGGTCTGGGTGACCCCAACACCTGAGTTCAGGACTGATGGCAAGAGCTGCACTGTCTAATATGGTAGCTACTAGCCACATGTGGCTGTTGGGCATTTGAATTGTGCCTACTCTGCACTGAGATGCTTTAAGTATAAAATACGCATAAGGCTGGGCACGTTGGCTCACGCCTGTAATCCCAGCACTTTGGGAGGCTGAGGCGGGCAGATCACAAGGTCAGGAGTTTGAGACCAGCCTGACCAACATAGTAAAACCCCGTCTCTACTAAAAATACAAAAATTAGCCAGGCGTGGTGGCATGAGCCTGTAGTCCCAGCTACTCAAGAGGCTGAGGCAGGAGAATCGCTTGAATCCGGGAGGCTGAGGCTGCAGTGAGCCGATATTGTGCCACTGCACTCCAGCCTGGGCAACAGAGAGAGACTCTGTCTCAAAAAAAAAAAATATATATATATATATATGTATATATATGCATACATATATACATACATACATACATATATACATATATACATACATATATATGATGGTCTTTGAAGACACAGTATGAGAAAAAGAATGTAAGTTATCGCATTAGTCATTTTAAAATATTTCTTACGTGTTGAAATGATATTTCAGGTATATTTTGGGTTAAATAAGATATGTTATTAAAGTTGACTTTTATTTTTTTCTTTTTACTTTTTAAAAATGGGGCCGGGCATGGTGGGGCTCATGCCTGTAATCCCTCACTTTGGGAGACCGAGGTGGGTGGATCGCCTGAGCCCAGGAGTTTGAGACCAGCCTGGGCAACATGGTGAAACCCCATTTCTACAAACATTGCAAAATTAGCCAGACATGGTGGTTCATGCCTCTAGTCCGAGCCACTTGGGAGGCTGAGACAGGAGGATCACTTGAGCCCTGGAGATGGAGACTGAAATGAGCTGTGGTCGTGCCGCTGCACTCCAGCCTGGGCAACAGAGTGAGACTCTGTCTCAAAAAACAAACAAACAAACAAAAAATGTGGTGACTAGAAACTGTAAAATGCTATAGATGACTCACATTACATTTCTATTGGGCAGCCTTGCTCTGGACACTCCAACAAAGGGAGGCTTAGAGAGTGATCTTCCAACTCCTCCAGGGAAGATATGCTGAGCTGAGAAGAAATCATAGGCTGTCTCTGAGAGCAGATTCTTTATAAAATCAGGAGGCAGCGAGGCAAGCCCTATATGACATTACTTTTAAAGTAATGTCTTTTAAAGTACTTTTAAAGTACTTTAAAAGTACAAAGTACTTTAAAAGTAAAGTACTTTTAAAGTACTTTAAAAGTAAAGTACTTTTAAAGGCTGGTGATTACGGTTCTGCAGACAGCTCTGTGCTGCTGGTCAAGAGGGTTTGTGGCTGAGGAAACTGGTCTGTAAATTGGTCACCTGCTCTGATATCATCACGGCTCCCCCAGCTCTGGGCGGGGATTTCTTCACTTTACAGAGGCCCCGGAATTCACCTTCGTTCTTTCTTTCTTATTACCATATTCTTGTGAGGAGAAAGAGGCCAGCTGAGGGAAAAGAGAAGAGGGGAGGGAAGGAAAGGTTAGGAGGGTTACCATTGATTAAAACAACAAGGACAGAGGGGGAAGGACGGAGGCGGAAGGACAGAGGGGGGACGATCACCTTGACTAAAACAAAAGGTCCAAAAAGTCAGCAAGTCAAGTGTCTAGTGATTTTCTGTATCTCTGTCTCTCTCTCGTTCTCTCTCTGGAAGTCTTTTGACTTTTGAATGTTTCTGGGAAGCCATAAACAGTTACCTTTGTTTTGCAGATTAGGAAAAGGGGTAAAGAAATGGATGAGTGGCCAGGCACGGAGGCTCATGCCTGTAATCTTGGCACTTTGGGAAGCTGAGGAAGGAGGATCTCTTGAGCCCCAGAGTTCACCACCAGCCTGGGCAACAGAGTGGGACCTTGTCTCTACAAAAATTAAAAAAAAAAAAAGTTGGGTGTGGGTGCCTATAGTCCTAGCTACTGGGGAGCCTGAGGGAAGAGGGTCACTTGAGGCCAGGAAAAGAAGGAAGAGAAAGAAAGGAAGAAAGGAAGAAACAAAGAAAAAGAGAGAAAGAAAGAAGAAAGAAAGAGGGAAGGAAGGAAGGAAGGAAAGAAGGAAGGAAGGAAAGAACTGATGATTGATTTCCAGAGATAAATAGGAAGTGTGGGATAGAGAGGAGGGGCAGGACTTAGAGGTGTAATCCCCTCCGTGTTGAGATGGAAGTCCGAGCGTTTGGAATTACATCACCAGAGCTCCACCCAGGGCCTTTGCATTTCAGTGACTTGGCTGGGAGATAACGGCTCCCTAACCTGTTCATGTGTCTGTAGCTTAGAAAGTCCAGTGACTAATGTTTGGAGATGTTCCCTAGCGGTGTGGCTACTGCCTCAATTAGTACATTTTCTGAGAAAAGGCTTTGACATTGTCACAAGCCTCCCAGCTCTTTATGGGTTCATCTGATACTTGACTCTAGTGGCACCCATCACCTGCAAACAAAAGTGAGAACACATGTGCTTAAAATGTTCTCTTTGAGTCCTGCCTTTGCTCATCAACCTTCAACGGCTCACCATTGCTCACTGAGTGAAAACCTAACTCCCTATCCTGCCTTCAGTGCCCTCCACAAGCAGGATCCAGGTTATCTTTCCAGACCATTGTTTCATCCCTCTCCTGTCCCCTGAGCTTCAACTGAATCACATGTCTGCTAGTTTCTCTTCATGCCTCATGCCCTTGCATCTTTATGGCTTTACTCACTGTGCTTGTTACCTAGAAATCCTATCCATAATCTTCACATTTCAGAATTTTCCTTCTCTATGAGTAGCCATTCTTGGCCTCCACAGCACTTTGTAGGTCTCTTATGGCCCCTCGTAGACTGTTATTTGGGCATCAATGCCCTTGCTAGTTTGTGAACTACAAGGGTCTGGGGTGGATACAGACTGCCAGTATTAGTCAGCTTGGGCTGCCATAACAAAATACTATGGACTATGTGGCTTAAACAACAGAAATGTTTATTTCCTCACACTTCTATAGAGTCTGGAAGTCTAGCATCAAGTTGCTAGCATGATCTGGTTTCTGGTGAGGGCTCCCTTCCTGGCTTGCAGACGGCCACCTTCTCACTGTGTCCTCACATGGCCTTTCCTCGGTGCGTGAGCAGGAGTGGTGAGGTGGGTGTGGAATCTCTCTTTCTGTTCTTATAAGGACACGAATCCTATCAAATTGAGATCCACCCTTATGATCTCATTTCACTTTAATTACTTCCTAAAAATCTTATCTCCTAATACATTCACATTAGGGGTTAGGGTTTCAACATATGAATTTTGTGGGGGACACAATTCAATCCATGACATTCCATACTTGGCCCCCAAATTCGTGTCCTTCTTATATGCAAAATACATTCATTATATCCCAACAGCTTCCCAAGTCTTAATTTATTCCGGCATCAACTCTGAAGTCCAGATTATGGTCTGAATATCATCTAAATCACATATGGGTGAGACTTTATGTATAATTCATCCTAAAGCAAAATTCCTCACCAGCTGTGAACCTGTGGAACAAGACAAGATGTATGCTTCCAAAATACAATAATGGGACAAGTGTGGGATAGACATTCCCATTCCAAAAGGGAGAAATATGAAAGATGGGGCTGGGCACGGTGGCTCACGCCTGTAATCCCAGCACTTTGGGAGGCAGAGGCGGGCAGATCACAAGGTCAGGAGATTGAGACCATCCTGGCTAACATGGTGAAACCCCGTCTCTACTAAAAATACAAAAAATTAGCCAGGCGTGGTGGCAGGAGCCTGTAGTTCCAGCTACTTGGGAGGCTGGAGGAGAATGGCGTGAACCCGGGAGGTGGAGTTTGCAGTGAGCCAAGATTGTGCCACTGCACTCCAGCCTGGGAGACAGAGTGAGACTCCATCTCAAAAAAAAAAAAAAAAAAAAAAAACACAGACAAAAAAAGAACAGAAAGAAGGAAGAAGTGATGTGTCCCAAGAAAGTCCAAAATCTAGTGAGATAAATTCCATTAGATTTCAAGGCTTCAGAATAATCCTTTTTGGTTTGATTGTCTTCCCTTCTGGCCCACTGAGGTGGCAGTGTCACCTCCATGGCTGGAGGTGTGAGTCCTCCCAACAACCCCTCCCCCGACTCCCAGGTGTCTGATGGAGGCTGTCTGGCTTCTTGAACCGAGGCAGTGGTCCTGATTATCTCTGAATCACCCTTAGGGTAATTTTTCCCTCTTCTGGAAGAATAGTGAGGGCTGGGTGCAGTGTCTCACGCCTGTAATCCCAGTACTTTGGGAGGCCGAGGTAGGTGGATCACCTGACGTCAGGAGTTTGAGACCAGCCTGGCCAACATGGCGAAACCCCCCATCTCTACTAAAAATACAAAAATTAGCCAGGCGTGGTGGCGAGTGCCTATAATCCCAGCTACTCCAGAGGCTAAGGCAGGAGAATCACTTGAACTTGGGAGGCAGAGGTTGCAGTGAGCCGAGATGGCACCACTGTACTCCAGCCTAGGTGACAGAGTGAGACTCTGTCTCAAAAAAAAAAAAAAAAAAATGCATGTTCACAGCTGAGTACCTCATTGTTTTTTACCGTCAAATCCAAGAAGTCTGACAGCCTTCCTTCAATTGTCTTGTCTCTTCCCCTTCAGTTCAAACTGGCAGTGTTTCTTTCTGTTCCTATAATTCCATAAGCATTTTATTAAATGATAGTCCAGCCACATTTTTGGCGTTCTCTTCAGAACATGCTCCCTCATTTTTCTCAGAATGGGTAGGCTGAGAATTTTCCAACTCTTTAATTTTTGGTTCCCTTTTGCCTAAACATTCTTTTTCTAATTCACCCCTCTCCCCTTGCATTTTACTACATGCAGTAGGAGGAACAAAGCTGCTTCTTCCATGCTTTGCTCAGACGTATCCGCAGCTAAATATCCAATTTCATTGTTTGCAAGTTCCACCTCTTGCAAAACAGCAGAACACAGTTTAGTCCTTTCTTTGCCACTTTATAACAAGGATCACTTTCCCTCCAGTTTCCAATACGTGTTCCTCATTTCCATTGGAGACTTCACCAGAATGATCTTTAATGCCCATATTTCTGCCAACATCCTATTTGTGGCAATCTAGACTTTTTCTAGCTTTTACCTCAAAACTCCTCTAACCTCCACTCATGACTCAGTTCCAAAGCTGTTTTCACATTTTTTCAGTATTTGTGACAGCAGCGCCCCACTTCTCAGTACCAAAATGTGCCTTATTCAGCTTGGGTTGCCATAACAAAACACCATCGACTGGATGGATTAACCAACATACATGTATTTTCTCACAGTTCTGGATCCTGAAAGTCCGAGATTGGAGTGCTAGCATGGGTGGGTTCTGGTGAAGTCCCCTTCCTGGCTTGCAGATGGCCACCTTCTCGCTGAGTCCTCACACGGGGCAGCACGTGCAAGAGAATTCTGGTCTCTGTTCCTCTTCTTATAAGAACATCAATCCTATCCGATTAGGACCTCAGCCCTATGACCTCATTTTTCTTAATTACCTCCTAAAACCCCTATTTCCAAATAGAGTCACACTGCGGGGTTAGAGTTTCCTTTCTTTCTTTCTTTTTTTTTTGAGATGGGGTCTTGCCCTGTTGCCCAAACTGGAGTGCAGTGGCACAATCTCAGCTCACTGCAACCTCTGCCTCCTGGGTTCAAGAGATTAGACATGACTGGCTAGTTTTTGTATTGTTGTAGAGATGGAGTTTCACCATGTTGGCCAGACTGGTCTTGACCTCAAGTGATGCACCCGCCTTGGCCTTCCAAAGTGCTGGGATTACAAGCATAAGCCCCCACCCCCGGTCCCCCACCTACTTTTAATTCATGCATTCTTGCTATATTTTAGGTACCATATAAGTTTCCAAAATTCCAGAAATGTTTTCAGAGCATGGTTCAGTTACATGCATTTTAAAAATAAATAAAATTGCTCACACATTCCCTGGGAAGGACCAACAGTTTAAATGTCAAAGTCCAAGAAGCATGATAAATTCTTATGGGCTTGGCATGGGGCCTGGCATGGGGTAAAAAAAAAAAAATCTCTATATCTCTCTTTTTTAAACTTTTATTTTAAGTTCAGGGGTATTTAGGTTTGTTATATAGGTAAACTTATGTCATGGGGAGTTGTTGTACAGATTATTTAATCACCCAAGTGTTAAGCCTAGTACTCATTAGTTATTTTTCCTGATCCTCTCCCTCTTCCCACCCTCTACCCTCCGGTAGGCCTCAGTGTGTGTTGTTCCCCTCTATGTGTCCATGTGTTCTCATCATTTAGCTTCCACTTATAAGTAAGAACATGAGATATTTGGTTTTCTGTTCTTGTGTTAGTTTGCTAAGGATAATGGCCCCCAGCTCCTTCCATGTCCCTGCAAAGGATACGATCTCGTTCTTTTTTATGGCTGCGTAGTATTCCATGGTGTTTATGTACCACATTTTCTTTATCCAGTCTATCACTGGTGGGCATTTGGGTTGATTCTATGTCTTTGCTATTGCGAATAGTGCTGCAATGAACATACACGTGCATGTGTATGGTAGAATGATTTATAGTCCTTTGGGTCCTAATCCTTACAATAAACTTAAAAAATAGCTATTAAAATCCCCATTTCAGATGAGAAAACTGAAGGTCATGGAGATTAAATGACCTGTCCAACTCCTGGGTTGGTGGAGCTGGTGTTCAAATCCTGGTCCATCCAATGCTACGATAAAACCTACATCCTTTCTATCCTCTTCCCCTGCAGCCAAGATGGCGGCTAAATATCTGGAAGTCCAGCCGTGGGGAGGGAGCAGGAAAGGCAGAATCCAGAGGCGAGACAGAGTCCTGAAATGAGGGAATTCAAGGCTCCAGCTGCATCTGGGAACCTACGGACATTGGGTTCAGCTGCTGGGGTGAGAGGCAGCTACAGGAGCCACTTGCACTTCTGGCAGGTATCTGGGCCTCAGCTGGCCAGGCCAGAATGTGGGGCCAGGCTCCAGGCCAAACGAGAGCTAGTGTGAGAGTCAGAAGCCCTGTTTGGGTGCTGGGTGGAAGAGAAAAGATGAAGCTTGGGGATTCCACAATGCCCTCAGATGAATCTCCTGCACTTTGAGCCAATAAAAGCCAATAAAATAGATCTGGGACTGACTTTGGAGATCACAATCGGGCATGGAGGAGCAGGGCAGTTCAGTTCAGCTCGGTAAGTACTGATGAAATGTCTAATGCGTAGGGGGTGCTGGAGAACAGAGAGCCACCAGCCCAGGACCTGACCTTGGGAAACCCCCTGTTCTGTGAGGGCCTGATGAGTCTGAAAGGGGATCTCTTTAGGCCTGGAACCAAGGGTCTCGGCACGATTCACATTCACACATTTCTCTTCCAGGGCCATGTTCTGCAACGATTTAAAGGAAAAGTATGAGAAAAGGATCATTATTAAAGGGGTTGATGCTGAGACCATGCACACTCTGTTGGACTACACGTACACCAGCAAGGCGCTGATCACCAAGCAGAATGTCCAGCGGGTCCTGGAGGCTGCTAACCTCTTCCAGGTGTGTGAACAAACTGGCTCAGTGCTCTTCTCTGAAGCAGGTGAATGCAGTAATTCTCCAGAGGCCAGACCTGGTCTAGCTCCCAGGCCTGTACCTGGGACATGGACACACACACACACACGCACACAAACACACACACACACACGCACACCCCTAGCTGGGCTTGTGCTTACTTGAAAGTTAGAAGATGCTCTTTTGGAAAATTTCTCAGAGGGAGTGAGATAGGGCATTGACTCCTTAATAAGATGAAGCCAGGGGAGCTTTGTGCCTAGAACCTAGGCATGGGTCCTGACTCCAAGAACAATAAGTACAACTTGCAGAAGCTTAATTGGAGCCAGTGGCTCTTCTGTGGTTTGGGGTTACTGATGTCTCCTGGTTTCATCGAGGGTGGTGTTTATGTTTCTGTTTTCTGTTCTCCTTTCAGTTTTGGGTGGCTTTTCAAAAGAGCTATAAAAACTTTTTAAATAGTAAAGACTATAATCTTTTGTAATGTATGTTTCAGATATTTTCCTGCTAGTCACTTGACTCATCATTTTAAAATATAGCTTTTTTAATGTACAAAAGTTTAAAACTAGTACTTAGTCATAGCTATTGATCATTTCCTGGAAGACTTTTGTCTTTGGTGTGCATTTTTAGCCTTTCCCTTGCTTGATCATATCCTTATTCAATTTCATTTAGTCTTGTTATGTTTACAACTTTAATATCCTTTTTTTTGGTTTGTTTGTTTTTGTTTTTGTTTTTTTTTTTAGAGAGAGTCTCGCTGTGACGCCCAGGCTGGAATGCAATGGCACCATCTTGGCCCCCTGCAACCTCTGCCTCCCGGGTTTAAGCGATTCTCCTGCCCTAGCCTCCCAAGTAGCTGGGACTACAGGTGCATGCCATCAAGCCCAGATGATTTTTGTATTTTTAGTAGAGATGGGGTTTTACCATATTGGCCAGGTTGTTCTTGAACTCCTGACCTCAAGTGATCCATCTGCCTCAGCCTCCCAAAGTGCTGGGATTACAGGCATGAGCCATCGTGCCCAGCCAACTTTAATATACTTAGAATCACTTGGCATAAATTATTTTTCTCCATTCCCCCCACCCCTTGCCTCATTTTTAATTTTCTCTCAAGTGATGAACTTCCATAGAGATGTTAGTTTTAATGAGAACAGTGGGAGAGGACAGACATGGTGCAGAGACAGAGTGAGCTTTATTTGTTGTTGATTTCCCTATTCCGGTAATCCCTTGCCTCAAAAAATCCTAAATATCTTTTACTTTCTAGGCAGAAATTAGCAAGTTTCTTTCTGAAGCGATTGTACTCAGTTTCCTTATAAGTGTCAATTCTTAAGAAAATAAGAGAAGATTGCTGTGGGCTTCCAAATATCTATTTAACCCACTGATTTCTGTTGACTCTGGGTTACTTGCTATGAAGTCTCAGACAGAGAAAACTGGGGTCATATTCAGGCTTCACGGCATCATAAGGGACAGAAGTTTATAGGTTGTTGAAATAACTTTGTGGTTTGTAAAAATTATTTATTTATTTATTTATTTGAGATGGAGTTTCACTCTTGTTGCCCAGGCTGGAGTACAATGGCACAATCTTGGTTCACCGCAACCTCTGCCTTCTGGGTTCAAGCAATTCTCCTGCCTCAGCCTCCCGAGTAGCTGGGATTACAGGCATGTGCCACCACGCCCGGCTAATTTTTTTTGTATTTTTAGTAGAGAGGGGGTTTCCCCATGTTGGCCAGGCTGGTCTCGAACTCCCGACCTCAGGTGATCCGCCCGCCTCGGCCTCCCAAAGTGCTGGGATTACAGGCATGAGCCACCGCACCCGGCAAAAAATTATTTATTCTTTTGAATGGATAAAACATACTCCCATTCCAAATTCAGAACCCCGGAAGGGAAGCAGTGACACTGCCTGTTTGCAGTGTCCTGCTGTTCTTCATATTCCATGCATATAGCAGTCTCTATATGCATATCACTCCCACTCAGGCTTCCATTTTTTCTAACACAACGTAGGCACACTATACATCCTGTTTCGCATCTTACTAGTTTTACTTCACATTCTATTTTGGGCATTGCCGCAGGTCTGCGTGTGGAAACTACCTTGTTCTTCTCAATGGCAGCATGATATTGTTGGGGTCACATTAGATGTGAAACATGTCCAGTTATTGCTAATGATCTCTTATAAGGCAGAGTGGCAGAGTAGAAAGAACACGGGCAAGCAGACCTAGGTTTAAACCCTGGGTCAGTCACTTATTTGCTATGTGGCTGTGGACCAGTTACTTAAATTTTCTGAGATTCAGATTTTTCATTTGTAAAATTAGGCTGATAAACACCCCACCTTCCAGGGAAAGCTATTATGAAGTTAGATGAGATGATGTTTTCAAAGTACAGCATATTTCCAGGAATGGACGTGTCTTCCCATCAGTTGTGTGGTTTTTACTTTACTTTGGATAGTTTGTGCCTTGGATAAATGGGGCTGACATTGAGCTATGAGAACATTTCCCTAAGGTATTCCTAAATTTTCCCCCCCGGGTTAGGATTGTAAGAGACCATGTTTAAAAGTGTGTGTGTGTGTGTGTGTGTGTGTTTTTTTTTTAGAGAGTCTCACTCTGTTGCCCAGGCTGGAGTGCAGTGGTGCAATCTCGGCTCACTGCAACCTCCGCCTCCCGGGTTCAAGTGATTCTCCTGCCTCAGACTCCCGAGTAGCTGGGATTACAGGTGTGCACCACCATGCCTGGCTAATTTTTGTATTTTTAGTAGAGACGGGGTTTCACCATGTTGGTCAGGCTGGTCTTGAACTCCTGACCTTGTGATCCACCTGCCTTGGCCTCCCAAAGTGCTGGGATTACAGGTGTGAACCACCATGCCCAGCCAAAAGTTTTTTTTATCATGTTCATACGATACATGATTAGAATGATGAAATGAATCAGTGCTTTATTTTAATTAACTCAGGGTTATAGGTAGAGAAAAGTGTGCCAGTGATGGCATTTTATCTGGTCCTTTTACAACATCTGCAGAAGTCAGTACCACCTCTGTGGGACTGAAATGAACAGGAATCAGATTATCTCAGTGCTCCCCGCCCCACCCAGTAATAAACGCTTCTTAATTTTCACCATTGGTGTGACTCAGCTGCCCTTAGTGTCTTCCTGTTACCCACCAATTGCTTCTCTCCCAGAATTTCCTGGTGCAGGAAGAGACAATCCGATGACCAAGCCAATCAGCTCTATCACTGTTTGGGAAGAGCTTTTCCTACCAGGCCAGGCAACGTCATGAGCTGCTGGCCAGTTTACAGCGTGGGTGCCTTGGGTTTACAGACCAATCAGCGATGCCATGAAACAGGACAGTTTCTTTTAGGAGGAAACTTTGGGTGTGGCAGGTACTGATTGATCTGCCCACTAGAAGAACTTTGCAATCATCTGGCCGTAATGCATTGGCCAATCATGAGGAGAAACACATTTTCCCCAACTAGTTTTTGGAAAGGTAAAAGTAAGAGAAGCATCTAAGAGGAAAGGCCTAAGGGACCTGTTCTCACATGCGGTGGGATCTTTGAAATGAATGCCACCCAGTAGGGGCTCTAGAGAAGCCAAAGGTCTCCCTTTCCTTAACTGGACCTTCAGGCTTCTGAGTCGTAGGTAAGCAAGCCAGCCCCAAACTATGGACCTGGGACAATGGCTGTAAGGACTTGGCAAAATTTTTCCATCTTGAAGGAGAATGATTTCTCAATCAGGGCACTGCCATGTTGTTTGAGAAGTTTGCCATGTTTGTTACTTTCATTTTTATTATTAAAAACTCATGAGGCCGGGCACAGTGGCTCACACCTGTAATCTCAGCACTTTGGGAGGCTGAGGCGGGTGCATCACCTGATGTCAGGAGTTCCAGACCAGCCTGGCCAACATGATGAAACCCCGTCTCTATTAAACATACAAAAAATTAGCCAGGTGTGGTGGTGGGCGCCTGTAATCCCAGCTACTCAGGAGGCTGAGGCAGGAGAATCTCTTGAACCCGGAAGGGGGAGGTTGCAGTGAGCTGAGATTGCGCCACTGCGCTCCAGCCTGGGCGACAGAGTGAAACTCCATTTAAAACAAAACAAAACAAAACACCTCATGAAATGTAGCCAAATACCACCTGTACCCCAAAAACTTATGGAAAAAAAACAAACAACAACTCATGGGAAAAAAAACCAACTCATGAAAGAGTAAGGGATTGGGAGCTTATCTGCAGGCAGCAAGAAGATGTGAGGTCAGGGAGACCATTCTCACCCTGCATTTGGTCTGGGATGTAAGGATCCCTACGGTACATAACAGTTGGTTAGAAGCAGCAACTTAGGAGAAGAAAACCAGGCTAAGTCCCGTGGCCAAAGTGAGGAAAAAGGGGGATGCTGGAGTGGGAGCTTGGTCATCTGGCCTGGGCCTGAGAAGAGCCCAGGAGGGGCTCCCACAGAACCCTCTGGGGCAGTGACATGGTGGCAGTTAGAGGAGACATTGGTGAAGGTCCAGTGTTGCTTATTTCCCTAGGATTGCCTTTGTTTACAATAGGATGAATGCGCATGAGGCTAATGCAGATGAGACAGCCACGTGGTCAGTGTCTGACTTGATGGCCTGGGTTGGCTCCTTGGCTTATGCAATGCCTGGGACATAGCGGGCATGCTATGAATATTGGTGGAATACATGAATATGTGAATAAATGCACTAATGAGTGTGTCACTCTTGTTCATTACTAGCTGGATGTAAGGACTTCTCAAAAACTGCTCAAGAAGCCAGGCGCGGTGGCTCACGCCTGTAATCCCAGCACTTTGGGAGGCTGAGGCAGGCGGATCACGGGGTCAGGAGATCGAGACCATGCTGGCCAACATGGTGAAACCCCGTCTCTACTAAAAATAGAAAAATTAGCTGGGCCTGGTGGCGTGCGCCTGTAGTCCCAGCTACTCAGAAGGGAATCGATTGAACCTAGGAGGCGGAAGTTACAGTGAGCCGAGATCGCACCACTGCACTCCAGCCTCGTGACAGAGTGAGACTCCATCTCAAAACAAAAACCAAACAAACAAACAAACAAACAAAAAACTGCCCAAGACTCCAACAGAAATTACTTGGTCTCCTTCCAGGCGACACTAAGAAGCCCAATCCTGGCTCTTGGAAATGGTGTGGGCCAAGAAAGGAGGAAATATTTCACAGGCTAATACTAATAATTGCTTCATTTTATAGGTGCCTGATGAAGTGCCAGGCACCTACTATGATATACTATGTACACACATGAATTTCTGTTGTCATGGACAGAGACTCACAGATTATATCTATTCAACACCATAGAAGCCAGTCAATCTAGGCAAGAAAACCAGCTGGATTATTTCCTTGCTATCATCTACATAAAATCAGCCTGTTGACTATTTGATGCACTCCCTCTCACACTTAAATTTGGTCAACCAGTGTTGCTGTGTGGCTACTGTAAGCATTAAGCAATCAGGGTTAGTCTACTGGGTCCACATGACAGCCACAGTGGCCCTTTTCAGAGCATTCACCAGAGTCTTTTTTTTTGAGACAGAGTCTTGCTCTGTTGCCCAGGCTGGAGTGCAGTGGCGCCATCTCGGCTCACCGCAACCTCTGCCTCCTGGGTTCAAGCGATTCTCCTGCCTCAGCCTCCTGAGTAGCTGGGATTACAGGAATGTGCCACCACACCCAGCTAATTTTTGCATTTTTATTAGAGACGGGGTTTCACCATGTTGGCCAGGCTGGTCTCGAACTCCTGACCTCAGGTGATCCACCTGGCTTGGCCTCCCAAAGTGCTGGGATTACAGGCCTGAGCCACCGTGCCCAGCCAGTAGCAGCTATTTTGCCTGAACTACATTGTTTAAAGTCATGTAAGTCTAGCCAGGCACGGTGGCTCACGCCTGTAATCCCAGCACTTTGGGAGGTGGAGGCGGGCGGATCACCTGAGGTCAGGAGTTCGAGACCAGCCTAACTAACATGGTGAAACCCCTGTCTCTACTAAAAATACAAAAATTAGCCAGGTGTAGTGGCGGGCGTCTGTACTTCCGGCTACTTGGGAGGCTGAGGTGGGAGAATCGCTTGAACCCGGGAGGCAGAGGTTGCAGTGAGCTGAGATCACACCATTGCACTCCAGCCTGGACGACAGAGTGAGACTCCATCTCAAAAAAAAAAAAAAAAAAATCAGGTAGGTCTTTTTACCCTCAATGTATAGATGAGGGGCATAAAATTCAGCAATGTTAAGGAAACGCTAAAGTCTCCACAGCTAGTAAGAGGGGAGCCTGGATTTGACTCCTGTGGTCCTGTGCGTAGCCTGTGTGTTCTCCAGTGCACATGCTCTGTCCATGCCTCAGAGTGACGCCTGAAACAAGCCATCACCCTGAAGGCAGCTAGGGCCTCCGGGGAGGGTGTCCTCAGGGAGGACTGCCCAGTGCAATGTTCTGAGAACCAGCAGTGCTCTGTGCGAGTGTGTCGGGGGCAAGACTGGCCCAGCACCCTCTGGGGAACCTTGGATGCCTGGGGCCACCTGTAGGGGAAAGAAAGAGATCAGACTGTTACTGTGTATATGTGGAATGAAGAAGACATAAGAAACTCCATTTTGTTCTGTACTACGAAAAATTCTTCTGCCTTGAGATGCTGTTAATCTGTAACCCCAGCCCCAATCCTGTGCCCGCAGAAACATGTGCTGTGTTGACTCAAGGTTTAATGGATTTAGGGCTGTGCAGGAGGTGCTTTGTTAAAAATGTGTTTGCAGGCAGTATGCTTGGTAAAAGTCATCGCCATTCTCCAGTCTCGAGAGTACCCAGGGACAGAATGCACTGCGGAAGGTCACAGGGACCTCTGCCCAAGAAAGCCTGGGTATTGTCCAAGGTTTCTCCCGACTGAGACAGCCTGAGATATGGCCTCGTGGGAAGGGAAAGACCTGACCGTCCCCCAGCCCGACACCCGCAAAGGGTCACACTCTGTGCTGAGGAGGATTAATGAAAGAGGAAGGCCTCTTTGCAGTTGAGATAAGAGGAAGGCATCTGTCTTCTGCTCGTCCCTGGAAATGGAATGTCTCGGTGTAAAACCCGATCGCACATTCTATTTACTGAGATAGGAGAAAACCGCCTTATGGCTGGAGGTGAGACATGCTGGTGGCAATATTGCTCTTTACTACACTGAGATGTTTGTGTAAACTCAAACATAAATCTGGCCTACATGACATCAAGGCACAGCACCTTTCCTTAAACTTATTTATGACACAGAGACCTTTGCTCACACGTTTTCCTGCTGACCCTCTCCCCACCATTACCCTATAGTCCTGCCACATCCCCCTCACCGAGATAGTAAAGATAGTGATCAATAAATACTAAGGAAACTCAGAGACCAGTGTCGGCGTGGGTCCTCCGTATGCTGAGCGCCGGTCCCCTGGGCCCACTGTTCTCTCTCTATACTTTGTCTCTGTGTCTTATTTCTTTTCTCAGTCTCTTGTCCCACCTGATGAGAAATACCCACAAGTGTGGAGGAGCTGGCCTCCTTCACCCGCAAGCATCCCCAGAATGAGTCTGCTGCTGGCCATTTAACAACTCTTTTGTCTTTATATTTCTCGGTGTTTGATCTCAATTGTTTATGCTTTTATTTTTAGGTATAACTTGCATTTAGTAAAATGTACACTTCTTAAAGTGCTTCCAGCTTGATGATTTTTCACATGTGTATTTCACCATGCAACCACCAGTCAGATCAACATTGACAACAGCCCTGGCATCCCAGAACTCTCCTTCACAGCCTCCCTAGCCAGTCCTTTCCCACGCTAATTACTGCTCTAGCATCTGTTGCCATGGGTTAGTTTTGCCTGCTTTTGAATTTCATATTGTTCTTTTTGAGTCCTAACTAGTACAGAGGGTCTGAATCTTAGGCTACAAACTCAAGTGTGCCAAAAAGAATGTGATTTAACCTATTATTTTTCTGTTTTCTTGTTTTTTTTTTTTTTTTTTTTTTGAGACAGGGTTTTGGTGTGTCACCTAGGCTGGAGTGCAGTGGCACAATCATAGCTCACTGCAGCCTTGAACTCCCAGGCTCAAGAGATTTTCCTACCTTGGCCTTTCAAGTAGCTGGGAATATAGCCATGCACCACTATGCCCGGCTTTTTATTATTATTATTATTATTATTTTAGAGACAAAGTCTCTCTCTGTTGCCCAGGCTGGTCTTGAACTCCTTGCCTCAAGCAATCCTCCTGCCTCAGCCTCCCAAAGTGCTGGAATTACAGGCATGAGCACTGTGGTCGTCCAAACCTGTTATTTTTCTATCATTGAACTTAATTTCTATCCTGAGCTCTCATTCTACCAGTGGCAGAAATCATAGGTAGTGACACAGGAAAGTTTAATCAATTCAGGATTCGGGTTGCTTATATAGTTCCAGGAAACATTTATACAGTGCCAGGGCATTGAAAAAAGAGGCATCTGTCCTGGGCTTACCATGGTCATTTGCATTATTGGTCCATGTGGCACCCACTGGAGCACCTGTGTTCCCATCAGTCTCTCTCTGATTTTTCATTCCTTTCTCACTGACATCAACAAGTCCCCAGTCCTACCTGATTCTGGTCATTGGTCCTTGCAGGTCACTTTGCATTCTCTCTGTCCTGTTTGCAAAGCCTCTTCAGGTCTGGCAATCCTCTCAGCTACATCTGTGCCCCTCTCAAGACAAAAGACACTTCCATTCCCTCTCCTTTACAAATCCAGAGCTACAGGGGACGTGGAGCAACTGCCACAGGGCCCCTTTGTCTGGAAACAATACACTCTCATCTCATCTGCTGCTGCCATACCGGACTGCTGCTTTTCTGCTTTCAGCTCGGCGATCAAGGCACATGTTCTTTTGTTCTCAGATTCACAACCTATAAGGGACGTTTAGCATCCCCCTCACTCTGGAGATTTGGCCTGGGATGGGAAGCAAGGCATCATCTCGGGAACCCACCCCTGCTTCTCACTCTGTTGTTAGACAATCTCTCTCTTGTCCCTCTTCCTTGCCTGGGAATCTTTATTGCCTCCAGGGTGGGAAAAGCTGACTCTTGCTTTGTCATCCGTTCTCTCACGTCTCCTGTTTTGGTATAAACTTTGTACCCAGACTCTTTAGGACTCTGGCTTTTGAGGCTGGAAGGGGTAGGTTCTTACCACTAACTGGTATTTCTTTCAAAACCACTTCTCTAGTTTAAGTTCTGAAAGTCTATTTAGAAACTCAAAAGCCAAGAATTATCTTCTTTTGCCTGCTCTATCACCCCTTCCCTGAGTAAGCCTGTGCTCGGTTGCTGCCTATAGGTTGTAAAATACAGGAAGTGGGGTGTGGGGTTTTTAATTGTAATGAAAATCCATATCGCTACCAGATTCTGACTTTAACTGCTCCCTAACTACCACAAATTACTAAGCATGTTCTAAGTGCAAGGTGTTTTGTGAGAAGCTGTCAGGAGAATATAAAGATTAAAAATGTGGAGTACAGATCACATTTTTGTAGCAATTTTGTCCCCTACATATCCCATTTGATGTTGACCATGTCTCTGTGGGCGAGCAGGCTAGGTAGAACCATCAGTGTGAGCCTGCGAGGTGAGTTTTATGTTCTTAGCACTTTCCAGATGAGAAAACTAGCTGAGAGAGAGAGAGTGTTCAGCTCATCAAGTGGTGGAGCTATGGGTGGAATTTTCAAGTAAACCCAGAACTTCCAACTCCATATATCCACTTCCCTCCACTATCCCTGAAAGATTCTCAATGAGCCTCCAGGCCATTGGGCAAACCAAGTAGAGCCCAGGGCAGAAAGGAGGGGACATTGAATTGGACCTCATAGGATGGTGGCAGTAGGATTGGGAGAAAAGTATTCCAGGCAGAGAGAACCTGGAAGTGGACTTGTTTCAGCCTTCTCTACCCACCACCCCACCTATTGCAGCTGCCTGTGTTCACGGGGCTGCTTCTCAGCACTTGTCTTCTGCTTCCATTCCTGCTCCTGTGCCCTACGCACACACACACAAACCACACCCTGAGCATCAATCATGTCCGAGATGCAATCATTCTACTTAATCTTTACAACAGTGTTTCTCCCTGGTCCTTACCTCATTGCTGGGCTGAATCACTGAGCCCCAGCCATGCCACTTGCCCCTTGAATATGTGGGTCACATGTATTGCCTGTTGTGCCCTGCTAGCCTGCTGGGGCCACCACCGTCTTCTCTGGAAACTCAGGGGCTGTTTGCTGATTGAACACAATTGTAAGCTTGCCACACTGCTGGTCTTTTCCCCAGTCCACTTCCACAGTTGCCTCAGTCCCTCAACACCTGCCCTGCCTTAGTGAGCAGGTCTTTTGCAGGTCTTAGTTCCTTCCTTTTCTGCCCACTCCATGAGGCTTCCAGGAACCAGCAGGTTTCTCAGCCAAGTCTAGAGCAAGGACTGAAAGGAGTGGCTAGAGGGAGCAGAGAATGCCCCTCCTGGGGGACTGTGAGACATACTGCCACGGGAACGGAGCTGGAGCATCGCCCGGGAGAGGGGAAGAGAGGTGAGGATGGAAGATTAGAATCAATGGTAATTCACAAATTTTTAGCATGAAGACCCCTTTTAAACACCAACACAGACCTCACAGGAGAGGAACTTTACTTTTAGTGTCTATTGCTGGAGAAGAAAAGTTTTGACAAAAAATTTACAATTGTCTGGGCACAGTGGCTCACACCTATAATCCCAGCACTTTGGGAAGCCAAGGCAGGCAGATCACTTGAAGCCAGGAGTTCGAGACCAGCCTGGCCAACATGGCAAAACCCTGTGTCTACTAAAAATATTATATAAAAATTAGCTGGGTGTGGTGGTGCGAGCCTGTAATCCCAGCTACTCGGGAGGCTGAGGCACAAGAATCACTTGAACCCGGGAGGTGAAGGTTGCATTGAGTTGAGATCACACCATGCACTCCAGCCTGGGTGACAGCATGAGACTCTGTCTCAAAAAACAACAACAAAAATTACAATGAATTCAGAAATACTTTGAAATAAATTTAAATGTTATTAATCTCATCACACCTTCACACATGCTGATTTGTCGGAGCTGAAGGTAAGAATATCAATGTCTTTATAGACCCTTTGCAATAACGCCAAAGCCACTTGGACACCATGATCAACAGAATTGCTGATGTGGACTAAAATAGGACTTCAGTGATTCTGAAGTGGATTTGAAGGCACCTTGAGGGAGACATGGAGTCACATGGGTGAAGTCCCCTAGGACCTCAGATTTTGGAGAACGTCATGGGGAAGCAGAGGAGGGGCAGTGGAGATGAGGAACAGGCAGTGCTTTCTCTTGGAGGCAGACACTTCTTGTGGGAACTGCAGCCACGTCTCAAGTGGTTTCTTTGATTGTATTTTTAGTCTCCTCATTTGAGAGTCAGGTGGCTGGCTGCAACCTTTTGCTCACATGTCCCCCCAAACAGGAAGCTGGCTGTCTTTTGCCATTATCTGTCATCTCTCAGCTCTGACAAACAAGTTCATGTGTCATCGGGACAGGCCGAGACAGAAAATTTACCTTGAAGTCTTGAATAATCTTGAATGTGAAGAAGCAAAAGCATATTTAAAAGAAACCCATTTCTGGTTCCCATGATTGCCCTGCGCATCATCAGTTTCCCAGCCATTGGTTGGGATCATGTGATGTTGCCCTACACCCCTCACACTAAAAGTGTTTATTGAAGTATATTTTGGAGGAACTTAGGCAACTTGGAGATCCCCCACCTGCCTCTGTCCTCATAAAGCCTCTTCAGACTCTCCTGGCATTTTGTTAGCTCAACAATGCAACAAGTTACAAAGGCACCACGATGCTGACTGGAGCATCAACTGTACTGCCTCCTAGCAGTGTGAACTTGCATCGCTCTTTGAATTCTCTATTTGCTCCTTTATACAAATGCTAATTCTAACACCTTCCCTTTTTTACCTGTTAAATAAAATACACTTGTTAAAAAATAAAATTTATTTGTTAAGTGAAATAATGACTGGGAATGTGTCTAGCACAGATCTTGGTGCATACTAAGTGATAAATATGTCCTTCCTCTGTCCCTCTTTCTCTTCTTTTTCCAGACTTTCTGCTAGATGCTGCTAGAAATAAATACCCAAGTATGACCTAGAAGCTGCTTTGAGATGCTTGTCTCAACTGACCTTAGTACTCTGGGTGCTCCACAAAAGGGGAAAGCAAGGTGCCCAGTGGAGCACAGAGGAGGGAGGGATTCCATGTTGGGGAATAGGAGAAGCCGTCAAGGAAGAAGTAGCTTTTAAGAATGAACTTCATGAATAGGTAGGATTTCTCTACAATTCTTCTTTTCCTTTTTATTTTTAGTTTTTTAGAGACAGAGTCTTGCTCCGTCACCCAGGCTAGAGTACAGTGGTGTGATCATGGCTCACTGCAAACTTGAACTCCCAGGCTCAAGCAATCCTCCCTCCTCAGCTTCCCAAGTAGCTGGGACTATAGGCATGCAACACCACAACAGGCTAATTTTTACATTTTTTGTAAAGACGAGGTCTCACTATGTTGCTCAGGCTGGTCTTGAAATCCTGGGCTCAATTGATTCTCCTACCTTGGCCTCCCAAAGTGCTGGGATTATAAGCTTAAGCCATTGTGCCCAGCCCTTAAACAATTATTGACCCAGAATTTTAAATGTCCAGAGGTGGGGTTCCAAGCACCGTCTAGTCAAGACTCTGGCTCTCTTCCTCTCTGGATCTTTTGACTTAGCTCTCTCTCTTGTGTTGGTTTTGTACTTAGGTGGAAGGATACCAGGGAGTAACTCACCTGTCCCCTGCCAACTAAGTTCCCAGAAAAATGCCACATGTGCAAATGTTCACATACTATTGTAGGGGTTCACAGACTTTCTGGATCGATCCATTGATCCCAGATGTAATAACTCTGAATCAAGAAAATAGCCCTGGCCGGGCATGGTGGCTCATGCCTGTAATCCCAGCACTTTGGGAGGCCGAGGTGGGCAGATCACTTGAGGTTAGGAGTTCGAGACCAGAATGGCCAACATGGTGAAACCCCATCTGTACTAAAATACAAAAAAATTAGCCAGGTGTGGTGGCGTGCCCCTGTAGTCCCAGCTGCTTGGGAGGCTGAGGCAGGAGAATCACTTGAACCTGGGAGGCAGAAGATGCAATGAGCCGAGATCGTGCCACTGTACTCCAGCCTGGGCAACAAGAGAGAGACTCCATCTCAAAAAAAAAAAATTAAATTAAATTTAAAAAAAGAAAGAAAACAGCCCTGTGTGGATAGAGTCATGGCTATAATATTTATGTCTTCCTTCTTCTTGAGGTAAACTTACAGGGGGATTTCTCTGTTGAAAATGGGGTGAGCTATCCTGAGTCTTTCCTTAAAAAGTTGGGCTCTGGAGTTGGGCTTGTCTGGGTGAGGCGCGTAGGATCATAACAGATGGTGATGATGAGGAAAGGCAGCTCAGGCCGAGAGATGGCAGGAGCGTGGAAAGGCACTGCAACAGGGCAGCTCCAGGACTGCTTGGAGGAGGTGAGGAGATGGGTGCAATTGTGGCTAGAGTTCTGAAAGGGAGGTTCCTGGTGATGACTGACAGCCAGATTGTGGAAGATTGAAGGGGTGGGGGTAGGACTGTCCTTGGTTTCAGGCAATGGAGTCCCTGGACTCTGGTCCATAGCATTTATCTCAAGTGTCCTTCCACACTCCGTGTTGTATTATTTGGTTAGCGTCTGCTGCCTCCACTGGTCTGTCGGCTTCAATGAGCGCAGGCGCTTTGTCTCTGCTCACCTCTGTACACCCAGCACTAGTTGGGAGCCTCCTACATAATATTAATAGATGCTCGCAGCCATAAAAAAGGATGAGTTCATGTCCTTTGCAGGGACATGGATGAAGCTGGAAGCCATCATTCTCAGCAAACTAACACAGGAACAGAAAACCAAACAACGCATGTTCTCACTCATAAGTGGGAGTTGAACAATGAGAACACATGGACACGGGGAGGGGAACATCACACACTGGGGCCTGTCGGGTGGTGGAGGGGAAGGGGAGAAAGAGTATTAGGACAAATACCTAATGCATGCAGGGCTTAAAACCTAGATGACGGGTTGATAGGTGCAGCAAACCATGGCACACGTATACCTATGTAACAAACCTGCACATTCTGCACGAGTGTCCCAGAATTTAAAGTAAAATAAAAAAAAAGAAATACATGCTCAATTCACATTCGGTCCATACACAGGTAGCTGGATGGATGAATTGCCAGGTGGAGTGAAGATCAATGCTTCTTCTAACAAATGTGAGCTTCAGTACTTGATTTGATTCTCCTCTGTGGTTTCCTTCTTTGCTCATCAACAGCCACCAAGCAGGAATAGGAACCGGCATCTTGTTGGCTAGTCCTTCCTGTGTCAGGGCAGATCAGGTCATCTGAGCTACCCAGTGACGTGTGCAAATGACGTTTGGCATCTGCCAAGCCTTTGTCCCCCACACACATTTTGTGACCTGCAGCAGCTTGAAATAGTATAAAAAACATGCATTTTTGGAATCAGAGATGACTGGTCCAAACTTTGCTTCTATCTTTTATTAACTGTAAGTCTCTGAGGAAATTACTTCTCTGAATCTGGTTTCCTCAGGGATGATAATAGATACCCTTTTCATGGCATTGTGGTGAGGATTGAGTAACTCTTACAGTTAGTATGTAGAGTCTGGCCTATAGTAAGTGCTCTTTTAGTGTTTACCTTTTATTTTCTCATTGCGTCCTTTAAAAATCACAATAATGTGTTTATTTTACGTATTTTTTCCTGAGTTTATAATGTTCATGCTCAGTATAGTAAAGTTGTCATACAACAAACTCTAAAAAAATTAATAACTTTATCTATAACCACTGCTAACATTTTGTATGTTACCTTCTAGTATTTTCTCTATAAATGAGAAAGTTGGTCTATTTTAGGTAGGTATTTCTTACACACAATTGGAGAGGATAGGAAGTGGTGAAGAGGGTAAAGTAATTCTCCCTTTCTTCCCTGAAATTGGATGGGAATTACAGTGTGAGCCACTGTGCCTGGCCTCTATGACTTTATTTTATATATATATTTATTTATTTATTTATAAAAATAGGATCATAGTCCCGGCCTGGTGGCTCATGCCTGTAATGCCAACACTTTGGGAGGCCAAGGTGGGTGGATCACCTGAGGTCAGGAGTTCGAGACCAGCCTGATCAACATAGAGAAACCTCATCTCTATTAAAAATACAAAATTAGCTGGGTGTGGTGGCACATGTTTGTAATCCCAGCTACTTGGGAGGCTGAGTCAGGAGAACCTCTTGAACCCGGGAGGCGGAGGCTGTGGTGAGCCAAGATCATGCCATTGCACTCCAGCCTGGGCAACAAAAGCAAAACTCTGTCTCAAAAAAAAAAAATATCATAATGTACATAATATGATTTGTGAAGTGCTTTTCTCATTTTATCTGCAAATATTTCAGTTATGTCTAAAAGATAAGGATTCTTCTTAAACATAAACATGAAACTATTATTGCACCTCAAATGAATAATAATTGTTTCATTATCACCAATAGAAACAACTACTGTTATCAGGTCTTATGTGGCCTCCCAGAGTAGTCTAAGTTCCTAGAAATATCTACTTAATTTTCCTCTCCTCTTCCCCTCACGCAAACGCTGGCATGGTGATCGTGGTATTTTGCACTGGGGGCTACCATTTAAGTGAGTTTCCTTTCAGCTCTCATAGATGTCTCTGTGAACAGGGCCAGATAGGGTTCTGGTGTCCAGTTCTGAGGGCTCACGAGGCTTGGTCTTTGTTGCATATTTTTAGTCTTTGAACTGAAAATCTGCCAACGACTAAACAGGTGTTAGCAGCCTTGTTCACAACTGTTTCCACGGTTGCTCATGCAAAGAGCAGAGCTGCCGGCAGTTGAGACCAGCAGACATGGGGTTCTGAGGCAGAATTCAGGCCTTCTGCAACTTTGCATTGTGTAGGGAAAAGAGAGATCAGACTGTTACTGTGTCTATGTAGAAAGGGAAGACATAAGAAACTCCATTTTGACCTGTACCCTGAAAAATTGCTCTGCCCTGAGATGCTGTTAATCTGTAACTGCCCCAACCTCTTTGCCCCAACCTTAAGCTCACAAAAACATGTGTTGTATGGAATCAAGGTTTAAGGGATCTAGGGCTGTGCAGGATGTGCCTTGTTAACAAAATGTTTACAGGCAGTATGCTCGGTAAAAGTCATTGCCATTCTCCAGTCTCAATAAACCAGGGGCACAATGCACTGCAGAAAGCCGCAGGGACCTCTGCCCTGGAAAGCCGGGTATTGTCCAAGGTCTTTCCCCATGTGATAGTCTGAAATATGGCCTCGTGGGATGGGAAAGACCTGACCATCCCCCAGCCCGACACCCGTGAAGGGTCTGTGCTGAGGAGGATTAGTAAAAGAGGAAAGTCCCTTGCAGTTGAGATAGAGGAAGGCCACTGTCTCCTGCCTGCCCCTGGGAACTGAATGTCTCAGTATAAAACCCGATTGTACATTTGTTCAGTTCTGAGATAGGAGAAAAACCGCCCTGTGGCGGGAGGCGAGACATGTTGGCAGCAATGCTGCTTTATTATTCTTTATTCCACTGAGATGTTTGGGTGGAGAGAAGCAAAAATCTGGCCTACGTGCACGTCCAGGCATAGTACCTCCCCTTGAACTTATTTGTGACACAGATTCCTTTGCTCACATGTTTTCTTGCTGACCTTCTCCCCACTATCACCCTGCTCTCCTACTGCATTCCTCTTATTGAGATAGTGAAAATAGTAATCAATAAATACTGAGGGAACTCAGAGACTGGTGCCGGTGAGGGTCCTCCGTATGCTGAGCGCTGGTCCCCTGGGCCCACTGTTCTTTCTCTGTACTTTGCCTCTGTGTCTTATTTCTTTTCTCAGTCTCTCGTCCCACCTGACGAGAAATACCCACAGGTGTAGAGGGGCTGGCCCCCTTCAGCATTGACCCTCGGAGAAATGCTTTATTTATTTATTTATTTATTTATTTTGAGATGGAGTTTTGCTCTTGTTGCCCGGGCTAGAGTGCAATGACACGATATCAGCTAACCGCAACCTCCGCCTCCCAGGTTCAAGCATTCTCCTGCTGCAGCCTCCTGAGTAGCTGGGATTACAGGCATGTGCCACCACGCCTGACTAATTTTGTATTTTTAGTAGAGACGGGGTATCTCCATGTTGGTCAGGCTGGTCTCCAACTCCTGATCTCAGGTGATCTGCATGCCTCGGCCTCCCAAAGTGCTGGGATTACAGGCGTGAGCCACCGCGCCCGGCCTAAAAAATGCTTTTTAAACTGACAATCCTATGTGATCTGACACAGAAAGATAATATTTTGCAATAGAGGTTGATCCAAAAAGTCAGGGATGTGTTCCCTGGAATGCTCTGGAGTAAAGTCCAGAGCCTAGGTCACCTTGGTCCACTCTTAGAACCAGTCCTGCCCCACTATCAACCTTCAGGCTCGATAGCCCCACTCCCCACAGCTCCTGCCAACCCTCCCCAGTCAGGTCTGTCCTGTCCCTACTCTCACCAGGACCTGCCTTCAGAAGGCCTCCCCCACCCCCACCAGGTCTTGCCCCCTCAGCCTCCCCTTTCCTCTCCCCCCATTAATCGATCAACCCATGGGCACCAAGAACTTGACCCTATAAGGAGTCCAGTAGACGGGGAAGGGAGCTAGGAGGTTGAAATTGTTCAAAGCTAAGCTCCAGAGAACAACAAATAAGAATGAACCAATGCATTTGAGACATGTCATCTGTAAAATGGATATTACAAAATATAATGGATATAACAGTGCTTTGTCATCTGTAAAGTGCCCTACAAGCACAAGGGACTTGAATTTTTATGAGGATGGTGATAACTTAAAAGTGGGACCTGAGAGCCAATCAATAATTTTACAAATTGATTTTTTAATGACAAAAGCGGTACGTATTCATTTTAAAGGATATATAAATAAATAAAACATATAAATAAACAAAAACAGAAAAATTCTCATAGTCTTCTTAGAGTGTCATACCTTCTATTATTTATATAGTATATTCCCTGTCCATCCCATGAGACCTGTTTCTGTGGGAGAACTATGGTTCCCTTGATGACAAATTTTGCCATGTGACTTACTCTGGACGGTTTTGTGTAAATGGATATAGCATGCGCCCCCTCTGAGCAGAAGCTTTAAAAGCCTCTGTGTGGTTCTGCCATCTTTTTCCCCTTCTGTCATGGGACCAGCATGTCTCAGGTAAGGGCTTTCCATCTTCCTGGCCCCTGGAATGAAGAGCCCCGTGAAGAACACATAGTGGGTAAGAGGAACATTTATTGTAAGCCCCTGAGACGTGAGGGTTGTTTGCTGCTGCAGCAGAATTTGCCTTAAGATACCTGATAACCCAAAGAGATAACAACCATTAATATTTTGACCTACATCCTTTCATCTTCTTTCTATGACTTTATTCTGTGTATGTTTTCTTTATAAAAATAAGGTCACAATGTACATATGATTTGTGACGTGCTTTTCTCATTTTATCTGCAAATATTTCACTTATAGCTCTAAAAAATAAGGATTCTTCTTCAACATAAACATGAAACCATTATGGCACCTAAAATGAATCATAATTGTTTCATTAGCACCAAATATTAGTCATTGTAAACATTTCTCCAACTTTAAAAAATATATATTGTTTAAATCAGGAATCCAAATAAGATCCATACTTTGCAATTGGTCAATGTGTCTTAAATCTCTGTTTATCTTTAGGTTCTCCCTCTCCTTCTCTCTCTCTTTTATCCCCTTGTAATGTATTTGTTGAAGAAACTGAACAAGTTGTTCAGTAGAGTTTTCCACAATCTGGATTTTGCTGATCATGTTCCCATGACGTCTTTAGCAGGTTCCTCTTTCCCTGTATTTCCTGTAAATTGCTGAGTAAATGTAGAGGCTTAATCAGATCCAATGAACAGATTTTAAAACTCAATACATTATGAACATTTTCTATTTCATTTAATATTTTCTACAACATGTGTTTTAAGTATCTACAGAGCTATCGACTGTATGAATGAATTATATGTATTTAGCTAGTCCCGTAAGTGTCTCATTGTTTTAAGTCGACTGTATGAATGAATTATATGTATTTAGCTCCTCCCGTAAGTATCTCATTGTTTTGTCGACTGTATGAATGAATTATATGTATTTAGCTCGTCCAGTAAGTATCTCATTGTTTTAAGTCTACTGTATGAATGAATTATATGTATTTAGCTCATCCTGTACTGTTGGACATTTAGGTTGTTTCCAATTTTTGGCTAATACACATAACTCACTGATAAACCTCCTTGTGGACTCACCATTTTCTGGCCTCCTTTCCACCCTTTCTATTTCATCAGTTCCTGCGGATGGTGGATGCCTGTGCCAGCTTCCTCACTGAAGCCTTGAACCCAGAAAACTGCGTTGGAATACTGAGGCTGGCTGACACACACTCGCTGGACAGTCTAAAGAAGCAGGTTCAGAGTTACATCATTCAAAACTTTGTGCAGATTCTGAACTCTGAGGAGTTTCTTGACCTGCCCGTGGACACTCTGCACCACATCTTGAAGAGTGATGACCTTTACGTGACCGAGGAGGCTCAGGTGTTTGAGACCGTGATGAGCTGGGTCCGGCACAAGCCATCAGAACGACTCTGCTTACTCCCCTATGTCCTCGAGAACGTGCGCTTACCGCTTCTGGACCCGTGGTACTTTGTGGAGACGGTGGAAGCAGATCCTCTCATCAGGCAGTGCCCAGAGGTCTTCCCGCTGCTCCAGGAAGCCAGGATGTACCACCTTTCTGGCAATGAGGTGAGTAGAAGATAAGAGGTGCTATATTTAACCAGCGAAGTAAGGAGTTAGCTAGGGGCTCACAGAGATGCAAGCAAAGCGGATTCAAAAATCCTTAGGGCATTAAGGAGAAAACACTGCCCTGTTCATTGCTGAGTCGGTCAGTTCCAGAAGCCCTGATTCCTGATCTATGAGGCCGATCCCACGTGTTCAGACAGTTACTGAGCGCGTTAGGTGAGATGTAGAAATCACCCAGCACCATGCCTGGCCCGTGCTTCCTCTTCCCAGTTGTGGAAGGGTGGGAGGTTGGGGGTCACACTGCACGCACAAACAAGAATGTGCCCTGGGCCGGGCCTGGTGGCTCACACCTGTAATCCCAGCAGTTTGGGAGGCCCAGGGCGGGTGGATCACGAGGTCAAGAGATCCAGACCATCCTGGCCAACATGGTGAAACCCTGTCTCTACTTAAAAATACAAAAAAATTAGGTGGGCATGGTGGCATGCACCTGTAGTCTCAGCTACTCGGGAGGCTGAGGCAGGAAGATCACTTGAACCCGGGAGGCAGAGGTTGTAGTGAGCCGAGATCACGCCACTGCACTCCAGCCTGGGCAACAGAGGGAGACTCTGTCTCAAAAAGCAAAGCAAAACAAAACAAACAAAAAACAAAAAAAACAAGAACGTGCCCTGTCTAGTCACTATTCCATGGGGGTGCTGCTCTTCCTTGCCCACTCTGGTGAAATCTTGTGTCTCTTGTATATACTCTGACATCACTTTGATTTAGACTCTCACCATCTGAATTTCTGGAAATTTCTCAAAACTCATCTTCCTCCCCCAAGTCTGGCCTCCCTCCAATTTATTCACCAGCTGAAAGATCTGAAACTCAAGTCTGATCATCTTGCTCCTGGGCTTGCCTTCTTCATTGGCTCCCCATCACTTTCAGAATAAAGCCCATACTTCCTGCCTACGTTCCCAGAGCCTGGTCTTGCATCATTAATCTCCTGCCTGCTTCTCTAGTGTCCTCTCCAACCTCCCACTTCTGCTCTAGTCCTAATGCACAGCTTGTGGTTCCCCAAAGTGGATGTGCTTTTTCTGCCTCCAGGTCAATCTGAATGTTGTTCAAATGCTTTTCTCTTCTTCATCTAGCTGACTTCTACTCCTACTTCAAAACTCAGTCCAAGCATCACTTTCTCCAGAGACTTCTCCTTTTATTTATTTATTTATTTATTTATTTATTTATTTATTTATTTATTTTTGAGAGGAGGTCTTGCTCTGTTGCCCAGGCTGGAGTACAGTGGTGCAATCATAGCTCACTGCAGCCTCGACCTCCCAGGCTTAAGTGATCCTCCCACCTCAGCCATCCAAGTAGCTGGGAGTACAGGCATGTGCTACCACACCCGGCTAATTTTTAAATATTTTGTAGAGACAAGGTCTCACTATGTTGCCCAGGCTGGTCTTGAACTCCTGAGCTTAAGTGATCTTCTCATCTCAGCCTCCCAAAGTGCTAGGGTTACAGGTGTGAGCCACCACACCCAGCCACTCTCCGTGTTCTCATAGCACTTGGTGCATTGCTCCATCACAGCACCAACTGCTGCATGGCAATGATTTGAATTTATTATATGTAAATATCTCTAGACTGGGAGCTTGTTATAGTAGGAAATATGTCTTATTGCACTTTACATCTCTAGATCTTAGAAGAGAGTCCTGAGACTGCTATATAGTGAATGAGTAATTAGTAAATGCTTGTTGAATGATTAAATGGGTACTACGAACGGTGAATAAACATGTCATTTGGATCTACCTGGTTCTCCTTAACAATTCCTGAAGAAGATTTTTCTTCAGAACTTTATAAAGACAAGAACAAATTTAGTGGAGAGGAAGTAATGATATAGGGACAGTTTGTTAACAGTTTGTACACATGAACACCCATACATATATCTCACTATGCAGTGGTTCTGGGATTAGCTACCAGGCTTTCTTCATTAGGCCATTGGTAGAAGCCTTAGCCAAACGTGGCCCAGGAATTGTCTGTCTGAGGTTCTTTTAGAGTTTCTCCCTTTTTCTGTGTGTTCTTTTCTAGTTTTTTTGTTGTCCTTAGATCCACTGTTCATTCATTCACTCTGCAAACATACCCTTAAATGTTTAGTAGAATTTACCAGAGCCTGGTGTTTTCTTTGTGGAAAGTTTTTAAACTATAATGTATATCTCTTTAATAGATATAGGACTATTTAGGATCTCTGTTTCTTCTAGAATGAATTTTGATAGTTTGTGTCTCAAAGAATTTTTTCATTTAATATAAGTTGCTGAATTTATTGGCATAAAGTTGTTCACAGCATTCCTTTATTATCTTGTTAATACCTGCAGAATCTATAGTGTTGTCACATCTCTCATTCCAGATATTGGTAATTTGTGTCTGCCCTTTTTTTTTTTCCTGATCAATCTGGTTAGAGGCTTATCAATTTTATTGATTTTTCTCAAATAACTAATGTCTAGTTTCATTTGATTTTCTCTATTGTTTTTCTGTTTTCTATTTCACCTATTTCCACTCTGATCATTATTTTCTTTCTTTCTGCTTAGTTTGGGTTTAATTTGCACTTATTTCTGTAGTTTCTTAAGGTGGAAGTGGAGGCCACTGATTTGAGACTTTCTTTCTAATATTGGCTTTCATGCTATAAATTTCCCCCTAAAAACTACTTAAACAGCATCCCATGTATTTAAGCACGCTATGCCTTCATTTTTTGCAAATAAATCCTGAACACCAATTCCTTGCCAGATATGGCACCAGGTACTGCAAAAACAGTCTGTGTCTTACCCAGGTACTGCTAAACAGTCTGTGTGTCAGAGAAGATGGGACATTTAACAAATGAAGGGTGATGAGTGGATTGATGGGGGGAGCCTAGGAAACCACATAGGTCCTATTCTATGCTGGATGTCTAGCAGACAGCCTGCATATAATTGCAGACAGGTTTCAGTCTCCGTAACTGCCCTCAGTTCAGCATTTATTCAGTGTCTCCCATGGAATACTACACAGCCATAGAAAAGAATGCAATCATGTTTTTTGCAGCAACATGGATGGAGCTGGAGGCCATTATCCTAAGTGAACTGACACAGGAACAGAAAACCAAATAATGCATGTTTTCACTTATAAGTGAGAGCTAAACATTGAGTACACATGAACACAAAGAAGGGAACAAAAGATACCAGGGCCTACTTGAGGGTAGAGGATGAGAAGAAGGTGAGGACTGAAAAACTACCTATCAGGTACTATGCTTATGTATGATTTCATCATACGGATGATGAAATAATCTGTACACCAAACCCCCACAACACACAATTTACCTATATAACAAATCTGCACATGCTGAACCTAAAAGTTAAAATAAATAGCACTTTAAAACAATTTAAACATATACTGTGCCTTGATCAACTATACTTCCAATATTTTTGCTATTTTTGTTTCTGCTTCCTATTTTCTAAGTCCTTGAAATGCAGATGATAAAGATTTTCTCTGATATAAAAGGTCCCTACCCTGTCTTCTGCAAAATTGCTGCAATGAAATATTTTTATTGCCTTTTGTATTTCCGAGGTGCTGGGGGCAGAGTCAGACATTATAAGCTTTAGATTTAGGAGGAGAGAGAATTCTGACATCTGGAAAATTCTTCAGTGGTGAGAACCTGGGCTTGGAGTCAGGCAGAGATCTGGGTGTTAATCTTGACTCCACAATTTATTTACAGTGTAATCTCAGGCAGTTACTTAGCTATGCTAAGGCTCAGTTCTGATCTGTAACATGGGGGTAATAATACCTACCAACTGATAGAACTGTCTTGAGAGTTAAGTAATGAATGGAACGCTTAGCACAGTGTCTGGTACAAGCTAAGTGCCCCACAAATGGAAGCTGTTGCCATTGCCACTTGGTTCGTTTATTGTTGCTCCATCTCTCACAATCAATCATTTTCCTTCTCTGGGGTTAAAACCAGTCTTTTCACTGTGTCTCAGGTTTTTGTGGCCTTATTTTCCCAAATCCTTCTCAAGGCACTTTCTCATCTTCATTTTATAGTTTGGACAACTGAACCAACCAACCAGCCACCATGACCTCCTAATTGGGGTCTCATTGCCAGTTGATTCCCTGAGTCAGTCTGCTCCCTGCTGGAATGGTCTTGGGTTGACTCCTGATGACAGTAGTGTGAGCCTGGAGGCTACTCTGTGAACACATTTCTCCCCGTACCCTTCATTTACCAAACTTTAACCCTCTTGTCCTATCATCATCTTTCCCATTTTTGTTTTATTTTGTTTTGTTTTTTCTTCAGACAGACTTTTGTTCTTGTTGCCCAGGCTGGAGTGCAATGGTGCGATCTCGGCTCACTGCAACCTCTGCCTCCCAGGTTCAAGAGATTCTCCTGCCTCAGCCTCCTGAGTAGATGGGATTACAGGCATGTGCCACCACCCCTGGCTAAGTTTGTATTTTTAATAGAGACGGGGTTCCTCCATGTTGGTCAGGCTGGTCTCAAACTCCCAACCTCAGGTGATCTGCCTGCCTCGACCTCCCAAAGTGCTGGGATTACAGGTGTGAGCCACCGTGCCCAGCCCATCTTTCTCTTCTAACCTTGCCCATCCTCTAAACTGGTGTTAACAACAGGAAATTTTAGAACACACCAAAAGCAAATGTCAGTCTCCATTTGATTTGGGAATGGTAGCTGGAACCTTCATTGAAAGAGAACTTTGGGGACAGAGGAAATTTGCCTCTTCATTTAACTGCCTCTTAAGTTTTCAGACATGAACCTGATCTATACCAAACATTACTCTGACATGTGTGATGTGGGGAAAGGGGAGCAGAGGCTCCAGCCCAAGGACAGCTTTGCTGAAACAATATGCTCACTCTGTCCCCTAGTATAAGATCTGTGGACAGTGAGCAGTCATTAAGGTGCAATTATCTGCTCTGTTTTTAACAATCTGAAAATAAACTGGTTATGCCTGATTGTTGCATGCAATTCATTGGCAAACACTTCCATATGTCTGCAACAAAGTGGCACGTCTCAGACTTCAGATTGACATTTGTCATGGCTTTGGGGTTAGTATTTTGCCAAATGTAGCTGAACTTACAATGTGGTAATGATGCCACCACTCGGCAGCTCCGTGGTGCTGAATTATAAGACAGGTCTCATTACCCTAGCCAAGCCCATCAGCTAGATGATTGTGTTAGTTCTCAATTGCTGCATAACAAATTACCCCCAAACTGAAAACTTTAAAATAACAAACACTTACTATCTAACAGGCTCTGAGTGTCAGAATGTAGGAGTGGTTTAGCTGGGTGCTTCTGGCTCAGGGTCTCTTATGAAGTTGCAGTAAAGCTCTTGGCTGGGGCTGCAGTAATCTCAAAGTTCATTATGAGATTCAAGCTCACACTTACTGTACTGTTGGCAGGCATCAGATCCTTGCTGGCTGCTGGTTGGGAGCCTCAGTTTCTTGCCATATGGGCATCTCTATATCAGCTGACCTCCCCCAGAGCAAATGACCTAAGAAAGACTGAGAGAGCAATCAGGATGCAAGCTGGTAGTGCCTTTTATAGCCTAATTTCAGAAGTGATGTATCATCACTTCTGCTGTAATCTGTTGGTCATAGAGACCAATTCTAGAACAGCATGGAGGGAACTACACAGATGTGAATACCAGGAAGCAGGGATCACTGGGGCCATCGTGGATGCTCACTACCACAATGATTTAGACTGAGTTACCTAGCTTGCCCATTCATTCACTCATCCATTCACTCATTTTTTTTTTTTTTGAGATGGAGTTTCGCTCTTGTTGCCCAGGCTGGAGTGCAATGCTGCGACGTTGGCTCACTGCACCCTCTGCCTCTTAGATTCAAGTGATTCTCCTGCCTCAGCCTCCCGAGTAGCTAGGATTACAGGTGCCTGCCACCACACCTTGCTAATTTTTTTATTTTCTTTTTTATTTTTAGTAGAGACTGGGTTTCACCTTGTTGGCCAGGCTGATCTCGAACTCCTGACCTCAGGTGATCCACCTGCCTCGACCTCCCAAAGTGCTGGGATTGCAGGCGTGAGCCACTGCACCCAGCTCACTCGCTCATTTAATCAATGTTTATAGATGCCCACAAGCTCCAGGTACTATTCTTGGTGCTGAGGATCCACTGGAGAAAAAGGGCTGTTCCTGCCATCAGGGGCCTTACGGTAAATTACAATGAAGCATGAAAAGGGCCGTTGTGGGGGAAATTCAGGGTTATGAGAATGTGTGCAAAGTTAGGAATGGCTTCCTGGAGAAAAGGGCAAAGTGACATGGTAAATTACTCACAGTGCCTTAAAGGGTAAGTGGATTGGGGTGGTAGCATGGGAAATTGAGAATAGAATATTATGGGGAGATCCAGGCAGCAGGCAGGGACCCAGGAAATTTAGCCAGCAGGAGGAGAGCCTTTCGTAGGTCAGGACCAAGGAACGAGGTGCCAGCCCTGGGGGTCAGGAGGTAAGATCACGGCTAGTCCAGTCCTCCTAGCAGCCTCTCAATCACCCAACAGGTTACTGGGTCAGGAGAGCAAGCATTGCAGATAAGACGAGGGGAGCTTCGGAGTGGAGGCTGAGGCCTGGTTCCCGGAAGTGAAGAAAGGGTCATAAGGGAATGAATTCAGGGAGGCCGGTGCTTTTTTCTAAGCATTGCCCTGAAACACCTAGATCCCCTCCGAAAGAGGACCACATAGATTAGTGCTGGTGGCTGTGCCTCAGCTGTGGGGAAGGTGGTTTAGGGACAGGAACCAGGGCTGACACCTGAAGAGAAAGTTGCAGAGCAGCAAAGTTTGTCTTTGGTGCCATTGCCCAGATCCTGTCCTGCCAGCTTGGTGCTCTCATGGTGCCTCCAGGTTCCCTGGCCCACCCCTTCACCCTTATCCCGGCACTGTTCTGCTGTCCATACCGTCAGGGCCAGCCCATTGCCTAGGCTTTGTCCAGCCACACCCATCCCCACTCTGCTGACCTGTAAGGAACAGCCCTGCCACAAACTTTACGGCCGTGGTCCAGCCTCAAGAACGGAGGATGCGGAACTCACTGTACCAGGCTCCTAGGCACAGAAAACCAACCGAACAAACAAAGACTGTTATGGAAAAGTAGAGGCTGGGAGTTGGCTGGTCTGACTATTTGTGGCTCTTGGTTGGATTCACTATCTGAGGGCTCAGTCTTTGCTACTGTAACCTATTTGTTACCACCTATGGGCAGAATCGAAGTTCTGTAGTCTGTGTTAGATCAGTCTAATTTTGCGGGAAAATTGGCGACTTTGGCCATCTGGGAAACGGTTGCTGCCTCTCCGCCTTGTGTCAGCACACCTATGGAACCTTCATCATGGAGCCCAGGGGATCAATGGAACCAGGGAAGGGCAGCTCTTCCTTTTATAGCAGTATCAACATGGCATCTACCACTGCTCCTACAGGCATAATTAGCTGTTGAGGGGCGAGTGTGTGCCAGGTGCTCTGCTCACGCCTCTACCTCATACCTTATGAATGCTCACAGTCATCTGATAGCACAGCAATGATTACAAGCAGTTTACAGAGATCGTGTTACTTCTCCAAGGTCACATGGCCATAGGTGATAGAACGCTGGTACATTTGACTTCTGAACCTCTGCTCTTTCAGCAGGGTTCAAATACCCATAGTATGGATTTCTTCACTTGTTCAAAGCTCTGAAAGGTCATATGCTGTATGTTGGAACCAGCCTTCCTCCCTCCCTGGCCACACCCTGATTCCTTCTAGTTCTTGTTTCCTAAGTCTCTGAATGCTCTTACGTTGTCACTGTCCAGGATGTCTCTTCCAGAAGGCTGATGGTGAGCAAAGTCTGAGGTATCATCAAGAAATTAAAGCCAAGGGGGAATGGAAAGTAGCGCCAAATAAAATTCCAGGATTTAAGGTTTCAGAGCAGGCAGGAGAGGAAAGGCAGGAAGTGCATCTGATAGTAAATAGACCCTCACCTCTTAAAACAGCAGCAAAAACAGGCAACATGTATTGAGTACCTGTTATGCACCAGGTCCTGGGCGAAGCACACTGTGTACATTATCCCATTTAACCCTCACAACACACCTATGAGGTAGTTACCTCTGCTATCCCGATTATACAGATGATGAAACTGAGGCTCAGGGAGGTGAAGTCACATGGTCATACCGTGGCAGATATGGGAATTGGACCCGACTCCTAATGGCTCCATAGCCCGAGCTCTGAAACTTTGTGTTGTCCCTGCCTTCATGTACCCCCATCGATTTCCAGATCATTTCGGAACGCACCAAGCCCAGGATGCATGAGTTCCAGTCTGAGGTGTTCATGATCATTGGCGGCTGCACGAAGGATGAACGGTTTGTGGCAGAGGTGACCTGCCTGGACCCCCTGAGGCGCAGCCGCCTGGAGGTGGCCAAGCTCCCGCTAACAGAGCATGAGCTGGAGAGTGAGAATAAGAAGTGGGTGGAGTTTGCATGCGTGACATTGAAAAATGAGGTCTACATCTCAGGTAAGCAGGAGTCATGTAAAGGCAAAGCAAGCTCCAGTAGCACTACATATATTCCTGAGTGGCAGCCAGGCAACCATCCTAGAAGAATTACTGTGAATTGGCAATGATCCGGCTCTGACTGAGACAGGATATGGACCCAGGAGCTCAGGTGGTCTTATCTTGGAGAGTACATTGCTACTTAATAAACAAAAAACTGAGCAACATTGTACTATTTTTTTCTTTTCTTTTCTTTTCTTTTTTTTTTGAGACAGCGTCTCGCTCTGTTGCTCAGGCTGGAGTGCAGTGGCGCAATCTTGGCTAGCTGCAACCTCCGCCTCCCGAGTTCAAGTGACCCTCCTGCCTCACCCTCCCGAGTAGCTGGGATTACAATCAGGTGCCTGCCACCATGCCCAGCTAATTTTTGTACTTTTAGTAGAGACGGGGTTTCACCATGTTGGCCAGGCTGGTCTTGAACTCCTGACCATAGGTGATGCACCAGCTTCGGCCTCCCAAAGTGCTGGGATTACAGGCGTGAGCCACCTCGTCCGGCCAGCGTTGTACTATTAATAGAAAACCTGGGGAGGAGGCAGACAAGTCTAGTCCTTCCCAGAAAAAGAAGAGGGAAAGTGGTAAGGGTTTATTCAGTGTCTGCTATAGGCATAGGCCCCTGAGCTACGCAGTGGGAATTCAGTAATGAGTAAACACGTCTGCCCTTCCCCTCCCATGTCTATTAGGTTGTACTTGGGTATAGTTCAGTAGGGCCCAATACTTTTTCATTACGAAAGTGTTTGCTTCAGTATTGATCGTTACTTTGTGTCTGCCTTTCCCATTAGACCTGGAGTTCCATGAGGGGCAACACTATAGCCCCTGTACCTAGCACTGTGCCTGACCTCGGGGTAAATGTTCAGTAAATATTTATTGAATGACGCAGTCTCAACCATCTTTACTGAGTGGGAGATACATTTATACTTTAATAACATTTAATTGCTTGCCTCTCACATCAACTCTGCAAGGTAGGTGTTTTTAAGGTAGGAGAAAACAGAGGCTCAGAGAGATACTCAGACATACCTAAGGTCGCACACTGGTAGGTGTCAGGCAGGACTTCAACCCAAGTTCTAAGCCTAACGCCCACACTCTTCCCCATCACATCAAAAGCCACCTGGCTCTCCCTGGGACCCTAAGGAAGGAGACAAGCTTCCCTTCCCCTTTCTTAGAGGCTTTTCTTGAATCTGAACTTGTGGGGAAAGCTGGACCCCAGAGCGTGTTTCCTCCAAAATCAAGGGCAGGTCATTCTTTGGATGCATTTATACCATTGATTAGGTTCTAGCTTTCTTTTAATCTTGTAGACGTTTATTTTATTTTATTTTTTATTTTTTTGAGACAGAGTCTAGCTCTGTTGCCCAGGCTGGAGTGCAGTGGCGTGATCTCGGCTCACTGCAATCTCTGCCTCCTGGGTTCAAATGATTCTCCTGCCTCAGCCTCCCAGGTAGCTGGGATTACAGGCACGTGGCACCACATCCGGCTAATTTTTGTATTTTTAGTGCAGATGGGGTTTCACAGTGTTGGTCAGGCTGGTCTTGAACTCCTGACCTTGTGATCCACCCGCCTCAGCCTCCCAAAGTGCTGGGATTACAAGCGTGAGCCACTGCGCCCGGCCTTAATTGTTGTAGAAGATCCAAACAATACTGAGCACGTAAAGTAAAATAGGGCAGTTTCTCTGTGCCATCACAATTCTATGGGTTTTCATTTTTTACAAAAATTGTTTTCTATTTGCTCAGGGTAAATAATTTTAGCTGCTGTTACAAATCCTAAGTCTCAGTGAATTAACACAATAGTATGCAGGGGTCGGGGCAGGACAGTCTGCTCCACTCAGGCACTCAGGGGCCTAGGGGCCTGCCATCTTCTGACACTGCCTCTTCCTACACATGGCCTTGATTTAGGGACAAGAAAAAAGCTAAGGGAGTTGAGAAGTCACACCTGCTCATAAAAGCCTCAGCCTGGAAGTGCCATCAATTTTGCTCACATTCCATTGGCAAAAACTAGCCACATGACCTCCCTTACCCTCCCCTCACCCCCTCTGGGTGCAGGGACCTGGGAAATGTAGTTTAGCTGTGTGCCCAGGAGGGATCAACAGGTGTGGTCATCATAGTCAGTCTTTGTCACATATACTACACGTGTTATTCTTTTTTTCTTTTTCTTGAGATGGAGTCTCACTCTGTTGTCCAGGCTGGAGTACAATGGCGAGATCTCGGCTCACTGCAACCTCTGCCTCCCAGGTTCAAGCAATTCTCCTGCCTCAGCCTCCTGAGTAGCTGGGACTACAGGCACATGCCATCATGCCTGGCCAATTTTTGTATTTTTGGTAGAGAGGGGGTTTCACCATGTTGGCCAGGCTGGTCTCAAACTCCTGACCTCAGGTTATCCGCCTGCTTTGGCCTCCCAAAGTGCTGGGATTACAGGTGCCCACCACCATGCCTGGTTAATTTTTGTATTTTTGGTAGGTGGGGGGCTCACCATATTGACAGGCTGGTCTCAAACTCCTGACCTCAAGTGATCCGCCCGCTTCGGTCTCCCAAAGTGCTGGGATTACAGGCGTGAGCCACCACGCCCGGCCCAATTTTTTTTTTGTATTTTAAGTAGAGACAGGGTTTCACCATGTTGGCCAGGCTAGTCTTGAACTCCTGATCTCAGGTGATCCGCCCACCTCAGCCTCCCAGAGGGCTGGGATTACAGGTGCGAGCCACTGTGCCCAGCCCACATGTTATTCTTTTGTCATAAATTTGTTGTTCACTTTTTAATGATACAAGCAATACCTGAAAGCATGCTTGTTATACACGGCTAAATCAACAGAAACTTGTACTTCAATTAACAATATCATCTGGACATGATGACATGTTGGTTTAATGGATATACATATCAAGTGATATAGTTATTACATGCAAAGCACATGGTGGGAGCTTAATTATGTTGGCCAGTATTATCACTACTGTTATTCTTTTTACCAGCTATATGGCAGTCTACCAAATGGATAAACCATAATTTTTTTAGCTTTCTTTTTTTGGTCTCCTTAAAAAATATTGCAGTAGGCATTCTTAGACACATATTTTTTCATACTTGTGCTGCTACTTGGAAAGTTTCCTGGAAGTGGTCATATGTGAATTAAGAATTTTGTATATATTGTGAAATTTTCCTACAGAAAAGTTGTACCAATTTACAGTTCAATCAGTGATGAATGACAGTGCTCATTTTCTATATCCTTGCTAACGATTTTTATTATTAGTCATTTAAATTTTTAATAGACTAGAATGGTAAATATATATTTACCAGATAATTGTATTTATTTTTAAAAATTATCTGTTCATACTCTTTGACACTTCCTATCAGTTTTTGTCTTGTTCTTACTAATTTTTTGGAACTCTTCTTATATATCCTTTGCTATTTGTGTTGCAAATATTTTCTCCTAGACTGTGGTTGTTTTTTACCTTTATATACTTGTTTTCTGTCCTATACAATTCTACATTCATGTCATGCTTAGAAAACCCCTCCTAACCCCAAGGTCATTAACATAATATCCTATACATTTTCCAGTTACTTCTGTAGCAGTAACATTTGAATTTTATTTTAAATGTAATGTAAAATAAGTATCTAACTTAATCTTTATCCAAATGAATAACCAATTGTTCTAATAACATTTATTTAATGATCTGTATATATTTTAGTCCGTTTCTGTGCTCTTGTTTTTAACTGATCAGTTTGTCTAGTACTGCACTGTTTGTATTAGGATAGCTTTATAGTATATTTTAATATTTGATAAGGAAAGCCTCCTTCTTCCCTTTTCTTTTTCAAAAGTTTCTTAGAAATTTTTCCAAACTTACTCTTCCCAGTGAAATTTAGAATTATCTCATCAAGTTCCCCTCAAAAGTCTTGAAGGCACTGAGTATATAGATTAACCTAGGGAGGGTTGACATCTTCACAATAAGGTGTCTTCTGATTTATGCACACAATATGCTTTCTCAGGGTTTTTTTTTTTTGTCCTAAAATAAAATCATAGGTTTTAATAAAGGTTGCATACATTTCTTTGAAAATTTACATTTATTTTATACTTTTTGATGCTACCTAAATGGGATCAATGTTTTGAATAAATGGAGACCTCTGAAAGGTACCCCACCCAAAGGAAAATAGCCAAACTATATGAACAAAAGATTCAAGGAAGAGGAAGCTCAGCTTCCCTCATAGTAAGCGAAAACCAAACTGACATAGTTTTTTTCCGTCAGACTTCAAAAAAATAAATAAATAAAAGAAAGAAAACAAAACCACCACCACCAACAAAAAGTGGGTATGAGGAAAAGTCAACCACCACAGCTGCGGAGGATGCCTTGGCTGCACCTATAAAAATTCAGGGTGCACATGGCTTTGACTTAGTAAACCCACTTCTGGGTTCCATGCTAGAGAAACACCCCTGACACAGAATGTGGTCAGTAATGTTCATTTCTCCACTATTGCACACATGTAAGTCTGAAAAGTAAATCTTTGCTTTAAGTAGTTGGTGGTAGTCTATGCTGATGGGAAAATGGAAACACAAAGCTGTTAAATATTTGATTAAAATCACCCAAAAAGTCAGTTCTCCTTTGTCTTTGTCTCTTTCCCCAGCTGCTGAATTTTGTATTTTCTGTTTTTTAAGAGAGTTGCCTTCAAGAAAATGTTTACCAGATCACTCTCAAATGATCTATTGTGAGCATCTCATACTTTTATAACAAAAATTATTTAGAAATAGGATAAATCCCACTGATTGTTTTAAACAGATCAGAGCGACAAACCAGGAGAATGTTGTAGGATTTCTTAGTGATTTTTCCAGGTCTGTATCTTTGCTTTTTGGTTTAAATAAAAAGTAAACATAGAATTTAAGCTGCCATGTAATTTGCCTTCTGCACAAACCCCACTGTCCCCGCCCAGCCTTGCTTCCTGCTCCCTGTGAGGGCAAACACTGAGTCCAGGCTCCCTCTGGTCCCTACCCACCCAGGCTGGCTTGGGTCCTGCCCCCTGAAGCCTTCTCAGGGCACTGCTCACTTAGCCACCTCTTCTCTGAACTCTCGCAGCACTGAGGTGGACATGACACAGTGTGGCACATCATCCATTCTGTCTCTCCCTGTTCCCCTGCATTTGCCTCATCTCCCCTGCCAGACATCACACACCTGCTGGGTTTCTTGTATCTCCCCTCAGGGTAGGGCTGGCCTGGGGACCTGGCACTTTTGGACATGTGGGATATTATGGGAGAAGCTGTATTTCTGACACATCTGATGGTTTCTTAAATGCTTTGTATCTCTTGCAGGTGGCAAAGAAACACAGCATGATGTTTGGAAATATAATTCTTCGATCAACAAGTGGATTCAGATTGAGTATTTAAACATAGGCCGCTGGAGGCATAAGATGGTGGTGTTGGGTGGCAAGGTCTATGTGATCGGAGGCTTTGACGGCTTACAGAGAATCAACAATGTGGAGACCTACGACCCCTTTCACAACTGCTGGTCAGAGGTATAGGACACGATTTCTACCAGTAACTGCCTGTATTATTACTTCAGTGCTTTTTTAAAAAGCTTTGGAACGTGCCTGCCGTGGTGGTCAGCTTTCTGATCACTTTACTTCCAAGGAGAACAGTTTTGGTGGCTCTGAGCTTCCCTCCTCCTAGGAGCTATTGCTTCAGTATTGCTGATCAAGTCACAGAAACAATGTCCTTCCAAGTGGTGAAGGTCTGTGTGGGCACCTGTCCTAATTTGGACAGAACCCCAGATGTGCACAGAGGCTCACCCTGTCCTTAGATGGGAGATCTCTTGGTCTGCATGTCTTGGTGTAGAGTCTTGTCTCCTCAGATGCCTTCTCTCCTATTCTTCTCCACACTGGACACATGCGGATCACTTTACTACACCGTTTATGAACCCAGAGTGATTTGGTCATGTTAGAAATCATCCCTTCTTTATTTTCCCATGGATGATGAGCCACTTACAGGCCTGCATGTCAGACTTTAGTAATGCAACCTCAGGTATATATCAGACCCAGGAAAAGAAAAGCCACCTCATCTCATTTCCAGGTTATTCCCAGTTTCAAATTTTCTTTCTCCTTATCAGATCAGATGTCCAAGCATGTTCCAGCTTAATGGAATGTACAACACAGTCATTGTAGGCACAAGCAAAGGTAGCCAGGTCACCACATCTAGCCAAGACTGTCAGCCTGAAAAGTGCTATATTGAGAGCCCTTAACATGTATGGGGGACATGCCCAGGATCTTCTCAAAACAAGCCCTATCACAGAGCTGCTCCACGATCTAAAAGGATCCTGTAAATAAATGGGCAAGAGGCTCTTGGAAGTCTCCTTTACTGTCCTGGGGTTCACAGGATAGAAGCACACGTCTGACTTAATCTCAAAATCCTCAATGCTGCCCCATAATGGAAGAGTCTGCTTACCTGTGGCCACCGTTTCAGCTTTTCTTCCTAGATATAAGCACCAAGGAAAATCAATGCTGGTACATAGTAGGCATTCCATAAATATTTTTCGAGTGGATGAGCACATGAATGAATATGAATATGCATGTATAAAACATCATTTTCCTCCCACACTGGCTGACTTCATCTGTATAAACTTATTCTTGCCTGAGAGCTGGATTCCGGGAGAGGCTGGCACATCCCAACACACAGCTTGCTCTAGCTTGCGTGGAGCCTGGAGGGAGGGTGGGAAATGCATGCTTTCATTCTTGCTGTGTCTTAAGAGGAGTCAAGCCCATGGGCCTTGTGACTATAGGCAAAAGATGCCCAGTTCTGTGTCCCGGAGCTCTGTCCTGTATCCTGGGAGCTACTGCAGCAATCTGGGCAGCATGACTGACAGCTTCTTCTTGTGCCCTGTGCCTCTACAGGCCGCACCCCTCCTTGTCCATGTCAGTTCCTTTGCAGCCACCAGCCATAAGAAGAAGCTGTATGTGATCGGGGGAGGGCCCAATGGGAAACTGGCCACAGACAAGACTCAGTGTTATGACCCTTCCACCAACAAGTGGAGTTTGAAGGCGGCCATGCCCGTGGAGGCTAAATGCATCAATGCAGTGAGTTTCCGGGACCGCATCTATGTCGTTGGTGAGTAATGGCTTCTTATTGGTCTGAATGGCTTAGAACCTGATGAGCGCCTGGCTGCAGCACGTAAACGGTGTGTCGCGGTGTCTCCAGCGCTGGCAACTCACTGCCCCTAGGACCCACTCTGGCTTTCAGGAGAGCCATCAATCGACTGTTTCTCTTGGCAAGAGGGTAGACTTGGCCTAATCAGAAGTTGAATTTTAGTGGTTAAGAGGGAAGAAACCAGAAAAATGGAGCGATGCCCACCGTGTTTCCTCCCTCTCCTCAGGTGGGGCCATGAGAGCGCTGTACGCCTACAGCCCGCTGGAAGACAGCTGGTGCCTGGTGACCCAGCTCAGCCACGAGCGGGCCAGCTGCGGTATCGCGCCCTGCAACAACCGGCTCTACATCACCGGCGGGCGGGACGAGAAGAACGAGGTTATCGCCACGGTGCTGTGCTGGGACCCCGAGGCCCAGAAACTGACAGAGGAGTGCGTCCTGCCCCGGGGCGTGTCGCACCACGGCAGCGTCACCATCAGGAAGTCGTACACCCACATCCGCAGGATCGTGCCCGGAGCAGTGTCTGTCTGACGGCAGGATGGGGAGCTGGAGAGCCCCCCCGACCCTCAGCGTACCCGCCTCACCTCTCACCCTCCTCCAGTCCCACTTCAGGCAGCAGGCTCGAGTTTGAGGCCATACATCAGGGGATCCCCTTGACTCACTTTGGGGGAACCTTGGAAGTCACAGTTTGGGGTCACTTGAGACCGGCCAGGAATGTTTGCATGACCTACCTCAGGAGGGGAGGCGAGGAAGAGTAATATTTAGCATTCAGGACCCACCCACCCTATGCCGGCTTCTGTGCCAGGCACTTCCTTTTATCGGTTCATTTAACCTGGTGACTGGCTCTTATCACTTCTAGTTTACAGGTGAGGGAACCAAGTTTCACAGAGGCTAAGTGGCGTGCCCCTGATCACTCAGATAGCAAGTAGCTACCCCAGGAGTCTAAAATCCAGGTCTTTCATCTCCGAAGTCAATGCTCTTTCCACCATGCTGCCTATCTCAGAGCAGGAAAAACAAACAAAAAACAACAACAAAACCTGGCTCTTGCTGGGCGTGGCGGCTCACGCCTGTAATCCCAGCCCTATGGGAGGCTGAGGCGGGCGGATGACCTGAGGTCAGGAGTTCAAGACCAGCCTGGCCAACATGGTGAGACCGCCCCGTCTCTACTAAAAATACAAAAATTAGCCGCGTGCAGTGGCAGGCGCCTGTAATTCCAGCTACTCAGGAGGCTGAGGCAGGAGGATCACTTGAACTTGGGAGGTGGAGGTTGCAGTGAGCCGAGATCGCCACACTGCACTGCAGCCCGGGAAACAAAAGTGAAGCTCTGTCTTCAAAACAAAAACAAAAACAAAAACAAAAACAAAGAAACCTGGCTCATTTCTTGTTTCGGCAAGTCTGCTAAAAGATTCACTCAGCACAGCAGGGAAATAAAGGTGTTTCCTGCTTTCTTTCCTTTTCTTTCTTATTCTGCATCCTCCCTCGTCCCCGCCCTTTACCAATATTTAAACCAAGGAGTCATTTGGGCTCCTTGCCAAGAACATCTCATAGGTTCTTCCACTTGAAAGGTCTGGGGGATGGGCTTGGGAAGGCCTGTTTGCTTTGAAAGAGATGAAATACTTGTGTTCTGTCCTCCTCCCATTGAAACCCTCTTTTTTTTTTTTTTGAGATGAAGTCGCCCAGGCTGGAGTGCAGTGGCATGATCTCGGCTCACTGCAACCTCTGTCACCCTGGTTCAAGTGATTTTCCTGCCTCAGCCTCCTGAGTAGCTGGGATTACAGGCACCTGCCACCGCGCCTGGCTAATTTTTGTAGTTTTAGTAGAGACGGGGTTTCACCATCTTGGCCAGGCTGGTCTTGAACGCCTGACCTTGTGATCTGCCCGCCTCGGCCTCCCGAAGTGCTGGGATTACAGGTGTGAGCCACTGGGCCCGGTCTTTTTTTTTTTAAATGATCATAAGATGGCCCATTTTGGACCGGAACTGTCATTGCCAGACAGAATTGTACCTTTAGCACATTCTGGTGCCCTGGCCTCTTAGTGTTCACCAGTTGTACTGCAATATAGACAAGATGTCTCTAGAGACTCAAACTACTGTTTTATTAAAAAAGTAAACACCTGAGCACAGCTGGCCTACACAGGAGCGACAGATTCTCCTTGATGGTACACTTTCTAGTTTTTACACAGTGATTTAGGTCCACGTTCCTGATACCCCATCCTCCTGAAGCCTTCGTTTTCAAGACTTTTAAAAAGCACTTCTACTTGGTTTTTTGATCAGTGTAGCTCAATTGTGACTTAAAGAACAGAATCTGTCCTTCACTGTAAGAGCTACAGCTTTCAAATGAGCTCACTGGAAATTCATTCTAATCCCCAAGCTGGAGAAACAGGTTAAGAGATCCTGTTTCATATGCTGTATTTAAAAAGCAACAATGATAACAACATAGTAACTGCGTTACCCAATGGACTTTATTTTCATCATATGATTTCAATTCTCTTTATAGAGTTTTATTTCATATCCGGTGTGGCTTGTTCTTTTCAGCAGTTTGGGAAGTTAGTTATTAGAGTTGATAGTGAATTGAATTTTCATTAAACAGTCACGGTTAGAAGAAGCTAATATTTGAAACAGATTTTAAAAACTTGAAAAATTACAGGTGAGATTTCTGTTTATGCCAGATTATTGAAGATAAATATAAATGTATGTTGGTGTGTGAAATGCTCTGTGCCTTAGAAGCGTGACAGTTCAGCTCTCTGCTGTGGAAAGTAACACAGGGCAATAGAAACATATTTGTGGAATTTTAGAACAAACTATTGCTGACTCATGAGCACTATAATAACCATCAGGAAGCTCCCAACTGAAGCAATGTAACAGTGTAATCTAGTTCAATTCAGCAAACATTCATGGAGTTCTTCATGTCTGTCAAGCCTTGAGGACACCCACGAATGGCAAATCTCCACGCTAGACACTCAATACAGGTAAATAGGCCACCAGTTAATATTCTTGTTTTTATTTTCTTCAAGTTAGCTAAAAATGAGATGCGTATGAAGTGAGGAGGCTGGATCCAAGTCTTGATTGCCTTTCAGGGGGTCAAGGTGGTAAGCTGTGCAGTGAAGTCAACCAGTGGCCATGGCTTACATGTTTGTCTCTTTGAGATCGCCACCAGAACCATTTGTGAACTGATTTGTGAAGGAAAAGTCAGTCTTACTCCAAAGACTATTGCAGGGAGGAACTTCCAGAGAGGAAATCCAATGACAATGGTACTGGCATACACAGGGAGCCTCCCTTCAAAAAGACAGCGCCCCTAGTCAGGGAGGGGATGGCGGTCCTTTGATAAGACCCATAGGCAAACTTCGAGCCCATCAGCAGGTCAACCCTATGCTGGGAAAGTGAGGATTTGGGATTTCTGTGCTATAAACCTGATTCTAAATGTAGGACCCAAGTTTCTGGACTACTTCAGAATACCTAAATGAATCATGGAAACACTCTTTATGATTTTTTACAACACCAGATATGCAGGTGAATTGTGGAAAATGTCATGTAGCTGACACTCAAGAAATAGGGATTCCTAATAATGGCATGGGTAGGGAACAGATACACCTGGTTAGAAGGTCTAGGGTTCTGTATATGAAGCTGCCAGTCTGTAGCTCTTCGAGAAAGAAAGTTCAAGTCATTTGGGGGAAACTTAAGAATAGTCATCAGGGTTTTAGCTTCTAGGCACCAGCCAAGGATGAGAACTTCTAAAATCTAAAATCCATTTCAAGAAATAAAGACGAACACATTTGCAGGAAGGTAACTGTTATAACCCACACCATCAGCAGGGGGAAAGCCAAGCTGAGAATAAACCCAGAGACAAAGAACCCTCGGACTCAGGCAGGACATGGCAGGATGTTCTGGCACAGCAGACTGGAGACTGAGGCAGGGCCTGTGAGTGGACAGAGCACCCCTGGCTGGGAAGAAGAAGATGGGGTAGGAGGAGGTCAGGTTCCAAGGATGCAGGTCTGGAAAATGATATCGGAGGCCCTGGAGTTTGTGAGCTTGGCTCTAGTCCCAAGAAGGGTGAGGGAGAATAAGGGTAAGGGAGTATTCTAGGCAAGGAACTAAGGAAGGAATCCCCTTCTTAGAGCAGAGGCACAAGTTAGAGCAGGCCCAGCATTTGGGCCAACTTACTGTGGGGCCTCTGAGCTGCTCAGCTGGGTCTCCTGTCCTAGAGGGAAGGTGGCCCAGAGTCTTTGGTGGAGCGGAATCTGTAGATGAGGTTAAGGGACTCCAGTTGCCAAGGTTGATCTGAAACAGGCAGGGAGCTAAGCTCATCAGAACACCAACAGATTCATGTTCTCGTCTTAGCTTTCATCTATTCTGGTCTCAATGGCTTCGGGAAACACACATATACACATACACCATGCCCTTGAACTCAAAGCAAACTACGCTCTCAGGGAAATACAAATATCACGTTCTTATAGCTGTAAAGTATAGCTTAGCTATTTATAGAAGACTATGAGGTACTGTTGTGAGTTATTTGCTTATCCTGTTTTATTCTGAAAAATGAAAGTGCTCAATAGAATTTTTAACGTTGGCAACACCATAAGGATTTCTTATGTTAAGTCCCAACTTGGGGTTGCAAAATCATTTTTTCCCTTAATACCTGGGTGTTGTATTAGATCTCATAATTTGACAAGTTAACCTTTTAGAAATCCACATATATCTCAAATCTGGCTACTGCAAAACCAGTTTTGACAGGTCAGATTTTCATATGTATAGGTATAAATAGCCAACACTCAGTGAACAAAATCCTTTAAGCATTTTGGTTACATAAAGTTGTATGTTTTAAGTGATCAAACTAAGAATATTGTTTATAGGTTTTAAAAACCAAACCAATAAAATTTTTATTTATTCAATAAAATATGCACAGAACAGATGCAAATGTGTTATATACAATCATGAAGTTTTTTTTTTTTTTTTTTGCTGTTTTTAGTTTATATAAATGAGTGGTGTCTGAATAGAAATTAATTTAGAAGGTGGAAATTTAAAACGTTTCATTTGGTTCATGGGACTTTAGATAAGTTCATAGGTTAAAATTCACCAGGTTTGATTTATAGAATGTCAAAGAGTAGACAGATTTTCCCTCCCTAAAGATGCATTGCCTCGCTGAGCAAGCTTTTACCAACCCATATGCAAACTGCGTGACTCTTCTCTTGCCTGGCCTCAGCTCTTCTTACAGGAGACCCCCTTCTAGGTTTTTGATTACAGGTCTGACCTTTTAGCCTGCGTCCACCATTGTTCCTGTGTTGTCTCTGAAGCCCTCCCTGGTCTGTGCTTCTCAAATTGGGGCACGTGTAACTTGGGGTATGAGACTTCCCTTTAATCACTGGAAACCTTGTTATCAATTTAGTTTGTTTTGGTTACAATGCAAGACTCCTGTGTATTTGAAAAGGAAAATCAGAGGCTTTAAAGAAATCTGGGGTTCCATGAATAGCTTCAGACCTTCCCCTCTGGGCATCCCCAGAGGTAGATGTTCTGCCTTAGGACTTCTTGGTGGAAACCCTTGGGAATCACAGACCCAGCTTCCTCACTGGTGGGGAATGTTCTGGAGTGATCTTGGGCCCTGGATCTGAGTGCCAGTGCACCAGCTGTGAGTCAAACGGAGTTTTGACCTTAACTTTGCTGCTGAGCCTTCCAATTTCCCCGCTGGGTCTAAGTGATAATCTCATGTCTGGGCAGTTTGGCCGGGGCCAGGCATCTGCCCAGCTTTTCTTAGTGCCTCCCCCTGCACCAGCTCCTCCCTGCTGGTGTATGGCATCTTCTGGACCAGCTCCTTTTCACTGGACGTGCAGCCTTCATACAGGATCTCAGTTCTCTCCCGCCCTCCATAGGCCCATGCCTTATGTTCCGTTCCTGCATGTGGCCACAGTTGAAAACTCTTTGGTGCTGGGGATGAATCCAGGTCCAGTCCCACCCTCCCCAGTCTCCCCACCATTGGCCTGGCTGCTTACCAGTCACTCTGTTTTTCACTTCCATGTTTGTTTACTGGCACCTGGGGATTTTCCTTTTCTCTTTGCACATTCAGATGTCTGCTTTGTTATTGATTCCCACATGAAACGCTGCCTTGAAACCCATGCCCAACCATCTCTACTCATCTGCCTGGATAGAGAATATGAGACTTCCTGCTTATAAATTCTTTGGGAAAGTTAAAGCTGGGTAGAGGGAAAAGGGGGTGGCCTTTGATGTGTAAGACAACTGGAAATCTCCCTTTGTAACACGAATCCTGGTTCCTCCACGTTTGGCAGTGGAAGGAGAAGCTCCCAGTGGGCACGGAAATTTGGACCTCATAGCCCCAACTCTTCCCTGTAAGGAAAGAGTCCCATACACAACTCTTCATTTAATTTCCTAAGGAACATCAAAGACCAGACTGGAACAGTTAAAACTTTACTTATAACTTAAACATAGGAAGGGAAGATACTCTAGATTATGAGGATGACAAGAATCAGCTATCTCTGAGAAGCAATGTTTGTCTTGAGAAGAAGTGTGTGTGTGTGCGCGTGTGCATGTGTACGTATATGGTTTAAAAATAAAAATAAACAAGCTGGACATTAGTTAAAGCAGTGAAAACAAATTTTATTCAGTAACTGCTGACAGTAGCGGAAAGAGCTGAGCTCTATTCTGATTTGTGCAGAGATGCTGACTGGGCCTTTTAAAGGGAGAATAAGGGAGGCAGGAGGTGGAGCGAGCAGGTTCAGGTAGAGTCAGGGAAGTGAAAAATGACAAAGTGTTGGGCAGAGTCAATATGATGAGACCAGCTGTGTCTGCTAGCTGGCAGTTCTCGAAGCTAGGATCCTCTCTCCTTCCTGATAATTACCTTGAGGGGAATGGCTTTCAGGTCCTTGAGAAAGACACCCCTGAGCTGTAGGCAACACATACATAGTAGCTCAGAGCAACAGAGGAAGGATTCACAATGGTAAGCCTCCTTTTTTTAGTAAATGCTCTAAAAAAGCAAGATCAGGGGCCTGTTGTCAGATGTTGGTGGAACAAACTCAATTCTTTTGACAGCCTTAAGCTTTCCCAGACAGCAACTCAAAAGGGGGCTGGGCCATCCCAGGGACGTGGCCTCAGGCTGCTAGAAGCCATGCGATGGTTTGGTGAAGTCTCTGAGCGCAGGGTATGAGTGGAGTGTTGGTACTGAGAGTTTCAGTGTCCCAGGTATACTTACCTTATGAAACAGATACAGTTAAAAGAACAGGTGTGCCCACCACCTGCGCTGCTGTTGGCAGCATTTTAAAAGAGAACTGACCATTTTCTACAATCCACCACAGGCCCACTGTGCGAGGCCAGGAGTGCCGAAGCCCCTTCTTCTAGAATCTGCTGAAGGCAACTAAAGAGAAAAATAGTACTAAAGCTTCTTTGACCCATACAGGCCAGAGCAGTGCTTTCAAACTTTCTTGAACATGTATCACAATAAGAAACACATTTTCTGTATTTCCTATTCTATTTTTTTCTTAAAATGCTGTTCACAAGCCACCAAATTAATTTCATCACCCACTAAATGGGTCACAGGTCACAACCCATATCTGAAAGGTACAAGGCTGGAGGGCACTGACCTGGGCAGACAGGGCAGGGGTGAGGGGAGATGAGGGTGGCAAAGCCTGGTGTATTAGTCCATTTTCATATGCTGTGAAGAAATACCCGAGACTAGGTAATTTATAAAGGAAAGAGGTTTAATGGACTCACAGTTCCACATGGCTGGGGAGGCCTCACAATCATGGCAGGAGGTGAAGGAGGAACAAAGACATGTCTTACATGGCAGCAGGAAGGAGTGCCTGTGCAGGGGAACTGCCCTTTATAAAACCATCAGATCTTGTGAGACTTACTCACTATCACGAGAACAGCACGGGAAAAACCTACCCCCATTATTCAATTACCTCCCACCAGGTCTCTCCCATGACACCTGAGGATTATGGAGCCACAATTCAAGATGAGATTTGGGTGGGGACACAGCCAAACCATATCATCTTGATTTAACAAAGCGGCAATACACAGAAGGCAGAGGGAAAACCTGACTGCGCAGAGAAATCTGTAAGTCTGGCCTTAGATAAACAGGATTTTTGTTGGTGAAATTCTGTTCTTTGTTTTTTTGTTAGTTTGTTTGTTTTGTTGAGTTTTTTGAGGTTTTTTTTTGAGTTTTTTGAGTTTTTTTGTTAGTTTGTTTTTTTGAGTTTGTTTGTTTTTTTCTGTCGCCCAGGCCGGAATGCAATGGTGAGATCTCAGCTCACTGCAACCTCCACCTCCTGGATTCAAGCAATTCTCCTACCTCGGCCTCCTGAGTAGCGGGGATTACAGGCACCTGCCACTACGCCCAGCTAATTTTTGTATTTTTAGTAGAGACAGGGTTTTGCCATGTTGGTCAGGCTGGTCTCGAACTCCTGGCCTCAGGTGATCCGCCTCCGCCTGCCTTGGCCTCCCAAAGTGCTGGGATTACAGACATGAGCCACTATGCCTGGCCGAAATTCTATTCTTTCATAGTAAAAATGTAGTAATAGGAGCATCTATTGAGTAATTTCCCTGAAACATGAGACCAAGCCAGAAATAGAAAAAAAAAAAAAAAAGAAAAAGATTAGGACAGTGACAAAACTAGTCTAGGAAGAAATGCTGAGGTTTTTAATTGTCAAAGTGCATTCTGGTAGAATGTCACATTCCGGGAAAAGGTCACTGGAGGAATCTGTAGGAAAAATGATGCCTTAGATTTTGTTCTGAGTTCTAAGTAGACATTAGTGAAAGAAGGAATGGGGTGAGTCTTTGTGAAACAATGCAACAAATATTCATTGAGCGCCTACTACGTGCCAGGCATGATTTCTGTCCATCTGTGAACAAAACAAAGCCTCTGCTCACATGAGCTAACATTCTAGTAGAGAGAGACAGGCAAGAATCAAACAAGCATATAATATAATGACAAGTAGAGATAAATGTCCAAAGAAAGTAACTCAGGGGAAGGGTGATGCATGCTACTTGAGCTAGGATGAACACAGCCAACCTTTCTGATAGAGACACTTAAACAGAGGCTTGAGTGAAGAGAGCATGAGAGGCCTGAGAGTATCTGGGGAAGCTTACTCCAGGCAGAGGGAAGAGCTAATGAGGCTCTGAGGTGGGAGGCTTCTGTGTATTTAAGGAACAGTCATGGCTGGGCACGGTGGCTCATGCCTGTAATCCCAGCACTTTGGCAGGCCAGGATGGGCAGGTCATTTGAGGTCAGGAGTTCGCGACCAGCTTGGCCAACATGGTGAAACCCTGTCTGAACTAAAAATACACAAAAATTTAGCTGGTCATTGTGGCATCCCTGTAGTCCCAGCTACTTGGGAGGCTGAGGCAGGAGGATCGCTTGAACATGGGAGGCAGAGCTTGTAGTGAGCCGAGATTGCGCCACTGCACTCCAGCCTGGGTGACGGAGTGAGACTCCATCTCAAAAATAAATAAATAAATAAGTAAGGAACAGTCAAGAGGCCTGTGTAGCCGGACTAAATTCAGAGCCATGGTAGGGAGTCTCAGAGGCCTGTGTAAGCACTTGGAATGTCATCAGAGTAAGGTGATAGCTCTTAAGACAGGTTCAGAAATGCTAGAGACTCACAAATGTTCCACACCTAAGCTTGTGGCTTGCAAATCCAAGTCAGCTATGTTCGCAGGTGCGTAACAGCAAGGAATTGCCACCCTGAGCCCAATGTTTTTATGAATCCAACGTATATTGAGTTTGTTCTCCAAATCCATGCTCTGTCTTGGGCATGATCCTGTTCTGGGCACTCATATTACGGTGGGCTGGGGCTGACTCTCCAAATTGCCTACTCACACACCCTAGGGTTGTTGGGGAAGCCTTTCCAGGAGCTACGATCCCAACTCATTCCCAGTGTAGGTGGAAGGCAGTACTTTGATCATGTGACCGCTTATCCATTCAGCATCTTGGTGACAGTGGGAACATCAGTGCTGGTGTTAGTGGGGATGGGCAAAAGGGGACAAAAGCCAGAACTCTTAAGTTAGTGTGCCCCAGGAAGCCCAGTTAATTTTTGAAAAGATCTTGTTGGCAGCCTAAAATCATGTGACCTGAGATCCAGCACATTAAAAAACAAACTAATAAAAATTTCAATGGCTAAATGCAAACCAACAAACTATTTTAAAAACCTGTAGGCCGGGCGCGGTGGCTCATGCCTGTAATCCCAGCACTTTGGGAGGCCGAGGTGGGCAGATCACGAGGTCAGGAGATCGAGACCATCCTGGCTAACACGGTGAAACTCCGTCTCCATTAAAAATACAAAAAATTAGCTGGGCGTGGTGGCGGGCACCTGTAGTCCCAGCTACTCGGGAGGCTGAGGCAGGAGAATGGCGTGAACCCGGGAGGCGGAGCTTGCGGTGAGTGGAGATCGCACCACTGCACTCCAGCCTGGGCTACGGAGCAAGACTCCGTCTCAAAAACAAAAACAAAAAACAACAACAACAAAAAAAAAAACCTGTAAAAGAACGTGTGGCAATTCAGATGCAAGCTAGAAATTAGGTGCTGAAATTTTTATTTCCAATTTTAGAGACTTCATCTCCCTGGGAGGTGGGTTGCAATCCTCAGCAGGAAGCAAGCCTGGAGATGTGCTGAGGGTTAGAAAAGGCTGCGGCTTTGTTACTCACCTCCACTCTAAGTCACCTCATCCTGAAAGTACAGTAATAATAGACTATGCCTCATAGAGTTTGGGTGAGGATTAGACGAGATCGTACACGTGGAATGCTTAGCTCATCGCCCAACAGATTGTAAATGCACCGCACATGTTAGCTGCTGTAATTGTCCTTACTTGACTGAAGGCCCACGGGGCTGGGGGCTGTTTTCTTGCTGGTTTTTATATCTATAGCACTTAGCACAGTGCCAGGTACACAGTGACACTCCAAGAATGTTACTATATCAACACCTACCGGGAGAAATGTATGGGTAGGGGTGGGGCAGTGTGGGGGTCCTGAGGAGCTGCCACCCCAGTAATTACCACCACCATTATTGATCACCTCTTGGACACTTTACACACGCCAGAGGTTGAACAATGAAAACCATAGATACCTTTTTGGACTCTGCCATATTTTTTAAAATTGGCAACACAGGGGTCATATCCCTACTTCACTGGACAGAAAAGAACAGGTACTGTTCCCTTTAGAAAAGGGCTCGTAAGCCAGGCGCGGTGGCTCACGCCTGTAATTCCAGCACTTTGGGAGGCCGAGGCTGGCGGATCGTCTGAGGTCAGGAGTTTGAGACCAGCCTGACCAACATGGTGAAGCCCCGTCTCTACTAAAAATACAAAATTAGCTAGGGGTGATGGCGCATGCCTGTAATCCCAGCTACTCGGGAGGCTGAGGCAGGAGAATTGCTTGAACGCGGGAGCCGGAGGTTGCAGTGAGCCAAGATCGTTCCATTGCACTGCAGCCTGGGCAACAAGAGTGAAACTCCATCTCAAAAAAAAAAAAAAAAAGAAAAAAGAAAAAAGAAAAGGGCTTGTAAGTCTGGTTTGCCAGTGTCCACTGACCTACTTGGTCCCGAAGGCACTTGAGTTTGCAGTCTCTGACGTACACCATTTTGTTTAATTCTTGCATGAACTCTGTGAAGTAAATTGATGCTATATGGATGAGAAAACTGAGGCTCAGAGACTTCCCAGAGTAAAGACTGAACGCAAGTGTGGGGGTCTCCAAGGCTGGCAACGCTTCTGCTCTGCCCATCGCTGCTTGCAGGGAGCGGGTATATGGAATGCCGTGAGGTGATGTCGCAGGTCTCATCTAAGTCCATGCTTCTATGATTCAAAGATTTTAGATCAAGCATGTCACAACTTTAGAGTCACCATGAAAAAAAAATCTGGAAATACTTATTACTAACTCACTCTGTGATCTGTGCAAGGCCAGGGACCTGTGCCATAAAACCCCCTAGTGGTTGAAGGTGACTTCTGAGTTTACTTCCACCCTAACAGACTCTCATACAGGAGGAAAGGCTGCACTTTTTTTTTTTTTTTTGAGACAGAGTCTCACTCTGTCACCACACTGGAGTGCAGTGGCGCGATGTCGGCTCACTGCAACCTCCGCCTCCCAGGTTCAAGTGATTCTCCTCCCTCAGCCTCTCGAGTAGCTGGGACTACAGGCACGTGCCACCACACCTGGCTAATTTTTGTATTTTTAGTAGAGATGGTGTTTCACCATGTTGGCCAGCATGGTCTTGATCTCTTGAACTCATGATCCGCCTGCCTCAGCCTCCCAAAGTGCTGGGGATTACAGGCATGAGCCGCCGTGCGCGGCCGGGCTGCACTTTTAAAAGTGTCCACGAGGGGACAAAAGATGACCACAAGCTCCTTAGTTACACTCCTAGTGATGGGGTGCCGCCAAGGACAGCCTGGGGTAATTTTCCTAAAAGGAAAGAAGCTCCTGTCTCAACTGCCAGACCTAGAGCTCTGTTGTGTCCTCACGGTTCCCTGCCAGGCCTCCCCTCCCAGAGGGAGCTCTTAGAGTGACTGCAGCTGGTCCTATCCCGGGATTATTGAGTCTTAGAGGCCATTGATTGCAAGATAGCTGATCCTGTGGCAGGAAAAATGGTACAATGCCTTAATGTTAGGCTTTCACAATTCATAAATTGGTCCTGCCAGCTTTTCTTTGCTTTGGAATTTGTCCTCTACCATCAGGGATTTGGCCACTTGCCCTACCCTTCCCTTGCATTGTTTAGCATAATCCAGGCTGTCCTTTTGCGGGTTCTCGGTAACAAAGCGTAATACAGCACTGTTTTCTTAGGTGATCTACAGCACTTATTTGTTACCTTGCAAGAAAGTATGAGGCTTTCTTGAAAGCAGATTCTCTAATCCTCAAGGCGTCTGAGAACTGCAGCCCTGGCTGAAAGCTGCTCATGAGAGACCCTGAGCTAGAGCCACTTAGCTAAACTGCCCCTCAGAAACTGTGAGATAATAAATGTTTGTTGCTTCAAGCTACTAAGGTTTGGGAAACTGATTACATAGCTGTAGAAAACTAATACATGGGGAATCGGTGAAGGGTGGAGGGAGGGCAGCGGGGAGTCTGCCTCAGGGATGTGCCCCCCACCTTCATCCTCCAGACAGGACTTCGGAGCACCTGAGGAAACCCTGAGAGACTCCTCTTTAGGGAAGTCATCCAGCCCCGGGGTCCCCTTATGCCAGGAGCAAACAGTGAGGACAGGAGAATGACCATCTATCTTGCTGAAAGCTCTGTGAGGGAGAGATGGAGGGACAGAGGGAGCCGTGCCCTGGATGAATAGGAAGGGCTGTGTCTCCAGGGTCCATGGCCTCTGTGCCCTGGATGATGCTGGGGCTGCTAGGGACCACAGAGCCACCCCCTGGGAGGCTGGGGTTGGCCTGGCTCAGGGGCCTTTGTCAGCCATAGACACCCACAGCCTGGGGTAGACAGGGCTGGCAGGCAACACAGGAACTGGAAAACCGGACAAGCTCCAGCCCCTCCGCAGGGTAAATGACAACTCCAGGTAAAATGATTAGCTGATTCCAGCCCCTCTGCAGGGTAAGTGGCACCTCCAGGTAAAATGATTAGCTGGTTCCAGCCCCTCCGCAGGGTAAGTGGCACCTGGGGTAAAATGACTGCCTGGAGCTGGCAGCTGCTTTCCCCTCTCTCTCGCGGGCCCTGCAGGGAAGCGTAGGAAGGGGAGGGGGCACAGCGCTGGGCACAGAGGGGCTCTCAGACCCTGGACTGAACTGTTTCAGGGGTCATCTAGCCCATTCCCCGCCTCCAGGCGAGGATTTGCCTGAGCCTGGAAAGAGGAAGGATCCTCCCAGCCCTGTCAACCCCAGATTCCACCTCCCTGTGGGGGGACTGTCAGCGCAGGCCCTGACAACCAGAGAAAGACACAGGACCCAGCTGGGCCGGTGACAGCAGGAGCTCCAGGTGCCACAGGTGAGGGTGGGGATGCCTGGAGCACCACGGGGGGCCCAGTTAGTCTAGAGCCAGGTTTTCCATACTCCTTAGAGTGCAACCTCAGGGAGACGCAAATTTTACCCAACACAGAAATACATTTATAGAATTCAAACACAAGCAGACGAAACAATGTTTACCCTTACAGTGTGTGAAGTCCTCATCTGTCCCACCTCATCCTATCGTGCTCTATTCTATCCTAGGAGACAAAGCAGGAGGAGGGCTGCGGAAGTGGGGGAGTCTTATCCAGGCCCTTGGGTGACACGTCTCTCCTGATAAAAACTGCAGCTGCTCTGGGCGTGCCCTCGCCTGTCTCCCCCCAGGCCCTGGGTTCCTGGCAGCAGAGACAGTTACCTATTGACCAGGCATCCCCCAGGGCTCCTGGAAGAATCCCAGAATTCTCAGAACCAGAAAAGCTTAGACAGCATCCTGCAGGCAAAGCCCCTTGTTCTCTGGGGAGTAAAGTGCGGCTCACAGGGTATCCCACCAGGGACAGTGATTGACCACCAGGCTGTGGGCCCTGTGGGGACTGGCTGAAGGCCCTGTGGGAGCTGAGTCAGGGCCAGGACCGGGGTGTCCTGACTCCTAGAGAGCAGGTTCCTTTCCTCACTCAGGCCTTCCAGTCCCAGCCCTGGGCTGATTTTTGCTGTCTTATATCATCTGCATATTTATTCCCCTGCTGGATTCACTGGCCATGGGCTCTGTGGTCCTAACAGTCTTAGGGACTAAGGAGCTGGCAGCACTGAGGGGACCCCAGAATCTCAGACTCAGGGTCTGGCCTCACAGACATGTGAGGGAACAACTCAAAGGCCCATTGCCCAGTGGCAAGAGGAGGCAATTCGGAGTCCGTCAGACCTGAGTGCAGTCAGACCTGATTCTCACTCTGTCACTTACTAGCTGTGTGATCTTGGGTAAGTCACTTAAGCTCTCTGAGCATCAGTTTCCTTATCTCTAACATTAGGATAAAAATATCTATTGTGTAGGGTTGGTGTAAGGATTAGCAAAAATGTATATGATGTGCAGTCCATGGCACATAATGGGAACTAAAAAATAGCACTTGTTAGCCAGGTGCAGTGGCTCATGCGTGTAATCCCAGCACTTTGGGAGGCTGAGGCGGGTGGGTCACTTGAGGTCAGGAGTTCAAGACTAGCCTGACCAACATGGTAAAACCCTGTCTCTACTAGAAAAAAAAAAAAAATTAGCCGGGCATGGCGGGCACCTGTAATCCCAGCTATTTGGGAGGTGGAGGCAGGAGAATCACTTGAACCCAGGAGATGGAAGTTGCAGTGAGCCGAGATCATGCCACTGCCCTCCAGCCTGGGTGACAGAGTGATACTCTGTCTCAAAAAAAAAAAAAAAAAAAAGAAAAGAAAAGAAAAGAAAGAAAAAAAGAAAAAATAGCACTTGTTATGACTATTGTTGATAGTAATTACAATAATACATTACAATAATACTAACTAGAGGGTCTCAAAAGTACTGTGGGTACGGCAGGTGTGCTATTACTTAGTTTTGGAGGAGATTTGGCTGCCATAGTTTTCATCCTAGACAAAAACGAACTTTTCATAAGCACAAAGGGGAGAAAGCAGATTACGTAGGTTATGAACAGCCTTAATAATAGAAGAAGAGGAAAACACCTACCTTAAAACCAAACCCAGGACACAGGCTCTTGCCAAGCATTCACCTTGGTTACAAGTGATAATTGGATCTTGGAAAATGAACAGAATGATTCTGGTCCCAGGCGAGGTCCTGTGATATGCTGGGAAGACATATCCCCGTTCTCTAGAACACTCCCAGTCCATGTATCAGAGTACATGTAAAGTGCGTGAATAGGTAAGGACAAGAAAAGTAGGAAAGGTCGGGAAAATCAGGTTAAGGACTGGGAAGCATTATATCTCTTCTCAGAGGACATCTTCATAGCTCATAATGTGTAGACATTAAATGACATGGGAAATTCAATTTTGGGGCTTACTGTTTTATCTAGAATTGCTGTTTTATTTTCACTAATTGAATGAGATCTCTTAACAAGTGAACCTAACATGTTAGAGAATTTAAATTATCCTGATCAAAAAATACATTTTTTGGTAAGTTATATAGTTTGAAAACAAAATTGTGACAAGATCAATAATTTTGCTCTAAATTTGGCATCTCCCTGCTTGTCCACTATGAGGAATGGGACCTCACAGATCCTACCTGCAGAGGCTGCTCTTCCCACACAGGTTTAAAATAAGGAAAATAGTTAGAAGGAAATAATTCAAATGTTCCTAGCATAAAGAAAACACAAAGCTGGGTGAGGTGTCTCATGCCTATAATCTCAGCACTTTGGGAGGCCAAGGCAGGCAGATTGCTGGAGCCCAGGAGTTTGAGACCAGGCTGAGCAACATGGTGAAACCCTGTCTTTACTAAAAATACAAAAATTAGCTGAGCATGGTGTTGCACACCTATGGTCCTGGCTACTCAGGAGGCTAAGGTGAGAGGATCACCTGAGCCTGGGAAGTTTGAGGCTGCAGTGAACCATGATTGTGCCACTGCACTCCAGCCTGGGTGACAGAGTATGGCAGAGAGAAAGAGAAAGACAGAAAGAGAGAGAGGAAGGAAGGAAGGAAGGAAGGAAAGAAGGAAGGAAGGAAGGGGAAGGGAAGGGAAGAAGGAAAGAAAGAGAAGAAAGAAAAGACAAATATTTAAGGTGATGGGCATCCCAGTTACCCTGATTTGATCATATGACTCTATCAAATTATCGCATATACCCAGAAAATATGTACATTGATTAGGTATCAATAAAAATAAAAGAAAAATCTAAAATAATAAAATGAGGAAACTGTATTTTTGTTTTGCTTCCATCTACATTTTTCTTCTCCTTTCAGAAAAGAAAAGTAAACCATTTATGCACAGCTTTTAAAGGACCCTCTCTAGCACAAGAATGGAGGCTGCCATTTCCCCATCTGATGGCCTAACCCTCAGGGGCTTTTCTCTTATCTCGGAGGACCAAACGGTATAAGAGGAAGCTTACCTAAGCCAGGTGCTGGACTATGAGCTTCTCCTCATTTATTCTGCACAGGGAGGCTTTATATAAAGAGTCTCTTTCATTTTGTTTAAAAGCTGTCATTTTGTTGCATAGATATTTTGTAGGTAAGAGCTCTGATAGAAGAATTTCAAAGTGTCTAAGTTGGCCAAGTGAAGATTCTGGCCAAGAGACTGAGTCTAGGGAAGCTAGTCCCAGCAAGAGACCTCTTTTGGGTGCCAGAGTTTCCATCTCTGGTAGTGAGAGCTAATGTGACCATCATATACTTCTTATGCAAGGAAGCAGGAAACATCTGGGTGAATGAATCAACACGGAGCATGGTCCAGAAAGGAAAAGCAGGAGCTGGGGGAACCCATGATGAAAATAGCCAGAGGTAGAAGGGTTTGTCTTCTCCTTTCCAGCCTGAGCAGGTTGCCATATAACTCAGCACCAGGGCCCATTTTTTCATCTACTGGGCACCAGGCATGATGCTTGGTGCCTTACCTATCACTTAATCCTCATTTACTTACTGTCCCTTGATGTGGGTACCTTGAAGATGGTAAGATGCACAAGGCAATTGCATTGAGCCACTAGGATTATTTAGTCAGCCTTATCTCTGTAGCCAACATTCTGCCAAGGGAAGGGGGCACTAACACAGAAATATAAGCCATAGTCCTAGCCTATATAGGACTTGCTATAATACTTCCATTGCTGAATTATTTTTTATTTTATTTATTTATTCTTTTGAGACTGACTTTTGCTCTTGTCACCCAGGCTGGAGTGCAATGGCATGATCTCTGCTCACTGCAACCTCCACATCCCGGGTTCAAGCGATTCTCCAGCCTCAGCCTCCCAAGTAGCTGGGATTACAGGTGCCTGCCACTATGCCCGGCTAATTTTTGTATTTTTAGTAGAGAAGGGGTTTCACCATGTTGGCCAGGCTGGTCTTGAACTCCTGACCTCAGGTGATCCACCTGCCTTGGGCTCCCGAAGTGCTGAGATTACAGGGGTCAGCCACCGCACCCAGCTCCATTGCTGAATTATACAAACTGGTTTCAAAAAGAAAAATAATTTGTCCAGCACGAATATCCAAACTTTGGAGCTTGTTTCTGGCCAATAAGGATCTAAATGGAATCCAAATGTCTTTTTATCATGCATCGGATTCAATAGAGAAAAGTCTTTGGACACACGGAGGGAAAAAACTTTACTCTGGTTGAAAGTATTCCGCTTTGATTTAGTTATATCCTGTGATTTAGCTAAGCCATGAACTAATTGAGCACACACAACTGGGAGAATAATTAAGTATTAGGAGAGAATTTCCCCTTGGTGTTTTATTTGTGAATTCATACACTCAATTCCAACTACTTCCTCTTCCAAAACCAGGTTAAAGTTGGACCTCATGATCCTTTAAAAACATAAATCAGATCACAGCATTTCTCTGCTCAAAACCCTCTAATCACAACCATTTCACTTAAAGCAAAGGTTCTCAAAAGGTCTACAGAGTTGTACATGGCCTAGTTTTTCATGATTTATTTCCCTAAGTTTGTCTGGTTTCTTCTGTCTTTTTTTCTTTTTCATTTCATTCTTCCTTTCTTTTTTAACACATCATTTCTACAAATAAGAAAAGATTGCCCTCTGCAGCACTCTCAATCGTCCTTCCCTCTTTCTATTTGCTACTTCAGGGGTCAGAAAATACAGCCTGTGGACCAAATGTCTGTTTTGTGTGGTCCACAGCTAAGAATGGTATTTACTGGTTTTTTGTTTGTTTGTTTGTTTGTTTGAGACGGAGTCTCACTCTGTTACCCAGGCTGGAGTGCAGTGGAGTAATCTCGGCTCACTGCAACCTCCACCTCCTAGGTTAAAGCGATTCTCCTGCCTCAGCCTCCCTAGTAGCTGGGATTACAGGTGCCCGACACCAAGCCCGGCAAATTTTTGTATTTTTAGTAGAAATGGGATTTCGCCATGTTGGCCAGTCTGGACTCAAACTCCTGACCTCAGGGTTCTGCCTGCCTCAGCCTCCTAAAGTGCTGGGGTTACAGGTGTGAGCTACCACGCCCTGCCTACATTTTTAAATGGTTGAAAAAATCAGAAGACAAATACTTTTTCATTGATGCATGAAATTATATAAAATTGAAATCTCAGTGTCTATAAATTGTATTGGAACACACCCACGCCCATTTGTTTTCTTACTGTCTATGACTGCTTTTGTGCTACAAGAGCAGAATTGAAGGCTGGGCATGGTGGCTCACGCCTGTAATCCCAGGCGTTGGATTTGGGAGGCCGAGGCGGGTGGATCACCTGAAGTCAGGAGTTCAAGACCAGCCTGGCCAACATGGTGAAACCCCTTCTCTACTAAAAATACAAAAATTAGCCAGGCATGATGGTGGTGCCTGTAATCCAAGCTACTTGGGAGGCTGAGGCAGGAGAATTGCTTGAACCCAGGGGGTGAAAGTTGCAGTCAGCCGAGATCGCGCCACTGCACTCCAGCCTGGGCAACAAGAGCGAAACTCCATTAAAAAAAAATGAGAACAAGGGCTAGCAAAACGCAGGAGGTAGCAAAACACAAATGATTCCAAACCTCAGACAGTGAAGCAAATGCTCTTCTTTCTTGGATTGCTTCTCTTGACCCCACCCACCTGTTCCCCTGCCCTTTCCTTCTGATGGGAACTTGGGATGATCCGTGCTGCATGGGGGAGGAAGGGCAGGTGAGGAGGGACGGGACCTGGGCTGACCAGCTAGCTGTTCTGAGCTGCCATGGGGTCTGTCTGGAATTTATAGACATTAGGTGTTAACCTGGTATCTCTGTGCCTCAGTTTCTTCTTCTGCAAAATGGGGAGCTCATCACCCCCTCATAGGTTGTGAGGCTTAAAGAGCTACTATATATGTTAAGCATTCATAACAGTGCCTGTTGTATAATAAACACACATGTGTGAGGCTGTTCTTGAATTGCTATAAAGAAATAGGTGAGACTGGGTAATTTATAAGAAAAGAGGTTTAATTGGCTCATGGTTCTGTAGGCTGTCCAGGAAACACAGCTCCAGCATCTGCTTCTGGGCAGGCCTCAGGAAGCTTTTACTCATGGTGGAAGGTGAAGCGGGAGCAGGCACTTCACGTGGCCAGAGCAGGAGCAAGAGAGTGTGGGAAGGGAGGGGCCACACACTTTTAAACGACCAGATCTCACGAGAACCCACTCACCATCGTGAGGACAGCACCAAACCATTCATGAGGGATCTGCCCCATGATCCAAACACCTCCCACCAGGCCCCACCTCCAGCCCTGGGGATTGCAATTCAACATGAGATTTGGCAGGAACAAATATCCAAATTATGTCAACATGAAAATAAGTAACCCGAAAAAGGAGAACTTTGTTTCCTAAGTGGGCAAGAAAAACCAGGCCGGGCGCGGGGGCTCACGCCTGTAATCCCAGCACTTTGGGAGGTCTAGGAGGGTGGATCACGAGGTCAGGAGATCGAGATCATCCTGACTAACACGCCGAAACCCCGTCTCTACTAAAAATACAAAAAATTAGCCGGGCGCGGTGGCGGGTGCCTGTAGTCCCAGCTACTCGGGAGGCTGAGGCAGGAGAATGGCGTGAACCCGGGAGGCGGAGCTTGCAGTGAGCCGAGATCGCGCCACTGCACTCCAGTCTGGGTGACAGAGCGAGACTCCGTCTCAAAAAAAAAAAAAAGAAAGAAAGAAAAAAAAGAAAAAACATGGACAAAAATTATATTTAGAAAAGGAAGCAGATGTTAGCAAAACAATTGTGTCTCAAGAATAAATACTCAGGGCCAATTAAGAAAAGCAAATGTTTGACTTCTCTGAGACCTACTTTATATTTCAGCCTTTTTAATGAGTTTTGACTTCTGCATAATCAGATTAGTTACTGGGAATTTTAAAATGACTTTTAGTGTAACTCCTTTAGAATTTGATAACACTCTATAATCTCTGTGTTATCAGTTTCCCGAGTGAAGATTCAGGGCTCATCTTTGCCTGTTTGTTCACTTGGCATTTCCCTGCTTTTATTTTTTCATGCTATTGAACAGAAATCTACACCCATGTTTAACTTGTGAGGAAAGATATAACAGTTTATATCTTTCAGCAATAGGTGGGGATCTTGTTGAATTTAGACAGTAGGTCTTACGTTGCCAGCAGTGAGAGAGAATAAAATAATTCAGATTTTCCCTCTGTCCCATACCTATGCTCAGTTGGAATTTAAAGTCTTTGAACTAATGTTAAATCAAGAACTAATTCTAATACAAATGCTCTGTGCGTGTGTGTGTGTGTGTGTGTGTGTGTGTCTAGAGGGACAATAGCTCCAAATGGCCCCTAATCTTTGCCCATGACTTGAGGTAAAGTTTCCTGGCTCAAGTCACAGCCACCAAACACTCCAAGACAGCTACTGAGTAGAATTTTATATTTTCTGTTCAAACAAATTGGAAGCTCTCAAATTGAATTAACAAATGATACAAAAACTGAGAGAAAATATCATTTTCTACACTTAAAATGTGGGTTATAAGTGCAAACTTTAGGTTGTTCCCTTCTTACTTAGGTGGACAGGATAAATCACTACTACTAAATGGTAACCATTTATGCTTCCCAGTGTCATTTACTACAATGGATTTACTAAGAAAAATCTGTGAAGTTGAAATTACAAGCTTTTCAGTAAATACTGAGTGATTTGTGATTTTTAAAAACATGTCAGTATGGCTCTTGGACTAGTTTTAGCAGGAGCATATTTGTTTAAAAAGGAATAGATCACAACAAACTAAAGAAAAAAATAATTAAAATGTAGAAATTGATGTAACAGAGAATTTACAGGTAGTTTTATCTTTCTTTTCTTTTTCTTTTTTTTTTGAGGTGGAGTCTCACTCTGTTGCCTAGGCTAGAGTGCAGTAGTGTGATCTCGGCTCACTGCAACCTCCGCCTCCCAGGTTCAAGCAATCCTCCTGCCTCAGCCTCCTGAGTGGCTGGGATTACAGGCACCCTCCACCATGCCCAGCTAATTTTTAGTAGAGGCAGTGTTTTGCCACGTTGGCCAAGCTGGTCTTGAACTCCTGACCTCAGGTGATATGACCATGACTTTTAAGCCTGATTCAGTTTCATCTTTAATACTGATGTGACTCATGGAGCATTCTGAATATCAGATTGATTTTTAATTAGAACGCCAGTCCCATTTCCTAATTCATATGAGCCTGTTCAGACTAGAACAAGAGACCTAAAATTTGAGTGTATTTTCCATAAAGAAGACAGAGAAGGCTGGGTGCGGTGACTCACACCTGTAATCCCAGCACTTTGGGGGGCCAAGGCGGGCAGATCACAAGGTTAGGAGTTTGAGACCAGCCTGGCCAATATGGTGAAACCTCATCTCTGCTAAAAATATAAAAATTAGCCAGTCATGGTGGCAGGTGCCTGTAGTCCCAGCTACTCAGGAGGCTGAGGCAGGAGAATCACTTGAACCCAGGAAGTGGAGGGTGCAGTGAGCCAAGATTGCACCACTGCACTCCAGCCTGGGTGACAGAGCGAGAATCCATCTCCAAAAAAAAAAAAAAAAGAAGACAGAAACATTCAGAAGAGCAGGTTTCATTATTTCCTCAACAAAGAGAGAAAACTGGAATCAGAATGGAATGATTAAATGAATTAATTTTTTTCTGATAGTCATAGAATATCCCCTGATTACAGTACACTAGTTTTTCTTTTGAATAGTGTTACCTACTTACATGAACTTTGGGGGTTATTTATTTATTTATTTATTTGAGACGGAGTCTTGCTCTGTCACCCAGGCTGGAGCATAGTGGTGTGATCTTAGCTCAGTGCAACCTCTGCCTCCCGGGTTCAAGTGATTCTCCTGCCTCAGCCTCCCGAGTAGCTGGCATTACAGGCGCCCGCCACCACGCTTGGCTAATTTTTGTATTTTTAGTAGAGATGGGGTTTCACCATGGGGTTTATTTTTGTTTTGGCAATGATCAAGCGTTAGGATCACTTTACAGTTGGATAGAACTTTGGATCCCCCTATTGGTGTTCTCTTCAAATTGCAGGTTTCCACTAAATGGTTCACGGAATTGTGAGTCACCAACAGAATTGAAAAAACGAAGCAGGAAAATATGTATCACCTATAGCAAGAGTAAATATTGTTTGGTGCAACTTTGTTTCGGTTATATATCTATGAATGCACAATCAAGAGCACCTTTAAGTCAGAAACCTTCAGTATCCAGGAAGCTACAGTAAGCAGGTGGAGACCAGGGTGTGCCCAGTGAGGCCACAGGGTTCCCAGGAAACCCTTCCCAGTACATGAACAGTCCCAATTTTAAGCAACGGGCGTGGAAAGTTGGGGAAAATGTATAAATCCATATGGCAGCCCCTCCCCCATAGGCCTGAAAGCAACACTGGTTTTTTTTGTTTGTTTTGTTTTGTTTTGTTTTTGAGACAGAGTTTCACTCTCGTTCCCCAGGCTGGAGTGCAATGGTACGATCTTGGCTCACTGCAACCTCTGCCTCCTGGGTTCAAGCGATTCTCCTGCCTCAGCCTCCCAAGTAGCTGGAATTACAGGCATGTGCCACCATGCCCGGCTAATTGTTTTGTATTTTTAGTAGAGACTGGGTTTCGCCATGTTGGCCAGGCTGGTTTCAAACTCCTGACCTCAGATGATCCACCCGCCTTGGACTCCCAAAGTGCTAGGATTACAGGCGTGAGCCACCGTGCCTGGCCGCAACACTGTTTTTAGTGGTGAATAGATACAGCATAGATTAACTGCTTTCCAGAGTTGCTATGGTCTTTTTTTCCCTCCTGGTTATTGATGTCGGCCATTAGGGTTGGCAGTTTACAATAATTGATTTGTGCATTACTCTAAGTAATTTGAGCATTACTCTGAGTGATGCCATCCATGTGTGCATTACTCTAAGTGATGCAACTTAAACTCATGACCTAAGTGCATGATAAGTGTGAGTGTCAACAGCTCATCTTTGATTTGGCCTGTGGATTCTCTATTGTGTTTAGTATTGAGATAGTGCTAGTTTAATTTTAACACAGTGAGTAATGTGATCATATTTTCTAAGAGTTCAGGAAATGAAACTGAGAAGGATTACAATACCAAAGCTAGCATGATATAAACATCATCATAAAAGAAAGTTAAATGACTGTTATTTTAATGATGGATGGAAGGACTGTTTTCTACACTGTATCAAGCAGTACATCAAATTGCAGCAGCAACAACAACAAAATAAGGATAAGGAAGGTAAATAAACAAGACAGTACATTCTGCACACTAGACAGAAAAGCATTTGGGATTAAGAGCGGTGAAGAAGGGGATGGGAAAGCATATATGAAGACTGAATCTCACATGTCTGAGCTCAGACAGGCAAGTCCTTCTAAATCAATCAAAAATTTCATCCCCTCCCAAAGACACTTACCAGTTGAAAATAGCAGCTGCTAAATAAGTTTGGGCAGAACACGTGAATGACCATATATTATCATTTCTTTGATTGCTTTGTGAGACCCAATAAAATCACATTCAGATGACTGATTCAGGTTCCAACTAAAATCTCCCAAGGGTGAGCAAAAGGGATTTTTTTTTTTTGACAGGGTTTTGCTCTGTTACCAGGCTAGAGTGCACTGGCATGATCATAGCTCATCACAGCCTCCATCCTGGGTTCAAGTGATCCTCCTGCCTTAGCCTCCCCAGTCGCTAGGACTATAGGTATGTGCCTCCATACTTGGCTCATTTTAAAATTTTTAGTAGTGATTCATCACTTGCTATGTTGCCCCGGCTAATCTTGAACTCCTGGCCTTAAGCGATTCTTCTGCCTTGGCCTTCCAAAGTGGTGGACTTACAGGCATGAGTTACCACACCCAGGCCAGAGGAAAATTTTGATAATGGATATATTGGCCCCTTACAGTGGAGAACTGCCATCTGTCAGATATTACTACAGGGGTTTTCTACACTGTATCAAGCAGTATATCAAATTGCAGCAGCAACAAAAAAATGTTCTCCCTCGTTTGTAGGTACTTGGTTTGAAAAATGCAGTTTGAAATTATCTTCTTTATTTCTGTGAAAATTTTCATAAAATGGGAGAAAACAAAAATTGTTGCTATCTTATCCAAATAAATACCAACTGGACTTTGACTGTCTCTGCATATATTTGGCAGATAGTACATATAATTTTGGCAAACTCGATTCTGTTTATGAACTTCTTAACAGAATGCAAAGATCTTACCTGCGAAAAATCCTGCATATCCTGTATACATAACACTGTTAAAAAGGGGTGTGATTTGGGAGGCCGAGGCAGGTGGATCATGAGGTCAAGCGATCGAGACCATCCTGGCCAACATGGTGAAACCCTGTCTCTACTAAAATTACAGAAATTAGCTCGGTGTGGTGGTGCATGCCTGTAGTTCCAGCTACTCGGGAGGCTGAGGCAGGAGAATTGCTTGAACCTGGGAGGCGGAGGTTGCAGTGAGCCGAGATCGCGCCACTGCACTCCAGCCTGGCAACAGAGTGAGACTGTCAAAAAAAAAAAAAAAAAAAAAAAAGGGTGGGGTGTGTGATTTGCTTACCGTGATACTGAGGGTTTTCACAATGAAAGTTTTGGTCATTTTTCAATGTTCTCAAAATGTGCAGAATCACTTAATGAAATTCTGACATTATAAAAATGGAAGGAGATGGCTTCCTTAGATTGTGCCTACAAGACAGCTATCATTGTTGCCAGCCATATGTTAACAGAAGCAAAGGACCTGACTGACAAACAGCTGATCAGTCAAAACAAGCCTGTGGCTGCAAAGCGAGTGGGCACCCTTGGAGAGCTGGAAACAAATTCCTGCAAGTCTGAAAACCTGCTCTTGCTCCTAAGTAAATCCCAAGTATTCCATGCTCAAATACTTTTGTTGAGAGGATACTGAGCTTGATGTCCTCATGGACTGGCACCGGGAATCAGTGTAATGGGGGTTGTATAAGAGCAGCGCAGCAAGGCAAAGTGAATTTTTACACTAGAATGTGTTCAGTTTTATTACTATATAAAAGACAAGACAGATGCCCTAAACTGGCTGCAGGTAGTTAGAGAATATTATTGGAAAAGGAAACAGAAAAAGTATTCTGTATTATGGGACCAAAAAATATGTTATTTTAAATTAAATGTAGGTCATAAACTGTTTATTCCAAATGTATTCATGTTCTGTTTTAAAGTGTTCATTTTAAGAATACGTAATAATAGTCTGCCAAATTTAATTATGCAACAAAGAGAATTAAAATAAATTGCTATATCAGAGAATAGAAACATTATAAAATATTGTTATATTTTCTCACACATATTATTTGTTTAATCAGTACTAGTATTTGCTACTACTGTCACTGATAATTTCTTATTGTTCTTTTGCTTAAATAATAGCATTTATGTAACATAAAAGTAAACAATACAGAATAATATGTAATTTCAAATAAACTCCCATTTTTCATATTTTTATGTTAAAGTAAACACACACATATATTTATTTTATGTTACTTTATTATCTGTCCTTTTCGTCTAGTTTGTGTTCCAGGTTGGCTCTCTAAAACTGGGTTGCCCTATGATACAGTGTAATACAAGCATATCCTGGGCATATCAGGGAACTCATCGGAACACTGAAAGCTTTTTTCATGGCCCGGGGCAGTGGCTCACGCCTGTAATCCCAGCACTTTGGGAAGCCGAGGCGTGCAGATCACGAGGTCAGAAGATCGAGACCATCCTGGCTAACACAGTGAAACCCCGTCTGTACTAAAAATACCAAAATTTAGCCGGGCGTGGTGGCGGGCGCCTGTAGTCTCAGCTACTCTGGAGGCTGAGGCAGGAGAATGGCGTGAACCCGGGAGGCGGAGCTTGCAGTGAGCCGAGATCGCGCCACTGCACTCCAGCCTGGGCGACAGAGCAAGATTCTGTCTCAAAAAAAAAAAAAACCTTTTTGATGAGTAGGAATTTGCCACGCAGGACAAGTAAGAAAAGGTATTTCATTTCAGTAAAGGGATAAGCATTTTCTTTTTCTTTTCTTTCTTTTTTTTTTTTTTTTTTTTGAGACAGTCTTGCTCTGTCGCCCAGGTTGGAGTGCAATGGCGCGATCTCGGCTCACTGCAACCTCCACCTCCCGGGCTCAAGCAATTCTCCTGCCTCAGTCTCCCAAGTAGCTGGGATTACATGTGCCCGCCACCACACCTGGCTAATTTTTGTATTTTTAGTAGATATGGGGTTTCAGCATGTTGGCCAGGCTGGTCTTGAACTCCTGACCTCAGATGATCCACCTGCCTTGGCTTCCCAAAGTGTTGGGATTACAGGTGTGAGCCACTGCGCTTGGCCCAGATAAGCATTTTCAAACAGGTAGATATATGAGAGCTGATAAAGTGTATTGTAGCAGTTAAAATTGCTACTTGGCAATCATCCTGTTTTATATCATGTATACGTATTCTGCTAAAGGTCATATGTAAACAAGAAGTATGTCCTGATGGTGAAAAACATTTATTACAAGGATGAGCTGGGAAACAGGAGTGAGCCCAAGCCTGCGTGCCTTCATGTTGCCCCTCTCGGGTAGGGTTCCCTGCTTGTTGAATGAAGAATCTCCCTCCTTAGAACCTTTGCTACCACCTGTTAAATTAAGTTTAGGCTAAAGCTGCCTCCTTACATATTTTAAGTTCAGCCTAAAGGTTTCTCCATACATAGTGAAGTGTCACCTAACTGGATATGTAAACAGACTGTAATCTAGTCTTGTACCAATCACTGAGTTTCGGCCAAAGGTGGCCAACTGTTCGAACTGTGTTCAAATAAGGCAAACACTATGATGTAACAATCCAGCTGTTTCTGTACCCTGGGGGCTGCACAGTAAATGGATTAGATAAAACAAGACCAAAGGTAGGAAAAGTTGGATATGTTTGCTGAAGTCTAGATTAGGGAAGAGGTTCAAGGTAATGAGGTTAGTAGCAATGTGGCAAGATGGTAAGTTCAGCTTTGAACATGTTGAGGTGCCAACAGGTCATCTGACTGAACACACCTGGGGAACACTGGTCTGATGCTTGGAGGAGCAGATGGGACATCTAAGAAGAGTGTGGAGAGAGCCGGGCGCGGTGGCTCACACCTGTAATCCCAGCACTTTGGGAGGCTAAGGCAGGTGGATCACGAGGTCAGGAGTTTGAGACAAGCCTGGCCAACATAGTGAAACCCCGTCTTTACTAATATAATACAAAAATTAGTTGGGCATGGTGGCATGCACCTGTAGTCCTAGCTACTCGGGAGGCTGAGGCACGGGAATTGCTTGAACCCCGGAGATGGAGGTTGCAGTGAGCCGAGCTCACTGCACCACTGCACTCCAGCCTGGGCTACAGAGTGAGACTCTGTCTTAAAATAAATAAATAAATAAATAAATAAAAGAGTGTGGAGAGGATAGCAGAGGGTCACATTTAATGGCATGTGAAAGGAGCCTTGGGAGTTAGAGAGGTGGGAGGAAGAAAGTGGGAATGGGGCCCTTGGAAGGGGAAATGTGGAGGAGGAAGGAGTGCCTTGTGCTACGAAGTTCAAAAAAGTATCAAAGGTGTCCTTGAATGGAGATAATGAATGATCCCCACCCTTGCTGAATAAAATCCACATTAATTAGCAGGGTACTATAGGCTAAATATTTGTGCCCAGCCCCCCACCCCACACATGCACATATTGAAATCCTCACCTCTACTGTGATGTGATTGGGATGTGAAGACTTTGGGAGGTGATTATGTATAAGGGTGGAGCCCTCATAAATGAGATTAGTTACCTTATAAAAAAAGACTTTGGAGAGGCCGGGCGCGGTGGCTCACGCTTGTAATCCCAGCACTTTGGGAGGCCGAGGCGGGTGGATCACGAGGTCAGGAGATCGAGACCACGGTGAAACCCCGTCTCTACTAAAAATACAAAAAATTAGCCGGGCGTGGTGGGGGGCGCCTGTAGTCCCAGCTACTCGGGAGGCTGAGGCAGGAGAATGGCATGAACCCAGGAGGCAGAGCTTGCAGTGAGCTGAGATCGCGCCACTGCACTCCAGCCTGGGTGACAGAGCGAGACTCTGTCTCAAAAAAAAAAAAAAAAGACCTTGGAGATCTCCCTTGTCCTTTCTGCCATAGAGGACAGGGGAGAAGATGACCATCTATGAGGAAGTCAGACACGGAATCTGCCAGTGCCTTGATCTCAGACTTTCCAACCCAGATGAACTAAGAAATTGGGACCAAGAAATGGGGATGTTGCTGTAATAAATATCTGAAAATGTAGAAGCAGTTGTGGATCTGGGTAAGGGGTAGGGGCTGGAAGAGTTTTGCAGTACCTGCTAGAAAAAGCTGATATTGATGTTGCAATGTAATGTCATAGGTAGACTAATGGTTGGCCTGCATTGGTGGAATGAGCCATTGGGTATTTGAGTCCAGGAAGGCTAGGAAGGCATCCCCTCAAGAGAACAAAGCTGTGCCAGAGGCAGCATCATCTTCTGGTTGGGGCTTATCTATTCAGTGCTGTGGGTGATATTCTCCTTTGATGCTCTGTTTCATTTCAGAGTGCGGTGGTTCGCAGTGATCATCAGAGCTGTGGTGCAATAAGGTGCCAAGCTATCTGGCTACATCAGGTGTAAAATGGGTAGCAGAAAGAATTTAACCAGCACGGCTATGTCTTATCTTGGAAAGTTCATAGGACAAAATATTGGAGATAATCAGACTCCCTGAGTAGAAAGAGAAAACATACATGTTCTGTTACATCAGGGAGCAACTAACAAGATTCTTGACTCTGAACCTTTTAGAGTTCAGTACATGCTGCAAATAAGTTGGATTTGTTTTTCCACTGACAATTTTTATTTTAAAAGAGGAAAAGCTGTGTTCATACTAAGTTTGCTTTTTTTTTCTAACAGTTGAGGCTTGAAGGCATGATGCAGCTGGAAACATTATTAAAATGTATTTTATGGTATGCACATGTATGCATATACTTATGTAATGTCCATATATCACAAATTAATAAAAATGTTTGTGTTCATAAACATATGTAATGGAGACCTTTGCATCATTTTGATCTGTAGAACACAGACAAATGTTCTTAGCCTATCTCAAAGTTCTATGTGTTTACTTATTATTTCTGTACATCATTTTCAGAAGAAAGGTTTGTTTCCATAATAAAAGTGAGCACTTTGGCTTATGTAGAACTTAGAAATAATTGTAAATTTTACAACTTAATATGCACTTCATGGTGAAATTTCTCATCCTAGAGATTCGCAAGCAAGTAAAAACCAAATTCAGGCCAGTGGTGTTAACTAGTTTCTAAAATTTTATTTGTTTTTATTTGTAACAAGTCTTTTTCTTAAGGCCCAATTAATATAAACAGAATCTTCATAGTTTAAGGGAAACGCAGAGATTTCTGCCGTTGTATTTATTTTATGGACTGGATAGCAAGATTTTACTTCTTGGAACTTATGGAAGCTCTTCAGTGGTCCTTGGTCCAGTGAAATCTTTTACCACTAAAAGAGCATTATTCTTATGTTATAGTGAGAATAATCATTAAATACTTGACCTAATAAAGGTCTAAAATACATTTTATTTTATGCATATTTTTTCTTGCTATAATGGGGACATTGTAAATCATGCATTTGTATTAATGACTTTTCTTTTTTTTTTTTTTGAGAAGGAGTCTCACTCTGTTGTCCAGGCTGGAGTGCAGTGGTGTGATCTCGGCTCACTACAACCTCTGCTTCCCAGGTTCAAGCAATTCTTCTGCCTCAGCCTCCCGAGTAGCTGGGACTTCAGGCATGCACCACCGTGCTCGGCTAATTTTTGTATTTTTAGCAGAGATGAGGTTTCACCATATTGGCCAGGCTGGTCTCGAACTCTTGACCTCGTGATCCACCCACCTCGGCCTCCCAAAGTGCTGGGATTACAGGCATGAGCCACTGCTCCCGGCCAGTGACTTCTTTTAAACTAAGAAATACATATAATTTCAAATTAAACCAACCTATAAATCACTGTAGGCACCTGCAGATTGTATTATAGGTACTATAAACTCTGTTGGAGTCTTTGAAACCATTCTTCCCTTGTCTTGAAGAGTGGTGCACATTCTTAGCCAAATAGCACTATGGTCCCATCCTATAAAATCCAAGAAGCCTGACAGCCTTCCTTCGTTTCTTCTCATCTCCTTCCCCTTCAGTTCAACTGGCAGAGTTTTTCTCACAACTGATTATTTATCATAACTCATTCATAAAATTCATTATTCATAATTAATAAAATTAATTATTTTATGAATGTATTTGTACATTGTTAAAACATTTTAAGATGTTTTGTTTGCTGTAGTCACACCTTTGAAGGTACATAACTTTATATTTGTATGCAACTATATTGTTTACAAAGCAAAAAAAAGGAAAAGAAAAAGCTGATATTGCCACTAAGTGACTGGGAAAGGTGATTCGGGTGAGGGCTCAAAAGGAAGCGAGGCTTGCTGGAGAGACGGCCTCCATCTTCTTATAGATACCTAGGTGATATGGTTTGGCTCTGTGTCCCCATCCAAATCTCTTGTTTAATTGTAATTTCCAATGTTGGGGGAAGGACCTGGTGGGAGGTCGTTGGATCGTGGGGTAGTTTCCCTCTTGCTGTTCTTGTGATAGTGAGTGAATTCTCATGGGATCTGATGGTTTAAAAGTATGTGGCACTTCCCCCTTCACTCTCTCCTGTTGTCACGTGAAGATGTGCTTGCTTCCCCTCCCCCTTCCACCATGGTTGTAAGTTTCCTGAGGCCTGTACAGCCTGCAGAACTGTGAGTCAATTACATCTCTTTTCTTTATTAACTACCCAGTCTCACGTAGGTATTTATAGCAAAGTGAGAATGGGCTAATGCACTAGATAAACATGAACAGATTTTTGGTAGAAATATGGACGGTACAGGTCATTCTGGTGAGGTATCAAATGGACATGAGAAACATGTTACTGGAAACCTGAGGAAAGGTGGTCTGTAGTATAAAGTGGCAAAGAACTGGGCTGAGTTGGGTTCATGTTCTACTGTTTTGCGGAATGTAGAACTTGAGAGCAATGAAATTGGATATTTGGCTGAAGAAATCTCTAAGCAAAGTGTTGAAGGCGTGGCCTGGCTCCTCCTGACTGCTTATAGTAAAATGCCAGAAGAGAGAAATGACTTAAAGACAGAATTTTAAAGCAAAAAGCAAGCAGAATTTAAACAGTTGAAAAATTCCCAGCTATCCATATTGTGAAAAATGAGAATGCTCAGAGTGTTGCCAAGCAACCATTTGAAAGGGAGATTAGAATGGATGTGAATCATGAATTTAATTAGTCACACCAGGAGAAAAAGTAGCAGTTGAACTGACACCTAAGAAGAATGTGTGGAGGGGAAGAAGATGGGAAGTAAGGAAGGAAGGCTGTCAGACTTCTTGGATAGCCAAATGGGACCATTTGGCTAGGAATGTGCACTATTCTTCAAGACAAAGGAAGAATGGCCCTAAAGGCAATTCAGGGACGATCAGAGCTGCCTTCTTGGTCTCAAAAGGGGGATCACTGGCTTGCTTTTAATAGGCCAGATTGCCTCTGTCCAAACCTGTGTGAACTACCTAGTGTTCTGGGGACAAAATCCCTGCCAAGTGGAGTTGTGAGAGCAGAAACGCCACCTCAGTGGGACTGAATGGCAAGACCTTCTCCCCAGTGGACCTGGAGGGCAGAGCATCAAGCCAAAGAGAATTATTCTTGAGCCTAAAGTTTCATAGAGTTTGTCTTACAGTTTGGACATCCTTGAGGCCTATTATAACTTTCCTCTTTCTTATTTTTCTCTTTTGGAATGGAGATGTCCATCCTATACCTGTTCTATTATTGTATTTTGGAAGCACATAGCTTGTTTTGTTTTACAGGTTCACAGCTAGAAAGCAATTTGCCTCAGCATGAATTGTACTTTGAGTCTCTCCCATATCTGATCTAGATATTTAGATAGGACTTTAGATTTTAGACTATAGAGTTGACCTTAAGATCATACTATGGAATGAGTTAAGATTTTGGGGGCTGTTAGGATGTAATTAATATATTTTGCATGTGAGAAGGACATGAATTTGCTGTGGCCAGGGGTGGAATGCTATAGCCTGAATGTTTGTTTCCTCCGACCCACCGAATTCAAATGTTAAAATTCTAACCCTCAGTGTGAGGGTTATTAGGAGGTGGGACTTCGAGGGGATGATTAGGTCAAGAGGGTTGTATCCTAATGAATGTGATTAGTGCCCTTATAAAAGAGACCCTGGAGAGCTCCCTTGTCGCTTTCATTATGCGAGAACACAGGAAGAAGGTGGCCATCTATGAACCAGGAAATGGGTCCTCACCAGACACCAAATCTGCTAGTGACTTGATCCTAGACTTCCCAGCCTCCAGAACTGTGAGAATAAATATCTATTGTTTGTAAGCCATCCAGTCTATGGTCATCTCTTACAGTAGCCCGAACACACTAAGACACAGGGCTGTAAAGGCTACTTAGTAAATTATGTAGTTATGCCTTTTCCTAATACAGCACGTTAGGGTTTGTTTGCTGGTTTTGCTTAATTTTGATTTAAAAAAAATTTTTTTTTGAGGCAGAGTTTCGCTCTTGTTGCCCAGGTTGGAGTGAACAGTGCAATCTCAGCTCACCGCAACCTCTGCCTCCCAGGTTGAAGCGATTCTCCTGCCTCAGCTTCCCGAGTAGCTGGGATTGTAGGCACCCACCACCATGGCCGACTAATTTTTTATTTTTAGTAGAGACGGGGTTTCTCCACGTTGGTCAGGCTGGTCTCAGACTCCCGACCTCAGGTGATCCGCCCGCCTTGGCCTCCCAAAGTGCTGGGATGACAGGCAAGAGCTACCACGACTGGCCTGTTTTGATTTTTTGTCTCATCTTTATGCAGCTCTCTCCACCTGTCTCCTACACTTTGTAGGGAATGGACATCAGGGTAGATGCCATTTCCTGCAGCTTATTCATTGGATCTCCTTTTGCACATTTATTTACTGAAGGCAGTGATAACTTTTAATTGATATGATACTTCCAAGGAGTCTAGCATTTACCTTGTGACAGCAGCAGTTTTATGGTGAAGAAAATGGCAAGCACCAATACTGGGACTGAGAAAGGACAGGGGCTCTTTCCCGAAATTCATTAACATATTATTTTCTAGGCGATACTATTTGGTAGAACATTCATTGCATGTCAGACAAGTTCTTTTAACAAATTATAAACTGTGGTCAAGACAAAACTTGATTTCTTTTTTTTTTTTTTTTTGAGACGGAGTCTCTCTCTGTAGCCCAGGCTAGAGTACAGTGGTGCAATCTCGGCTCACTGCAACCTCTGCCTACCCAGTTCAAGCAATTCTCCTGCCTCAGCCTCCCAAGTAGCTGGGACTACAGGCATGAGCCACCACACTTGGCTAATTTTTGTATTTTTAGTAGAGATAGGGTTTCACCATGTTAGCCAGGCTGGTCTTGAACTGCTGACCTCAAGTGATCTGCCCACCTCAGCCTCCCAAAGTGCTGGGATTACAGGCGTTAGCCACCATGCCTGGCCCTTGATAAATAATTTGAGTGGGAAAAATAAGAATCTGATGTCTGTCATCAAAACATGACAACACCAAATGCTGGAGAGGTGTGCAGCAACAGTACTCTCATCCACTGCTGGTGGGAATATAATAGCACAGCCAAGCTGGAGGACAGTTTGGCAGTTTCTTACAAAATGAAGCATACTCTTACCATATGATCCAGCCATCACGCTCCTTGGTATTTACCCAAAGGAGCTGAAAACTTATGTCTGCACAAAAACCTGTGCGTTGATGTTTATAGCAGCTTTATTCATAATTGCCAAAGCTTGGAAGCAACATAGATGTCTTTCAGTAGGCAAATGGATAAACTGTAGTACATTCAAGCAATGCAATATTATTCAATGTTAAAAAGAAATGAGCTATGAAGTTATGAAAAGACATGGAGGAAGCTTAAGTGATATAAGTGAAAGATGCCAATCTGAAAAGGCTATATACTGTAGGATTCCAATTACATGACATTCTGGAAAAGGGAAAACCATAGAGACAGTAAAAAGATCAGTGGTCGGCTGGGCGCGGTGGCTCATGCCTGTAATCCCAGCACTTTGGGAGGCTGAGGCGGATGGATCACGAGGTCAGGAGATCGAGACCATCCTGGCTAACACGGTCTTTACTAAATCCCGTCTTTACTAAAAATACAAAAATTAGCCGGGCATGGTGGTGGGCGCCTGTAGTCCCCGCTACTTGGGAGGCTGAGGCAGAAGAATCGCTTGAACCCGGGAGGCAGAGGTTGCAGTGAGCCGAGATCACGCCACTGCACTCCAGCCTGGGCGACAGAGCGAGACTCCGTCTCAAAAAAAAAAGAAAAGAAAAGAAAAGAAAAAATCAGTGGTTGCCAGGGGTTGCGGGGAGGGATGAATCAGTAGAGCAGAGGATTTTCAGGGCAGTGAAAATACTCTGTATGGTGCTATAATGGTGGACACCTCATCATAAATTTCTCTAAATCCATAGAATGTACAATACCAAGAATGAACCCTAATGTAAACTATGACTTTGAGTGATAATGACATGTCAATAGAGGTTCAGTGATTGTGACCCATGTACCATTCTGGTGTGGGATGGAGAAGTGTGGGAGACTGTGCGTGTGTGAGAACAGGGAGTGTATGGGAATTCTTTGTACTTTCTGCTCAGTTTTTCTGCTGGCCTAAAATGGCTCTAAATAATAAAGTCTATTGTTTTAAAAAAAAGATCACGTTCAATGTCAATTTTTCTTTTATAGGACCCATTATATCTACTCTGTGTTATTGTTACGGAAAAAAAAACTTTACTGATTAATATTAGTCCATTAACAAAGAAAACTTTGCTGTTATGTAACTACTTTGCATGTACCAGAAAATTTTTGCCACACCAGAAGAGGGAAAAATCTTATGTTCAATTGCTTCCTTTTTCTCATAAGAAGCAGATAATGCTTGGCAGACGGTGCTGATGAACACCCTCATTGATCAGTCTTTGTGCTAGTGCCAAGCAGCAGCTAACTTGGAACTTTTGTTGTTGTTGTTGTTTTGAGACAGAGTCTCGCTCTGTCGCCCAGGTTCGGAGTGCAGTGGTGTGATCTTGGCTCACTGCAACTTCTGCCTCCCGGGTTCAAGCGATTCTCCTGCCTCAGCCTCCCGAGTAGCTGGGATCATAGGCACATACCACCACGCCTGGCTGATTTTGTATTTTCAGTAGAGACAGGGTTTTACCATGTTGGTCAGGCTGGTCTCGAACTCCTGACCTCAGGTGATCTGCCCGCCTGGGCCACCCAAAGTGCTGGGATTACAGGCATGAGCCATCGTGCCCGGCCTATGAGCCACCGCACCCAGCCCAATTTGGAACTATTAAACCTTTTTATAAAAAGCCACATTTGTATGTAATTTTGTAACTGGAATAAAATATTTACTATAGAGTACTATTTCATTTCATCTTCTTCCTTTGCAAATATGGAGTTATGGCAAAAAGTATGATTTTTAAGGAATAAGGACCAAATCACTTTAAAGAAAAAATACTTTATTGTAATTTATTGAACCTTTAATATATAATATGGCAATTTTTCTGGGATTTAACTCTAGGACATGATTGCTGCTGGTATTTAGCAAAAGGCTCGGGTTCACACCTAGCGCTAATAAAATGCTTTTCTGAATAAAAACATATTATCAAACAAAATGAATTCAAATATATTCTTTAAAAAATTATTTTAAAGTTTGTTCTATTCAGTCTAACACAATAAAGGGAGATACCATGGTTTAACGTAATTAGCTGATTTTATACACTGCATATCTTTAAGTCCACTTAATAATAAGTATATTATTAAGTGATAGAGAACACTCAATATAGCGATTTTTACAGAACTAGGAAATAAATTTCTTTTTTTTTTTTTTGAGACAGAGTCTTGAGGAAATACATTTCTAAGAAGGATTTTTACAGACACTCATCTTTCATACCCAACCACAGGGTCTAACTCTAAACAGGATAAAACCAATTACTTTCGTCCCAAGAGCTCATGACTAATGACAGCGTAAATCTATGCTATCAAAACCTGCGTCTCTCATCTGTTACGAGTATTCAGGCAGGATTCAAATATTCTCAAAGAAAGAAACACAGTGCATGCTGTGATCGCCTGCTCAGCAACAACAAGCACTGCATCCCAAACTATCTCCTCCCAGGAATTAAATGAGGCCAGTTGTGTACACTGGCATTTCCTCCACTGTGGTACTGCAGAAGGTCTCAGTGTCACAAAGAATCCTTTTGTCTTCTTTAATATTTATGGTCACAGCTGTCTTCCCAAGTTGACCCCGACTGCCAGTTCTGAACAAAAGAAAACATATGAATCAGAATATTATTCAGCAAGTACTACGTGAACCACTGAACAATCTGAGCTACTAGTTAATCATCAGTGGCTGTTTATTTGCCAGAATTATATGTAGAGTGCTTCTAAATGGAATACAAGATACTGATCAAAATATCTAGAGAAAAACAAAAGATTTCTTTTGCATTTAGTATAAACGGAGTTAAGGCTCATCTGGCTGCGAAATGAACATTATTACTTATAAAGCAGATGAAAGTATTGGGTTTAGGGTAGTAAAATTAAAGCCCCTACCAAAGTGGGCCAGCCAAGAGTGGGTGTCATGTCAGTCTGGGACAGAAGTAAATACCAGGCACAAAACAAAAGGAACAGTTATGAATCCATTTTGATACACTTTCAGAATTAACTACAGATGCCAGCTCTGAAATGTTCACTGTTGTTTAGGACTATGCTGTCCAATAAATAGTCACTAGCCACATATGGCTATTTAAATTTAAATTAATTAAAATTAAATGAAATAGGCTGGGCGTGGTGGCTCATGTCTGTAATCCCAGCACTTTGGGAGGCCAAGGCGGGTGGATCACTTAAGGTTAGGAGTTCGAGAACGGCCTGGCCAATATGGTGAAACCCTGTCTCTACTAAAAATACAAAAATTAGCCGGGAGTAGTGGCGGGCACCTGTAATCCCAGTTACTCAGGAGGCTGAGGCAGGAGAATCGTTTGAACCCAGGAGGCAGAGGTCGCAGTGAGCCGGGATTGCGCCACTGCACTCTAGCCTGGGCAACAAAAGCAAAACTCCATCTCAAAAAAAAAAAAAAAAAGTTGCATTAAGCGCATTTCAATAGTCACATGTTATCTGTCACTCCTGACTCCTTCTGGGCAACAAGAACCTCAGATATGATAGTATATTTATGCTTCAAAAAGCAACTGCTGCATACTCTTCTAGGCCACATAAGAGTAATGAACTATATATAACAGCATAGTTCACTGTGGAGTGTGATCTTTATCCCCCTACAACTTCAGCTGGCAAAGTCTACTATAAACTTTCCCTCTAAACCAAATTTTGCTAGATAGATACTGTCATTAAATAAAGAAATGGAATACTTACCAACAAGTCAGTAGCAGTCAAAATATGGTTTGTCCTTTATCTGAATTCCCTCCTGATAATGTTTTCTTCCTTCTGTCGCTACCTGCAAAACACCACCAACCCCTAATTCTCAAGAGTCATTTGTCAAGTCAGTACTTAAATTGGTAAACATGTATGAGACCAAACATCCCTGCTGCTACAGCACCATGGCAGACAGGGCTTGAAAGGTAACAGTTTTATTTTGAGCAGGGGGCAAAGACAATGCAGCACTTCACAGCTACAATGTAACTAGATCCTGCCTCAGTTTACTAAGAAAATACAGTGGACCCTTGAAGGAAACGGGTCTGAACTGGGCAGGACCACTTACACGTGGCTTTTCTTCTCCTTCTGCCACCCTTTAGACAGCAAGACCAACCCCTCCACTCTCTCCTCCTCCTTAGCCTACTTGACATGAACATGAGGAAGATGAAGACCTTTATGGTGATCCACTTCCACCTAATGAATAGTAAAAGTATTTTCTCTTCCTTACGATTTTCTTAATAACATTTTCTTTTCTCTAGTTTCTTTTATTGTAAGAATACAATATATCATATGTATAACATACAAAATATGTGTTTAATCGACTATTATTAGTAGGGCTTCTGGTCAACATTAAGCTGTTCATAGTAAAGTTTTTGGGGAGTCAAATTATATGCAGATTTTCGACTGTATGGGGGTTGGTGCCCCTAATCATGTCGTTCAAGGCTCAACTATAATCAGATATTAATAGCATCTTAATTAGCAATACTAGGGAAGAGCAGCTCTTATCACACCAGAAACTGGCATATGCTGTTTCTTAGAAGCCCGGATACCTTTCACTCTGTGTTCTACAAGGAACAACCTGACTGGTCAATCTCTTGTCATAAAGAGCATACAATTTCCTTCCTTATAGTATTCCCAAGAAGAAAATGTTAATTCATGTCAGAGTTGGAATAAAAAGCCATTTGATTTCTATACCTCATCCCTACCATTGGAAGAGAATAGTTATTCATTGATTTTACTAATTCTGCTTAAATATAGATATTACTGTACCAAATCTTAGAACAAAGTACCCTGTTGTTAAAAAAGAGGTTCAACTCAGGCCAGGCACGATGGCTCACGCCTGTAATCCCAGCACTTCGGGAGGCCGAGGCAGGCAGATCAGCTGAGGTTAGGAGTTCAAGACCAGCCTGGCCAACATGGTGAAACCCTGTCTCTACTAAAAATACAAAAAACTAGCCAGGCATGGTGGTGGGCACCTGTGATCCCAGCTACTTGGGAGGCTGAGGCAGGAGAATCACTTGAACCCAGGAGATGGAGACTGCAGTGAGCTGAGATCGCGCCACTACACTCCAGCCTGGGTGACAGAGTGAGACTCCATCTAAAAAAAAGAAAAAAAAAAGGTTCAACTCAGTTTTTCTATCTGGTACAGCTGTTTTTTTCCTTGGGTTTTCTCTGATAGCTTTATTACAAATGGTAAGACACGATACTAGTTTCTGCAATTTTAGTACAGAGCTTAAACAAGAAGGTAAATTTTAAATCCCTGGCTATGGTTTTTATGTATATCAATTAGAAAAACATTACCCTCTTTCAAAATTATTGTAAAACACTGATTCTTTCAAGGGCCAATTCTTCCTTCTTCACCAGAATTTGAAATAGATCTGTCATGAACTTCTTGGTAACTTCCAACATATTAATATTGAGGCAGAAAGCAACACAATCTTTAAAAAGAGCCAATAACTGACCAGTCTCAGTGGTTCACGCCTGTAATCCCAGCACTTTGGAAGGCCGAGGCAGGCGGATCACTTGAGGTCAGAAGCTCGAGACCAGCCTGGCCAACAAGGCGAAACCAGGTCTGTACCAAAAATACAAAAATTAGCTGGGCATGGTGGCACATGCCTGTACTCCCAGCTACTACTCGGGAGGCTGAGGCACGAGAATCGCTTGAATCCGAGAGGCGGAGATTGCAGTGATCTCAGATAGTGCCACTGCACTCCAGCATGGTGATGAAGTGAGACTCTGAAAAAAAAAAAAAAAGACAATGACTAATTATATTGGCAAATCAATTAAGGAGATGTAATAGTTTCATAACAATACTTAGAGAAATAATGTTTGAGACCAAGCGTCCATGTCTTACTATAGAACCGAGTGAGACAGAGATTGTGGGAAACAATTGCTTTGAGCAGGGGGCAAGGACAACATAGCACTTCACAGCTATATTGTAACAATGAATCCAACCTGCCAGCTGGAGAAAACTCATGTGCACACATGAGTACTTGTATTTAATTTCTAGTAAATCTCATGGATTTGATCCTTAATTCCTTGGTTCAACATTTTTATCTGCTTCATCCAAAACAACCTGCTCCTTTTGAAAAGTTAGGAAAAAATGTTTCACTTAAGTGTGAGTTGGACATTGTGATATCCTTCCTAATAGTACAGAGTGGAAGGAGGGTAGAAGAGTAACTTTCTAGCACAGAACCCTTTCAAATACTACCTCAGCCATGTAATTAAGGTCAACAGCAACCATCATAACTCTCAATCTGATGTGATGAGAATCACATTTTAGGCTGGGTGCGGTGGCTCACACCTGTAATCCCAGTGCTTTGGGAGGCCAAGGCAGGCGGATCACCTGAGGTCGGGAGTTCGAGACCAGCCTGACCAACATGGAGAAACCCCATACAAAAAACACAAAATTAGCCAGGCATGGTGGTGCATGCCTGTAATCCCAGCTACTCGGGAGGCTGAGGCAGGAGAATTGCTTGAACTCGCGAGGCAGAGGTTGCAATGAGCCAAGATTGCACCATTGCACTCCAGCCTAGGCAACAAGAGCAAAACTCTGTCGCAAAAAAAAAAAAAAAAAAAAAAAGAGAATCACACTTTATATCTGTGGTCTTCCTCCCCAAAGCCCCAAATTCAAGTCTAATCCAGAGGAAAACATCAGTCAATTCTAACAGAAAGATATCCTACAAAATACCTGAGTAATACTCCTCCAAACTGTCAAGGTCACCAAAAATACGAAAAATCTGAGAAACTGTCACAGCCTAGAGGGGTCTAAAGAAACATGACAGCAAAATGGAATGTGGTATCCTGGATAAGATTCTGGAACAGAAAAAGCACTTTACATAAAAACTAAGAAAACCTGAATAAATTGTGGACCTTAGTTCATAATAACACATCAATGTTGGTTCATTAATTGTATCACACTGGTCGGGCGAGGTGGCTTACACCTGTAATCCCAACACTTTGGGAGGCCAAGGCAGGTGGATCATGAGGTCAGGAGTTCGAGACCAGCCTGGCCAATATGGTGAAACACTGTCTACTAAAAATACAAAAATTAGCTGGGTGTGATGGTGTGCGCCTGTAGTCCCAGGTGCTCGGGAGGCTGAGGCAGGAGGATCACTTGAACCCGGGAGGTGGAGGTTGCAGTGAGCTGAGATCATGCCACTGCACTCCAGCCTGGGTGACAGAGTAAGACTCCGTCTCAAAAAAAAAAAGAAAAGAAAAAAGAAAAAGAAAAAAATGGTATCATAATAACCATAATATAATTACACCACAAATTTACCATACTAACATAAAATGTTAATAACAGGAATAATAGGGTGCAAGGTATATGGGAACTCTTTGTACTATCTTCTCTGTAAACCTGTAACTTTTTTCTGGAAACCTAAAACCATTTTAAAAATAAAATAAAGTCTATTTTTCGAAAGTCTTAGTATCACCTCTAGATATTCATGTGTAGCAACTTGCTTCATTAGGCTATTTTCCCTCCCATATCCTAAATATCACTGGCTAAAAAAAGGCCTAGGAAAAATCAAAATAGACATTTCCTACATTATTATTCTGTGTTTAAGATGTATAAACAGGGAATAAGCTCTGCATTGACATCTCCAGGGAAGTTGTTCCGATATGTATTCACTGGTTATCATTTACCTTAAAGATAATTATCTTTCCAGTAGGAAACCATGACTTATACACAGCCTTGATCTTAATGAAGCCTATTGCTTTGTTAAAACAAGCTTTACTTCATAGCTAATACAGCAGTGAGCTCTGAAAACAGATAGCATGCAGATATCCCAAATGACAAAGATTCCCAACTAATAACACATCACTGCGGTTTTCATGTTGCACACTGCATTTAAACTTGACAACAGTGAACAGAAAAGGCATGGATCCCAGTCTACCCAGAAAGAAAGCTTCAGTTTGTCAGTCTGTTGAGATACAGTCCTATAAACCATATCTGCAACCCTAGTTTTTGTTTAATTTGAAACAAAAACTCCCTGCATACAGGGACAATAGTTAAAAAGAAGGTTCTGAATGGACAACTTTATACTAAGTCTTAAGTATGATGTTTTATATTTTTATAAAACCCGAAGTATCTGGGAAGTTAGGTCTCCCTGAGGGCAGACCTTAACTAATGACTCGGTAGAGACATAAACACACCAGCCTGCTGGTTCTCTGGTAAGGACGACTCCAGGGATTGACCATGCACACTGACTTAGAGTTAAGCAGCACTGAGCCACCTCCAGGGGAACAGGCTTAGAGCAGCTTGCTCACTGGCCTTCCTTCCCTTTCTATTCTATTTCTCTATTACCCTGTGATTTTTTCCTGGAAACTTTCTAATTATTTGCACAGGAATTCCTGTGTTAGGGTTTCCTTTGGGGCCCTAAGACACATGATATAATAAGTATTTTTAAACGGATGACTCTTATCTTTAAAAGCAGTATAACTTGCTACTTTTTTGACATATTCTTATGTAAAAGATAAAGTCACTTTGCCACTGCTGAATGTAAACAGAGAAAATTGATTTGGAAAAGTTTTAAAATTCAAATTTAAATATGAAAGATCTTCATCCTTTACCCGTGATACGTGCTACAGATATTTTCTCCCAATCCAGTTTTTTTTTTCAGTTGTCTTTTGACTTTATGATGTATTTGCCATGCTATTTGTTTTATGTGGTCAAATTTATCAACTTTTTATTTTATTGCTTATGGTTTTTTGAGTCATAGTTAGAAAGCCTTTTTCTTTTTAGTACTTGTATTGTTTCATTTTTCACATTTAGATCCCTGATCCATTTAGACTTCATTTTTGTTACGCTATAAGGTGTAGATCTAATTTTATCTTTTTCCAAATGGCCAACCAGTTGGCCCAGCTCTGTGTATTACAAAGCCCAACTCTGCTCCAATGATATGTGATAGCACCTTTATCTTTAACTTTCTACCTGCACTTGGGGTTATTTCTGGATTTTCTATTCTATTCTACTTGTCTTTTTATATTATTCACACACTAGTTCCACATCTTAATTATAGAGACTTTGTAACCTCTATAGTCATAAAACCTCTATGACTGCCTTCATAACCTGTATAATACAGTTTTAATTACAGAAACTAAAGACAAACATAACTGTAAACCAATATTGAACTCTGGCTAGTTGGTCTGTTTTTACACAGTGGTATGGGTTAGCAATTTTGAATCTACTTTTTGCACACGATTGAGCAAAAAAGTGAATATCTTGTGGATAAGGAGAGCCAGCTTTCTCACTCTCAGAAAACAGTTACAATTACAGAAAGGGCAAATCTGATTGAACCGTGAGATGCTGCACTGGAACTGAGTTAACAGTATGAAGTCAGCTGTTTTTTAAACATACATGTAGATAGATAGATATAAAACAGATATAGATGTGCCTGGATTGATGCATGTATGGATGTGTGTGGGGAGGGTGTGTGTATACATATAAATATACATGTATATATACGTACATACACACACATATGTACATAAATATGTGTGTTTGCATCTCTCTCTCTCTACATATATATATACATAAAATTTCCTAGCGTTGTCTGCTGAGACAGTCTAGAAGCGATGGCATCCTAGTAGCAACGAACACAACCTACAGCCCAGATACGGCTGTAAAATAGCATTCTCCAAAAAAAGGAACCAGGATTCTTTGGAGAAATGTCTGATTCCAAGGCAGGAGCTAAGTACAAGATGAGCCTGGAACATCTTGTGTCCTTAAACAGAGAATGACGGGGGGACATGTTAAAAGGACACGGGAACCAGAAGTAAGCAAATGAATAAACGGGGGAGAAAGGAAAGCGCTTCCTTACTATAGAAAAAGAGAAAACAGAAAAGCATTCTGTAGCTCGTACCGTGTGGGGGCGGGGGAAGACAGAGGCCTGGCTGCAGAAGGACGCCCTCTGGAAGGGGGACTGGAAGCCGAATCCCCTGACAAGCGGTCGCGGTCCTGTCTTTCCGCTCGAGCTTCGTTCTCCCTTCACCACCCACCCCGCGCCCCCACGCACCGATCCACCGCGGCTTTATGCCTCGTCACCTTGGCAACAGCAGCGGGCTCAGGCAGTGTCGCCACCAGTTTCTTGCACCCGCCAGCAGCACTGACGCTGCAGAGGTTGCCGCCATGTCCCCTCGGACCGGCCGCTTGGTGAAGTGCGGCTGCGTCTCCGTTGTCGTCCACATCACCTCCGTTCGGTGTAAAAGCCTCTTGTCCTCCTCTGGCCACCGTCCAGGTCTGAACCAAGAAATGAGCCAATCCCAGCGAGGCATTCGGGTGGGGGGCGTCACCGTTGAAACCACTCGGCTACAATCTGCCAATCGGGCTCGTGCCCGCGGGGTGTGGTCTCGGCCTCCGGGACCCTGGGGGTCTGCATCTACTCCGGGGTGATGTTGGGGGCTGGGAGGATCTGCTCTGTCCCCAGCCTCCTTAGGCCCTGGGTGTCCCTATCGCCGTTTCCGCCCAAGAACCGCAAGGGCCCACCCTATCGCAGGCTCCAGGGCAAGAAACCCTCCTCTTGACCTTCAATCTTTAGAGAACTGAGGTGAAGAAACGGGGCGGGAGACTGTCGTAGGATACAAAGGAGTGGAGAATAAAACAATGCAAAATTGTATAACATTTTCAAAATGTAAAAAAAAAAAAAAACTGATTAAGAAATCCTCTTAACCATCTCAAAACTGAGATTACTGAATATCTTAAAAATGAAAAAAAAAAGAGCAAGCTCTGCATATTAGTACCTGTGGGATATACCAATACAGTGCTTTTAAAAATTCAAAATAAAAGTAAATTAAATAATTCAGAAAAAATAGCAAGGTAAACCTAAGAAAAGCCGAAAGAAGGAATTCGTAAGAATAAAAGAAGAAAATAAAAAATAGAAATGGAAATGGGAATACTAATAAGAGATTTGAAAAAGGCAACAATAGGGTGGTTGGCTCAAGAAAGAAAGAGGAGCACATCAAAATACAAAATGATAAAGGGGAAATAACCATAGATACAGGAAAACTTAAAAGCATTGCATGATCAGTCAGTTCTACATAATAAATTTGAAAACTTGAATGAAATGGACAAGATTCCAAGAAAATATAATTTACCAAAACATTCCAGAGATAGAAATTCTAAGTAGACCAATTACCATAGAAGAAATAGATGTTGGCCGGGCGCGGTGGCTCACGCCTGTAATCCCAGCACTTTGAGAGGCCGAGGCGGGCAGATCACCCGAGGTCAGGAGTTTGAAACCAGCCTGACCAACATGGAGAAACCCTGTCTCTACTAAAAATACAAAATTAGCCGGGCGTGGTGGCACATGCCTGTAATCCCAGCTACTCGGGAGGCTGAGGCAGAATTGCTTGAACCCGGGAGGCGGAGGTTGCGGTGAGCCGAGATTGTGCCATTGCACTCCAGCCTGGGCAACAAGAGCGAAACTCGGTCTCAAAATAAAGGAAAAAAAGAAATAGATGTTATTAGAGAACTGCATTTCTCCATAGCTGAATCCACAGAAGCACCAGGCCCAAATTATTTCATAGGATAATTCTGTGAAAACTTAAGGAACAGAGAGTTGGTTGCTGTTGATTCTGCCTTAAGCACAGAAAAAAGAGGAAGCATTTCAAATTCTATTCATGAAGTGAGCATAACATTTATACCAAAGTCTCATAAAACACCCATACAGCATATACGTATACATTGACCATAGAAATTCTTACTCATGGCCGGGCGCGGTGGCTCACGCCTGTATCCTAGCACTTTGGGAGGCCAAGGCAGACAGATCACCTGAGGTCAGGAGTTCAAGACTAGCTTGGCCAACATGGTGAAACCCTGTCTCTACTAAAAATACAAAAATTAGCCAGGCTTGGTGGTGTGTGCCTGTAATCTCAGCTACCCAGGAGGCTGAAGCAGGAGAATCGCTGGAACTCGGGAGGTGGAGGCTGCAGTGAGCCAAGATCACACCACTGCACTCCAGCCTGGGAGACAGAGCAAGACTCCATCTCTAAAAAATTAAAAAAAAAAAAATTCATACTCATGAATATTACTGGAAAAATCCTAAATCAAATAAAAATTATAATAAAGTATTTCTATTTTACTAGAAATAGCTGGGTACAGTGGCTTGTGCCTGTAGTCCCAGCTACTTGTGAGGCTGAAGTGGGAGGATCCCTTGAGCCCAGGAGCTCTAGGCCAGCCTGGGCAATGTAGTGAGACCTCCCATCTCTAAACATCGTTATAAAGAAAAAGAAAAATTTGTCATCTCCAAAATGCAAAAAAGGTATTTGTTAAAATTCAACATACATTCTTGATTTTTAAAAAAACTTGTAAAATTCAGCAAATGATATTGACACAACTGGGTAGCCATCTAGAAAAAGTAAAGTTGGATCCCAACTCAAACTCATACCTCACATCAAAATAAATTCCAGATAAAGATTAAATGGAAAAAATGAAGTATAAGTGTACTTCATTAAATCCTCATACATTCTGTAGCACAGGAAATTTTATAAAGCAATACCCAAATGCCGTAAGAGAGAAAATGATACATTCAATTACTTAAAAAAATTTAAAAGCAGCAAAAGTACATAAACTAAAAGTGGCAGACAGCAATCTGGGTGAAAAATTGCAACTCATGTCACAGACGATGGACTAATTTCCCTAATACATGAGAAAGTACCTATAATTCAACAGTATTAGCAGCTCATTAGAAAAATCAACACAATATCAACAGTTCACAGAAAACACCAATACAGAATAAAAGGGCTCAATTTTATTCAAAATAAAAAAATATATTTCATTTTAGAAAATATAAGTTTTAAAATATACTGTAATTGAGGAAGTAGCAGGAAAACAGGCATTATTATACTTTGCTGATGGAAGCAGAAATTGGCAATAATGCTATGAAGAACAGTTTAACAATAAGTACCCAAATTGCAAATTTACAAACCTTTGACCTAGCAATTCTATTTCTAGGAATTTATCTTACAGGTGTACTCCTACATGCTGAAATGACGGGTGACTAAGGAAATTCATTTCTAAATTCATATAGCAAAGATAAGAGAGTTTAAATGCCCATCAGTGCAAAACTGATGAATTATAGGATAGCCATACATACAATGGGTTACTATGCAGTCATTGAAAATAATTGAAATTCTAGAGTTTCTGCATCATGTATACTGATATGGAATTATCTGTAAAATATACTGAAGGATAAAAAAAAGCAAGATACAGAAATGCATATATTATGCTATAAGTTTTATTTAAAAAATCAAAAGGAAACATAGACACGATTACTTACATGTATACACAGGTGTTTCCTCTGGGAAGGAAAATGTGGTGGCTCAGAGAAAGAAGTAGGAGAAATTCCTTTTCATTGTATACTCTTTTGACTCAAATTTTGTACCACATGCATGCTTTAGCTATTGTAATGAACACATCCAAAGAAAAAAATCAGTGAAATTAAAGATATATCAATAAAAACTTCCCAAACTGAAAATAAAAGAATAAAAAAAAGAACGAAAAAAATCGAACAGAATATAGGCACACCTCAGAGATATTACAGGCTTGGCTCCACACCACTGCAACAAAGCAAGTCACACTAAATTTTTGGTTTCCCAGTGCATATAAAATGCTAATGAAGTGAGCACAAGCTGTTGGAAAAATGGTGCCAATAGACTTGCTTGACACAAGGTTGCCGCAAACCTTCAATTTGTAAAAAGCATAATATCTGTGAAGTGCAATAAAGTGAAGTGTAATAACACAATGTATGCCTGTATCCAAGAATTATGGGACAATTACAAATAGTGTGACATATGTATTAGAAGCAAATTTTTGGTGCCACAAAAGAAATAGCACTAAAACATAAATTTAATTTTCTCAGCAAGGCAATTTTACTTCTATAGAAGGGTGTGACTCGTGGATGGAGCAATGGCAAGAGCACACCTGAACAAGGGAGGGGAAGGGGTTTTTATTCCTGACATAGGTAGCCCCTACTGCTGTGTTGTTCCCCTATTGGCTAGGGTTGGACCAAACAGTCTAAGTTAATTCCAATTGGCTATTTTAAAGACAGTGGGGTATGAGTTGGAGTGACAGGGTGAGTAGCTTTGGCGAGAAAGACAGTTATGGAACAGGTGACTAAAGGTGACTTAGGTCAGAGCAAGTGACCAGGGGTGACTCAGGAAGGAGCAGGTGACCAGGAGAACACATGTGAACGACTGATTAGAACTGGTGGGTTATTTACTGAAACTAGGGGCAAGGACACGAGGAGAACGAGGAAGTTAAACTTTAAAATGAAGAACAAAGAACGGGGAGCTGAACACATTGATACATTGTTTCTTTGGAGAGGATCTCAGAACTCGTTGTACTTAACAATTTACAGGCTCAAACCTTTGAAGAGGAATTTATTATATCCTACATATGCATAATGGAAACAACAGAAAGATCAGAAAGAGTGAAAGGAAAAATCATTTGAAGAAATGTTTGAAGTGATAATGGCTGTGACTTTTCCAAAAATAATGGCAGATACCAATTCACAAATCCAGGAAGGTGACATAACACCAACCACGATAAATGAACAAAAAAAATCAACATCTAGACATATATTCAAATTGCAGGAAATCAAAGACAAAGAGAAAATCATGAAAGTAGCCAGAAAAAAAAGCCACCTTACCTTTGGAGGAATTACATTAGACTTCTCAGAAACTATCCATGCAAGAAGAGTGAAGTGAAATATTTAAATTATTGAAAGAAAAAATGATCAATCTGAAATTCTGTATTGAGTGAAATTATCCTTCAAAATGAAGGAGAAATAAAGACATTCTTAGAAAAATGAAAGCTGAGGGAATTTGTCACCAATAGACCTGCCTTGCAAGAAACATTAACAGAAGTTCTTCAGAAAGAAGGTAAATAATTCAAAAGCTCATATTAAAGAAAGAGCATTATAGAAAGAATAAATGAAGGTAATGTATAACCTCTTATTTTTCTGATTCTCAGTTTATTTAGCAGTTAATAGTTTGTTAAAAATAATAATAGCAACAATGTGCTGAGTGATGATCGCTTCTAGATAAGTGAAGTAAATGACAGAAACGTCATAAAGGATGAGAGGGAGGAATTGGGAATACTCTGTCATTAAGATACTTGTACTACATATGAAGTGGTGTAATGTTATTTGAAAGAAGATTTACTTATATTAGTTGTAAATGTAAATGGAAAACTCTAGGACATCACTAACTTTTTTTAAAAAGATGTATAATTGAAACTGTAAGGGAGAAAAATTTTTTTCCTCTACCCTTCATACTTCTTAGGTGGGACCCCTTGTAACAAATGAAGATTAACCATAGAAAAACAAACAAGTTTATTAACATAACATGTGTTAAATAAAATTTATAGGAGGTGACTGATTTAAATTGAGATCCTTTCCTATGCCCAATAGACCAAACCAAAATGGAATCATACTAAAGTTCCATGCTACCAAGCTGAAACTAAGTTATTTATCTGACTTTTTGAGAAATCAGGAGAGAAAAAGGGAGTAGGGGAGAGGCGGGAGGGGTGGGGGGGAGAGAGAGAGAGAGAGAGAGAGAGAGAAAATATCCAATTCCCAAACAGGCCAGTTTTAGCTAGCATGATAAAAAAAGTCTCTTCTGCTTTAACCTTTGACTTTGAAATGACCAATCCATTTTTGTTGTTGTTGTTCTCTGTTTCTGCTTTCCTTAGAAACAGAGGAAAACCAACATTTCTTTCTATAAAACCAGCTCCTTCTGCTCAGCTCATCAGAACATCCATTCAACTTTTTTTTTTTTTTTTTGAGAGAGTCTCCCTTTGTCTCCCGGGATGGAGTGCAGTGACACAATCTCGGCTCACTTGCAAGCTCCACTTCCTGGGCTCATGTCATTCTCCTGCCTCAGCCTCCCGAGTAGCTGGGACTACAGGTGCCTGCCACCACACCTGGCTAGTTTTTTGTATTTTTAGTACAGATGGGGTTTCACTGTGTTAGCCAGGATGGTCTTGATCTCCTGACCTTGTGAGCCACCGCGCCTGGCCCATTCTATTCTATAGATTGAAATGTTGCCTGATTCTGGAATTGCAAATAAAAGCTAATTAAGATCTTTAAACTAAATTTGTTGTAATTTTGTCTTATGACTATGTATCCTTGTCTATATGTGGGAGATATCCAGGGAAAAATGAGTAACTCTCAAAGAGAGTTACTTAGTTTGGTGCTGTCCTTACAATAGTGAGTGAGTTCTCATAAGATCTGGTTGTTTAAAAGTGTGTGGCACCTCCCTCCTTGCTTAGAATTCAAGCTTAAATACTATCTTCAGCTGAAATAAAGAAAGAATGGTGTCGGGGAGGCCAGTTATAGAGAAGTGATCAGGAAAAGTATGGCAGGAAAAGTATGGCAAACAAGAGTAAGGTCTGTTATGCAGATTTAAGTTGATACCTTTTCCATCAATGAGAATTTTTTTTTTGTGATTTAATTATCCTTGTCTTCCTGGTTCAGAGAAGGAAGACACCCTTACAAATGGAGATTGTTCTTTATAAATGTGAATTGCCCTTACAAGAGGTGATATAGTTTGGATCTTTATCCCCTCCAATCTCATATTGAGATGTAATCTCCAGTATTAAAGGTGTGGCCTGGTGGGAGGTGCTTGGGTCATGGGGGCAGATCTCTCATGAATGGCCTGGTGCTGTCCTTGCAAAAATGAGTGAATTCTTGTGAGGTCTGGTTGTTTAAAAGTGTGTGGCACTGGCCGGGCATGATGGCTCATGCCTGTAATCCCAGCACTTTGGGAGGTTGAGGCAGACGGATCACCCGAGGTCGGTGGTTCGAGACCAGCCTGACCAACATGGAGAAACCCCGTCTCTACTAAAAATACAAAATTAGCTGAGCGTGGTGGTACATGCCTGTAATCCCAGCTACTTGGGAGGCTGAGGCAGGAGAATCACTTGAACCCGGGAGGCGGAGGTTGTGGTGAGCTGAGATTGCACCATTGCACTCCAGCCTGGGCAACAAAAGCGAAATTCTGTCTCTTAAAAAAAAAAAAAAATGTGTGGCACCTCCTTCCTCTTTTTCTTGCTCCCTCTCTCACTATGTGACACTGCCTGCTCTCCCTTTGCCTTCTACCATAATTCTAAGCTTCTGAAGCCCTCAGCAGAAGCAGATGCCAGCACCATGTTTCCTGTAAAGCCTGCAGAACTGTGAGCTGATTAAACCTCTTTTCTTTATAAATTACTCAGTCTCAGGTATTCCTTTATAAGAACACAAGAATGGCATAACACAAGAGGGTAAATGTTACTCTTGTTTTCAGAGCTTGTCTTGTGTCTGTTGTTTTTCAAAACGATCAGCTCAAAGTAATCCTTATGTCAATGAGGCACATTTTGGGGTGACATATTCTGGTTTCCTACAATATGCCAACAGAAGAGAAAAAATGGAATCATATAAAATGCTGAATTAAAACCAGAGAAGGCAGAAAAAGAGTGGAAGACAAAAAAAAAAAATAGAACACAAGCAACAAATAAAAAAAGTTACAGATATGGTGGATATTAACTTAACTATATTAATTATCATTTTAAATCTAAATGGTTTAAATACACAGTTAAAAGAACAAGACTATTAGAATGGATTAAAAAAAAAAAAAAAAACCCACAAGATCCAACTGTATGTTGTCTACAAGAAACCCACTTTAAATATAAAGACATATAGAATAAAGGTAAAGAACTAGGCAAAGATAAGCCATGTTGACTTTAATCAAAAGTAGGCTGAAGTAGCTATATTAATTTCAGATAAAGCAAACTTCAGAGCAAGTAAAATTATCAGCAATAAAGAGGAGCATTATGTAATTATAAGGCTCAATTCTCCACAAAGGTGTAACAATCCTTAATGTGTATGTACCTAACAAGAGAGTAGCTTTTTTATCCTCCCCCTTTTCCCACAGTTCACCCTCAAGCAGGCCGTGGTGTCTATTCCCCTTTGTGTCCATGCATTTTCATTGTTTAGGTCCCATTTATAAGTGAGGATATGTGGTATTTGGTTTTCTGTTCCTGTATTAGTTTGCTCAGGATATGTCCTTCAGCTCCACCCATGTTGCTGCAAAGGACATGATCTCATTCTTTTTTCTGGCTTTGTGGTTTTCCATGGTGTGTATGTACCATAGTTTCATGAATCAGTCTACTATTGATGGGCATTTAGCTTGATTCCATGTCTTTGCTGTTGTGAATAGTGTTGTAATAAACATACAGGTGCATATGTCTTTGCGGTAGAATGATTTATATTACTTTGGGCATATACCCAATAATGGGATTACTGTGTCGAATGGTAATTCTGACTTAATTTATTTCAGAAATTGCTTTTCACAATGGCTGAATTTACATCCCCACCAGCAGGGTATAAGCATTCCCATTTTCACCCCTTGATTCCTGGGCCCATGAATCCTGCCTATGGGAGAAAGAATATCATATTTTGAATGTTAATTCAGAGCATATGCATATCTTGCCCCAGCCCTGCAAGGTATCACCACCTCACTGGTACTATAACTGAGTCTTCAAGAAGCCATTCCACTGTTCTATCAAGCCAGCTGCTCCAGGATGCTGGGGAACATAAGATCAGTAAATTCTATGATCGTGGGTCATTCCACACTTTATTTCTGTTAAGTGAGCTCCCGGATGAGAAGCAATGCTGTGTGGAATACGATGGCAGTAGATGAGGCATTCTTTAACTCCACGGATGGTAGTTGCAGCAGAAGCATTGTGTGCATGGAAGGCAGATCTGTATTGAGAGTGCCTATTCCAGAAATTTACAAATGCTGCTGCCCCTTCCATGATGGAAGTAGTCCAATATAATCAACCTGCCACCAGGAAGCTGGCTGATCTCTTCAGGGAATGGTGCCTTATCAGTGTTGGTCTCTGCTGCTGGCAGATTGGGCACTCTGCCAATTGCAGGTTGGGTGAATGGAGGTTCATGTTGCTCAGCCCATGCATACTCTCTATCTCTTTCACCATGGCCACTTGGTTCATGAGCCCACTGGGCAATGACTGGAGTGGCTGAGGAAAGAGGCTGGCTGATATCCACAAAACAAGTTATTTACTTGACTATGAAAATCCTCCTCTGCTATCACCCTTTTGTGACCATTCACATGGGACACAAATATCTTCACATTTTTGCCTATTCAGAGAGGTCTATCCATATACCTTTTCCCCAAATTTCCTTGCTTTTACAATCATGTCCCTTCCAAGTTTCTGACCATTCAGCCAAACCATTGGCTACAGCTCATAAATTGCTATATAATCACATGTCTGGACATTTCTCCTTCAAAACAAAGTGACATGTGCACTGTTTAAGGTTCTGCCCACTGCAGTAGGGGGGATTTCCCTTCACTACTGTCCTTCAAGAGTGTCTCAAAAGGGGATGCAGAGCTGCATCTGTCCACTTTCAGATGGTGCCTGCATATAGTACTGCGTCTGTAAAGCAGGCCCAAGTTTTCTCTTCCTGTCAGCTGATCACAGGGGACTTCACGTGAGGCCATAAGTGCAGCCTGGGAGAGAGGAGAGAGTGTAGCAGGGTGCAATGAGCATTTCAGTCCTTCTTCTTGTAACTAACCTGTGCCTTCATAGCTCAGGCCTGATCACATCTATGTCGCTTTCATTTGATGATGGAGTGCTGCTGTTCATACCCAACTGTATGGCCTGGTGGGTCAGATAACACCCAGTTGATGTTGGGCAGCTCAGGTTGCATGGTAACTTGGTTGTCTATGGTTAACCATTGAGTCAATAGCATGCCAAGAGCTGTTTCTCAAAATGAGTGTAGTTATTTGTAGAGAGTGGCAGAGCTTTGCTAAAGAAAATCCTACGGGCCTGTGTTGCAATTCACATAGGGTCCTGCCGTAGCCTCCAAACAGCATCCCTACCTGCTATTGACATTTCAAGCACCATTTGGATCTGCTGAATCATGTGGCTCAAGTGGCAGAACAGCTTGCACAGCAGCCTGGACCTGTTGCAGAGCCTTCTCTTATTCTGGGCCCCACTTGAAACTAGCAGCTTTTCAGGTTACTTGGTAAATGAGTTGGAGTAACACACCCAAATGAGGAATATGTTGCTTTCAAAATCCAAAGAGGCCCACTAGGTATCGTGCCTCTGTTTTGGTTGTGGGCCAGATGCAACAACTTATTCTTTACCGTAGAAGGGATATCTTGGCATGCTCTACACTACTGGACCCATAGAAATTTCACTGGTGTAGAAGGTCTCTGAATTTTCGTTACATTTATTTCCCACCTTCTGACATGCAAATGTCTTCCCAATAAATTTAGGCAAGTTTCTACTTTTTGCTCACTAAGTCTCTTCAGCAATAATGTCATCGGTGTAATAGACCAGCATGATATCTTGAGGAAGAGAAAGACAGTCAAGATCACTGTGAGTTAAATTATGACATAGGGCTGCAGAGTCAATGTACTCCTGAGGTTGGAAAGTGAAGGGGTATTGTTGGCCTTGCTAGCTGAAAGCACACTGCTGCTGGTGGTCCTCATGAACAGATATAGAGAAAAAAGCATTTGTCAGATCAGTAGCCACATACTGGGTAGCAGAGGGTGTGTTAATTTGCTCAAGCAAGGAAACCACATCTGGTACAGCAGCTGCAATAGGGGTCACAACCTGGTTAAGCTTCTGATAATCCACTGTCATTCTCTAAGATCCATCTGTCTTCTGCACAGGCCAAATAGGCAAGTTGATGGGGGATACGGTGGGAATCACCACCCCTGCATCTTTTGAGTTCTTAATGGTGGCTCTAAGCTCTGCAGGAATACTGCATTCCTCCAGGGATGCAATATTACTTCTATTTCCCTAAGTAGAAGCAGTTCCAGTGGCTTCCATTTGGCCTTTCCACCGTAATGGCCTTTACTCCACAGGTTAGGAAACCTATATGAGGATGCTGCCAGTTGCTGAGTGTATCTATTCCAATTATACATTCTGGAACTGGGGAAGTAACCACAGGATGGGAGTCAGAGGCCCCATTGGGCCCACTGTAGGACATACTTGAGCTAAAACTCTTAGTCTGTTTGGGCTGCTGTAACAAGATACCTTAGACTTGGTGGCTTATAGACAACAGAAATTTATTCTTACACTAATGGAGGCTGGGAGGTAAAAGATCAGGGTGCCAGCATGGCCAGGTTCTGGCAAAGGCCCCTCTTTCAGGTTGCAAAATGCCAACTTCTCACTGTGTCCTCATGTGGCAGAGGGGACAACCAAGTTCCCCTCAGGCCTCTTTTATAAAGGCACTAATCCCATTCATGAGGGTTCTACCATTATGACCTAATCACACCTCAAAGCCTCCACCTCCTAATACTATCACTTTGAGAGTTATGACTTCAACATATGAATCTTGGAAAGACAAAAACATTCAGACTACAGCAAACTTCAGTGATCACCTGATCTCCATTAGCCCCTATTCTGACTGGTGGGCCACAGTGATGTTTTTGGTGTCCTGGAATTAGTGTCAGTTCAGAGTCCTATAATCCCTCCAAAGTCTTATTATTTCCTTTTCCCTAATGTATAGCTACCTTAGTAAAATGCCACATGTCCTTTGGGGAAGGCTGGGAGAAAGATTAACAGTATAAAATTTTGCTTGGTTTTGGCTTCTTTCCAAAAGGGGACCCAATTTTATCTTAATTCAAGGGGTTCTGGGACTGTAAACTGGCTCAAATCCTGGAATTGAATGAGGGGTTGTGACTCTCCGTTTTTATGATTCAAGTCAGACTTTTGTTCACTTGACCTAGAAACCTTTCTGCTGATACAAATCAAGTAAGAATTTAGTAGGCTTCCTATCTGTTCTACTTTTGGAAAGATCATGATCAACTAGCAAATGCTGAGGTCTGCAAGAGTCAGACTGTTTCAGTTCCTGCTTTGACTTTGCTGTCCCTTGCGGTAATCACATTCACCTCACCTTTGATGACTGAGTGCTGCCACTTGGTCCCTGCCACCCTGAGATCCAATTACTCCTATTGCATTGAAGTTTCCCAACTCAGTGACTGTAGTTCCCACTGTAAGGCCTGGCTACAGAAAAGAAAGATCACAGAGCTCTAAGAATGCCAGGGCTCCCCTCAGACATTTCTCACAGTTGTGGTGAAAGAGGTATCTCTTGTACCCTGCCAAGGTGGGTGAGTAGGTCTTAAATGATGAATCTGCTCTAACAATCCAATCTCCCTAAGCCTTTGAATCCCTTCCTCTATATTAAGCCAAGGCAGGTCAGGAATTTCTAACTCACTTTAGGGATTAGGATTTCAACACATAAACATATGTTGAATGCATGAGCCACCTTTTTGTCCATGCGTCAGCCAACCAACCAAATAGACTGTTAGAATCCTTTCTAACTCTAAGCTGTAATGTTAAAGGCAGAATCTCTGCTCTATGGGCCCATATCAATACACTCAGCCTGATCCAGCTTTATGTTCTTTATGTCAATATCTCATGCCTTTAATATGCATTCCCACATACGTTCCCCAGATTTTTGTCTGTATAAATTAGAAAACTCAAGTTATTCTTTTGAAGTATAGTATACCCCTGCATGGGGCATACTTTGTAACTCGCCTGCTGAATGAGTTACAGGGGGCCTGCTGGGACTTGAGTTATAGGTCTAGAAGCAAATGGATCCTGAAGAGAATCAGCATTGTTTTGCAAAGGCAACTGACCCAGGGGAGGCCATCACAGTTTTCTCTGGGAATGCAGGGTTAATCCCTCAGATGGCAGTAAGGAGGATACTTCTACTGGCAAAGAAGACTCCTAAGAATTTAGGGGCAAAATGTCCTCAGCATTACACACACAAAATGTGTGTTGTAATTCAGTCACTTGTGAGATGAGATAAAACCACAGAGGGACACACATGGGAAGAGAGAGTGGCAGTGCAGAGGTAGAGGCAGATGTGCTGCCCTACCCCCCATGTGTGCACATCATGCACACATACACCCCTATGCCAGGGTGGCAGGCTGATTTCAGAAAACAAAAAGATGGCAGTGGAATGACTGTTAGGATGGTGTGAGCTCAGGTAACATCGTAATGCCTAACCTTGTTTTTACTAACCTTGTTTTTAGACTTTCTTTTTCCTTTAATCACCTAACTTTGTTTCTACCTGAACTGACTCTCTTTTAGCTAAAAGAGCCCGACAGACTTTATCTTGGCTCTTTCACTGGCAGCCCCTTCCTCAAGGACTTAACTTGTGCAAGCTGACTCCCAGCACATCCAAGAATGCAATTAACTGATAAGATACTCTGGCGAGCTATATCCGCAGTGCCCAGGAATTCGTCCGATTGATAACGCCCAAAGCCCCGCGTCTATCACCTTGTAATAGTCTTAAAGCCCCTGCACCTGGAACTGTTTACTTTCCTGTAACCATTTATCCTTTTAACTTTTTTGCCTACTTTACTTCTGTAAAATTGTTTTAACTAGACTCCCCCTCCCCTTTCTAAACCAAAGTATAAAAAACAATCTAGCCCCTTCAAGGCTGAGAGAACTTTAAGCGTTAGCTGTCTCTTAGCCACCAGCTAAATAAACAGACTCTTAATTCGTCTCAAAGTGTGGCGTTTTCTCTAACTTACTCAAGTACAACAACGTGTCACTTCTTTTGTTTTTTTTTTTTTGAGACGGAGTTTTGCTCTTGTTGTCCAGGCTAGAGTGCAATGGTGCTATCTCGGCTCACCGCAACCTCCGCCTCCCAGGTTCAAGCGATTCTGCTGCCTCAACCTCCTGAGTAGCTGGGATTACAGGCATGAGCCACCATGCCTGGCTAATTTTGTATTTTTGGTAGAGTCAGGGTTTCTCCATGTTGGTCAGGCTGGTCTCGAACTCTCGATCTCAGATGATCTGCTCAACTCGGCCTCCCAAAGTGTTGGGATTACAGGCGTGAGCCACCGCGCCCGGCGTCATGTCAGTTCTTAGGTTCGTCTATTCAATCAGCTGTGGAGTAAGTGGGATCTTTTCCAACGCCACTTTTCATTCTCTGGCACTAACTGGGTGTCCAGCAATTCAATTCAAATCTGATTTTAACTATCTAGAGTTAGAATAGACACCACAGGTTAAGGGCACAGTCCCATAAGACTGCCCCTCAATTAAGACACCAATTACAAATCCTCAGCCTGGTTGGGTATAAATTGAGAGTTCCCCTGACTTCCTCCTCAGGTTTGATAATTTGCTAGAATGACTCACAGAACTCAGGAAAGTGCTTTACTTATCATTACCAGTTTACTGTAAGGGATACAACTCAGGAAAAGCCAAACGGAAGAGGTACACAGGGCAAAGTATGGGAGGTGGTGGTCTGCAAAGCTTCCATGCCCTCTCCAGGCGTACCACCCTCCCAGCACTCGATGTGTTTACCAATCCAGAAGCTCCCAGACCCCATCATTTAGAGATTTTTTTTTTTTCGAGACAGGGTCTCATTTTGTCACATAGGCTGGAGGGCAGTGGTGTGATCTCAGATCACTGCCGCCTCAGCCTCCTGGGCTCAAGGGATTCTCCCTCCTCAGCCCCGCAAGTAGTTAGAACCACAGGCATATGCCACCATGCCCAGCTAAGTTTTTGACTTTTTTGGAGATGTGGTTTCATTGTGTTGCCCAAGCTGGTCTTGAATTCCTGAGCTCAAGTGATCTGCCTTCCTTGGCCTTCCAAAGTGCTGGGATTTACAGGTGTGAGCCACTGTGCCCGGCCTCATTTTGGGATTTTTATGGAGGGTCTGATCTGTAAGCAGGATTGATTAAATCATTGGCCCTTGGTCGTTAACTCAACCTCCAGCATTTTTCCCTTTCCTAGAGGTTGAGGGATAAGGCTGAGAGTTCTAACCCTCTAACCAAGGCTTGGTCTTTCTGGTGACCAGGCTGTGTTCTGAAGCTATCTAGAGGTCTGCTAGGAGTCTCTTCATTAGAACAAAAGACACTCCTATCACATTATCATTAAGGAAATTCCAAGAGGCTTAGGAGCTATATGCCAGGACCTTGGGGTGAAGGCCAAATCTCTTTCTCATAGCACAATCATACTATGATTTGCAACTAAGAAGTTTGAAGAGCTGTCATCTAGGCCAGTGGTGCTCAAAGGGTAATCCCAAGACTAGTACCATCAATTTTCCTGGGGACTTGTTAGAAATGCAGATTCTTGGGTACCAATCCAGACTACTAAATCAGAATCCTGGAGGTGGGGTCCAGAAATCTGTTTTTGTAAAAATTACTTCTATTCCCAGGTGATGCTGCTGAAGTCTGCGAACCACAGATGTAGATGAAACTGGGGGCCTCCTTGATACCTCAGGAATCTCCACCCTCACCTGTGGCATCAGGGGCTGAGGAGGCTGTAGTGCCAGCCACTGCTCTCTAAGGGAGGTCCTTTGTCTGTCTTTCCTTTGTCAGAGGTTGCACTGACAGTTCACCCATAGTGAGGTGGAATCTACAGGGACGTGGAGCTTGAGCAATTCTTTTTTTTTTTTTTTTTTGAGACAGAGTTTCACTCTTGTTGCCCAGGCTAGAGTGCAATGGTGCCATCTCAGCTCACCGCAACCTTCATCTCCCGGGTTCAAGTGGTTCTCCTGCTTCAGCCTTCCGAGTAGCTAGAATTACAGGCATGTGCCACCACACCCGGGTATTTTTAGGAGAGGCGGGGTTTCTCCATGTTGGTCAGGCTGGTCTCGAACTCCCAGCCTCAGGTGATCCACCCGCCTCGGCCTCCCAAAGTGTTGGGATTACAGGCGTGAGCCACCGCGTCTGGCCAGCTTGAGCAGTTCTTTACCGGAAGGGAGAGAATGGTCTAGGTTTTGTAAAGGACAGAGTTTGGTCCTTTACAGTGGTATCTGCAAAATGAGGCTAAAGCCTTTAGAGTGTTGTTGTGAGGCCTCAATGGTGTTTGTAAAATGTCTAACATCATACTAGACACAGAACGGTCACTTGCTATATGGTGGTGGTAGTTGCTGTACCTGACACTGCCTATCACAACCATAGCGGATGTTCAGTAGATGTGAGTGATTGTTAATTGGTTCACTGGAGAAGGAAGCAGGCTTTTCTAGCTTGTTTCTCTGATTTTGCCAGCTGAGATGTCTTAGTCTGTTTTGTGCTGCGCTAACAGAAAACCATGGGCTGGGCAATTTATAATCAACAGAAATTGCTTTGGCTCCTGGTGTTGGAGGCTGGGAAGTCTAAGATCGAGGGGTGTACCTGCTGGGAGCCTTCATGCTGCATCATAACGTGGTGGAAGGCATCACATGGGTGAGAGGAAGGGAGAAGGGGACCAACTCCTCCTTTTATCAGGAACCTACTCCAGAGATAACAGCATTAACTCGGGACAAAGCCCTTATGACCTAATCACCTCTTAAAGGTCTTCTTTCTCAATGCTGTTGCATTGAGGATTGAGTTTCCAACACATGAACTTTGGGGAACACATTGAAACCACAGCACAAAGAGGCATAATATAAGAGATCATAATTAGGAAGGAGAAAAACAGGCAGGGAAGGTGGGAGGGTGGGAAGAAAGAAGACAGAAAGAATGTCAGTGTTCATGAGAACAATGGAGACAATGACCATTTTCTTGGAAGAACAAGGAGGTATGAGCTATTGAACACTATGTGGTCATTTCTTCTTCTTCTTCTTCTTTTTTTCTTTGAGATGGAGTCTCACTCTGTCACCCAGGCTGGAGTGCAGTGGTGCTATATTGGCTCACTGCAACCTCTGCCTCCTGGGTTCAAGCGATTCTCCTGCCTCAGCCTCCTGAGTAGCTGGGATTACAGGCGCCCACCACCGTGCCCGGCTAATTTTTGTATTTTTAGTAGAGATGGGGTTTCGTCATGTTGGCCAGGCTGGTTTCGAACTCCTAATCTCAGATAACCCACCCACCTCGGCCTCTCAAAGTGCTGGGATTACAGGTGTGAGATAATGCACCCAGCCGATCATTTCTTCTTAATTCCAGTTATAGGATTTCAGAGCTGGAAAAGGGAACTTGGAGATCACAGACCCACTTCCTTACTGCCCAGGGGAAGCAGTGAAGGCCCTGAGAGAGTAAGTGTCAGAGATAAGAGCAGAATTAGTTTCTGAGGATAGGCACTGCCTGCTACATCTCACCATAACTTGAGCTCATTTATCTCCATGGAAACCTTTGAGGACTGTGAAAGTACCAAAGATGTGGGCAGCACTCTGAGTGTGATTTATTTCCTTTCTGTTTTCTTTTTGTTCTCATTCTTAATCATAAGCTTCTCCTCCCTCCTTTTCCTCTCCTCCATTCCTTCTCTTCTTCCTTTTCATGTTTCTCACCCATAAGGACCCGGCCTAAGCCAGGAAGCTGAGGTTACTGGATCTTCAAAGTGGCTCTGACACTCCAAGTCCAACATACCCCACATCATTGTCTTCTTTACTAGGCGTTGGTTTCTGCTGACCAAAACTCACAGTTGGCTGTGACTGGGCACCAGGGTTCTGACTACTATCAGTAGGAAACATCTCATTTGGTTCCTTGAAAATTCTTGTGACCCTTGAACGCCGGAAACATAATTCAAAAGCTGCCTCCCCTCCTGCGGATCTTTAACCTTTCTTTTTTTTTTTTTTTTGAGATGGAGTCCCATTCTGTTGCCCAGGCTGGAGTGCAATGGCACGGTCTTGGCTCACTGCAACCTCCGCCTCCTAGGTTCAAGCAATTCTCCTGCCTCAGCCTCCCGAGTAGCTGGGATTACAGGTGCGTGACATCATACCCAGCTAATTTTTGTATTTTTAGTAAAATGGGGTTTCACTATGTTGGCCAGGCTGGTCTTGAATGCCTGACCTTGTGATCCGCTCGCCTTGGTCTCCCAAAGTGCTGGGATTACAGGCGTGGGCCACTACGCCCGGCCTTTTAACCCTTTTTTGAATCTCTTGCAAAAGGTGGTTGTGAAAATGGTTGCTCAGTGGCCGGGCATGATCACTTGAGTCCATGTGTTTGAGACCAGCCTGGGCAATATGGTGAAACTCCATCTCTAAAAACGAAAAAAAAAAAAAAGAAAGAAAAGAAAAAGAAAATCCTTGCTCTGTTTTGCAGGCAGAGTGCAAAGTGCCCAAACTTCACAGGGGGAAGAACCTCTCCACAAATCTCATGACACAGGTGAACTGACCTCGCTTCTCAATCACAGCCCACAATTGTTAGAGAAAGCATTAAAAAGGGCTGGGCGCGGTGGCTCACGCCTGTAATCCCAGCACTTTGGGAGGCCAAGGTGGGCGGATCACGAGGTCAGGAGATCGAGACCATCCTTGGCTAACACGGTGAAACAAACCCCATCTCTACTAAAAAATACAAAAAATTAGCCGGGCGTGGTGGCGGGCGCCTGTAGTCCCAGCTACTCGGGAGGCTGAGGCAGGAGAATGGCGTGAACCCGGGAGGCGGAGCTTGCAGTGAGCTGAGATCGCGCCATTGCACTCCAGCCTGGGCGACAGAGCCAGACTCAGTCTCCAAAAAAAAGAAGAAAAGAGAAAGCATTAAAAAAATACCCTCAGCCCCCTGTGATGGGTGGCTACTCCTAGAATTTGGATCCAGGGTGTTTGCGGCTTGGCTTTTTACATATCGAAGAGGAAAGAGATGGCTGAGAACATCCGCCTGGGTGGTCCCGCCATTCCGCCTGCTGAGTATTCAGGGACTCCCGCTGTAGAAAGGATTGGGGGACAACCTGACCGAATTCGCATTTGCTCAGGCGTTTCCCGTAGCGCTCTGCTGAACTGGGGTTAGTCTTTTGCTGCCAGTCAGAAAGTGTCTGGGCCCAACTAGGGAAACCACGGGATAATGGGCTGATGGGGAGGAGGACCAGCATGGAGGATGTGCCACAGCCCCTCCAGAAGGTAGCACTGGCGTGCCTGACAGGTGACAGACGGAGCAGAGGCAAGGGCGCAGCTGCACGAAGGAAAACGCCCACATAGGGGGTGAGCGCGCCCACGCGTGCTCAGCCTTGTCGGAGCGCAGCCCGGGCGCCGGGCTCCCAGTGCAGGTGTGGCCAGCGGAGGTCAAGAACTGCGTGGAACAACCCCAAGTGGGGGAAAACACACGCCAGCCGCCCCCGGGGTCAGGAGGTGGGGCAAGCAGCGGCGCCTCACCCAGCCTCCCGCTCCGGGTCCTGCCGGATGGCGGCAGCTCTCCGGGCCAGCCCCCTTCTCTCCGCGGCTCCTCCGCAGACACCCGGCGCGGAAGAAGGAGGGGCGGAGACCTGGCCGGCGCGCGTCTGATGATCCGGACCCCGGTGCGACTGGAGCGCCTCAGTCACTGTCTCCCCGCCCCACGGTTCCGAGTAAGGACCGGAGCTCCACTCCGGGGGTGGAGCGCGGGCTCCCCGCAGGGAAAGGTGCGCAGCGTTCCCGACCCCAAAACGAGCGGCGCTTGGGAGCGTGCGTGCCTCCCCGAGAGCCCCGGGCGCCACCCGTGGGCTGGACGAGGTGGGCGCTGGGGCGTGGGGCCGGCGGCGCAGAGAAGCCACGGCCACCTGCCGCCTCCCCTGCACCTGGCGGAGCATCCCTCACTCTACAGTCCCTGGAGGCGGCGCCGGAAACCTGGCGGCCGGGACCGCGATTCTGGAAGCCCCGGAGCTCGCCCGGCCGGAGGAGCCGGGGCGCGGTTCCGGCGAGATTGGCGACTTGCTTCCTTTTGCAGAACGGCCGCTCCTCTCTCGGTCCAGCTGCGACGCTGGGAAAGCGCCAGACTTGGTCTGTCACGGGAGCCCCCGCGGGGCGTGGCGAGGGAGAGCTGGCCTAGGCTGCGAGGGACTCTCGTTTCTTGCCTGGAGAGCCAGGAAGAGGGCGAGGGCAGAGCATCCTTGGGCGGAGATGCCTTTAAAAAATCATCCACCGCAGCGGTAGAAACAGTTTTGTTTGGCTTTATTTATACGGAATGGTTTTTCAGTGAAATGCTGTCTTGCTTAAAAGAAGAGATGCCTCCCCAGGAGCTCACCCGGCGACTGGCCACAGTGATCACTCATGTCGGTAAACGAAGCTTTAATTTTTCCTGCGTTTTATTAATGGCGGGTGAGGATGGTCTCTGGGCTTCATCTGGCTCCTGGCCTCACCCGCTGCCCCGGGGCAGCGCGCTTCCTGGGGGGTTGCCCGGCATCTGGGCCTCGCTGCTCTGGGTCCTGCCTGCGGTGCCCAGCGGGGGGCATCCCTGGGGCGCGCCGCTGGTGGGGGTCGGGGGGCCGAGGCTGGTGCCTTCACCAGGTGGTTGCCGAGTCCGTTGAGCTCCAAACCGAGGGCTGCTGGGCTGTTACCATCCGTTAGCTGCTTCTGACGGGAGTAGGGTGGGTGGGAAGTTATGTTCTGGTTTTGGGGATAGTGAGAAAGGAGAGGGCATAAGAGGAACGAATGCCAGTGCTTTTCAGCAGAAATGATTGCCACGCCACTGAAGGCTTGTTTATAAGAAAGTGCAGGGAGAGGCAGGTTACATGGGAGCGCCCCTGCGCAGCTCGGCCGCTAGGCCTGTTTTACTGTGCTGCCTGGAGGGTTAAGCACACCCCTGATGATCCCCGCGAGAAATCTCTGCAAGCCAAGGAGACTGAGCAATTTTAATCTTCTTCCCTGAGTTGAAAAGAGGAGCAAAACATGCATTGCTTGCTCCTGAAATAAGGGTTGTGATGGAACGTCAGGCCCCACAGACTAAGTAAGGGCAAGAGGACATTGAGACAGTTCCCAGTCAGTTTTTTCTTAGCACTTTCTTCCCCTTGGCCTTCCCTGGACCTCCCTCAGTAAAGACACACATTCAGGTTCAGAACCTCTGGATGTGGGCAACTGGAATTATCGGGATCATTTTCTCTGTTGCTGACTGTGCTTGGAGGTCCTCCCATGAATGCAAATCAGCTTTTATTGATAAAGCCAGGAACTATTTGCCTTGGTTTTCTACACATTTGTGAAAGCTGCTTTCTTGGTACTTGCATGTTAAATGTTGCCTCAATTAGTCCAACGTGTTTGCTGTAATAATCGTGCACATCTCAAATGATACACTTGTGAGGACATACTTTGTAAAGATGATTTATATGGGAAGGCCCAGTTTTGATAATTCAAGTTTAGAAAAAAGTTTCTGGTGCCAATTGTGGGCACTGAACTTTTACGACAAAAGATCAGTAGGATCCTACCAGGTAAGGTTGAATGTGAAATATTGCTGAAGGCAGTGTGAAATAAGAGGAAAAAGAACTTGTAATGAAACAGAATTCGGAATCTGCAATATGATGAAAGTTGAAATGATTGTGCTAAAACCCAGCACAGGCATGAAGTTGTGGTATAGAGAAAGAGCAGTGGACTCGGGGTGTGACCGTCTGGATTTGAATCTTTCCCTGGACAAGTCATTCGACCTCAGGTTGAAAAATAGGAATTTTAATAGTACTTTCCCACTCAGCTCAAAGGCTACTTGTGAAGATAAGTAAGATAATTTGGGTAGAAATACTGTGTACACTGTGATTATACAGACATTTCAGTTATTAGACATATCCCTGGTCCCTCTGTCACGCCACTAAAGATCTTTGGTGGGTTACTGGGCCTCTCTCAGGGCGAAGCCTCCCATCTGTTAAACGAGGGGTTGACCTGGATGATTTTAAAGGTCCCTCCTATTTCTCTGGAGCAGGCTCTTCTTGAAAATCTGGCAGGCAGTATTCCTTGACTAACACTTAGCTGCCTGTGGCGCCCAGGCTATGGTATTTTCTTGCCTACCTTGCTCCCTCCCTCCTTCTATAGACAGCTCCATGCAGGATACACATAGGAATTTGTTGTAGTTTCTCCTTTCAACCTCTAATGACCCTTGGCTTTTGTGTGCTTTGCAAGATTCTGTCTCCTCATACTTAATCTAATAAAACCTGTGAAATGGGTGGGGTACTCATTACTACCCCTATTTTACAAATGAAGGAATTGACTCAGAGAGGATCATCTTTTTTGTTTTTTTTTTTGAGATGGAGTTTCGCTCTTGTTGCCCAGGCTGGAGTGCAATGGTGTGATCTCGACTCACTGCAACCTCCGCCTCCCGGGTTCAAGCGATTCTCCTACCTCAGCCTCCCGAGTAGCTGGGATTACAGGCATGTGCCACCACGCCCGGCTAATTTTTTTTGTATTTTTAGTAGAGACGGGTTTCTCCATGTTGGTCAGATTGGTCTTGAACTCCTGACCTCGGGTGATCCGTCTGCCTTGGCCTTGGCCTCCCAAAGTGAGAGAGGATCATCTTTTAAGGTTTCAGGGGGAGTGAGTGGCAGGCTCAGGGCAGGAAGGTAGCTCTTCATATCCCCTACTGGGGGACCTCAAGGTGGAGCGGGCGTTTCTCTAACCCTGCAACAGCCTCAGCCTTCACGGAGGGTCACTTTGGGTAGCCAGTGGAGCTTCTCAAGGGTAGATTGGCTCTATGCTTGCCTGTTCTTTTCAGGTATTTCCTTATCAAGTAGCTTCTGAGGAGGTGATCATGAGTTGGGGAAGGTTTGAGAGGTGCTTGGAGCAAGGCTTTGGGTTGGAACATTCTCCGGGTCCTATCCTAGCCACTTGCCAGGGTAGCCACACTGTCTTCCGTATTCACTCGGCCTCCTCTGACCCTGAGTCACTTTCTCCTCCAGCAGGGGTTTCTGCTCTTTCCATGTCCCTTAGACTTGGTAATTGAGTCATCTCTCTTCACCCACTCCCATATTTCCATAAGTGTCTTGGCTGCTGTTGATTCAGTTTCAGAAACACCTCGCAGCTTTCTTTCCTCATGTCCATCCCCACTGCTGCCTGCCTCAATCCTACTTCAGGACTTCATTTCCTTTTAACTAGCCGTTGTGCAAACCTCCTGTCTCTCTGTGTCTGCCTCTGATGTATACTACGAGCCAAACAAACACGACACTCTATATTCCAAAGCCTTTAATAATACCTGCACCTAGTCATTCTCTGCAGCCTAAGATACAAGCTCTTCACTGTTTGGCCTATAAAGTTCTAGCTTTATCCCCTAATAGTTGAGATTTCTACACCTATGGTTGGACAACTTGAACTCTTCAGTTCTTTGGCTCTGTCCCATTATGTTTTCCAGACCTTTTCTCACCTCTAAGTATTTGCACTTTTACCCCCCACCTGGAATAAGTCTTTAGTATATTTCTCACAGAAATAGTACACACCTTTGAAACCCAATACAATGCCATCTCCTTCATGGTATCATTTCTGATCTTGCTGGTGGGACATGATGACTCCTGACTCTGAATTCCAAAGTAAGCTTTGTTCTGCTCGCATTGTGCCCATCATACTCTCCCCTGTATTATGGTTACTGGGTTATTCGTGCGCTTGTTTAACCTGCTCTGCTTCTAGACTCTTCATTACTTACGAAGAGTCTTATGTACCCTAGATAGCCACTTAACACAGGGCCTCACTCTAAGGAGATGCAGAATAAATGTTTGCTGAATAGATGAATGATTGTGTTTTGGAATGGAGTTGGAGTATTGAGTACCAGGCAGTTTTTACACTTTTAAGGACAGCTATAAAATATTTGTAGATAACTATTTTGTCTCCAAAACCCCATTTGAAAGTAAACATGAAGCCCTTCATGTGTTCCTCATGTGATGTGCTTCACTCTAGGGGCCTCTTTCTTTGGATTTTGTCCATTAGTCAGGAACTCTTATAAAATATGCAGTTCACATGTGAACACATGTCTAGATGTGTTTTCATCCATGCAGGACACATGTAGGACCATCCTTTCCCCTTGATTCTGGACCATAGAGTCACATTGGTTTACAGAATTTCAGTGTCAGAAAAATATTGTTTGATTTTCCTCATCCTATCCCTTTTCGGTTGTTGAAATATCTGCAAATTTGCTGTACTGCTATTTATATGTGGAGGTGTGCTGTCTAAGTAACATGGACTATCTATGAATGCATCTCAGATTGCTCTAGGATTTTGATAGACAGGGCACATATGGCTCACATGGGGGCTTCCAATAACTAGAAACCCATAGTCATCAAGATGGGCCATGTCGCCGGGCGCAGTGGCTCACACCTGTAATCCCAGCACTTTGGGAGGCCGAGGCAGGCAGATCACCTGAGGTCGGGAGTTCAGCCTGACCAACCCTGTCTCTACTAAAAATACAAAATTAGCCAGGCGTGGTGATGCATGCCTGTAATCCCAGCTACTTGGGAGGCTGAGGCAGGAGAATCGCTTGAACCCGGGAGGCGGAGGTTGCGGTGAGCTGAGATTGCGCCATTGCACTCCAGCCTGGGTGACAGAGCAAGACTGTGTCTCAAAAAAAAAAAAAAAAAAAAAAAACAAATAAAATTTAAAAAATGGTCCACGTCAGTAACTCCCCATAGAGGTTTTGCATTTCCAGCATGGCTCACTTTCCACCTTGCCCCCTCATATTAGACATAATTATTTTACATTTTGATCTTATCATTGTTCTAAAATGACTTCATATGTTTGGCTACACCCAATTAACTGTGAAGCAGAAAAGAATATCCTTTGAAACATTCCTTATATCATTGGAGATCGGATTGGTGGCTATTTTGGTGACAGAGGCTCTAGGATACTGATCTGTAACCCAGGTTGCTACTTCTGGGACACAGTCAACATTGATAACATGCAGCCAGAAAAATACTAGACTGAGAAATTCAGCCCGTGGCTCATTATTATACAATGTTGTTAGCAGCTGAAATGTCTAGAGTCCATGCCTCAGCTGTTGGTACTGAAAGAAGAGTCTAATTAGAGTAGGGTATCTGCTAATCAGGTGGGAATGTGCCCAGTGGGGATGGCTGGACATGTTCCCCCATCTGACTATATTTGGGCTATTTTTCGATTAGGCTCTGTAGACACTGTGCCTAGTGTTCACAGACTCTTCAAGGGCTACTAAAAATGTTTGAACCCTAAAAAAATTGATCGACAAATTTAAAAGTGCAAAATAAAATTTAAGAAACATTTAAATGTCTACAAAAGCTCCCTTGCCCTTACCATTTTGTCACATTTAAAAAGAAACAGTTGTGGAGTTGGAGTTCCATTTCCAGAAATGCCAGTGTGAAGAGTCCCAGGGATCCATTCCTCAGTGAAGCAACTGTACTTGGTGAAAATTATTTTAAAAGCCAGGCTTCTAAAGCCTCTGGAAGTTGTTTGAAGGGCATGCAGCAAATGAAAAAAAATACATTTATTCAAGAAAATCTACTAAATCTTGGTAATAATAGTGAGTGTCTATGGTACCTGAGCATGACCTGCTCTCATCCTCCCAGCTCCTCTCTCCTCAGCTTTTAGTCAAGGGATATAGTCCCTTGCCAGGAGGGGCAGGTGTCCAGCATTTCTCATCTTCTCTAACTCCAAGTTGCTGAGGCCAAGTTCCTGGAGAGCCTACAGCTGAGAGGTCAGGGTCTGCTTCTTTCCACCCAGCCCCCATTCATAGGACAGAAGCTTTATCCCAGGTACAGCGGGCTGAGAATACTGAGACCTGGTTGCTTTTGCCCCAGCTCCCTCATGAAATGGAGATTCAACATTGAGAGAGGCAAGCCAAGACCAGTCTACTGCCCTGGCTGAGATTTTGCCTGGAAGTAGAGACAGTCTGGAAGAATAGAGGGTTTGAAGCTCTCCCCCAAATAACTGACTTTAGCTAAAACTGAGTGTGGGAAAGCTCAAGTCTAAAGGCACTCTTGAATACAATGGAGATTTTGAGAGTAAGAAATTAAGAGGAGTCTGGTAGCTTTGTGAGAGCAACAAGCTAAACCATAGGCCAGCTTGTTTATCAGAGAGTCCTCTGAACCAGGGAAAGAGGCAACTAGAGTTATATGGAACCTAAAGATTGGCCTCAAAAACTATCTTTGCCTGAATTTAATTGAATAAGACTGGAGCAATTTTATGCCCCAGGGCATTGTTGAAAACGATAAAGCAAGCAGTAGGTAGGTGGAGTTTAACAGCTGAGTATGATATAAACAAAGGCAGACAACAGAGAGATCAGAAAGGGAGACAGGCAGTACAACTCTGTTAAACCCACACAGACTATGGGCACAACCAAAGCAACATTGTCTGAGGAGGGACATCAGTGTCTTTACACTTCAAGGGAAATATACTTCACTAAAACAGTCTAGCTATGTCACTAAACAAGCAAACAAACAAAAACAAGCCCCAGAGATGGGGAAAAGAGGAATCAGTATTCATGGTTGCTATAGTATATTACCTAAAATGTCCAGTTTTGAACCAAAATTTATGAGACCTTCAAACAAACAGGAAAGTGTGACCCTTAAATAAACAAAAAGCAGGCATCAGAAACTGCCTGTGAGAAAGCCCAGGTGTCAGATTTAGCAAAAACTTCAGTACAGCCGCAATAAATATGTTCAAAGGGGCCAGGTGTGGTGGCTTATGCCTGCAATCCCAGGCCCAGGCAGGAGGATTGCTTGAGGCCAGGAGTTCAAGACCAACCTGAGCAACATAGCAAGACCTTGTCTCTATAAAAAACGAAAATAAGTGAAATTAAAAATTTACTAGAGGAGCTTAACAGTGGATTTGAACTGGAAAAACAAAGACTCAAGGAACTGAAGATAGATTTGATAGAGATTATGCAATCTGAAGGAGAGAGAAAAATGAATAGAGCCTTAGAAAAATGTGAGACACTAGTAAGTGCACTAATATAAATGGAATGTAAAGAGAGGAGCTACAGGAGGAGCAGAAAAAGTATCAGAAGAAATAATGATTTAAAAAATTCCCCAGATTGATGAAAAACATTGTACATCAAAGAAGCTCAATGATGTTGAAGTAGGAAAAAGGTAAAGAGATCCACACCCAAACACATTATTGTAAAAATGCTGAAAGTGAAAGATGAGAAAATTTTGAAAGAAGAGAAAAATGACTCATCACATACAAAGAAACTTTAATGAGGGTAACAACCAACTCTCATCAGAGATGATAGATGACAGAAAGCAAAAAGTGCTAAAGAAAATTGTCAACCAAGAATCTTGTATTCAGCAAAACTGTCTGATATAGTTTAGCTCTGTGTCCCCACCCAAATCTCACCTTGAATTGTAATCCCCACATGTTAAGGGAGGGACCTGGTGGGGGGTGATTGGATAATGGGAGTGGTTTTTCCCCAGGCTATTCTTTTGACAGTGAGGGAGCTCTCACGGGTTCTGATGGTTTTAAAAGTGGCAGATTCCCCTGCATGAGCACTCTCTCTCCTGCTGCCTTGCGAAGATGTGCCTTACTTCCCCTTTGCCTTCTGTCACGATTATAAGTCTCCTGAGGCTTCCCCAGCCAGGCGGAACTATGAGTCAGTTAAACTTCTTTCCTTTATAAATTACCCCATTTCAGGTTGTATCTTTTTTCTTTTTTTGAGATGGAGTCTTGCTCTGTCGCCCAGGCTGGAGTGCAGTGGCGCAATTTCAGCACACTGCAACCTCCCACTCCTGGGGTTCAAGTGATTCTTCTGCCTCAGCCTCCCAATTAGCTGGGATTACAGGTGACCGCCACAACGCCCGGCTAATTTTTGTATTTTATAGAGACAGAGTTTCACCATATTGGTCAGGCTGGTCTCGAACTCCTGACCTTGTGATCCACCTGCCTTGGCCTCCCAAAGTGCTGGGATTACAGGCATGAGCCACCGCACCTGGCCAGGTTGTATCTTTATAGCAGTGTGGAAACAGACTAATACAGAGAATTGGTACTAAGAGTGGGGGTACTGCTATAAAGATAACCTGAAAATGTGGAATTGACATTGGAACTGGGTAACAGGCAGAGGTTGGAACAATTTGGAGGGCTCAGAAGAAGACCGGAAGATGTGGGAAAGTTTGGAACTTCCTAGAGACTTGTTGAATGGTTTTGACAAAAATGTTGATAATGATATGCACAATGAAGTCCAGGCTGAGGTGGTCTCAGATGGAGATGAGGAACTTATTGGGAACTGGAGTAAAGGTCACTCATGCTATACTTTAGCAAAGAAACTGGTGGCATTTTGCCCCTGCCTTAGAGATCTGTAGAACTTTGAACTTGAGAGAGATGATTTAGGGTATCTGGCAGAAGAAATTTCTAAGCAGCAAAGCATTCTTTTTCTTTTTTTTCTGAGGCAGAGTCTCACTCTGATGCCCAGGCTGGAGTGCAGTGGCACGATCTCAGCTCACTGCAACCTCTGCCCCCCAGGTTCAAGTGATTCTCGTGTTTCAGCCTCCCGAGTAGCTGGGACTACAGGTGCATGCCACCATGGCTGGCTAATTTTTGTAATTTTAGTAGAGATGGGGTTTCACCATGTTGGCCAGGCTGGTCCCAAACTCCTGACCTCAAGTGATGCACCCACGTTGGCCTCCCAAAGTGCTGGGATTACAGGCATGAGCCACTGTGCCCAGCCACAGCAAAGTATTCAAGACTTATTCTGAAAGTGTTCAGTTATATGCATTCACAAAGAGATGGTTTGAAATTGGAATTTATGTTTAAAAGGGAAGCAGAGCATAAAGGTTTGGAAATTTTGCAGCCTACCTGACCATGTGGTAGAAAAGAAAAACCCATTTTCTGGGGAGGAATTCAAGCTGGCTGCAAAGATTTGCATAAGTAATAAGGAGCTGAATGTTAATAGCCAAGATAATGGGGAAAATGTCTCCAGGGCATGCCAGAGACCTTCATGGCAGCCCCTCCCATCACAGTCCCAGAGGCCTAGGAGGAAAAGATGGTTGTATGGGCCGGGCCCAGGGGTCCACTGCTCTGTGTAGCCTTGTGACATGGTGTCCTGTGTTCCAGCCACTCCAGCTGTAGCTGTGGCTAAAAGGGGCCAAGTTACAGCTCAGGCCATTGCTTCAGAGGGTGCAAGCCCCAAGCTTTGGCAGCTTCCATGTGGTGTTGAGCCTGTAGGTGCACAGAACAAGAGGTGAGGTTTGGGAAACCTCCTAGATTTCAGAGGATGTATGGAAATGCCTGGATATCCAGGCAGAAGTCTGCTGCAGGGGCAGAGCCCTCATGGAGAATCTCTGCTAGGGCAGTGTGGAGGAGAAATAAGAGTCCCCAGTGGGGAACTGCCTAGTGAAGCTGTGAGAAGAGGGCCACCATCCTCCAGACCCCACAATGACAGATCCACCGACAGCTTGCACTGTATGCCCAGAAAAGCTGCAGGCATTCAACGCCAGCCTGTGAAAGCAGCTGCAGTGGCTGTACCCTGCAGAGCCACAGGGGCAGAGATGCCCAAGGCCTTGGGAGCCCATCCCTTGCATCAGTTTACCCTGGATGTGAGACACGAAGTCAAAGGAGATCATTTTGGATCTTTAATATTTAATGACTGTCCTATTGGATTTCAGACTTGTGTGAGGCCTGTAGCCCCTTTGTTTTTGCCAGTTTCTCTAATTTGGAATGGGAACATTTACCCAGTACCTGCACCCTCATTGTGTCTTGGAAGTAACTAATTTGCTTTTGATTTTACAGGCTCATAGGCAGAAGGGACTTGCCTTGTCTCAGATGAGACTTTGGACTTGCACTTTTGAGTTAATGCTAAAATGAGTTAAGACTTTGGGGGACTATTGGGAAGACATAATTGGTTTTGAAATGTGGAAAGGACATGAGATTTGGGAGGAGCTGGGGTGGAATAATATGGTTTGGCTCTGTGTTCCTATCCAAATCTCATCTTGAATTGGAGTCCCCACATGTTGAGGGAGGGACCTCCTGGGAGGTGATTGGATCATGGGGGTGGTTTCCTCCATGCTGTTCTCATGATAGTGGGGGAGTTCTCACAAGATCTGATGGGTTTATTTATTTATTTAATTTTTTGAGATGGAGTCTTGCTCTGTCACCCAGGCTGTAGTGGAGTGGCATGATCTCAGCTCACTGCAACCTCTGCCTCCTGGGTCCAAGTGATTCTTCTGCCTCAGCCTCCCAAGTAGCTGGGACTATAGGTGCGCACCACCACACTCAGCAAATTTTTGTATTTTTAGTAGAGATGGGGTTTTGCCATGTTGGCCAGGCTGGTCTCGAACTCCTGACCTCAGGTGATCTGCCCATCTCAGCCTCTCAGAGTGCTGAGATTACAGGCCCCGCCACAAGATTTGATGGTTTTAAAAGTGGCAGTTTCCACTGCACCCTCTCTCTCCCTTGCCACCCTGTAAACATATGCTTTGCTTCCCTTTCATCTTCCACCATGATTGTGAGTTTCCTGAGGCCTCCCTTAGCCATGTGGAACTGTGAGTCAATTTGACCTCTTTCCTTTATAAATTACCCAGTTTCGGGTAGTATCTTTATAGCAGTGTGAAAACGGACTAACATAGTATCTTTAAGAAATGAAAGCAAAATAAAGACATTCCTGGATAAACAAAAACAGATAATTAATTGCTAACAGATCTACCTTTTAAGGAATACTAAAGGAAGTTATTCAGGCTGAAAGCAAGTGATCCCAGGTGGTAATTCAAATCCATATGGAAAACAAAGAGCATCAGTAAAGATAATTATGTAATTATGTAAGACACTGTAAATGCATATTTCTTCATTCTTTTAACTGATTTGAAAAGCAATTATGTTAAACAAAAGTACAAATGGTCCCCAGCTTACAATGATTCAACTTACAACTTTTTGACTGTACAATGGGTTTATCAGGATGTAACTTCATCATAAGTTGAAGAGCTTCTTATGACTTATGATGGGGTTACAGTTTCTACTGAATGCATACAGCCATTCCTTGGCATCCAAGGGGGATTGGTTCCAGTACCCCCCAGTGTTTACCAAAATCTCTGGATGCTCAAGTCCCTTTTATAAAATGATGTAAATGATTAACCTATGCACATCCTCTTGTATACTTTAAATGATCTCTAAATTACCATTTTTTTTTTTTTTTTTTTTTTTTTTTTTTGAGACAGAGTCTCACTCTGTTGCCAGGCTGGAGTGTAGTGGTGTGGCACGATCTTGGCTCACTGCAACCTTTGACTCCCTGGTTCAAATGATTCTCCTGCCTCAGCCTCCTGAGTAGCTGGGATTACAGGCACGCCCCACCACGCCAAGCTAATTTTTAAAAAAATTTTTAGTAGAGACAGGGTTTTACCATGTTGGCCAGGATGGTCTCGATCTCCTGACCTCGTGATCCACCCGCCTCAGCCTCCCAAAGTGCTAGGATTACAGGTGTGAGCCACCACTCCCAGCCTGATCTCTAAATTACTTATAATACCTAATACAATATAAATGCTGTGTAAATAGTTGCTGTACTTTATATTTTGAATTTGTATTTTTTTATTGTTGTATTGTTTTTTATTTCTTTGAATATTTTTGATCTGCAGTTGGTTGAATTCATGGATACAGAGCCCACAGATACAGAGGGCCAATTATATTGCTTTTGCAACATTATAAAGTTGAAAAATCATAAATCAAGCCATCATAAATTAGGGATTGTCTGCTGTGTTGCCAGCATTAAGTGCATTTTTGACTTACAGTTATTTTGACCTATGATGGCTTTATCAAGACATAACCCCATTGTAAGTTGAGGAATGTCTGCATATAATGTACTGTTGGGTATATATATTCAGTAATATAATATATTTAACAAGAGCACAGGGGAGGTGGGTAGGAGAAAAGCTGCATTTGGAATAAAGAAATGACTCCAGAGGGTAGCTCAAATCCATAGGAACAAATGAAGAGAACCAGGAATAGTAAATAAGGTTAATGTTACAAACTCTATAAATATATACTTGTTCTCCTTTCTTGTCTCAGATTCTGTAATAAACATAAAGTTATATAACATAGTAATTATAACAACATATTGTTGGGTTTATAACATACGTAGATATACTATGTATAACAATAATAGCAGCAAAGTGGGAAGAAGGATTAGCACTATATAGAAGTAACATTTCTGTATCTCAAGTTTAATTAAGTTAGTATAAATCTGAAGTAGATTTTGATAAGATGTATATGAAAAACTATAGAATAACCACTAATAAAATTACTTAAAATATAATGAAAATATTATCAAAGGAATTAAAATGCTATACTAGAAATTTTTATTAATGTAAAAGAAAGCAGTAAATGAAAAAATATGAGATATAGAGAAAACAAAACATAAAATGACAGACATGGATCCCACTATATCAGTAATATTAAGTGTGAATGGATAAATGATCCAATCAAAAGGCAGAAATTGTCAGGCTAGGTTTAAAAAATAAGAGCCAACTATATAGTGTCTCCTGGAGACACACTTTATATTCAAAGATACAACTAGTATATTCAAAGATATAAAAAAGTAAAAGGATGGGAAAAGATGTATGATACAAACTGTAACTATACAAACACTGGGGTGATGATACTAATATCAGATACAGTAGACTTAAAACAAAAAAAGTCACTAGAGATACACAAGGATATTTTATAGTGATAAAAGGCTTAATCTATCACCAAGATATAATAATTACAAACGCCTAAAAATGGAGCTCCAAAATACATGAAGCAAAAACTGACAGAATTGAAAGGAGACATAGAAAATTCAACTATTGGCCGGGTGCGGTGGCTGACGCCTGTAATCCCAGCACTTTGGGAGGCCGAGGTGGGTAGATCACTTGAGGTCAGGAGTTTGAGACCAGCCTGGCCAACGTGGTGAAACCTCGTCTCTACTAAAAATACAAAAATTAGTCAGGTGTGGTGGCGGGCACCTGTAATCCCACCTACTTGGGAGGCTGAGGCAGGAGAATCGGTTGAACCTGGGAGGCAAAGATTGCAGTGAGCAGAGAGACTGCACCACTGCACTCCAGCCTGGGCAACAGAACGAGACTCCGTCTCAAAAAAAAAAAAATTCAGTTCAACTATTAAACATAATAGTTGGAAACTTCAGTATGTCACTTTCAGTAATGTGTAGAACAAACAGGCAGAAGATCAACAAGGAAATGGAAAACCTACACAACACTGTAAATCAACCAGACCCAACACAGAATACTCCATTCAACAACAGCAGAATATACATTTGGAATATTCTCAAGTGTTCCAAGGAACATGGAACATTCTCCAGGACAGACCATATTCTAGACTCTAAAACAGCCTCAATAAATGTAAAATGATTGAAATTATACAAAGTATGTTCTTTAATCAAAATGGAATAAAATTAGAAATCAACAACAGAAGGAAATGTGAAAATTCACAAAAATGTGAAAGTTAAATAGCATGCATATAAAGAGCAAATGAGTCAACAAGAACTCACAAGGGAAATACTTTAAGATGAGAGAGAATCAAGACACAGCATACTCAAACTTAGAGGATGCAATGGGAGCAATGCTGAGAGGGAAATTTATAGCTGCAAATGCTTACATTAAGAAAGAAGAAAGATCTCAAATCAATAACCCAATCTTCCACACTGAAGACACTAGGAAAAGAAAAGCAACCTAAATATAAAGTAGAAGGAAGAAAATAGTGAAGATTAGAGGAAATTAATGAAATGTAGAGTAGAAAAGCAATACAGAAAATCAACAAAATCAGAAGTTGATTAATTGAAAAAATTAACCTTTAGCTATAGAGTAACAAGAGAAAAAAGAGAAGGCGTAAATGACTTGAATGAAAGAGGGGACATTTCTACCATCCTTACATAAGCAAAAAGGCCTGTAAAGGAATAATACGAATAACTATATGCCAACAAATAAGATAACCTAGATGAAATGGACAGATTCCTAAAACTATACAAACTACCAAAAATGACTCAAGAAATAGAAAATATGAATAGACCTATAACAAGTAATGGGACTGAATTAGTAATTTTTTAAAAACTTACCCACCCGCACAAAAAAGCTCAGGACCAGATGGCTTCACATGAATTCTACCAACCATTTAAAGAAGAATTCGTACCAATTGTTCACAAACTCTTCCAAAAAATAGAAGAAGTGAGAATATTCCACAACTCATTTTATGAAGTCAGTATCACCCTAATACCAAAACTAGAGAAAAATGCAACAGGAAAGCAAACTATAGGCTAAATCTCTTATGAATATACAGTTGACCCTTGAACAACATAGGTTTGAACTGTACGGGTCCACTTATACGTGGATTTTCTTCCTCCTCTGCCACCCTGAGATAGCAAGACTAACCCCTCCTCTTCTTCCTCCTCCTCAGCCCACTTAAGGTGAAGACAACGAGGATAAAGAGCTTTATGGCGATCCACTTACACTTAATGAATAGTAAATATATTTGTAAGGAGTAATTGGAAGGACAGCCGAGAAAGGAATGAGGCCAACAGACCCAAGTTCAGGCAAGCTGATTTATTGTCAGTCCTGCTGGTCTACCTCCTGACAAAAGCAGAGGAGGCAGCCCTGCTTACAGACTACTGCAGGGCTTTACAGGGCGAGGAACTGGGTCAGGGTCAGGGAGCTGAGTTGGGGGTGCAGGCGTCTTGACCGCATCCTGGAGATATTTTTGCCAGCTTTGTTATGCGAGGTGAGCAGACATGTTAACTGCATCGTGTAACTGCCTGGACAAACAGTTACTGGAGGGGTCAGTGAAGTGGGGTTTGTCTTTAGCCCTGGGGGAGCTGTGAGGAGGTCACAAAGGACTGCATTGTAAGACCCATGGGAAGGGAGGGCAACAGCCTGGTTGGGGTGACCCTAACAATATTTTCTCTTATGATTTTCTTAAAATATTTTCTTTTCCCTAGTTTTATTATAAGAATACAGTTTATAATACATATAACATACAAAATTAGTGTTAATCAACTGTTAATGTTATTGGTAAGGCATCCAGTCAACAGTAGGCATTAGCAGTTAAGTTTTGGGGAGTCAAAAGTTATACAGGTATTTTCAACCATGAGGGAGTTTGGCACCCCAGCTCCTACATTGTTCAAAGGTCAACTATAGATACAAAAAGGCTCAACAAAGTTCTAGCACCAAATCCAGCAACATACAAAAAAGATTATACACCATGATCAAGTGGGATTTTTCCTAGGAATGTAAGGTTGGTTTAGCATCCAAAAATCAATCAATATAATACATGTATCAATAGAACAAAGGGGAAAACCCACATAAGCATCTCAGTAGAGGCAGAAAGGTCATTTGACAAGATTCAACACCCTATCTTGATAAAAAACAAACACTTCTAGGAGTAGAAGGAAGTTTCCTCAACCTGATAAAGGGTATTTATGAAAAGCCCACAGTTAACATCATAGTTAGTGCTGAATGACTGAATGCTTTCCCCCAAAGACAGGAACAAGGCAAGGATGTCCGTCCTCACCACTTCTATTCAACATTGCACTGGATGTTCTAGCCAGAGCAGTTAGGAAAAAAAATAAAAATAAAAAAAATAAAAGGCATCCAGATTGGAAAGGGAGTAAAACTATCTGTATTTGCAGATGACATGATCTTGTATATAGAAAATCCTAGGGAATCCACTAAAAATACTATTAGAGAAGGCCAGGTGTGGTGGCTCATGCCTGTAATCCCAGCACTTTGGGAGGCCGAGGTGGGTGGATCACTTGAGGTCAGGAGTTTGAGACCAGGTTGGCCAACATGGTGAAACCCCGCCTCTACTAAAAATACAAAAATCAGCTGGGTGTGGTGGCTGGCAGGTGCCTGTAATCCCAGCTACTCGGGAGGCTGAGGCAGGAGAATTGCTTTAACCTGGGAGGTGGAGGTTGCAGTGAGCTGAGATCGCACCACTGCACTCCAGCCTGGATGACAGAGGGAGACTCTGTCTCAAACAACAACAACAACAACAACAAACAAACAAACAAACAATTAGAGAAGAGCCTGCAAGTAGCTGTGAATTCCCTTTGCACTGACTCCTAGGGGCTCTACATGCTCCCATTAGTCTACTCTCACTCAGTCTTATACAATTAATTTAAAACTTCTAGGTGATTGCTTCTTATTTGCTTGTATGCATTTAAGAAAACTTATGATTTTGTAGTTTATCTGGGTTTTTGTTGTTGTTGTTGTTAGGGTAGTACTGAGCCTCCTTCTAGCATTCTGGCTTCTAGTGGAAGCAGAACATCTCCTTGGCTTTTTAACCTTCTGTGCATTTCACAGAGAAAACGTAATTCACGTACACAGCTTTCCTTCGTCATAGCATTGTCCAGCATGTTACAGAGTTTGCCATACTACCATCTTTGCAAGCGATACCAGAAAACTGGGTCTCAAAGTTTTTCTCTGTGCTTAGCCAGATGTCAAGGATCTTGAATGTTAAACAACTGTAGTTCATTTTCAAGGATGCTCAGCTTGATAAAATGCTTCCTATCATTTGTTATCCAGGAACCAACTAAGGCAAGGACCTCTGATGTCAGGGAGTCTGGGTAGCTGGCCTCTTATCAGGGCTTCCTGTACTTCTCAGCTATGGCTACAGGCCATCCTTTGTGTTCCAAAGGCTCATGTGTGTTCCCTATTAAAAAAAAAAAAAAGCTTCAAGTAGCCTAACATTTCTACAGAAATTACACTTAATTAATATAGCTAATTTAAAAATCTTTGCCAGATACTTGAAATCATTGAGGATCAAAATCGAAATGGTCCTGCTTGTTTTGGAATTTTTCTTTGAAGGGTGAGGCTGTTATCACATTGGCTCCCTTTCGGGTGTTAGTGAATATGACCCAGCCAGAGGGCCTCTGAGCCCAAATCTGGCACCATGGACCAGCTCTTCCCAAATGAGTGTAAGTGCTCTTTCTGCTGATTGTGAGAAATGGGGATTGATTGATTTTAATGAGTCTGAAAAGGAAGACTATCTCATTGTCATGGACTTGTGAAATTAAAGCACTTATTTCATACTGGCAGGCAATAATTATTATAATCAACTTAAGAGATTTTGGAATTTAACACACTGACATTACCAAAGACATGCATATGTAATTCACATTAACAAAGCCAAAAAAAAAATTAGCTCCTTTTGGAGCATCTTGCTGGTAAGTGGCAGGACCAGGATTTGAACCCAGGTGGTCTTGGCCTCAGAGTCTGAGTTCCTGACCACTGCTAGTCTGTGCTGAGTGCTCTCCAAGCTAGGGAGTATCTCACAGAACCTCAGAGCAGGAGGTCCCCCTGGGCCTCATCAGCAAGGTGCACAGTCAGGAGCTAAGACAGCTGTTCTCTCTCTGGTGTCACCTGGTCACTGTGCTCTGCTTCCCTCCTGTGTCTATACCATTCTTCTGCTTTTCTCTGCAGATCAGCTCTTTATTCAGCTGTGGATTTAGAGAGTGGCTGGATCTTGGGATGGGGGTAGAAGTCCTTGGGGAAGAGGGCTTTGGGGTGAACAGTCACCCTAAAACAAGTCTAATAACTTGGGAAGTACTGGCATTATGCTTTCAACTTTTAGAATCATTAAGAATGTAAAATACTTAGACGGTTTTACAGGCTGGCCTGGGAAAAACAGGAACCTTGCCCCATATTCAGTGTGCCACCTCCCCTGTGTGACTGCCTAGGTGCTCGGGCACCATAACTACATTAAGATGTCACTGGTCAATGAACGGATGGTATTTAGACAGCACCCACCACGACCAAGGCACTGGCCCGGGCATATGGCCCACAAGCTGTCATGGGGAGAGAATTATGGGGAATCTGAGGGCCTGAGCTCTTAACACTGGCTGAGTCACCCATGGGTCCCTGCTTTATCCAGATAACAAATGATCTGAGGGGTTTGGAGAGGACGCTTGTAGGCCACTGGACTGGAGGGGAGTTCAAGGCCCAATATGATAGTTATATTAAGAAAGACTGCAAAAAGTCACAAGTTGATGCTTGATCAATTGCCAATATAGATAGTGCTGTGAGAGTTTGGAGGCTGAAGTTATTGTGAGCTTCAGTGACTGGAAAAAGCTTCATATGAGATGTGACTTGAGCTGATCTTGAAGGAAGGAAAAGATTTAGATAGATGGAGAGGGGAAAGCTATTTAATTGGCGGGATAAGGGGAATAGCCACTTTTAGAGATTGCATTGGTCTTTCTGCACTAGTTGTCCAATTTATTGTAGTCTCTGCCTAGGCTTCCATGGTCAACAACCCTTCCTTGGACAACAAAGCTCAACAGTGAGCTTTACCTTGAAAGAAAGAATGACCTCAAGCTTGAAGGCAGACCTATGGTGTCTCACTGTTTTTCCTTCCTCATATAGATCCTTTTCTAGGAGTTAAGAGATTGGGAAAGGCTAGAGGATATGGAAATAACATTTAAAATGATGTTATTGGCTGGGTTCAGTGGCTCACGCTTGTAATCCTAGCACTTTGGGAAGCCAAGGTGGCTGGATAACCTGAGGTTAAGAGTTTGAGTCCAGCCTGACCAACATGGTGAAACCTCGCCTCTACTACAAAATACAAAAATTATCCAGGCATGGTCATGGGCACCTGTAATACCAGCTACTCAGAAGGCTGAGGCTGGAGAATCACTTGAACCCAGGAAGTGGAGGTTGCAGTGAGCTGAGATTTCACCATCGCACTCCAGCCTGGGCAACAGAGCAGAAACTCCATCTCAAAAAAAAAAAAAAAAAAAAGAAATTTTAGCTACCATTTATTTCCTGCCTTTTAGTGTCACAAGTTGTGCTTTATTATGTACATTTTTATTTAATTAAGTTTAATGGTAAGTGCAGTCTATTTATATGGAGGAGAAATTTGAGGCTTAAGCAGGTTAGGAAGCTTGCCCAAGGTCATAGCAAGAGGAAACGTCAGAATCAAAAGTCAGGTCTGGCTGGCTTTGAGGCATTTGAATGCTCACATTTGCTTTAATTTCCCATGACAAAGTGATATATAAACCAGTAAATGACAAAGTGCTATTACTGAGTTTTGAAAAATCTTTTGAAAAAATCAAATAGAAAATGAAAGCATTAATCCCTGAATCTTAAGTATTTTATGAGCCACTCGAAAAGTTGGCTTATTAATAGTCACTTTCTTCCAAAGAAAAACTGTTAGCTAAAGCTAGAGGATTTACTTTGTAGTCTTTAAACATGCAGAAATAATACATACATAATTCTTAAATAAGGATAATAAGCCTGTTAAGGAAGAAATGTTTGCCTAATTGCATTTCCCATGCTAAGCACTAGAGTCTTAAACAAACAAAAAGTCTAATAATCTAATAAAGTTATAACCTCCCATTATCATGGCAAGGTGGCAGCACCACTATGCACTTTTATTTAGTATAGAAGACTTTCTGTATTTAGAGGACTTTACTGTGAGGGAGTTATAAGTACAAACTGTATGCATGTGGACAAACTACAGGTGTTCAAAATGAGCACAGAGGCTTAGAAGAGTTGCCTCTGGATTTCTTTGTTCAGTTATTTGAACTGAACCTGTCCAGCCCAGGTTTTGGATTGTGTGTCTGTTTTTTTCTACCTATTGTTAGATCAGTTCACATTCATTTTAGCTTTCTCTTTCAATACCCTGGGAAGCTAGAATTAATTAAATTGCTGTGGGGAAAGAGGTCCTTCTGCCTGTTTCTCCTCTTTAATCCCCAATTTAAGACTAACCATATTTCATGAAGGCCTGCGGGAGCTGGGCACTGGGCCAGGTCTAAGGATGGGATATGAAGGAGTGGGGATAACCCCTGCCCATGGCCATAGGTCCCTAGGGGCCAGAACCAGGCCACCACCTCCACTGCTGCAGCCGCAGCATCCTGCGCAGCTCCTCAGGTGTAATGGGGGCCAGGAGGAATGAAGGAATGTCCTTCTGGAGCCTGCGGTCTAATGGGGAGGTAGACATTAAGCAAACATAAGACAGTATTTAGGCAAAGTTAGCCATCATTCCCAGGTCGCTCGTGGAGTCCCAAGCCTCCCCAGGGTTCTCTTTCATTGTTGGGCTGATGTTGTGGTCTCCTGGCCTCTCTACTCTGGGCTCCAGTTTTCACAGTGGCTGCCTTTCTTTTGCACTTGGTTGGTTTAGTTGTGAAATCCAGCTCTTTCTCCCAGTGTCTCAAAAATCATGCACACAGAAGATTGGGGGGGACAAGGTAATTTTCCGAAGATGGGAGAGCAAATGTTTACCGTCTAGCAACACAGACACTTTGAAATGGAGCCGGAGGCATCTTTGTGTCAAAAGTGTCCCCTGGCCACCCTAGCCCTCAGGGTTTCACAGGCCCTTACCCTCACCAATTTACTGGCACCTCCCATACCCCATAGCATCTTTCTCTTTCCTCTTTTTTCTCCCCCGCCGTGAAGAGGGTTTGGTGCAGGACCTAGACTAGAATGACAGGCCTTATGAACTCTTGCATTCTCATCCTCCTATTCTTCATTCCATTTTATTTCTATTGCAATATTTATACCTCTAGCCTTGCTTGCAAAGGAGGAACAAGCCCGCAGGCTGTGAAATGGGATTTTAGACCTTGACATATTCTGCAGAAATGAGAAGGAAAATTCCACTACACAAACCTCATATGTGAGGTGACCATTTTCTCCCTCAGTGCCTTGGGAAAACTGACCCAGATTTTAAAAAGAAAGATCATGTTTCCTGGTCATTTTCTGTGGCTTTGCAGTAGAATCTAAAAAAGAAGCAGAAGAAAGAGGGAGGAGAATGAGCATTATGTGATATTTCATAAGGGTTTCAAAACCTCTGTTTATAAAACTAACATATCATCCATATTTAAGGTTTGGAAGACTCAAGATGTCAATTCTTCCCAAATTGATCCATGAATTAAACACGACTTCAATAAAAAATCTATTGTATATTTTTGTAGAAATTGAGAATCAGCTAAAAGAGATACTATAGTAGGCAAAAAGAACTATAATAACAATTTTTTTTTAAAAGAGTACATTTGGAGGACTCACATTACCTAATTTTAAAACTTACTTTAAAGCAAAGTAATCACGACAGTGTGGTATTGGCAAAAGGATAGACATATAGATCAATGGAGCAGAGGAGATATTCCAGAATAGTATCATACAAATATGGCCAAATGATTTTTGACAAAGGTATAAAGGCAGTTCAGTGGAGTATGATGTAGTGGCAATTTCAACAAATGGTGCTGGAACAATTAGACATCTGTGTGCAAAACAATTGAATCCTTATGTATACCTCACCCCATATAGAAAAATTCACTCAAAGTGGATCATGGACCTAAATGTAAAACCTAATAAAAAATCTGTTAGAAAACATAGGAGGAAATCTTTGTGACCTTAGTTGGTCACAAAGACCAAAAGTCTGGTTCATAAGAGAAATTTGATTTAAGTTAGATTTTGGTAACGTTGACATTTTTTTTTCTCTGCAAAAAATACTGTTAAGAGAATGAAAAGACAACCCACCATCTGGGGAAAAAAGATTTGTGAATAGGCTGGGTGTGGTGGCTCACGCCTGTAATCCCAGCACTTTGGGAGGCCAAGGTGGGTGGATCACCTGAGGTCAGGAGTTCGAGACCAGCCTGGCCAATGTGGTGAAACCCCGTCTCTACTAAAAATACAAAAATTAGCTGGGCATGGTGGCAGGCGCCTGTAATCTCAGCTACTCGGGAGGCTGAGGCAGGAGAATCGCTTGGACCCGGGTGGCAGAGGTTGCAGTGAGCCGAGATTGTGCTACTGCACTCCAGCCTGGACAACAAGAGCAAAACTCTGTCTCAAAAAAAACCAAGACTTGTGAATAGCATATCTGACAAAGGACTCGATCCAGAATGTATAAAAAGAACTCTCAAGCTGAGTAATAAAATACTCAAATGACCCAATTTAAAAATGGGCAAAAGATTTGAATGGATACTTTATCAAGGAAGATATAAGATATACAGATGGCAAAAAACACATGAAAATATGCTCAATATCAGTAGTCATCAGTGAAATTGTGTACCTGTTAGAGTGACTAAAAAAAATGACGATACCAAGACATGGTGAAGATGACAAGGGACTGGATATCTTACACGCACTGTTGGTAGGAATGTAAAATGGTACAGCCATGTTGGAAAACAGTTGGCAGTGTCTTATAAAGTTAAACATACATTTAATATACGACTCAGTAATCGCAACCCAAGAAAATGAAAACTCACGGTCACTCAAAAATCTGTTCATGAATATTTATAGCAGCTTTATTCTTAATCAGTAAAACCTAGAAGCAGGGCCAGGTGTGGTGGTGGCTCACGCCTGTAATCCCAGCACTTTTGGGAGGCTGAGGCAGGCAGATCACTTAAGGTCAGGAGTTCGAGACAGCCTGGCCAGCATGGTAAAACCCTGTCTCTGCTAAAAATACAAAAATTAGCTGGGCATGGTGGCTTGCGCCTATAACCCCAGCTACTGGGGAGGCTGAGGCATGAGGATTGCTTGAAGTCGGGAGGCGGAGGTTGCAGTGAGCCAAGATCACGCCACTGCACTCCAACTGGGCGACAGAGTGAGACCCTGTCTAAAAAATACAAAATGAAACTGGAAACAACCCAGGTGTCCCTCACCTGGAGAATTGATAAACTGAGGTACATCTGTCCAGTGGCATATTCAATAATGAAATGATTTATTGATACAGATGATAATATGAATACATCTGAAATATATTATGCTAAGATAAAGATGTCAGATTCAAAAGGTACATACTAATCTTTCTATGATACTGGGAAAAGGTAAAACTATAGGAATGCAGTGATTTCCAGGGGTTAAGGGTGGGTGAGTGGTTTGACTCACAGGGGCAATCAACTATATTGTATCCTGATTGTGTCGATGCTTAAACGACTCCATGCATTTGTCAAAACTCATAGAACTGTATTCCCAAAAGAGTGACTTATACTATTGGTTAAAAAAACAAATTTAAGAAGAATTAGCAAACAAAAACAATACAGAAAAAATAATACATGCTCATTGTTCAATATTTGGAAAATACAGAAAAGTACAAGAAAGAAAGTCTATAATCCCATTTTCTAATAATAATCAGTTACCTTTTGAGCTATATCTCTCTAGCTTTTTGTTCCTTTGGCATTTTTACATAGTTAAGATTATATGATCTAGCTTTCTTTATATGTATAATACATATTACAGATAGAATTATATAGATTATATTCTGCTTATGAAAACTATACTGTACATTCAATTATATTGTAAATTCTATTAAGACATCTCCATAGATAATATTTTAACGGCTTTATAATTTTTTGCTACATGATTTCACCATAAATTACGTTGTTCATATAGGTTATTCCCAGTTTCCCAATGTTATTTTTAAGATGCAAGGAGCATCTTTAGTCAGAAATTTTTGCACACATTTCAGATTTTTTTTTTCTTTCTGTTTTTGAGATGGAGTCTTGCACTGTCGCCTGGGCTAGAGTGCAGTGGCAAGATCTCGGCTCACTGCAACCTCCGCCTCCCAGGTTCAAGTGATTCTTCTGCCTCAGCCTCCCGAGTAGCTAGGATTACAGGCGCCCACCACCATGCCCGGCTAATTTTTTTGTATTTTTAGTAGAGACGGGGTTTCACCATGTTGGCCAGGCTGGTCTCGAACACCTGACCTCGTGATCCACCCATCTCGGCCTCCCAAAGTGCTGGGATTACAGGCGTGAGCCACCACGCCCAGCCCATATTGTTTTACAAGTAGAATTCTAGAAAATATTATTGGATTAGAGAGTGTAAGTGTGAAGTTTTTAAATACGTTTTGGTCAGATTGCCTTCTGGGAAACTTACACCCATCAACAGGATGTGGGGTTCTTGTTTTCACTTGATCTGTTTATCAGCACTTGTGATTTTGTATGACATATGAGCTAATGACAGAACTTACAGGGTTGTTTTAAAACAATGCATGTTAAGGGAATGATGCCGTACCTGTAATATTAGCCTTCTGGTGATGCCTATTTTTATTGTTTCTTATTTGAATTTTTGCTTGTTTGATAGATAAATGTGTTATTGTATTCATTTTAATGAATTTTAAAAAATTATGAGTGAACTCTAATGATTTTAATGTTTTTATTAGCTGTTTTATTAATATTTGGCTTGGGACCAAGGTATTTGTGCATAAATTTTTTAAATGTTAAAGTTATTAAACCTTTCTTAAGTTTATAGAAGGTTTTTTTATTCTACAGTTTTCTGTTTATAATTTTGTTTTTGATGTCTTTTAACATAAAAGGTTTAAAATTGTATGTAGTCAAATCTATAGATCTTTTATTTTGTTGTTTTATAACCATCAGCTTAGCTGAGCCTCAAACCACTTTTTAAACATTTTTTTCTTCTTTCCCTTTTCCTCTTCCCCCTGTCCGTTTCAAGATATAACTTTGACACAAACTGCATGTATGTTACCTCTCATCTTAAAAGACAGCAATGGAATGTGCTGTGAACCTCCACTCCCTTTCCTTTCCCATACTATACTCTCATGCCTTATGAACATTTATTTACCTAATGCTTATTAAGCACAGACCATGCTGTCTTATCTGGTCATATATTTCCGTAGAAGCTTCAGGAGTCAGATCCTGATAGGGACCAGGCACCTCCAGAATTCTCTCTTCAACAAAAGATTCCTTCGAGGATGGAACCCACACCCAGCTGAAGACTGACTAATTTACAACCTGGCAGGATCCACAAAGGTGCCAGCCCCTTCACCAAATGAGACAATAATTCAAGAAGGCCACTGGAGCAAGTCTCGCCACCTGGCATCTCATAGGCCCATTTGCCTCTTCTACTTTCCAAGCTCTTTGTTTAAAAACCCCCATGTTCCCTCCACAAATTGAAGAGTGGAATTGCTTTCTACTCTTCCCCTGCTAGCACGGATAATACAATCTCACTCTCTCTTATCACAAGTCGTCATTATTTTTGACTTCTTTCCACAAACGGTGAGCGCTAAGACTCTTTTGCTGGTTATAATTTCTTCTGTTGCTTTTATTTTATTTTATTTATTTTGAGACGGAGTCTCACTGTTACCCAGGCTGGAGTGCAGTGGTGCAGTCTCGGCTCACTGCAACCTCTGCCTCCTGGATTCAGGTGATTCTCCTGCCTCAGCCTCCTGAGTATCTGGGATTACCAGCACCTGCCACCACACCCAGCTAATTTTTATATTTTTAGTAGAGACGGGGTTTCCATGTTGGCCAGGCTGGTCTCGAACTTCAGGTGATCTGCCCGCCTCAGCCTCCCAAAGTGCTGGGATTACAGGGATGAGCCACTGCACCTGGCCTCGTCTGTTGCTTTTTATATCCTTCCTCAAGTAAAGAATAAGTAAATAATCATCAAGTGTTTTTTTTTTAAGTATCTTTTAGTGGTTTTATTTTTTTACACAACTTTTAAATTTCGTATATATATATATATTTTTTGTCTATGATATGAGGCGAGACTCAGTTTCCTCGGTAGCATTTATTAAGTATTTTTTCATTGATTGGCAATGCCTCACTCTTTACATATTGTTATTTTTGAATTTATAATCTATTTCTTGGTCTTGTTTCATTCTTTTTATTTTATTAGTGCTAACATAATAACTTTAAAATACCTGCCAGGAGAAATTCTCTTTTTCAAGCATTTGTTTTTTTAAAAACCTTTTTTTTGAGACATGGTCTCCTTATGTTGCCCAGGCTTGTCTCGAACTCCTGGGCTAAAGCGATCTCCTGCCTCAGCCTCTCAATGTGCTAGGATTACAGGTGTGAGCCACTGTGCCTGGCCAAAAAACCATTTTCTTAACCCTTCTACCCTCTAGCCTTTTATATTCTTTTTTTTTTTTTTTTTTTTTTGATGGAGTCTCGCTCTGTAGCCCAGGCTGGAATGCAGTGGCGTGATCTCGGCTCACTGCAAGCTCCGCCTCCCGAGGTCACGCCATTCTCCTGCCTCAACCTCCCGAGTAGCTGGGACTACAGGCACCCGGGAAAAACCCACCACGCCCGGCTAATTTTTTTTTGCATTTTTAGTAGAGACGGGGTTTCACCATGTTAGCCAGGATGGTCTTGATCTCCTGACCTCGTGATCTGCCTGCCTCGGCCTCCCAAAGTGCTGGGACTACAGGCATGAGCCACCGTGCCCGGCCTATATTCTTTCAAATAAACTTGATAATCATTTCATTAATTCCCCCCATCCCCACAAACTTACTGTACTTTTAACAACAACAAAGAACTAGCTCTAATTACTCAACAGAGTAGTCTCTAATCTTGAAGTGCTTTCTAGTACAACTGCTTTGGGAAAAGATTTGACAGTTTCTTATAAGTTAAATATACACCTACCCTTTGACTCATCAATACCATTTCTAGATATTTGTCTGAGAGAAAGGTAAACATGTCTACACACAGGCCTTTACATGAAGATTCACAGCAACTTCATTTAAAACAGCCCAAGTTGGGGAAGAACCTGAATGTCCATCAGTAGGAGAATGAACAAGCAGTAGCTGTCCATACAATGACATGAAACTCAGCAATGAAAATGAATGAACTACTGATACCTACTGTGGATGAATCTCAAATGCGTTATCCTGAGAGAAGCTAGACACAAAAGAATCAATACTGTATTATTAACACCATATGATGTTTTGGAACAGGCAATACTAGTCTCTATCGAAAAAAGTCACAGTGGTGGTTGCCTGGGAACCAGGGTTGACTGGGAAGGGACTTGAAGGTATCTTCTGGGGTTATGGAAATGTTCTGCATCTTGAAAGAGGGATGGGTTACATGGATGTATTCTTTTGTCAAAGCTCACCGAAATGTATAGTTTCATATTTGTACATTTTTATCCCTCCCCCCAAATTAAGTTAAAAACCTTTAAAAAAATTTTTTTTTTAAAAAAGTCTTCCAGTTTCTTGTTGGCCAATGGCAAGGCTTACTCTGAAATTTTAGCTTGAATGATACAAAGATGAGAAGCTTGTGTAAAAACATTTATTACTTGCTGATTGGCTATTTCACATTGTGCTCTTTCTTTAACTATGGAAACACATTATTAATAAATACCATTAAGCATGAGGAACCAAAATAAAATGCATCAGGAAAAGGCAGCCTCTCTCTGAGTATATCATCCTCTCTGCACGGCAGTTTGAAAGGTGAACTCACTTTCCCCAAGTGGTAGTGAGTAGGCTCTTGATCACATCATGACAGGCAAAGAATATCCTTGTTTGAGAATCAGACTATACTTGCACCTGATCTTCAGGAGTCGTTCAGGAGGCGCTCTACATCCTGTCTCAGGATCTGAACCTTTACCGTTTGCCGTGTCAATTTAAGGTGCCTGCTCAGATAGTGAATCTTACTGGCTGCAGCGTTAAGCCTCTGGATTTTATTACTGGCAGCCTAGAGAGGTTAGAAGAGAAGGAGGGTAGAATTGTGGCCTGGAATAAGTTTTTATTTTTTTTTTAAATCATCCTTTACAAAGTTTATCCCTATCGTTTTATTTTAAGTATCTGGTGGCCTGATTTGTGTCTTGTGATGATGTGATACTTCTAAAAAAAAAAAATTCTGATTCTCATTGAGGCTAGGATGTCCCTCGCTGTCATCCCCCAGTTTTCCTTTTGTTTCTAAATGAGTACGTCTGATAATCTGCTGGGGCTGTAATCCTGTGAGCACTCACCAATCAAAAGGATCAACTCTCGGCCACGAAATGACCTCGAGTGAACTTCAGGGAGATTAACCGGGAGAAAGGATTGAACATTTCTGTGTGAGTGCAGTGCCTAGAGAGAAATGGAGAGCGAGCGAGGTGGCGCCGTTTCCTGGAATCCAGTCGTGGTCTGGTGCATGAAGTGTGAGCAGCAAGATCCTAGATACTCACCTTACACCTTGGTGCGGATAACAGAGGCAGAGATGAGGGCCTATCACCGTTTAGTAGGAAGTTGCATCAGGCTGGAATATATGGCAAAAAAAGGTAGTGTGGAAGCAAGGATGCATGTGTTTTATGTATGTGTTTTATTTCTCCTCATTCTTAGCATAATGATTTAAAGCGAAGAAATTTTACATTAAAAAAAATCTTACTTTGCAGTACCGTCTCAAGTTTTTTGTGAAGAAGTTTTAAAATGACTTTTTTAAAAAAAGCATTAATTAGCTATTACAATATTGTAGATGGTCATTTATTGATATGTTCATAGGTAGATTCATAATAAAAACATTTTCTGAAAAATTAGGTTATAATATGGAACGTGTAAGTATGAGCTTGTTTTGAAAGCCTACATATGTCTGCACATACATATATGTGCACTGAATATTGTATACCAATGAGATAACTACTTAATTTTGGTTGAAGGAATAAGTTTTACTTAATTTTGTTTGGTTGTATTTTCTATTTTTTAAAATTACCAACATATCTTGCTTTTGTCCAAGTGGTAGTAAGTAGGATCTTGGTCACTTCATGGCAGGCAAAGAATATCCTTCATTTGAGAATCAGATTGTACTTGCAGCTGATCTTCAGGAGGAGTTCAGGAGACGCTCTACATTCCGTCTCAGGATCTGAACCTTTACCATTTCAATATTTCTATATTTCTTCTATTAAAATGAAAATAAGAATCCAGATTATGAAATTCATATTCCTGAAGAAAAATGTCAAGTCTGAAAGGCTTCATGTTAGATGCATGAACTGATAACAGACTGATGGTCTCAGAGTAGAAAAAGAAAAGCGCTTCCCTTCGATGGGCTGGTGAGAAGAATCATCATTTCTAAGTGTGCTTTCCGTGTACTTGGAAGCCAGCAGGACAGATGTTCTCAAAGCTGAAGCAGCTACTTGTTTCTAAGACTGCTTCTTTTAGAAATGCACTTATTGGTATGCTCCCACCTTTTTTATTTTTATTTTTTGCCTTGAAAATGTTTATAATACATTTATTCCCTTTGGATCACAGGCCAGAAAAGGTGATTAAAGCAAATGTCTTAGGCTCTCTCATTACTCTTTATACTTGGAACCTGTTTCTTCAACAGTGGGAAGTTATTAAATGAAGTGTGCTTTAAAAATAATCATTGTTGCAGTATACTTTCTGATTGAGACATGATTCATAGTTATATACCATATACTTATATAGTAGATAATGCATAAATTATATTCTCAAAGGCAATGGCTATTATATATTTGCTACTTAGAGAAGGACAACTTGTTAGATTTTGCTTTCCATATTTAAACATGTGTGCTCACCTGCGCATGCACACAAATCCTTACAAGGCTTGAATTGAAGTGTATATATATGATTGCCCTAATTTTATTAAAATTAAATTATTACAAGAGCTTTCCAACTCTGTTAGTAGTGAGGAGAGGAAATAATTTGAAAGAAGAGTAAGATTTCCAAATCCTAAGCTCACAGCATTATATATGCCTTCTTTTTTTCCCTACTAAAGAAGATTATGAAACATTCACCTATATTCTTTAGCTGTCAGTCATTTTATTCTGTGACTCAAGACAACAGTGAAAGTTGAGTATGTTAATGTAAGTTTTGTGAGTATCTAAAAGACCTTTCTGACATTACTGCCACGTTATATTCATGAGATACTGTCAGCTGACTTTTCGGACTAAAGCAACACTGATTAGGGGAATTAAACTAGAGATAACATGCTGATTGGAATATGCGTTAATAAAGACCCATAGTTTATGTAATTGTTGGGGAGTCAGGAGAGTTAGCAATTGGGTGTTTGCTTTTCCACTGACTGTCCCTCCTCCCTTTTTTCTTTTTTTAAAGAAAAAAGCATATTATATTTATAACATATGATTATAAATATATTATATTAATATTATAAAATGAATTCCTCTAAGTTAGAGTAGCGCCAGCTGCTGTAACAAACACCCAAATTTCAATGGATTAATAGATTCCAATACACTGTCCTCAGTCAGAGAGCTGTCTTCTCTCAGTGTTTTAGGGACCCTGGCTGCCTCTATCTTGTGGGTCTGCCATTTGCAATACTTGGAGTTGTCACCTTGCAGCCTGGGAGAGGGAAGAGAGAGTGGCGAAAGCAAACTTGTTTTTTAAATACCCTAGCTTAGAAGTAAGACATCATTTTTGCTTACCTCCCATTGGCATTCACAGTCACATGACAATAACTGAAGGTAAAGGGGTGGGTGGGAGATTGAGTCCCTGGCTAGACAACTGCCTTTCAGTGGTAAAGCTACTGTATGGAAGAGGATCTGTGACATTTTGATGGGCAGTTAGCCATCTCTGCTTCAATGGCTCATTGCAATTGAACTTAGGCAGTACCTCTATACATATATACATATAAACATAAACAACATTCTGTTCTCTATCTCACTTTCTTTTTAAAAAACTTAATGTATTTTAAACCTCCTTTCCTGTCAGTAGCATAGATGTATCTGATTTTATTTAATGCCTCCGTAGTATTCTATGGCTTTATCATCATTTATTTAACCAATCCTCTATTAATGGTCATTTGCAACAAAAGAACAAGCTATAATAAACATCTTCAAACCCATTTATTTTGTACTTGTGTTAATATTACCTTAGAAATCCCTAGACATGGAATTTCTTGGCTAAAATGCTGCATATTTCATATTTTGACAGATTTTCAAATTAATTAATGGAAAGATTGTACCTATTTATATTTTACTCATAGATAATCTGCCTACACTCTTACCAACCCAATCTTATTCATTGTTAAGATAATCACTAATCCATCAGGCAGAAAAGATCTCATTTTGTTTTAATTTAGATTTCTTTATCCATGGTTTGAATGTATGTGGCCCTCCAAAATTCATATGTTGAAACCTAACCCCCGAGGTGATGGTATTAGAAAGTGGGGCCTCTGTGAGGTGGACAGGTCATGAGGAATCCACCTTTGTGAATGGAATTAGTGCCCTTATAAAAGAAGCTTCAGACAGCTGCCTCCCTCTTCCATCTCTCCTGCCACGTGAGGACTCAGTGTACACCCCTTTCGCCCTTCCACCATGTGAGGATGCGGCAAGAATGCACTATCCTGGAAGCAGAGAGGAAGTCCTTGCCAGACACGGAACCTGCTGGTGCCTTGGCCTTAGACTTCCCAGTCTCCAGAACCATGAGAAATAAATTTCTACATTTGTAAATTACCCAGTCGAAGGTATTTTGTTATAGCAGCAAGAACAGACTAAGACTTGTGGTTAAACATGTTTCAATATAAATTTATTGGCTATATTCTATGAATTGTCTGTTTTCAGTCTATGCCTATTATATTAGTTTCCTGTGTCTGCTGTAACAAATGACCATAAAACTTGATGGCTTACAACAATAGAAATTAATTTTTCTCACAGTCCTAGAGGCCACAAGTCCACCATCAAGGTGCTGGTAGGGCCACTCTCTAGAGGCCCTGGGGATGATTCAGTTTCTTGTCTCTTCTGGCTTCTGGGGGCTGTAGCTATTTCTTGGCTTGTGGTTGCATCATTCAGATATCTGTCTCCATCTTCACATGGTTTTCTCCATGTTTCTGTCTTCCTCTGTTTCTCTGTCTAACCTCCTTTCTCATCTCATCATACTATTCCATATTATTGCATGTATACTGAATATACAATAATAATAATTATTATTATTGTTTTGTCCACAGACCATTTCCAGCCAATAGGCTTCACTGTTTATGGGCCAGTGATATGTGAATTAATAATAAATATATACAGAATCCATAAGTCATTACTTATTCCATAAAATATATTTTTTCTTGCCTTCATGTCAGCAAAATCAGTGTTGGTATAGCTGAGATTTTCACTTTGAACTGTTGAGAACAGTCATCTAAAGTCAATGTGATCTAAGTAAAATGTAATTGTGTTTAACAAGTTCAAACTTTGAGTATATTTGCATGATGAATTACCAAAAGAAAACTAAGAGCATTGATGCTTGGTTCTATTGGACTGGCTATGTCATTACCAAAGAATCTACAGCATCATGCTATGTGAGAGGAAGGATTTCTCAAGTTAATTCATTTATTTTTTCTCTTATCTAAGCACTTCCACAGTTCAAATCCTCCCTGCACTCTGAAGCAGTGTGTGTCCCTGATGTCAGCAGTGGTGCAACCCACAAACCACCCTAGCATTTGGATGCGGTCACATTTTCTTTTGAGGACATAAACCAAGAGCTGTGGAGTATTTCCCTGGGTCTGAGCAGCGTTAAAAGAGTAGATTTCCAGGGCTATGTGCACCTGCCAGCATTGAGCACTGGACCATGAGTGCCCAGGGCAGCCAAGTGTTCTTTAATACATATGTTCATGGGGGGAGGGTGTGAGATACTGAGCCCTCCAAAGTGAGGGTCTGGGCAGGCGGTGCCACGAGGAACTTTCTGGAGGTGGGGGGAGGGGAATATTCCATTTCTTTCTTTCTTTCTTTCTTTCTTTTTTTTTTTTTTTTTTTTTGAGACGATGTCTTGCGCTGTTGCCCAGGCTGGAGTGCAGTGGCATGATCACAGCTCACTGCAACCTCCGCCTCCCAGGTTCAAGCAATTCTCCTGCCTCAGCCTCCTGAGTAGCTGGGATTACACGCACGTGCCACGACACTGGCTAATTTTTGTATTTTTATTGGAGACGGGGTTCTACCATGTTGGCCAGGCTGGTCTCAAACTCCTGACCTCAGGTGATCCTCCCACTTCGGCCTCCCAAAGTGTTGGGATTACAGGCATGAGCCACTGCACCCCGCCGAATATTCCATTTCTTGATCTGTTTGATGGTTACATCAGTGTATATTTGTCAAAATTCCTCAAACTGTATGCTTAAGGCTTTGTGCATTGTATTGCATGTAAATTATACTTCAATAAAGTACCAATAGCATAAAAAATAAAGGCTACCAGTGCATACTTTTCCGTATGTAAACTAAAGGGGTAACCACATATAATTCCATCACTTTAACACAACTGTTTCATATATTCTTTTCTCATACACCCACACATATGTGCATAAACATATCACACGCTTGGTTTTTTCTTTCTTTTTTAAAATCTGACTATAATCTCACCACTTGTAGGATTTTTGTGTCCTTGACATTGTATCTTAAATCTTTTTCGGTGAATGTGGGTCTTTATACTTGTATAATGATTGGTTCCATTTTTTCACTCTGGTAAAAACATCACAGTCTATGCCATTACATATAAAGTTTTTATTATGTTCTCATGATACATTTTCAGATATAGGATGAGTGCATAAAATATTATGGAGATTTTAATGACTGTAATGGTTAAGACGTTGGGCTTTGGAGGTCAGAATGAGCTGGATTCAAGTTCTGGCTCTGCATGATCTTGGACAAGCTACTTCAAATCTAGTTCAATATCATCCTTAGAGTAGATTTAAGGATTAAATGAGGTTGCATATATAAAGTACTGGTATGGAATCGACCACATAAGTGCTCAATAATCACCAGGTAAAAGATTGAGAAACGACTTTCCAAGAGGATGCTACCTGCTTCACTCCCTGAGGTTCTGCAGAAGTACTGATTTTCCAATATAACCCCAGCATTGTGTATTAGAATCTCAATTATTTTATGGATGAAGTGAGATATTTTGTTGCTGTTTAAGTTTCATTTGTTGATGACTAGGAAGTTGGACATTTTCTAGTGTTCTTGATTTTTAAAATCTTTAAATTTCCTTCTAAACAATTATTCTGTCTGCTTTCAAAAGCCTTTACTTCATTATTCATTATGGATAAGATAAAAGTCACTGTTATGGGGCAGGTTAAGCATCGCTATAGCGCAGGACCCAGTAAAAGAAGGAAATATGTTTGTGTTATTTCTGACCTGGCCAATAAAACAGAGCAGTGAAATGCATTATGCCCCATGGGCTGGCTTTTTGTACCAGCCCGGCAACTGGTGTCTCTGAGCCTCTGGTCCAGAGTTTCCTCAGTGGTCAAGTCCAGTCTGGTTGTGGAGGTAGGAGGGTGGGGCGGGCTGGAAGAGGTTCATTTGAGTGTTAGGGCACATTCCTTTTCTGTCATTGTGCAACTGATTCAACCAGTTAATCTGTGACGTGCAAAGTTAGTGTCCAGCTCACAGCTGGTGCCCTATTCATGTTATTAACAGTTAGGGTCTTGTTACACAGCGCCTGAGAGCAGAGATCCTGGTTCATGGCTTGTTACGCGTTGTTGCAAACTCAGTTGTTGAGATCTAGTTTGATCAACTGGCAGATCCTTCTGTTCCTTCTGTCCCCTTGAGTCTCTGGGCAAAGCAGTAATGTCACAGGGTCTGCCAAACTTGGGGCAGCTGTTCTCTGCTCCAGACCATACTTTTTCCCCCTTAACCTAGGTATTTATTTATTTAGTTCTTTTTCTTTTTTTCCCCTCAGATCATACTTGAATCTTTTAAATCATAGTGTGACAGAAATTTCAGAAGAGCAAGAGTGGGAGGCTAAGGGTCTCACTGCCCTTTATCCTTTAGCAGTTGCAGCAGTCAGACAGTGTTGAGATATCATCAGCCCTGTTTCCTGCCCTCTGTTGTAAGGAGGATGGCTCCAGTCATTAGCAAAGGTCCTGGCTCCAGAGCGCATGCTGCTCTCTCAGCCTGGGAAGTGGGCAACACAGGGATATTGCTTGCTGCCTGCAGTGGAATTCCCATGGGACATGCTGGACTATTATTTCATCGCGTAAGAGTCTGGAGGTTGTGTTTGGCCTTTGATACCGTCTGTATTTCTGGAACTGTGGGCTCAGGGTAAAATAGAGTCACACTTCTGTGTACTTATCAAGGATAGAAAAGAGACAAGTTTTTCCCTAGTATATTTGTTTGCCCAGGATAGAAATTGTGTTGAAATTGAATTATCACTTCCCTTTGCCTTGTGTGGGTAACAAAGAGACAAGTTTCTGCCAGGCGCAATGGCTCACACCTGTAATCCCAGCACTTTGGGAGGCCGAGGTGGGTGGATCACCTGAGGTCGGAAGTTGGAGACCAGCCTGACCAACATGGAGAAACCCTGTCCCTACTGAAAATACAAAATTAGCCGGGCGTGGTGGCAGGTGCCTGTAATCCCAGCTACTCAGGAGGCTGAGGCAGGAGAATCGCTTGAACCCGGGAGGTGGAGGTTGCAGTGAGCCGAGATCATGCCATTGCACTCCAGCCTGGGCAACAAGAGCGAAACTCCACCTTAAAAAAAAAAAAAAAAAAGAGACAAGTTTCTCCCTAATCTGTGCATGCCAAAAATGGCAAAGAAGCAGGAAGCCTCCACAGACCTCTGTGAGGCCAGGGCAGGTGTGTAACAGGCACCAGCGCCTTGGTGGGTCATGGTTCTGCTCACCTGTTCCTGGGAGAAGGAAAAACCCTTTTACTGGTGAGAACACTGAGACTCAGAGTGTACTTGCCCTGATCACCTATCTAGAAGGTGGCAGAAAGGGCCTTTGCATGCAAGCCTGTCTGAATCTGAAGCAGATCCTTTCCCATTGCAGTGGAGGTGTTCTTTCAGAACCAAAGACTTCTTGTACTTCCTCCCCTACCTACCTATACAGGAGTGGGAGGCAGGGCCTGCCAGCCGCAGGGTGATCTTTGTGTCTCTTGGTGTAGAGCATAAGTGTACTTTACTGGGGGCAGAACAGAGCATGCCCTATTCCAACAGGACCACAAGTGTCAGGCAACTGAAGGCTGGGTGTATCTGCAGTCATCTCCATGCCGAGTCAGAGGATGAGTCTGGGAAAGCCTCATGATCTGTTGCAGCTGGCCAGGTTGGGTCATGTGGCTCCTTTGCTAGGAAGACTTCAAGGATAACCATGTCACTTCCTGGCTGGAGAGCAAGCACTCTCAGCAAAACCTGCACTTAAAGCAAAGCAGCTCATTGCTATTCTTAGAAAAACAAATTATGAATTTTAGTCCTGTTCATTTGATAGCCACAGGAGGCTAGCGAGAAAGGTCTCTTGTCGGGGGCTGGGGGGATGGGCAAACCTCAGATTCCCATGACACTAGTCAGCCTCTCAGGGTTGCAGGAGCCTTTGCAACTCAAGGCCAAGGGTCTGGGAACTCTATCACGCGTGGCCGAGGTTTGCCCTCTTAGCGTCAGGTGATCCGGGCTCTACAGTTATTTGTTGTGTAACCACAGGCAAGTTTAGGATCTCTCTGGGTCTCCATGTTGTCATTTGAAAAATGAGATGGCGTGGGGATCGTTGACTTCGCTAATGTCTGCTCCCCTTTCAGATCTTACATCTTTAAAATGTTTAATTTAAAGCACACCTCAAATATTGACATGTAAGAACAATAAATTACACCTTATGATTTTTGTTTTTCTCTCGGTTCATCATCTCTGAAATATGCTTGCTTGGCCAGGCGTGGTGGTTTGTGCCTCTAATTCTAGCACTTTGGGAGCCCAAGGCAGGAGGACTGCTTGAGCACAGGAGTTCAAGGCTGCAGTGAGCTATGATTATGCCACTGCACTCTAGTCTGTGTGACAGAGCAAGATCCTATATCTTAAAAAAGAGAAATCAAAAAAATGCTCAGGTATGAACAAATAATACTGAAGCTCTATTTCTGAGTATGCCACTGTCCTAGACCACTGGGAGATTGTACTCTGAAAACTCTTTAATTACATAACTTCCGTTTCTGCTGAAATTCTCTATGTTGTTGTCTACTTGTGTTTTACATTTTATTACAGAAAATTTGAAACGTAGCAAGAGAATTATGTAACAAACCCCTGTGGACCCATCAACCAGCTTCAATAATTATCCACATTTTGTCAGCATGTTTCATCTACCCCCCACTTCCACCCCATGCATAGTTTTAGTGAAGGGGAGTGCTGGAGTATTTGTCAGCAAATCTCAGACTTCATATCATTTCACTGTTAAATGCTTCAATTTGTGTTTCTAACAGAGAAGGCCCCCTTTTTATAAAATGTGACTACCATGCCGTTATTACACCCACCGAATGAACAGTGACGAAGGAGTTCTTTGAACTTTTAGTGAATTCAGGGTGGAAGTGGTATTGGGATGAAGAAGCTCTGGTCTAGATTTATCCCCTTTACCCAAAACAATGGGGGAATTCATTGAAGGGGATCTTGGGGCTTAAGCTGGCACTTGGCCCACCCCTTACAAGACTTTCAGAAAAAAACAAAAAAAGGCTTTTAGAAAGCAAATTTGGGAAAGGCCTGTCTGTTCAGAACAAGGGATATAACTAGCATTTGCTCAGCACCCTCTATATACATCTCCATATATATTATCTCCTTTAACCTCCACACCAAAAAGCTGAGAGTAGACCAAGACTCAGAGAGGACCTTCCCAAATATTACCTTCTGATTGGTCAACACTAGAATATCATAATGTTACCATGACCCCATAATGAATCAGTAGGAAATTCCCACCTAGCATCAGAGCACAGGTTGTTTGGTTCATGCCTTAATCTAACTAGATGTTTAACTCCTGTAGAAACAATAACCAGTTCATTCATTTTTTGTTATTGTTTTTGTTTTGTTTTGTTTTGTTTTGAGACAGGGTCTCCATCTGTTGTCCAGGCTGGAGTGCAGTGGCACAGTCATGGCTAACGACAGCCTCAAACTCCTAGACTCAAGAGATTCTCCTGCCTCAGCCTCCCAAGTAGCTGGGACCGCAGGCATACATCACCATGCTTGGCTAATTTTTAAATTTTTTGTGGAGACAAGATCTTACTCTGTTGACCAGGCTGGTCTCAAACTTCTGGCCTCAAATAGTCCTTCCCCCTCGGCCTCAGTACCCAGCCACCAGTTTATTCTTTAAGATTCCCTGGGAAATAATTGAATGAAGATAATATCTTAGGCAGAGATAACATGAAAATGCCTTCCTCTCTTCAGCCTAGGTTGAAAGATTCCAGTTGGTCCTCCCCTCTCTCTAATTCCTTTTCCCCAAATGGAAATGAGGGCAAATCACAGGGCTTATAAGTCACTTTCTAGGGTTAGAGGAACTTTGTAGATTTGTGCTTGAAAGGATTGGATTTTTGCATTGGAAACCTATATAACTTATTATTCAGTTAGGAGAATCTTTAAATAGAAAAATGAAAAAGTGCCTTCTTATATACATTTAGCAGTAGGAAGAGGCCCCTTAAAGTATTCTGGAAGGGGGAAAAAAAGGAATGGAGATAAGTAGGGGAGGAAGGAAGTGAGGTAGGGAGGAAAATAAAAATTAAAGAACCCTCATGAATCCCAGATTGATTTTATGACCTGTTTTGAAAGGAGCTCTAGTAACTTATGTTGTTTGTGTTTAAAATGTCCTTCTGCAGACCCAAAGGTGTAGGCAAATACCTGCCTTCGTAATGAGGTCATCCAGCAGGTTTTCTGTGAAGCTGCTGGAGCTTAAACTTCAGGGTTCTTTCCTTGTATTGGTCCCTCCCAAAGCCTTGGTAGGGGCTCTAGAAATGTGTTCCACGCTCAGATGCATAAGCTCCAAAGCACACAAATCCAGATACAGCCCTGGATCTCAGCAATCAAGTTCTCAAGGGAATGTTGTGCCAGCACCGTCTCTTGATAAGTCCCAGATTTCCCAATAGTACAACTTGCCTTTGTTTCTTTTTAATTTCTTCTTGTAATTTGCACATGTTTAACTAACCCACTTTGTATTTCATTTGTGCAGATGAAATTATGCAGCAGGAAGTCAGACCCCTGATGGCGGTGGAGATAATAGAACAACTTCACAGACAATTTGCCATTCTTTCAGGTAAGGGGCACATTCATTTGCATTTCCAGATTTTGATGGGGGGGTCTTGATGGGAAGGTCCAGCCTCTTGAACCTTGAGGAATGTTATACTCAAATCTCACTCACCCCTTAGGCTTCACCCGGGACTAGAACAGGCTGAGGCCTATCCTGCCAGAAGAGGGTGGGATCTCATACATATTATTCCCTTTGCTGTTTGGTGCAATCTGATCTTTCCCAAAGGAGCACATTTCTTTGTGGTTGTAAATAACAGAGCTGAAAAGATTTTGAGGAAAGAAAAAGAGACAACTACTGACATCAGCTGCCACCATGATGTTCTTCCAATGTTCCTTTGGATGTTCTTCCAAGATTCAGCCTTACAAAGGTCTTAGTTCTAAGGGTTCCCGAGCGTTGCTGAGGTTGTTTGTTCTCTGGGAGAATTGTCTTTTACTCTTAGCTCATTTAAGGGATTTCCATCAAGCATTTGATTGGGAATGAAGAGAGGCTGTTCTGACTAAAAGTCTAGCATTTTTTGAGCCTAGACACAACCCTGAAAGGTTGTCATGACTTGAATACTGTTCTTTCTTATTCGCTCAGCCAAAGGTGACATGACTTTAATTACTAAAACTAGAAGTACATGCCAAACCCCAAATTATGGTTAGACCCAACTTAGGAGAATGAAGTGGTGACATTAGATATCCTTAGTATATAACATGGAGGGATAAAGTGGCAAGTTACTCTTTTCAACTTTTACATCTGTTCTGAAAAAAACAACAAAGCCATCTTAGTTACATCACAGAGAGAATATGTAGTTGGTGTGAATTTTATTCTACAACATGGGATATTAAAAAAAAAGTCACATCTCTTTCTTTTCTCCAAATCACATTTAATCTGCTCCAAGCTCCTCATCCCACTGATTTGAAGGAGATGCGAACTCAGTTATTATTGGGATATTTCTCCCCACCCCAGCATTGCCTCCTGGGTGACCACATCTTACACAATCCAGGACATTCTGGGGGAATTCTCTGGTCTTTCCGCCATATCAGTCACTGCGCACATAGTCACTGAAAGCTCCATAAATACAGGGTCCTCCTTTTTCTTCTTTCTGTCTGTATTGCCAATGCTTAGATCAGAGACTGGAACATAAAAGGTGCTCAGTACAAAAATATCCAAGTCCCTGTGGTCTATTCTGCGAGGCCGGTGGTCTCCCTGCTCCCCAGATGCCTAGTTAGGCACCATTGGCCCCTGTGGGAGGACCTAACCAGCCTCCTGAAGGCACAGTCTCATGGCTTCCCACTGTGAGTCTGGGCTTGCGCAAGACAAAAGGCAGAATGGGGTCTGTTCTCTGGGTTCCTGGAAACTGTTGCCCTACCACAGAAGGCCCCGAGACCACCATGCAGCTCAAGGTCTGGAATGGATGACAGGGTGGGCTGGGGTCAGGTAGATTCCTAGAGCCTTAGACTAAAGCTCTGAGGCCTCAATGCATGATTCTGGCTTATATAATTACACAATGGCTCATCTCAGGAATCAGTCTAGTGACAGATTAATTAATACATTTATGATCCAAATTTATCTCCTTTGAGTATTATTGAGGCCTTTCTTTCTGTTCTTATGACTTAGAGGCAATATAGAAAAAAACATGAACTGGTATCAGACAGCTCCAGATATGAATTTGGATTCTGTACTTACTAGCAGCATCACCTTGGGCAACTTACTTCTCTAAACCTCAGTTTCCTCATCTGTATGATGGGGTTATTGTAACTTCTTTTTTTTTTTTTTTTTTTTTTTGAGATGGAGTCTTGCTCTGTCATCCAGGCTGGCGTGCAATAGCACGATCTCAACTCACTGCAACCTCCACCTCCCAGGTTCGAGTGATTATCCTGCCTCAGCCTCCTGAGTAGCTGGGATTATAGGCACCCGCCATCATGCCCGGCTAATTTTTGTGTTTTTGTAGAGATGGGCTTTCACCATGTTGGCCAGGCTGGTCTCGAACTCCTGACCTCAGGTGATCCACCTGCCTCAGCCTCCTAAAGTGCTGGGATTACAGGCATGAGCCACCACACCCAGCCAGTAATTTTGAGGATTAAATGACATAATGTATGAAAAACACTTAGTATTGCAACTGCTGAATAAGTGTTTCTCTTTTTTTCTGATATCTTTTTATAGTTCTATAAAATGTTTATTTTGGGGTTCTATTACAAGTAAGATAATTTTTATAAGGAACCAATGTCATGCTCACAATAAATATGGTATACAATGCCACCATTGAGTCAGGAATAGAGATAATTGTCACTCCCTAACGTAGAACAGAGAACTGTGGAAACACACACTGGGCGCAGAAGACACTTCTGCTTTAGGAAGGTACTTTGACCATAATAAAGATAACCCTTCATTTCTGAGTTCCTTTTGTCATTTAAGTTTGTCTTCTTTTTTTCTTTGCTTTTTTTTTTTTTTTGAGACATGGTGTCGCTATGTTGCCCAGGCTGGGGTGCAGTGGCACCGTCTTGGCTCACTGCAGCCTTGACCTCCCAGGCTCAAGTGATCCTCCTACCTCAGCCTCCTGAGTTAACTGAGACTACAGGCAGGCATTGGCGCACACCATCATGCCCAAAATTTTTAAATTTTTTGTAGAGATGGGGTTTTGCCATGTTGCCCAGGCTGGTCTGGAACTCCTGGGCTCAAACAGTCTTTCCATCTCAGTCTTCCAAAGTGCTGGGATTACAGGCGTGAGCCAGAGTGTCTGGCCCAAATTTGCCTTTCTTATGAAGCAGAAGCATGGATTCGCTGTGATAGTAATTACAGCCTTGCAAGTCTGCAAGAATAGCGGCAGCCGTGGGTCTCTCTGAGTCAGCACTTTGTTTGGAATCAGAGGCCTGCTTTTCATCTTTAACCATCTCTCTTATTCTGGCAGAAACAGCAAGTGTCAGCAAGGAGGCTGTTGTGGGGGCCTGTATAGTTGTTGCTGTAAAACAGAAATCTCTCTAATTAGGTCTTTTCCCATGGCTGTGGTAGCCTAAGAGCTGCAGCCTCAGCCTCAACTCATAGCAGCTTCCTTTTCCTGATTCAGGCAAGTAAGGTAAAGATTTTCCCTACAAAATTTTCTACCAATTTCACTGATCTCTGGAAGGAGCCAGAGACCCTGTCAACCGGGAAGGCTGTGAAGGAGAGGATAGAGCCTTTCCCTCAATGCAGCCCTAGCTGCCTGGTCTGCTGAACTGTGCATGTGTTCCCACGGCTGGTAGAAGAGCAGAGGCTCATTACATGAAGCCTGACCCAGATTTGTGGCCCGATGGTTTGCGGCCTCTGGATGCGAAGCCTGTGAGCAGGGCCACCAGCGGGAATTGGATATTGACCAGGGCTGGGGCCTCTGGTAGCTCTGACGTTGGAAGACACCTGCATGTTCACAGTGAACTTGGGATATTTCTAAATTCAGGGCTTAGCTAGGAAACAAGAGAGTATAAGCAGGTTAGTGTGGTGGAAACACTCTGGGCTTTGGACCCAGACAATTCTGGGTTCACATTCCAACACAACCAGTAGGTGGCTCCAAACCCCAGTTTTTCATCTGTAAGAAGAAAAGTTTCACTCAGCATGGTATCTGACTACAAGGGAACTTAGCCTCTGAGACTTGTTGGTTTGTTTTTTAAATTGCATAACGAGGTCTGACGATAGAAACTCTTGGTATTGGATCAGTGGCTCAATGACATTAAGGCTGACATCTTTATGATTCTCTTGATGTTTTCTTCTTATTTGTCAACTCTTGATTCAAGGTGGCTGCTGCAATTCCAGACATTAGGTCAGTGTCCAAAGCAGGAAGAAGGAGAAGGAAAATGCTGGCTTCTTTGGTTCTGTTTGTAGAAACTCTTGGCTGCCTTCTGCTTATGTCTCATTCCAGAATTCTGTCACACAGCCATTCCCTGGCAGCAAGAGAATCTCAGAAGGCAAGCATTTAGCTTTCTAACTGCCACAGGAGACGGTGGTCAGGGAAAAGGGGACTGGGAGTGAATTAGCCATCAATCAACGTTTGCCACAGCTCCTTTCCTTTAATTATAAGGAATTGTCCTTTTATATTTATCTTGATGGTTGTTTCCCACTTGGAATTATTGTGAACTGAATCTCTCTCTTTCACTTTCTCTCCCTCTTTGCTCCCTTTCTCTGCCTGTCTCTTGTGGCAGCTTGAATCCTTTTGAAAATAATTGATGAAGAAATCAACTGCTCAATACTCTTAGGCTTGTAGAGTCCCCAGTTTCACCTCATACACACCAATGAAGCCCAGGTTTGGTGGAGGGTAGGGCTCCCAGGGGTGAGTGGGAGGCTCCTAACTGAAACAATGGAAAATGTCAAACCAAGGAAGAGATCGGAGCCCCAACTCCTAGCTTACATATGGAGCTAGTGACCTGAAACCTGGGAGGTGAGAACCAAGGGGCGACATCTAGAGCAGGACTGTTTAATAGAAATACAGTGTGGGCCACACATGTACTTTAAAATTTTATGGTAACCATATTAAAAAGGTTAAAATAAACAGATACAATGAATTTTAATTATATATTTTAAATTTACCCATATCTAAAATAATATTTCCACATGTACTCGATATTCAACATTTTTGGGATTTTACCTTTTTTATTCTAAGTCTTTGAAATCTAGTTTGTGTTTTATACTTACAGCATATCTCAATTTGGACTGGTTCCATTTCAAGTGCTTAATAATCACATGTGTCTAGTGGCTGTTGGATTCGGTAGTGCAGGTGAGAGGGAAGGTTCTCAGTCATGTTTGACTGAATATCTCCTTTTTATAACAAATGATTTGTATTGCCCTCTGCCATCCTAACATAAAATTTATAGATACTATATCTGCAAGGGTGGGCTCAACAACTACAACGAATATACTCCAAAGAGTATAGAGCTCCAACTGTAACCACCCTAGGGGTTCACCTTGCCTGCTGCCCAGACAGAACCAGGGGAATTACAATAGAGAAAGAGTAATTCATGCAGAGCCGGTTGTGTGGGATACTGGAGGTTTGTTATTACTCAAATCAGTCTCACCAAGCATTCAGGGAACAGAGTTTTTAAGGATAACTTGGTGGGTGGGGGGAAGCCAGTGAGCCAGGAGTGCTGATTGGCCAGAGATGAAATCACAGGGAGTCGGACCTGTCTTCTTGTGCTTAGTCAGTTCCTGGGCGGGGGGCCACAGATCAGGTAAACCCATTTATTGATCTGGATGGTGCCAGCTGATCCATCAAGTGCAGGGTTTGCAAAATATCTCAAGCACTGATCTTAGGAGCAGTTTAGGGAGGGTCAGGACCTTGCAGCCTCCAGCTGCATGACTCCTAAACCATCATTTCTAATCTTGTGGCTAATATTAGTCCTACAAAGGCAATCTAATCCCCAGGCAAGATGGAGGTCTGCTTTAGGAAAGGGCTGTTACCATGTTTGTTTAAACTAAACTAAATTTCTCCCAAAGTTAGTTCAGCCTACGCCCAGGAATGAACAAGGAGAGCTTGGATGTTAGAAGCAAGATGGAGTGGGTTAAGTTAGATCCCTTTCACTGTCTCAGTCATGATTTTGAAAAGGCGGTTTCAAAACACACATAACAGAAATTAAGTTCTTACTCTTTTACCAGTTCTGCATGTATGTTCCTGGTCAGCAGACAACTTTTCTCCATGTGGAGGTTCAGGAATGAAGGCTCCTTTGAGTTTCTGGTTCTTATTGTTGTTATGCGTGTCTGGGGAGCAGACAGGCTAAGAGAACATGGAAGGAGCATAGTGCTTCTTAAAATTCTCAGCTCAGAGATAGCATACAGCACATTCCATTGACTTGAACTTGTCACAGTCATTTGAACAAACTTAACAGCAAGGGAAGCTGGGAAATGTAGTGTAGCTATATGCCCAGGAAGGGAAAACTTAGGTGAACAGCCACACCTACCTATGCACATATTTTTAAAAATTAAAAAATAAAATATAAGGAACTGTAAAGGAGGAATCAAAGGAAACTAATTATAGTAAAGTAACATATCTTTCAATAGTATGTATTTCCACATGCATGTCTAGCTACATGAGAATAATGAAAGAGGTGCTTGCCCCTCAATTTGGAGTCACCAAAAATGTGATGGGTGCAAATGCTGGGATGTGGTGGGGTGATCAGATACCTGGAGTGACTTTATTAAGATTAAAAAAAAACCTCTTGGCCGGGCATGGTGGCTTACGCCTGTAATCAATCCCAGCACTTTGGGAGGCCGAGGTGGGCGGATCACCTGAGGTCGGGAGTTAAGAGACCAGCCTGACCAACACGGAGAAACCCCATCTCTACTAAAAATACAAAATTAGCCGGGTGTGGTGGTGCATACCTGTAATCTCAGCTACTTGGGAGGCTGAGGCAGGAGAATCGCTTGAACCCGAGAGGCGGAGGTTGTGGTGAGCCGAGATCGTGCCATTGCACTCCAGCCTGGGCAACAAGAGTGAAACTCCATCTCAAAAAATAAATAAATAAATAAATAAAATAAATAAATAAATATAAAAATTCTTTATGATTATTTGTAAAAACAGAGTCTAGGTTCAGAGCATTTTAAATGGATTTTTCACTTAAATTAAGCCTCTGGTAAGACATTTGGAAGTCACGTAGCATGTGGGGCAATTCTTTGTTTTATTATGGAGAATGGGTCATTTAGTATCCTAGGCCCTGAGATTTCCAAAGTGCTTACCAGGGAATGGTTCTGCCATTTCCCCAGTTAAAACCTTGTGTAGAGGAGAAAGGGAAAATAGATACTGGAAGGCAAAGAGCAGTAGGAAGATGCTTTGCAACCTTCCCCATCATTGGTCTTTGCCATCTTCCTGTAGGATTTCCTGTATTCTCAATTCACCTGTGCATGAAGCCTTCATGCCAGCTATCACCAGGGCCCTTTCAGCAATCACCTTATGTACCCCAAGCGCTTAATGTTTTCTGCACTAAAACTATTTGTCTTTCACTTAATGAAAAGGTACAAAATCATAGTAGGAGGAGTAAAGTTTATTTTAAGTTATCATTTTACTTAGTACCAAATAATTTGGGGTTGTTTGTATTCCTTGCATTCAAGGAATGCACTGGACTTTGGAATAATTATTCTTTCTTCCTATTGCATTACCGCGTTTCCTCAGAAGGTGGCACTAGATGCCATGTTGTAGGTTGCCCCACAGTTAAGTCCAGCTCTGTTTCCTTGATGCTTCTGCCTCTTAAGACTAATATTCAACAGTAGGTGGGTGTGCACAGTTAACCTTAGGGCCTCTCTGCTGTTCAGTATTGGTAGTAACCAAGGTAGAAGAAAACTTCACCTTTTTTCATTTAGGTGAGGATGGCTTTAATACAGTCAACTATAAAAAGGTAAAATTGGCCGGGTGTGGTGGCTCAACGCCTGTAATCCCAGCACTTAGGGAGGCCGAGGCAGACGGATCAGTTGAGGTCAGGAGTTCGAGACCAGCCTGGCCAACATGGTGAAACCCCGTCTCTACTAAAAATACAAAAATTAGCTGGGCGTGGTGGCATGTGCCTGTAATCCCAGCTACTCGGTAGGCTGAGGCACAATAATTGCTTGAACCTGGGAGGCGGAGGTTGCAGTGAGCGGAGATCACACCACTGCAGTCTAGCCTGGGTGACAGAGCGAGATTCCATCTAATAATAATAATAATAATAATAATAAAAGGTGAAATTAAATGGCATAATCACATTCTAGTGAATATTTTAGGGTATTTCAGTTCCTTGAAATGTTTTAGCCAGTCCCTCAGCAAATGTTGATTATGCAATTACTACAGTGTTATAATGCATCTTAATTTAGCTTTTCAAAGACGCAAATTCTCTGAATGCACATTTCTCTGAAACTTCCCATAGTTGTGAAACTGCAAAGAGGAAGAATATTATTAGATGAAAGCTGTTAATATCCTCATCAGTCACTGTAATGAGGTAGTTCAATATACTTGTCTTGATAAACATCTAATCTGTAGATCTCATCTTTGGAAATTTAGAGTAAACATATAGGATTAATAAAGAGGTACCTTCTGTGGAGGGATGACTGACCATCCAGACAAATCTCACATGGTTTCGTTCTACAGCAATTGGTTTCTGAGCACCTAAGACCCATATTAACAACACTCACAAGAGACTCATGCAGAAAAACCACAGCGCTAACTTATTCTTTACATAATATACTTATGTTTGCTCAATAACACATTCCTTTTCTTGAAACAAGTTTACAATTTACTTGGAAAATCAGATTATAAACAGAAGATTCTTATCAGGCTTGGAGTCAGCACCAGAGAGTTGGCTGGATGATCTTACAGTGGTGTCATCAGATAGACTGGTAACGTGGGTTGGACTCTCAGAGTGGGCTGGCCCTCTCTCCTTAGAATAGCATTGGCTGTACACTGCCCGCCTTTGCTCCTCTGAGTCCTCCTCTTCTATAGTTTCTTCGTGGACCACACATCCTCATTAATCACACAGTCCCCACTAACCACACCCCACACTGATATGTGTGTCTCAGATATGTTGAATACATTCAGTCATTTGTAGTTGGCCTTGCCTTGAGAGCCATGATTCCTCTTCAAGTGGTTTCTCTTCAAGGACATAACTTGGGAGGTGCATGCAGCTTAAGCTCCTATACTACTGGCTAGGGCAGAGGTTCCCAAACCCTCTCAATTCTCTGCGCCTTAGCATCTCAGTCTTTTTTTCATGGCCCCCCTAGGCCAAAAGCAATAACTAACATGTCAAACAACTTAATATGTATCTATGTCCTAACAACTTAGTAGCTGTTTGAAAAAATAATACATATAAATTAAAATATTATTTTTTCTCTCATTTTTATTCTTAAATAACTACAACTATCTTAAACCTTGCAATCAAACTAGATATCACCACCTTTATGTCTTGTTCCACATTGATTTGCACACTGTTTTTGCTTTTTATTCCAGCAAGTACCAAACCCCCAGCTTTATAAAGATGCAACACCATCTGCAAGAATATAATGCAATTTGATGTTGAAGTTGGGAACTACCTGGGCTGGGCGTGGTGGCTCATGCCTGTAATCCCAGCAGTTTGGGAGGCCGAGGCGGGTGGATCACCTAAAGTCAGGAGTTTGAGACCAGCCTGGCCAACGTGATGAAACCCCGTCTCTACTAAAAATACAAAAATTAGCTGGGTATGGTGGTGCACGCCTGTAATCCCAGCTACTCACGAGGCTGAGGCAGGAGAATCGCTTGAACCTGTGAGTCAGAGGTTGCAGTGAGCCGATATTGCACCACTGCACTCTAGCCTGGGCGACAGTGCGAGACTCTGTCTCAATAAAAGGAAAAAGAAATAGGGAACTACCTCAAGTAGTTCATATGGTAGTAGTAGTGCATATGGTGTCTGACAGATGTCAACTGTCACTGTGTTTCCCTCAAAAATTTAAAACAGTCACAGTGCTCCCATGAATTTACTGTGGTTCCCTGCTTACCTGCGACACAGTTTGGGGACTGTGGGGCTAGAACTTAGTCAAATGGCTCCATGCAGCTGCAAGGGGACTGGGAAATAGAATCTATTGAATTTGGTGGTCTCTGCTCTGAATTAAATGTGAATTTTCATATTTTTACTTTCACAGGGATATCTTAAATTACTATTTATAAATTCTTGAAGGGAAGCTGATTATTGCTTCCTTGTAATAATAATAATTATAATCATGGTCACCATTTTTTGAGCAGTTTTATATAATAAGCACCCTGCTAAGGTGCTTCTCATTTGTGCTGTCATTTAATCCTCACCTTACCATGTAGGTACAAGCATTATTCCTATATAATAAAATGGTAGGTCATATATATCTATATATATACATACATATATATGTATATATAAATATGAAAGAAACACATTAAGTATCTTGCCAAAAATCATATAGCAACAATGTGGCAAAGCAGATTTGACCCAGGCTGTCTGATTTTAGCGTTAACTCTCTTAACCACCATGCAATATTACTTTTGACATTTACTGACTACAAAAATGAAGAGCAATATTACATATTTGTGTTGGCATTATTTACTATTCTACCTATGCTGAATAATTAAATCAGTATTTCCTTTTACACAGTAACTCTCTTCAAAGGATTCAAAAATTGAATTCTTACAATGCCATGGAGCCAGCATGAATGAGAAGAGAGACTTGTTCAAAATAACTGTGTTAACTTCTCCCAAATTCTAGTCTGAGATAATATAGGTAGGAAAAGAGGTGACCGATATTCTTTCGCCCAACTTCCCTGCAGAGGTGTGACAGGACAACATTTTGCTAACATTTTGACCACCTGTTTTTGTTGCAGGAGGCCGAGGGGAGGATGGCGCCCCCATCATCACGTTCCCAGAGTTTTCGGGGTTCAAACACATCCCAGATGAAGACTTCCTGAATGTCATGACCTACCTGACTAGCATCCCCAGGTGAGCTGAGCACAGTGTCCTGCCGCCTTAGGCACTGGCTTTATTCCACACTTCCCATGTGGCAGGGCTGGGTTGAGACATATACTTCCATGAGCATGGTGTACCCTGGTATGCATAATAACCCAGCTGGCTTCTGTCACCCATCAGTCACGAGCAAGGAATGTGGAAAGGGACTGGAAAACAATGACAAACAAGCCTCAGTTTTGACTCTCTTGTGCACACAGGAGGGACAGAGTAAACATGGTCGGGTGGATGGAAAACTGAGCAGCTGTGTTGCCTTTGTTCCTTAGGCTATTGCTTTATTTTCATTTTTTATTTTTGAGATGGAGTCTTGCTCTGTTGCCCAGGGTGGAGTGCGGTGGCACGATCTTGGCTCACTGCAACCTCCGCCTCCCGAGTTCAAGCAATTTCCAGCTAATTTTTGTATTTTTTTTTTTTTTTCAGCAGAGAGGGGTTTCACTATGTTGGCCAGGCTGGTCTCGAACTCCTAACCTCAAGTAATCCGCCTGCCTCGGCCTCCCAAAGTGCTAGGATTACAGGCTTGAGCCACCGTGCCCGGCCTAGGCTGTTGCTTTAGCTAAAGGTTATTCTGGCTTCCTGGGTCGCGTTGTCTAGGACACATGACCCTTGTTTAGGGAACTCCAACTGTGTCAGGAGTTATTTCTCTCTCCGAAATAAGAAAATTAGGGGCAGATTGTTGTCATTTGCATTGTCAGATGGAGAAACTAAGGCACAGAGCAAGGAAACTACAAGGCCAGGGAAAAAAACTGTGCTTGTAGCTGAGCCCATGATAGAAATGCTTTCTGGCATCTTCTTCCACCCTCTCCAGCCTGGGCCTCAACTCTTTATGCCGCTTAAATCGGTATGGGCCCAGGTCTTCGAGGGGATGGAGTGTGGGCAGAGTCCACATTGGTCACCACCATTTCACAGACCGGGGCAGAGCGGGGTCTAAACCCCCTCCTTAGGCAGTGCTGTGTCCACCTCCAGCAGAGAAGACTTGGTTGGGAAAGGCCTTCCCTCCATGGGTTTGCATTGCTTATGAGCCCCCACCCCTCCCTTGACTATAGTGTGGTTTAGAATGTACACAGTGGCCAGGTGTGTGGTATTTTGCCTGCTTTCCACCTGCCTTCTATGATTTAGAGGTAAACAGCAGCTTTGTGACTGAGAGGCTGCCTGGCGTCTGATACCACTTGTGGAGATTAGGAAGTTGATTGCTTTAACCAAACCCACTTGAAAAATATGTTTTTTCTTTTACACCTTTTTCTTTAGTTTTTTCTTTTGCCCATCTTATTTCTTCAGAGAAGGTTATGGATTTATTTTGAATGCATTTCTTCAAAGTTAGTACTTAAATATATTTCATCAATTTCCTCCTTTCCTCCTCCCTGCCACTGCCATATGCCACGCGTTAATGCAGATATAAGGATGTGGGGAATCCTTTGTTGCTGTGAGGGAAAGACACCACACCTGTCTCACGGCTTTGCTCAGGTGTTTCTCTGTGGCACACCTCTGCCCCTCTTCTAGGCCTGACTCATGCACATTCATCAACCCTCAACTCTGACCTCATCTCTTCGATGAAACCTTCCTTCACCCCAGTTCTGCTTTCACAGAGTCTTTTTTTAAATTTCCACAGAACCCCGAGGTTTACCTTTGCCTATGGAAGTTATTTGTCTATGGAAATTATTTCTGCCTCTCCCAGTAGACTGTGAACTTCTTAAGAGTAGGGGCCAATGCTTTGCTTTTCTTCTCTTTCGTTTTTAAAATCTCCAGCCCTAGCACAGTGCCCAACACCTGGTTGGTTCTCAAAAGTAATGTTGGTAGAGTTTTCAGTTTTGATAATGAGTCATTCCAAACAAATGGTATTTGTTGTAGGGTGATGAAGGGGTTAAAATATGCTATTCTGTACTATGCGCCATAAAAAAGAATGAGTTCATGTCCTTTGCAGGGACATGGATGAAGCTGGGAGCCATCATCCTCAGCAAACTAACACAGGAACAGAAAACCAAACACCACATGTTCTCACTCATAAGCAGGAGTTGAACAATGAGAACACATGGACACAGGGAGGGGAACATCACATACCGGGGCTTGTTGGAGGGTCGGGGACGAGGGGAAGGAGAGCATTAGGACAAATACCTAATGCATGCGGGTCTTAAAACCTGGATGATGGGTTGACAGGTGCAGCAAACCACTGTGGCACATGTATACCTATGTAACAAACCTGCATGTTCTGTACATGTATCCCAAAACTTAAAGTAAAAATTTAAAAATGCCATTCTGGAATATTGACTATTTAAGTTAAAAGCACTTGAAAAACAGCAGGTACAAGAATATCACTTTGACCTTTGTGCTGTTTCTTAAGAGGAGAAGATGGAATTCCTATGTGAAAGACACTCTCTAGGGACTAGAAGGAAAGGTAACTTAGAGAATATTGCACAGACCTTGTTAGAAATTCTATTTTTTAAGCTTCCCCACATAATTTAGTCACATTTTCATAGTTTATTATTCTTTGTTCAATCCAGTATAGAAGTAACTGACTCTAACTGATTCTTTGGGTCTTCATTTCTTTATGAGGGCTCTTGTGCCATGTAAAACATTTATGAATAAATGTCTATGCTTTTCTCATGTTAATCTGTGTTTTGTCGATTTAACTCTTGGACCCAGCCAGGACCCTAAGACAATAGAGGTGAAGTTTTTCCATTCCTACAGTGAGAAGGGGGACCCTGACGGAGGGGAACCCCAGCTCTTCATTCCTGCCTTTATCAACCTGGGTTTTAAGAAGTTGAACTTGAACTCTGTCTTTGGCCCAGTGGCATTTCAGGACAATATCCCATCAGTTTAGCAACTTCTGTGGGAGCGGCAAGGAAGAGGGTGAATAGGGATGTAGACAATAGGAGGAGTGTCCCCTGTCCCCATTCTCCTTATATTTGTTTTAAATTCGATGTCTAGTTTTACTTAATCCCCAGGGATACAGTCAAATGCTAAGTTAAATGGAGGATTTTCCTTTTGCATTTGCAGCCTTTTCCAAATCACGCTGAAGATAGCTCAGCCCCCCGGACTGTGTGGCAAGAAGCAGGCAGGGTTATCACCCCTATCTCACAGATGGAGATGAGGAGATCAAACAGGGGCTTCTGTTTTGGATTTCTTTGTTCTACTGTAGGCTCCTGGTACAATTTCTTGTGACCTAGGGAATATTTTCTTTTCCTAGAATGCTGTTTGTCTTTCGGGAAAGAGTGGCTGTCTGGCCAGTTCTTCCCCTCGCCTTTCTTCTTCCGCTTTTGCTCACACTACTTGCTGCCCCTCCCCTGTTCCTTTCCACAAAAAGTGGAGACAAAGGGTGAGAAGGCCTGAAAGGGGAACTTGACTTGGACCTATGTCTAATTTCCATGTCAGATTTCAAAGAATGAAACCACCCTTGTTCGTTTTATGACTCCTGTTTATCACAATTTGCATCTTTTTGTACGTTACATAGTTATCCAGTACCAGAGTCCTTCCCAATTGCAAAATGTTTTATAGACAGGTGGCAGAGGGCTCGTGGATGGATAAAAAAGAATTGATACACTAGAATAGGAAAATGGCAGGATACTTGGGGTTGGGAAATGCTATCTTTGTGCCTGAAATTAATTAGGATCTCGCATTGTGAGTGGGTTGGGCAGGTACAGAAAGGCTTCCCACAGTAATTCATTCTTCAGCAGACCTCTATGAGAGCCCACAGCATGTAGGGTGCGGTGTACGATGCTGTAAAGGACTGAAAAACCTCAAGACGATGTCTCAGACCGCAGGAAACTCATTACATGACTCTGTTATCAATATCTTTTGTGAAATATGTAAACAAAGTGCTATAGGAGCTCAGAAAACAGAAAGTCACTTCGACAGGAAAAAAAGGGAAAACTTCAGGAAAAAAGGGGGTTTCAATCCAGACCTGTAAGAGAGGGTTCTTGGATCTTATGTGGGAAAGAAGTCAAGGAGAGTCACAAAATGCAGTGAAAGAAGCAAGCTTATTAGAAACTACTGTTACAGAGTAGGGTGCCCTCAGAAAGCAAAAGGAGGAACGCATTGACTTTAAGTTTTTCTTATATAGGGATCTTGTCTATATAAAGATTAAACTAAGCTGTGCCTATGTGCGGATGGGCAGACAGTGTGACAAAACTTATTATTCTATTGATTTAAAGAAAACTATCCTTGACATTTTAGTGTGTGAGAACATCAAAGCATAACTATAATTTTTTGAAAACATATATTGTTATGGTATTGGGACATCTGGACTTTCTGTTGTTGTAGTATCCTTAGGCTGTTTTCTCAACCATAAACATCTTATGACCATGGGTCCTGGTTGGCAAGGAATGTGCCTTGTTACTCTCAAGATGGAGCTGAACTTAAAATTGTGTCACTTTCACTCTCCTAGGCTCCTGCCTCCCTAACAAAATGTCCTTGAGGGGATGGTACAGTTGCTACAGATAGATACAGAAGGGAGCATTCCAGAGAGAGAAAAGGATAGTGTTGAAGAGCTTTGAACACAGCCCAAACCTGGATTGAAATCCAGATCCTATTGCTCACTAGCTAGGTGGTCTGGGGCAAATGACATGGCTTCTATTTTTTCTTTCTTTCTTTCTTTCTTTTTTTTTTTTTTTGAGACGGAGTTTCGTGCTTGTCGCCCAGACTGGAGTGCGGCAGGGCAATCTCAGCTCACTGCAACCTCCGCCTCTCGGGTTGAAGTGATTCTCCTACCTCAACCTCCCGAGTAGCTGGGATTACAGACACGCACCACCACGCCCAGCTAATTTTTGTATTTTTAGGAGAGACGGAGTTTCACCATGTTGGCCAGGATGGTCTCAATCTCTTGACCTTGTGATCCGCCCGCCTCAGCCTCCCGAAGTGCTGGGATTACAGGCGTGAGCCACTGCGCCCAGCTGACCTGGCTTCTATTTCTATCTAACGCAGGGTCTGAAGTTTTCAACAGAGCATATTTGGGGAATTACAGAGCATCCCAGTTCACCAGAACAGAGTGAGGCTGCTTTTCAGACAGTATTGAGAAACGAGGGCTGGAAAAAGTTGGAAACAGATTGGGCAAGGCCTTTACCCCCAAGTTAAGGAGTTGAGGCACAGTGAGCAGGAAGAGGCCATTTTCCTGCAAGAGGGTTTGAGGAGCAGAGTGAGGAGCAGATTGATCTGGTGGTGGTGTGTAGGATGGATTGGAGAGAGCAGGAAAGGGAGGCAGGGAGACCAATTAGGGGATTCTACACTGAGACAGGTGCAAAACGAAGAGGGATGATGGCATGAGAACTGGATAGGAAGGGATGGACAAGAAGACAGGCACTGGGGACTGGTGGAGGTCGGGAAGGAGGAAGAGGGAGAAGCTACGGAAGACGCTTGGTTTTAGGAGCCTTACAATTATCTCGTATTACTCTAAGTCTGGTGTGTGGAGTATTCTGTGTGGAATTCAGGCCTCATTTTGGGTTTGATGGTCTCATCGTGATTTATTTTAAAACTTTTTCTAATCAAAGCCATGCTAAGACAATGGTTCTCGACCTCAACTGCATTTTAGGATTGCCTAGGGAGATTTTAATTCCCAATGTCCAGACTATAATTCAGATGAATTACATCAGGATTTCTCGGGGTGAAACCTGGATTTTCAGCGGTGTCTAAATCTCACCGGTGATCCCCATGTGCAGCCAGGGATGAGAGTGTCTGTGCTAGGAGCGGATAGGGAGAAGCTATGGTGAGACAGAACAGACATTTGAGGGGTGTGAAGAAGAAAACCTGGAATCCGACTTAGCTTTTGGATAAAGTGAGGTGGCAGTGAATGTGCAGAAATTGAAAGTTGGAGGGAGGGCTGTTCCCACGTCCTTTACTTTTGCTATCACAGTTCTGTATTTCTTTCCTTAAAATCAATATATAAAAAGATTCAATTTCTTGAGCTTCCTTGACCCTGGAATTTCTTTGTGAATTATGTATAGTACTGTACATAAGGAACTATTGAATTACAAACCTTCCCACATGAATCTTATGGTATTAAAATAAATAAATATTCAAAAATACACAGAAATCATTACCACATCTCTATTCTGTTTCCAAAAACAGCTGAGGGCCAGTTTTAGCCCATCAGGTGCCGTCTGCTATATAAATTGTACTACTAGTGGTTTTCACAGTCCAGCTTATAACAATAGCACAATAAATCCTAGTGGTCACTTTCTCAGAATGTAAGATATCGTCATTTAAAACATGTCACCTGTGGCTACAGAGTAGAGCCAGATGGTCTGAAAAGACATTAGTAAAATATTCTGAGCCACAGAGATGGAGCTGAACTTGGGTCACCCTCAGTCTCCTAGGCTCCTGCCTCCCTAACAAAATGTCCTTGAAGAATGGGACAGTTTAACTGCGTTTCAATCATAGTTGTTGGTCCTACAAATCAACATTTGTATAACTAAGCATGGATATTTATCACTGTGTTTCTCTACTTAGTTTCCTTATTTTAACTTCCAGTTCTGGGTTCATTATTAGAAACGGATTGGAGAAAGTACTTTTATTAGATGGTACAAGAGCAGTATTTCATATCAATGGTTAATTTTGTTATTGTTTCTATTTCTTTCTTTCTTTCTTTCTTTTTTGAGACCGAGTCTCATTCTGTTGCCCAGGCTGGAGTGCAGTGGCGCAATCTCGGCTCACTGCAACCTCCGCCTCCCAGGTTCAAGTGATTCTCCTGCCTCAGCCTCCTGAGTAGCTGAGACTACAGGCACGTGACACCATGCCCGGTTAATTTTTGTATTTTTAGTAGAGACGGGGTTTCACCATGTTGGCCAGGCTGGGATTGTTTCTATTTCTAAAGGACTTTTCTATACGGAATCTGTTGAGGGACCTATTTAAGTTAGAGTAATTTTTCTACATTCATTTTCCTCACATACAGTGTGATGAATAGTCTTTGGTGTTCGTTGTGTCCTCTTTTTATGATAAGTGGCCTAAAATGGGGTCTGATATTAGTACTCTAGGAAGGAATAGGAGAAGAATAGTGTTATTATTTGGCCTGTGAATTGTGATGAGACTTACTCCTTTGTATTGAAAGACTCAGTGGGATTATAATAACTACTCAGCTTTAGAAACCAGCCTCGTCAGAGAAGTGAGTGCAATCTGGGCCTCTTACTATTATGAAGTGTGAAGGGAAAATAAATCTCAGGACCCCCAAATCATTAAGCCAAAGGGTAGTGAAGCTGGGAAGTGCATCAGACAAACCTGCCTCCCATTTTATTCCTAAAGAAGATAGCTACAAAGATAAAAAAAAAAAAACGATATACCTCCCTAAAGATAAAAAATACTATATACCTCCCTCACAATTTGCCCACAAGGAATTCCTCGTGGAAAAAAGACGGACAGTACTCAGAGTTATCCCTCTGCCCCTGTGAAACAAACGCCTATCTGATTGCTTCCTCTGCCCTCCTGTTTCACTAAGCCAAACTGAGGCATAAGTGACTATTCCTCTACCCTCTTCTCACATGTAAATTGTGTATTGTGTAAAAGGCTAATCAGAGGCCGGGTGCGGTGGCTTACACCTGTAATCTCAGCACTTTGGGAGGCTGAGGAGGGTGAATCACTTGAGGTCAGGAGTTCAAGAACAGCCTGGCCAACATGGTGAAACCCCATCTCTACTTAAAAAAAAAAAAAAAAGAAAAATTATCTGGGCCTGGTGGCATAAGCCTGTAATCCCAGCTACTTGGGAGGCTGAGACAGGGGAATTGCTTGGACCCAGGAGGCGGAGGTTGCAGTGAGCTGAGATCACCCCACTGCACTACAGCCTGGGTGACACAGTGAGACTCCGTCTCAAAAAAAAAAAAAAAAAAAAGGCTTCTCAGAGACTCAAAAGACTGCAACCTTTTGTCTCTTATCTACCTATGAACTGGAAACCCCCCTCACCCGTGGAGTTGTCCTGCCTTTCCTGAATGACTAATGGACATCTTACGTGTATAGATTGATGTCTCACGTCTCCTTAAAATGTATAAGAGCAAGCTGTGCCTCCAGCACCTTGGGCACTTGTTGTCAAGACCTCCTGAGGCTGTGTCACAGGTGCGACCTTACCCATGGCAAAATAAACTTTCTAAACTGATTGAGACCTGTCTCAGATACTTTTGGGTTCACAGAAGGCAATGGAAAATACTGTTTTTCAAGTGTCTAAACAACATTAACGAGCAAAAGTGCTGCTTTGATGGAGTAGCTGGGGTGAGGTGTGGTTTTCGCTGGACTGGCTGTGGAACTGTGACTCAAAGGGTCAGGGAGATGAATTCATTCATCTGACTCATCAGGATGTACATCCAGAGTGTACAGTCACGAGTACAGAGTGTACTTGTCAATCCAGAGTGTACAGTCATGTGGGCAGCTGTGTTGCCCAAGGAGGGTAGATTTGCTTCAGAGCCCTCAGGGAGGATACCAGAGAGGCTAGATTTTGGGCACCCAACTGAGGCCTGAAATCAGAAGGCACTCCTTGGTTTTATTAAGAGTAAATGGTGGCACTGGCAAGTAAGTCTTACATGTCACGAGAATTTAAGTAAATTGTAGTAAAGGGCAGGAAACAAAGTTAATATGCCAGGCTCTTGTCCTTCTCTATTTAAAAACTAGGGGTCTGATGTTACTTCTTCCCAGTGGAATGACCTCATATGTGTATGATGGCTTTTCTTTGTTCATTTGCCTGGGTGATTGTTTTAGAATACCTCCTCACTGTTCTGCCTTTGCGTCATCTATTCTGTTTTGTTCAGATAGAAACCCACGTTCCATCTTTCGACATTTCAATTTAGATTGCTTCAGAAATTCAAAACACAACTTTTGCTTGAATTTATGAGTGCTAATGATTGTAAACATCTGGAATTTGGTCTTAGTGGAATTCTTGATGCATGATTTTTCTTCTTGGTCACTTGGCAAGCCAGAGACCCTGGGCCTTGCCCGATGCCCCACCCGGGCATTGCTCGGCCACACTACTGAGGCCCAGCTCACCTGTGTTATAGCTTGCATCCGCATCTGCTGGTTCCACACGACAGTGTAGAAGAACAATTAGGAAAGGGTAGGTATATGTAAAATACATGAGGGGTGGGGATCCATCACAGGAAAGCTCGACAAATGGGAAGACAAGTTCTCAATCCGGTCTGAGGATTTAACTTGTAGCTTGGCTTTCAGGCTTTAAACTATCTTCGGCTTGGAGAGGGGGTTTCACCGGGGACCTGCCCATATCTGCCTGGGCATTTGGCTGCCTCCTGCCACTCTCATGATCAATTATAAAGATGATAGCCACATACCATAACAAGCAGCCTCCTCTCCTATTTATTATGTGATATGGGTTGTTACAGTGAAGAATTGAGATGAAGTTGGAGAAGTTAGTGGGTGAGCGATTAGCTATAAAATTTGTGAATGTTGCCTTTTTAAAATCAAACTTTGGATGTAGAGTAGACAACTGTTTGCCACGCCCTTCAACATTTATTATGCAATCAAGAAAGTTTTCCAAGACTATGAGCCAGAGAGGGCTTGACTTTTTACTATTTATTTACTATTGTCAACTAAAGAATGAGGAGGTTCATAAATTTGGAAAGGAGAGCTTTATTTCTCATAAAGAGTTCCAACCTGCAGGGTGACCATTCTGACAGGCTGGGAAGCATAGCCTCCTGCCAGAAGCTGGAAATGGACTCTTCAAGAGAGGGTCTAGAGGGAACAGGAATTTATGTTGAGCAGGGTGGCCAAATATACTTCAGTAAGCTATAGGAAGAGTCTGAATATTTATACAAGGAGAAACGTGCACACACACAATTGAGCTTCTTGCCCCTTCATGGGTCTCATGTACAAAAAAATGGCAGCATTAGCATGATCTGAGGGTGGAATATTTGGCCCTCTGATGTCAAAAAGGGAAGCAGAAGACATGAAAACCCTTACTGCACATTCTCCATAGACTGGCCAGAACCACTCTGTGATCAGTGGCCTCTTATCAGGCAAAAAAGGAGAAGCAGTGTTGGGTGGTTGGTTAATATCAGTGGTAGAGTCTTTTGAAAGGGCTGGTTTCTGTGAAAGCCTTAGGGAAGAAAGCCTAATTGTGGTTAGCAAGGGAGGGGGATAACGAGGCGTGTAAGACTGCTCATTCCATCATGGCCTAGAACTCGGTTTTCAAGGTTATTCTGAAGTTCCCTTGGCTAAGAGATGGTCCATTCGGTCAGTTGGGGGACTTAGAATTTTATTTTCAGCTTACACTATTTATTAAGTGACTTTTTACTATTATTTACTATTCTATTGTGTCAAGAATATGGGGAAGGATTCTAGTACCACTGCCAGAATTAGTCCACACACTTCTTAAAGGATTCTAAGCATTTGCACAAATACCTTTCTGATTGAATAATCTTTATGAATTTCATGGGTTCATAAAGATTATCATCCTCACGGAGATGATAAACATGGCATCAAATTTAGTAATGATGTACATTCAGTATTATCAATCAGAGTAGTCCAGGTCAGAGGTCGGCCAACTTTTTCTGTAAAGAACCAGAGAGGAAAAATATTTTAGGCTTTTGTTTTGTTTTGTTTGTTTGCTCTGTCGCCCAGGCTGGAGTGCAGTGGCACAATCTCGGCTCACTGCAACCTCTGCCTCTTGGGTTCAAGCAGTTCTCCTGCCTCAGCCTCCTGAGTAGCTGGGATTACAGCCACCTGCCACCACGCCTGGCTAATTTTTGTATTTTTAGTAGAGATGGAGTTTCACCATGTTGGCCAGGCTGGTCTCGAACTCCTGACCTCGAGTGATTTGCCCGCCTCGGCCTCCCAAAGTGCTGGGATTACAGGTGTGAACCACTGCACCAGGCCTATTTTAGGCTTTTTGAGCCATAGTGCCTCTACCTCAACTACTGAACCCTACTGTTGTAGCTCAAAAGCAACCATAGACAATACTTAAATTGGCTGTGTTCCAATTAAACTTTATTTACAAAGATGAGAGTGGGGTGGATTTGGCAGATGGATGGTAGTTTGTTGGCCAGTGGTCTAGATTAGTGGTTCTCATGCATTAGGACACAACAGAATCACTTGGAGGACTTTTTAAGACACAAATTGCTGGTCCCAACCTAAGATTTCTGATTCAGTAAGTCTAGGGGTAGGGCCAAATAATTTGCATTTCAAACAAGTTCCCAAGAGATGCTGATGCTGCTGGTCTGGGGAACACACTTTTTGAACTGCTGGTCTAGTCCAAGCTCATTTACAGAGGTGGATATTAAGACTATGAAGAAAGAACTTGGGTAAACTCACAAGCTGGTAAAGGAAAAACTTAGGGCTTGATTAGGATTTAGATTTTCTGGCCCCTGGCTCAGTGCTGTTCCACCATGTCATGCAGTTTTCAAATGATATAATGGTGGTTAGCTCCATGATACTAACATGCATATTTATGTCTGTATTTCTTGATTCATCGACTTTAGACAGTATCTTGTGTTTCTTTACTGTGAAAAATGAGTTTTGCGTATTATGATGCTTTCTCTCACCTCACTCTCTCTCATTCTCTCATTTTTGTTAGTTACATTGTTATTTTTAGATCACATACTGGTGATCTAATTGAAACAACATACTTAACTTCTTTTTGGTGATCCAGCTACCTTAGATAGTATCTGTTGATTTTCTACCACGTGTTTCCATCTTTCTCTATGCTTGTCCTTCATGTTCTTCTGCCTATTATATAATGTTGCTAAGATGTAGAATGTATTTACATTTATTCTACAAATAGATTCTTTTTGTCTGACTATAGGTTGATTTTAAGTAATAGACATCAGTAGGCCGGGCACAGTGGCTCACGCCTGTAATCCCTGCACTTTGGGAGGCTGAGGTGGGTGGATCACCTGAGGTCAGGAACTTGAGACCAGCCTGGCCAACACGGTGAAATCCCATCTCTACTAAAAATACAAAAAAAAGTAGCCAGGTGTGGTGGCAGGTGCCTGTAATCCCCAGCTACTTGGGAGGCTGAGGCAGGAGAATCGCTTGAACCCAGGAAGCAGAGGTTGCAGTATGCCTAGACGGCGCTGTTGCACTCCAGCCTGGGCAACAAGAAAGAAACTCCATCTCAAAAAAAAAAAAAAAGAAAGAAAGAAAGAAAAGAAATCATTAAAATGCATTTATATGCATTCTGTGATGTACATTATGTATACATAATAGATTGGACCTCTCAAGTGACAGTTGTAATCCTGTGTCATTAAACCTGTATCACTGAAAGGAGGAAGCTACAAATGGTAAAGTAAAATGGGTTCTCTTTCCTTATACCCCATCAGTTACTCAAAATCATGCCATAATTTAATTCATTTCAGAGTCAGACAATGACTTTTTTATGTGCATTTTCACCTGGCATTTCTAATTGCCCTTCTTTTTTCCCTATTTACAGAAGTGGCATATACCTTTATTGCATTATTACTATCTTGCAGATTCTTTATTATAGAGTGTGTAATGCATACACTTACTTCTTGAAGATATTCTTTTGAGGCCCTCTGGTCTGCTCTTATAATTCAGGATTGTTGCTGTCTAGATCTACTGCAAGCTGTCAACCAGGAAGTGTTTTTCACTGAGTCTCTGGGAAAGTCCCCTCTATTTTGGATTTCATTTTCATTGAAACACTTAACAATTATTTTATCTTCCAAAAGCACGTATGGTAAATAATTTTTTTTTTTTGAGACGGAGTCTTGCTCTGTTGCCCAGGCTGGAGTGCAGTGGTGCGATCTCGGCTCACTGCAGCCTTTGCCCCGCTGGGTTCCAGCGATTCTCCTGCCTCAGCCTCTCGCGTAGCTGGGATTACTGGCACACACCACCATGCCTAGCTAAGTTTTGTATTTTTAGTAGAGACAGGATTTTGCCATGTTGGCCAGGCTGGTCTTGAACTTCTGATCTCAGGTGATCTGCCTGCCTGCCTCAGCCTCCCACGGTGCTGGGATTACAGACATGAGCCACCGCGCCCAGCCGGTAAATAAATCTTAACAGTACCTTGAACATTTGAAAATGGCTGTATTTGTCCTCGTATTTGATCAGTAGTTTGGCTGGGAATGGAATTTTTTTATGTAAAAAACATTGATCCATCGATTTGTAGCATCCAGTGTTACTGATAACAATGCTAATCCTTCTCACAAAGATCTGTCTCATTTCTTTATAGGTAAACTGTTTATTTTGTTGTAGGTTTGAAATTTCAAACCTTTTTCCTTCTTTCTCCTGGGCCTTCAAACCTGCATAAAGTCTTTCTTAGGCTTAGAATTCTTTTCACTATTGTTTCTTTGAGTATTTCTCCCCTTCAACTCTATTTTCTGTTTCTGTTTCTATTTTTCATCTCTTTATCACTTTACTTTTTACTCATATATATATGTACTGAATTGTCTATTCATGTTTTTGCGTTATTCTATTGAGTTTTTGATTTTTATTTTTCTCTCATTTTTTTAAAGAATTCTTTATGTAATTGGTGTATTAGCCCTTTATCTGTGAGGTATATTGCAAATGTTTTTCTCTCACTTCTTAATTTGTCGTTTGTCTTTGCTTAGGATGTTTTTTTGCCGTGAAGAATTTTTATGTCATCAAATGTATTGATTTTTCTTTTATTGTATCTGAATTTTGAGTCATTGTTAGAAAGCTTTCCTAAATCTAGCTTATAGAGTAATTCATCCATGCTTTCCTGTAATGTAGTATGCTTTCTATTTTTACTGTCAGCTCTGATGAGATTGTTTGTGGTTGGTATGAAGTATAGATCCAAGTTTATCTTTCTCAAAATGGCTATTCAGTTATCTGAACACCATTAATTTTAAAAGTCCATCTGTGCCTCAGTGACTTGAGAATTAATTGGTGTGTCTGTCTATTCATAAATGAGCAACAAACTTTTAATTATAGTGGATTTACGTTGTTTAATATCTAGTGAAATTAATCACTTCTCCCCATCCCTTAAGCTTTGCCTTCTTTTCTAGTGTTTTCCTAACTGTTCTTTCCTGTTTTCTATTTGTCTAGCTTCATAAAAAAGAAAAGAAAAACTTGTTGATCTTGTCATTGGGACTGTGTTAAATTTATAAATCAGTGTAGGGCAAAGTGAAATTTTTCTGGTGTTAAAATCATCCTATCAAAAAGAAGTGTCTTTCTATTTGTTCAAGTCTACTTTTGTGTCTTTCAGGAATATTAACAATTTTTTTCTGACATAGTTTTGTACTTTTATTGTTAAGTTTTTGATCTCTTGTTGCTATTGTAAATGGGATCTATCCACCATTATATCCTTTAACTAGTAATTTTACTTTCTGTACTGTCTTTATTAAGTTTAGATATCAATATTACACTTGCTTTATAAGTAGTATTTTAAAGTCTTCTTTCATTTTTTAGAGCTCTGAAACAATTTTGTGGCATTGAGACTATGTGTATGTGGTCATTGATTTTGTAGAATTCGCCTGTGAAACCATCTGGGCCTTGATAACGTTCAGCTAAACTGGTCCTGTTTAAGTTTTACATTTCTGATGAGGTTAATTTAAGTAACCTATATTTTCGTAGGAAATTACTTATTTATATCCAGGTTTTCAAATTTTTTTGCATAGGGATGTGCAAAGTCGTTTCTTAGGGATTTTTAATTTTTTGCTTCAGTTCCTTTTGCCATTTCTTATTTTGTGTACCTGTGCTTTCCCCTTCCTCCCCTTCTCTTTTTTCTTCTTAAGTTAGCTAGTGGTTAATTTATTTTGTTAATTTTAAAAGTAGGAATTTGATTTACTAATTAGATCTATTGGTTTTTCCATTCTCTACCTTATTCATTTCTGCCTTTATCTTTTGTTTTTTTTATTTTTGAGATGGAGTCTCGCTCTGTTGCCCAGGCTGGAGTGCAGTGGCGTGATCTTGGCTCACTGCAAGCTCCGCCCCCTGGGTTCACGCCATTCTCCTGCCTCAGCCTCCTGAGTAGCTGGGACTACAGGCACCCACCACCATGCCCAGCTAATTTTTTTTTTGTATTTTTAGTAGCGACGGGGTTTCACCGTGTTAGCCAGGATGGTCTCGATCTCCTGACCTTGTGATCCGCCCGCCTCGCCCTCCCAAAGTGCTGGGATTACAGACGTAAGCCCCTGCTCCTGGCCTCTGCCTTTATCTTTAATATTGTCTTCCTGTTCTTCGGTTTGGTTTGCTTCATTTTCTCTCATTTATGAGTGAATAATTTATTTCATTCATTTATCTTGATGATATAAATGTTTAAGTCTATGAATTGTCTCCATTCACTGCTTTAAACAAACCCACAAATTCTGATATGTAGTGTTTTCTTTGTCATTACATTTTAGAAATTCTGAAATTTTACTTTACATTTTCCCTTTACCAAAGAGTTATTAATAGTAAATTTTTAAAATTTTCAAGCATTTTCTTTGTGGCCTTACATTGTGATCAATTTCTGTGGATGTTCCATGTGTACTTTAGAAGATGGTGAATCCTCTGTTACTGGCATGTAAAGCTGAAGACATATTCATTATATCTTCCTTATTGATTATGTCGTGTAGGTCTTTTATAACTTTACTGATATATTGTCTCTTTGCTCTGTCTTGTACTTAAAGTAGTATATTAAAATCTCCTGTTTAAAGTGTATTTCTTTCTACCTGCTTTTGAGACAGGGTCTCAAAAGTGGCGCAATCATGGCTCACTACAGCCTCGACCTTCCTGAGCTCAAGTGATTCTCTCACCTCAGCCTCCTGAGTAGCTGGGTCTACAGACATGCACCATTATGCCTGGCTAATTATTTTTTTGTAGAGTTGGGGTCTCCCTATGTTGCCCACGCTGGTCTCAAACTTAGTAATACGTATTTAAGTTTTTCCATGTCTTCTCATGGCTTAAAGCTCATTTCTTTTTAGTGCTAAATAATATTCCAGTATCTGGCATGCCACAGTTTGTTTTTCCATTCGTCTGCATCATGAGTATTTTCAGTTTTGGCAATTATGAATAAAGCTTCTATAAACATCTGTGTGCAGGTTTTTGTGTTTATATACATCTCTGGCTCATTTGGGTAAATACTAAAGAGCAAAATTAATGGATCTTATGGTAAGAGTATGTGTAGTTTTGTTATGGTAAGAGCATGTGTAGTTTTGTGAGAAACTGCCCAACTGTCTTCTAAAGTGGCTGTGCCGTGTTGCATTCCCACCAGCAGTGAACGAGAGTTCCTGTTGCTCTTTGCCAGAATTTGGTGTTGTCAATATTTAGGATTTTGATTTTTCTAATATATATATGGTAGTATCTCATTGTTGTTTTAATTTGCAATTCCCCAATGACATATGATGTTGAACATCTTTTCATATGTTTATTTGTCATCTGTAAATCTTCTTTAGTAAGGTGCTGTTTAGGTCTTTTGCCCATTTTTAAATTGGGTTGTTCATTTTCTTATTGTTGAGTTTTAACAGTTCTTTGTATATTTTAGATAACATTTCTTTATAAGATATAAAGACGTAAAGAAATGTGTCGTCTTCTTATTCTACTGAAAGTAAACATTTTTTATTCCAATTTTCTTTTTTTCTTCCTTATAGTAGCTTTATGTAGATGACTACTGCTTGCATCTTGCGTTTAATTGACAGGGCTGGTGGTTTGGGGTGGTTTACAAGATTTCTAGTTCAAGATATATCATCTTCTGTTAGTGTATCTAAACATAGTTTCTTTGATAGATGGCCTTAAAAACTTTTTTTTCAGAGGTTAAGGGAAGGGATTTGTATCCTCATCTTTTTTTTTTTTTAATCCTGTAAGATGCTAAATTGTACCTATTACTTCTTTTTGCCTTTACCAGACAGCCACTGTCTTGCTTTTCTTTTCATTTTCTCTCCCAGAAGCTATGCCTTTCCAAGAATGCCTCTTTGATTCCTTCTCTAGTCAGTGCCCTGATGCTCTGGAACTCTTTTTCAGTACAGATTATCTCTTCTCCAAAGTTCTTGAGACAAGAGGCTGGGTGTGGTGGCTCACGCCTGTAATCTCAGCACTTTGGGAGGCCGAGGCAGGTGGATCACGAGGTCAGGAGTTCCAGATCAGCCTGGCCAAGGTGGTGAAAGTCCATCTCTACTAAAAATACAAAAATTAACCGGGTGTGGTGGTGTGCACCTGTAGTCCCAGCTGCTCAGGAGGCTGAGGCAGGAGAATTGCTTGAACCCAGGAGGTGGAGGTTGCAGTGAGCTGAGATCACACCACTGCACTCTAGCCTGGGTGATGGAGCAATACTCCAACTCAAAAAAAAAAAAAGTTCTTGAGACAAGAAGTATTTCAGATGTTTTCAGATTTTGGAATATTTGCGTATACCTAATGAGATATCTTGGGGATGGGACCCAAGTCTAAGCACACGATTGACTTATATTTCACATACATATATCCTGAAGGTAATTTTATACACTATTTTAAATAATTTTGTGCATGAAACAGAGTTTGTATACATTGATCCATCAGAAAGCAAAGATGTCACTCTCTCAGCCACCCATGTGGACAGTCTGTGCTTGTTTGGCATCACTGTTATTCTTGAATCTGAACTTACATGCTACTGATAAACAGCTATTATCTTATACTTATTCACACTTAAGTATTTAATAGTAAATAATAAGACATGCCATTATTAGAGCAAAAACAAATAATGTGTTCAGAGTAACTGTACTTGTCCGTTCTCACACTGCTATAAAGCACTACCTGAGACTGGTTAATTTATGAAGAAAGGAGGTTTAATTGACTCACATTTCCACAGGTTGTACAGGAAGCATGGCTGGGAGGCCTCAGGAAACTTACAATCACAGTGGAAGGCGAAGGGGAAGCAAGCATGCCTTACCATGGCGGCAGGAGAGAGAGAGTGATAGGGGAGGTGCCACACACTTTTAAACCATCAGATCTCATGAGAACTCACTAACTGTCATGAGAACAGCAAGGGGGAAATCTGCCCCCATGATCTAATCACCTCCTACCAGGTCCCTCTCTCAACATTGGGGATTACAATTCCACATGAGATTTAGGTGGGAACACAGAGCCAAACCATATCAGTAACTAAGCAGTACAGTAGCATTACCAGCATTCTTGTATCTGCTGTTAAACAACAGCAACAAGGACAAACAACAGCAGGCTTTCAGTTTCCACCTATGATGCCATGTTTTGATTAAAAGGTTATTGTACATTATGTGTTTCCTTCCTTCCTTCTTTCCTTCCTTCCTTCCCTTCGCTCTCTTCCTGTCTCTTTTCCTTTTTCTTTTCTTTTTCTTTTTTCTTTTCTTGTCTTGTCTTGTCTTGTCTTGTCTTCTCTTCTGTCTTATCTGGTCTTTCCTTTCCTTTCCTTTCTTCCTTTTCTTTTCTCTTTTCTTTTCTTTTCTTTTCTTTTCTTTTCTTTTCTTTTCTTTTCTTTTCTTTTCTTTTCTTTTCTGAGTTTCACTCTTCTTGCCCAGGCTGGAGGTGCTATCTCAGCTCACTGCAACCTCTGCCTCCCGGATTCAAACGATTCTCCTGCCTCAGCCTCATGAGTAGCTGGGATTATAAGCATGCGCCACCACACTCGGCTAATTTTCTATTTTTAGTAGAGATGAGGTCTCACCATGTTGGCCAGGCTGGTCTAGAACTCCTGACCTCAGGTGATCCACCCACCTCAGCCTCCCAAAGTGCTGGGATTACAGGAGTGACCCACCACGCCTGGCCTAGTACACTGTATGTTATTTTTCTAGGTGAGAAGAAACATCAGAAGTAGTTGAAGGCACAGGAAGAAGTGGATCCTCTAAGGATGAGGAGACATTCTCTCAAATGGCTTTTTTTTTTGAGACAGGTTCTCATTCTGTCACCCAGGCTGGAGTGCAGTTGCATGCATGATCATAGCTAACTGCAGCCTTGAACTCCCGGACTCAAGCAATCCTCCTACTTCAGCCTCCCAAGTAGCTAGGACTACAGGCATGCCACCATGCTCAGCTAATTTTTAATTTTTTGTGTGGGGACAGTATCTCGTTCTGTTGCCCAGGCTGATCATGAACTCCTGGGCTCAAGTGACCCTCCTGCCTCAGAGTCCCAGAGTTCTGGGATTACAGGGATGAGCCACCCCCTTCTACCCCAATCTGGCCTGGATGGCTTTTTAAAATGTTTCCTCCAGAGTCATCTGCCTCATTAACAGTGGGTTTTATCTTAGAAGCTCTCTTTGATTTTGTAAACTGGCATAATTTCTTGTTCTGTTGTGAATGCAGCTGCTGTAGTCCTTCAATAAGCCCATTACACATTTTCACCGTGTCTTCTAGGCACGTTTTTCTGCAGTGTTAACAGCATCGTCTTTACCATCACTATTATCACAATCGGCTTGATTCAGAACCATTTTGGCTATTTCATCATTGGTTAATGAATGAACAATTGGAGCCTCATAATCAATGTTAAAAATTTCAATACCCACGTTTTCCAGCTTCGTGATGGACTCTGAAGATACATCTTTTGCACATGTAAGAAGGTTAGACATCATTGTTTCCTCACTTGACATGTGGAATTCTTCAAAGTCCCCACCTTATTCATCATCATCACTGAACAGGCCAGAGGTTGTGTCAGGTCTTGGTGCAAAACTGTGTCTTTAGTCACTGTGTTCCAAGCGTTGACAACAGCCTATATGGCACCCTTCATGCTAAACTCTGTTTGAAAACCTCCACACCCGTGCCTTAGTTTACTGAGTTTACTGCTGCTAGCATGCTGTTCAAGAAAGTGTTTATATATTTATTTTCATCGACCTAAGGGTACCTTGTTCATGGCTGAATTAATGTAGTCACATTTGGGGGAAAATACATGACATAAACATTATTTTTCTGAAATCAGATGAGTTCAGGTGTGTTCAAGGTGATATGGCCATAGACAGTAAATGTTATTTTTGATGAGAATTTCAGCTGGAGTGTGAGCAGAACAGTTGTTAAAGAATAAGAAAATCTTTCAGTCATCATTCAGTCCAGTTTCCCTGCAGAGTGCATGAGCCACTGGTATAAAATCTTTGTGAAACGAATCAGAAAGGATGTCCCTGGTGATCCATGACCTTTTGTTAGTATAGTAATGGACTGGTAAGAAATTCACTCTGTGAAAGCAGTGAGCACACGAGCTTTTGCCTTCTGAGTGCCTATTGTGTTAGCACATCCCAGCACAGTTATTCTGTCTTTGACATCCTTAATTCCTGTAAGGGCTGTCTCATCAGTGCAGTCAATGTCTTTCTGGGGGAATAGTGCAAAACAGTGATATTTCATCAGCATCCCAGGCTTATTCTGGCATCAAATTTTCATCAGCAGTGACCTTGGCAAACTTGTCAATGAATTTCTGCACTGCTTCAGTAAAGATTTAGAATTTAAGAAAAACAGAAAAAAAAAAAAAACCCAATGAACTTTTCCACTGCTTCATGATCAGCAGATGCTTTATCTTTTAACATTTAATGTTATCTTTTCTTATATTTCTGGGCCAGGCATGGTAGTAATCATACCCTGTAATCCCAGCACTTCGGGAGGCCAAGGCAGAAGGATTACTTGAGGGGTTCAAGACCTGCCTGGGCAACACGGCAAGACCCTGTCTCTACAAAGATAAAAAAAAAATATTAACTGGAGGTGGTGGAACATGCCTGTAGTCCCAGCTACTCGAGAGGCTGAGGTGGGAGAACTGCTTGAGCCCTGGAGTTCGAGGTTGCAGTGAGCTGTGATCAAGCCACTATACTCCAGCCTGAGAGATAGAATGAGATCCTGTTTCTGAACAACAACAAAAAATTTTCCGTAACCAACCTGTTGAATATTCACACTTCCCTTCAATTTTCAGTTCATTGTGATAGATTTTTCCTTGTTTCATGAGCGGCACACCATTAAGTTGCACAAGTTCACTGCAGTGCTGATGGATCTACTCTTTCGATACATGATCAAGAGATTCATTTTTAACTTTATGTAGTGTTTTTGTATTTTTTGTTCATTTCTGTTCATCACTTTTAGCATGGAGCATCAACAGTTTATCTTTCTGTATCTTTAGGTCATATATGGTATGCATTCTAACACCACACTCTTCTTTTTCTTTTCTTTTTTTTCTTATTTATTTATTTTTCTTGTGACAGAGTTTCGCTCTCATTGCCCAGGCTGGCGTGCAATGGTGGGATCTTGGTTCACTGCAACCTCTGCCCCTCCCAGGTTCAAGTGATTCTCCTGCCTCAGCCTCCCAAGTAGCTGGGATTACAGGTGCCCGCCATCATGCCCAGATAATTTTTTGTATTTTTTTAGTAGAGAAGGGGTTTCACCATCTTGGCCAGGCTGATCTTGAACTCCTGACCTCAGGTCATCTGCCCTTCTCGGCCTCCCAAAGTGCTGGGATTACAGGTGTAAGCCACGGCACCCGGCCACTAATACCATACTCTTCTGTAAGATGTTTCTCACTTATGCTGCTGTCCAGTTTCTCCAACAGCTTGAATTTCTGTGCTATAGATAAACATAAGCTTCCTCTTTTTCTTATCACTGTTACTCATAGGGGTGTCTGCCGGCCTTTTTTTTTTTTTCTGGACATTTTGAAAAATATCTTTACATCATGGAGAAGAGAATAAGTGGAAAACCACAGTGAGTATTACTTGTAGGTCTTGGTCCCATGCAGAGCATTGGGGAACCTGCCTTTGATGCATCTGGCCTGTACACATGCCATTTTATTACCCTTCATGGGCGTGCTTGCATAGGGGAGTCAGGGTGTGCATGGAAAAGATACACTGCAGCTGAACAGGGCCGGACAGTCTTTTTCCCCTTGAGGACATGGAATAAATGGTGTGTCGTATGCTTGCGTTTTAACTGCAAGTTGTTACATGAAGTCAGGTGTTGGGTTTTTCCACTTTTGGTGTCACGTCAGTGCTGAAAAAGTTTCAGATTTGGGAGGATTTTGGATTTTGGATCTTTGGATTAAGGATGATTGACCTGTATCTTTGCACTTAAAGTGGACTCTTTTTGTTTTGTTTTGTTTTTCCTGTGAGTAGTTTTATCTCAATGGCCTCTTCTCTTAGCACTCCTTAGATCGCTGCAAAAGCTAGTAGCAGGAGCTCAAGAAGTAGTTCTGTTGAAAATTAGTATCTTGCTTGTTTTTTTAAAAATGTTTATAAGTAGCTTGAAGTTTGTAGTGTTCTTAATCTTCTAGTTATTCTCAAGGCATGGGATTTGTGTGGCCCTATTTGTTCTTTTGGTTTATCTGCATGGTTCTGAGAGGATATGTGACAATTCAGATTTTGCTCAGCTACCCAGAAGTCCCTCTGTTTTATTTTTGATAAACTTCAAATCACTGATTTCAGATCACTAATGCTTTCATTACTAGATGACTAATCAGTTATCTCAGATCACTGATTTGTTATCAGCCATGTGCATTTTTCAAAAACTCTTCTATACATTTTTAGGTTCTAGCATCATATGTTTAATTTCTGAGAACTATTTCTTATTCTCCCATTGCTCCCTTTTCATAAGAGTGTATTCTTGTTTTATGGATGGAGTATTCTTTCAACAGTCTGAGATTACTGACTAGAAAAAATATAAACTTTTTTGTAGTTGTTTTCATTGTTTCTAGATTGGCTGTTCTGTTTGTTCACCTCAGTCTTTCTCTTTGATGCTTTGCTTTTATTCAATTCAGAAGATCTTTGGTTGCCTTTTTATATTTTTGAAGGGTTATGTTGTAAATATAATTATCTGACTTGGATTTCCTTTGCAATTGGGTAGCTCTGTTTAACCAAGGTACTTGCACTTGAATGGGAGGAAATTGAGGTCAGTAGACTCTGCAACAGTGAGTGGGTCCTATAAATAGATTTTCCTTTAGGGATGCTTGATTAGGGAGTAGGCAATACTTTTATTTTATTTATTTATTTATTTTGAGACGGAGTCTTGCTCTGTTGCCAGGCTGGAGTGCAGTGGCGCAATCTCGACTCACTGCAACCTCTGCCTCCCGGGTTCAAACAATTCTCCTGCTTCAACCTCCTGAGTAGCTGGGACTACAGGTGCATGCCACCACGCCCAACTAATTTTTATATTTTTAGTAGAGACAGGGTTTCACCGTGTTGGCCAGGATGGTCTCAATCTCTTGACCTCGTGATCAGCCTGCCTTGGCCTCCCAAAGTGCTGGGATTACAGGTGTGAGCTACAATGCCCGGCAATACTTTTTTTTTTTATAATAAAGAGTACTTTGCTCTAGAGGCAGAGTTTTTTTTTTTTTTTTAAGTCAATTTTATTTCTAGAAAGACCTGCTCTTTGTATTCTTCTTTTGAGTCTTTCTTGCATATGGTCTGAAGTTTCTTCAGGCACTGCTCTTCCTCCTCCTTAGCTTCAACTCCTATAGCCTAGGCACTGTCCTGGCAAATCTACTTTGTGAAGGAAGAGGTTTGCAAGGCTGCAGATGGGGCAAATGCTACAGCCAGCTGCTCTTTATTCACAAGGGGAGGGGAGGGGGGAAGGAGGGGCCCACTGCCCTAGTCACTCCAAGTGAGGCCCCAGAATGAACATCACCTGGAAGCCTGTCAGAAATGCAGAATCTGGGGCATCACCCCTAGCTTCATGACTTGAAATTGCTATGTTTAACAGGACCCTCAGGTGACTGGTGTGGACTTGAAAAGCATTGTTGATGGCCGGGTGCGGTGGCTCACGCCTGTAATCCCAGCACTTTGGGAGGCCGAGGCAGGCGGATCACGAGGTCAGGAGATCAAGACCATCCTGGCTAACACGGTGAAACCCTGTCTCTACTAAAAATACCAAAAAAAAAAAAAAAAAAAAAAAAATTAGCTGGGCGTGGTGGCGGGCGCCTGTAGTCCCAGCTACTCGGGAGGCTGAGGCAGGAGAATGGTGTGAACCCGGGAGGCGGAGCTTGCAGTGAGCCGAGATCGCGCCACGGCACTCCACCTATGCGACAGAGCGAGACTCCGTCTCAAAAAAAAAAAAAAGGAAAGGAATTGTTGATTATGGTAGCTAAGTAATTATTTTGCTATTCCTGCTTTCTGCCCCCCTCTACTGAAAGAGTAAGACTGTGTTGGAGTTGCCTCTAAGAGGCCTTCAAGCATTTTCCCCTCCATTTTCTAAGGTCAGTATCCTTAGAAAGAGGAATTCATTCATATCCACAAGCAACAAGATCTGATCCTTTTCTAGTGACATTACCTGTCTCTTGCTTCCTCCTCACAATCCCCTAGTTTTTTTCATTTTCAAACATTTCATGTAAATTCTAGAAATCAATATCATGTAAAGAAAGTTGTGGTGGAGTGTGTGGAGGGGATGGGATCCATTAGACTTATGAAAATAAAATAAAATAAATAATAAATAATATAATGAATAATAAATAATATTATTAAAATAAATAGAAGCATTTTATGCCAGTGCTTTAAACAATTATTTTATATCACTTCACACAGTACAAAGACCTGGAAACATGCTTTAATTCTTACATTTATTTCTGTATTTATTCATGCATTCATGATGGATTTATTCCCTTTGCATGCTTATAGGGACTACGTTATTGATCAGTAACATACCTATGTTGACTCAAAAGGGCCAAACTCTGTAAAATATTTGAAGAACTTTATTCTGAGCCAAATGTAAGGACCACGACGCCATGACACAGCCTCAGGAGGTCCTAAGAACATGTGCCCAAGGTCATTGGGTAATAGCTTGATTTTATACATTTTAGGGAGACAGGAGTTACAGGCAAACAACAATCAATACATGTAAGATGTACATTGGTTTGGTCCAGAAAGGTGAGACAACTTGAAAACTTGAACCACTGGGTGAGAGACTTACAGATCATAGGTGGATTCAAACATTTTCTGATTGGTAATTGGTTGAAATGGTTAAGTTATTATCTAAAGAGTAGAAGTCAGCAGAAAGAAATGCTGGGGGTTAAGATAAGTGGGGTGGGGTGGGAGGGTGCAGGTTGTGGAAGCCAAGGTTCTTGGTATGTAGCAGGCTTTAGAGAGAATAGATGGTAAATGTCCCTTATCAGACCGTAAAAGGTGCCAGACTCTCAGTTAAATCTCTCTCCTGGATCAGGAAAAGACCTGGAAAGGGAAGGGGATTCTCTGCAGAATGTAGATTTTCCCCACAAGAGACAGCTTTGCGGGATCATTTCAAAATATGGCAAAGAAATATATTTTGCAGAAAAAATAATTCTATTTCTTTCAGGGCCTGCTGTCATGTGACGCTGTACTAGAGTCAGGTTGGAACTTGGCATCTTATTGCTATAAAGAATCTGTTGTGTTAGTCTTAAGATCTCTTTTAATGTTAATGCTGGACATTTGAGCCTGAATTCCAAAGGGAAGAGGGTATAATGAGGCAAGTCTGACCCCGCTTTCTGTTATGGCCTGAACTAGTTTTTTAGGTTTCTTTGAAATCCACTTGGCCAAGAAGAAGGGTCCATTCAGTTGGTTGGGGAGCTTAGAATTTTATTTTTGGTTTACACCTACTCCTCTTCCTATTAAAAAAAAAGTGTGGTGAGAGGATGGAATCTGAAATGTGGAAGCTCTATAGAAAGGAATATTTGACTGAATATGGGGAAAGGGCTGCCTTATTTTCTGGACACCCTAGCAGAGAATTACGTTGGCTTGGAGGCAGTGGAGGCCCTGGATATGGTTTGGATTTGTGTCCCTGCCCGAATCTCAGGTCAAGTTGTAATCCCGTGTTGGAGGTGGGGCCTGGTGGGAGATGAATGGATCATGGGGGCAGATTTCCCCTTTGGTGCTGTTCTTGTGATAGAGTCCTCACAAGATCTGGTTGTTTAAAATTGTGTGGCACCTCCTCCCTCACTCTCTTCCTCCTGCTCCAGGCACGATAAGACGTGCCTGCCCCGCTTTGCCTTCCACTGTGATTGTAAGTTTCCTGAAGCCTCCCCAGCCATGCTTCCCATATAGCCTGCAGAACCGTGAACCAATTAAAACTCTTTTTAAAAAATAAATTACCCAGCTTCAGATATATTTTTATAGCAGTGCGGGAACGGGCTAATACATCCCATTACTGGATGTGTCTGGTGGAACTGGGTGGGCATCTTGCAGGGATGTGGAAGGGGATTCCTTCATTATTAAAGCACGGAACTAAGGCATTGACCATGTTTCTTCCTTCTGTAAAGCGGAAGTATCCTCTAAATATGGTCTTTTCTATGAATGAGTGTAGCTGATTCCTAAAGCTTCAGTTTTCTATAACTCTACATTGTTTATTCATGAATCACTTAAGAGGCTTTGGGTTTTTTTTAATTTTTAAATTTTTTAAATGGAAACTACAGAAAAATTTAAACATTTGCGAAAGCCAACAGACTAGTATAATAAACACCTATGTTTCTATCACCCAGCTTCAACAATTACCAACTCATGGACAATCTGTTTCATGTGTGTCTCCACCCATGTTCCTTCTCATCGTTACCTCGAAGCGGATAACATATCGAACATTTTCTGATTGGTAATTGGTTGAAATGGTTAAGTTATTATCTAAAGAGTAGATTTTGCCTACAAATATTTCAGCATGCATTTCTACAAGACAGAGGTTCTTTTTAAAACATAATGATAATACAATCATCACATCACAAAATATACTTTAATATAACCAAATAGTTCAGTCATTTTTCATATATCTCCAAGTATCCTTTTTTCTAATAAGTTAGTTGAAATCAGGATCCAGAAGGGAAGTGAGGAGGGGTATACCCTGCCATTGGTTGCTCTGCAGATTCTCTCTTTTTTTACTCAAGAGCTACTGATGTCCCTCAAAGCGCTGTTCTTTGCTGGCTTTCCTGTGCAGTGGAAGCACGTCTGCTTCTCTCCATTGGCTTGGGCAGGGACTTGCCATTATACCACAGAAAACATTAGAGTCTCAGCCTTTAGTCCGTTCTTTTTTTTTGAGACAAAGTCTCTCTCTATCGCCCAGGCCGGAGTGCAGTGGCACAATCCCAGCTCACTGCAACCTCTGCCTCTGGGGTTCAAGCAATTCTCCTGCTTCAGCTGCCTGAGGAGCTGGGATTACAGGCACGCACCACCATGCCCGGCTAATTTTTTCATTTTTAGTAGAGATGGGGTTTTGCCATGTTGGCCAGGCTGGTCTCGAAATCCTGACCTCAGATGATCTGCCCGCCTCAGCCTCCCAAAGTGCTGGGATTACAGGTGTGAGCCACCACGCCCGGCTTCACCTTTAGTCCATTCTAAGTGAAGATGCTAGTTCTCCTACATAGAACATGGAGAGTGACTTTCCACTCAGGATGAGGCATTGAAGAAAATAGCAAAAGATAAGATGAGGTCAGATGAGAGAGAAAGTATGATGAAGATGCTGAAGTACTTGAGAGATCGACAAAATCATCCCATATGTCTTCCATTCTTAATTTGGTTGTATCTTATCATATCTTCCAAACCCTATAAAAATGATCAACCCAATTCAACTGAATTTGTAGAAGCATATCCATGGTCCCTAGCGACTTGAAGTCACTATACAGAATCAGTAAATCATAGAATGTTAAAATTGGAAGGAGGGCTTGAGATGAGCTTCTGTTAGCCCCCACCATTTTGCAGATGAAGGTGCCAAAAGAATGCCACAAGACTAGAAAGCATTATGGATACTTTATTTCTGAATTAGACTAATAAATTTAAAAAGACATAGGCTAATCATCTTATCTCCTATACCAGGAACAACTCTGGGCACTGCCATTCAAGAGGGAATTCCTAAATTTGCTTAAGTTCACAGTGTAACCATCAGCAAACATAGACAGTCCTGAATAGTAGTTTGATTTCTTCCAGTAAGAAGCCCCATGTGCAGTATATCTATGACAATCATATTAGTGCTTGGAATTAGGTATTTGAATCAGAGTTACCAATTGTCCTGATTTTCCTGAGACTGTTGTTTTTAGCACTGAAAATAATGTGTCCCAGGAACTTCTCAGTGCTAGACAAACAGGATGGTTTGTCACCCTACATTTGACTCAGTTCTGATGGCAATGCAATAAAATTTCAATTGACCAAAATATTTTCTATACCTTGCTTACCAAAAAAGGCAAATCATAGGAAAGTATATTAACATCAGAGCTAGCCTGGCACAGTGATATGACCTGTAGTCCCAGCTACTTGGGAGGGTGAGATGGGAGGATTGAGATGGGAGGATTGCTTGAGCCCTGGGGTTCTGATAAATAAATAAATAAATATATATATATATATATATATATATATATATATATATATATATATACTTAAGAAAATAAATATCACACACACCACAATGCTTCTTTGCTATTTTGGGATCAGAACATATTTACCTCAATCTCTTATACTTACATATTTATATTTAGTGATTTTCAGAATATCAGGTGTGACTCATCAAAAGTTCAATTACATTTGTGACAGAGGAGTTACTAAGATTGGAAAATGAAGGAGTATAGTGTTACAATATTTTCTATAACAAGACATAATGAATTTTGTGGCATGAGCATTGGTCTTGGAGTCTGAAGACTTCTAATGACTCTTTTTTTTTTTTTTGAGACGGAGTCTCGCTCTGTCGCCCAGGCTGGAGTGCCGTGGCGCTATCTGGGCTCACTGTAAGCTCCGCCTCCCGGGTTCACACCATTCTCCAGCCTCAGCCTCTGGAGTAGCTGGGACTCCAGGCGCCCGCCACCACGCCCAGCTAATTTTTTGTAGTTTTAGTAGAGACAGGGTTTCACCGTGTTAGACAGGATGGTCTCGATCTCCTGACCTCGTGATCCACCTGCCTCGGCCTCCCAAAGTGCTGGGATTACAGGCGTGAGCCCCCGCGCCCGGCCTCTAATGACTCTTAACTCTGCATATAGGGTGTGACTTTTGCAAGTTATTTTTCGAAGCATTCTTGAGGATTAGTTTCCTTGTCTATTAAATGAAAATGTTATCACCAACCTCATAGAGCGAGTATGACAATCATATCAAAGAGTATTTGTGCAGGTGTCTGACACATCATAGGGCTTTGGTGTTAAAAAGAACAAGAGGGGTAAAAACCAAGTGTTACCTTAAGAAATACATTGGCCAGAAACCCCATTTCCTGTGCATTTGGTTTAGTTGACGTTTTCATACCTTTGTTGAATAAGAGAGGGTGAAAAAAAAAAATCCCACCCCAGCAGTCATTACTGAGTGTTGTCTAGCATGTATACCTTATGGGAGGATGATTTAAAGTCATTGTCGTGATTCCTTGTCTCTTTCTGAACTGTGGCCTATATACAATTATGTCAGGAGACACAGCTCTTTCTGTTCACAGGTATTTTTCCAGCAGATCCCACACTCCATTTACCCAGATGCTCTGGTTGGGTCTTAGTCTGTGTGGAGCGAAGAGGAGTCTTGTTCTGAGGAACATTTGCCCTCAGTTTGGCCGGGGAGACCATATATGCCAGCAGCTGCTTATTTCATAGGTGAAAGAATAGCCTGTGTTTATAAACGATCTAATATTTGCTAAGCCTCTCCCAGCTTCACCTTGTTTAAGAGTCCTGGTGGCTCCCTTAGAACTTCCTTCAATGATTACGTGGTTCAAGTAGAAAAGAAAAAAAAAAGGAGCAGCAAAATATACAAAATCAAGCTGCCACAAGGTACAAGCAGGTTTGCTGTGAAAAAAACAGTGGAAGGGGAGCAGTGGAATAGGGTGAAGAGCATCAGTATCAGACAGCTGAGTCTGAAAGCCAGGCTTGCTAGTGTGATATCAGGCAAGTTATTCTGTTCTATCAGCCTTGGTTTCTTCTGCTGTTAAAAGGAGATAACATCTGTTTCGTTAGGTTAAGTGAGACAGAAAACAAATAAGTCTGACAAATGATAGGAACTCAATAAATAGCAGCTATGACTATCTAGAATGATTGTTGTTGTGTTTGACGTTCACACGTTTTTGCTAGTGCAGCAGAACTGTTTTGCTCATTCTGTGTCCCCTATGATCAGTGCCCAGTAACATTCGGAAGCTAAGCAACCACCTCTATATAACCTATGAATCAAAGAAAAAAATCACAAAGGAAGTGAGAAAACATTTTTACCGAGCAATAACAAAAACAGTATGTCAACATTCATGTGATATAGATAAAAGTAGTGCTTAGGAAGAAATTGTAACTTGAAATACTTATATTGGAGAAGAAGAAAGGCTTAAAGTCAGTGCTCTAATCTTATACCTTAAGAAGTTTGAAAAGAGAATAAGAAACCCAAAGAAAACAAAAGGAAGGAAATTGTAAAGGAAAATAAAAAGAACCAAAGATAAATGAAATAGAAAAGAGAGGAATAGTAGAGTTCCAGTTTAATTCCATGGTGATCAGAAGTGCACCCTCTATGATTAGCATCATGTAAAATTTGTTGATACTTGCTTTATGACCCAGACAATGGTCTATCTTGTTAAATATTCCATGAGCATTTGAAAAGAATATCGTCTGCATTGCTAGATGTTGTGTTCTTCCAAGTCGGGTCTATGTTCTTACTAATTTTTGGCTGCTTGTTCTATGAATTACTGAGAGAGGAATACTAGAATCTCAAACTTTGTGGATTTATCTGTTTTTCTTTTAGTTCTACCCATTTTTGCTTTGTGTCTTTGGGGCAATGTTATTGTACGCTTAGACATTTAGGATTCTTATGTCTTCCTGATAAAAAGGCCCTTTTATATTTATGAATAACTTATCTCTGCCGATACTCCTTGTCATAAATACTACTTTGAAAAATATTCACATAGCCACATTGGCTTTCTTATGACTAGTGATAGCATGGTGTATGTTTTACTACCCTTTTCTTTCAATCTAACTCTCTCCTCATACACAAAAGTGTATCTTTTGTAAGCAGTGTATTTACTCCGTCTCTACTTGCCTTTTTAAAAATTTATTTATTTATTATTATACTTTAAGTTTTGGGATACATGTGCAGAATGAGCGGGTTTGTTCCATAGGTATACATGTGCCATGGTGGTTTGCTGCACCCATCAACCCATCATCTACACTAGGTATTTGTCCTAATTCTCTCCCTCCCCTCGCCCCCCCTACCCGACCCCCGACCCACTGACAGGTCCTGGTGTGTGATGTTCCCCTCCCTGTGTCCATGTGTTCTCATTGTTCACTTCCCATTTATGAGTGAGAACATGTGGTGTTTGGTTTTCTGTTCCTGTGTTAGTTTGCTAAGAATGATGGTTTCCAGCTTCATCCATGTCCCTGCAAAGAACATGAACTCGTTCTTTTTTTATGGCTGCATAGTATTCTATGGTGTATATGAACCACATTTTTTTTATCCAGTCTATCATTGATGGGCATTTGGGTTGGTTCTAGGTCTTTACTATTGTAAACAGTGCTGCAATAAACATACTTGTGCATGTGTCTTTATAGTAGAATGATTTATAATCCTTTGGGTATATACCCGGTAATGGGATTGCTGGGTCAAATGGTATTTCTGGATCTAGATTCTTGAGGAGTTGCCACACTGTCTTCCACAATGGTTGAACAAATTTACACTCCTACCAACAGTGTAAAAGCGTTCCTATTTCTCCACATCCTCTCTAGCATCTGTTGTTTCCTGATTTCTTAATGATCACAATTCTAACTTGTGTGAGATGGTATCTCATTGTGGTTTTGATTTGCATTTATCTAATGACCAGCAATGATGAGCTTTTTTTCATATGTTTGTTGGCCACATAAATGTCTTCTTTTGAGAAGTGTCTGTTCATATCCTTCACCCACTTTTTGATGAGGTTGTTTTTTTCTGGTAAATTTGTTTAAGTTCCTTGTAGATTCTGGATATTAGCCCTTTGTCAGATGGATAGATTGCAAAAATGTTCTACCATTCTGTGGGTTGCATGTTCACTCTGATGATAGTTTCTTTGCTGTGCCAAAGCTGTTTAGTTTAGTTAGATTCCATTTGTCAATTTTGGCTTTTGTGGCAATTGCTTTTGGTATTTTAGTCATGAAGTCTTTGCCACGCCTATGTCCTGAATGGTATTGCCTAAGTTTTCTTCTAGGGTTTTTATGGTTTTAGGTCTTATGTTTAAGCCTTTAATCCATCTTGAGTTAATTTTTGTATAAGTTGTAAGGAAGGGGTCCAGTTTCAGTTTTCTGCATATGGCTAGCTAGTTTTCCCAACACCATTTATTAAATAGGGAATCCTTTCCCCATTGCTTTGTTTTTGTCAGGTTCATCAAAGATCAGATGGTTGTAGATGTGTGGCGTTATTTCTGAGGCCTCTGTTCTGTTCCATTGGTCTATATATTTGTTTTGGTACTAGTACCATGCTGTTTTGGTTACTGTAGCCTTGTAATATAGTTTGAAGTCAGGTAGCATGATGCCTTCAGCTTTGTTTTGGCTAGGATTGTCTTAGCTATACGGGCTCTTTTTTTGGTTCCATAGGAAATTTAAAGTAGTTTTTTCTAATTCTGTGAAGAAAGTCAATGGCAGCTTGATGGGAATAGCAGTAAATCTATAAATTACTTTGGGCAGTATGGCCATTTTCATGATATTGATTCTTCCTATCCATGAGCATGGAATGTTTTTCCATTTGTTTGGGTCCTCTCTTATTTCCTTGAGCAGTGATTTGTAGTTCTCCTTGAAGAAGTCCTTCACATCCCTTGTAAGTTGTATTTCTAGGTACTTTATTCTCTTTGTAGCAGTTGTGAATGGGAATTCACTCATGATTTGGCTCTCTGTCTATTGTTGGTGAATAGAAATGCTTATGATTTTTGCACATTGATTTTGTATCCTGAGACTTTGCTGAAGTTGCTTATCAGCTTAAGGAGTTTTTGGGCTGAGACTATGGAGTTTTCTAAATATACAATCATGTCATCTGCAAACAGAGACAATTTGATGTCCTCTCTTCCGATTTGAATACCCTTTATTTCATTCTCTTGCCTCATTGCCCTGGCCAGAACTTCCAATACTATGTTGAATAGGAGTGGTGAGAGAGGGCATCCTTGTCTTGTGCCAGTTTTCAAAGGGAATGCTTCCAGCTTTGCCCATTCAGTATGATATTGGCTGTGGGTTTGTCATAAATAGCTCTTATTATTTTGAGATATGTTCCATCAATACCTACTTTATGGAGTGTTTTTAGCATAAAGGTGTTGAATTTTATCGAAGGGCTTTTCTGCATCTATTGAGATAATCATGTGGTTTTTGTCTTTGGTTCTGTTTATGTGATGGATTACATTTATTGATTTGCATATGTTGAGTGCATCCCAGGGATGAAGCCGACTTGATCGTGGTGGATAAGCTTTTTGATGTGATGCTGGATTCAGTTTGCCAGTGTTGTATTGAGGATTTTCGCATTGATGTTCATTAGGGATATTGGCCTGAAATTTTCTTTTTTTGTTGTGTCTCTGTCAGATTTTGGTATCAGGATGATGCTGGCCTCATAAAATGAGCTAGGGAGGAGTCCCTCTTTTTCTATTGTTTGGAATAGTTTCAGAAGAAATGGTACTAGCTCCTCTTTGTACCTCTGGTAGAATTTGGCTGTGTATCCATCTGGTCCTGGGCTTTTTTTGGTTGGTAGGCTATTAACTACTGCCTCAATTTCAGAGCTTGTTATTGGTCTATTCAGGGATTTGACTTCTTCCTGGTTTAGTCTTGGGAGGGTGTTTGTGTGCAGGAATTTATCCGTTTCTTCTAGATTTTCTAGTTTATTTGCATAGAGGTGTTTATAGTATTCTCTGATGGTAGTTTGTTTTTCTGTGGGATCAGTGGTGATACCCCCTTTATCACTTTTTATTGTGTCTATTTGTTTCTTCTCTCTTTTCTTCTTCATTAGTCTGGCTAGCAATCTATCTATTTTGTTAATCTTTTCACAAAACCAGCTCCTGGATTCATTGATTTTTTGAAGGGTTCTTCAGGTCTCTATCTCCTTCAGTTCTGCTCTGATCTTAGTTATTTCTTGTCTTCTGCTAACTTTTGAATGTGTTTGCTCTTGCTTCTTTAGTTCTTTTAATTGTGATGTTAGGGTGTTGATTTTAGATCTTTCCTGCTTTCTCATGTGGGCATTTAGTGCTACAAATTTCCCTCTAAATCCTGCTTTAGCTGTGTCCCAGAGATTCTGGTACATTGTGTCTTTGTTCTCAGTGGTTTCAAAGAACTTATTTCTTTCTGCCTTAATTTCGTTATTTACCCACTAGTCATTCAGGAGCAGTTTGTTCAGATTCCATGTAGTTGTGCAGTTTTGAGTGAGTTTCTTAATCCTGAGTTCTAATTTGATTGCACTGTGGTGTGAGAGACTGTTTGTTATGATTCCCATTCTTTTACATTTGCTGAGGAATGTTTTACTTCCAATTATGTGGTCAGTTTTAGAATAAGTGCTATGTGGTGCTGAGAAGAATGTATATTCTGTTGATTTGGGGTGGAGAGTTCTGTAGATGTCTGTTAGGTCTGCTTGGTCCAGAGCTGAGTTCAAGTCCTGAATATCCTTGTTAATTTTCTGAATCCATCTAATATTGACTGTGGGGTGTTAAAGTCTCCCAGTATTATTGCGTGGGAGTCTAAGTCTCTTTGTAGGTGTCTAAGAACTTGCTTTATGAATCTGGGTGCACCTGTATTGGGTGCATATATATTTAGGATACTTAGCTTTTCTTGTTGCATTGATCCCTTTACCATTATGTAATTCCCTTCTTTGTCTTTTTTGATCTGTGTTGTTTAAAGTCTGTTTTATCAGAGACTAGGATTGCAACCCCTGTCTTTTTTTTCTTTCCATTTGTGTGGTAAATATTCCTCTATCCCTTTATTTTGAGCCTGTGTGTGTCTTTGCACATGAGATGGGTCTCCTGAATACAGCACACCAATGGGTCTTGGCTCTTTATCCAATTTGCCAGTCTGTGTCTTTTAATTGGGGCATTTAGCCCATTTACACTTAAGGTTAATATTGTTATGTGTGAACTTGATCCTGTCATTCTGATGCTAACTGATTATTTTGCACATTAGTTGATGCAGTTTCTTCATAGTGTTGATGGTCTTTACATTTTGGTATGTTTTTGCCGTGGCTATTTGCCTTTTAAATGGAGCGTTATAGGCCATTTCCAATTAATGTGATTATTAAGATGGTTGGGTTTTAATCTGCCAATCTGTGACTTGTTCCTTTATTTCTCCTTTCCTGCCTTCTTTTGAATTATTCAAATATTTTCAGTATTCTGTTTATCTCCTTTATTGAGTTTTTAGCAGTTATTTCCTGATGTCACAGTATGTGTTTTTGAATTAGCACAATCTACCTGGGATTAATTTCATACCACTTTATATACAATATAAATAGTATAGTTTAATTTCACCCAATACTAGTTTCAATAGTACTTTTTTTGGGGGGGGTGGTGGTTTTGTTTTTGTTTTGGTTTTGAGCCCAGTCTATCTCTTGTGCTCAAGCAATCCTCCCAGAACAGCCTACTGAGGAGCTGAGACTACGGGCACACACCACCAGGCCTGGCTAATTTTTTTAAATTTTAGTAGAGATAGTATCTTGTTGTTGCTCAGGCCGGCCTTGAACTCCTGAGCCCAAGCGATCCTCCTGCCTTGGCCTCCTAAGGTGCTGGGATTACAGGTGTGAGCCACTGCACCTGGCTAATAGTAAGTAAAAGTAATTTTACTTACTGCATTCCGTTCTTCATGCTATTGTTGTGACATATTTATTTTATAATAATACTGTGTTATTTTTACTTTGATTAGTTAGTAGTCCTCAGAGAAATAAAAAACACAGTTGATAATACTTATTCACATATTTAACGTTTACATAACATTTACATAACTCTCTATTTCTTCTTGCAGATTCAAGTTGCTATGTTGGGCTGGGCATGGTGGCTCACGCCTGTAATCCCTGCACTTTGGGGATTGAGGTGGGTGGATCGCCTGAGGTCAGGAGATTGAGACCAGCCTAACCAACATGGTGAAACCTGTCTCTGCTAAAAATACAAAAATTAGCCGGGTGTGGTGGTGGGCACCTGTAATCCCAGCTACTCAGGAGGCTGAGGTAGGAGAATCACTTGAACCCTGGAGGCAGAGGTTGCAGTGAGCCAAGAGAATGCCACTACACTCCAGCCTGGGTGACAAAGTGAGACTCCGTCTCAAAAAAAAAAAAAAAAATCAAGTTATCATGTTGGATTATTTCCCTTCAGATTCATTCATTTGCCTGCCTATTCTCAGAATAGGCAAGCACCACTTTATGTAAAAGTCTGCTCTAGTATTTGCTCTCTATGGAAGGTCTTAAGTCTCTCTGGAATTTGTTCATTTATATTTCTTTGTCTTCAGAGTTCTCTCATATTTAAGGAAAAATATGAGCTTTTAACTTCACCAGTGTTTTGTTTGTTTTTGGTAGGAGTGAAAGTCTTCCTAAACATCAGCTGAACCTATATTTCTTCAAGTATATATCTAATGACAATACATTCTCTCACCTCTATTGTCTGGAAATGTCCTTATTTCACTTTCATTTTTAAAATGAATTTTCAGCAAGATAACCTGGGTCAGTATGGGGCTGTGAGAATCGATTAACCCAATGATGCTTAACTGAGATTAGCTTCTTATGTTTTCCTGCAGGTTTTGCTTAGACCTTCTGCCTCATTCACATATACACACTTTTGTAGGGTAAAGCCCACCTTTTACCCAAAATTGAAGGTTTACTATAGGCCAACTACTTATCATGTACTATATCTCTTTTAATCTCTGTGACAAGCACATAAGACTTAATAGAAGTGGAGAAAAGAAAGAAAGAATAATAGTGCTTATACAGTATTACCAAGTGCCAGGCGTTGTCCTGAGCATTTTACATGTTTGTACATATATGCATACACACACACACACACACACACACACACACACACACACACACACACACACATTTAATCTTCACATCAACCTCATAGGTAGATACTATTTTATTATTTCAGATTTACAAACGAAGAGTCTGAGAAACTACAGGGGTTAAGTAACTACCCCTCAACCCCCAAAAAGCACACACAATATATAAATAGAATTCAGAATTCAAATCTAGTCAAGTTGGTTCCAGAATCTGTGCTTTTAACCATCTCATTACTGGTAATATGATTCTCATTTTACAGAGAAGAGCACCGGATTTTAGAAGAGTTAGGTGAACTCCTCTGTGTGTCACTGCTAGTAAGTGGCAATACTAGCGTTTGAACCAGGCCCCAAAGACCTTGCTCTTTCCTCTGTACCGTGCTTCTTCCCAAAGGAGAGAAAAAAAATGTTTTCACTTTTAGAATTCTACTTTCGAAAGATTCTGTGAGAATTTCGTGAGGACTTGAGAGGGGACCAAACAGCTTCCTTTTGGTCTTAGTGACAATGATGTCTTCTCAAGCATATTGTCTATTGGCCTATTTATAGCCAGGCACTGCCAGGGGGTTGCTTTTCCCACTGACGTGTTAATTCTAAACACCTCTCTCATTACTCCCTCTCAGACTGCTCTAGAGCCTCATAGCTGAGCGTGTTACTGTACTGATAGCTCTGTGAATGTTTGCTTTGGGAGCGGAAGGATGGCAGAGCTCAACCTCAAGGTCCTCCGCCTACATTGGGAATATGTGATGCTCACCTGACACGTGCATATTTCCTTTGGGCTTGAACACGTGTTCCTTTGGTGTTTCATGCATTTGCCAGCCAGAAAGGGAGTCCTCCAGTGGGTCTGAGAAACAAAGTATCTATTTTGTTAAGATTACCAGGCTTAGACTGGGAGAGGGAGTTGGTTGTGCTGTGCAGGGTGTTTACACGGTGAGCCTGGAGTGCTGTGGAGGCTTCAGGGTGTATTCTGCTGTGGGAGCCACATGGAGCATATGGGTCTCACCTAATCTCTGACACTGACCACCCTTCTTTGCAGTGTGGAGGCTGCCAGCATTGGATTCATTGTTGTTATCGACAGACGAAGAGACAAGTGGAGCTCCGTAAAGGCATCCTTGACACGAATAGCTGTAAATATTTATTTTTGTGCTTTTATTATAAAAGTCATTTAAATTGTCTGTTCAACTATTTCATATCAAAGTCCTGGGGAAAAGGCAATTATTTTATGTCAAATTTTGGGAAGGTCTTTGTAACAGGTGCTGTTATGTCACATCCCTATCTCCTCTGCCATCTGCAGGTCACCTGCAAACAATTCTGAGCATGTCAAAGACTTCCTAAGTCTCTCTACCTTACTGACTTCTCTGGTCACTGAAGAGGGGCAGTTGGGGAGTGCTGGAAAGTTAATGCCCGGGGAGTAACCTGCAACCACTGAGTTAAAGGATTTGGTAGATAAATATCTCAGCTTCCAGATCCGCAGTGGGGCAATTCTGAGGTGTGTTCCACACAGTATCCCAGAGGGTCTCAGCCCCCTTTGCCTACGGCAGTAACCCCCTCATTGAGACATTGCCACTCTATTCATTGTTGTCTTCCTCCCTGCTCCCTCATTCGTGCTTCCTGGAATCACTTCCCCAACAAACTACCTGTACTTAAATCCTTGTCTGAGGATTTGCTTTGGGGGCAATTCAATTTAAGACAGTATTTATTATTTCAGTATTATTATTATTTTTGAAACAGTGTCTCACTCTGTCGCCCAGGCTGGAGTGCAGTGGCGCAATCTCAGCTGACTGCAACCTCTGCCTCCCGGGTTCGAGAGATTCTCCTGCCTCAGCCTCCCAAGTAGCTGAGATTGCAGGCGTGCACCACCACGCTTGGCTAATTTGTGTATTTTTAGTAGAGACGGGGTTTCACCATGTTGACTAGGCTGGTCTCGAACTCCTGACCTCAAGTGATCTGCCCACCTCAGCCTCCCAAAGTGTTGGGATTACAGGCTTGAGCCACTGCACCTAGCCAAATTATTTATTCATATATTAGAAAGACAATGGTAAAACCAGACACAATGATATTTAAGTAGCATGGTGGGAGGTGTGCTTGCATTTGCATTAAATTATATCACCTTGGATTGGCCTCCTTTTGCTTATAGTCTGATTTTGATCCCTATCTGTTGTCTTTCAGCAAGTAGATGTGTCCTTCCTCTGTAGGGACCTCAGACTTGTGAACTCCACCACAAGCAGAGACACCTTAGGGCCAGCTAAGTCAGCATTTTTACCTGAGCATAGGCCCTCTGGGGCAGTTGGGACTGGCTAAAGAGGATGGATGTGGTAGTGTGGTAAAGCAGGACAGGAGAGGGATATTTGAAACCTCACTTAAACCTGCTTGCAGAAGGAGTCACACATGCAAACATGCACACACACGGAGTCCCTCTCAGATCGCTCTAGAGCCTCATCCAAATTCACAAATTATGTCTCAGCTAATACTTTCCGTCTTGGCACAACAAAGCGCAAGGTTCTTCTGTTAGGAGCTTGCATTTAAAGATGGGGAAGAGAGTCCTCCCATTGCCGCATGGATTGTTTTCTCCCTTTAGTTTAGTTGTGGATATAGGATTTATCTTTGGGATAACTGCAGCCATGATTGATGCCCATGACTATTCCAGAGGTCTGGCCTCTAGAGAGTTCTGGCTTTCCAGGGTCCATACATAATACATGAGTAATCTAATGTCTGAGCCTAATTTGTCCCAGAATTACGTTGATCACTTTATATGTAAAACATGCTGTAGTGCAGGGATCCCCAAATCTGGCTACCTGCCAGAATCTCTTCAGGTGCTCGTTGAAAATACTGATACCTAGATTTCATCCCAGTCCTAATGAATCAAAATAGTCTGGAGTAAAGACCTGATTTAGAAAAAAAAAATCCCCATAGGAGGTTGCTTTGGGGGAACCACTGGAAGAATGGAAAGCCATGGCAGTTTCCATGGAGACCTGGGTTCCTAAGTCTGCCCCGAAGCATTACATGAACCTGCTCAGAATCTTGCCTTGCGATGTGGGCGATACTTTCTGAAAGCAACTTAGCAATAATATACATCAAGAATACTTAAAATACGAACTCTTTGATTCAGTAATTATTTTACGACTCTAGCCTAAGAAAATATTCCAAGATGTGGATAAAGGTGTTCGTCTCAGTATTATTTACAATAGTAAAATTATCAAAAAGCCTAAATGATTAACAATAAGGGATTGGTTAAATAAATTGTACACCCGTAAAAAATAATATTTCCAAAGAATTTATTAATAACAGGAATAAAAGCCTATGGTATAACATTAAGTGAGAAGGCCGGTTACAAAATATTTTAAGAATATGAGCCATGGTAAAGATATTTAAACAGAGAAAACATCCTATAAGTGAACAGATGGAAATATTAAGTATGGCTATAAAAACCCATGGGTGAGTTTTCACTTTCTAATGTATAGTTTTATTAATTTCCCAATTTTTCTATAAATAATATGAATTATTTTTATAATCAGAAAACATTTTTCTTGCTTGTTTGGTTTGCTTTGTTTTTTTAGGAGGGGTTAGGATTATCTGACCTCTAGGGTCTCTTTTAGCCCTGAAATCTGGTGAAATTTACATCCATGGCATCCGTTTTAACTTTTCCTTCTGTGATCTTAATCTTGGGCAAGGGGAGACCAAAGTAGACCCTGGTAACGAATATGACATTTTTCTCTCTCCTCCTGACACTTTTCCTGATGCTTGCAGGTGGCATTTCCAGGAAACTTACAGCTCATATTCATCCTTCGTCCATCTCGCTTTATCCAGAGGACATTCACTGACATTGGCATTAAATACTATCGAAATGAGTTTAAAACGAAAGTGCCGGTAAGCAAGACCTTTCATCTTGTCTCATTTGGTTAGGGCTTCTGGCTAAGATGGCATTTGGGCAGGGTTTCTGGGCAAGATAAGATTCAACAGGTAGAGAGGGAGAAAAGGGTTCTCTGGGCTGAGGGAACCGCATGTGTGAAGGCATAGAGGCAGGAAGTACACAATGGACTGAGGCCCATGGGAAGCCTCATTTTTGTTGGAGCACGTAAACAGTAATCTTTTGGAGGAAAGAGTAAGAAACAAGGACTAGATCTTCAGTGTGAGGAGGCAGGTTTTGGATTTTATTCAGTAGACAGTGGGGATCCAGGGAAGGTTTTCTTTTTTCTTTTTCTTTTTTTTTTTTTTTTTTGAGATAGAGTTTCGCTCCTGTCACCCAGGCTGGAGTACAATGGCACAATCTCGGCTCACCACAACCTTCGCCTCTCGGGTTCAAGTGATTCTCCTGCCTCAGCCTGCCAAGTAGCTGGGATTATAGGCATGCGCCACCATGCTTGGCTAATTTTTGTATTTTTAGTAGAGACGGGGTTTCTCCATGTTGATCAGGCTGGTCTCGAACTCCTGGCTTCAGGTGATACACCCGCATCGGCCTCCCAAAGTGCTGGGATTACAGACATGAGCCACCATGCCAGCCCCAGGGAAGGTTTTCTAGGTGGGAAGTGACATGGTAAAATTAGTCTGAAGGTGGTGTCTAAGATGATAGAAAGGGACTTGGGAGGAAGCTAAGTTGTACAGGTGAAACAAAACACGGATCTAAAATATAGGGGTGACATAAATCCAGGAAACTAAAGTAAAAAGTCAACATTGTGATTCTCAGAAGAGAAAAACAAATTAAAACTAAAACATTCAAAATTTTACCTATAACTTTGGCAAACAGATATGAGAAAACAAGCACTCTTATATTTCACTGGTAGGAATGGATTTGGTAATGAGCAATGTGAAGGACTAATTATCAGTATTTATAGAAAATTCAAATGTACACCCTCTTTCACCCATCTGTAAAGTTATTCTACAGATATTTTCACACATCTGCATGAAGCTGCTTAGACAGCGATATTCATTATTAAGCTGTTTATAAAGGTAAAAGATTGAGAATAACGTAATGCTTGACAATAGGGGACTGGTTAAATAATTAGCTACCCAATCAGTGAAATACTTTGTAGCCAATAAAAGTGGTAAGTTATGGTACAACCACAATGGAAACGGCTGATAGTTTCTTTTTTTTCTTCTTTTTTTTTTTTTTTTTTGAGATGGAGTCTTGCTCTGGTGCCCAGGCTGGAGTGCAGTGGCGCAATTTCAGCTCACTGCAACCTCCACCTCCTGGGTTCAAGCCATTCTCCTGCCTCTCCCAAGTAGCTGGGATTACAGGTGCCTGCCACCACGCCCAGCTAATTTTTGTATTTTCAGTAGAGACGGGGTTTTACCATGTTGGCCAGGCTGGTCTTGAACTTCTGACCTCAAGTAATCCACCCGCTTCAGCCTCCCAAAGTGCTGGGATTACAGGCGTGAGCCACTGTGCCTAGCTGATAGTTTCTTTAAACATACACCTAACCTATGACCCAACCAGAAGAAATGAAAACACAAATTCACAAAAAGACATACACAAGAATGTCCATCAGCTGGTCAGCGGAAAAGTATATACAAGTTGTGTCACATTTATATAATGTAAATACCATTAAGCAATAAAAAAGAGTGAAGTACTGATGCGTTCAACAACATGGATACATTTCAAATATATTCTCTTGAGAGAAAGAAGCTAGACACTGAACAGTATGATTATGATTCCTTTTAGAAAAATTTCAAAATAGGCAAAACTATGTTGTGATAGAAAATCAAAACAGTAGCTGCTGTTAGGGATGAGGGGTGGTGGAGACTAATTGGAAGGAGACAAAAGGAACTTTCTAGGAAATATTCCATATATATATATATATATATTTTTTTTTTGAGATGGAGTTTCACTCTGTTGCCCAGGCTGGAGTGCAGTGGCACAATCTTGGCTCACTGCAACCTCTGCCCCACACAGGTTCAAGCAATTCTCCTGCCTCAGCCTCCTGGGTAGCTGGGATTATAGGCACCCGCCACCACGCCTGGGTAATTTTTGCATTTTTAGTAGAGATGCGGTTCGAGACCAGCCATGTTGGCCAGGCTGGTCTCGAACTCCTGACCTCAGGTGATCCACCCACCTCAGCCTCCCAAAGTGCTGGGATTACAAGTGGGAGCCACCACGCCCGGCTAGGTTCCATATCTTGATTGGGTGGTGTTACATGTCTATATACATTTATCAAAATGAATTGAACTCTATCCTTAAAATTTAAGCATTTTAGTCCATTGAAAAATAAAAAATAGATAACATGAGTCTATAGTGATTACATATTACATTTTCTAATATATATTCTTGGATGTTTTATGTTTAGTTGAAACTAATTTCAAACTCAACAGAAAAGTTGCAAGAATAAGAATAGCACAAAGAATATCACATGCCCTTTGTCCAGATTCACCCACCCATTGTTAACATTTTATCATCATCTGATTATTTCTTATCATTTGCTTCTCTCTATATATACTTATATGATATATATATACACATAAGAATGTTATATATTTATGTTTACTTAGAATAATATTTTTACAGTTACATGTATTATGTATGTATTACCTTAGTTTGTTCGTGCCGCTATAATAAAATACTGCAGACTCAATAATTTATAAAGAACAGAAATTTATTTGTCACAGTTCTGGAGGTTGGGAAGTCCACAATCAAGGTGCCACCAAGTTTGGTGTCTGGTGAGGGACCCAGTCTCTCCTTCCAAGATGGCATGCTGTTGCTCCCTCCTTGGGAGGTGACGAACGCTTTGGCCTCACATGGAAGGAGAATGGAAGAGCAAAAGAAGCAAACTCACTCCCTCAAGCCCTTTATGTTTTGTTTTGTTTTGATTTTAGAGATGGGGTCTCTCTCTGTCACCCAGGCTAGAGTGCAATAGCTTAGGATCATAGCTCACTGCAGCCTCGAACTTCTGGGCTTGAGCGATCATCCTGGCCAGGTTGCTGGGACTGCAGGCACACACCACCATGCCTGGCTGATTTTTTAATTTTTTTTAGAGAGGGGGTTTTGCTGTGTTGCCCAGACTGGTCTCAAACTCCTGGGCTCAACCTATCCTCCTGCCTGGGCCTCCCTAAATGCTGGGATTATAGGTGTGAGCCACTATGCTCAGCTACCCTCAAGCCTTTTCTAAGGGTGTTAATCCCATCCATGAGGAAGGAGCCCTCATAACCTAATCACCTCCTAGCCCCACCTTCCAATATCATTACCTTGGTGACTAGGTTTCAACATATGAATTTTGGAGGGCAACATACATTGAAACCATAACATGTATTATAGTGTATATGTATGTTTAGAATATGTTTATGTATTTATATGTAGACTATGTTTATGTATTTATATGTATTGCTTCTGTATATGTATTGTAATGCATATGTATTTATCTGTATACTTAGAATAAATATACATATAAAGAGATCCATACACAATATATTTAATATGAATACATATATACAAGATATATGTAGAAGATCTACTCTAGGATTGGGTCGTGGATTTAGTTATCATATCTCATTAGTTTTCTTTAATCTAAAACATTTTCATAGCCTTTCTTTGTCTTTTTTCTTTTTCTTTTTTTTTTTTAAGACAGAGTCTCTCTCTGTTGCCCAGGCTGGAGTGCAGTGGTGCCATCACAGCTCACTGCAGCCTCCATCTCCTGGGCTCAATGTATCCACCCACCTCAGATTCCTGAGTAGCTGCTACCACAGGTACGCACCACCAGCACGCTGCACCATGCAGGCTATTTTTAAAATTTTTTTGTAGAAATGGAGTTTCACCATGTTGCCCAGACTGGTCTCAAACTCCTGGACTCAAGCCATCTGTCCGCCTTAGCCTCCCAAAGGGCTGAGATTACAGGCATGAGCCATTGTGCCTGGCCCTTTCTTTGTCTTTTTTTTTTTTTTTTTTGAAATGGAGTTTTGCTCTTGTCGCCCAGGCTGGAGTGCAATGGCGCAATCTCAGCTCACTGGAACATCTGCCTCCCAGGTTCAAGCAATTCTCCTGCCTCAGCCTCCCGAGTAGCTGGGATTACAGGTGCCTGCCATTACATCCGGATAATTTTTGTATTTTTTTTTTAGTAGAGACAGGGTTTCACCATGTTGGCCAGGCTGGTCTCGAACTCCTGACCTCAGGTGATCCACCCACCTCAGCCTCCCAAAGTGCCGGTATTACAGGCGTGAGTCACCATGCCCGGCCCTTTCTTTGTCTTTTATGCTACTTAAGTGATACATGTCCTTCTTGGAGTATCGCCTGGAGGCCCACGGTGCTCATCTGTCCCCTATTGGTGATGTGAATTTTGATCCCCTAGTCAAAGTGTTGTCCACTTTCCCAAATATTAAATAGATTCTTTCCCTTGCAACTAACAATCTTTGCAGAGACACTTTAAGATCATGCAAATATCCTGCTCCTCAAAAAAGTCCAATCTCTCTTTAGTATCCATTAAAGATTCTTGCCTGAAACAACCTTTATTTATTGGTTACAAAATAATGATTATCCAACTCCAGCACTCTCATCATTTACTAATCAGAAGTTGGTATTTTACTGTAAGCTAGAGCTTTCCCTTCTCACCTATTTGTCTATTATCGTTTTGGATTCTTAGTTTTTCAGTGGTTTGTCATTCATTGCCATTCTCAATTATCGTGGTGCTCCAGCTGTCCCAGATTTGGCCAGCGGGAACCCCTTCAAGCTGACTCTTGTGTCCTTGTGACATGTCCCTATCATTTTTTTTTTTTTTTTTTTTGGCACTTCCTTACTTTCTGGCCTAATATGATCATCTAGGCCCCTCTCAGGCATGCTCTGATCCAGCTTTGTTACCGGCCATTTCTCTTAAGAGCCCTGGTTCCTTTTGGTGTTGAAAATATTAGAGTCCAAGATCTGGATGCAAGATGTGCTATTACTACTTGGTATCTTTGTTTTTAGGCTCTTTCAGCAGACAGAAGCTGTAAATATATGCACGTATATGCACATATACATGTACACATTTGTAATTACAAATATCCTAGAAATCACAACTTCATACTGATACCTTAAATTTCAGTCCATGTAAGATGTATATTTAAGTGAGGGTAAAGTCAAGGGGAGAACAGTGTATCCAGTAAGTTCCCATTTGGATAAAATAAGAGGGCTATATGTATGATTGTGCATAGATCATCTTGAGAAGGATACACAAGATATACAAGAAGCTGGTTAAAGTGGTTGCCTTCTGGATCTCCACCTAGATGGCTGGGAGTAAGTGGGAAGGGGGAGGATTTTTCTATTTAGATAGACTTTTTCTGTTCAAATTTATTACTATCTATAAATATTATCTGTTCAAAATTAACAAAAAATAGCTTTAATTAAAATTACTCTGAAAGAGGGCTGGACGCAGTGGCTCAAGCCTATAATCCCAACATTTTGGGAGGCTGAGGTGGGCAGATCATCTGGGGTCAGGAGTTCAAGACCAGCCTGGCCAACATGGCAAAACCCTGTCTCTACTAAAAATACAAAAATTAGTCAGGCATGGTGGCATATGCCTGTAGTCCTAGCTACTCGGGGGGCTGAGGCAGGAGAATTGCTTGAACCTGGGAGGCGGAGGTTGCAGTGAGATGAGATCACACCACTGCACTCCAACCTGGGCGACAGAGCAAGGCTCTGTCTCAAAAAATAAATAAAAATAAAATTACCCTGAAAGAATATTAAACCCATCTCAGTGAAGACTTGCCATCTTAGACAAGGGATTTTTCTCATTTTTCTCTCTCCTTTCCTACTCTTATTTTCCTTGTTTTGGTTCCATCCTGTATTAATAATCAAATTTCTGAAAATCCTTTCTTTTCTACTTTGGGGATTAGCCAAACTCAAAATGAATTTCCCATTCTATTTTAAATACTCATTTTTGAAACACTTGAGTGTTTAAGGAAAATGTGAGGCCTGAGTTCTTTGCTCAGTTTTCCTAACTTGAGTAACTGTTGATGTTTGGGAAGAGATGGAGACTGACAAGAAGCCGATGACGTGTCATCATCTTCACGAGTCCCTTCGTGACTCCCCTTCAGAAATGAAGACTCATCAATTCTTCTTGCCACTCAAAAACGTTTGGAGTTGGAACTGAGCATTTGACCAAATGTCACGCGTATTTCCCTGATTGCATATAAAACACGTGTTTTATACATATGATACATATGATCTAGGTGTGCTCATATGTACACAGATACATTTGTGACTTATGCCCTCCTTCTCAGGTGATGCATCTACACCTAGGAGGGACTGAACATCTACTTTATCTCGATATTCTGACTTTAGCTACCTCTATTTGTGGTAGTGTAGGTTGATTCCCTGCCTGACCTGCTTTTAATTTTAAACTTAAAATCAACTTTTGAAAAAGCTCTCAGTCACCCAAACCCTGGGCACATTGAGTAGGGCATTCTTTAATGCAAGTTCACTCCGTAAGTAACCATTTCACCTGACGCACAAGGTCACACTCCCTGGTAGCGCTGATGCTCCAGAAACGGCAGAGTCTGAAGTTATCAAGCTTAATGAAATCTAACTTCTCAATACGTGTTGCCTTCTCAATGACAGTTCAAACTGTCAGTTTATCTTCTTTATTTTTAAAACGTGTTGTGATATTAGCACTTTACTTTGTAGCTTCCTAGCCTCTCTTATATTATAACATCTTCCTGGTCATTTCTAGTTAGATAATTACATTTTCACGTGTTGGGGGGAAAGGAGTTTATTTTGTGTGACTGGTATAGGAATCAGGTGGGTCAAGGATGTAATTGTAGCCAAGTGACAGCCTCCCTCTACCTTTATCTATGGAGGGGAAGTACTTTCATGTAGTAAATGGTTTTTGTTTGTTTTTGTTTTGTTTTGTTTGAAACTGTGTCTTGCTCTGTCACCCAGGCTGGAGTGCCGTGGCTCCATCAGGACTCACTGCAGCCTCAACCTCCTGGGCTCAAGTGATCCTCCTGCCTTGGCCTCCCAGTAGATGGTTTCTGAGTCCCTGTTGCTGGCCAGGCACTTCCCTATTCTGGAACAGCTGTACTCATAGCAGCCTCATAAAACTGTTAATGTGAAGTCACCAAGGCAGTCTTGTAAAACTCCTGAAGAGGCTATGATCGTGGAAATTGGTTGCTTAAAATGGAGTTTGTGTCAGAATACAGGAAATGCTTCTTGTGCAGTTAAAAGACCATGTATTTCTTTGAAAGAACGGTTTTAAGCATCTATAGATAAGAACACAAATGTATACAGAAAAGGAAAAGAAACAAGACATTTTTAGCTTTTAACAATTGTTACAAGAATATGCACGTATGGTAAAGTTGGTGGGGCCACAGGAAGAGACAGGCTTGGAAGGAAGAAGTTTATAATATCCACATGTCCAGGGGTCGGGGTCACCTCACGCCGCATGGGCTACTGGGGAAGCACCAAGCTTTGGTCAGGAGGCAGAAGAAGGAGGCAGAGGAAAGTCTAGGACAGAGCGTTTACTGGAGTTCTGCAGGCAAAGCAAGGCAGGATTTAGTATGGACTAGTTTGAATAACTCCTGCAGTCTTTGGGGTATAAGGATTGTCTCTTTGTTACATGGCACCTGGCCCTGGGATGACTTAGGGCAAGGTAAACAATGGCCTGGTGTGTGAGAGTTTGATAAGGTGGTGGTTGGGGATTTGGATTTGAGACTGGTTGTTTTGCGTATGAAAGACCTGCTCCCAGCTAACCCCTTCCCTGTCTCTAAGAAGTGGTTAGCCCTGGGGTGGGGGTGGCGGGGCAGTCTCTTCCTAGTCATGGAGGCCACAAATGCCAGAGCCTCAAGAGTACAGAAAATAAGAAAATGTGGCTCATGTAATTGACCCTGTAATGAGAGGATGCCAAATAGACAAAAACAGAATCCAAGAAAAGACAGAAAAAATGTTTTAAGGCCAGTTTTACATGCTTAGTGTGTCCTGTGGGTTTGATGAGCACAATTATTCTGCCTTTTTTCTTCACTATATAGAATATAAAAACTTTTTAAACATTTCTATCCTGTAAAGATTAAAAGAAGAAAAAAAATGTGGGGAAACTGCCTCTCATTTGTTTTTGAAAATTTACATCAGGTAAAATTCACTCTCTTTGGTGTACAGTTCTATGAAGTTTGACAAATGCGTGGTGTTATCCAGTCACCACAATAAAGATACAGAACAGCCCCATCACCACGCAAAACTTCCTCACTCTGCCCTTTTGTAGCCAGCCCCTCTCCCCATCCCTAATCCCTGGCTGCCACTGATCTGCTCTCCATCCTTATAGTTTTGCCTTTTTGCAGAGAGTCATACAAATGCAATTCCAGCCATGTGCTGCATAACAACATTTTGGTCAACAACGGACCACATATACAGTGGTGGTCCCATAAAATTATAAAACTCTATTTTTACTGTACTTTTTAAAAAAAGTTTTTCCTTTCCTTTCCTTTTCCTTTTCCTTTCCTTTTTTTCTTCTTCTTTTTTTTTTTTTTTTTTCAAGACAGGGTCTTGCTCTGTCACCTGGGCAGGAGTGCAGTGGTGTGATCATGGCTCAGTGTAACCTCAGACTCTGGGGCTCAAGCTATCCTCCCACCTCAGCCTCTTCAGTAGCTGGGACTACAGGTGCGCACCACCATGCCCGGCTGATTTTTTTTTTTAATTTATTTTTTGTAGAGACAGGGGTTTCCTTGTATTGCCCATGCTGGCCTTGAACTCCTGGGCTCAAACGATCCTCCTGTGTCAGCCTCCCAAAGTGTTGGGATTACATATGTGAGCCACTGCCCCGGCCCCTTTTCTGTGTTTAGATGTGTTTAGATACAGAAATACTTTCCATTGTGTTATACTTGCCTACAATGTTCAGTACAGTAACATGCTGTACAGGCTTGTAGCCTAGGCACAATAGGTTACACCAGTTAGCCCATGCATGTAGCAGGCTGTCCCATCTAGGTTTGTGTAAATGCACTTTATGACTGAATAGCAACAAAATTGCCTAATGGCGATTTTCTCAGAATTGATCTCTGTCATTAAGTGACACATGACTGTGTATACTGGGTAGCCTTTGAGTCTGAGTCTGACTTCTTTCACTTAGCATAAAACAGTTGGGGTTCATCCATGTTGCTGGGTATGCCCATAGTTCTTTCCTTTCATTGCTGAATATTATCTCACATTATAGAGGTCCCTGTTTATCTGTTCACCATTCACCAGGAAAGAACATTTGAGTTGTTTCTAGTTTTTAGTGATTAAGGATAAAGCTGCAGCCAAACATGGTGGCTCACACCTGTAATCCCAAAACTTTGGGAGGTTGAGGTGGGTGGATCACCTAAGGTCAGGAGTTCGAGACCAGCCTGGCCAACATGGTGAAACCCCGTCTCTACTAAAAATACAGAAATTAGCTGGGCATGGTGGGTGTGCCTGTAGTCCCAGCTACTCTGGAGGCTGAGGCAGGAGAATTGCTGAGGCAGAGGTTGCAGTGAGCCGAGATCATGCCACTGCACTCCAGCCTGGGCGACAGAGCGAGACGCTGTCTCAAAGAAAAAAAAAGAATAAAGCTGCTATAAACATTCACATACATGTGTTTGCTGGGCCACAGAGTAGGTTTATGTTTAACTTTAAAAGAAATTGCCAAACTGTTTTTGCAAAGTGGCTCTATCATTTTGCATTCCCACCAGCAATGTATGTGAATTCCAGCTACTTCATACTCTTACCACCTTTTCAAAAACGAGGGTATTTTTTTAATTAGTCATTTAATAGGCATGTTGTGGTATCTCACTGTGGTTTTAATTTGCTATTTCCTAATGATTCATGATATTGAGCCTCTTTTCATGTATTTATTTTCCATCTGTATATGTTCTTTGGTGATGCTTCTGTTCAAATCTTTTGCCCTTTTTTAATTGGGTTTTTGTTTTCACATTGTTGGGTTTTGAGAGTTCTTTATATGTTCTGGATATAAATCACTGTCTGATATATGACTTGCAAATATTTTCTCTCAGTTTGTAGGTTGGATTTTCATTCTCTTAACAGTGTCTTTTGCAGAGCAAATGTTTTTAATTTGGATGAAGTCCAGCTTATCAGCTTTTCTTTTATGGGTTATGCTTTTGGTGCCATATCACAGAACTCTTTGCCTAACCCAAATATTTCTCCTAAAATTTCTCTGAGAAAACACTTTCTCTACTCACACAACACTTCTGACAACTAATGTGTAGGCTGCTTTTTTTTTTTTTTCACACCAAGCAGTTCTCCAACTGTCTAGACACCAATCAGGGGCTCTACAATTCAATTCAGACACTGAAGTTAGCATCAGATCCCACAAGTTGAGGGCTCAGTCCCTCAAGACTGTCCCCACTTCAGATGCTAATTTTAAGTCTGGGCATCCTGTACTTCTGACCTACCAGCTGTGGATTAGGGGGGTTCTGACAGCCTCCTCCTTGGGTTCTATAATTTGCTAGAATGACTCACAGAACTAAGGGAAACACTTTACTTATGTTTACTGGTTTATCATAAAGGATATAACTCAGGAACAGCCAGATGAATGAGATCCATAGGGCAAGGTGTGTGGGGTGCACAGAGCTTCCACGCTGTCTCCAGCATACCACCCTTCCAGGACCTTGGTGTATTCACCAACCTGGGAGCTCCTTAAATCTCCTTGTTCTAGAGTTTCTATAGAGTTTAATCTTCTTCTTCCCAGAGGTCAGTGAGTGGGGCTGAAAATTCCAAATTATAATCACTTATTTTTTCTGGACACCAGCTCCATCCAGAGGCTATCTAGAGTTCCCACCCTGAGTCACCGCATTCATGTAAACTCAGGTGTGACCAAAGGGGTTCATTATAAATAATACAAGATACTCCTATCACTCAAGAAATTATAAGAGTTTTAGGAACTCTGTACCAGGAACCAGGGACAAAGACTGAATACATTTCTTACTATACCACAGTTTTCTTCTACATTTTCTTCCAAGTTTAATGTTTCATGTTTAGATCTATGATCCATTTTGACTTAATTTTTGTATAAGATGTGAGATATGTCAGCCTAAATAACAGACAGGGAGAGGCTCTCTAAAAGAAAATATTTATTCAGGAACAGGGCATTGAAATGGGAATATGTGTGACATAGTAAACTACGTGCTTATTCAGGAAGGTAGAGGGAGACAGAGGTTTTTAAAGGGAACATGAGGAGCATTATGTAATTGTTTCGAGATCATTATTCTTGGCTACAAAGATCAATAACAAGAGCGATGCCAGTCGGAAGTTGGACAGGCAGTTGAATGTTGCAATGGCCTGTGTGCCAGGTTGTAGTTTTTGCCGTCCTTTGTGATAGTTTTGTTATCAGGCATACAAGTGTGAGAACCCTTTCTTTGCAGTCTTCCCTGGCCTATTGGTTAGGTTTTATTTATTTATTTATTTATTTTTATTTATTTTTTGAGACAGAGTCTCATTCTCTCACCCAGGTTGGAGTGCAGTGGTGCTCTCTCGGCTCACTGCAACCTCTGCCTCCCAGGTTCAAGCGATTCTCCTGCCTCAGCCTCCCAAGTAGCTGGGATTACAGGCGACTGCCACCACGCCCGGCTAATTTTTGTATTTTTAGTAGAGACAGGGTTTCACCATGTTGGTCAGGCTGGTCTCGAATTCCTGACCTCGTGATCTGCCTGCCTCGGCCCCCCAAAGTGCTGGGATTACAGGTGTGAGCCACCATGCCCGGCCTATTTATTTATTTTTTAATACTAGTGACTCTGTTTTGATTCTGGCTACTTTCATAGGTGTGGGTCAAGATTCCTATTTTTACATATGAATGTCCGGTTGTTTCAGCACCATTTGTTTAAATAGAATTATTTCTCCATTGAATTACCTTTGCACCTTTGTAAAAAATCAGATTAGTGTTTGCCGGGGTTCAGGGAGGGATTTTGGGGGTGGGAGATGACTGAAAGGTGCAGCACAAGGGAGGTCTTTGTGGCGATGGGACAGTTTTGCATCTTGCTTGTACTGGTGGGTACAGGAAACAACATATGTGGGAAAATGACAGAGCTACATACACACACATTATAAGCATATCAAATTCCTGGTCTTGATATTGTACTGTAATTATGTAAGATGTAACCATTGGTGGTGAAAGGTGCCTAGGACCTCTCTGTACTGCCTTTGTAACTTCCTATGAAACTATAATTATCTTTGCAACTTCTTGTGAATCTATAATTACTTCACAGGATAAAAAGGTTTGTGGGTTTTTTTTTGTTTTTTTTTTTTTTTTTTTTTTTTGAGACGGAGTTTCACTCTCATTGCCTAGGCTGGAGTACAGTGGTGTAATCTCGGCCCACTGCAACCTCCGCCTCCTGAATTCCAGCGATTCTTTTGCCTCAGCCTCCCAAGCAGCTGGGATTACAGGCACCCACCACCATGCCCGGCTAATTTTTGTATTTTTAGTAGAGATGGGGTTTCCCCATGTTGGCCAGGCTAGTCTCGAACTCCTGACCTCAGGTGATCTGTCCGCCTCCGCCTGTTAAAGTGCTGGGATTACAGGCATGAGTCACTGCGCCCAGCCTCTTCACAGGATAAAAAGTTTAAAAAATCAATTGATCGTATTTGTGTGGGTCTATCAGGACTTGCTTTTTTTTTCCCATTGATCTATTTGTCCATCCTTTGTCATTACCACACTCTTCTTTACTGCAATTTTATTAAGTTTTGAAACTGACAAAACTTATGTGACTCATTCAACTTTTTTCTTCTTTTACAAAATTGTTTTACCTATTTGATGTCTTTTGCATTTCTATATGAATTTTAGAATCAGTTTGTTAATTTCTATAAAAAGTCAGCTGGGATTTTGATTATGGAATTGTTTTGACTCTACAGATCAATACTTAACAGTATTAACTCTTCTAATATAATCCTTTGTTTTTAATTTTCACTTTTCGCTTTCAACTTAAAATTCCTCTTCGTCATCTAAAGCTTAAGATGAGAAAGCAGAGTTTTGGCAAGTGTGGGATATCACACCTCCCTCATGGTACAGAAAATATGCAGCCTGGCAGGATAGGTTTCTGAAACTCCAGACCCTGTGCAAGGTTACTTTTGCCTAATACAATGTTGCACATTGGGTCTTTTTTAAAATGTCGATTATTACCATAGCAACTCATACTCCAAGAAGCAAAATACATTTTTAGCTTGATAATTTCTAACGACCTGTCCTAAAATTTCTAATTTTAGAAAGAATAAATACCTTTTAAAAACTCCCATAAGTGGTTTAAAATTTTTAGGTGGGAAAGGCACAGATAGATTCAGGTTTTTATCCATTCTCATATTATAAAGATACATTTTAAAAGCCCCAAACCATTTTCAGAAGTGGAGGAGCAAGACATGGGGCCTGACAAGGTTAAGGTGGTGATAGGTGGTAATCAAATCCCACAGAGCCTGAGTCTCTCTAGAACAGGGTCTGTCTTGTTTACCTTATTATCCCCCAGTACCTGGCACTTTTTTTTCTTTTATTATTATTATACTTTAAGTTCTAGGGTACATGTGCACAATGTGCAGGTTTGTTACATATGTATACATGTGCCATGCTGGTGTGCTGCACCCATTAACTCGTCATTTAGCATTAGGTATATCTCCTAATGCTATCCCTCCCCCCTCCCCCCACCCCACAACAGTCCCCGGAGTATGATGTTCCCCTTCCCGTGTCCATGTGTTCTCATTGTTCAATTCCCACCTATGAGTGAGAACATGCTTTGGTTTTTTGTCCTTGTGATAGTTTGCTGAGAATGATGGTTTCCAGTTTCATCCATGTCCCTACAAAGGACATGAACTCTACATTTTTTATGGCTGCATAGTATTCCATGATGTATATGTGCCACATTTTCTTAATCCAGTCTATCATTGTTGGACATTTGGGTTGGTTCCAAGTCTTTGCTATTGTGAATAACCTGGCACTTTTTTTTAGTAGTTCAATACATATCTGTTGAAAGAGTAAATCAGTTTTGTTGCATAATTTTGGCCTATAGACTTTAGGCCACAATTTTTTTTTTTAAGAGATGGGGTCTCCCTCTATCACCCAGTCTGGAGTGCAGTGATGCGATCACAGCTCATTGGAGCCTCAAATTCCTGGGCCCACGGAGTCCTCCTGCCTCAGCCTCCTGAGTAGCTGGGATTACAGGTGCAAACCACCGTACCTGGCTGGTCTCTAATTTATATTCTCATTCCAAAGTGGATTCATTCCTTGACTAATACTTTACAATAATAGAAGGAAGTCCATATTCTTATGTCCTCTGACCAAGAGTTAATTTTCAAAATAATCAACAGGGAGTGAAAAAATATAATGTCATAGTTAAAGGCTTCAAAGATGTGTTTCAGAGATAGGAGTGAGGAGTCCTTGTCCCACTCAGGAGTGAGTAGAGGGTGTGATATAGTCACTGAGTGAGCCAGAACCACACCCAGGCCAGAACTACTGCCAAGGAATAGAAAGGGGCAATTGGGGATGCGTCAGCTTCCTCTGGATGTGTGAGTGTTCGCTCATCAGCGGAACTGCTAGCTTATAAAACCCAATGCCCTGTCACCTCCAGATCCCCTCAGTGCAAGCTAAAGTAGGGACACATCAATATTCTTCATCGGGGCGCACCAGTGTAGTGAGTCTTTTCAATGCATACTCTTTGTGTTTCCCTGTATTCTAGTTTTATTTTCACATTTACCCGACCAGCTTTGATTGGGCTTCTCATGGTAGACTTTCAGGCCATTGCACAACACTTGATTTTGGTGGCTGAAAGGTGTACCTTAGCTTGGGAACTTATGACTGAAAATTCACGTAAAGCAAGGCCTGACTTCTAGGTAGCCTGGAACTGTGTTCCCTGAGCCAAGTCAACATTTTGTCACAGGCTATACCACGCTTTGGTATTTCTCACTCAAAAGCAAAAAATGGAAGAGACTTTAAAATATTTCCCTGCTGGATATAGTAACTTTTTTTTTTTTTTTTGATGTGGTCTTGTTCTGTCGCCCAGGCTGGAGTGCCATGGTGCGATCACTGTTTGCTGCAGCCTTAACCTCCAGGCCCAAGCAGTCCTCTTGACTTAGCCACCCAAGTAGCTGGGGCCACAGGTGCATGCCACCATGCCTGGCTAATTTTTTTTTTTATTTTTTTTCTAGTGATGGGGTCTTGCTATGTTGCTCTGGCTGGTCTCAAACTCCAGGCCTCAAATGATTCTCCCACCTCAGCCTTCCAAAGTGCTGAGATTACCGGCATGAGCGACTGTGCTTGGCTGTAACCATTTTTAAATATAAATGCCTGATAAAGCAAAGTTGGAGTATCATTTAAATAATAATAGAATATAAAATATAATTATGATAAGAATAGAATGTAAATGAGCTATTATTTAATGATCAATGAGGAGTATGTTTAATTAAATTTTTACCTTACAGATCATCATGGTAAACTCTGTCTCTGACCTTCACGGCTACATCGACAAAAGCCAACTGACCCGGGAATTAGGGGGGACTTTGGAATATCGCCACGGTCAGTGGGTAAATCACCGCACTGTGAGTACCAGCTTACGTGTGCTTTTCACTGTCTCTCCTTGTTTTCTGGAAGATGGGGTGGGGGAGTTAAAGATCAACTGCCAGGAGGTCACCCTGTGACTGCCTGACCTTGGGGTGGTTGGGATTTCTCAGCCACAGGGTGGGGAAGAAGGAGTGTGGAAGGGCGAAGGCTGGGATTTCTCCTGTTGACCACCTTACCCCACTGCATCTCCCGGTGTGGGGGTTTTGGGACACTTACCTTCGAATGCACCTGGGAAGTTTCCAGAAACACCAATAGCCTGTTATACCTCAGAGAAACTAATTTACTTCATGTGGGATGGGTCTTAGACATTAACACACCACAGAACTCCCCAGATGATTCTAACGTACATACATATTGACACCCATGAAGTCAGAAGAAGCTACATTTAAATAGTGTCACCCCCCGGGGACTACTATAGGTGAGAAGGTGGGAGGGGGACAAGGATTGTAGAACTATTGGGTACGATACTCACTACCTGGGTGACAGGATCAACTGTACCCCAAACCTTGGCATCATGCAATATACCCATGTAACAAACCTGCACATGTACCCCCGAATCTAAAATCAAAGTTGAAATTAATTTTAAAAAATTGTCACAATAACATGTTGTCTGATGTTGGGTGAGTTTCTAAGCATTTCTGAGCTTGTTTCTTCATCTGTTAAAATGGGACTAACACAGTATTTCTCTATAGGGGATAATTTTGCCTGCCTCCTACATTTGTCAATATCTTTAGACTTTTTTGTAGTCATAACTTAGTGGGGAAAGTTAACTGGTATCTGGTGGGTCGTCAGGGACTCCGCTGAACACCTTACAATGCTCAAGACAGCCTCCCACAACAAAGAATCCTCTGGCCCAAAGTGTGAATAGCCAATGCTGAGAAACCCCGGACTAACGAAAGCCTCCTGAAAGTTTGATGTGGGGAATAAGTGATGTATTGTCTGTGAAAGCACCTGATATATAGTATTTTACTTTTTCCTACCTACTGATACTGGTGATTGTTATGCTAAGTTAGGAGTTTCAGTAATATTGAGGAAAAAGATCAAAACTCATAGTCATGGCTTGAATGTTGGCGTCCCCTCAAAATTCACATGTTGGAACCTAATGTGATAGCATTAAGAGGAGGGGGCTTTTGGGATGTATTAAGTCATGAAGGCTCTGGCATCATAAATGGAGTTAGTGCCCTTGCAAAAGAGGTTGAAGGGAGCTGTTATGCCCCCTCTGCCCTGTAAGGGCACAGAAGGCATCCTTTATGAGGAACAGACCTCCACCAGACACCAAATCTGCTGGGGCCTTGATCTTGAACTTCCCAACTTCCAGAACTGTAACTGTGAGAAATCAATTTCTGCTGCTTATAAATTACCCAGCCTAAGGTGTTTTTGTTATAGGCCATCCCTGGCCTAGTATGTAGCCATGGTTTGTGGTTGTGTATGTGCTGAACATTTTCTAGTGAACTTTAAAAAATACAACTAGTATTGAAAGACCAGAGATATTCTTTACATGCCTTTTACATGTATATATTTTTTATACACACACATACAGTCGTGTTTCATTTTATTATGCTTCACATTAGTGGGCTTCACAGATATTGCAATTTTTTTAAATTGAAGTTTCGTGGCAACTTTGTGTTGAACAAGTCTATCAGCACCATTTTTCCAACAGTATGTGCTCACTTCGTGCCTCTCTGACAAATTTTTGCAATTCTTGCAATATTTCAGAGTTTGTTATTACTATTATATTTGGTTTCTTTTTCTTTCTTTCTTTTTTTTTTTTTTTTGAGACAGAGTCTTGCTCTATCACCCAGACTGGAGTGCAGTGGCACAATCTCAGCTCACTGAAACCTCAGCCTCCTGGGTTCAAGCAATTCTTCTGCCTCAGCCTCCCAAGTAACTGGGATTACAGGCACGCGCCACCACGCCCAGCTAATTTTTGTATTTTTAGTAGAGACAAGGTTTCACCATGTTGGCCAGGCTGGTCTTGAACTCCTGACCTCAAGTGGTCTGCCCGCCTTGGCCTCCCAAAGTGCTGGGATTACAGGCATGAGCCACTGCACCCGGCCAACTGTTATATTTGTAACAGTGATCTGTGGTCAGCAATCTTTGGTGTTGCTATTGTAATTGTTTTGGGGTGCCGAAAACTGCATCCATGTAAGACAGTGAACTTAATGGATATATGTTGTGTGTGTTCTGACTGATCCACCAACTGGTCATCACCTGTCTCTCTCCCTCTCCTCGGGCCTCCCTACTCTCTAAGACAGAACAATATTGAAATTAGGCCAATTAATTACCTTACAATGACCTCTAAGTGTTCAAGTGAAAGGAAGAATGGCCTGTCTCTCACTTTAAATCAAAAGCTTGAAACGATTAAGCTTAATGAGGAAGGCATGTCAAAAGTTGAGACAGGCAGAAAGCTAGACCTCTTAGCCTAGCCAGTTCGCCTAGTTGTGAATGCAAAGGAAAAGTTCTTGATGGAAACTAAAAATGCTACTCCAGTGAATACATGAATGATAAGAAAGCAAAATAGCCTTCTTGCTGATATGGAGAAAGTTTTAGTGGTCTGGGCCTGGATAGAAGATCAAACCACCCACAACATTTCCTTAAGCCAAAGCCTAATCCAGAGCAAGGCCCTAGTTCTCTTCAACTTTATTAATGAGAGAGATGAAGAAGCTGCAGAAGAAAAGTTTGAAGCTAGCAGGGGTTGGTTTGTGAGGTTTAAGGAAGGAATTCTTCTCTGTAACATACAAGTGCAAGGTGCTGCTACAGAAGCTGCAGCAAGTTATCCAGAAGATCTAGCTAAGATCATTGCTGAAAGTGGCTATACTCGGCTCGGCGCAGTGGCTCATGCCTGTAATCCCAGCACTTGGGAGGCCGAGGTGGGCAGATCACCTGAGGTCAGTAGTTCAAGACCAGCCTGGACAACATGGTGAAACCCTGTCTCTACTAAAAATATGAAAAATTAGCTGGGCGTGGTGGCGGGTGCCTGTCATCCCAGCTACTCAGGAGGCTGAGGCAGGAGAATCGCTTGAACCCGGGAGGCGGAGGTTGCAGTGAGCTGAGATCGCGCCACTGCACTCCAGCCTGGGCAACAAGAGCAAAATTTGTCTCAAAAAAAAAAAAAAAAGAAAAGAAAAAGTGACTACACTCAACAACAGATTTTCAATGTAAATGAAACGGCATTCTATTGGAAGAAGATGTCATCTAAGACTTCCATAACTAGAGAAGTGAATGCCTGGCTTCAAAGCTTAAAAGGACAGGCTGACTCTCTTGTTAGGGGCTAATGCAGCTGGTGACCTTAAATGGAAGCCAATGCTCATTTACCACTCCAAAAATCCTAGGGCCCTTAAGAATGAGGCTAAATCTACTCTGCCTGTGCCCTAGAAATAGAACAACAGAGCCTGGATGGCAGCACTTCTGTTTACAGCATGGTTAACTGCATATTTTAAGCCACCTGTTGAGACCTCCTGCTTAGACAAAAAGATCCTTTCAAAATATTACTGCTTATTGGAGATTCACCTGGTCACCTGAGAGCTCTGATGGAGATGTACAAGGAGTTGAATGTTTTCATGCCTGCTAACACAACATCTATGCTGCAGCTTGTGGATCAAAGAGCAATTTCAACTTTCAGTTTTACTATTTAAGAAATATGCTTTGTAAAGCTATACCTGCCATAGATAGTGATTCCTCTGATGGGTGTCAGTAGAGCAAATTGCAAACCTTCTGGAAAGGATTCATCATTCTGGATGCCTTTAAGAACATTAGTGATTCATGGGAGGAAGTCAAAATATCAGTATTAACAGGAGTTTGAGAGAAGCTGATTCCCACCCTCATGGATGACTTTGAAGGGTTCAAGACTTTAGTTGGGGAAGTAACTGCAGGTGTGGTGGAAATAGCAAGAGAACTAGAAGTGGAGCCTGAAGATGTGACTGCATTGCTGCAACCTCATGATAAAGCTTGAATGAATGAAGAACAGTTTTTTACGGATGAGCAAAAAAAGTGATTTCTTCATCTTTCTGGTGATGACGTTATGCACATTGTTGAAATGACAACAAAGGATTTAGAATATTCCATAAACTTAGTCTACAAAGCAGTGGCAGAGTTTGAGAGGATTAACTCCAATTTTGAAAGAAGTTCTATTGTGAGTAAACTGCTACCAAACAGTTTCGCATGCTACAGAGAATTCTTTCATGAAAGGAAGTCAATTGATGTGGCAACTTCATTGTTGTCTTACTTTAAGAAATTGTCACCACCATTCCAGCCTTCGGCAACCATCACCCTGATCAGTCAGCAGCCATCCACATTGAGGCAAGACCCTCCGGCAGCAAAAAGATTGTGATTTGATGAAGGCCCAGAAGATGGTTAGCATTTTTTAACAATAAAGTATTTTGAAATTAAGGTATGTGGAATTTTTGACATAATGCTATTGCACACTTAATAGACTACAGTATACTGTAAACATAACTTCCCTTTGCACTAGGACACAAAAGAATTTTTGTGACTCACTTTATTGTAACATTGGCTTCATTGCAGTGGCCTAGAACCAAACCCACAATATCTCTGAGGTTTGCCTGTATATATAACTAGGAATAATATAACCACACATATACAGTACATATTGTTTTATAAGTGAGATATATAGATTCTTTTCTGTGTGACAGTGCATTTTCTGGGTGTCACCTCTTTGAACGAGAGACTCAGAAAGTTAGAACTCAAAGGAATCTTAAAGATCGTGTGACTCAATCACTTTATTTTATAGATAAATAAACTGACGTTCAGTGTAAAGAGGTGACTTATCCAAAGTCATTTGGTCAACTAGTGGCAGCATTGAGACTAAAACCAGCCTCTTTTTAATCTCCCTATCAGAATCAGGTCCTCTATACCATTTCCAAGGTGAGGTGATTATTCACTAATTTTATCAACTAAATCTGTTGTCTTTCCATCAAGACAGCATGTTGGTGAATGTTAATCTCTCCATATTGTTACAATTGTCTGACCTTCCAGGCCATCGAAAACTTTGCCTTGACCTTGAAGACCACTGCCCAGATGCTGCAGACGTTTGGGTCCTGCCTGGCCACAGCAGAGCTGCCCAGAAGCATGCTATCCACGGAAGACCTTCTCATGTCCCACACAAGGCAGCGGGACAAGCTGCAGGTGAGCGGTCAGTGACCTCTCAGAGGCCAGTGTCTGTGCCAGCAGGTATGCCTGCCTCTCGGAGAGAGCTGGAAGCAGAATTAACAGTTAAGCCCTCGTTTTCCTTCTTCTTTAGTGACTTGGAAGCCACTGATCATCTTAAACCTTCCAGACAGGCAGTTTGTAATGAAAGAAATCTCTTGAGACTGGGTGGTGAGTGAGTCTCTTGAGACTGGGTGGTGAGTGAGTCTTTTGAGACTGGGTGGTGAGTGAAGAACGGTGGGAAGCAGCACAGGGAAGGGCTTTTCCAGCTTTGTCCGGGTGAGCTGAGGCATGTGAGCACCCTTTCAAGGGTTGCCCTCTCGTGATCCTGCTCAGGACAGAGCAAGACAGAACGTGCTGAAATTGCAGGGGTAGGGGCTGGCTTTTGAAGTATAAGCTTTCCAGCAGTGGTTGTAAAGTTTTGGGGCAGACTAATAAGCGGACTTATTGCTTCACTTTCTCAGGAGTGCATCTTTTTATTTGGGGATGAATTTGAGAAAAAGGACTACGGAAGGCACCCTGTCCTGAGTTGAAGGTCAGGCACCTATTAAATGATTCGTAAAAGCACGTCAGAACCTGCCGAGAAAAGGGAGCTTGGCAGGTTCTTTCACTCATGCAGTACAGGGAAATCTTCCCGGGGCTTCTCCCTGGATGAGTGTTGGCACCTTTCTACCTTGAGAAGCACAAACAGAACGAACCCATTATTTCACAGAAGCCCAGTTTTCAATAGGGCAGCAAAATGAGGATTGGACGGTCAGTGTATGTGTCTTGGCCTCATGGAACTTGGGAAGAGTTGAACTGTTGTGTCTGTGACCAAAAATTTGCAAAAATGCTTTGCTAGATGGTTGATTTGTTCGTTTATTCAACATTTATTGAGCACCTACCACTACTTGCCAGGAAAACCAAAAACTCAACCTTAACGAACACAGTCTAGTTAGGAGAGTCTCAGAGTCTAGTAATTGAGGCAAATTAATGCTTCCATGTGACAGGGAACACCATTAAATTCAGTCTTTAAGGAGGTTGTTATTCAAAAAAACAATGGCCGGGCGTAGTTGGTTCACGCCTGTAATCCCAGCACTTTGGGAGGCCGAGGTGGGCGGATCACTTGAGGTCAGGAGTTCAAGACCAGCCTGGCCAACATGGTGAAACCCTGTCTCTACTAAAAATATAAAAATTAGCCAGGCTTGATGGCAGGTGCCTGTAATCCCAGCTACTCAGGAGGCTGAGGTGAAAGAATTGCTTGAAGCTGGGAGGCAGAGGTTGCAGTGAGCCGAGATCTCGCCACTGCACTCTGTCCTGGGTGACAGAGCGAGACTCCATCTCAAAACAACAAAAACAACAACAACAAAAGAGAAAAAATATATTCCAAAGATTACTGTCAGTAATCAAAATATCTGGAATGGGCTGGGTGCAGTGGCTCATGCGTGTAATCCTAGCACTTTGGGAGGCTGAGGTGGGCAGATCACCTGAGGTCAGGAGTTCGAGACCAGCCTGGACAACATGGGGAAACCTTGTCTCTACTAAAAACACAAAAATTAGCTGGGCATGGTGGCAGGCACCTGTAATCCCAGCTATTCAGGAGGCTGAGGCAGGAGACTCGCTTGAACCCGGGAGATGGAGGTTGCAGTGAGCCGAGATCATGCCACTCCACTCCAGCCTGGGTGACAGAGTGAGACTCCATCTCAAAAACAAAACAAAACAAAACAAAACAAAAAAACACCAAAATAAAACAAACAAAAAAAAAAAATCTGGACTGAAATTGTAAAATCCTGATGACATCATGAAAATTTTCCCTGAAAATGCCTCTGAGAAGCTTGGCCTTTGCTTTTCCAAACCTACTGGCTAAGTTCACGTGATTCCTAGGAGGTATGAGTTGCTGAAAGCAGGGTCCAGGTGCCTCCATGAAGTGTGCTAGGAAGGAGTTTGCAGTTGCACAGGCCCACAGGTGGTCCCTGACCAAAAGGAGTCTGCAGAGTGGTCCTGTTGGTGCAAAGGGGTGTCATGGGAAGGACGCCCAGCGCGGCAAGGACTGTGAAACTGAGCTGTGTGCCTTGGGCTCATGAGCACGGTGCGTTCTTTGCCTCAATCCAAGAAGGGCGTGGAGAGGTCGAAGAGCAGAAGCACCGGGATGACAATGTGGTCAGTCAGGAAGGTCTCTGGAGAAAAGGTTAAAACATTTAGATTTTTAGATAAGGACACATAACTAGGGGGTGAAAACCAGCCAGTCAGGTCTTGCTGTATATGCTGGTGGGCAAGGCAGAGGGGTGGGGACAGGGAAGGCAGATGAGTGGGTGTTCTATAGTTTCTCTACACAGGCAAAGAGTTCTGCAGAGGTAAAAAGGTGGGAAAGAACCAGCTTCCAGGATGGAGTAAGAGGATTTCCTTATGCATGCTAACCAGCTGTTCTCAGAATTAAAACAGGCAGCTCTGAGCAAAGGAGGCTAAGACTTCTCTCAGGTTATGGGTTGGAGTAACCTTGGAGGCCACATAGTTAGAAGTATTATTTGACATTTATACTCTATTACATTAATTTGGTTAAACACCCCCTATCCAACCTGTAAGACAAGTGAAAGGAAATTAGAAGGTTCCATTTAATTGGCCTTTTAGTAAAAGAAATGCTTGCATTTATATTCCATGCAGCTCTAAAATCATGGTGAAGACCTAAAATTATTTTAAGACAAAATTCTCAAAGCGATTTAATTTGTCCAAGTGTTTACCTCGATTAAGAATATTAAGTGAATTTGGATTTAAAATATTATCTTTATTTTACCAAGTAATATTAACATCCTTTAAAAGACAATACAGGCTGGGCACAGTGGCTCAATCCTGTATGTAGTCCCAGCACTTTGGGAGGCCGAGGCGGGGGTGGATCACCTGAGGTCAGGAGTTCGAGACGAGCCTGGCCAACATGGTGAAACCCCATCTCTACTAAAAATACAAAAATTAGCCGGGAATGGTAGCTGGCACCTGTAATCCCAGGTACTCAGGAGGCTGAGGCAGGAGAATCACTTGAACTCGGGAGGCAGAGGTTGTGGTGAGCTGAAATCACTCCATTACACTCCAGCCTGGGCAACAAGAGTGAAATTCTGTCTCAAAAAAAAAAAAAAAAAAAAAAAAAAAAAAAAAAAAAAAAAAAAAAGAAAAGAAAAAAAGAGATACTGTTTAAACTTGTATTAATAACTTAGTAGGTTTTTGTGGTTATTTATGCATATTTTATTTTACCGTGAGTGGTCTTTTACCTACCTTTTAATCAAAGATTCTATATGTCGTCAAATAATTTCTTTTCCAGCTGGAAAAGTGAAAAACTATTATAAGATTCATTCTTCAGTACAGTGAACTTTTATATCTATTTAATTATCTATAAAAGTTGTAGCGTGTGATATACCATTTTCTCCCAGCCTGGAGAGTGTTTTTTCCTAAACAACTAGCACAGCTTAGGGGATTTGGCTTGATTTCTTGAATTCCTTTCTCCTGGGATTTTTGAGATCTCTTATCTTAGGTATATGTGTCTGGTCGCCCAAACAATCAAACAGAATAGGAGAGCCATTGAGTTGGAGAGGTTTTCAGCCTTACTTGCTATTTCTCCAGGGAGTTGTTACTATTTTGTTCAAAATAATCTTCCAGTAGAACCTCTTTTCTTTTGGCCCTTCAGTATATTAAACCAGTATGTTCACACAGAAAAAAATCTCTAAACATCCACAGTGGAACAATCGTATCAAACTTCTAAGCAAACTGATGACTTTAAAGAAGGCTCTTCCCCAGAAACATAAATTCTTTCCCCCAGCCTGAGCTACAGTTTGGGCCTTAATGTATTCTTACAATCAGAGAGTGCTCCCGACTTCAGTAAGTGCTATTTTCTCTCCAATCAAATTGCGGGCACCTTGGGCTTCATGATAAATTTGAAACCTTATTTTCTCTGTGATTTCACTCTCATCTGAGGGACAGAAAGGAAGAGCAAGTCTTGTAAACACAAGCAGCTTTAGCCTTCCCTGGGAGAGCTCAGCTCCTGATGAGTGAGACAAGCAGACAGGACTCAGCTGCCCGTCATTCCTGCTGTGTGCCTTTCCACCCATCAAGGAGAGTACGAGCAAGTGCTCAGGGCACACGCACAACGGCACCTCCACCTCGTCTGCCAGTTGGATCCTGTTCCAAGGTGGTGGTGGGGCTCCCATTTTCTGAGGAAAGGGAACTTTGGTAGGCAATGAGCTATCTCTCAGTTTATAAGCAGTCCTTACCCTGCCACCAACGGGACCCTGTCTGCACAGGGAAAAGGAGACTCTCCGAAAGGGAGCATGAACTTATACACATGTTCTGGAAGATAGTGCCCTGAGTTTCTCCTCCAGCCTGAGTGCGGGCAGTAAAAAAATTAAATACCCAAAAAGTTTATTTTCTTTCCATGGAAACTGAAACTCCATTTTTAAAAAGGCTGAGCAACTTCCCCTTACCCTTTCCAAGTACCGTAGTTGCTCCATCTTTCCGTCTGTGTTCATGACAGATTTTTGTAACCCTACTCAAGTTGACCCTGTGGTTGAATCCCAAAGCAGTCACCAGGTCACAATTTTTGCTTGTATCCTTTTTAAACAGTGTAAAGGGGATATATAGTGTGTGACATCACTTGTGAAGATTCACCTTCCCTGTCTCACACACTTTCCTCATTCATGCTCTGCCGCACTTTGGATGTATCCCTCTTCCCAGCTTCCCCCTCCAGTGTCTCCTTCTGCTATACCAATATGGCGTTTCTCCTTTAGCCTCTCCACCTTTCTTCCCAACTCTTCCTCACATATGGATATGTGTGTGTGTGTGTGTGTGTGTGTTGCTGGAAGCTCAGCAGCAGTTAAGAAAATGAGTGGGAAAAGCCAAGACCCTCTTTAGTAGGTGGGATGAGGAAATGGCTAAGATACTGACCCAAGAGTACATTTTTCCATCATATCTAATTTGTCTTTATTCATCTGCAACCTGACTTCTTTTAGGCTGTTATTAATTTATCCAACCTACAAATATTTCATGAGCATTGATGAGATAAGAAATGAGGGCTGACACATGAGAATGGAAAAGAAGAGATATGCCTGATTCCCAGGCAAAAGTGCCAGCCATGTGGCTAATGTGGGGCACTGTTTGGAGTGGACAGAGCCAGAGGAGGTGTCCAAAGAACCCTGAAGGGCCAGCTCAGGGAAGCCAAGTCCATCATCAGCCAGATCCAGGGCCAGGTTTGAGGATGGGTATGGCAATGTAACCCTTCCAGGGGAAATTCTGGAGTAGGATGGGACACAAGGAACAAAGGTACCAGCTTGAGAGGGTCCAGGACTTCTGTGTGATCAGAGTGGGGAGGTCTAAAACTCTTCCCACAGGGAATGAGCTCTAGGCTGTGTGAAGACCACACAGGTGGCTGGGCCTAGAGGAAGTGATTCAGTGTTTGCGTGCAGAGGTGATCCCTTGATTTGTTTTAGAAGTATGGGCCTGTTCTAATGCTCAAGGGCATACCAAACCAGCCTCCTCTGACCCAGGAACCAAACCCATAATTCCCAAGCACAAAATTCTAGGTCAGGCTCTGCCACTTTTGTTTTGCAGTCTGGACTTTCTTTATGGGTAAGGCTCAGGGCAACGAATGATGACCTGCACTGTCCAAGGAAAGGACTACAGCTGTTGGCTTTGGAAGGAAGTAGCCTTCCACAGCTGCATAGTACTAAGTCTCTGTTAAAAGAGTAGAATGGGGGGTTGGCTTGGAAGTATGAATCTTTCCATGTTAAAATGAAATTGCTGCCCATATCTGCCAAACTTAAATAATTAAACAAGGCCATAGTTGGTTGGCAGGTGGAGGGAGAGGCAGGTGTTTATTGATGAGACCAACTGAAGTATTTTTATGATCAACTAGCAGTTATTACATTATTATTGCTCAGTAGTTTCTAGCGTTCAACATTCAGTATCTATCATTTTCTTGTTTCTGGTCACTATCTTGGATTAAAACTAGATTGTATTAACTAGTTTTGCTTTTAATTTACAACAATAGCTTGAGATATACAAAAAGCAGATGTTGATTTTGAAGAGGAAAAATATACTTTTTTTGATGTATACCCTTTCGGATATTTTGAATTTTGTATCATGTCGGTGTGTTACCTGTCAAGGATAAGTTAATTGATTAAAGCTGCATCTTGACTTCATCAGCATTTAATTTCCTAAATGAAAAATGTACTGATCTACTATTCTCTTCACCTCAATTCTACCAAGAATTTGTTTTTTCTAATTCGTTCTAAGAGAGACTACTTTTATTTTCTAGGATGAGCTGAAATTACTTGGAAAGCAGGGGACCACATTGCTGTCATGCATCCAAGAACCAGCAACCAAATGTCCCAACAGCAAACTCAATCTCAACCAACTTGAGAATGTAACTACCATGGAAAGGTGAGTGAGTGAAGTGGAATCAGCCTTTTCAGGAGAGAATATGTAGACCTAGATGTTCTGGAGCAACCAAGAACAGATTGGAACAGCCAATATTGGGTCTTGGTGGGGCCAAGGAAGAAGAATATTTGAGACAACAAAGGAAAAAAGAATACGTCCGTCTGGCATCCACATACAGAGATCTTTTTATGAGCATTCTATTCCCCCCTCTTCAATGTATATGACATGTTCCCACCCTAGGATTTTGAGGGAGAGGGTAGTATTTACTGGGCTTCATTTCCAAGTAACAGTTTAGCTTGGAGCTGTGCTTTATATTCGTGTAGTCTCAGGTAGAAAGAAAGAAGGCATGAAGGTAAGATCAGCCGGAGCACATTCTAAAGCACAGCAGCTGCATCTGAAGCAAAGTCACTGCCTGCACTGTGGATGTCCTGATTGGAAAATGAAAGGTGCAAAGCCTGCTGAGCCAGAAGAAAGGCATAGGTGACACATGCTTTCATAATAATGAGATGGTCACAATTGACACCACTGACCGAAGACACAGGTGTTCTAGCCATAGGCCTATATGGATGCCTGTGGAAATGAATGCTAACCTAACATCACTTTCTCATTCTTTCTTGAAAGGTTATTAGTTCAACTGGATGAAACAGAAAAAGCCTTTAGTCACTTTTGGTCTGAGCATCATCTGAAGCTTAACCAGTGCCTACAACTACAGCATTTTGAGCACGATTTTTGTAAGGTATTCTTTTCTTGTTTACTGTAACTTTCTTTTCTGGTACCGGGACCTCTGGTTTTCTCTCCCTCCTCACTCTTTGGTATGGGGTTTCCCTCTTTTCCCTAATCCAGCTTTCTCCTTATCTCCTTGCTTCTTTACAGACCACCCCCTCCAACCCCCTTCTCACTTTTTCAGTGGAGTCAAACTGTTCTAGAATCCCATTTACCTGTTGATGTACATGGCATTTCAGTGATGGTTTATCTTCCTTTTTTTTTTGAAACAGGGTCTTGCTCTGTCACTCCGGCCGGAGTGCAGTGGTGTGATCATGGCTCACTGCAGCTTTGATCTTCTGGGCTCAAGCTATCCTCCCACCTCAGCCTCCCAAGTAGCTGGAATTACAGGCATGCCCCACCATCACACCCGGTAATTTTTTTTTTGAGTTGGAGTCTCACTCTGTTGCCCAGGCTGGAGTGCAATGGCGCGATCTCAGCTCACTGCAACCTCCGCCTCCCAGGTTCAAGCGATTCTCCTGCCTCAGCCTCCTGAGTAGCTGGGACTACAGGTGCCCACCACCACACTCAGCTAATTTTTTGTATTTTTGGTAGAGATGGGGTTTCACTGTGTTAGCCAGGATGGTCTCAATCTCCTGACCTCTGTGACCTACCTGCCTCGGTCTCCCAAAGTGCTGGGATTACAGGCGTGAGCCACTGCGCCCGGCCCAGATAATTTTTAAATATTTTTGCAGAGACGAGGTCTCCCTATGTTGCCCAGGCTGGCCTCGAACTTCCAAGCACAAACAATCCTCCTGCCTCAGCCTCCCAAAGTGCTGTGATTATAGGCATGAGCCACTGGACCCAGCTGTCTTCCTTTTTGATTGATTATCTGTTGAATATAGTTCTAATAGTTCAGCTACAGGTGAATTCTGCACCCCCAGCTTAATTTGAAAGTTAGTGAGCTGCAAAAAAAAAATTTTTAACATATATAGATATATACAAGTCTTGAATCCTTTTTGGAATTTTGAGTTTTCTTGAAGCATAACAAACCTATACCTTCAGGTGAGTGAGTGTTGGTTTACTTCTGGACTGTTCTAATGTTTCTTGTAGGCTAAGCTTGCCCTGGATAATTTGCTGGAAGAGCAAGCAGAGTTTACAGGCATTGGAGACAGCGTGATGCACGTGGAGCAGATTCTTAAGGAACACAAAAAACTGGAGGAAAAAAGCCAGGTTTGCTTTCTGACATTTTTGTGTACTGGGAGGGAGGTTGCTGTGGACAATGATGGATCATGTCCAGTCATTGCTATTGGAAGGTTGCTAAAGGACACAGGAATGCCCAGTCCTGCCCTTCAGTCACCCCAGGATCCCAAGGAGAGAGGCACATTAACAACTGCTATGAATAATACGGGCAGCACAGAGTCCTATTAAAGCTGCCGGAACATACAGTTGCAGTTGGACGCTCAGGTCGGGTGAGGACTCTGGACCAGCCCTGCCCTCTCACGTGGTCAGCAGCCAAGTGGGAGAAGGTCACAACAGGCTCATCACTCACCAGAACAATTATATCAGAGGCTCACCCATCAGCTTGAGCTCCTCCCTGGAGCCTGGACTAGGGGGCTGGGGGTTGTGGGGTTGGTAGTAAGGATGGGAAACTTTCAAAGGAGAAACCAGAAAAAAAAAAACAACTAGTTTTATACCTGGAGCAAGACAATTAGATGGGGGAAATTGGTCCATGTTAGTTCCATTGCTACACAGAATTGGCAAAGCTTTCTCCTTTCTCATGTCCCAAGAGTTGTAAATGTGAAACTTGTAAAAGAATATGTATTTTACAGTCCCATACTGGAATTAAACAGTGTCCCAGATCCGCACACAAGTCAGCATTTAGAAATGATTCCATTTTAAGTGTTTACAGATTTGGTTTATTACAAATGAAGAAAGCTGAGTCGTCTCTTTCCAGAGAAGTTCCTTTCTGCTTGTTTGAAATTAGGTTCTCTATATTTTTGGGTCTTGGGGACCAAGTCCCCTGTGGTTAGCGCTTCCTTTCTTAGCTAATCTGGAGGCATGTTTCTCAGACGGCAATTTTGCAGTACTAGAGATTTGCCAAAGTGTGAGCCTCTGGCCAGCAGCACAGATGTCACCTGAGTAAGCGCTAATTAGAAATATAAAATCTCAGACCCCACCCTGGAATTGGAATCTGCATTTTAAGAAGATCCCCAGGTGATTGACTTGTACGTTAAAGTTGGAGACACACACCCCTAAAGGATACAAAACAAAGTATACCAAGGCCACACTGACTCTAAGAGCTGTTGGTTGTAGATTCTGAGCTGCAGGTGCTTGTGCACATGCATGAACACACAAACCCAGCTGTGTATCCAGATCCCCATTCAGGAATCCCATCCCTTCACAGCGAGCGCTCTTTCTCTTACCAGTGACCATTTGACAGATAAACTAGTGCTAAAGACACATGAGTCATCAGGAACATTTATCAAACAATGGAAAAGTTGAATTTCATATATATGATGACTAGATACCTTAGATTCTCCAGGACAGCCCCAACCTTATATCATTTTAGTTTTTTCAAAATAATTTTTTACTGAATATAGATACTATATTTTTTTGCTTATTCATATATTAAGAAAAAGTGCCTCATCAAAAAAAATGCCTTCATATATATATGAAAGTAGCTACTGACCTATCCAGAGGGTTATTTATTCATCAAGAGGTATTCCTTATCCTAGGTTCCGTGGGTGCAGCGGTGAGCCAGACAGTCCAGAATCTGCCCTCATGGAGCTTACATTCTACTGGAGAGAGACAGTTCACTAAAAAGCAATCAAATAAATAATAACATCAGATAGTAACAAGTGATATAAAAAAGAAAACAAGATATAATAGAAAGTGACTGGGGATGCTACTTTAGCTAGAATGGTCTGGAAAGGCCTGAGAAGACGACCTTTGGTCTGAGATCTGTTTGATCTGTGTAATCATGCAAAGACTTAGGGAATAGTATCAAAGCAAGAGCGAGCTGCAGGTGCAAAGGTCCTAAAGTGGAAATGAGCTTGGTGAGTTCAAGGAACATTGCTAGAGCAGGTGGGCCAGGAGGAAATGAGTGAACAGAGATGAGCAGAGGCCAGGTAGTCCTGTTGCACCCTGAGATCTTTTGTGAGGATTTGAATTTTATTCTCAGTGGAACAGAAAGCCCTTGGAAGGCGCTCTGGGCTGTGTCTTGAATAGTGGCGATGGATCTGCATGACTGCATCACATTCTTTCTTCTGCCCACTTCCTTGAACTTGTGGTCCTTGGTATATACTTCAAAAGTTGCTGACCAGAGTTAGGGATGAAACCTGTGGTTATGGAACACAGGAATGCTCTGTGAACCCATGACCCACCTTTCGTGGGCAACATTCTTGAAGCAGCTAGACTAGCCCACTGTGGATGACCTGTGACTTGCAGGATTTGCAGACCTGTCACATCCTATGACTTGCAGATCTTATTTCTAAACTTGCTTCCTGAAGGATGTAGTACACCTGTGTCTCTGCCTTTGCGTAAATCAAACAAAGCTGTCTCATCGTAACTGAGATCGTTTTCAATATATCTTCCCTCAGACTTCTCAGACACATGGCTTCTTCAGATGATTAGGGCTTGGCTAATCTTTCCATTTGTCCTTTAAAGTGTTAAAGGAACAAGACTGTGTCTGGCCACAATCTGACAAATATCTGCCTGGAGTTTGTCCTTTACTCGGCACTAAGGGGCCAGCTCCCTCCCAGCACAGCCACACGCTGGCTCTGGGGTGTTGCCAGCTTCCTTATTCCACACAGTGACATCATTCTCACAAGTAACCTCAGTCAACTCACTAACCAGGCTCCTGTCGCATGCTGATTCAGCCTGTTCTTTATCTTGTTCTCGTTTGAGGGTTTAGCAGTCTTTTGAATGCTCCTTCCTGATTCTGAAAAACAGTAGTTTCAACCACTTACAGAAGGTCTTCTATAAAAGCAGAACTTGCTGCAGGGTTTTGACTGTGGGCCGTACTGAGACCCTTGCTGAGGGGCCAGCAGGGAACAGACCAGGACAGGGTGGAGGAACCACCTGATTTCAGCCTTGACCTCTCCCCATAAGGGTGCTGTGTCTAAGAAGGCATGGAACCCAGGCCATTAACATCTAAGGATGTCATCTTGTTGGAGGGTCATGGCTTTGTGTACATGTGTGAAATTTTCAAACACACAGAGAAGCAGATAGACTGGCACAATGAACTCCAAGTGTCCATCATTCAATTTCAACAACCATTAGCTTTCTGCCTTTCTTGTTTCATCTGGCCCACCTCCCCATACACACACTCCATCCCTGTGGATCCTCTGTGGGTTTGTTCTAGATTCCCGGATAGAGTAGCATCACTCGCTTTCTCGCCACTTTCTTCCCTAGTAGGCACTCTCATCTCTCATCTGTTATACCAGCAGAGTCCTCGGGGGGAAATAAACTTATTTCAATAAAGATTTCTGATTGCAACTTCTAAGCTGAAACTTGACGATCCAGCCTTCTGGAATTTTCAGCATCTGAAAGATCCCAGATGGGCTTGTGATCAGAAGATTTTAGCCATTTTTTCCCTCACTCTTTCTTTTTTACTTTGGAGATTTTGATGACTATTTATCCTGAGTGGGAGGTATATAAACTAAAAAAATAAGCTTCAATTTGGAGGTTTCACCATAAATTTCTTTGCAGGCACCAGGAGGATTTCATAGCACATGTGTAGAGGCCAGGTGGGCTGGAAGGTGACAAGAACACAGGCTTTGGAAGTCGGATAGGGATGGATTCAAATCTTGGCTCTAACAAGTACCAGCTGTATGACCCTAGTCACGTTTCGTAGCCTTTCTGAATATGGTCCCCCTCATCTGTAAAGCAGAGGTAATAATTCCTGCCTCACAGAGACCTTGTGAAGATTAAATGAGTTAGATGTGTGGTAGGGACTTCATGTGGTCAGCTTGCAATATGGTTGGTGGTCAGTAGTCAGTGGTCAGAAACTATTGTTGTCCTTTCAATTCTGTAATAGTGACCTTCCAGCCATGTGGTGGCTGAATCCGGGTTGCTCCTTAGTTGCCCTTTTTTTTGAGACGGAGTTTCACTCTTGCCGCCCAGGCTGGAGTGCAGTGGCACAATCTCAGCTCACTGCAACCTCCGCCTCCTGGGTTCAAGCGATTCTTCTGTCTCAGCCTCCCAAGTAGCTGGGACTACAGGTACCCTCCACCACACCCGGCTAATTTTTGTATTTTTAGTAGAGATGGGGTTTCACCATGTTGGTCAGGCTGGTCTCTAACTCCTGACCTTGTGATCCGCCGGCCTTGGCTTCCCAAAGTGCTGGGATTACAGGCGTGACCCACTGCGCCCGGCCTCCTCAGTTGCCTTTATGGGCGTTTCTCCCTAGACCCATTTGGACCTGTTACACACATCTTCCCTCTAACATCTCAAATGTCTTCTGGAAAATTCTGAAGGGTGAAATACTGTATGCTGAGGGAAGGGCAGGCTCTGATCACCACAGGGTGATTTGGAAGTATCCTGTGGTGAATTTCCCTGGACCCAGAAAATTCTGCCCTGTTCTTAATAAATTAGGCAGCTGGACTTAAAAAAAAAAAAAGTGTCAACAGAGACTTTCATGCCAAGTCTCATGTTTCTATATTTGACTAAAGTCAGACAAGTTCGAGCAACCAAATGAGGTCTCTAAGTTTAGGCAGAACAAGTGCAGCCATTTTTCTCTGTGTATGTTGGTCTGAGCCAGATCCTGGAGCAAGACTGCCTGGGTTTGAAGCCTGGCTCTTCTCTTTCCTACCTGGGTCACCTTGGGCCATTGTGCTCCACTTCCCTTTGGTAAAACAGTACCTGTATCAAAGGGTTTGTTGTGAAGAGTTAAGGAAATAAGCAAATGTAAAGCATTCAGAACAGTGCCTGGCATCTGTTAAGCTCTCAGTAGATGTTAGCTGTTGTTATTAACATTACAGAGGTAGAGGGATAAATTCTGGGCTATGGAACATGTGCTAGGTTCAGTCTGCGGTAGCTGAGCAGTGCTAGGAAAGGTCTGTCATTCATTCGACATCTATTCTGCAAATATTTATTCATCTCCTACCATGCCAGGTACTGTTTAAGTTCTGAGGACACAGCAGTGAACCAAAGAGTCAAAAATCACTGCCCAGACCAGGCGCGGTGGCTCACGCCTGTAATCCTAGCACTTTGGGAGGCCGAGGCGGGTGAATTGCCTGAGCTCAGGAGTTCGAGACCAGCCTGGGCAACATGGTGAAACCCCATCTCTGCTAAAAATTAAAAAAAAAAAAAATTAGCCAGGCATAGTGGTGGGCGCCTATAGTCCCAGCTACTCGGGAGGCTGAGGGAGGAGAATCGCTTGAACCCCGGAGGCAGAATTTTCAGTGAGCCTAGATCAAGCCACTGCACTCCAGCCTAGCTACAGAGCAAGATTCCATCTCAAAAAAAAAAAAAAAAAAAAAATCACTGCCCAGGGAATGAGTATTCCAGTCATCTTGTAGGGGTGGTAACCAGTGCACCTGGGCCTTTGCTGTTTAGAACAAGTGTTCTGGGTATTTTTGCCTCAGTCCTTTTAACTAGCCACTACTTGATTTGTGTCACTTGTTTCTATACCAGTACTCCTCTTTGTTTTGTGCAGCATTTATTTGTAAGTACCTAAGATGCAGCATGCACTGTTTTCAGTTGAATAAGAGCTGGTTCTGGACCATAGGTGTCTGTGGCATAGCGCAGGCAGCAGATAAGTGGTCACAACATAATGAAGCAGGTGCTCTGATCAAGAGAAGCACAGAGAAAGTTTTCTGGAGAAGGTGAAGTCTGAAATATGATTTAGATCGAGTTGGCCCCAGAGGAGTATGGGTGAGGGGGAGTAGGGAAGGATGGGCTTTCTAGGCAGACAGCAGGTGGAGAAGGGATGGAGGCCTGAAGCTGCCTGAATATTTGGGGAACAATAAGTGGATAATTAGTATGGTTGCAGCAGAGAATGGAGTTGAGGAAGTGGAAGAGGACTTGGTAAGTCAGGCACACCCAGGTATGAGCTAGATAATGAAATTCCCCGTGTGCATTGCTCAAGAGTTTAAGCTTGCTCCTGAAGACCCTGGGCGCCCAGGAAAGGGCTTGAAGCTTGGGAGTGATGTAGACACAATAAGATATGTTGGAATTGCTCCTTTGTCAGCAGTCTGGAGCATGATTTGAAGGAGAGCCTGAAGAAAAGCAGGGAGACCAGTTGTCCCCATGAGAAGCCATGAGGCCTGAGCAGACAGTGACAAGGAGGTGGCAGAGATGGGGTCAGAATTTGAAAGGCATTAAGAAGGCGACGGTCCCTGCGGGGCTTCGTGAATGACTGGGAGGGTAAGAGGAAAGGGGTTTGGAAATTGTTGAAACCATAAACCAGTGCAAGTTAAGAGAGGGGCAAGATGTACGCACCTGGAGTTACCGTGACTCCTTGTGTTACTGTAAACAGCTAAAGCAGTGCAGTGATGCACTGGATGCTTAGTGTGGCTGGCAAGGGGGCTCATGGGCTCTCTGCTCCTGGAGACCTTTTGGAATGTGGCAGTCATCTGTGCTGATTGCTTCACAGAGTTCCAGCCAAGCAGGTCACCGCATCATGTAGCTCATTGGCTCATTCATTTATTTTGTTGATCAAATATTTATTGCATGCCTACTAAATGCTCTCATGGAACTTACATTTTGGTGGGAGTGAGTGGAGGAGGGAGGAATTCTTTTTTTTTTTTGGAGACAGAGTCTCATTCTGTTGCCCAGGCTGGAGTGCAGTGGCACAATCTCAGCTTACTGCAACCTCCGCCTCCCAGGTTCAAGCTATTCTCCTGCCTCAGCCTCCCGAGTAGCTGGGACTACAGGTGTGTGCCACCATGCCTGGCTAATTTTTTGTCTTTTTAGTAGAGATGGGGTTTCACCGTGTTAGCCAGGATGGTCTCGATCTCCTGACCTCATGATCTGCCCGTCTCGGCCTCCCAAAGTGCTGGGATTACTGGTGTGAGCCACCGCGCCCAGCCAGGAGGGAGGAATTCTACATTAAAGTAAATAAAGAAAATAGTTTTTAGATAGAGATAATGCTGTTAAAGAATTAAAGTGTGGGAGAGGGCCTAGGTGACTGGGCGAATAGGTTGTAGAGAATGACTTAAGATATAGTCGCCAGGGAAGCGCTGTGAGGAGGTGACCCAGGAACTCAGCTCTGCATGACCCAGGGAAGAACAATCCAGAGAAGGGTCGAGTCAGGAGCTAGTTTGGTGACCAGCCGTAAGCCGTATCTCTCGGCTGGATTCCTGCAGCAGCCCCTTAATGAGTCTCCCTGCATTTCCTCTTATTCTGGACACTGTACCGGGAGTGGTCCTTTCAAAAACATGATCGAGATCCTCCCTCCAAACCCAGGGGCTTTCCTCTCACCCCGGCTATGGAACCCCCTCTTTCCTCTAGTTAGTCTTCCACTCATTTCCTTCTTGCTCCCTCTGCTGCAGCCACACTGGCCTCCTTCCTGCTACCCAAACTTGTCAAACACGCCTTCACCTCCCAGCCAAGTACTGCACGGCTTGTCCCTGACTTCAGGTCTCAGCTTGTATGCAGAGCGCTCCCAAGACCATGCACACATTTCTTCGAAGATTCACTAGGAGGATTCTGCATGTAGCTGTATTAGAGTTATGATCTATTAAGATGAGAAAGTACTAAGCAAAATTAGCAAAGGAGAAAGGCATGCGAGGTGAAGTCTGGAGGAAACCAGGCACAAGCTTCTTAGAATCCTCTCCTGTGGGAGTCTCACAGGACATACTTCCTGCCCCCGTCTGTGGGTTGTGACAACATGTGTGAAATGTTGTCTACCAGGGGAGCTCATTAGAGACTCAATGCCCAGAGGTTTTATTGGTGGCTGGTCATGTCAGCAGCTTCTGTCTGGCAAGTACCAAGATTTCAGACTCCCAGAAGAAAAAGCAAGTAATCACCATAAACCATACTGTTTGCACAAACAGTTCAGGGATCATGAACCATTCACATCAGGGAATGGAGGAAACCTTCCCAAAAATCTAAGTTCCTAGATGCCAACAAAGGGCCAATCTTAAAATCGGGTCTTTCTTTCTAAGGCTGTAGTGTCAGGCTTTCTTTTCTCTTTTTTTTTTTTTTTTGGAGACAGAGCCTAGCTCTCACCCAGGCTGGAGTGCAGTGGCACGATCTTGGCTCACTGCAACCTCCTCTTCCCAGGTTCAAGCAATTCTCCTGCCTCAGCTTCCAGAGTAGCTGGGACTATCGGCGCATGCTGCCATGCCTGGCTAATTTTTTTTGTTTTAGTAGAGATGGGGTTTCCCTGTGTTGCCGAGGCTGGTCTCCAACTCCTGAACTCAGGCAATCCGCCTGCCTCGGCCTCCCAAAGTGCTAGGATTACAGGCGTGAGCCACCACAGCCCGGCCTAGTCTCAGGCTTTCTATGTGAAGTCTTTTCTGCATAGCTTGAGTACTCCTTCTCAGGGAGACTGTCTCACCATCCGATTTAAAATACTAGCTCCAGCACTCCCTGCCCTCCCCACCATCTAATTTTTCTCCACATACTCATCACTGTCTAAGATACCATATGACCTACACATGCACTTGTTTATTGCCTCTGTCTCCCATTAAAATGTAAGCTTCATTTCATGAGGTGGGGGTTTTTGCCTGCTTTCTTTACCAATGAACTCCCAGCACCTATGACAGTGTTTGGCAAATAGCAGGTTCTCAATAATATGAGAAGGATGAATGAAGGAATGCTTAAACAAACAGGAAAACTTGGCACGTGTGGTTAGAGCGAAGTGTCATGCAGAAAGAGGTAGGAAATGTGATTGAGCAGACAGGGTCAGTGTAGACAGGGCCCTTACAGGCTTTGGGAAAGGGTTTAGACAAGCATATTTCTTTTTTTTTTTTTTTTTTTTTTTGAGATGGAGTCTTGCTCTGTCACCCAGGCTGGAGTGCAGTGGCGCAATCTCAATTCACTGCAATCTCCGCCTCCCGGGTTCAAGCGATTCTCCTGCCTCAGCCTCCTGAGTAGTTGGGATTACAGACACCTACCACCACGCCCATCTAATTTTTGTATTTAGTAGAGACGGGGTTTTTCCACGTTGGTCAGGCGCGTCTTGAACTCCTGACCTCAGGTGATCCGCCCACCTCGGCCTCCCAAAGTGCTGGCATTACAGGTGGGAGCCACCACGCCCAGCCTAGACAAGCATATTTCTTAAGTGTCATGACCACCTTTGAGTTGTCCAAATCCAATTTTCACCAGTGTTTCAACTTCAGCTCACCCCCCACTCTCCTCAAGGACAGGTGTCAGTCCCTCTTCTTGTTCCTTTAGTTAATAGGGGTATTCAAAATCTCTTATTATGTGCACTCCATGCTTTTCTGCCCTAGAGTTTATTGCAATTGTAATAATTTAACGATTTGTGTAATTTAGTTGATATCTGAATTCTCCATTAATCTGAAAATTTTGGGCTTGTTAACACTATATCCTCGATGTCTAGCCCAGAACTCAACAGGTATTTGAATGAATGACTGCTGTTGTTCAGCATGTGGACAACTCTGGGCCAGGCTTAACTTCCTGGGCCTGGAACCATTCCGAGCTTTCTCAGGTTCTCCAGCCTTCATCCTGGGTTAGCATCTCCACAGCCTCCCTCCAGGCTTGGAGCACACAGTACCAGGCAGCTCTCAGCCTCATGATGCTCTGACTTCTGACGCCTGGCTGTGGGTGTTCACTTTGCAGGAGCCCCTGGAAAAGGCCCAGCTGCTGGCACTGGTTGGGGACCAGCTCATCCAAAGCCACCATTATGCAGCAGATGCCATCAGGCCCCGGTGTGTGGAGCTCAGGCACCTCTGTGACGATTTCATCAATGGAAACAAGAAAAAATGGGACATTTTAGGAAAGTCCTTAGAGTTTCATAGACAGCTGGACAAGGTGAGCAAAACACAGCCAAGAACATGATGTCTGCAAGATTTTCTGTGAAGAAGCTTCCATCATACTCGTCCTCCCTTCCTTGTGTGATTGCTGAGAGGCTTGAGTGCTTTATGTGAAAAGATGTTCGAGAGGCATTAAAAACTGTGCAGATCCTGGGGTGTAGAAGTATACCTGGCACGAAGGTAAAAAGTGCTCTGGCCATCCCACCACATCCCATTAAAGTTAACTGAAGCCCATTTCTATCTGTGTGGAGCCGGACTTTAAGAGTGTGTTTTGGCTTGGCCCTGTGGGAACACTTCTTGATTCCCTTTCAGGTGTACAGAGAACCAAGCACTATATTTGCAGAGTGCTTCCCTCATATAAAGGCAAAGGGTTTTGACTCTTTTTGGAGAAGCTTAAGTAATAACAACCATTTTATACCCCCTACCATGTATCGAGCACCTACTGCATTCCTACCAGGAACATAATTATGTCATCTATTTATAATCCTCAAGACAACCTCTGAGGAAGGTATTAATGGCCTCATTGTGCAGAGGCAGAAACTGATACTCTGCTGGGTCTCAAAATGTAGCACACGAGAATCACCTAGTGAGCTGTTATATGGCAGATTCCCTTATGCACTGCCCTGAAGACTCAGCGTCGATAGGTCTGGAATACTGCCCAGGAACTAGTATTTTAGTAAAGTGTCTAAATGATTCTGGTGCAGGTGGTGCAGGGATGTCACCAAGAAACCCTGGGGTAAATGACTGCCCAAGACCACACATGGTGCACACAGGGGAAGCCAGAATTAAAGTCAGGCCTGCCAGATTCCACACCAAGGCTTCACAGGATAGACAGCAAGGGCGCATGCCAGGGGCCCACAAGGAGAGGGGTGCCCTTTGGAGGTGACCTCTAGGGTATGTTCCCAGTCAGCAGGAGCAGCGGTTTCTGGAGTCTTCCCTGTGAGCTGGTCCCAGGCAGCATGTGGCTGACGGCAATGAGTCAGCATGCTCCATCCCCACAGCTGTTCCTCTTGCATGGCAGGGGGCACCCACCCAGGCGCTTACCTCATCCCATTGCTAAAGGGATTTTAATGTCAATGAAATATAGTTGTTTCAGAAGCAAGTAGCTCCGAAGGGGCTGGTGTGCAGCCTGCTCTGTGTGCTGAGCTCGCTGTGGGATCAGCTGCTGTTTTCCCAACTCCATTTTTGCTCCAGAGATTATAAGCCTGGTGTGTGTGTGTGTGTGTGTGTGTGTGTGCATGTGTGTTTGAGAGAGAGAGAGGGAGACAGAGAGAGAGAGAAAGCAAGTAGCCATAGTAACTCTACAGAAAATCCCAGCCTAATGTTTTTTGCAGATCTGGGCATGATGTGTAAAGAGAAAGTTTTCACAGCATATATCAAAGCATGAGTTCATATTATTGTGGAAATCCAAAAATGTAGGAAGAAAAAGGTTACTCATGGGCACGTACATATCCCACTATCCCCCATCCCTACATAATGGTAATTATTAATTCTGAAATATCTTTATGATTTTTTATTATTCTAAATGTGGTACATATTCACTGTAAATAATCTAGGAAAAAAATAAGACAAAAACTTAAGTTGCCTATCATTTTCCCACTTAGAAAGACAACCACTTTGGCGTGTTGCATTTTGATCTTTTTTCTCTGTATAGTTACTTTATATTGCTTTTCAGGTCACATGGTAAATGGAAATGCAGAGGTATTGGCACTGGAAACTTCTTTTCATATAACTCTTCAGGTAGCATAAGGGCTCCCTGTCTTTCTGTTCAAGTGTCTCAGTGGAGTTCAAAAGAGCAAAGAAAATGAGTCTTTTTTAAAAATTGAATAATTAGAACTCATCACCTATCTAATGTCCTCCCAGCATCCAGAAACTCTTGAGTATCGCTGTGCTGAGTTACAAAGCTTTGCATTCTTGCTTCCTTACGAAAGACAAACGCCAGTAAATGCAAATAGGGATCACCTGGGAATCCAAAGATGAAAGTTGTGTTTTTGTTAAAAGGGACATGCCCTTCTCCCAGGAAATGTAAGGGCCAGGTCTAATGTCTTATTAATCACCCTGTGTTCTGGTAACCAATTCGGATGCAAGAAGAGTGGACTAGCAGGTAAACCCCAAAAGCCATTGATTACATTTCTCTATGGTTAGACCAGCCTAAGAGATATTTAGCTATAAGGCTGGGTGGGTGCAGTGCCTCACACCTGTAATCCCAGCACTTTGGGAGGCCGAGGTGGGAGGATTGCTTGAGCCCAGGAGTTCGAGAGCAGCCTCGGCAACATGGCCAAAACCTGTCTCAAAAAAAGGAAAGAAAGAAAGAGAGACAGAGAGAAAGAAAGAGGAAGGAAGGAAGGAAGGAAGGAAGGGAGGAAGGAAGGAAAAATTAGCCTGGTGTGGTGGCATGCATCTGTAGTCCCAGCTACTCAGGAGGCTAAGGTGGAAGAATCACCTGAGCCTGGGGTAGACCTCTCCAGGCTGCATTAAGCCATAATTGCACTACTGTACTCCAGCCTGGGTGACAGAGTGAAACCCTGTCTTTAATTAAATATATATTTAGCTGTCTCCTCCTGGAGATGTAGCAATTACTGTTAATGGAAGAGACTCATTTTGCTGACCGAGTGACTTCCCTGAGAAGTGGACAGGTATCAGCTGGTTTGGGTTTGTCCCCCTCATAGTGTAATTTACAGTGGTTAGACCCCTTAAACTCGATGCCGTCCCATGACAATTTCCCATTGTCTGGGAATCCTTGTAGACACCTTACAAGCTCAGACCTGCTGAGGATTACGGTGGCTCTGAGTTGTGGTCAGGCGAAGTGCACAGGGCACTGTTTCTTTCCAAAAGGTCAGCCAATGGTGTGAGGCAGGAATCTACCTCTTGGCTTCCCAAGCTGTAGACAAGTGCCAGTCTCGAGAAGGGGTTGATATCGCCTTGAACGACATTGCGACATTCCTGGGCACAGTCAAGGAGTACCCGTTGCTCAGCCCCAAGGAGTTTTACAACGAGTTTGAGTTGCTGCTCACCCTCGATGCAAAGGTAATGCTTCCGGGTTATTTTGATCCTGTGGTTGGGAAACGGATAGGGGAGGGAGGGACTGTACCTTCTTCCTGATAAAGTACACACAGGGTACTGAGCAGGCTGAATTGAGTGGGCTCACTGGTTCCGAAGCCCTCCGGCGGCCTCTTAGACTCTCGGCCTGAACGTCCTGGCATACTGAGTCTTCGTCTGACTCAAATCAGTCATTTCTCTATTAATGCTTATGAGCATTCCTGATGTACCATGTGCTGTGCTGAGTGCTGAGGATACCATGATGATTAAAAATAGGCATGCTTCCATCCCTCACTGAGCTTACAGTTTGTGGGAGAGGCTGACATTAACAAAATAATCACACAAAAATGTGTTACAAGCTGATATAAGTGCTGTCAAGGAGGGATGCAGGGTCAGGCATGTGACAGAGGAACTTGACCTGGACTGGGGTCAGAGAAGGCTCTCAGGAAGAGTCACTTGAGCCTGGAGAACGAATAGACAAGATGGGAGAGCCTTTCCAGACAGGAGGAACAGCATGTGCAAAGGCTTCAGGGCTGGAGGGAGCCTGGCACAGTGCAGACCAAAAGGTCAGGGTGCTGGAACCTAGAGAGCAATGGAAGTGTGTTTTGGGTGAGGTTAGAGAGAGGCAGGCAAGGTAGGCTTTGTGGGCCACATGAGCGAGTTTGGATTTAAGCAGGGAGATAACTTGATTGGATTTGCATTTGAGAAGCATATTCTTCCATGAAGCCAGCAGGGTTGTAGGTAGCACACCTTCCTCTGAGAGCCACATCATCACCTTGTCTGCACCTCTGGTTTAGGAGCTTCTTTTAATCAGCTTCCTGGGCACAAAGAAAGGAAGAGAAGATGCAGTGGAGGAACAAACAGATTATATCCAGCCTGTCTAACTGTTTGTGTAATTCTGGGGAATGCCCTGAAGTCCATCCATGGACTCAGGCCAAAATTCTTTGCTCTGTCTAACATGACACAAGCCACATTGTATTCTAATTGTTTGTTTGTTTGTTTATTTCTGAGATGGAGTCGCTCTGTCGCCCAGGCTGGAGTGCAGTGGCATGATCTCGGCTCAGTGCAACCTCTGCCTCCTGGGTTCAAGCGATTCTCCTGCCTCAGCTTCTCAAGTAGCTGGGATGACAGGTGCCAGCCACCACACCCGGCTAATTTTTGTATTTTTAGTAGAGATGTGATTTCACCATGTTGACCAGGCTGGTCTCAAACTCCTGTGCCAGGGTGTTCCAGGCACTGGAGACGCCATAGTGAAAGGATGTAGTCATTGTCCTCAAGGGTCTCAAGTAGGAGAGGCTAATCCTTAGATACCCAATTCTGGAGCATGGCAGGACCTGCAGCGACTTGCATAGTGATGCCCAGAGGGGGTCACCTGAGGGAGGTAGGGATGGGGGGAGTAGGGGAAGGTGGGAGAAAGGGAATGCTTCGTGTCCTCAGGCTGTATACAGAGAGACCTGTTCATCATGATTTGCTTTTGTTACTGTAGGCCAAAGCCCAGAAAGTTTTGCAGAGGCTGGATGATGTCCAGGAAATATTTCACAAGAGGCAAGTGAGTCTGATGAAACTGGCAGCCAAACAGACTCGTCCAGTGCAACCTGTGGCCCCACATCCTGAGTCTTCACCAAAATGGGTGTCATCAAAAACCAGCCAGCCCTCCACCTCGGGTAGGTTATTTGAGGAAAAGAAGCTTTGTGGCTTTTGTGTTTCATCAGCACCATGAGGACTGTGACTGGTTGTCTACAATGGATAATGGTCGCTGTTTTAACAGATACTATTTAAAACAAACTACAGATATAGCATAGTGCAGACATGGAAGACATAAACACTTAGATAACACCAAGTGCCTGGATGCAAGGAGAAACACACAATCTACTGAAGGAATAATAAAAATGCATCATAAAGGCCGGGTGCGGTAGCTCACGCCTGTAATCCCAGCACTTTGGGAGGCCGTGGCGGGTGGATTATCTGAGGTCAGGAATTCGAGACCAGCCTGGCCAACATGTTGAAACCCATCTCTACTAAAAATAGAAAAATTAGGCTGGGCGCGGTGGCTCACGCCTGTAATCCCAGCACTTTGGGAGCCTGAGGCGGGCAGATCACGAGGTCAGGAGATCGAGACCATCCTGGCTAACACGGTGAAACCCCATCTATACTAAAAATACAAAAAATTAGCCAGGCGTGGTGGTGGGCACCTGTAGTCCCAGCTACTCGGGAGGCTGAGGCAGGAGAATGGCGTGAACCTGGGAGGCAGAGCTTGCAGTTAGCGGAGATGGCGCCACTGCACTCCATCCTGGGTGACAGAGCGAGACTCCGTCTCAAAAAAAAAAAAATATATATATATATATATACACACACACACACACATACACATATATGTATATACACATATATATACACACACACACACACACATACATATATATACATATATATATATAAATAAATTAGCCTGGGCATGGTGGCGGGCGCCTGTAATCCCAGCTACTCAGGAGGCTGAGGCAGGAGAATTGCTTGAACCCGGGAGGCAGAGGTTGCAGTGAGCAGAGATTGCGCCATTGCCCTCCAGCCTGGGCGACAAGAGCAAAACTCTGTCTCAACAACAACAACAACAACAACAAATGCATCATAATAATAACATAATAATAACAGCATAAAATAGACCCCATTCAGGACCTTTAAAAGGCCCATGTTTTATTAGCAATGGAGTAGTAAAATTGGTTCTTTGAGCAAAGATTTAAAAAATAGGTAAGTTCTTATGCCAATCCCACATGGTCCTGATTACCATAGCTTATTAGTCAGCCTTTAAGATCAAGTCATGCGATGTTCCAACGTTGTTCTTTTTCAAGGTTGTTTTGGCTATTTTAGGTCCTTTTCATTGTTCCATAAATTTTAGAATCACCTTTCAATTTCTGCTGGGATTATGATAGGGATTACACTGGATATATGAGCTAATTTGGAGAGAACTATTATCTTACCAATATTGACTTTTCCAATTCCTGAATATGTTATAACTTATGTTTTTTAGGTCATCTTTAATTTCTCTCAACAATGCAGTCGTTTTGAGTGTAAAGGCCTTAGGCATTTAACATTTTTTTAACCCTATAATGAATGGAATTTACCATATATAATTAAGAATAGGAATAGATTTCTATATAGAAATATAATCCTATCATCTGTGAATAGGGATGCTTTTACTTTTTTCTGTTTCAATCTTTATACTTTTTTTCTTGTCATATTATAATGACTGGGACCTCCACTACAATGTCAAATAGAAATGGTGAGAGCAGACATCTGTGTGTTTTCCCAATATTAGGAAAAGAGTTCAAGTTTCATCTTTAAGTATGATGTAAGCTATAGGTTTTCCACAGATGTCTTTTATCAGATTGAGGGAATTCTCTTCTATTTCTATTTTTTAGGAGAGTTTTTATCGTGAATGATTATTGAGTTTTCAAATGCTTATTTGGTCCATGTATTGAGAGAATGATATGGTTTTTCTTCTTTATTTGTTAATATGGTAAATTACAATGATTTGTTTTCAAATGTTAAAACAACTGTACATCCTTGGAATAAACTGCCCTTGGGCAGGATGTACATGTCATTTGTTTGTGTCGTGTATTGTGGACCTCTGTCATTAAGCACATACATATTCATGGTTTTTATGTCTTTCAGATATATTAGCTCTTTTATAATTATGAAATGTCTCTCCTTCCCTCCTTACCTCTAGAAATACTCTTAAAGTCTATCTTGTGCGATATTGTCACAGCCATTCCAGTTTTCTCATGCTTAGTGTTTGCAGAACATATTTTTTTTGTTTTCTATTCTTCTGTCTTTGTATTTAAAGTATATTTGTTGTAGGCAGCATATAGTTGGGTCTTGCCTTTTTATACACTGTGACCTCTGCCTTGTAATTGGAGTGATTAGATTTTTATGTTTACATCCATCATCATTATTGATATAGTTGGATTTAGAGTTCCTGTTTTGTTATCCTACATGTCTCATGTGCTTTTTATTCCTCTTTTCCTCCTTTCCTGCCTTCCTTTGGGTTAGTAAATATTTTTTAATATTTTGTTTTAATTCCTCTATTGGCTTGTTATCATATCTCTTTGTACTGTTTTTCACCAGACTGGGGATTACCATATGCATCCTTAACTTGTCATGATCTATTGAATTAGTTTCATACCATTCTATGCAAAATATAGGAAATCATACTACATACTACAATGTCATACTTCCATATGCTCCCCATCCATCCTCTGTGCTATTCTTATCATAAATATCACATCTATATATGTTAATCCCCCACTATGGTATTATAATTTTTGCTTTAAATAGTCATGTATCAAATTAAGAGAAATACATACGTGTGTGTGTGCATGTGTGTGTGTGTGTGTGTGTGTGTGTGTGTGTACATACCCCCTTATTCACCATTTCTGGGGTTCTTCATTCCTTATTATAGATTTGAATTACTATCTTGTGTCATTTCTCTTCGGAATAAAGAGCTTCTGTTAGTATTTATTGTTGGGGAGTCTACTAGCAACAAATTCTTTTCTTGTCTTTATTTTTTCCTTTTTGTGGAGAACGGGGTCTTGCTATATTGTCCAGGCAGGTTTCGAACTCCTGGGCTCAAGCTATCCTCCTGCCTCTGCCTCCCTAAGAGCTGGAATTACAGTTGTGAGCCACCATGCCTGGCCTGTTAGCAATAAATTCTTTCAGTTTTTGTTTATATGAAAATTGTGGGGTGTTTTGGTAATTCTCCATTTAGTACAATTTACGATCCCTTGTCTTCCACCATGTATCCTACTTTTTAGAAGTAAGCCTTGATAACATTTAGTGTATTTCTTTCCTGAATTTTTATCTGCAAACACACACACACACATCCACACACATACACTCTCACACACTTGCACACACATACCACAGACATACCCAAACATACACAGAGACATCCTTCTTAGATGATTGGAAACAGAACTTGGTTCTCTTGACCTTTCGTCTGTCCTCAAGCTAAACTATGTTCACATCTATGACTTGGCCTCATTCGTTGTTTCCAGGTACATATGTTTGTTTCAAGTAAATAAAGCAGGAATTACAGGGTTGTTTCTCAGCTTTTCAAATACAAGATTTCATAATAGATAACACTCCTTCCCAGAATAAATAGGTCTTTGTCAAGTCTGAACAGGTTGTCATTGACCTAAGTCAAACAACTAGCTCGTTTTGCAGAACAATCCTGCACTTTTGTTTTTGGTAAGTATCTACTGAGTGTGGACTCCAGCAAGTCACTAAAAGGATTTTCAAACATTTTTGTCTGATTCCTTAGTAACTGAGTCTGTGCCAAGATAAGCAATTGTATTTCACAGTATAAAGAAGATGTGTGGAGGGGCTTAAGAGCTGGAATTTCAGCTCTGACTCTTGTTAGCTGGATGCCTTGGCTACAACTTCTAACACCTCTGAAGTTCATAAGGAACGTGAAAAAACTTTTTAGTGCCATGTGGCAATAATAGCTAAAATGTGTTATGCATTGTATATGATCTACATTCTTCACAAATGAACTCATTAAAGCCTTATCACAGCCCTTTACTGTAGGATTTCTCATTTTTCCCTACTTTACAGATGAAAAAGGTAAGGTACAGAGGTGACTGTAATCATGTTTGTCTCGTGCATGGAAGAGCAAGGTTTGAACACTGGCAGTGTGGCTTCTGTGGCCCCGCCTTTCACTGCTTCACTCTACTTACAGTGTCAAGGACAGGCGCTTCTCAGTCATGGTGTCACAAATTATAGTGCATGCATTTCTAGCATCTAGTTATTGTGCCTGGAATCACTCACTTTATAGAGATCCCACAGAGAGGGAGGAGCCCAAAGGATTGTCTGTTATTACAAAGCAGCATTAATGGTAATATGTATAACCTGGGGTAGCAGTGTAATTTTCTGCGATTTTCAACATAACATCTATGAAAAACCCATAGAAAGCCCAAGCTGCTTCCAGTTGGCTCACAGAATGGAAGGGTTGGAAGGGGCCTCTGGAGATCAGATGGTCAACCTCCATCAAGTCTACCATAGCTAAGAATCAGGGTGATATATTGGTGGCATTCAATGAATGGCATTTTGGTCTTGGGACCTACAAATGCTAAAATTGGCTGGGCACAGTGGCTCACGCCTGTAATCCCAGCACTTTGGGAGGCCGAGGCAGGCAGATCATGAGGTCAAGAGAGTAAGACCATCCTGTCCAACGTGGTAAAACTCCGTCGCTACTAAAAATACAAAAATTAGCTGCGTATGGTGGTGCGCGCCTGTAGTCCCAGCTACTTGGGAGGCTGAGGCAGAAGAATCGCTTGAACCTGGGAGGCGGAGGTTGCAGTGAGCTGAGATCACACCACTGCACTCCAGCCTGGCGACAGAGCGAGACTCTGTCTCAAAAAAAAAAAGAAAGAAAGAAAGAAATGCTCAAATCCTGCCTGGGATTAATCATGTCTCCTGTGAGTTTCCCAAGGGACCAGCATATGCAAGGGTGGTGACTGTGACAAATAAGAATTCAAAGTACCTCTTATCTATTAGCCTTGTGGCCATCACCCACAATGCTTGGCAAAGCTGGTAAGGTGGGTTAGGAAGCCTTGAGGCCTTCTCCTCTCAAGTCCCAATTTTACTACCAAATGGCCATGGAGCTTGAAGAAAGGATATTTCCCAGGTGGGGAGAAGGGAGATAGAGTGGCCAAGAGAAAAGAGCAAGAGCAGCAGGCATGGCCATCCTCTTACAATACAATCATAGTATGATTGTGTGTGTACATGTATGTGTGTAAAAAGAGGGAGAGCATTTGAAAGAAGACTGTAAGGAAATATACTAAGTGATTGTGCTTCAGCGTTAAGAGTTTAGTGTTTTTCAGATTTTCTGTAATAAGCAAAAATTAATTACCTTTATAATGGAAAATATATTCAATACAATGTAGTACCTAGAATTTAGTCTTTGAATCCAAGAACAACATCAAGTGCAACATTATGCTGTACACATGATGCATGCCAAAGCAGCAGTGCATAAAAGAATCCATAAAGTTTGTAATATGGAAGACTTCATGAGGAAAGTGGCCTTTTTGTTTGTTTGTCTGTTTGTTTGTTTGAGATGGAGTCTAGCTCTGTTGCCCAGGCTGGAGTGCAGTGGCGCAATCTCAGCTCACCGCAACCTCCGCCTCCCAGGTTCAAGTGATTCTCCTGCCTCAGCCTCCCGAGTAACTAGGATTACAGGCACTTGCCACTGTTCCCGGATAATTTTTGTATTTTTAATAGAGACGGGATTTCACCATGTTGGCCGGGCTGGTCTCGAACTCCTGACCTCAGGTGATCTGCCCGCCTCAGCCTCCCAAAGTGCTGGGATTACAGGTGTGAGCCACCAAACCCAGCCAAAAGTGACCTTTTAGCTGGGCCTTAAAAATGGGAATGACAGAAAATCTACTATTCTTTACCACATTGCTATATGTACAGATTTGTTGTAGTTTAATGTTTCATATGGTGCTGGGTGTGACTTTTTTCTCTTCTGCTGAAATGTCAAGTCCCTGGAGTCAAGGATTCTATTTCTCCTCTGTGTCTCTCCTTCACCTCCAATTTCATCCAGCCCTAGGAAATCAACGCAGCAGCTCAAGTGAGCTTTTATAGTTAGCCACATTGACGTGGTCCAGCTATTTGTCCAAATCAGACAAAGTGCACTGAGTTATAGTTTATAAGTTAAATAACCACACTAATGGCAGGTTCTCTTAGTCCCTCTAGCTCGTCCTCTGAGAACGTCTGAGGAACCTTATACGGAGACAGAGTTGAACTCCCGGGGAAAGGAAGATGATGAGACTAAATTTGAAGTCAAGGTAAAATTACCTTTATTTTACTTATAGAACTTCCTGACAAGAGGGAAGATTGCTGTCACAATTATCAATAAATCAACAAATTGTGTTTCCTTAATCTGTACCTAAGGCACATAGCACAGACTAATGCTTTCAAGAACTGGGGTTTATAGGATTTTTTTTCTTTTCATCCTTTTCTTTCTTCTTAACGGCAGCTAGAAGTGAAAGCTATTTGGTCATGTATGTGATTATTGGTAGATACTGTTGTAGTAAAAGAAAAATCATTTTATTTATTTCTGTAATCTGCCTTCATATTTAAAATTGGCAGAACAGTGTATGGTTCATGTATAAAAAGAGCATGACAGGCCGGGCGCGGTGGTTCACGCCTGTAATCCCAGCACTTTGGGAGGCCGAGGTGGGAAGATCACGAGGTCAGGAGTTTGAGACCAGTCTGGCTAGCATGGTGAAACCTTGTCTCTACTAAAAATACAAAAATTAGATGGGCGTGGTGGCAGATGCCTGTAATCCCAGCTACTCAGGAGGCTGAGGCAGGAAAATTGCTTGAAACTGGAAGTTGGAGGTTACAGTGAGCAGAGACTGTGCCACTGTACTCCAGCCTGGGCAACAGAGCGAAACTATGTCTCAAAAAAAAAAAAAAAAAAGAGCATGACAAAATTGCACAGAGCTGCACACACACATGCACACACACAAGTGCGTGAATAACTGGTGAACCCTGAATAGGCTCTGTGGATTGTGCCAGTGTCAATTTCTTAGATGTTAACATTGGATGAGGTTTGGAGAAAGGGGACATGAGACTTTCCATTTCTTTGCAACCTCATGTGACTTAATATAATTATTTCAAAATAGAAGTTTAAAAAAAGCATAAGGTTTGGAATCAGGCAGATCTGGGTTTAAGCAACATAACCTCTTGAAACCTCAGTTTCTTGCTTGTACAAATGGGTATAACAACAGCTACCTCCTGAAAATATTTTGAGCACAAAATGAAAATTTGAAAATTGCTAAGCACTGTATAATTTTAAAGTAACATATATTTAGAAACTGAAGTGTATTTAATTGTGAATTGTGAATATAAGTTGCTGTATAGCAGCCCCCGAAGGGGTTCCCTTTCCCCTGCCTCACTAAAATTTAAATATTTGACTGGCTGAATGGTTCTGAAACCAGAGGCCATGGGCTCAAATGAACTTCAGCAACATTTATGATCCATCATCAATCCCCAAAGTATCTGAATATGAACCCCAGAGGAACTCCACTGACCTTGAAAGAGTCCGGAAGAAAGTGAGTTTTAGGCTTTTCTTCTTGGAGGCAGAAACAGAGTGGGAACGAGGGTTCTCAGCAGACTTTTCTTAGAGAGAGAGAAAGCTGCGTCCGTTTGCCAATTTGTTTAGTCATCCTGTATTCTGGGCAGATTAGGACGTAGCCACCGCTGTCCATAAATCCCTCCTGGTTGGAGGAATTGCATCACCATGTTTTCTCAAGTTAGGAAACTGTATGAAATTTCATACTGTCCTGATCAGCCACCTAAAAAAGTAAATAGCAATTTTTAAAAATAGATTCACCTGATTTAACACCCAGGAGGTCTGTGGAATCATTGAGTAATATTAAAAGGGTTTCATTGTGGTCCTCTTCAAAAGTGAACATCAGCCTATCCATTTCTGCACCCTGGACTTCTGGGAGAATGTCATCTCTGAAGGTGAGGACTGTGTCACATGATCACAGCTCAGATTTGGCCCCTGAGCTCATATGCTGCTGCCTTGACTCACGCCGTGATGTGAACTCACTTCCTATCTCTACGACCTACTTTGCCCATCTTCAGACAACATGTTTATGACCTGTACACTATAAAAATGCTACGGGAGTTTTAAGCATATGGAAGTTCTCATATAAAGGAATCCAAATTAGAGTGATTTATTTCAATAATTGTGAACAGTAAACAAGTGCTATTTTTTTGTTGTTGTTGTAAAAGAGAAACATAGACAGTGTAGGAGCAGCGGTGGGGATAGAATCAGAGGCCTGTAGGTGTGGAAAGTGTTGAGTAGAATCCAAGAAGCCCTAGTCACCCAACTTTTGGTTTCTTCCTTCTTTTGCCATGTTGTTTATTTAATTCAGACTCCAAACCCATCCTGTTAAGTTGCCATCTCCCTCTGTATTTAGGCAACTCACCAAACAGTATGGGTACTGTTAAACAAGCACAAGTCCATGTTACAATCATCCTTCTGTGCTTCAGTTGTTTTCTTCCTTATTGTTGATTTGTTTGCGTATTTAATGAAAAGCTTCTCCCACAACAGTGTATGTTAACAGTCAAGGTGGTGGAGGAAGCAGAGTAGGAACAGAGGCTGGTCAGATTTCTGCTTAGAAAGACCAAGGCTTTGGGAGGAAATGTAAGCAGAATCCATAAAGTCATGAACAACATGAGCAGGAAGAAAGTGGATTTGTGCACTAAATCCCCAAATCCTAGACTTGGGAATGAATTTAGGACCAATAAATGCAATTAGTGTTTCACACATTGTGTATTATAACCAGGGAAATTGTTATTCCAAAATATGTAAGAAAACTAGTAAGAAAAAGATAGGTTCAAAAAAAAGGTTTAGATTCATGTCTGTGTGGATCATGGATTATTAAAAGGGGGACAAATCAATTGACTAACATCAACAATAATCATTGCAGCTTGTGTTTAGTGGCCACTGTCCGAGAGAGATGGCCAGGTTGCATTGAGCATGCATCTAGCTCTGGGTGGCGATTCTGACATCCTTTTGGCCTTAGGTCTAGAACTCAAAGATGAAATGAAACCCAGCCAGTCTAGTAGAGTGAATCATAGCATTGTGATAAATGCCACCCCTTTGCCCTTGAGAGTAAATATACCGAGAAAAAAAATAGCTGTGAACCAAAACCATCTATAATACAGTCACTGATACTCACCACCTACAGCTAAAATTATGACATGGTTTGATCATGATCAGAGAAATCATTTCCTTTTCTGGAGGGGTGATCCTTGCCATGCTGGTTCTGGGGAGCTTGAGAAGCTAAACTTGACAGGGCAGCTGAGACTCTTCCGGGGCCATCTGGCAAGGGTGATGCCCTGCACTTGGCTCACTGACGTCATCTGGGAAAGCCCGGTGGTGGAAGCGATTCGCTGTGCTTGTTGGCAATAGTGATGTGACTATTTCCTGTTCTTCACTGGCTGAAAGGTGAAAGCATGACTCACGGGAACTGCTTTCCCCGGGCTGCCAACATCACAGCCTTTTTGTAAGCTGGAAATAAGTCAGAGGCTGACAATTTCTTTTTCCTAAATGTGGACCTACAGAATTAAGAAAGAGCTAGCAGTGTTCCTTTGGTGCCTGTTAAAGTTATTTAAAGGAGCAGAAGCCTATTCTGTGCTCCCAGAAGATGAAAAAAAAGAAAAAATAAAGTAACAAAAGCCTTTTCAGGATTCTGAGCAAAGAGCCTCCTAAATTAAAAAAATAAATAAATAAAAGTTTTTGAATGCAGGGGCTGGAAGGGAATGGAGAGGTGAGTGAAGGGTTGCTATCACTGGCTGAAGGCCAGACATTGTACTGGGTGCTGTGTGTACCTGAGTCCATCCCTAGTCCTCAGAACCTTGTGAGGATGATGTTTTCCGTTTTATCAGCAGTGCCATGAGACTCAGAGGTTGAGTTTCCCCAAGGGTCATACAACTAGTAAATGTTGGAGCTGGGATTTGAAACTAGCTGTTTACTAATCTGGCAGCTTACTTAACTACCTAACTTATCTATCTGATTATTTATTAATACTTAATGTACCCAACCAGCAGCTTATTTAATCTCTTGTGCCCTAAATGTCCTTTTCTGCCAAATGGTGATAAATCATAGCAATTTCACAGGTGGCTGATTAAATGAGAAATGTGTGGAAGCAGCTAGCACTGTACCTGACACCTAGCAGGATCTTGGTGAATTTTAGTTCCTCATTTAATCCTGTGTTTAGAGACAGAATTGTCAGTGTGAAAGATGAAAGAAGGTCAGATTCAGGTCTTATACAGAATTATCCTATTGTTGAATATGTACCTTACTGCCAAATGATAACAGATCAGGGGGCAAGTTCAGTTCCTTGTCTTCTCATTACTTTGACTCCCAAAAGTTTTATTAATATTTCTGATTCTCAACAAGAAAACTATTTGAATATAAACACACTTCAATGCTTGCCTTCTGTGATATTTGAAGTCTAGTCAGTGTCAGAGCTAATGGGAGATTCAGGGACGCCACCAAATCCTGGGGTGGCCCTCAGCCAAGTTCTCTGAAGTTTCCAGAACAAAGATTCTCATGGTTTCTTGTGTACCAGAGCTCTGAGAAGGTTATGAATTATGCAGATTCCCAGGGCCCCACTCTCTGAGATTCTAATTAGGGAGGTGTAGGGTCGGGTCCTGGAATCTAAATTTTTTTTTTTTTTTGGAGACAGAGTCTCACTTTGTTGCCCAAGCTGGAGTGCCATGGAGTGATCTCAGCTCACTGCAACTTCCGCCTCCCAGGTTCAAGTGATTCTCCTGCCTTAGCCTCTAGAGTAGCTGGGATTACAGGTGCCTGTCACCATGCCTGGCTAATTTTTGTATTTCTAGTAGAGACAGGGTTTCACCATGTTGCCCAGGCTGGTCTCGAACTCCTGACCTCAGGTGACCCACCTGGCTCAGCCTCCCAAAGTGCTGGGATTACAGGCGTGAGTCACCACACTCAGAATCTGAATTTTTAACTTACACGTTTGGTGACAAGAATGCAGGTGGTATAAAGATCTCACTCTTTGTAACATTGTCCTAGAGGTTACATTTATAGGTCATGAGGACTTGGGATAAAGGAGAACTCATTAAGTTGGATCTGGATTTCTCAGGCTAGTATAGGGTCTAAAGTTGAGAGGAGTGAGGTGGTGATTACATTAATCTATGAGAATGTATTTTTGTTGAGGGAGCTGAATAAGATAAAAGAGAGAATAACATTAAGATCAACGTTGGCCTTGCTCTTTCACCAATAAAGAAATGACATCACTAAAATATTTGGTGTGTTCAACTGGGTACATGGCTTATTCAGCTCAATTTAATATATACTAAGGCAATTGCTGTGAGTCATATGAAAATGATTGTATCATCAGGCCTAAACTCAGGAAACTTGAAACTTTCATGGGGGAAACAACATATTTCTAATAATTTATAATATAAAGCAGAATGACGTTTCTACAGTAAAAGGAATATATAATGTGGTAGAGAAAGTAATTCCTCACAAGGACATCAAGGATGGCTTTCAAAGGAGGTGGCATTTGAATTCAACTCTAAAGAATAAATAAGGCTGGTCGTGGTGGCTCACACCTGTAATCCCAGCACTTTGGGAGGCTGAGGTGGGTGGATCACCTGAGTTCAGGAGTTCAAGACCAGACTGACCAACATGGTGAAACCTCGTCTCTACTAAAAATACAAAAATTAGCTGGGCATGGTGGCGGGCACCTGTAATCCCAGCTACTCAGGAGGCTGAGGCAGGAGAATCACTTGAACCTGGGAGGCAGAGGGTGCAGTGAGCCAAGATGGTGCCACTGCTCTCCAGCCTGGGTGACAGAGTGAGACTCCATCTAAAAAAAAAAAAAGAATAAATAGAACTCTGAAAGGTGGGTAAGACACTGAAGGGCATTCCAGAATGAGGAAGGGTATAACATCTCAGAGGTCTAAAGGGCCTAGGCTATCCTGGGAATGGCTCAAGAATGCTGGGAAGGTAGATGAGAGACAGTTTACTGAGGCTTTGGTTGAGGAATGTTGACAGGAGGAGGAGGGCACCTGTGTATTACGAAGCTGACTCTGGTAGACAGTAAAGAGCAGGTTAGATGAAGGCAGGCAGGCTGACCAGCCGCTGGCAGTTGTCACAGTCAGCTGAGACATCAGTGGTGAGAGCTTACTAATAGCTATGGCAAAAAGAGGTGAGCAGAAATCATACCCATTGACTGAAACGTTCTCCCTAGTGGCTAGAACACGACTATCAGAGAAAATGTGTAGAATGAAGGAGGGGATCAAGGCAGAGAAGGTAGGGGGAGGAAGCATGATACCAAAGATAGTTTTGACGTTTCCATCTTGGATTCCTCATGGGATGAATTTGTTGGCCCGATAAAGTACTTAGGAAGAACATAAGAAGTAAAGGCTTATGACAGCTGAGTCCAGGTTGTGGGGGGTCTCATAGATTGTTAAGAGCACCTATACCCTCTGTCAGTTGGGGCTAATGCTGCCCCAGAGGCTGCAGCCCTGCCCACACCATTGATGCTACGATAGTCAACCCACTGGCCTTGTAGCTGTGTGGCAATTATTTGTAAACTAGCTTTGGGACCAAATTTGCTTGGACAAAGACTGGCCTAATAAAGTACTTTTCTGATTTGTGATTTTATTTATGGGTTAAGATTTACAGACATAAAAATTGTTACAATGAAATTTATCCATGGAGCTTAAAATCAGATGAAACCAAACAGCCTGAGAAGATTCAAAGATGTACGGGCAGCTTCCTTTCAGTGTCCTTGGCACACTTACTGCCTTTACATTTTCTTGGTTCGGGAATGGGAAAGAGTTATCACATAACATGTTTCTCACTTCCTGATATTTTAAACAGAATTACATATTTGCAAATTTATTAAAACATTTGCAGTCAGCTTTATAAGAAGATGTTTTTCCTGTAAACAAACTATTGCCAATAGCGTTTAGAGTATTAGTCCAGACGATGAGGTCAGGAGATCGAGACCATCCTGGCTAACATGGTGAAACCCCGTCTCTACTAAAAATACAAAAAATTAGCTGGGCGTGGTGGCGGGTGCCTGTAGTCCCAGCTACTCGGGAGGCTGAGGCAGGAGAATGGCATGAACCAGGGAGGCAGAGCTTGCAGTGAGCTGAGATTGCACCACTGTACCACAGCCTGGGCGACAGCACAAGACTCTGTCTCAAATAAAATAAAATAAAATAAAATAAATAATAATAATAATAAAAGCCAATTTAACCAGTAAGTAAATTGAACTCATTACTAACAATAGTAGCTGGGAAATTTAAGATCTTAGGGATTAAAAAGACCCTGAGGCTGGGGGTGGTGGCTCATGCCTGTAATCCCAGCGCTTTGGGAGGCTGAAGCAGGATGATCGCTTGAGCTCAGGAGTTCGAGGCTGCAAGCTTCAGGAAGCTATGATCACACCACTGCCCTTCAGCCTGGGTGACAGAGCAAGACCTTGTCTCAAAAAAAAAAAAAAAAAAAGACCCTGTGAAAATTTTGAAATAGGCAAAATTGCATTTAGGATCCAGTCTCTTATCTTTCTCTATTCATTTCTCATTTCCACAAAGCCTCAGGAACACTGAGGCTTGTTCCTCAAGCCTGCCCTTCCCCTCCAACGGGGCTTCAGTCCATACGATGTCCTAAAACCTTCCTCTCCTCATCCTTTCCTCCAGGAATCGCCCTCCCAAGGCAGCTGATCTGGACTAAAGGTAGAGGCAGTCTGAGCTAGTTCACCACAATGCATGAATGATGGGCAGTCCGAAAGCCCTTTAACTCTCCTGGAAATAGTTGTGGTTTTAAAAAGGGGACAGACTGCCCAGTTTTCCAAAGGAATATTTAAGTGGCTTTTGCGGCCAATGAAAATGGAAAGTAGGAAAAGAAGTGCTAGGAAGAGCCAGGGAGATGGAGCAAATAGGGCAGACAAACCATCTGTGAATGTGCTGCTAGGGTAGATTCTCTTCCTGTTCTCCATATCAAAACCCAGTGAGTTTCCAAAAAAAAAAAAAAAAAAAAGGTGAGGTTCCCCCTCTTTTGCCCGTCAGTTCTGGAGAGGAAGACAGAGCCACTCATTCCTGTGGCTAGTATTTTTTACTCTGGGGCTGCGTCATGTAGAACACCCTGGACTGAGGCTGTGGGCAAATGCCTTTGCCTTTATTTCCTTCCCTTCTTCTCACCCTTCTCCCCTGCATCCCATTTGGTAGAGAACGTTTTGATAATTATTGATTCTTACTTGACATACCTTTTCACTTTATTTCTCATTTCCATAATTAATTTACATAATTAATTAATTAAATTTACAATGCCAGAAAATGCTGAACCTTTAACATTTTATTATCATTCTCTATGCTTTAAACAAAGAAGGTGGCACGGGCCCTTGAAATCTGCTTTTTTTTCTCTCCTCAGAATTGGGCCTAATAGCTCCTGTTTTTAAGAAAATTGATTATAATAGTGAATAATACTTTCACCTTAAATTACCAGATACCCTTGTTTTTGTTTGTTTGTTTGCTTGTTTGTTTTTTTTTTTTTTTTTGACAGAGACTCACTCTGTTGCCCAGGCTGGAGTGCAGTGGCGTGATCTCAGCTCATTGCAACCTCCGTCTCCCGGGTTCAAGCGATTCTCCTGCCTCAGCCTCCCGAGTAGCTGGGAGTACAGGCGCGCACCACTATACCCAGCTAATTTTGTGTTTTTAGTAGAGATGGGGTTTCTCTATGTTGGCCAGGCTGATCTCGAACTCCTGACCACAGGTGATCTGCCCCACCTTGGCCTCCCAAAGCGCTAGGATTACAGGAGGGAGCCACCACGCCTGGCCCAGATACCCTTGCTTTAAAAGAGTTGGAACTGAAATCACTTTCTACACATTCCTAAAATCACAAAGTAAAATCATTTAACTTTGGGGAAAAGTTAATTTAATTTTGTTCAAAGGTTGGTATCTCCCCTTTAGGGAAGAAAAAAAAAACAATTTCAATAATCGATTGAAAATCAGCTATTGGGACTTTTCAAAATCTAAGTTTAAAAAGGGTTTATATGTCCTTTGGAGAAACTGGAAAAATATAATTTTTTTACAAAATTCCTCTAGGCGTTTTTTTCAATTTTGAGAGCATGCATTTCTTCAAAATATAGGGGAGAAAGAACAATTAGATTATAAGTGTTTTGGAAAGATGTAAGAAGTTACCTTTCAAGGTGCTCCTGGAGAGCCTGCGTGTTGGTAAGCGTCACTTTGAAACTGGAGAGGCTGGAAGTGGGGAGGTGGAGGTTTGTGGGGTGGATATGGGGGTTGGGGCTATGTGAGGGGAGTTGGACCCAGAGCAGTTCCCTGTCTCATTGCCACCCCCTCCTTTTTTTTTTTTGGAGACGGAATCTTGCTCTGTCGCCCAGGCTGGAGGGCAGTGGCACAATCTTGGTTCACTCAACCTCCACCTCCGGGTTCAAGTGACTTTCCTGCCTCAGCCTCCTGAGTAGCTGGGACTACAGACATGCGCCACTATGCCCGGCTAATTTTTGTATTTTTAGTAGAGACGGGTTTTCACCATGTTGGTCAGGCTGGTCTTGAACTCTTGACCTCGTGATCCACTCGCCTCGGCCTCCCGAAGTGCTGGGATTACAGGCGTGAGCCACCATGCCCAGCCAATTGTTGTATTTGTAACAGTGATCTGTGATCAGCAATCTTTTTTGCCATCTTTTTGCCACCCTTTTTCTTCAGGATAAAATGACCATAAGGGGAGAGGGGCTGTTCCGCCTGATTGGCCTCCCAATAGGGCAGGCCATGAATGACATCCCTTTCACAACAGCAGCTGGTTGCCAGCCCTCCCTCTCCTAGGTATACCCTAGGGGCAATTCAGGGTGAAGGAAGGGAAAAAGGATGCAGTGTCACAAGAAACGATTGTTGCTCTGATTTGGAAGAGTATCCTTTTATCATTCAATGGAGCTCATAAGGAATCCCTCACTAAGAAATATGGCAGCAATTGCTGAGTTAGTCTATGGTCAATTTTTTAGTCTACTATTTGAATAAAAGAAAGGTTTTACTTGAATATGCTCTCTTCCTCCTAGAGCTTTCAAAATGTGTAATTTTAAAATTTCCTAAAAGTACTTTGGCTACAATTCACCTTTCGTCTCAAAAAAAAAAGAAATAAAAAATTAAGCAAATAAAAATAAAAGATATCTCATCAGTTACGATGTAAATGAAAAAATGTGTGTGTGTATGTGTGTGTGTGTGTGTGTTATGTACTTCTTGTGAGTTGTGGTCAGGCTTTGAAAACCACTATGCTAGAACACAACTAATCTGTCTATACCTTAATAAAACATGGTATACTGTGCAGCTTTTATGAATGCAGTCTCTGGATCTGCTGTGGGTCCTTCTCATTGCATCCTCAATGGCACCAGTGTTATATTCCATTAGACTTGCTTGGCAGAGGAGACTCCCTCTACCTCCACACCAGCCATCTGACACATGTCAGCAGAGCAACGTGCCAAGGCATTTCTGCAAGCTCCTGAGGGCATCTCATGCATGACAAAATCTATAAATTAGGGAAATCTCATCATTCAGTGTAAAAGATGACAAGGTCCATTACCTACTCCTGAATCATTGTTATTTTTCCATCACTAGGTTATTATGAAATAAGACTCTATGATCCACCCTGCATACAATAGATCAACGGAGTTCGAAAGAGCACAATTCATTTTATAATTGGGAGCAGGTTTCACAGTGAGAGGAAATTTTGTTAGTAATAATGGTCACTCTTTATGAAGGGCCTGTATTACACGCTGGGGATCCAAAGATGAGTAAGACTGAGTTCAAAGTCCAGTGGGGAATTCAGGCATAGTAATGTCATAGATGAGAAACTGCAAAAGGATACAATGTAACATTCACTGCTGTATTAATTAGTTCAACTTTATATAGAAAATGTGAAGAAAGACTTTTGGTAGTGTGGTGAAAATAATTAGATTGAATTTGACTGGGACTGGTTCGAATTTGAATCCTGGGACTGATACTTACTTTTATGTACACACACACACACATACATAGTGGCTTTCAAAGCCTGACCACAACTCACAAGAAGTACATCATAACACACACACACACACACACACACAATTTTTTCATTTACATCGTAACTGATGAGATATCTTTTATTTTTATTTGTTTAATAAACAATATAATAAAAAATATATATATATATATATTTTTTCTTTTGAGACAGGGTCTCACTGTGTCGCCCAGACTGGAGTGCAGTGGTGCAATCTCAGCTCACCGCAACCTCTGCCTCCCAGGCTCAAGTGATTCTCCTGCCTCAGCCTCCCAAATAGCTGGATTACAGGTGCCTGCCACCATGCCCGGCTAATTTTTGTATTTTTAGTAGAGATGGGGTTTCACCATGTTGGCTAGGCTGGTCTTGAACTCCTGACCTCAAATGATCCACTGACCTCAGCCTCCTAAAGTGCTGGGATTACAGGCATGAGCCACTGCACCTGGCCAACTTTTATATATTGACACATGAAAAATATTATCTGGTCCCTAGTCAGATATATATATTAGAGGGAACTAAAATTTAGATTCTTATTGGACTGACATCCTATTTTAAAAGGAAAACATATATATATGTTTCCTCCACTTTAGGAGGCTGAGGTCAGTGGATCATTTGAGGTCAGGAGTTCAAGACCAGCCTAGCCAACATGGTGAAACCCCATCTCTACTATAAATACAAATATATATATATATATTTGGAATATAAGATTGCCATATTGTTTTAGAGCTGAATTGGCAAAACTAGTATCCCAGGTACTTCTTTAGTTAGACTTGTTATCACGCATCTGTGAAAGCCTACACTGGGCTTACTTCATCTCTGCCTCCAGCACTTTCTGGTCTCAGGGCGAGTGCAACTTTTCCAGACCTTGATTTCTTACAAGAAAAAAAAAAAGGAGATGTTGAATGCAGTGATCGCTTTACTGTCCTCTTATGAATCAATAGGGGTGGGGCAGTAAAGTATGAATAGCCCTTCATGATTAAGGGGAAAGGACACCTGCTTTTTTTTTTTTTTTTGGATATGGCATCTCGCTCTGTTGCTGAGGCTGGAGTGCAATGGTGTGATCTTGGCTCACTGCAACCTCCGCCTCCCAGGTTCGAGCAATTCTCCTGCCTCAGCCTCCAGAGTAGCTGGGATTACAGGCGCCTGCCACCACGCCCGGCCGATACCTGCTTTTGGGAAGGAGTTTTTAGTGTGCCTAAAGGAAGCCAAAAAGGGCAAACCATAATGGATCCAGAGTGGCTGGGGAAAACCTGAGAAAGCGGCATGAGAAACTGGATATTTTGCTTATCGAGAGACTCAAAACCAAAATCAAACACAGAAATTGGGAGAGAGAAAAATATAGATTAGGAGGTCCCTACAATATCAAATCTTACCAAAATTTCTTTCACTTCAGAGTGAAGAAATCTTTGAAAGCCATCATGAAAGGGGGAACCCTGAGCTGGAGCAGCAGGCCAGGCTCGGAGACCTTTCCCCCCGCAGGTAAGACTGCACATCCGTGGGTGCAGGGGGCGAGGGGGTGCGGGGCATGGGTGGCGAGGATCCTCTCTTTTACACCTCAGCACCTGTCTTTCCCAGATAAGAATCATAATATTTATCCTCTATACTAACCTTCATTTATGTACCTGAGAACAAAATTTGTGGATCCCACAAAAGCAACAAGCAAAAGAGCTTAAAGTGACATCTTAGAAACCAAACTTCTAAGAATACAGTGTTTTAAAAAATTGGGCTATCAAGAGAATATTACATGTAAGCTAATGTTGATATTGACTGAATTATTGGTTTAAACACATTTAAAGTCTCTTGGTTCCCCAAAGACACAAATTTATACAAATGCTGTTTTTGCTCTGTAGAAAGGTGTTTGCATCCTCAGAAATGCTGTGCCATTTAGAAAGCCTAAATTAGGGAGGTAAAAGCCAAAAATAACACGGGGAAATTTATTTTAAAAAAATATTTATACTCAGAATCCCCATCATGATACCTGTTCTAGTGCTAGTCACATTATTTATACCCACGCTGGTTGACTTGTAAGCTTTTATCCATGGCGTCTATCATAATGCTTGACTCTTAGCAGGCCTCTGAAAAATGTCTGTAGAATGAATGAACAAACATCTTTAGGAATGTGCTCCTTGATTAAACATAATATTAACTAGACTACTTTATATTCTTTCACTTACGGTGTATTCAAAGAAACATGTGGGCTCTTACTGATTGCCATGTTCCTGGAGTTATAATGAATGGCCCAATTCAGCATGTGGGCGTTGAATGGTATAATCTCTGAAAAACACCATTTGGCAATGATATGTTCTCTAGTTTTCCTTAAGTGACAGTTTATCTTTTGAGACTTTTACTAAAACTCATACCTACTTTTGTAAGAGTCTTAGTGTTCTTTAAGTTAGTTGATGAATTATTGTATTAACTTATAACAGGCCAGGTGTGGTGGCTCAGGTCTGTAATCCCAACACTTTCCAACACTTTGGGAGGCTGAGGTAGGAGGATTGCTCGAGCCCAGGAGTTGAAGACCAGCCTGAGCAACATAGTGAAGACACCATCTCCACAAGAAATTAAAACATTTAGCGGGATGTGGTGGGGTGCACCTGTAGTCTCAGTTACTCAGGAGACTGAGGTGAGAAGATTGCTTGAGCCCAGGAAGCTAAGTCTGCAGTGAGCTAAGCTGTGATCACACAGCTGCACTGCAGCCTGGGTGACAGAGCAAAACCCTGTCTCAAAGAGGAAGAAAAAAAACAAAAAACGTATGGCAGACTGCCAAATCATACTTATGAGAAACACAAAGGAATAAAGTTACAGCACTCAACTAAAGAAACAAAAATATCTTTATGTTCTTGCAAAAGAACTTTGAGAAAAGGCAAAATTAGCCACTGAGTTAATCAAGAGGTAGAATCTGTAAGACTACTGTTTTTGTTCTACCACCAGCTTTGACTAAATACCTTAAGATCACCAGTCTTTGCTGCAACTGTTTAATCTGTATTTCCTTATTCCTTTTTGATTTTATAGATTTGAGTTTTGCTGCATAACTAAACAAATTTGCTTGGTATATAGAAGGCTTTCAGATTTTGGGGAGATGATTAATTATTCAGAACCCTAAGTGGACACTGTACAAGGCATGGTTGCCTTCAGAACTTACAGCTCGTAAAAAAACACATGGAATGATTAGTAGGTAGTACGATAATATATGTGACTAAATATAAATTTGGGGAGAAGGGAAGGAAGAGATGCTTAAGGGAAGAGAGGAGGTAGAATTGGATTTCCAAAATTTCAACAGGTATAGGAAAAACAGTGCTCTTGGCAAGGGAAACCAACTTAAGCAAGGTATGGTCATGATTGACATTTGTGATAGATAATAGTGGCAGTGATAAAAAAAAAAAAACCAAGCTATAGGGAATGAAGGAGGAAAAGTTTACGTAGGGCGTTGAAAACCAGGTAGAAGAGTTTAGATTTGATGCTGGAGGCAGTGAGGAGTCTTTGAGGTCTGGAGTAAAGGAATATTGTAATGAAAGCTATGATTAAGGATTGTGTCACTGCAGAATGCGGAAGTGATCGGAAGGAAAACTGACTCAAAGAGACATCGAATATTCCTCTCATTATTATCACAGAATGAATAACCTTGCATATCAAGAGTTCTCTGGTTCTATTCTCATTGCAGCTATAGCATCCAATTAAAGTCCCCAAATATAGGTCATTAATTAATTCTTCCAAGTCATCACATTTTAGTACCAACTACAAACACTCCTACCACGACTTGCAAGTAAAAAGTTCTACCATAAACAAATAATTCGGATGCTTACAAGTTTTAAATATAGATTGAGTTACACAATATGCCATGTGAAGAACTGAGCAGGAATCAGGTAAAAACAGATGAGAGCACATTACATGCAACTATATCGAAGCACCAGACACTCCAAAGTAGGTGTAAGGGCATTCCTGATATTAAGAGATTAGGGTTAAAATTGACTGTATTTCAGACAGCTAACCGTGTCAAAGAAAAGGAAAACGTAACCTTTTCAAATGGTATCTTAAAGCGCTATAACTACAGGTGATTTCATCCCTCTCTCAACAGATTATAGTCATGCATTGCTTAACAATGAGGATAAGTTCTGAGAAATGCATTTTTTTTTTTTTTGAGACAGTCTCGCTCTGTCGTCCAGGTTGGAGAGCAGTGGCACAATCTCAGGTCATTGCAACCTCCCTTTCCCAGGTTCAAGCAATTCTCCTGCCTCAGCCTCCCGAGTAGTTGGGATTACTGGTGTGTGCCACCACACCTGGCTGATTTTTGTATTTTTAGTAGAGATGGGGTTTCACCATGTTGGCCAGGCTGGTCTCAAACTCCTAACCTCAGGTGGTCCACTTGCCTCGGCCTCCCAAAGTGCTGGGATTACAGGCGTGAGCCATGGCGCCTGGCCAATAAATGCATCTTTAGGTGACCACATCGATGTGCAAACATCCCAGGTTATACATACGAGAACCTAGATGGAATAGCCTACTAGACACCTAGATATATGGTAGAGCCTATTGCTCCTGGGCTAGAAACCTGTACAGCATGTTGCTGTACTGAATACTGCAGGCAATTGTAAGACAATGGAAAGTATTTGTGTATCTAAACACATCTAAATATACAAAAGGTACAGTAAAAATCTGAAATAAAAGATAAAAAATGGTACACCTGTATAGGGCAGTTCCATTACAATTTCATGGGACTATCATCATATATGTGATCCATCGTTAACCGAAACGTCATTTTGTGGCACATGACTACATTAGGAAAGAACATCTCCCCATCCAGATATTCCAGCATGAGTCATTTAACAAAAAGTACATCTTAGGTGGCTCTATAATGCAGAGAACATGATAATCCTATAGGAACAGGGCTAAGACCATGTAGTACATTAAGACAGAAGGAATGATTATATAAGCAATGTTCATGAAAAAGTTTAAATACACATCTCATGATAATTTTTCAGTTGTTTATTGGAAACTATAGATTTTTTTTAAACTCACTAATTATTTTGCCATACAAGAGCAAAATTCAAGTAATACAAATATTTAACATTTTGGTATAAAATTAACAATATGGAAAAAAGATGCAAACCAACCAAAAGGTAAAAAAATTTTAACAATAACACTGTGTATAACCATCTTCTATTCAAGTGACCATCCAAGCTGATAGTTTATTTTCCCTTTGTTGACATTTTTTAAAAAGATAGCCCTACACTGGAGCACCAAAAAGTTTTTTCCTTCTTTTTTAAAAGGTTGGAACCCTTTTATTTACAGATACTCTTCTCAGTACTTTAAGTAAGTGTGATGAAGGAATCATCTAGCAACTTCCTTCTTAGAAAAAAAGGAAGTGCCTTCATATTTCCTTGAAATTTAAACTTGTTCCATTCTATTCTAAGCAAAAATTAAAAGGACACAGTTCAGAAGAGCTCTTTCAGCAAATAAATAATTGTTTCACAAAAGCACTGCTGTAAACAAGATCACTTTGATGGCCAGAGACACTTATGTTTTCAACCAATGGCAACCTTAAACACTTCCAAGTATAGATACACAGGGTATATATGGGCAAAAGGCAATACATCATTAATCAATCAACTAATAAAAATTAATTATAAGCTTGTTGCTTGGTCAAATATGCTTTTGTTCTCTATGTTTTTTTAATTGGTCAGAAAACTTAAACTGTAATGATCTAAAACCCTGTATCTACTCTGAAAGTAACTACAACCTAGAATGTTTGACACTGTAGTTTTGACATTAGTTAAAAATTCTAAATTATCTAAGCAATGTAAACAAGCCTCAAATTTCAAAATAGAAAAAAATTAAAATTTCTGTAAACATTAAAAAGCTACCTGCTAAAAATTGTAAGTATCATCATTCAGTTGTGTATACTGAGAAATCTTTTTTCGTTTTGTTTTGCGTGTTTCCGACATCACCTTATTATATGAGACATCTGATTTTCCCTAACAGGTGCCTCTGCAGTCAAAGGCCTTAGAGTGAGTTCAGTCACTCTTGCTGAAGTCATTATTTTGGCCTTCATATAATCTCCCTAGCAGTAGACACCACCTAGTTCTTTCTGTAGTGAAGGGAGGTAGTGTGTATTATAGCCACATTTTTATCCTGCTTTGTAAAATAAATGTAACTTACTCTATTAGATCTCAGACACATCTCTTTGATTACAAGGAACATGCAGCTTTAAAAATGCTTTAACCCCAAACTGGCAACTTTTCTATCACTTTTTTACTCTGTTTTCAAGTTTGAAATATTTAGAAAATAAAGATCACCTCTGACAGTTATTGATGAAAAATAAATTGTTTTAGATATTATAACTTTGATGTTTAATGCTCTCAATTTAAAACTCTGAACTTGGAACAAAGTGCTGTGGTTTATAAGACCTTGTTGGGGAGGAGTGGGTTAATTTTAGTAATCAGTACAAGGATTTAGACACTAAGATTTCATTTTATAAAATTATGGAGACATTAGGCTTGTAATGTTCTGTCTTTCCATTTGAAGTCTCTCCATTATTATATTCCTCTATGTAAATTACATTCAAATAACAAACTTAAACACAGACCAATATTGAATATTTAAAAACCAGTTGAAAACGTCATTAAAATCAGCTTATTTGAATTAACAATGGTTTCTCCCTAGAGAAGGACCCTATGAGCAACCAGCTGCCCGTGTTATGTGTCATTTTCTAATACTTAAAAAAAAATCCATTAAAAACATATAAAGTATTAGGGCAACATTAATCACTTTTCTAAAAGTTCACATTAAACTTTGAAAAAAGATGCAAAAAAAGGTATTTTAATGACTCTAACACCAGTAGCTACATGGATGTGGTAAGACGTGATTTGTCTGTTTATAATAACATTGTACACATTTTTCTACATCTCCTCTTAAGAACAAGAGACTGTTTTACCAGATTCATGAACTTTCTCTCCTATGCTGACCTTTCCCTGCCCCTACTACCTCCACCAAGTGCTCTTTAACAAAAATAAACTTGCTTACCTGGTCTAACAATATATTCATTTCCTTGAAATGTTGTACTGTACGTTCATTTGGTATTTTCCAAAAGCAATTATTCTAACATCAAAACTTCTTAATAACATCTCTACACCTCAAGTATATATGTGGCATTACATGAGAACTTGAACTTCCCTTTAGTTTTGTTTTCACTAATAATATAAACCTTTTCTAAATACAAATTCTTTGAAATGAACTTAGGCAATGAAGTAGATAAGTGATATTAAACAGCTTCTAGAATCAAAGAAACATTCTGATGGACTAGGCTTTCAAAATATTTGTCTTTCGTCCTCATTTTACTTAGGGTATAGACGAACATTTAAAGGTTTTTTTCATCCAGGTTTGACTCAGTGACAGTGAAAACATACAACATTCAAGTACTATTAGATAAACGCAGCCCTACAAGGGTATGTGTCCACATAGCTAATTTTACAAAGGAGAATTATCTTCATTAATCTGCAGTATATTTGACCAAAAAAACCTTTGGAAATGGTTTTTACTTTAGGATCTGTAGCATTCTTCCAAAGGTCCTGGAGATCTTCTAAGTGTCCATGAGATGTCATCATTTTTTCATAGATGCAGGGATGATAAGGAGTTTTACCCTCTCCAGAAAAAAACACATGGTCCTGCGGTACTATCCCTATTTTATTGGCACAGAGGCCCATGAACACATCGTCTATGTAAAGACTTGAATTTAGTGTCTGTGATGCCTCATAGACTTTGGCAGCTACATCACCGGAGATTACATAGGCAGCTCCGGCTGTGTAGTCAGGGTAAGCTGGCCACTGGTACATTTCATAGGACACGTAGTATTTGCTGCTTTTATCTCTAATGGGAGGGGCACCACGATGAACACGACCAATCCAAAAGTCTTGAACACCAATTTGTTCTAAACTTTGAAGGTACTCAATCAGATTTGGCATGTGAATAAATATGTCATCATCAGCAGTCATAAGAAATTTGGCATGTGGACAATAGGTATTTGCCCAACTGAACTGCATAAGTAATTTCAGAGTAAGATTGTAGAAAGAATCAACAAAGTCTTGCTGAATTATATCATTGTACCTTTGATCTTCCCAAGCCAGTTTTCTTTGTAGTTCTTCTCCCTCCAGTGGATTAGGAGTTCCTAAGGCAAACAGAGTTTTGATGTTGGCATTCAGCTGAGACCGAACATAATTTTCATTGCCCCACGTCCTTCTAATTCCGGAACGTCGATCATAGTTTTCAGGAGCAGTTTTTACAAACAGTAAAAGGAGGACGTCTTGAGCTTGACACTTTTCCTTGTGGTTAATCAAGTATTGGTAGCGAGGCCCCGCTGAGGTGTGCTTAAGAGACAGGGTATCATTCACAAAGTCATAGCTATTTATGAGGTATCTGTAAGAATATGACTTCATATGGCTCACAATGTGATTATCGATTGGTTCCCAAAAAAACATGAGGCTCGCTAAAAAACAAGTAGCAAATAACTGAATAATTAACTGCCATTTTTTGACTCTTCTGCCACTAACCAACATTCTCATATCCACTCAAGTCTGTTTTTAGTTAGGATCAGTTTTAAACAGGCACGGGCTTCTTCGAGACCATAGAACTTCGTGTTTCGTAGAGTAGGTGTCCATCTTAATACATGTTGGTCATTAAAAATGGAAGTCTTCTTATTTTACAAAATAGTTTCTTTTAGTCCCATTTTTCTGAGATTGCGGAAGAATGGAACACCCTGTAGAACGAGGACACTGGCACGTCAAAATTCTTCCACACGGGCATCCTTCAGGAAGCGTGGTGGGCGGCCTCATGCGGCTCTCCCATGTGAATATTCCATGCCACCTATCACAGTCAAGAAGAGAAAAGAATCACAATCGCGTGGGTTACTAAGGTGCTGGAAAGAAACATATTCCTAATTCCTTAAAACCAAATGTAACCTGCCCTGTCTGCACAAAAGGTGATGAGGTAGTTAGTACTTAGCAGAGGCATACGGCTGTTTATTTTTTTTAAAGGAGGACAGGAAAAGGGAAAAAATTGCTTTACACTGTCTTCCCATTCAGAGTACAGAGACCTTTTTCTACTCCTACTCTTAAAAAAAAAAAAAAAAAAGCTTCCCAAACGGCTATAATCGTGTATACTTAAGTTCAAATTTCACAAACAGGTACATTCATGAATATACTGACTTGAATATGGTCAGGATGAAAGCAGATACATAGATCAAGGCAAAATCTTCAATGAAAAGAAAATTCACAGCAGTAAAAATCCATTAAGGCTTGCCCCAGACAAGGCAGGAATAAGAGTAAGACTTCTTTTTTCTTTTTTTTTAAATTAAGGTTCATAATCAAGGAGTCACAGTTTGCTCCTTGAAAGCAAACTCTCAGTAATCAAAATTACTTTGTGAGCCCCAGATTTATACAGCCACCTTCTTTCTGTACTTTTTTATTTGGAAATGCAGCAGGCGCCTCAATGTAACATGTTCTAAACTGGGAAGCAACAGAATGTAGCCAACAAGCACTGCCTTTGTAGTCAGGCAATTTGAACACCAATGCCGCCTTAGCCACTTACGGTTTCTTGTACCATATCATGCGCAGAAATTTGACAAATTGGGGTAAGACCGTTTAACTCGAAGTCTTTATGCAAATTAAATGGGAATATACATGACAAATGAAGGGAAGTAGACAGATGATTACCTAGCACACTAGGGTACTCAAGTGTCATTTCTCACCCATTCTGTTATCTTCTCCCCTAAAACCTGCTGTTCCTGTTTCTCTTTACATGTGCCTAACTGCACTTCTTTCATCTATGCCTGAAATCTGGAACCGCCCCCCCCATTTTCTCCACTTCCATTATTTAAATGTTTAATCCTGTGAATCACTTCTTCTAAATCTCTCTTCACCCCTTCATGTTATCATCACTTCTCACCCAGACTAGATGATCCCCTGGCCAGCCCACCTTCCACTTTACAGTCAGCGTGACCTTTGTAAAACTTGGATTTAACCACGAGACAAACTGAGCTCTTTTAACTCCTTCAGAGCCTCTCCATTAGTTAGTGACAAGATGAAGTCCAGCCTGGCCCACAGGACCCTTTAGGATCTGCCTCTCCAGCTGTTTGGTCCCATCATTTGACAATACCAAATTATTGGCTGAAAGCACAGTCACACTTGCCATTTCATATGCCCTGGTCTTTACACCAGCAGTCCTGTGGCCTGGCTACCTTCCTCCCTTGCTAATATGAAGTCTACAGACATCCTTCTCTGGGAAGCCTGAATTGGGATCAACCCATTCCCTGAAAGATGCTTCTCATCTCATCTGTATTGCCCCAGCACCTTCTTATACCCCATACAGAGACTTTTTAGGCACGATGTTGTGGACACCCTACACTCAGCATCCAGCTCAGTGTGTGACCCCTGGTAGGCATTCCCCAAATGTTGGTGCAAAGAACCATGCCGGGGGTGGAGCCACTGTTTACTCAAAGTGATGGTTACTGGGGAAGGATTGGAGGTCAGGACCCTAGCCAGGTGCCACCTCGGATGAGGTCCATGCCATGGCTGCTTACACCAGGTCCTCTCTTTTCCTCCACCACTGGGACGCAGCACCCTCCTTCCTCAAGAATTCTGTCCCCCGTGCTTACCACAGGTAAAACACTTCCTTGGATGGAAAGGTAGGCTCTCTTCCTCGGGGGTGGTACATTAGTTTCCTGGGCTTTGGACAGGACTGACGGGGAGAGAGCCGTGTAGGCTGAGCCACATAGCAAGCCCCAGGGCAAAGGCCCTGCTTTGTGCCCAGAGATCTGTTCTCAAGTCCCCCCGCCGGTTGACCCCTGATAGAAAACCAACTGTACACACTGAGTGCCCTGCAGAATGGGCCTAGCCTCAGCTGTGACACCTCCATCCCCACTTCAGAGCTTTCGGATCCAGCTATATTTCCCACCCCCATGATCACTCCACATCAGGGTGGAGGCAAAGGCCAGGTATGTAAAATGTCCAATGAGGACTAGAGATTAGAGCCAAGCCCCATTCAGACTTTGTCCAGAGATAATCAGTATAGGGCACACTTTATCGCCAAGGGCATTGATTTGAAAACTGCACGCACCACTTAGGAAGCCACAACCAGCATTTTTTTTTTTAAATACAGAGTGTACTGAGAGTAGTAAGAGCAAGAATCATTTTGTGAAACTTTTGGGTTTTCTGTGTGTGTGTGTTCAGGGGTGTAATGGGAAATGTGTTGCTGTGCTTTAATATCACAAAGGCTGAAGGCCGGCCATGGTGGCTCACGCCTGTAATCCTAGCGCTTTGGGAGGCCGAGGCAGGAGGATCACTTGAGGTCAGGAGTTTGAGACCAGCCTGGCAACATGGTGAAACCCCATCTCTATAAAAAATTCAAAAATTAGCCGGGTGTGGTGGTGCACACCTGTAATTCCAGCTTCTTGGGAGGCTGAGGCAGGAGAATCACTTGAATCAGGAAGGTGGAGGTTGCAATGAGCCGAGATCGTGCCACTGCACTCCAGCCTGGGTGACAGAATGAGATTCCATCTCAAAAAAAAAAAAAAGACTGAAACACTGCTCTAAGGAACAGATCAATATCAGTAATTTCCCCCTTTGGACAGGCTGGTCATTTCTGGACTGAATGCTCTAGAGGAAGGTGAGAAAGACGTCAGAAAATATCAGTTTCTGATGGTGGCATCTGCCTAAAATTTGCGAAATCACTTTCATTCAGGGGCCCACTTTCTCTCAGTTGCTCTCTCAGTCTTTCCACAGTGCTCATCCAGATAACAACCATCCTCTGAAGCCCCAAAACAAGGGCCCTCTGGCCTCCTCCACCATACATCTGGAAGGAACTGGAGGCTTAAAGCAAGGTAACAGAATTCTTGATGGCAGATTTTAAGCCAGCATACACATTTTTGAGAATTCTAGGAAAATTCTCAACTGAAAAGCATCTGCAGTTTCTACTCTAATTGACCCTGGGAAGGGAACAAAGAGGAAAGTAACCTTTGGAATCTCAGGGATCAAAGGGAAAACCAGCTGCCTATTCCTGAGCAGCTGTGCCCGGCAAGCTCCAATGCCAGCTTGCTTTGCACGTCCTACAGTTGTTTGCAAGTCTGAGCTTCTTGCTAGACTTTGTGCCCACAAGTCCAACTGCTCCCACACCCATTGTGCATCTATCTGACTCATTAAAGGTGCTAGTATCTCTCCAGTGAATCAGGCCTATTACTCACCAGGTTGGTGCATTGCTGCTGTTGCTTATATGGCTACTGTAAGCCGGCAGCTGGTTCAGAACCTTCATTTTGTCCCCACCCTCAACATGTACGTATTTATCTTATTTTCCTGTATTTTTTCAGCTGTTCCAAATTGACATCAACAAGTCAAAATGCTTTCTGAAAAATGACAAAAGACCTGTCACAAAGCCAACATCCCACGCTACTTATTTAGTTCAGCACAGCATGTGAAGCTGTAAAATGAGAATTCTCCCCCTCAGTAGTTTGAATTTTTTAGCCACCATTTACATAAATCACAACCAGATCTCACTGATAATACTGGAATGATAAGGGGAAGATTTAGGAAAGGTAAAACTCCTCAATACTTGAATGATAAGGGGAAGATTTAGGAAAAGTAAAACTCCTCATTTGTATTACACAGCTTCACTTGTATAACAAAAGAACATCTGAATTCCTCCAAATTGAACATAGTCACTAGGAGGCCTTTCCCAGCCTAAATCAAAAGCACTGCCCTCCCCCGGCCTGCGCCCGATCTAAATTGATCAATTACAAGTCAACACTGTTGCGCCCAGCTCCGGCTTTGCGGATGGAGACCACGCACATACAACTGGCGCTCACTCTTCTGGTTTCTTTCGGCGTCTTAAAGCTTCTCTAAAGCACAGCTTCCAGCTTTCCTATTCAGAGTGCAGGGGAGGGACCTAGGAAGAAGCCCACAAGCCTGCCGATCTGGTAGAAGAAAATGCTGGGCCTGGCAGGAAACAAAGCAAGCCCAATGCCGAATGCGCAGCTCAGCAACCATCCACAACAGACTGCTGTGGGTGCAGCTTCCTTTGTGTGCCTGCAGCACGGGTCAGTGGCCAATCAACAGACTAGAAACTCAAGGGTTACCCCTGTTTGGGGCCAGATTTATTGTGTAACCTTGGGCAACCCTCACCTCACTCTGATTCGGTGCTTTAATCTGCAAATCAGGGATGAATATCCATGTAATGTCACCGAGGGGCAGTAAAAATTATAAATGACTTCAGAGCCTGCTGAAAATAGGAAATAGAAAAAGCATGGGAGAGAAGAGGACAAAGAATTGCTTAGAAGAAAATATGCAGATATCTCAGATACAACCTGGGTTTGCTTCTATTTGGACTGAGAAGAAGGGACAGGTATTCTTAGTATTATCTTTTCTAATAGAGGTAGTCAGAAGAATAAAGAATAGAAGTAGGAACATCAGAAAAGAGGTGACAGATCCCAAATACTTTTCAGTCTAGGAGCCGTGCCCCTCAGTTACTCATAAGAATATTCTTTCACAAGAGAGCTCTTTAAACTTTTTGGGAAAAAACTAGTTAGAACACCCAAAGGCTACAAGTTTCCCTGCAATAATCCCTGATTGTTGTAAACCTTACCCCTGCTGTCAACTCATTTCTTTGTTGAGTCTACTTTTGTGATGCTGAGATAATATGTGAAACCTGCTATCCGTTTTGAAGTTTTAATCAAGATGGGGAGGTCCACACTTCTAAGTACAAGTTAAACAACCTCAGTCTCCAGTTGTTTCAATTAATCCTACAAGTATATGAGTATTTACTCTGCGGGTTCTTATACCAGACACAGTGGGAGATCATGAAGAAGTATTTTACAGTCTCCAATCTCAAAGCATTTACACTCTATTTGTGACAAGACTCGTAGTTCCCACATGAAAGCATAGTTCCCACAGACAACAATGGGCAAATCCTGGTAAGGTACAGTGTGTCTGCATGACACCAACCCCAGGCACAAGAGGGAAGTCTCTGGGACTAGTAGAGAAATCGGTGGGGGTTGGATTAGTCAGGATTTTAGGAGGGCCTGAGGACGACTAGGATTTAGGTGGCTGCAGGAGTAGGAACAATCTTTGTTTTAGACAAGAACTGTGTATGGCAGATAGAAGATTTGAAAGCAGAGAGGTGGGAACCTGCTTATGGAGAACCTTGAAAATCAGGTAGAGGAGTCTTAGGGGGGTACAGAAAGCAGCAGGAAGTCATAGAAATTTCTGGTTTTGTTTGTTATAGTAACTCCCTTGCTCAGTATTTATTAAGTTTGAGCAAGAGGGATTAAACTGGCTAATGGTGGTATGGGGTGAAATGCAGAATGCCTGAAGATCAGGACGCTGGTTTCTCAAGGGCTCACACTGATGCCGGATGAGGTGAGGAAGGCCTAGTCGAGGGTGGTGGAAATGGGGACGGAAGGAAGGCATAAAGAAGGCCCTTTCAAGAAAATCAAAGACCTAGCAGGACCTGATGAATGACCTGGGATGGCGAGTAAAGGAGGAAGAAGAGAAGTAAGAGCTAATTTCAAGCATTACCAACAAGGGAGGGAAAACTGGTTTCCTGAGTTAGGAGTGAAGGAGTATTTGATTTTAGACTCGCATTGAGTTCGAGGCGATGGAGAGACAAGAAGGTACAGATGTCCAGGGGGTAATAATCTAAGACGAGTTAGACAGGACTGGAGAGATCCAGGTGGGTACTCTGAGCATGAAGATGACTAATTTCATGAATGTGGATAAGCTCTCTAGGTGGAGAGACAGCAATGGGCCTGGAGGAAAAATAAACTCCGGAGAAGGAGAGAAAGGAGGAGTCAATGAAAAAAGGGCTCATTCATCAGAAAATTAAGATGGGGTTAACAAATGGGTAGAGTGGGTAAGCAGGACAAACAAGGCCCTGGTCTTGGAGCTCTAAGTGGGGAAGAGAGACATTGACCATATAGTTAGGGTTGTGCTGGGTGCTACAGGAGGGTCTAAAGATGGACCCTGCCCCACTTGGGGGCTGGTTTGAGGTTGGGGAGGGCAATTTCCAGGAAGAAAAGCAACAGTGAACTGTATTTCTGCATTTTATTCAGTAGACTTACACCACACTCAAGTCTAAGGACACCTTATGGTGTGTATACCATTTTGATCATGTGATCTCCCAACACTCAAGACACCTTATCAGCCAGGAAGTTGTTTACATGGCTTCACTGAGAACTGCATTTCTTCTGAGACCTCAAATTCCAGGATACTCACTCTATAGTACACTCACTCCTCAGCTGCAACTTCTAAATATTCATCGAGAACCTTCTGCCACCCCACCCTGCCCAGCAGTCTCCTGACCTTTCTTCCTCACACACCTCCCCCGTTTCAGATGCAGAATCATTGGACACCTTTGCCCTCCCACCCCAACAACCCCAGACCCCAGCGCCCTCCCATCTTCCTGTTCCTATGACACCTCCAGGGCTGCTGGGGAAATGGGACTTACCAGGCAGGCAGCGTCACCACAAATGGCACTATCTAGCTTTGAGCAGTTTTCAGTGCTACGTGACTGTTCCTGAACTTGTCCCGAACCTTCTCCCTTTCCCAGTCTCTTCAGCGGCCATGCTAAATCTCCCCCTCCCAGGCTCTGTCCCCCCCACCCTGAAGACTTCACCTCCTGTCTGCTTCCTAGAGAAAGGAGGAGACATCAGACACACCATCAGCTCCTCCTCCCCTTCTGGGCCGCCTCCTCATGGGCTCCCTAGTTCCCCAACACTCACCATTCCCTCTATAAAACATACTGATCGGGCCGGGACTAGGGGGAGACAAGGGAGCCACTTATTTTAGGTGCACAATTTAAGGGGGTACCAAAAACTCCGTAGTCAGTATAATATTTTGATGCAATATTTTTAAAAAATCAAAGTTACTGAAAAAAATCCACAGTGAACAAAATGTCAAAACGGTAAACCAAGACAGGCTCCAACCCTGCACTTATACAGCCCTGCCTCACCTGACTCCCCTAATCCCTGTCCTGCTGACTGGGGCCTGCTGGGGGCTGAATATTGCCAACTTCCATGGACATGTCTGCATTCTTAGTATATGTATGTATACCAACCTAAAGTATCATAAAACAAGACTAACCCTTAGTGTATATAATAAAGTATCATAAAACAAGACTAACCCTTAGTGTATATAATAAAGTATCATAAAACAAGACTAACCCTTAGTGTATATAATAAAGTATCATAAAACGATACTAATCCTTGTATTAGTATTATGATACTTTAATTTGGTATATATATATATAATATATATGCATTCCTCATTCCTTTATATCTTTTAAACTTTTATTAATAAATATTCATATATATATATATATATGAATGCCCAATTCTATTCTTTTTTTTTTTTTTTTAATGCTGGACATGAAAACCTCCTAAAACGGTTGTCTGAACCATGAATGGATTGTGTTCTACATAGCTGAAAAACACCAATCTAGAATGGAATCAAACCTCTACCATAAAATCATCCTCTCTTACTTCAATTATTGCCAAAACAAGAACAAACCCAGAAATTCTATATAAGAAGGCAGTATAATTTAATGGAAAGACTAACAGATTAGAAGAAAACTAAGAAATTTAATCATTCCATTCTAGCTCTGGTTTTTTCCTTGCGGGGGAAATAAAATACTGTAGTGAAACCTACATAGAAAACAAGACTGAACTGATAATTTTCTTCATTTAAAAAATCAATTTAATACTTGGAATATCCCCATGCATCATGAAAATATAATGATCCCTTTAAAAGTGATATGCTTAGAAAGTAGACTATATAAGGCTCCTCCGGTGAGTCACAGTTTTTAAAAAAATTTCCTTTATATCCTCATTCCTTTATATCTTTTACATTTAAACTTTTATTACTTAATAAAGTCCCACGTGGGAGAGTTTTTAGTTCCTGTCCACACATAACTAAAGGAAAGAAAGATAAAATCTTCTGTACCATCTTTATGCTGCATTTTGTTCTATATTCCAAGTATTTTTTCCTGGCTTCTTCTCGTCATCTGTTTCCTGTTAAGTATAGCTAGGACCAATCTTCAGAAGCCAAACTGCCTTGTTGAGAGAGATCAGGAATAAAAAGCCCCAGATTTACTGGAAAAGCTATAATTTGATCTTCCTAGATTTTTTCTTAATAAATTACTTACAATAATCGGTGTTAAGAAATATAACTAGTTACTATTTGGTACTAATTGCCTAGTCTGTTTGCTCAAGGAGGAAGGAGGCAATGTGAAATGTGAATTTATAACTCACATTTTAAGGTGAAACATTAGATATCTTTGCAACTGTTACATTTCCAATATAAGACCTCTAAAAAAGAAAAGAAATTCTACCTAATGGCTGTCTTCAAGTGTTTTTGTGCTGGGGCTTTAGCTATATGGAACTTTATTTCAAGCCATGGGCAACAATTAGAAGCCATTTGGAATTCTTATCCTCCTGCAGAGAATACATTTGTAGAGTTAGTTCTTGATTCAGTGTTAGTCCAAAGACTTTAAATTCCACTATGGCAATCATGGCTTTGGGATAGAGGGGAAAGCTGGGTAATAAAACCTACAATGTGAATCCAGGTACAAGATCTCCACCTATGTAAACTCACTTATATCTCTTTATAAGTTAAACATGGGTGTAGATCTGTTTCCTGGTTATGGGGGAAGTAAAGACGGGGAATTTCAAATGAACAAATGGGTAAAGACAGACCCTAAGTCTTTATTAACGGGACTGGTGGCATGGGATTATAGATTATTCTTAGATTTTAGGGAAGTTATATGAACTCAATAATTCCCAGTAACCAGTTTGATTATGCAAAATTTGAAACAAATAAAAAAGCTGACATATAAAGGAGGTCTCAGAGAGGTCAAACACTCGCTTTTCTGAGCTTGGCCCTCTGTGCTCATTCTTGCAACACACTTGTTTGGGCTGACACGGTTGCTTGCTCTTTTAAATATAACTGTTGTCAGTTTTTTTCTTGCCTACTTAAGAAACTTCTCCTTTTACCCAGTCTAGCAACAGTTACTACCATGGGTATGTCTACTATATACCAGGCCCTGTTCCAAATGCCTTACGAATGTGGTAGCTCTTTAAGCCTTACAACAACCTTTGAGGAAGAAAGGATCTCCCTCCACATTTTGCAGAAGATACTGAGGCATCGAGATACCGAGTTAACCATGTAATGTCAACAAATTCCAGACCCTGTGGCAGCTTAGAGCAGCTTGTGAGTCCCAGCCCCATCCCTGTGTTCCTCACCTGCCCTTTTTCCTTGGCATGGGCACAGGTGTTCCTGCAGTTCTCATCGGGAGGGGAGGGCAGGGGAGGAGGTGGGCAGGGTCAAGAGAAGCAACCCAAGATGGATGAGAATTTGCTTCACTGCCAGAAGTGTGAAGTCATTTCTGTTTTGCTGCATTCTGTTAGCACTGTTCTTACTTCCTTCACTAACACACTCTTTTTCAAACCTTCCATTTCAGTTTTCCCTCCTTCTTCTTCTTGGTCTCACTAGTACTAGACAGTGGGCAGAAGTGACCTCATCAGTCTGTGTCCTTTGGGTGTAGTCTTTCAACCACAAAAAAGATTCAGGGACTCCAAGGATGGAGATCCAAAGTCGCAGGAGGGTGACAAAAAGAGGTGGGGTGGAAGGAAGGAGAGGAGGCAAAAAAGTACCGGACTCAGGGAGGATGTTTTAAGCAAGTATTGGGTAAAATGAAAGGCGAGGAGTCAGACACAGACACCCTGGCCTGGAAAAGCTGCCATTCTCTAATGAAAAAGCTGTATCAAAACCGTTTTCATGTGTAAAGGCAGGGAAAATCTGAAGATATATTCAAAGTCAGCTCATAAAATGACACGTAAGAAGTAAACCTGATGAAGAGATGTAAACCAGTTATCCATCATAAGGTAGATGAATAAAAAATACAAGTTCTCCTATCAATAAGAGTAAGAATTATTGCCTAAAATGCATACCCAGCCCTTTAATGTGATATAAAACATGCTACAAACAGCCACTACTCCTAGCCCCACCCCTGCCACCCCACTAGGACTCCTCAGACACAATGACTGCTTTATTTGAGTCACTAGAAGAACAACGTTCACTCAAGCTAGAATTTTTCAAACATTCTTGAGATTTGTTAGGCTGGCTTTGCCCCAGAAAAACTGACTAAGATACATTTGAAATGTTGCATTATGTTGGGTGGGCTTCATCCACAAATCTGTTATTAGAAACCCATATGCAGTTGGTCGTGTACGTTCATGGGTTCCGCATCCTCAGATTCAACCAACTACAGATCAAAAACATTTGAAAAAAAAATTTATGGTCGTGTCTGTACTGAACATGCACATTTTTTTCTTGTCATTATGCACTAAACAATACCGTGTAACAATTGTTTACATAGCATTTATATTGCATTAGTTATTATAAGTAATCTAGAGATGATTTAAAGTACATGGGCCAGGTGTGGTAGCTCATACTTGTAATCCCAACTACTTGGGAGGCGGAGGCAGGAGGATCATTTGACTCAGGAGCTCAAGGCTACATGCCTCTGCACTCTAGCCTGGACAACAGAGTGAGACCCATCTCTAAACACATAAAAATAAAAAAAAAGAGTACATGGGAATATTGCATAGGTTATAATATAAATGCTGTACCATTTTATATAAGGGACTTGAGCATGCATGGATATCAGGGGCGGGGGGGTGGTGTCCTGGGACTAATTCCCCAAGGATACTGAGGGACAACAAACTATGGACCCCAAACCAGGTGCTCTGTGAATGAAGAGCTTTCCTCTGAGATGAGGGAAGCAGGGAGAAGATGGAAACTGGGGAAGGCTTTGTGGGAGAGGTGGCAAATGAGCAGGAGCTAGAACAGAATTCAAATGTGGGTTTGGGGAGGAAAGGAGGAAGACACAGCTCAGAAAGAGAAGTCTACAGCCATACCCCGCTGAATGCACCTGATCCTGGCTGATCTCAGAAGCTAAGCAGGGTTGGGCCTGGTTAGTACTTGGATGGGAGAAAGAAAAGGAGAAGGGAGGAGTAGGGCAAGGAGCATTTCAACTGGCTTAAAGGGTGAAGTGGGCCGGGTGCGGTGGCTCATGCCTGTAATCCCAGCACTTTGGGAGGCCGAGGCGGGCGGATCAGGAGGTCGGGAGATCAAGACCATCCTGGCTAACATGGTGAAACCCCATCTCTACTAAAAACACAAAAATTAGCTGGGTGTGGTGGAGCATGCCTGTAATCCCAGCTACTCGGGAGGCTGAAGCAGGAGAATCGCTTGAACCCAGGAGGCGGAGGTTGCGGTGAGCCGAGATGGCACCATTGCACTCCAGCCTGGGCAACAGAGCGAGACTCCGTCTCAAAAAAAAAAAAAAAAAAAAAAAAAAAGGGTGAAGTGGAGGGAGCAAGGAATAAGACATTCCAAGAGAGACTACGCAGGAATTTTTTTTAAGCACATAAGAGAAAAAGTTGTGGCTTGAGTGGGGAAATGTCAAATCACTTAGTTTGGCTAGAAGTTAGGGTAAAGGGAAAAAACGGAAAAAAGGAGATCAGAAAGTTTAGCTGTGGTTGAATAATAATAAGAAAAACCAGGATTCAGAAACAGGATGACGATATAACCCAGTGTCTGCCTGTTGCCCAGTGGCAGTTCCTACGTCCCATTCTGGACATTGTCTTTAGAAGCAACACTTGATAGAGGGTTTATAACACAGAGGTACAAAAAGTAGAAGATGGTGTAAAACAAGAGGTATATGTAACATGTTTCTGTCTTGGTGGATCAACATTTAGTCTAAGTTAACTACCATTTATTAAGTGCCTGCCCTATTCTAGGCATTACAGCGGGCAGCCCTGAAAGTAGGTTAATACGTATATTTAACTAATTCAACAAACATTAACTTATCACATACTGTGTAGTAGGCCATGGGCAGGATAGGATGCTAAAAAGACTTCAGAGATGTTTCAGGTGTAGCTCTTCTATCAAAGGGTCAATAAATATTCCAGTGCAAGCTGGAATCTGGACCTGATGGTGGTGAAAGAGAGTAAAAAAGCCGAGAGTGTTTAAATGCCAACAAAAGTAGATGTATACTGTGCCTCTCCATTTACTAGTCACATGAGCTCGACTTGTCTCTAAACCATGTACCAGTGTTTTCTCAGGATCATTTGAGATAACTTGTTGACAATGTCAGTCCAGATTAGATGTTCCATCTGTGCAAATTTCCTTTCTCTAGAATCTGTTTGTGTAGCTTTACCAGGATGGGTTAGTTAATGGATGGCTGATTTTTTTTTCAGGTTTTTTTCTTTTTAGAATACTGAGCTATACTCATAATATGCTTCTTCTCAAAAAACATTAATTAGGTAGGAGTTTTTAAAAATACTGATCTGATGGCTAAGGGCCATTTAACACATCGCAAATACTGTTGAGGCAGAAGTATCATCCCTAATTGACTGAATATGGTCCTTCTCATGTTCCCCATTATTCCATTAATGGAATAACGGTCTTCCGTTATTCTTGTTCCCACAAGCACTTAAAATACATTTCAATTAGGATGACACAGGTATAAGATTATATGGTCCTCTAAAGTAAGAGAAGGAAACTTGAGGTGAGTCCATCCTTGAACTTACTTTGCTTAGAGCACTATGAAAAAGTTATAGGAAGTTATAGGAAAGGAGCAAAAGAGTCAAATCTGAAATATTAGGTGGATCTTAGGCTGTAGAACAGTATTTTGAACTTGAACTTTTGGGCTTTGTTGCCTACACACTTGGTAGAACATTCTCTTTTGTAGAGAACTGGCTTCTAGTGTTAAAGCCTTCTATGGAAGAGAAATCTGAATAAGTTACATATCAAAGCCAGCAACTGAATTTGTAGAATTAAAATGTTTCTAAAAAATCGCTTTTTTATTCAAATCTTGTATCTCACCTGATCAAGTTTCTTATCCTTTAAATATAAAGATTCTTACATCCCCTATATATATGTAAACTAATACATAATAATTAGATATTGCATACCGTAAGGAAAGTAATTCTAGATTTACACTGTTCTGGTTACATCTTCGCTCACAGAGATTCGATATCAAAGGGCAGAGCTCTTGTAATTTACTGTGCCTCAGTTTCTGGAACACAGATACAATGAATTCCTCTCCTTACAAGGTTATTCTAACAATGCATTAAAATAATGGCTATGGAAATATTTCAGAAAAGGCATAATGTATTATAAAAATTCAAAGCTGAGATCTATTTACTTCAGCATATATAAAATTCCCCCTGAATAGGGGACATTTTGTTACTCTGAGAAGAGACAATTTCCCTCTGAATTTCTCCCAGTTTCTTCCTGATACCTCCTGTGTTCTGAAATGCAGATTCTAGTGCAATTGGGCCTCAGAAAGAACTGGACCCTTTACAATGTGAAAGTCACCAAGTGCAATGATTCTAGCCAAAGTGACCCATTTTAAAAGATGACCCATTTCAAAACCCATGAGTTATTATTCAAGCTGTTCTATTTTTGAGAATTAGAAAGTTTTCTTTTTCTTTTTTTTTTTTTTTACAATCTCACCATTTGAATGTCTTTTATGAAAAGAGAAAACTGATCACCATTTTAATGAAATACAATGTTTCATTTTTTACTTGATGGGGCCTGCACTTTATTTTGAAAACTCTTCTGCACCTTCTGAGTTTTCTCTGGGCAGAGCAGTTATAAGCATCTCTACCTCCTACTCATCCTCATCTCCCACTTTCTCAGGAACAGCTGCTCTGAGCTTTGGCTTGGGCCTTTCCTGTGATAACACTGGTTCTACCTTAGAGCCTTGCAGGGCCGGGAAGGGTCAGCCTGAGTCAGCCTCCTCCTCAGAGTGCTCAGTCAATGCTCAGAGCGTGTGCGGGAGGATAAGGAAGAGTGAGAAGGACAAGCAGGTTAAGTACAGAATGGAAACCTTTCTGGTATTGCGTTTAGCTTGCTTTAAAAGCAAAGAGTTGGCCCCAAAAAGCAGCTTTCACCTCCTCACTTGTGACCAGATAGAAAATCTACCATAAATTTATTTTGAGAAAGTTATAACGTCTGCTGCTGATCACTAATCACCCTTTCAGAAAGTTCAGGGTGGAATCATTTCGGTGCCACCACTTAATACAACTACCTTCAATCATCCTTTTCTGGGTCAACTTCGGCTTTTCACATTCCTCTCCCATCCCCCACAGGGAACAGGCAAGGTTTCCCAAAATAAAGGCACAGACGCACAAATCCAATTCTGATGGATGTACTTTCATCAGATAATTACCATAAATATGAGCCTCAGGCCACCATCGGCCACTGTGCGGTTACCACATCGGTGTACCTTTAACATGATCCATAACCTAAGAAAACCAACACCGGCCAAGAATGTACAGGGTGTAGTCAAGAGTCGAGTTGAAAACTGTTACTTTTACCTATATGGTATCCAAGCAAGCAATTGCCTCTGTCACATCAGGATTCAAAATGAAATGAGGCAGAGTCAAAGGAAAGAGTGGCCACGACCTCCCCGCCAGGGAGATCTGCGGCTGCAGTCTCCCCGCCTGCCCACTTCCCTGTCCCCATTTCCCCCGCCAGTAACTCGCCGAAAGCGTTCTCAGGTTGGCGGTTTCTTCTTTCCAGCCCGACACGGGCTTTCGACTCGAATTCAGCCCTCCAGCCGGAGGCGGGTGGCCGCAAGCCTGGGGCCCCCGGCCGGCAACCGAATTGGTGGGCGCGGCGTTCGCCTCGCGGCTCCCGCGCACGGGCCTGTCCCGCCACCGAGGAGCCGGAGCTCCTCAGGGACGGGGACCCGCAGGCCCCGGGAAGCCGCCCCAACCGGAGCTGCCCGGCCCCCGAGCCTACCTGCCGCACCTGGGCGGCGGCCCGGCCTGGGTCCCAGCCGCTGGCCACCCGCGCGGGCAGGCCGGAGGGAACAAAGGCGTTCCGGGGAGGGGACGAGCCTCCTTCTCCGCCGCGCTTTCAGAGGGCGGGCTGCCGGGGCCCGCGGTGGGAGAGGCCTCCCCGGCTTCCCGACTTCCCGGCGCTGGGCCGTGCGCGGTCCGGGCCAGGGCGGCGGGCCCCGATCCGGTGTCCACGCCAGCCACGCGCCCCCGGCCCAAGCGCGCGTTCCCACCTGAAGTCCTGGCGCCACCCGCCGGGCGAGGGCCGGCGTGCCCTCACCTCCTCGCCACTCTTCTCCTCCAGAGACCTCGCTCGGCCCGGAGTGGGCAGACTCGGAGCCTCCCGCGCCGGAGACCGCGAGCCGCTCGGCCGAGGAGGCGCGGCGGGGCGGGGGCGGGGCGGAGGGGCCGGCCCGCAGCCCCCAATGCCGGGAGCCCGCGCTGGAGACCCAGGGAGCCCAGCTCGGGGCCGCGGCACGGAGAACGAACCATCCGTGGCCTGGAGACGTATCCCGCCGAGCGGCCAGAACTTTCCCCATTTAGCGATCCGGAAAGGAAGCCAACACTCCCACCCAGAGAGGCCTCGGCCGCGGAAAGATGCGGCCGCGGCACAGCCGTGTTTTCACCACGTAACTGACCACAGACTAACTCCGCGCGGAACCACCGGCCCAGGGCGCTCCGCCAAGAGGCGGACTGTGCTGGCCTCGCGGGCCCTACGCCCAGGGAACGCCGCGGTTCCTCCCACACGGGACACCGGTTCCGCAGCGCCGCGGATTAGGATGGTCTTTTACTTTCCGAGCGGGAGCTCTAACGCAGGCTCAGGCGGGTCTTGTTAAAAGGTTTCTGGTCACACCACTTATGCGTGGAGCTCTGGGGGCCTCAGTAACAAAGTAAGGAAACTTACAGCAAACTAGGGCTGCACTGCCGCTGTCCGTTTCTAAAATACGAGAAGAGGGGGAAACCCCGCCCCAGGCCAGCTTCCCAGTGACTTTACCTCCAAGTCCAGCTTCATTTCAAGGGCAGTTTAGAGCGAAACTCACGAAGTTCAAGCCCAGCTCTTTAAATGTCCAAATCGGAGGTCGGCTTTCCTTCCCGCATCGGAGCTAAAGTCGCTGGTCTCAAGAACAAAACTTGCGGGCTTTAAATCTTGGGCGAGGACTGGACGGGCAGCGCTGGACTGGGCTCGCTTCCCCGGCGGGATGCGGGCTGTATGCGGGCGGGATGGGGGCGGGCCCGGGCGGGGGCGCGAGGCTCCCAGCCGCGCGCCCCGCACTCTCGGCGTCACGGCCCGAGCCCGGCCCCGCCCGCCAGCCGCCACCCTCCCGGCGCGTAGGTGAAGGTGATGGGCCCCGCCCCAGTTTGTTCTTGTCTGTAGATGAGAATTCCAGGAAGTGTTTCCCTGCCGCTCGTCAGTTAATTGCGATCACTTACTCAAATGGCCAACTGGAAGCCAGAGTGCACATGAATGTCCTCTTTGAGCTATTTTCCTCCTTTAGAATACTTCATGCAGGTAACCAGACAATATCGAGAGATGCGGACTTCTACTCAACGAGAGAGATTATAAATGAATCCTGGATGCGCTTGATTTCTTGTTTCCCGCATGTTGTTAGACCTCTCCCTAAAGCCACAAAACATTTAACGGAGATAATATTTTGAGCGATTCTGTTATTGTACATATTTCAGAACATGACAGAAAAGCAAAAGATTAACCCAAATACTTTAGTAAAATAAAAGCTTTGAGTTTGTCGTAAAAGGAACAAGACAGGTAATGAGTTAAATGTATGATTGTCGAATCAGGGTTTAAAACAGTGGGGCCAGCAGACACGGTGGCTCACACCTGTAATCCCATCACTTTGGGAGGCTGAGCCGCAGGAGGATTGCTTGATCCCAGGAGTTAGAGACCAGCGTGGCCAACATAGCAAGACCCCATCTCTAAAAGAAAAAACACACACACAAAATGAAAACTGTTGTTCATTCAAACTAGATTTTTAGGAAGTTTTTAAATTGCTTTCCTTAAGCTGGTCAGCATCTTTTAAATCATGCAGTTCTTTTCATATGCTGCCTACACAGGGCATGGCTCAGCATCTCCCAGACTGTGGCACTGCATGTTCATCAGACCACAGACAGAAATATTTACATGTGTGATTTGCAAAGGAGTCATTGACAGTGACCCACAAATAAGCTGATTCATTGTTAATACAGCACTAATGACATACCTTCTCTAATAAAATGCTGACTGAAATCCCACATGCATTTCCCCCAGCCATCACATGTGTATGTTGTATATCTGTGCAAATATTCAATTACAATTATATTCCTTTCAGATCATTTGGAGCTAGGTCCATGTGTCAGTATACATATGTTCCACATACATGAGCACATAGAACTGTACCCACGAGAAATACAAACTGACCAAAACAGTGGTAGACACACATACAAATCACATATTCACATCATACTAGATACAGATAAACACACCAGATAGATAAATGGTTTCAAAAGTATGTCTGGAGATTGGAAATACGATGCAAGTTTTTTGGTGGTAGGAGGGAGAGATGAGAGGGTGTGAAGGAGAGATAGGCAAGGTCAAGTAGTCCAGAATGCCCACTCTGGGATCCACACAAGCTCAGATCACACATGCGAGAGGACAGGCAAGTCCCCTTTGCTTGTTAGGGAAGATTTCCTAGAGCAGCCTGGCTTCCTGTCCCACCCAGAGAGAGGGGAAGAGAATGACAGATTTGATGGTATTGATGGTGCTATGCTCAGTTACTTTTATCAAGAGGGAGTGCATGAAGATATTGAGATGTGTTAGAAATAAACTTAGGTAATAATAATGATGCTGACTTGGCCAGCATGAAGAAGGAGGACCGTGTTGGCATGCTTTCCTTATCCAAGTAGCAGCTGGTAAGCAGAGAGCCCTGTGATTAGATCTATACATGACTTTGGAATGACCAAAATCTGCATGTTAGACTCGGCAGGGATAGATAAGGCACAGAAAGAGCAGAGGAGTAGCAGATTTAGGAGAGATGATCAGAGAGTAAGGCACATGCATCATTAGTAGTGGGGAGGGGAGACTAAACCCTGAGTACAAGAGAACCTGGGAGATGGTGGGAGCAACAGGGGCCCAAGGAAGAGGCCTGTGTTACTAAAATCATGAAAGGAGAAGCAGGTCTGATAACCGAGTGGCTTAACACAGCTGAAGTGTAGCAGCAGTATCAGGCTTGACCTGTTTAGCGAAATTTGTCTTTCTGGATTCTGTTAGACCAGATTTCCTCACAGGCCCTATAGGGAACCTGTCCAGTGAATCTGTGAATTCAAACACATCACGGGCCATGTATTCTGAAGCAGGCCGGTGTTCATTCAAGGCCTGGGCTGTTAGAGAGACTCTGGTTGTTTCCTGACCTGGCTTCCTACACAGGATCTCTGGCAAGTTAGCAAACTTCTCTGTGCCCACAGTAATACCTGCCTGCAAGGGTGGGTGAGGATTAGTGCAATCGCAGTGACGGGTGGAGTGCTGAGCTCAGAGCCTGGGCTATCCCAATGGGCGGATGAATGGTCAGCATCCTTGAGCCCATCACAGGTTGCAGAAAGCTCCTCTCACCTGGCAGAGGTAGGCTCATGCTGTGTCCTGTCATCGTGCTGTAAAGGATCTGCTGTGTTTCACACCTCTGGGAATTTCACATCTGTTGATACAGCATCACCATTCAGACGATGCCCTATCTCCTTGGCTCCGCCGCCTCTTTCTCTGCCCCCCGGCCACCTCCCACCACACGCAGCCTTCCTTGGTGTTCTCTTCTCCGCACACATGCTCCTTGCTGATCTCACCCATTGTCTTTAATCTTGACTTACATTTCTTTCTTTTTTTTTTTTTTCTTTTTTTGAAACGAAGTATCGCTCTGTCACCCAGGCTGGAGTGCAGTGGCACGATCTCCTTTCACTGTAACCTCTGCCTCCCGGGTTCAAGTGACTCTCCTGCCTCAGCCTCCCGAGTAGCTGGGATTACAGTCATGCACCACCACACCTGGCTAATTTTTTATATTTTTGGTGGAGATGGGGTTTCACCATGTTGGCCAGGCAGGTCTTGAACTCCTGACTTCAAGTGATCCGCCCGCCTCGGCCTCCCAAAGTGCTGGGACTACAGGCGTGAACCACCGCTCCCAGCCCATCCTGATTTATATTTCTAGCCCAGATTCTCAGCTTCAACCTTAAGTGTCTTTGGGTATGTCACATCAATCTTCAGCTTAATATGTCTAAAATGGGATGTATAAATATGGGATTGGGAAATGGTTAATGGACAGGACTTGAATGCCCCAAAAGCAAGAATCCTCCTTTTTCTCACCAGTGACCCAGCCCAGGCTGTTATGTGTCAGTAACAGTCAGTAGTATTTTGTCACTGTATAAGTTATATGTCTTTTGCCTCAACTAGCTGTGGGGAGGGGAAAAAAGTTGTATGTCTGTTTTCCCAACTACTTTGAAAGTCTTCAGATCTCTTGTGGGTGGACACCATGCCCTGCTCTTCTCTGAGTCTCTCAGAGACTCCCCGTCTCCTTGCCACCCTCACAATAATGCCTGTCACAGAATGAATGCCTGGTAACTGCAGGTTGAATTGAATTTTTGCATAGCACTTCCACACTCATCAATTATTCAAACTTTTGTTCCAAGAATCCCATCCGTAGTACAGTGGCCCTGTGTACGTCTCCTTTGATGCCACCAAGGCCCAAAAGCTGACGCTGGAGACACACTAGCTCTTTGCTGCAGCTCCTGCTACTGCTTCTATGGCCTGGCACCCTTCAGCATCCTCCCTCAATTCCAGGGCCTCAGCAGTTTGATGAAACCACACTAGGTACACCCAGAACTGGAAGGTGAAGGGAACTGACAGCACAAGGCGGCACTCACCCGCAGGCCACTCTGAGAACCCGGTTTCTTCCATTTTCTTCTCTTCTGCATGGGGGAGGGGCCTCCTGGAACTGATCATCTCCTTCACACCAACGCATAAGGAAATCTCTTATGTGCCATCTGACACTCAGTGGGGCCTCTCAGGGACAGGGACAGGGACAGTTTCGGAGGGGCAGGCCCTGCTGGCTGGGACCCTCCCTGGTCCAGTAGAGCTGTGCTGTCAACCCTCCAACAGCCCCTGTGAAAATGGCCTGATACCAGCCCCTGGCAGTGAGTGTCTCAGCATTTCTTCTCCTTTTCCCAGCAGCAGATCAGACACACACTCCACACTCCCGGAAGCATACAGGGTTCTGTGCAGGTCCCAGAGGGCTGCCTCTAACTCAGCTCTTTCTCTCCTACTCAGGAGGGCACATGCAAATTGAGTGAGGGAGTGACATTTTTGTAGGAACAATCTTGAGTGCTGATTAACACATATTTTAAAAGACAATTGGCACTTAGTTTAGTCACAGCTATCTAAACTAAGCAAAACAATTTGTGTCCTGTGATGGGGTGGTACAGGGGGAAGGAAGACAATTACAGCCCCTGGAAATGATTATTGACAGCAAGATGGGGGCTACATGGCTGGCCCAGAGGCGATCATTTGTGTTGGGAATTTTGCACTTAGGTTTGGTTGTACTGATATTTATGGAACAACTAAAATGTAATTTTCTTTTTTTAAAAATATACATTTTTTTTGAGACAGGGTCTCGCTGTGTTGCTCAGGCTGGAATACAATGGCCGGTCACTGCTCACTCAGGCTTGACCTTCTAGGCTCAAGCAATCTTCCTGTCTCAGCCTCCTGAGTAGTGGGGACTACAGGTGCACCCCATCACGCCCAAATAATTTTTTTTATTTTTAGTAGAAATGGAGTTGCTCACTATGTTGCCCAGGCTGGTCTTGAACTCCTGGGCTCAAGCGATCCACCTGCCTCCACCTGCCAAAGTGTTAGGATTACAGGTATGAGCCACTGCACCAGGTCTGAAATGTAATTTTCTATTTCCCATTTTTAAATACTTAGTAATTACTAAGTGATAATTTCCTGCTTTACAGAGAGTACACGGTTCAAATCCCACTCAACCAATTTCCAAAAGGCAGTTAAAAGTCTTCCTAGGGTTTACATTGAGTACTCTTTAATACAAGTAGACTATTAGATAAAACTTGCTATGCTGAGATTTTCCTTATAGCAGTACTTCTAAAAAGCCAATTCTAAAGTCTATGATAAATTAATGTGATCTGAAACCATATACATTTAATGAATCAGTCTTGGTGGTCAGATGGTCCAAAGTTGTAAAGCCCAATATTAATACCTAATTGGCTCTGCAGATTTAGGGCTAAGGAATCCTAGGAAGAGAGAGCAACATCTCTGAGAGAGATGTTTGCATCATATTTAATAAATAAGTAAACCCTCTTGGGAAAAACAGGAATCTATTAGAATAATAGAATATCTGCTGGTAGATAAAGACACAAATAGATCTGCAAAAAGGGGCACAGGGCAGGGAAAGCAGTGTGGGTCTTCCCAACATTTTCGGCTCTTTGACTATTTCATAGACATGCTTTTTATCTTTGGGAATTTCCTTTTTGCAATAGATTTCCTTTTGTTTTGTTTTCAACTTGGTACAGTTGACCCTCAGTATCCATGGGGAATTGGTTCCAGGACCCTTGCAGATAACAAAGTCCACAGATGCCCAAGTCTCTTATGTAAAATGGTGTAGTATTTGCATATAACCTATGCACACTCTCCCATATGTTTTAAATAATCTCTGGATTACTTATAATACCTAATACAATATAAATACTATGTAAATAGTTGTTATGCTTTTAAAATTTGCATTATTTTAATTGTTATATTGTTATTATTTATTTATTTATTAATATTTTCAATATGAGGTGAGTTGAATCCACAGATGTGGAACCTACAGAGATGGAGGACTGACTATAATTGTTTCACAATTTCTTTTCTTTACTGAAGATTACCGAGTTACTTGGATACTCCTGTTGGGATTACTACCAGTAGTACTCTTTCTTGGGAATTGAAGTAATGAGGTTTTCCTATCCGCTGTATTCTAGGAATCTCCTTGGTATGCCAGACATCTCTCATACCATGTCTTGTTATATTTGATTGCAGATGTGCTTCTGAACCAGAGTGTTGAGATTTCAGCCACATTCCTCAAATGCCAGGCATACACGGATGAGCCAGCCCTTTTTCTGTAACCTGCTTCTCTGTGTCCTTGCTGTACAGGCCCTGTCTCTTAAGGAGCAGAGTCAGAAAAGTGGGCACTGTTTCAATGGACTGACATTCATGCTCGACACATTGGTTCCTCTGTCACTATTAGATAAAACTTGCAGGCAGTTTGACCTCAGCCAAGTCACTTAGTGCTCGGAGCCCTGACTTGCTCTTCTGTGAAATGAAAATAACAATTAGTACCTACTCTCGTCCACAGAATTGGCATGCATCCTATAAATCTATCAACCATCCATTCAATTAACACTTATTGAGAATTCACTTGCTTGCAAGACACTGGGGCCAAGGATGAATAAGACAGGACATCTGCCCTAGAGGAGTTCTTGTTAGGGATTTAATGGATCAAGTAAGATAACGCACACATTAAAAACAAAAAACAAAAACAACCTTACTTCATGCCCATTGGGTTAGCTATTACGTTTTTTTAAAAAAAGAATGATAATCTAAATGTTGACCAGAAAGTGGAGAAATCAGAGCCTTTGTGCACTGTTGGCAATATAAAAGATGCGGCTGCTGTAGCGGGTGGTATGGCAATTCCTCAAAAAAGTTAAAAATAGAATGATCCTATGATCCAGCAATCCCACTTCTAGGTATATGCCCAAAATTGAAAGCAGAGACTCAGACAGGTACTTGCACATCAGTGTTCATAGCAGCATTATTCACAATAGCCAAAAGGTGAAAACAACCCAGGTGTTCATCAACAGAAGAATGGATAAGCAAAATGTGGTAGACACATAAAATGGAAGATATTCAGCCTTAAAAATGAATCAAATTCTGATAAATGCTACAACATGAATGAACCTTGAAAGCATTACGCTACGTGAAATAAGCCAGACACCAAAGGATGAATATTGTATGATTCCACTTATATGAGACACCTAGAATAGGAAAATTCATACAGAAAGTAGAATAGAGGTTCCCAGGAGCTGTGGGGAGGTGGAGAATGAGGTCATGTTTAATAGGTACAGAGATTCAGTTTGGGATGATGAAAAAGTCTGGAAATGGCTAGTGGTGATGGTTACACAACATTGTGAATGTACTTAACACTACTGAACTATACACTTCAAAAAGGTTTAAATAGTAAATTTTATGCATATCTTACCACAATTAAAAAAAACTTTATAATACCTAAAATGCCATACAAATGCAAGCATTATTAACTTGAATTAAGATTAATAGGATTGTGTTTATGATCAATCTCTTAAAGTGCTATATGCACAAAGTTACATTGTCATTATTTATTGTGTGATATTGAAGAACATCTATTCAGATAAACTTTAAAAATAATTTATATCCCATCTTCTTCCAAAAAGAATTTGAGGTAGTTTACCATAAAATCATCAGGGTAATGAGAACAAATCCTATTAATGTAAGACAAAATATAGAAACTGAGATACAAAGCAGAGAAGAAGGAAGAGAAGGCAGATTACCTGAGCAAAACTCAACTGTTATCCTCCTAGGAACCAGGGAAGTGTTCATATTCATCAGATCTTTTATTCTTAAATGTCATTGGTTTCAATATGATCCTCGTATGGGTCTATAGTGCTTTGTGTTGTTACCATTAACAGTTCTAGGAATTTATTTTATAATCAGGAAACACCTAATCAAAACAGAAGAAGGATGTAAAACTTAAGAACATGTTTTCCTGAGACCGAGCCCTCAGGACTGTATTGAGACCGAGCCCTCAGGACTGTATTCTGTGTTTAATGAAACAGGTTCCTGGAAGGGTATCTGCCCTGCTTGCCACAGCCCCATCAATCTCCTATACCTCCCCTGGCCAGCACTCATCCACACTCGTGGCCTGGCATGACAACCATCTCCTCAGCTAGCTCCCCCAGCCTCCCAGCCCCCATCCAAACTCTGCTCTGGGCAGCCTGGATCCTGTAAGGCCCTGTGTGTGGCCATGACTCCAGCCCCTGCTGGAGTTTACTCCTCATGGCACTCCTGTCTTCCTGGATAAACCCTGTACCTCTTGTAGAGGATAGGTCAGACTTCACCTTCTCCAACCCAATCCATTCCCCTTCTCCTTTCTGTTTCTATGTGGCACTCCAGTTACACATTAACTGTTAGTTAATCAGGGTTGCAAATGAATAAAAGTCTTGTGACCTTTGTTTCATTTATTGTGAAAAGCAGGGGCCATTAGACAAAAGATTACATCAAACAGTCTATTAGAAATGATAACATATTTATAGAATGATACATGAGGGCCAAGAGGGGAAGTCAAGTTTATCTAATCCAGCCCTTTGACATACAAAGAAACAGAATCTGAGAAAGGAAGTGACTTACCCTGTATCCTAGAGGTAGAAATAGAACTGGAACCCCAGTTTCTTGAAACCCTGTGTTTTTATAACACCATGCTAATTTCATTCTAATTTGTGTTTTATTTAATAATCAGCAAACAGTTCTTTAGATGCACCCCAAACATAGGCCAAGAGCAACTAGGTAAAGTAGCAGAAACAGTACTTGCTTTGCAAAAGCCATAGACCTTGGGCAATGTTTCAGAGCCCTGGGCCTCTATTTGAACTGTTTCCTGATTATTAAATAAAACACAAATTAGAATGAAATTAGCATGGTATTATGCAAACACTGGGTTTCAAGAAACTGGGGTTCCAATTCTATTTCTACTTCTGTTTTTACATCTGTAAAATGAAGAGATGAGCTGGATCGTCTTTAAGTTTATATCTGCTTTTAGCATTTTATGAACCTACTAGACGATTGGCTTAACCCCACGGCATTAGTCAGTGTTCTCTAAAGGTACAGAACTAATAGGATAGATGAATATATGAAGGGGAGTTTATTAGGAGAGTTGACTCACACAATCACAAGATACCAAGTCCCACAATAGGCATCTGCAAGCTGAGGAGTCAGGAAGCCAGTCTGAGTCCCAAAACCTCAAAAATAGGGAAGCTGATAGTGCAGCCTGCAGTCTGTGGCCAAGTGCCAAAGAGCCCCTGGCAAATTACTGTTGTAAGTCCAAGAGTCCAAAAGCTGAAGAACTTGGAGTCTGATGTTCCAGGGCAGGAAGCATCCAGCACTGGAGAAAGATCTAGTCCTTCCACCTTCCTCTGCCTGTTTTTTTTTTTTAATCAGATTTTGGTACTGGGAATGGTTCTAGAGGAACAGAATTTTAAGGATGGATTTCTTTTTTTTCTTTTTTTTTGTTTTTGAGCTGGAGTCTCACTCTGTCACCCGGGCTGGAGTGCAGTGGCGCAATCTCAGCTCACTGCAAGCTCCGCCTCCTGGATTCATGCCATTCTCCTGCCTCAGCCTCCCGAGTAGCTGGGACTACAGGTGCCCGCCACCATGCCTGGCTAATTTTTTGTATTTTTAGCAGAGATGGGGTTTCACTGTGGTCTCAGTCTCCTGACCTCGTGATCCGCCTGCCTTGGCCTCCCAAAGTGCTGGGATTACAGAAGGATAGATTTCTTTAGTTGGTTTTTGGGTTTCTGGAGTTGGTTGCTTAATATGATTAGACCCCAAAATGCTAAGGACTCTACTTCTAATTGTGTGGAGAACACTGATAGTCCTTGGCACGAACTGTTCAAACACTTATGCAAAAGAAATGCATTCAGTACTCCTGATTCACCACTCATGAGAGGCAAGGAGTTTAATGACTCTATACATAATACCTTTGACCATATATAGAGGACCAAGGAATATAACGAAGTTGGTTGGTTGCTCCTAAGTTCACTGGACAAACTGATAGAAGAAAACCATGAACTTAGGGATTCTAACTCCCAGCTCCAGAAGCATACACTGAGCCTCAAATCTTCTAAGATTGTCCAGAGTGAGAGTCTTATCTCTTGTAGAGAAAGAGCTGAAATTGTGGAAAATCAGATACAAGCTCTTATCATGGGAGCGGCTGACCTGCAATGAAAGGTGCATGCACAGCCTCACCAGGTGTCTACTGTTAAAATGAGGGCATTGATTGGAAAAGAATGGGACCCTGCAACTTAGAATGGGGATGTGTGGGAGGATCCTGATGAAGCTGGGGACACAGAGACAAACCATATCATTTCACCCCGGCCCCTCCCAAATCTCATGTCCTCACATTTCAAGACAAATCATGCCTTCCCAACAGTCCCCCAAAGACTTATTTCAGCATTAACTCAAAAGTCCACAGTTCAAAGTCTCATCTGAAACAAGGCAAGTCCCTTCCACCTATGTGCCTGTAAAATCAAAAGCAAGTTAGCTATTTCCCAGATAAAATGTGGGTGTAGACATTGGGTAAAAATACCTGTTCAAAATGGGAGAAATTGTCCAAAACAAAGGGGCTATCAGCCTTATGCGAGTCTGAAATCCAATAAAGCAGTCAAACCTTAAAGTTCCAAAATAATCTCCTTTGACTCCATGTCTCATAGAGATTCAAGAGGTGGGTTCCCACCACAGCCTTGGGCAACTCTGCCCCTGTGGCTTTGCAGGGTACAGCCCCCCTTGTGGTTGCTTTGATGGGCTGGTGTTGGGTATCTGCAGCTTTTCCAAGCACATGGTGCAAACTGTTGGTGGATCCACCATTCTGGAGTCTGGAGGATGGTGTCCCTCTTCTCACAGCTCCACCAAGCAGTGTCCCAGTGGGCACTCTGTGTGGGGACTCCAGCCCCACATTTCCCTTCCATACTCCCCTAGCAGAGATTCTCCATGAGGGCCCCACCCCTGCAGCAAACTTCTGCCTGGACATCCAGGCATTTCTGTACATCCACCTCAATTCTTGACTTCTGTGAACCCACAGGCCCAACACTACGTGTAAGCCACCAAGGCTTGAGGCTTGCATCTCTGAACCAATGGCCTGAGCTGTACCTTGGCCCCTTTCAGCCATGGCTGGAGCAACTGGCATGCAGGGCAACAAGTCCCTAGACTGCATAGAGCAGGGGTCCCCGGGCTGGGCCCACAAAACCACTTTTTCCTCCTAGGCCTGAGCCTGTGATGGGAGGGGTTGCCACAAAGGTCCTTGACATGCCCTGCAGACATTTTCCCCTTTGTCTTGGTGATTAACATTTGGCTCCATCTTACTTATGCAAATGTCTGCAGCAGGCTTGAATTTCTCCTCAGAAAATGGGTTTTTCTTTTCTATCACATCATCAGGCTGCCAATTTTCTGAACTTTTATGCTCTTCTTCCCTTTTGAGCATAAGTTCCAATTCCGAACCATATCTTTGTGAATACATAAAACTGAATGCTTTTAACAGCACTCAAGTGACATCTTGAATGCTTTGCTGCTTAGAAGTGTCTTCTGCCAGGTGCCCTGAATCATCTCTCTCAAGTTCAAATTTCCACAGATCTCTAGGGCAGGGGCAAAATGCTGCCAGGCTCTTTGCTAAAACATAGCAAGAGTCTCCTTTGCTCCAATTCCCAACAAGTTCCTCATCTCTATCTGAGACCACCTCAGCCTGGACTTTATTGCCCATATCACTATCAGCATTTTGGTCAAAGCCATTCAACAAGTCTCTAGGAAGTTCCAAACTTTACCACATCTTCCTGTCTTCTGAGCCCTCCAAACTGTTTCAACCTCTGCCTGTTACCCAGTTCCAAAGTTGCTTCCACATTTTCAGATACTGCAGCACCCCACTCTACCAGTACCAATTTACTGTATTAGTCTATTCTCATGCTCCTAATAAAGACATAGCTGAGACTGGGTAATTTATAAAGGAAAGAGGTTTAATGGACTCACAGTTCCACATAGCTGGGGAGGCCTCAAAATCATGGTGGAAGGCAAAGGAGGAGCAAAAGCATGTCTTACATGGTGGCAGGCAAGAGAGCATGTGCAAGGGAACCGCCCTTTATAAAATCATCAGATCTCCTGAGACTTATTCACTATCATGAGAACAGCACAGGAAAAACCTGCCCTCATGATTCAATTACTTTCCACTGGGTCCCTCCCATGACATGTGGGGATTATTACAATTCAAGGTGAGATTTGGGTGGGGACACAGAGCCAAACCATATCACCCACCAAAGAATTTGCCAGTACACAGAATAGCATACACTTTCACCTCCTTTCCTCCTCCACACTGTTCCCCTTAGGGACAAACCTCCTTCTTCTATTCCCCCTTACTTTTTAAAAAACTTTTTATTTAAAAAAACTGATTTTTTACTTAAAGAAAAACCTCTGCTTAAACTTCACTCAACACAGAGTTGGCAGTGTCTCCCCCAACCCCTGGTTTAATTAGTTGCCCCTCCTCTGCACCTGACTTTTCTGACTAGCCTTACCTTATCACACTCATTGGAATCATTGATTTTTTTTATCTCTTCCATTAGACTCTAAATTTATTAAGGTCAGGATTATGGTACATTTCTCTATCCCAAGTGCCTATCATGGAGCCAGGCTCATAGTAGGGCATCAATACATGTCTGGTCAATTAGTACAATAGTTTTTGGGTGGGAAACAAGGATGAGAGTGTGGTACTGATTTCAGCTGAAGCTGTTGGAGTTTTAAGGATGATTAGAACTTGAAAGAAAGTGGAAAATAGCGATAACACTGGCTTAACAGAAGTGGGGTCTAAAAGGAGTGGGTCAGATGAGTGCTATTTAGTTGAATAGGAGACCATCTGCAGTAGAATCATCCAGGGCACTTGTGAAAATTACAGATTCCATCTTAGCTCCCACCCACCTCTCCCCATTCTGATGTGTAAATCTGGTTTTACCTTTAAAGCAAGCTCCTTAAGAAGATTCTTACCACATGAACAGAGAGTCTTAAACTCTTAGAAGGAACTCTGGCAGCTGTGGGCAAGTTCTTGAAGAGAGAATGAAGACAGGATAAAAATGGAGCTTTGGGGGACTAGGCGTGGTTTCTCACACCTGTAATCCCAGCACTTTGGGAGGCCTAGGTGGCAGATCACCTGAGGTCAGGAGTTCGAGACCAGCCTGGCCAACATGGTAAAACCCCTAATACAAAATTTAGCTGGGTATGGTGGCAGGCAACTTTAACCCCAGCTACTGGGGAGGCTGAGGCACGAGAACCATTTGAACCTGAGAGGTGGCAGTTGCAATGAGCCGAGATCATGCCATTGCACTCCAGCCTGGGCAACAAGAGTGAAACTCCATCTCAAAGGAGCTTTTGGAAGGGCGTAGCCTGGTGGTCTGCAAAATAGACTGGTGGAAGAGAAATCTCAGAAGGATGAGATTCTATGAGTGCACTAAAGTGTTTAAATGACAGGAATTGAAAGCTTGCTCTGTGGGGTGTCACCAGAAGTGGAGAGTCAGTAGTCACCCAGGAAGCATGTTGAGAGATGATATAAGGAGCCTGGGTGACAGAGAGAATATAAGGGATGTTGGAGGGGGGAGTTTGAAACAACACCTGTGTTTTAGGGACCCTAGAAAAATGTCAGTTCCACTGAAACACATGCTACTTCTGTCTAATTAGTTCTATTTCAACTTGATGTGACTGAGGTGTCTGGGAGGCATCCAGGTGAAAATGATATAGACCATTGGCAATGTGGGCTCAAGAGTGACCAAAGGTCTAGGAGGAAGACAAAGATGTGGGAGAGTCAACAGCATGAAACAGGAAGGACAGAAGCCTGGAAATCTGAGTTCGGGTTCTTGAAAAGTAAAAATCTGTAATGCTTTCTGACATGCATAATGTGATGATAGGATAGCAGGAGTAAGTGAAAACTCTTGATGGCAAATTGTGTTGACAATAATGAGCAAAAATAGACCTCTGGCAGACTGGATCCCTATTGGAGAACTGAGAAACGGCGGGGAGGCGGGGAAGGGGGGGTGACAGGGGCAGTAGTTCAAAGGGGGAGCAGAGGAGGGCACATGAACAAAGAAGAAACTTATCAGGAAATCCTTAATGATCTTTCTTGCTAAAAAGGATTGCATTTTTTTTTTTTAGCATATTCCTTTCATTCCTGCCCCTTGGTTGTGGTGTCATTTGAAACAAGCATGAGGTGTCATGTAGAATGGAACCAGATATCCAAAGCTCTGTTTTCATGCTACCCTGAAATATGGCTTCAGAGAAGAAACATCCCTTTAAAACACATTATACCTCCATTTCCCCTTTAATGAGCTAAGGGCGGCGTCTGTTTTGAAACGTAAAGCAAAGTGCCCGGATGTAAACTAACGCAGAGTACATTAGTGCAGGCTGCTCTTGCATCCTAAGCTCCCTTTGGTATCCTAAGTGCAGTCCTCTAGCTCTGAGTAGATTGCCATCAGGACAGAAATTGCTGTTGGTGCTGAAAGGTTATTTTTAATTACTTGAATACTCCCAGTGTTTTCTGTTGTTCATCTGCATGATATACACTTGATGATTTTAGATGGTAAATCCTTGAGAGTCTTTTTTTTTTTTTTTTTTTTTTTGAGACGGATATCGCTCTGTTGCCCAGACTGGAGTGCAGTGGTGTGATCTCGGCTCGCTGCAAGCTCCACCTCCGGGGTCCACGCCATTCTCCTGTCTCAGCCTCCCGAGTAGCTGGGACTACAGGCACCCACCACCACGCCTGGCTAATTTTTTGTATTTTTAGTAGAGACGGGGTTTCACCGTGTTAGCCAGGATGGTCTACATCTCCTGACCTCGTGATCCGCCTGCCTCGGCCTCCCAAAGTGCTGGGATTACAGGCGTGAGCCACCGCGCCCGGCCGAGAGTCTTTTCTGTGAATAAAATTACATGCTTTGGAACAGGGGTGTCCAATCTTTTGGCTTTCCTGGGCCACGCTGGAAGAAGAAGAATTGTCTTGGGCCACACATAAAATACATTAACACTGGCCAGGCGAGGTGGCTCACGCCTGTAATCCCAGCACTTTGGGAGACCAAGGAGGGTGGATCACGAGGTCAGGAGATCAAGACCATCCTGGCCAACATGGTAAAACCCCATCTCTACAAAAATACAAAAAGTTAGCTGGGCATGGTGGCGCACGCCTGCAGTCCCAGCTACTCGGGAGTCTGAGGCAGGGGAATTGCTTGAACCTGGGAGGCAGAGGTGGCAGTGAGCCGAGACTGCACCACTGCATTCCAGCCTGGCAACAAAGCAAGACTCCGTCTCAAAACAAAACAAAACAAAAAATACATTAACACTAACGATAGCTGGTGAGCTAAAAAAAAAAAAAAAAAAAATCGCAAAAAAAATCTCATAACGTTTTAAGAAAGTTTACAAATTTGTGTTGGGCCACAGGCCGCAGGTTGGACAAGCTTGCTTTAGAATAATAAAGCAGGGAATTCCAAAATTGACCACATAGTTGGAAGTAAAGCTCTCCTCAGCAAATGTAAAAGAACAGAAATTATAACAAACTATCTCTCAGACCACAGTGCAATCAAACTAGAACTCAGGATTAAGAATCTCACTCAAAGCCGCTCAACTACATGGAAACTGAACAACCTGCTCCTGAATGACTACTGGGTACATAACGAAATGAAGGCAGAAATAAAGATGTTCTTTGAAACCAACGAGAACAAAGACACCACATACCAGAATCTCTGGGACGCATTCAAAGCAGTGTGTAGAGGGAAATTTATAGCACTAAATGCCTACAAGAGAAAGCAGGAAAGATCCAAAATTGACACCCTAACATCACAATTAAAAGAACTAGAAAAGCAAGAGCAAACACATTCAAAAGCTAGCAGAAGGCAAGAAATAACTAAAATCAGAGCAGAACTGAAGGAAATAGAGACACAAAAAACCCTTCAAAAAATCAATGAATCCAGGAGCTGGTTTTTCGAAAGGATCAACAAAATTGATAGACCGCTAGCAAGACTAATAAAGAAAAAAAGAGAGAAGAATCAAATAGACACAATAAAAAATGATAAAGGGGATATCACCACCGATCCCACAGAAATACAAACTACCATCAGAGAATACTACAAACACCTCTACGCAAATAAACTAGAAAATCTAGAAGAAATGGATACATTCCTCGACACATACACTCTCCCAAGACTAAACCAGGAAGAAGTTGAATCTCTGAATAGACCAATAACAGGCTCTGAAATTGTGGCAATAATCAATAGTTTACCAACCAAAAAGAGTCCAGGACCAGATGGATTCACAGCCGAATTCTACCAGAGGTACAAGGAGGAACTGGTACCATTCCTTCTGAAACTATTCCAATCAATAGAAAAAGAGGGAATCCTCCCTAACTCATTTTATGAGGCCAGCATCATTCTGATACCAAAGCCGGGCAGAGACACAACCAAAAAAGAGAATTTTAGACCAATATCCTTGATGAACATTGATGCAAAAATCCTCAATAAAATACTGGCAAACCGAATCCAGCAGCACATCAAAAAGCTTATCCACCATGATCAAGTGGGCTTCATCCCTGGGATGCAAGGCTGGTTCAATATACGCAAATCAATAAATGTAATCCAGCATATAAACAGAGCCAAAGACAAAAACCACATGATTATCTCAATAGATGCAGAAAAAGCCTTTGACAAAATTCAACAACCCTTCATGCTAAAAACTCTCAATAAATTAGGTATTGATGGGACGTATTTCAAAATAATAAGAGCTATCTATGACAAACCCACAGCCAATATCATACTGAATGGGCAAAAACTGGAAGCATTCCCTTTGAAAACTGGCACAAGACAGGGATGCCCTCTCTCACCGCTCCTATTCAACATAGTGTTGGAAGTTCTGGCCAGGGCAATCAGGCAGGAGAAGGAAATAAAAGGTATTCAATTAGGAAAAGAGGAAGTCAAATTGTCCCTGTTTGCAGACGACATGATTGTTTATCTAGAAAACCCCATCGTCTCAGCCCAAAATCTCCTTAAGCTGATAAGCAACTTCAGCAAAGTCTCAGGATACAAAATCAATGTACAAAAATCACAAGCATTCTTATACACCAACAACAGACAAACAGAGAGCCAAATCATGGGTGAACTCCCATTCACAATTGCTTCAAAGAGAATAAAATACCTAGGAATCCAACTTACAAGGGATGTGAAGGACCTCTTCAAGGAGAACTACAAACCACTGCTCAAGGAAATAAAAGAGGACACAAACAAATGGAAGAACATTCCATGCTCATGGGTAGGAAGAATCAATATCGTGAAAATGGCCATACTGCCCAAGGTAATTTACAGATTCAATGCCATCCCCATCAAGCTACCAATGACTTTCTTCACAGAATTGGAAAAAACTACTTTAAAGTTCATATGGAACCAAAAAAGAGCCCGCATCGCCAAGTCAATCCTAAGCCAAAAGAACAAAGCTGGAGGCATCACACTACCTGACTTCAAACTATACTACAAGGCTACAGTAACCAAAACAGCATGGTACTGGTACCAAAACAGAGATATAGATCAATGGAACAGAACAGAGCCCTCAGAAATAATGCCGCATATCTACAACTATCTGATCTTTGACAAACCTGAGAAAAACAAGCAATGGGGAAAGGATTCCCTATTTAATAAATGGTGCTGGGAAAACTGGCTAGCCATATGTAGAAAGCTGAAACTGGATCCCTTCCTTACACCTTATACAAAAATCAATTCAAGATGGATTAAAGATTTAAACGTTAAACCTAAAACCATAAAAACCCTAGAAGAAAACCTAGGCATTACCATTCAGGACATAGGCGTGGGCAAGGACTTCATGTCCAAAACACCAAAAGCAATGGCAACAAAAGACAAAATTGACAAATGGGATCTAATTAAACTAAAGAGCTTCTGCACAGCAGAAGAAACTACCATCAGAGTGAACAGGCAACTTACAACATGGGAGAAAATTTTCGCAACCTACTCATCTGACAAAGGGCTAATATCCAGAATCTACAATGAACTCAAACAAATTTACAAGAAAAAAACAAACAACCCCATCAAAAAGTGGGCGAAGGACATGAACAGACACTTCTCAAAAGAAGACATTTATGCAGCCAAAAAACACATGAAGAAATGCTCATCATCACTGGCCATCAGAGAAATGCAAATCAAAACCATTATGAGATATCATCTCACACCAGTTAGAATGGCAATCATTAAAAAGTCAGGAAACAACAGGTGCTGGAGAGGATGCGGAGAAATAGGAACACTTTTACACTGTTGGTGGGACTGTAAACTAGTTCAACCATTGTGGAAGTCAGTGTGGCGATTCCTCAGGGATCTAGAACTAGAAATACCATTTGACCCAGCCATCCCATTACTGGGTATATACCCAAAGGATTATAAATCATGCTGCTATAAAGACACATGCACACGTATGTTTATTGTGGCACTATTCACAATAGCAAAGACTTGGAACCAACCCAAATGTCCAACAATGATAGACTGGATTAAGAAAATGTGGCACATATACACCATGGAATACTATGCAGCCATAAAAAATGATGAGTTCATATCCTTTGTAGGGACATGGATGAAATTGGAAACCATCATTCTCAGTAAACTATCGCAAGAACAAAAAACCAAACACCGCATATTCTCACTCATAGGTGGGAATTGAACAATGAGATCACATGGACACAGGAAGGGGAATATCACACTCTGGGGACTGTGGTGGGGTCGGGGGAGAGGGGAGGGATAGCATTGGGAGATATACCTAATGCTAGATGACACATTAGTGGGTGCAGCGCACCAGCATGGCACATGTATACATATGTAACTAACCTGCACAATGTGCACATGTACCCTAAAACTTAGAGTATAATAAAAAAAAAAAAAAAAAAAAAAGAGTCATACATTTTCTCCTATTTTATAAAGGTATTTGAAAGGAAAACAAGAGAAGCAAGGAAAAGCAATGGCCTAACACTGATGTGAGGGCTCTTTTTAAGTCATATATTAATTTGAATGTATTTAATGAATATTGATTTGCCTACATTCTTCAGTGGAGTTCCTATCCTTGGCATTTTATCTCTTGCACTCCAACAGGTAAAATGAAGCAGTTGGATGAGATTTCTAGACTTTTTTTCCAAACTGTAATCCAGAATATGACCAAGGGATTTCTTTTCCTTCAGAGATGTGAATATTTTCCTGTATTAGAGTCCTAAAAGCTCCTAAGAGTCTCTTAAGTTCATAGATCATTTTTGGATAATAACCTTGACTTCTGTCCACCTCCTGGTTATTTCTGCCTTCTGACTTCCTTTAATTGTCAATGCATCCTGAAGCCAGCTTGCCAAGTTGCTTAAGCCCAGTGCTTCATGAAGGCATAAGAGGCTGATTGTACTCAGGTTTTCCATGAATGCTTAACTGTTGCTGTGGTCCCACTTGATGCCAGGGCTCGTAGAAACATATTGGTATTGAGGCCTGTACTTCCTTCTGACATAGAAACCGTTGTTGTTTCCGGGTGATTTATAAAAGGCATAGGAACCTCTTTCTCAGTGACTTAGTAAAGTATGATGTTTAAGTAACTTTTTGGGAGTTTTAGACTTCCGGAAATTACATCCTCTGTGGTACATCTTGTTTATCAGTCTTGTCTTATACAAGTATTTATAAATAGACACAAAAATGATTATAAGAAAGAATAATGAGCTGTAAAATATGTGAATTGTATTATTTATTTATATCTATCAAATAGGGTTTACATATCATTACCTCCAGTAACATTCATTTTAAAATATTATGTAAACCCTATTTTTCCATTATAAAAGCAGTAAATGTTTCACTTTAAAAAAGATTGTAGAAGGGTATAGAGTAAGATGTAGAAATTCTCCTTTCCCATACTTTAGCTTTCAGTACCACTCTCCAAAAGCAATCACTTTTAACAATGTGTTAAGTTTCTTTGCATAAATTTTCTGAGCATATACAGTTTTACGTATATTTCTACATACACATTCATTTTTTACACAAATAGTCATACTATGCTTACTTGTCTACGTCTTGTTTTGTTTTTTCACTAAAAATACCTGGCCTCTGTCATATCAGTGTTTTAGTCAGCCTCATTCTTTTTAACAATTGCATGGTATTTCATCATTATATGTATGTACCATATATATGTATATATATATACACACACACACACATATATCTATCTATATCTATATGTATGTATATATATATTTTTTTTTTGAGATGGAGTTTCACTCTTGTTGCCCAGGCTGGAGTGCAATGGTGTGATCTCGGCTCACTGCAATCTCCACCTCCTGGGTTCGAGTAATTATCCTGCGTCACCCTCCCAAGTAGCTGGGATTACAAGCATGCGCTACCACACCCATCTAATTTTTTGTATTTTTAGTAGACACAGGGTTTCACCATGTTGGCCAGGCTGGTCTCGATTTCCTGGCCTCAAGTGATCCACCTGCCTCAGCCTCCCAGAGTGCTGGGATTACAGGGGTGAACCACCATGCCCGGCCCATGTACCATAATTTTTTGATGAGCATTTAAGTAACCAGTTTATATCTGGTTGTTGTTGAAGTTATATTGTCCTAATTATAAACAATGAACATTCCTAGAAGTGAAATTACTGAACCAAGGAGCACGTGTTTTACATTTGGGTGAGATGTTTCTAAATTACCTTCCAAAGAGCTTGCACAAATTTACACATTTTACCAATATTGTGTGAGGGTTTTTCCACACCCTCATTTACCAGTCTTTCTATGAGGTTTGAAATGTTTAATATTCTAATAGATGAAAATTGTTGCTCTTTTAAAATATGCCTTCGTTGAATGTATGTACTGAGTATTTTTTCCACGAGTCTCATATCCATTTGAATATTTGTGTGAATCTCCTATTTTGTGTCCTTTCCCATTTTTTTCTATTGGATCATTTGTCACATCCATTTTTATGAGAGAAAAACAAATCATTTTCTAGGAGAGGCTGCCATTTAATAGATAATCCATCAATAGTTAACAAGAATAAATATATATATTCTACACAAGGACACATGTATAAACACTCATCTACTTGGACTCCTAAAAGAAATAATAAATATGGCCACGTAGCCTGAGGAGAGAAAGAAAGTCTGTCTGGGATAGATGTGGGGACTGGCCTTACTCTTTCTACTGGTTTTCTATTGCTATATAAAAACTGACCACAAACTTAGGAGACCTACAGTTTCCCTGGGACAGGAGTCCCACAAGGCTAAAGTCAAGGTGTTGGCTGGCTGTGTTTTCATGTGGAGCTCTGGATCCTCTTCTAAGTTCGCGTGGTTGTGGCAGGACTCGGTTCCTTGCAACTATAGGACTGATTTCCCTTCCTTGCTGCCTGTCAGCTGGGAGCCACTCTCAGTTCCTACGGCTGCCCACATTCCATTCCATCTGGCCCCCTCCATCTCAAAAGTCAGCAAAGGGGAATCTCCTTTGTGTTGAATCTTTTTTATGCTTCCAGTCTCTGACCACTTGACCCATATAGATCTGAGTTCATATGATTAGGACAGGCCCAACTGGATTACCTATCAAATGAACAGCAAAATCCTTCCACAGCATCCCCTAAATTAGTGTTTGATTGGAAGAGGCGTATGTGCAGTGGGGCCAGAAGTCTTGGGGACCGTCTTAAATTCTGTCCACCACATCTTCCACCTGCATTCCTTGACAGAAGCAGACAGAAGTCATATCTTTTGCCTTAGGAAATCACAGTGAAACATCCAATGCCAGAGGAAGGAGCTAGCATACATCTAACCCCATGTACAACAAAATACATCCATATGGGTCAAAGATCTGGATCTGGCCTGGCACAGTGTCTCACACCTATAATCCCAGCAGTTTGGGAGGCAAAGGCAGGAGGATTGCTTGAAAGTAGCAGTTTGAGACCAGCCTGGGTAACATAGCAAGACCTCATCTCTACCAAAAAAAAAAAAAGGCGTTAGCTGGGTGTGATGGTGCATATCTGTAGCCCTAGCTACTTGGGAGGCTGAGGCAGGAGGGTTGCTGGAGCCCGGGAGTTCAAGGCTACAGTGAGCCATGATCATGCCACTGCACTCATTCCTGGGCAACAGGGCAAGACCCTTTCTCTTAAAAGGAAAAGAAAGCTTGATGTGAGCAGAAAGCTGGAGAGAAAATCTAGGAAACCACTTATACAATGTATACAATATAGGGGGTGGGGGTGGGGTCAGGCAGACCTTCCTTGACTAAGGATCCAGACCTGGTATTTCTGACTCCAACATCTCCCTTCTTGACCCCCACACTATATGGCCCACCCAGAGGACAGGTCATTCACTGGCTGCCTAAAGGATTTTGAGTTCTCTAACCTTGCTGTTTCTTCTTGATACCAGTGTGATCACAGTGTGCGTTTGTGAGATGCTGACCTTGGGTGTTCAATAGAACAGAATGAACTGACCAGAAACTAAGTAGGTGAGCCACTAAAAGGGAACTGTATTGATGAGCATTATTCTAACAGAATTCTAAAAGAACATTCTCCTCTCCCTGTCTCTCTCTCTTTCACCCTCCCACCTGCTGCTGTGATTCAGGCGCATTATACGTGACTTGCTTGAGACTGAAGAGATTTACATAAAAGAGATTAAAAGCATAATTGATGTAAGTAGATTTGGGGAGTGGGGTATCAAGCATATATTCAAACTGCAGATGTTTTGTTGTACAAAGAGACTCAAAATAGTTGCCAGAAGTCTCCAGAATTCCCACCAAGGTTTCAGGTCTTAGAATATTACAAGTGTCTCCAGTAGGAATAAGAACATCCCTGTGGTTTCTTGATCCATGTAGCCAAATAGTTTCCAAAGAATTAAGCCAGTTCACACTGATTCCAGCAAAGCCCAAATAGGTTTACCATCTTCTTGCCAACAAAGGATATTATAAGTGTTCCTGATACTTTAATAAGGGAAGATTATTTCTTGTTTTTTTAAAGTAGTCTTTTTCTTAAGAGTAAAAATGCATGTTTTCCCTATTTTCCTAAGGGAATAATCTTAAGGAAAAAATTATATGTACGCGATTATTTATAATCACATTTTTACCATAAAATATTAGAAGCAACCCAAATGTCCATAAAAAGGGAATGTTTAGTAAACTATGATATATATGCTGAGTAAACATTATTCAGATATTAAAAAATAATTATTGGGCCGGATGCAGTGGCTCACGCCTGTAATCCCAGCATTTTGGGAGGCCGAGGCGGGTGGATCGCCTGAGGTCAGAAGTTTGAGACCAGCCTGGCCAACATGGTGAAACCCTGTCTCTACTAAAAATACGAAAATTAGCCAGGTGTGGTGGTGTGTGCCTGTAATTCCAGCTACTTGGGAGTCTGAAACGGAAGAATCACTTGAACCCAGGAGGCGGAGGTTGCAGTGAGCCGAGATCACGCCATTGCACTCCAGCCTGGGAAGAAGAGCAAAACTTCGTCTCAATATTAATAATAATCATAATAATAATAGTAATTGTATTAGTTCATAAAACAGTGGGTACATTTTCCCTTCTTTTAGATTAAACCTGTGTAACATAAACATTTTTAAATATATTTGTTCTTCCCACAAAAATGCCATTTTATGATCATTGCCATTAAGCCATCTCCTTCTGAAAGTGGGCACATGAGGAAAATGATATCAAAAGAAAGTACTCAATACGATAGCTTTCAAGAAACAAGTGTGCTATATTCTTCAATCATTTCACTAAAGTTTTGGGTTTTGCAGTAGCTAATTCAGATGATCTCTGGTATGTTCCTGTTTGTAACACCTACCTTGTTTGCACCTCTGCAGGGATATATCACTCCAATGGATTTTATTTGGCTAAAGCATCTAATTCCAGATGTTCTTCAGAATAACAAGGACTTTCTCTTTGGGAATATTAGAGAACTTTACGAATTTCACAACAGGTATATAATAATTCATGTTATCAGAAAGAATGGAGAGTAAGAGAAGGGTGGAAATGAGACTGATGGAATTGAGAGATGAAAACACTTAGATGTTTTCAGGTTTAAGCAAGTGGTTTGGAGTCAGTGGATTGGATTGGGGTGGGTTGGAGTGAAAGGAGGGGAGAAGCCCCACAGGATCCCTGGAGAGAAAGGGAAGAGACATCAAAGGAACAGGGACCCAGTGTCAGACATCCATGTTGTATGCAGTTGAGTGTTCCTTTGTTTATTTATTCATGCATCAGCATTTTTTGAGCACCTGTTCTGTGCCAGGCACTGTGCTCAGCATTGGGAATACAAAGATGACCAAGATACACATCTCCATACTACTATCATAAGGGGATGCTGGGAACTAGGGTGTTAGAAAATGCTGACTGCTCAAACAAGTTGTACTTTTAACTCGGGGCTGCTTGGATATTGAGTTCTAGAGAATTGCAGGAATAAGGGACTTTGGAAATCATCTTCAAACCCTTTCATGTTACACATATGGGAATGGTAACTTGTTAACTCTCTTTATTCGCTATGATGACCCCAAGATTGCACACCTAATTCACAGAGGGAGAAAAGCTGCTTGGTGAATTGAACCACAGTTGCTTCCTAACCCCATTCCTCGTCCGTTGGTCAGACGCAAAACTGAAATGGAAACCCATTTCTGTTGATTTCCCCAGAGAAGTTATGTAGCCTCTTTGAGCCCCAGGTTTTATATTTATAAAACCCTATCTTTGGTTGAGGATTAAATGAGATACTATTTGCGGAGCACTTAGCTTATGCCTGGCTTATAGTAAGCTGTCAATGATATTAGTAATAGCAACAGCAGCAGCAGCAGTTCTTATGAACGTTACTTTCATGTAAGAGAGAGCATCAGTGAATGTATCCAGTCTATCTATGACTAGTGCTTAGAATTACCCGAACAGCTGTGTTCTGATAATTGGAGATGATCCTGACCCCCTGTGCCTTCTGAGTAGTTCTCATTTCTCCTCTCTTTCCCAACTAGTTCTTCTCATTCTCTTTCTTATTTTTCTTTTTGTGAACCTAAGGCAACAGATCGAACAACTTAAAGTTGTGAGTGATTTCAGGGTAATTGTAGTAATACCTCAGAATACAGCTTTTTTTTCTGAATCAATGTGTAGAAGATAAGAGCAAGAAGGCCTGGAGAACATTTTTCTAGGCACCTCTTGAAACCTTATGTGATTGTACTTAAAAAATTAATTACCTACATGTCAAAATCAAAACATTATTACTTGTATACTTTTATTTTTCTAGGACTTTTCTAAAAGAGTTGGAAAAGTGTGCTGAGAACCCTGAACTTCTGGCACATTGCTTTCTCAAGAGAGTAAGTCTGTACTCCCAGTAAATAATCATGTTAAAGTCAGCCCTTACATTTCTGCGTTAAGTGGCAAGGACAAATGGAAACATCAATGGTCTAAAAACATATCTGCTTCCCTCCGACTCCAAGCTTTACTGAAGTATAATTGGTAAATAAAAATTGCATATATTCAAACTATACAACATGATGGTTTGATATACTTACACCCTGTGAAATGATTACTGCAATCAAGTTAATGAATACATTCATTACCATTGTGTGTGTGTGTGTGTGTATATGTATATATATATAATCCAAAAACAGTTGAGCTCATTGAAGTAGAAGGGTGGTTGCCAGGGGCTGGAGTCTAGAGGAAGTAGGGAGATGTTGGTCACAGGGTACAAACTTGCAGTTATGAGATGAGTAAGTCCTGGAGATGTAACGCACAGCATGGCGACTATCATGGAATAATACTGTACTGTACACTTGCAATTTGTCAAGACAGTATATCTTGTATCTGCCCTTTGAATGGAAAACATGAGTTGGCCTCCCAACTTTATCTGACTTTATCCAAGGTGAGAATGAGTCCAATTTGACTGAGCTCACACTGATATGTGGGAGTAACCGCAAGCCTGGCTTCCTGCAAAGCCCCATGAAATGGAAGGCTGGCCATCCATGGTCCCCAAAGCAGAGGATCCTCTTCTGAATGACTCAACTACGTTTTAAAACAAGAATCATACAGCGAGGTTAGAGTCCCACAATAAAGCTGTACTAATGCTCTCAAGAGGAGAAGCACTGGTGTTAAACTAAAAACCTCAGGAAATACATTTTCTTTCCATTCTATTTTTTACAACATAGAGGATGATTCGAAAATTCTAAATCTACAGCCTCCTTTAGGCTTAGTACTCAATTTATGAACATCTTGGCCTACAACATTATACCTCCAACTACCCCTTCTTCCCACCTCCCAGACTTCTTCCCTCTTTCCCTGTTTCTCCACCCTGTTTTAGGCAACAAATAGGCTATATGGGCCAGTGGGAGCTGCCACAGAGAAATGTTCCACCCAACATCAATCCCCACCAGGTACTTTCTAGGACACGACCATGGAGATGATCCTGACCCCCTGTGCCTTCTAAATAGTTCTCATTTCTCCTCTCTTTCTCAACTAGTCCTTCTCATTCTCTTTCTTATTTTTATTTTTGTGAACCCAAGGCAACAGATCAAACAACTTAAAGTTGTAAGCAACTCATATTATGACTGAGGCTGAGAGCAATACTTATGATAACTGGAAGCAAACAAAGCCTCCAGGTTTCAAGATATTTGACATTAATGGAGAGAAGGAATCTTCCATGCTCAGAGCCTTTTGGTGGCCCCATATGGCTTTCCATGTCAACTCATCATAGGCTTTGTGTCAAAGCACCAGAATTCAATGTACACTGAAAACTATTTTATACTCATTCTGATTCATTAATTTTTTTGAACTATTACATTATTAGTGCTTTATATACTATTTTGAATTTTTGCACTTAACAAACGACTAATGTGAAATCTAGTTTCAGAGATTAGAAGTATTTTATGGTTATGTATGTCATTACTGCAAAGATTATTTAAATTGCTCAATGAGAAATGGGCAAAGTTCCTGTGGGAAAGTGGATATTATCAAATTGTTCAAATATGAGGAAATTGTCAGAGAATTATTAACTAAATACCTTTTCTGAATTCCTCTCCTAAATTGTAAAGTTTTACAAAGTTTTTTGATAGCGCCCCGCCATGTTGGGAGGAACATTGTAAATCATTAACCCAGCCAGAAAACACTGACTTAGCCCTATGTGATTTATGATGTTAGAGACAAAATACAAGTAGTACTTTTTTTTTTTTTCTTGAGACGGAGTCTCGCTCTGTCACCAGGCTGGAGTGCTGTGGCGTGATCTCGGCTCACTGCAACCTCTGACTCCCTGATTCAAGCGATTCTCCTGCCTCACCCTCCCTCGTAGCTGGGATTACAGGCATGTGCCACCACGCCCGGCTAATTTTTGTATTTTTAGTAGAGACGAGGTTTCATCATGTTGGCCAGGATGGTCTCCATCTCCTGACCTCGTGATCCGCCCACCTCGGCCTTCCAAGATAATGAATTTTGAAATAGTTTTCTGACCAAGTGTTTTAATCAGCCTCTTTAGCCTGTATCTTCTGAAACAATTCTCCTCCAGAGACCATGTTCTATATAGAATAATATTTGTCCATAGTGTACTGTGGGTTCCAAGTACTCTGAGATCTCACATGGTAAAATGGAAAGAGCACTGGAATGGGTGCTCACACTGATATGTGGGAGTAACTGGTAAGTCAGGAAACCCGATTTATCATGTTGGTCAAGCCACTTGCTATCTGCATGACCTCCAGTAAATAACTTAAACTTTGGAATCTCACTTTCCTCCTCCACACAACAGGCTAATAGTACCAATATGTACAGTTGTTGTGGGAAACAAAATAATGTATGCAGAGGATTCCATAAAGTAAAAAGTGCTTTGACAATAGCCACCATTTTTTGAGTACTCTATCCATTGGGCATTTGTGGAGAGGTTTCTATACATCATCTCATTTAATCTCACAACAGTCACAGGAGTTGACTACTGTTATGGGCCCACTTAACAGATGAGGAAACTGAAGTCTAGGAAGGTTAGGTAACTTACTTTAGGCCATATGATTTGTATTTGGCAAAGCCAAGAACTGAACCTGGACCATCCGCCACCAGAGCCCCGCAGTCTTAATCCGTAAGCAAGTATGTATTCTTGTGTGAATATGAGTTTCTGGTAGCAATTTTATAGCCTCCTGATTCATTCTATAAGGAGATTAGGAGAATTGGGCACTTTTGTATGTTGCTGGTTAGTGGACATCCTTTCTCTGAGGAATTTTGGACTGTTAGCCTTTAGAAGAGCAATTTAGGTCAATACTATATTGTTAAGCTCTGAGTTATTATTCTAGCTCCTTAACCAGTCTGAACATTTTTCAAGGGCCATCTGTCTTAAATGTGTGTGCCATTTTTTTCCTGGAGGGAATAGCAAAGGACGGTTGCTGTAGTTCCTATGCTGAAATGACCACTTACAACCTATTGGGAGAAAGAAAGAGCTACAGAAATGGAAGTCATCCACTATAGCAATGTATTTGGGAGTAGAACAGGCATCATTGAAGCTGAGAGGGAAGGAATCATCTGTGTTGACATGAAGGAAATCCAGAGTTGGGCTGAGCAGGAGGACAGGGACACAGACTTCTGCAAGGAGGTGGCTACATGGGCTTCTCCACCAGAATGGCATGGGATCTGTGGCCAGCACAGCCGCTGTGGGCCAGGCTCCCTGATAGAGCGAGTGAAGCTGGCAAGCTGACGCCAGAGGCTTGGAGTGTGCTTTCTCTCCGGGAGATTGGCAGATATGTGCCCACCTCTCAGCGTCTTTGATACCATGAGAATACAGGTTGAACAGCACGTTGAGTCCTCCTTGCTCTCTAGCTCCGAAACAGTCACATAACATTTCCTGTCTCAGAGTCTTGTGCTGCAGGTTGAAAGTGATGTTTGAGGCGGAGCCTGTCACTTTGAGGGTTGCCCAAATGACTGAGCTCCGTATTGGTTGCCCGATCTACCACATCTCCCCTCTGGCATGTTTCCATCTTTTGGTTGTTTCTTGGGCTTCTTTGCAGGGTTGGTGTCACGATGACCACAAGGAGAGGGTGGAGAGAGAAGAGAGGGGGACCATCAAACACCAGCCTCTTTTCTGTCAGTTTTACTACTCATTGCAGACCTGTTGTGGGGAGATGTCGATGTCCTGGACAAAGGGCAGGAAAAGAATGATAAAGATAAAAACCAATTCCTGTTTGTGAGTCTACTTATGTATTTACCAATAGCCCTTGTAGATGCTCCCAGAGCACTCTGTGCCTATCTATGTCTGGTAGTTATGGTTGTTTAAAGCCTTCTGTTTATCTCTCCATCACACACACATCCCAACATAAGATTACTTACTGTACACCCCCAATTCCTTACACATTAGAATACTCTGGCTTGTTGAATGAATGAATAAACTGTATCATCCTGTCCACTTACTGAAAAATGCTGCCTGATTAATTTATTCTAATTTTTTCCCACCTAGAAAGAAGATCTTCAGATATATTTTAAATACCATAAGAATCTGCCCCGAGCTAGGGCAATCTGGCAAGAGTGTCAAGACTGCGCCTACTTTGGGGTAATGTTGAGAAGACAAACTTCTTCCTGGAAAATGTTTCTATGCATCAAGTTGTTAAAGAAATCAAAAGTGGGACTAGGGAGAGGAACTTGGCATTGCGATTTATGTTTATTTAAAGTGTCCCATACTTTGAAATTACACATGAAAAGTTGTAATGGGATAGGCCTGTGAGGAGCACCTATATCTGGTGAGAAAACCAGTGTCTTCTTCTAAGATGGGTTTTAAAAATGAAACTAAGTAAAAAATGTCACACTTTGGGCTCCCTGGAATGATGTCTACAAACCGTCTGTATCCTTCAGGCTCCAAAAGGCCTGAATAGACTCTGGCAGCCCCCAACTTGAAGATAGGTGGCCTCTTTTTCAGAAGGACTTGAAATGCCCCACTGTCTTCTAGTGAACTTGCTTTCTAAAAGAAATAAATGGTTCTGCTTCCCTAGATGCCTGTAAAAATATTAGCCGAGCCGTCCTCTTTCCTCTTTCTCTTATTTCACACACTGTTCCTAGGGGAAAGAACAACCCCACAGCCTTATGGAGCTGCTCGACACAGCTGCCCCTGTTGTCCAGGAAAAGCAATTTTGTGTTTTGTACCTAAATGCTGCCACTTTTATTCTGTGTGTGTTGTTTGTTTTGCTTTATGTTGTTTCTATTTGGCTTTTAAAGGTATGCCAGCGCCAACTGGATCACAATCTCCCTCTTTTTAAGTATCTCAAAGGACCAAGCCAGAGACTTATAAAATACCAGATGCTGTTGAAGGTAAAATCAATGAGACAGTGCTTTTCCTTGGTGGGAAACCAGACGCCTGCACTGTGGTGCCCATGTCGTTACACATGTAGAGCTGTGCCTTGGTCTTCTAAGGCTGAAGATACGTCTATCCTGCAGGCTTTTTCTTTCCTCCAACTCTAAATCAGCCCTCTTCAATGTGGAGTAAGACCAAAGAATCATAGAGTTGGAGGGCACCTGAGGGCCTCACTAGTCCAATGTCTAGCTCAGGGCATGAATCACTAAGGAGTCTGGCTTAGGGGAAGAGAGCTCTTTGGGAGCGAGAGTGTGATTTTCCCCAAAGTTACTGTTTTATGGGCATTTTAACTTGTGGAAGGGAGAAGACAAAACTGAAGTCTTCTATCCTTTTGCAGCACTGACCTCCATTCTTAGATTTAGGATCTTACCCTGAGAGCAGCCTAACAGAATGAACTTTGCTATATCTGAACCCTGAACCCCTAAGTGGTTTTCTCTCTCTCTCTCTGACCTTTACCCCTCCTTAGTGATAAGTCATTGACACTAGCACATCTGCAGGCAAGCATTCTCAGACACTCCAAACAGGATATGAGGGCCTATCATGGCTGGTTTTCTAGGTGTGAGCTTGAGAGAAAGGTTTGGGCCACCACGATAAGTTGTCTGTTGAATTAACCTCTATAAGGCATTTAGGTAGCTCTTGCCCAGTGGCCACTATTTCTTAATAAAAAACAAAAACAAAAACAAAAACAAGCACCTACTGTTTACTGGGTACTTCCCCACGTGTATTTCTTTTTTCTTTCTTTCTTTCTTTTTTTTTGAGACAGAGTGAGACTCTGCCTAGGCTGGAGTGCAATGGCGCGATCTCAGTTCACTGCAACCTCTGCCTCCCAGGTTCAAGCAATTCTCCTGCCTCAGCCTCCCAAGTAGCTGAGATTACAGGCACGCGCCGCCATGCCTGGCTAATTTTTGTATTTTTAGTAGAGACGGGGTTTCACCATGTTGGCCAGGCTGGTCTTGAACTCCTGACCTCGTGATCTGCCCACCTCAGCCTCCCAAAGTGCTGGGATTACAGTATTTCTTATTTAATCTCCACAATCAGACATACCAGCCATGCTCTGGACTGTGAAGAAACTGAGGCTCAGGAAGGTTAAGCTCATTGCCCAACAGTCTCCCCTCAGAAAAAGTTACCCCTTTCAGGCCAGACATGATAACACACACCTGTAGTCCCAGCAGCTACTCAGGAGGTGGAGGCAGGAGGCATCCCTTCAGTCCAGGAGTTCAAGACTAGCCTGGGCAACATAGCAAGACCTCATCTGTAAAAATAATTTTAAAAACATTTTTTCAAAGTTACTCCTTTCAAGCTTTCCATTAGCAGTTTCAGCCTCGGTGTACTCTGCCATTTGTCAGTTATGAGACCTTGCCCTCTTGGGCCTTAGTTTTCCTCTATGTAAAATGAGGGTACTAGAACCTCCTCCATAAGATCGTTATGAAGCAGATGATTAGCACATGCGGAGGGCTTGGCACAGCCCAGGAAGCTCTGCATGATGTGTAGCTGTTATCTTAGACATTGAGACTGTCACACCACCATAGAAATGAGGATAATGATCTGCTTCTTTCAGCGAGCAGCACCTCAGAGCATGTTTGACCCAGCACTCACTCAGGGCCTCATGCTCCTCTGCATGTCCCATTGTCACTGTCATTCCTATTGTAGAAGTCCAACCTCTGGGCCCAGTGAGGCATGAGCAGGACGAAAGTGATGGTCCTTCCTCCCTCAGCCTAGGTTCCAGCTTTCCCACAGAGGTGACATTTACATAGGAGCTAGGTTCGGTACCAGACGCAGAGGGCTGTGGGGCATCGTCATTGGAAACACAGACTCGAGAGTTTAACAACCTGGGTCTGAATCCAGGCTCTGACCCTTCCAGGCTGCGTGAACTCAGGCAAGTTACTTAACCTCTCTCAGCCTCAGATTTCTCACCTATAGAAATAAGATAATAATAGTACTTTCCTGGTATGCTTGTTGGGAGCATTAAATGAGATAATACAGGTTAAAAGGACTTAGAAGGTTTTGTTAGCTGCCTTTCACTGAAGAAACAAGAGATAGAATTACTACAAAATATTTTGCGGGGGGTCTGTGAGGAGCCGTGGGAGCTACCCAAGGCAGACCAGAGCAGTGTCCCCACAGCTAAGCTTGCTGGTGCCTGTGAAACCAGCTCAGGCCATTACGTGCCTGCAAAGAAAGGAACGACCTTGTAATCCTATCTAGGACCTTCTCTATCCCCAGGGGCAGAGCTTATTTTGCATCTCGCACACATGTGCTGGCTTGAAAGAGCATGAATGTTGGACTGATTGCCTCATGCTTTAGAAAGGATCATGGGATCTTGGGGAGAGGGTGATGAGTGATAGCTTATACCATTAAAGACAGACTCATGAAACATTGGGGAAAATGTGAACAAAATATGTAACAGATGATCAGTATGCTTAATGAATCATGTGCTCTTGGAAATTATAATAAAAAGATGCGCAAAGGACATAGCAATTTGCAAAAGAATAAACACTAGTAGCAAACGTTTTTTTAAAAAAGTTCTACACCTCTAGTTATCTAAGGAAGTCAAATTAAAACAACAGTGAGGTAGGATTTCTCTTTTCATTCAATTGGTAAAGATTTTTGATTAAATGGTACTACCCCTTGTAGGCTAGGGGCTGGTGAGACAGGCTTTCCTATACAGCTGGCAGGAAGACAGTCCTTCTCTGAAGAACTTGGAAATATGCCTCAAAACTCTTAACATTTACAATTCCACTCTAGGAATTTAGCTTTAAGAAAAATGCACAAAAGTTATTATCATTATTATAGTAAAAAATATTGTTGAACCTAAATGTTTAATGATAAGGGGGACTATAATTCGATTATGGTTTATCTATAAGATATAACACTCTACCACAACCAAAGCCCATGTTTTAAAAAAATATAATATCATGGGAAAATATTCATGAGATATTGTTGAATGAGAAAAATGGTTTATCTCTAAGATATAACACTCTACCACAATCAAAGCCCATATTTTAGAAAAACATAATATCATGGGAAAATATTCATGAGATATTGCTGAATGAGAAAAATGGTTTATCTGTAAGATATAACACTCTACCACAATCAAAGCCCATATTTTAGAAAAACATAATATCATGGGAAAATATTCATGAGGTATGGTTGAATGAGAAAAAGTAGTCTACAAAATAGTGTGTACAATATGATTCTAGGTTTGTGGAAAGGACCCTGTGCCAAATACATCATTTATTCTTTCCCTCTTACACATTTACACACGTTCTCAGTCAGCTTAGCATTGGTGGCAGATAGTTTGCACAGTAGATTTTGTTGACAATCTACATTTTGATGGCAATGTACATTTTAATTTTCAACAAGACTTTTGGGTTAATGCAGGGTCTGCTGGATTTCGAGTCTCCTGAAGATATGGAGATAGACCCAGGTGAACTAGGAGGCTCGGCTAAGGTACTCAATATTAAATATTACATTTTATATAACTAACTATTAATGGTGTTTGTCTATGGGTCGGAGGATTTATAGCAATTTTACTTGGTGGTCTTTATTATCTAGATTTTCTAAAATAGTATGTATCCTATAACTCACAGTCAAGAAAAAAAACAAAAAAATTAAAGGCAATTTTAAAGTAGGGATTTGCAGCCCAAATGGAAGTGGTAATATATTTTCTTCCTTCCACATAATTTTTTTTTTTTTAGACAAAGTCTCACTCCATTGCACAGGCTGGAGTGCAATGGTGCAATCTTGGCTCACTGCAACCTCTGCCTCCCGGGTTCAAGCGATTCTCCTGCCTCAGCCTCCCAAGTAGCTGGGATTACAGGTGCCCGCCACCATGCACAGCTAATTTTTTTATTTTTAGTAGAGACGGGGTTTCGCCATGTTGGCCAGGCTGGTCTTGAACTCCTGACCTCAGATGATCCACCTGCCTCGGCCTCCCAAAGTGCTGGTATTACAGGCGTGAGCCACTGCACCCAGCCAAAAAAATTTTAATGGGAACAAAATTAAGCAAATACGTAAAATGCATACATAAAAGACTGGAAGTAAATAGATATGATAAAATGTCTGCTGTGGCTTTCCTGAATGGTAGGATTATGTTTTCTTCTTTGTACCTCTTAGTATATCTAATTTCTATATGTTATGCCTTGTTCTCCTCTGTGTGTGTGTGTGCGTGTGTGTGAACTCTAAGAGTCTGCCAAAGTTCCCTTAGAATAAATGGTGACCATGACCACACCAGGTTAGGAAGAAATCTGTGTTATAGCAGTGCGGTTTCTCTTCCCTTTCCTATAGAATATTCTGGTTTTAGCAAGAAACACTTGAGACATGTCTTATGGGGCAGTCATTTGCATGCCCTTTCTGCTCAGAATGGATGACAAGGACCTGTTGAAAACAGAAGCAGCTCAGGACACAGGTCATATTTTTACAGCCTGGAGCAAGAGGAGCTAGCCCTAGTTAGAGGAGTTTAATAATGTTTTAAAGGATTTTTCTGAACCCTACATTATACAGTTCAAAACCCTAGCCACCTCGTGTTTTGTGAAGGAGGGTTAGCGGAAGGAAGGGGGATGGGAAGAGGTGAGGATCTGAAAGGAAACTGAGCATTCAGTGTTTGGTAAGGAGGAAGATGCCTGGTATAAGAACTTTAAAAAAAAATTATTTCTTATTTTTTTATTTTTTTGAGACAGAGTCTCGCTCTGTCACCCAGACTGGAGTGCAATGGCGCAGTTTCGGCTCACTGCAACTCCGCCTCCCGGGTTCAAGCTATTATCCTGCCTCAGCCTCCTGAGTAGCTGGGATTACAGGCACCCGCCACCACGCCCGGCTAATTTTTGTTTTTAGTAGAGATGGGGTTTCACCACGTTGGTCAGGCTGGTCTCGATCTCGTGACCTCGTGATCCACTCCCCCCCTCGGCCTCCCAAAGTGCTGGGATTACAGGCGTGAGCCACTGCGCCCTGCCAAGAACTCTTAATCCCTTATTGATGTTGTTAAAATAAATTCAGGTGAGAGTCTGTTTTCTTTTACCAGGAAGCGAAGCTTCTTTATTATGAATGAGAAGCTACGAATCCATGATACGTTTTTCAGAGGCAGCAGCACGATCTATTCCATTCATCAGCCCTGTCACTCATGTCTCTCATCCAAAGATGCAAATACCCAGTGCTTCCGCATAGATTAAGAAAATATTAAACCCTGTGACTACATTGTGCTGTAGAGGACAAAAAGAGTCAGGGCCAGATGCGGAGCAGCAAAGGGGCTAGCTGTTCTTCACTGCAGAACTTGAGATGTTAAAAAAATACATTGAATAAACCAAAATTTTTTTATGTGTATTTACCAGGTAACAGATAAATACAGCATGTAGGTAGCAGGGAGATAAAATACCTCAAGCCCATGCAAAAGCCTTTAGAGCTGAAACAATCACCCCAATCACATCCTAAATGTCACTGTGGTTGTAATTGGAACATTGGTCTCTTTAATTAGTTACTGCTTTTCCGCTGAATGCTGAGTCTTTATGTTCGGGAGGTGCAGAGCGCTGGCTTATCTCTTTGGCATCTTTAATGGTGGTGCAATGTGGGGAGGGCCAGGGACAAGTGGAGGAAGGAAGGACAGAGTTGGGGGAGATTCAGTGTGGAAATATGATGTTATAGCTTTTACATGTAAATCATTAGTAAATTTCCACTTAGCAGCCTCTATGGAGTTCTTTGTCTCTATAGGAGTTTACAAATGTCCTCCTCTGGGATGATTTTAAGTATAATTTTTCCCACAGGAATAAGGCTTCCACATTAAATATAGGAATATGATACTCAGATTGTATTCTTTTTCTTTTTCTTTTTTCTTTTTTTGTGAGACAAGGTCTCACTTTGTTGCCCAGGCTGGAGTGCAGTGGCGCAATCTTGGCTCACTGCAAACTCCACCTCCCGTGTTCAAGCAATCCTCCTGCCTCAGCCTCCTGAGTAGCTGGGATTACAGGCACACACCACCACACCCAGCTACTTTTTTTTTTTTTTTTTTTTTTTTTTTTGAGACGGGGTTTCACTCTTGTTACCCAGGCTGGAGTGCAATGACACAATCTGGGCTCACTGCAACCTCCGCCTCCTGGGTTCAAGCTGTTCTCCTGCCTCAACCTCCCAAGTAGCTGGGATTACAGGCGCCCACCACCACACTAAGCTAATTTTTGTATTTTTAGTAGAGACGGGGTTTCACCATGTTAGCCAGGCTGGGCTCAAACTCCTGACCTCAAGTGCTCTGCCTGTCTCAGCCTCCCAAAGTGCTGGGATTACAGGCATGAGCCACCCGCCCGGCCATATGGTATTTTTTTTTTCAGTAAGCCCCAGGGAATAGGGGTATAAAAGAGAGAGAAGCCTATTTAAAAGGAGCTAGGTTTTTCCATGCTTTAAAAAAGCTAAATTCTGGCCAGGCACAGTGGCTTACGCCTGTAATCCCAGCACTTTAGGAGGCCAAGGTGGGTGGATCACCTGAGGTTAGGAGTTTGAGAACAGCCTGGTCAACATGGCGAAACTCCGTCTCTACTAAAAATACAAAAATTAGCCAGGCATGGTGGCGCACACCTGTAATCCCAGCTACTCGGGAGGCTGAGACAGGAGAATTGCTTGAATCCAGGAGGCAGAGGTTGCAGCGAGCCGAGATCGTGCCTCTGCACTCCAGCCTGGGTGACAGAGTGAAACTCTCTCTCGCTCTCAAAAAAAAAAAAAAAAAAAAAAAAAAAAAAAAAAAATATATATATATATATATATATATATATAATATATATACTTATATTTTATATAATATATAATATATAAATATTTAATATATATAATTAATATATAAACATATAATTATATATTAATATATAAATATTTAATATACTATATAAATATTTATATAATATATATACACATAAGAAACATATAGAATTCAGCTATATAGCTGAATTCTATATGTTTCTTATGTAGCAGGAATATAATTTCCATGATTTATGAACTTCATTCGTCACTAGTACAATGCACAGAGGTAGATGATTTTGCTTGTCTCTATGCCGTATACCTAAATCAGTAAGCATCTTTAGCCACCATGCTTTGGGAGCAGGGAGACAGATCAATATCCACCCTTCTCAGTCAGGGTTGGCTGGATCCCTGGCTCCTCATCTCTGTCCTGTTTTCCTTCTTCACTTTGCAGATGGTATACTTTTGATTTCCAACAAGGCATTTGTTTTCCACAGGATGGGCCAAAGAGAACCAAAGATTCAGCATTCTCAACTGAACTACAACAAGCTTTGGCAGTGATAGAGGATTTGATCAAGTCCTGTGAGTTGGCTGTGGACCTAGCAGCAGTGACTGAATGTCCGGTATGTTCCATAGTAGTGTTAGAGCATCTCACACAAAAGGCAGGTGCAATACTACACAGTGAGGAAATGCTCTGGCAAAGTCAGAGAGATCGTCTATGGTAAAGGAATTGGACTCTGAGGACAGTCGCCTAAATTGCTCAGTAAACCCGCACTACAAGATTCCAAGCTGTCCCTTGGCATCTTCAGGAATCTTGGATTTATTCCTCAGGGTTCTGAATGTGGGACTGACCCACTGTCTGGACAAACCAGAAAGTCAAGGGCCAGAACATATATGGGCAGAGGAAAAGTCCTGGAGGAGCAATTTATTTTCTAACTCATGGCACTATTAAAATAGTAAAAGATTTGTCTTCTTGTTTCAGAGTTTCTCTAAGAAAAGTATTTTGGAAACAGGTCCTATATTCTTGCCCCAATTTTATATCACAGATCCCAGAAGAGGCCCCAAAAGTATATAGTGTACATGCATTAATCCAAATAGTCTAAAGAAAACCCAAGAGATGCAGTTAGAGGCCAATGCTGGGGAGTTGAGCTCCAGCGTCAGTGTTAATCCGGAGCAGGCTGGTCCCAGGCATTCCAGGCAAAACATCCCCTATAACTGTATGATCTCTTTGAGACTGGAGCATAGTTAATATTCGACTTGTTTTGTTTTTTACTTTGAAGTACTCTAGATTTTTATTCAGATGTGTTTGTTTTATTTCACTGTCATAATAAATTACCATAAGCTTGGTGGCTTAGAGCAGCACAAATTCATTATTATTATTATTTTGAAGTTCCAAGGTCAGAAGTTCAACACAGTCTCATGGGCTAAAATCAAGGTGTTTCCTTTCCTTTTTGGAGTCTAGCATCTGTCTCCTGGAATTTTCCAGCTTAAAAAGGCCACCCACGCTCCATGGCTCATGGCTTCTATGAGCAGAGGTAATAAAGCACAAACCAGCAATGGCAGGTTGGGTTCTTCTTCTTTTTGTTTGTTTGTTTTTGAGACAGAGTCTTGCTCTGTCGCCCAGGCTGGAGTGTAATGGCATGATCTCAGCTCACTGCAACCTCTGCCCGCCAGGTTCAAGCGATTCTCCTGTCCCAGCCTCCTGAGTAGCTGGGACTACAGGCACTTGCCACCACACCTTGCTAATTTTTTTTTTTTTTTGTATTTTTAGTAGAGACGGGGCTTCTCCATGTTGGTCAGGCTGGTCTCGAACTCCTGACCTCGTGATCCACCCATCTCCGCCTCCCAAAGTGCTGGGATTACAGGTGAGAGCCATCGTGCCCGGCCAAGTTTTTCTTACATCACATCTCTGTGACCCCCTCTTCTGCGTTTTTGTCACTTGTGATTATATTATACTTTTTCCTTCTCTTTTTTTTTCTTTTCATTTTTATTTGGTTTTGAACATACCATGTATTGAGGTCTTGGTAGAGGAAATGACTTTTCTTTCCTTGTCATAAATCAAACCATGAAAGTTATTAAGGTCCGAAAAATGAGTTATTTTTACTTCCCACGCTGGTATTTCTTGGGCCTGGATCTCAGAAACTTAGCCCCATGGGGTTTGCTGTGATCCCAGCCATGATGCTGTTACTGTCCCCTGGGACTCCAAGGTGTCTCTGATGACAACTGATGCATGATTCAAGAGGATATGCATAAACTGCAGAGTAGGGTTAGGGTGTGTATAAGGATCATTTTCTTGGTAATAATTCTTCTTTCTTCGCCTGAGGAAAGTCAAGGGAACAATTTGTTAGGTCAATCCAGGGCATCTTTCTGTTCCTTTTTAAATCTTGAATTACGTATTAGACATCCCTATTAAATTTCATTTCCCTGAATCTAATGAATGTCCTGGAAACAATACACAGGGCAGGAAACAGTGTAAATAACATAGGAGGAGGAGGCTGTGAGAAAAGAATGGTTAAAACATGAGCAAATAACATTCTGCCCTAATTTCATTCCCAGCCAGTTTGCATGCAAATAGGATGAACCAGCTTACAGAATTTGGAGATTTTACACGCAAAAAGCAAAGGACCTTTTTTGACCATGTGTCCTCAGAATTGTGCCTCTGCCAGATGCTTTTTGGTACCTTTTCTACTAAGACTTAACTTACTTTTACATCTAATACATCAGCTAATTTCTCCTGACAGTTTTGTATAATCCTGTTGAATTATGGAGGAGTAGATATTGGAATTTTCAACCTTCTGATTCAAAAGAAGATCCATGGAAAGAAGAGTTAACTCACTCAAGATTACATGGCTGTCACCTTGGACTATTTCTTGTTCATTCCCTATCAGGGTGCTATTCCACTCTTTATCTGTTTCTGATTAGAATTGACTGACAACTGCCTCTAACTCAGCTCAAATGATTCTGAGATTCTTTGTCTCCATTTTGTAGAGTTTTATTACAGGTGTTTATGATCACCTGTAATAAATTACAGCTATATGCATGGCTGAGTCCAGTTTAACCTCTTAGTTTCTCTGCTTGAAATTTAATATTAACCTGGTTTTATAAAGGAAAGAAATTGAATGTGATAATTAAATTATCACAATTAAACAACTAGAAAGCAACTAGAAAAAAATCCCTTCTGATATTTATATTTTCTTGTTTTTCTGTGTACTCAATTAGTCCTGGGTCTAATTTAATCACAGAAGTTTAAAATTCTTTTCCAAACAAGTTTGTTTTGTGGAACACTGAGTTATAATTTACTTCTATCTATTTGCAAAAAAAAAACAAAAGTTTTTTTTTTTTTCAAATCCAATGCATATTAGAGATGCATTTAAATTCTGACTTGCCAGGGATAAGTTCCAAAGTTGACTTGTAAAGATTGAATGAAACAGTCTTCCTTTTTGGAACAAATTTATATAAACCACTAAAGGATGTACTTGTATTGTAAGTTCATTGTGAGCTAGGGCCAGGATTTTATTTCTATTTCAGTTTCCTCTTTCCTTACCACAGTGTTAGCTGCAGAGATAGGGCTAAGTAAATAATCCTAGTGACCCAGGCAAAGTATCTTCTTCATTCCCCACCCCCCCACCCCCCCCACCCCCCCACAATACCTATATTACAGGCGGTTGCCGGGAGTAAGTGAGAATTAAATGATGGGTAAGGCACCAAGCACTGTGCCTGGCGCCCAACAGATGCCGAATAAACAGCCCTAGTGGTACGTTATATGGGGACCTGCTCAAGCTGGAAAGGAAGATACCTCTTTGCCCCTGACTATTGTAATCACAGGCTCCCACAGCTTCTGCTTTTCATTTCTGGACTCAGGCTCTGTGTGGACGCATTTATACAGATGTTTCCTGCTTCTTTGTGCAGTAAGTTTGTGACAGTCATATTAACTCTTACTACCTGGAATGGAAACACGGGCACCCAAAAGAAGCTCTTGCTGAGGCCAGCTTCCCTAGATTCACTCTCTCAGCCAGACTCTTCATTTGGCCAATGTAGTCACATTTGAAATCCTTGTATCGGGGCTCTTACCTGCAGAATGCCCAGGTGTGAAAGTGGTAGCATTTACTAATTGATTTTGCTATCACTTCTTGTACAGAGGAGGCCATCTAACTTATCGCTCGCTCATTTGAGGTAGCCGCTATGTTCCATCTCTGAGTTCACAACCATCAGGTTCTTCCACACACCGTGTGACATGGCCACACTTCTTTGTTACTGGTGGAAAACAGTTGGAAGTATATTCGTTTCCTAGGGCTGATGTCGCAAGGAACCACAAAGTACGTGACTTAAAACAACAGAAATTTATTCCCTCACAGTTTTGACGGCTAGACGTCCAAAGGCAAGGTGAGAGCAGGCCCACGTTCCCTCTGAGGGCTCTCAGGAAGAATCCTTCCTTACCTCGTCTGAGCTTCTGGTGACTGCCGGCAATTCTTGGAGTTCCTTGGCTGACAGCTGTGCCACTCCAATTTCTGCCTCTGCCTTTGCATGGCTGTTCCCTCAGCGTGCGTCTCCATTTCTTTGTTTTCTTTTTTTATAAGGATACCAGTCATTGGATTTGGACCCATCCTAACCCAGGGCAACCCCATCTTAACCAATTGTATCTGCAAAGACCCTCTTTCCGAATAAGATCATATTTTGAGGGTCTCATAGACATGAGTTTTTGGGGGAACACTATTCAACCCAGTACAGGGGCGTCGCTGAATGAACTCCTTGGATAAATCAATATTCCCTCACAGTGATGAGTATTTTGTTTCCTGTCCCCTACTCCCAAGCACCACTAAATGCCAATAAATAAATAAATACTAGGGAATGCCAATAAATAAATAAATACTGGTGAACACGTATCTGAAAGAGGTTGTGCAACGTGGTCTCCGACCTTGAGATCAACTACAGTCTAGTTGGAAAGAAAAGGTACACGTGACGGAAAAGGTCATTCTTGCTCCTGCTCAGGGAATGTCCCTGCAGCTTCCTGTTGGAGGCGGAGCAGCTCCACACAGCACAGTGAACAGTGTGTGTGCCTGCCCTTGGTCAGCACCGTGTAGGGCATGTGCTCACCCGCTGGAGATCGGACCTTGGGCGTGGAGATGGGCAATACCGTCATATGTGTGGTCCTGAGAACATTTGTGCAACATGACCCAGAGGATATGTGCCCATATGTTTCTGCCAGACTTGAAAGACCCAGCGACTCCCCCCGAGTCACTTCCAGTAATAATGGGCTTACTGGAAAGCTGACCTGCAGCTTCTCAAGAAGTCACGATGGCAAAGCCAAGTTCGCGGAGATGGGAACTGAGCAAACCCAGGATCCACAGCACCTCTGGGGCCTGGGCCTGGGGAGGGAGCCGGGGTTCTTACCTGTGTGACCCGCCTGTATATGTCAAGTGCACCCACATGCCTGCTCGCCCCCCCTCTTACCACCTACTGACTGTTTTTTTCCCTTCCGTCAGTTTCTTCCTCTTCCTCATAATTTCTAATGACTCACCTTCTTCATAGTTCTGTTTCCTTCTCGTTTATTCCACTGCCTGCTTTCCCCTAAAGCATCTCACAGCCCCGTCTCCTGCTGGTCACCACTTCCTCCTGTTTTCTTCAGTTCAGGGAGAGATCACATTGCCAACCCCCAACCCTGGCACATTGTTTTTATGCTGGGGGCCCTATGGTCAGCTGCTGGTACCTCTCTGGATTCACATCCTCTGATTACTTGCCTATGAAGGTGCAGCAGCATGGCTGTGGATGGGGTGATGAGGAAAGTTCAGAGGTAATAAAGCACAAACCTTGCTGCCTGAGGCTGCCTCTTCAGCATTTCTGGTTGGGGCTGTTTCCTCTACAATAGCCTTGTGGATGCCTTAACTCACGTCACCCCATCTTCACAAGTCATTAGAGAGTGTACACCTCGACTTATTCCCCCTTCCCCTATCATCCTAGCCTCTTCTAGAATTACTTTGACAGCTGAGCCTCCACACTGACCAAATGTGTTCTTACAAGCAGCTTTACCTAAAACATGTTCCTCTTTCTATCATAGGGCGTGGTTGAGGATGTTGCTCAGTGACAACATATCACTGGGAGAAATGTTTCTTATGTCTTAGTAGGAATAGCTGTGCTTTTCCTGAACAACCGGTTTGTGTATGTCTTCAGACATAATAAATCGTACCACTCACCATGTTTCCCTCTGTATTGCTATTAGAAAGTCAGAGCCAAGTTTACATCAAGTTTAAATGGCTTTATTATATGCATTTTACATATAACCTCTTCATCTTTTCTTTTATCTTCTACACCTTCTGGAACAGTTCATCTGATTTATTGTCTTTATATTTAGGGATGGTGATCTCCCTATGTTGCCCAGGCTGGCCTCAAACTCCTGGACTCAAGTGATCCTCCTGCCTCAGCCTCCCAAGTAGTTGCGACTACAGGCAGGCGCCAAGCTCCCAACTTCTTTATTTTTTCTTCACCTTAATTCCCTCGGTTATTTTCTATCTGTCTATACTGTATATATTTCTGTAAGATGCGTCGAATGTTTAAAATGAGGTAGAGAGTGAATACATTGTAAGATAGAAACTACAAGTTTGAATATCCCTTAGCCAAAATGCTTGAGGCCAAAAGTGTTTTGGAGTTTTTTTTTTTTTAGGGGAGGATTGGAGTATTTGCATACGTACTGAGTTATGTTGCAGATGGAACCCAAGTGTAAACACGAAATTCATTTATGTTTCATGACACCTTATACACATAGACTGAAGGTAATTTTACATATTTTAAATAATTTAGTGCATGAAGGCCGGGAGCAGTGGCTTATGCCTGTAATCCCAGCACTTTGGGAGGCTGAGGTGGGCAGATCACCAGAGGTCAGGAGTTCGAGACCAGCCTGGCCAACATGCTGAAACCCTGGCTCTACTAAAAATACAAAAATTAGCCGGGCATGGTAATGCACGCCTGTAATCCAAGCTACTCGGGAGGATGAGGCAGGAGAGTCCCTTGAACTCAGGAGACAGAGGTTGCGGTGAGCCAAGGTCGTGCCACTCTACTGCAGCCTTGGCAACAGAGTAAGACTCCGTCTCAAAAAAATAAAAAATAAAAAATAATTTTGTGCGTGAAGCAAAATTTTGACTGTGTTTTGACTGCCACCCATCACATGTGGTCAGGTATGGAATTTTTCACCTCCAGTGTCATACTGGTTCTCAGAAAGTTCCAGATTTTGGAGGATTTCAGATTTTTTAAATTATGGATGCTCAACCTGTGCTGATAACATTTGTTTATGTGGCAAATATTAAGTATCTACTTCTACCAGTTGCCTTTACTAAAACATATTTCCTGCACTATTTATGTCGATATTGATTATGAATTGAATGGATTTAAAGGAAAAAGCAGTCACTAAGGTCTGTAGTGATTACATTTGAGTGGGTCCTTGATGGATGCAGATAGAGTGAAAAAATTCTCCAGGGTCCTCATGGACCTATCCACCCTTCTGTTTTGGAATGTGGTGAACTGTTAACACAGAACAGGAGCATTGGCTTTTAGGAAAGAAGGCCTCGTGGCTGGGAGTTTGAGGGTTTTATTCACCACAGTCTACATATGTAAATTTTCCAAAGAAGAAAATAGAAAATTAACATAGGAAATAACGCCATAGACACCATAGAAATGACTAGAGTTTATTGCTCTTGAAGTTTTTCTTTTAATGTTTCAGAAGTAAAGTCAATTCCTTTTTAAAAAAGATACCTAGAGTTTGCCCAACATATAAACAATAAATTATAAAAATGCCCAATCAATTATGAATGAAGTACATATTTCCAGTATTAACTCAGAAATCATAGGGATTGATCTCAGCTAGAGGTCACTTAGGGAGATTTCTTTGTCTTGGTCCCCTTCAAATAATTTGTTCCTTTTGGTGTTTTTATTCAGGGAAATGAATTCTTATCTGCTTTAAGCAATCGAAGTTTTGAAAAATACCAGATAAAATGCCTCGCTCCCAGCTCATCTTGGTCCACTGTCTTTTGAAGAGAGCTCAGAGAAGGCAGGGTCATCTCATTTGGACTTTCAACCAGACATATGACAAAGGCAGCCTTGCTGGTGGAGACAGGGGCATCACAGTTTATGCCTAGAGTCAAACAGACTTCTTAAAAATCTGTCATTTGGTATTATCTTGGCACTGTTGACTCACTCTGAAAAACTCAGAGTTGAATGCAGTTACTATTTCCATTACAATGTTGTGAAGATTAGATCACAGTAAACTTTCTCTTTTCAGAACAAGCTTCATTTTCTCAGGTCCTCATATACCTGAAGCAGAAGTTAGGATGCAGATGGAACACACAGATGCTCATGGGTCCGCAATGCAGCCAAAATTCTATCTCTACTGGACATAATTGAAATGTTAATTTCTTGTCCCTTTGAAGGAGACTGTCATGTATCAAACATAGCACAGAGGAAATTGAATTCTGCTAGTTAAAATTGAGTCAAAAATATCACAGTCCCCGTATCTCTAGCTCAAGCATTTCTAACATTCTTTATGTATAGCATTACCTTTCATAGCTGAATTGATTTCCTTATATAACTAAATGGCACCACGCTCAGTGAAGCTCAAAAAATTGTCGTTTTGATTTAGTGACAGACCAGCCTGAATAGCACTTTTAGAATTGTAAACCTCAAAGAAGCATGCTTTATAAAATTTGAAAACAGGCCACAAAGGCTTCTTTCTCTGTCAAGTAATTTTACAGCTTCTTTTCCTGTATGTGTGTTTCCAAAAGGACGATATTGGAAAACTAGGCAAGCTGTTGCTGCACGGCCCTTTCAGCGTCTGGACAATTCACAAGGATCGTTATAAAATGAAGGATTTGATTCGATTTAAACCCAGCCAGAGGCAAATCTACCTATTTGAAAGGGGAATAGTGTTCTGTAAGATACGAATGGAGCCTGGGGACCAGGGATTATCTCCTCATTACAGCTTCAAGAAGACCATGAAGGTAAAGGGAGTCCTATTGCATCTGGGAGTCGCCCTATGCAGAAAAGAGAGAGATCGTTTTCCTTATTTTACAGATGAGGAAGCTGCAGTGTAGAGAGGTGAAGTTAACTTGCCAAATACCACACCACAGGGCTAGAATCCATAGCCGGGTCTGTCTGACTCCAGGGTCAGAGCTTATGGGCCAGGGCTGGCATAGGAGTGCCTTTGTACTAGAGAAAAAAGACTATATGGCAGCCAGTCTGGACAAACTAATTAGTAAAAGTACCCTCTTTCTTCCAGGCAAAGAGGTAAAAGAGAGTTGAAAGACTTAGTGATGAGAACATGGGCTGGATTTCATCTTAGACTTGTCCTTCTCAACGGTGTATCTTTGTGTCTAAGTGCAGGCATTGTCCTGACCTTGGGGTCTAAGGCACCCAGGCCCACACCAAGCATTGTTTTCTCACCTGTTTAGAAACTGTTTCATAGCCAGTTAGCTCTCAGGCTATGAAACACACACACCCACATACAGGAGCCACACCCATATATATTTATGCTGTTGTGATTAAAGCTGTTAATTTGTTCATAGTAGCCTTTGTTTTCTTTCTCCCCTTCCTTCCTTCCTTCCTCCCTCCCTTCCTTCCTCCCTCCCTCCCTCCCTTCCTTCCTTCCTTCCTTCCTTCCTTCCTTCCTTCCTTCCTTCCTTCCTTCCTTCCTTTCTTTCTTTCTGTCTTTCTTTCTTGTCTTTCTTTCTTTCTTTTCTTTCGACAGAGTTTTGCTCTTGTTGCCCAGGCTGGAGTGCAATGGCATGATCTTGGCTAACTGCAACCTCCACCTCCCGGGTTCAAGCAATTCTGCCTCAGCCTCCCAGGTAGCTGGGATTACAGGCACGCACCAGCATGCCCAGCTAATTTTGTATTTTTAGTAGAGACAGGGTTTCACCATGTTGGTCAGGCTGGTCTCGAACTCCTGACCTCAGGTGATCCGCCCACCTAGGCCTCCCAAAGTGCTGGAATTACAGGACTGATTACAGAGGCATGAGCCACCATACCTGGCCTTGTTATTTATGTTTCTGAATAGATCCTTATTCAGTTACTATTACGTAGAAAGTTGTAAAATACACGTTGAAGGAGAAATGATCTCTTCACTGAAAGGTTGAGGGCTGCAGCGCCTCCTGCATAAAGATACAGTAGAAAGTTAACAGTCTGTGTTACCTTCTGAAACAGATGAGACAGAAGACACTGTACCAGATTGTGTTTTATGCTGTCTTGGAGTCATTAAGAGAGGAAAGCAAAAACTTGAAAGGAAGATGAAAGAAGAGAGCTGTCAAGGATAGAAAGGATTAGAGTGATTGACAGGGACTATTTTAAAATCAGAAAACGATGGTATAGAACATTTCTCTTCCCTCTTTATAATAGCTGATGACACTTTCAATTCGCCAGCTTGGAAGGGGGAGCCATAGAAAGTTTGAGATTGCCAGTCGAAATGGACTTGAGAAATACATCCTGCAGGTAACGCTCATGCCTTCCCCATGGGTCTCCTCTACTCTTTCCTTATTGTGTTCCCATGACTTGACAAGTGTTTTCTATCTCATTAGTCTAACGGTCACTGGGAGAATAAAAACTCTGCAATTAATACTCATGGTAGTCTTATAGTGTTTTCTTATGTGTGATTGCAGGCAGCTTCAAAAGAAATCAGAGACTGTTGGTTTTCAGAAATAAGTAAATTATTGATGGAACAACAAAATAATATCAAAGGTAGGTTACCCCTGCTGACTTTCGTCTGTCGAGTTATACTGATTTCAGCTCAGTGGGGGATGTGCAAATTGGGGATATTGTGAAAGAAAATGGTTTGCTGGGAAAACAACTGTGGCCACATTTTCACAGTCCCTGGAAGCACCTATGCTTGATTTCCACTGTGGTGGAGGTGGAGGGGTTGTGTGATTGTGTGTGGTTGTGTTGGTTTGTCCCTTTTGGTTGTGTTCCCCCCACCACTTAATTGCCAAGGTCACCTTTAATCAAAAATCTGATGGCCACCCAAGAAAATGTTAACAGAGATTCAAATGGCCAATGCTACCTTTCAGACACTGTACTACTTTTTTTAAAACATCAAGATATAATTAACATGCCATCAAATTCACTGTCTAAAATATACAATTCAGTGGGTTTTAGATTATTCACAAGGCTCAATAACCATCCCCAGTCTAATTCTATTTTTTTACTTCTTACTTTTGTTTTTTGTTTTGTTTTGTTTTGAGATGGAGTTTTTGCTCTTGTCGCCCAGGCTGGAGTGCAGTGGCACCATCTGGGCTCACTGCAACCTCTGCCTCCCAGGTTCAAGTGATTCTCCTGCCTCAGCCTCCCGAATAGCTGGGACTACAGGCGCGCCAACACGCCTGGCTAATTTGTGTGTTTGTAGTAGAGACAGGGTGTCACCATGTTGGGCAGGATGGTCTTGATCTCCTGACCTTATGATCTGCCTGCCTCGGCCTCCCAAAGTGCTGGGATTACAGGTGTGAGCCACTGCGCCCAGCTGTTTTTTGTTTTAAAGTATTTAACAGCCTAATTCTAATTATACTTCCAAAATATTTTCATAACTCTCCCAACAAAAAAATTCTGTACCAATTAGCAATCATTCTCCATCTCTCACCTTTACCCAGCCCCTGGCAATCACTAATGTATTTCCTGTCTCTATTGGATGTTTTCTCTACACATCACATATATGGCCCTTTCTGTCTAGCTTCTTTCACTTTGCGTATTTTTTTAAGTTTCATTTATGTTGTAGTATCTATCAGTACTTCATACCTTTTTATGGCTGAGTAACAGTCCATTGTATGGATATACCATCTTTGTTTATCCATTCATTAGTTGATGAAGATTTGGGGTTTTTCCCCTTTTTGGATACTGTAAGTAAAGCTGCTGTAGATATTTTTGTACAGATTTTTGTATGAATCTTTATTTCCAGTTTTCTTTGGTGTATATATGTAGAATTGCCAGACCATATGGTAACTTTTGTTAACTTTCTGAGGAACTTCCAAATCATCTTTCAAAACAGTACCACCATTTCACATTCACACCAGCAATATAATAGTTGGGTTCAATTTTCTCCATTTCCTTACTAACACTTGTATTGTTCATTATAATAACATTATTATTATTATTATTATTATCATTGCCATCCTAGTGGGCATGTACTAGTATCTCATTGTGATTTTGATTTACATTTCCCTCATGGCTAGTGATGTTGAGCATCTTTTAACATGCATATTGGCCATTGGTATATCTTCTTTGTAGAAATGTCAGTTAACTCATTTGTATGTTTTTTAATTGGCTTGTCATTTTATGGTTGAATTGTAAGAGTTATTTATATATTCTGGATACTGGACTTTTATCAGATATATTATTTGCAAGTATTTTTTCCCATACTGTGCATTGTCTTTTTACTCTCTTGATAGTGTTCTTTGCAAAGAGTTTATAGTTTTAACTCTTACAGTTAAGCCTTTGACTCATTCCGAGTTAATTTTTGTATATGATGTGAATTAGGGGCCCAAGTTCCTTTTTTTACATGTGGATATCCATTGTCCTAGAACCATTGATTGAAAAGACTATTCTTTCCCCACTTTGAATGGTCTTGGCATCTTTGTTGAAGATAAATTGGCTTTAGGTATAGAATTCCTTGTTGACCCTCTTTTTCTTTAAGCACTTTGAATATGTCATCCCATTGCCTTCTCAACTCTGTGATTTCTGATAGAAATCAGCTGTTAATCTTATTGAAGAGTCCTTCTATGTGCTTGCTGCTTTCAAGATAATTTCATTGTCTTTGTTGACAGTTTGATTATGTTATCTCTAGGTGTGGATCTTGATCTCTTTGAATTTATATTTCTTGGAGTTTATAGACTTTCTTGAAGGTATAGATTAATGTTTTCATCAGATTTGGGAAATGTTCAGCCATTGCTTCTTTAAATATTATTTTAGCCCATTTATCCCTCTCTCCTTCTGAGACTGCCATTATGCGTCATTAGCGTGCTTGAAGGTATCTCACAGTCTCTGAGGCTCTATTCATTTTTCCTTCATTCCTCTTTCTTTCTCTTCCTCAGACTGGATAGATTCAATTGACCTATTTCTGAGTTCTCTAATTCTTTCTTCTGCCTGCTCAGATCTGCTATTGAGCCAGCCACTCTAGTGAATTTCTCATTCAATTATTATACTTTTGAAATCTAGAATTTCTGTTTCGTCCTTTAAAACAAATCTTTATATTTTCTATTTAATGAGGATTTGTTCTTGTGCTTTCCTTTAGTCTTTATATATGATTTCCTTTAACTTTTTGAACATGTAAAAATAGTTAAAGTATTGGTCTAGTAAAGTCAGTATCTTGGCTTCCTCAGGAACAGTTTTTTCTTTTTTCTTTTTTTTTCTTTTTTGAGACAGAGTCTTGCTCTGTAGCCCAGGCTGGAGTGCAATGGCATGATCTCAGCTCACTGCAACCTCCGCCTCCTGGGTTCAAGCAATTCTTCTGCCTCAGCCTCCCGAGTAGCTGGGATTACAGGTGCACGCCACCATGCCTGGCTAAATTTGTATTTTTCTTTTAGTAGAGATGGGGTTTCAACATGTTGGTCAGGCTGGTCTCAAACTCCTGACCTCTGGTGATCTGCCTGCCTTGGCCTCCCAAAGTGCTGGGATTACAGGCATGAGCCACTGCACCTGGCCTAGGAACAGTTTGTATTGACTGGTTTTTCTTTTTCCCTGGGTATGGACTGCATTTTCTTATTTCTTTACATGTCTCATTATTTTCTGTTAAAATTGCACATTTTAAATAACATAATGTAGCAACTCTGGAAATTGGACCTTCCCACCTCTACTGTTTGTTGGTGTTGCTGTTTATTGTTGTTTGTTATAGTGACTTTTCTAAACTAATTCTGTGAAGTCTGTATTTATGTGCAGCCATTGAAGCCTCTGTTCAGTTAGCTTAGTGATCTAAATACTAATGACATGACAGAGATTTCTTTAAACACCTGAAAGCAGTAAGTCTTCTAGTCTTTGCCAAGGGGCTCTGTGTGCACATTAGGGCACACCTTCACACTCAGCCTGGCACTTGACAGTTCTAGCCTAGCTTTCACTTTCTGTTTGTGCAGATCATCAAGATCAGCCAGAGGTAAGATCGTGGGGCCTTCGCAGATCTGTCCTGAACATGTTCACAGGAAATGTGTGCATGGTCTTCTAGAGTCTCATAAATATTTTGGAGCCTTTACAACCCTCTATGAGCATCTTATTCCTGAGCATTTCATTTTAAACCTTCTGATTAGCCCATGTTTGCCCCACTGTTAGCCAATACCTCGAGCAACCAAGAAGTTAAACAATTGCCTGTAATCATTTTCTACAAAGGCCTTTGGGGAAAAGACTTTTCACATTGGGCAAGTTCTGAGTCAGGCCTAATAAAGACAGACTTGCAGGTCAGGTATTCCTAGAAACCCGTGGACAGATCAAATAATGATAATTCTCTAAGAATGAGGCTCCATAGTTCCCCCATTCCTGTTCTGCCCCTCCCATGGCTGCCAGACTGCTGATTTTCACTATCATTGCAGGCTGTTCATTTCTAAGGCTACCACCAAGGAAGGGGAGGATAGAAATAGGGCAAGTTAAAAAGCTCATTAGTCATACTGAGACACAGCCATTTTCCTTGAATAAATGCTCTCCAGATTGCTGCAAGCCATCATTTAATTTCCAGTGTTCTCCGAAGACAAAAACCACATGATTATCTCAATAGATGCAGTAAAGGTCTTCAACAAAATTCAACAGCCCTTCATGCTAAAAACTCTCAATAAACTAGGTATTGATGGGACGTATCTCAAAATAATGAGAACTATTTATGACAAACCCACAGCCAATATCATACTGAATGGGCAAAAACTGGAAGTATTCCCTTTGAAACCTGGCAGAAGACAGGGATGCCCTCTCTCACCACTCCTACTCAACATAGTGTTGGAAGTTCTGGCCAGGGCAATCAGGCAGGAGAAAGAAATAAAGGGTATTGAATTAGGAAAAGAGAAAGTCAAATTGTCAAATTGCAGATGACATGATTGTATATTTAGAAAACCCCATCGTCTCAGCCCAAAATCTCCTTAAGCTGATAAGCAACTTCAGCAAAGTCTCAGTATACAAAATCAATGTGCAAAAATTACAAGCATTCCTATACACCAATAACAGACAAACAGAGAGCCAAATCATGAGTGAACTCCCATTCACAATTGCTTCAAAGAGAATAAAATACCTAGGAATCCAACTTACAAGGGATGTGAAGGACCTCTTCAAGGAGAACTACAAACCACTGCTCAACAAAATAAAAGAGGACACAAACCAATGGAAGAACATTCCATGCTCATGGATAGGAAGAATCAATATCGTGAAAATGGCCATACTGCCCAAGGTAATTTATAGATTCAATGCCATCCCCATCAAGCTACCAATGACTTTCTTCACAGAATTGGAAAAAAACTACTTTAAAGTTCATATGGAACCAAAAAAGAGCTTGCATTGTCAAGATAATCCTAAGCCAAAAGAACAAAGCTGGAGGCATCACGCTACCTGACTTCAAACTATACTACAAGGCTACAGTAATCAAAACAGCATGGTACTGGTACCAAAAACAGAGATATAGACCAATGGAACAGAACAGAGCCCTCAGAAATAATATCATACATCTACAACCATCTGATCTTTGACAAACCTGACAAAAACAAGAAATAGGGAAAGGATTCCCTATTTAATAAATAGTGCTGGGAAAACTGGCTAGCCATATGTAGAAAGCTGAAACTGGATCCCTTCCTTACACCTTATACAAAAATGAATTCAAGATGGATTAAAGACTTAAATGTTAGACCTAAAACCATAAAAACCCTAGAAGAAAACCTAGGCAATACCATTCAGGCCATAGGCATGGGCAAGGACTTCATGACTAAAACACCAAAAGCAATGGCAACAAAAGCCAAAATTGACAAGTGGGATCTAATTAAACTAAAGAGTTTCTGCGCAGCAAAAGAAACTACCATCAGAGTGAACAGGCAACTTACAGAATGGGAGAAAATGTTTACAATCTACCCATCTGACAAAGGGCTAATATCCAGAATCTACAAAGAACTTAAACAAATTTACAAGAAAAAAATCAACCCCATCAAAAAGTGGGCAAAAGATATGAACGGTCACTTCTCAAAAGAAGACATTTATGCAGCCAACAGACACATGAAAAAATGCTCATCATCACTGGCCATCAGAGAAATGCAAATCAAAACCACAATGAGATAACATCTCACACCAGTTAGAAAGGCAATCTTTAAAAAGTCAGGAAACAACAGGTGCTGGAGAGGATGTGGAGAAATAGGAACACTTTTACACTGTTGGTGGGACTGTAAATTAGTTCAACCATTGTGGAAGACAGTGTGGCGATTCCTCAAAGATCTAGAACTACAAATATCGTTTGACCCAGCCATCCCATTACTGGGTATATACCCAAAGGATTATAAATCATGCTGCTATAAAGATACATGCACACGTATGTTTATTGCAGCACTATTCACAATAGCAAAGACTTGGAACCAACCCAAATGTCCATCAATGATAGACTGGATTAAGAAAATGTGGCACATATACACCATGGAATACTATGCAGCCATAAAAAACAATGAGTTCATGTCCTTTGTAGGGACATGGTGAAGCTGGAAACCATCATTCTGAGCAAACTATCGCAAGGACAGAAAACCAAACACCGTGTGTTCTCACTCATAGGTGGGAACTGAACAATGAGAACACTTGGTCACAGGGTAGGGAACATCACACACCAGGGCCTGTGGTGGGGTGGGGGGAGGGGGAAGGGATAGATAGCATTAGGGGATATACATAATGCAAATGATGAGTTAATGGGTGCAGCACACCAACATGGCACATGTATACATATGTAACAAACCTGCATGTTGTGCACACGTACCCTAGAACTTAAAGTATAATAAAAAAAAAAAAAAGGAAAAAAAAATTTCGATATTCTGAAAATAAATTTTCTAACCATTTTTGGCCAGTTTTTTCCATGCTTTCACAAAGAAGAGAATTTGGGGACGGGTTTTTTCTCCACCATTTTCACTGATGTCACACACTGTACTCCTTTCAACAATTACAAATCATCTTTAAGCAGGCTTTATCCTTTCACTTTGTTTGCAGGGATATTTGGTGGGAAAATCCACAGCGAGCTTTATCAATTGAGTTCTGACCTTCCCCTCAGGTAATGTTACTAGGGTGAAGAAATGCCAGTTTCATGTGGAAAGTCTATCTTCCATCATTTATACTGGCAGTGGTTTGCATTTTGGGTAAGAAAAATCACATAAAAATGAAAAGATAACTTTTTTCTTTAGAGATAGCAGGAATGCAACTGGCTCACACTTTTTCTAGGTCTTCTATGATCATCAGCTGCTCAGGAACGTGCAAAGCTGGGTGTGCATCATAAGATAAGGGAAAAGGTAAACCAAGCAGTGTAACTGGAAAGCCACCACATCAGTTTTCTGTCACAAAAACCAAGCAACATAAGTTCTTGATTTAAACTGTAGGTAACTGCCAGGAACTAGTAACAATATTATGTCATTGATTTTACTTTGTATACAGATAAGATGGGAAAAAAACTATGGTTTACTTTTGTTTTACAACTATTAATATTATGTTAAATATATGTCATGGTAATTGAGTAGGAGTGTCCTAGAGGCTTAACACAGAATGATATGGCAACTCTAGTAGAAAAAGTCACTTGTTCCCTGCAGAAACAACATTCTAGTCACAAGCTTGTTTAGAAATCCTTACTCACTAGGTCAGTGTTTCTCAAAGGGTGGTTTAAGGACCACCTGCATTCAAATTATTTGAAGGGCTTGCTACAAATGCAGATTTCTAGGTTCCACCCCAGAACTATAGAATAGCTAGGGTTAGTCCTGGGGACATACATTTTAGCTTATTAAGGTTTCTAGGTAGAGACCTTTTACTACAATTTTTAAAACTCCTTTACTGAGGTATAATGACACGATAAACCACACATATTTAAAGTGTACAATCTGATAAGTTTTGACATCTGTATACATCTGTAAGGCATCACCACAGTAAGGATAATGAACATGCCTATCACCGCCAAAGGTTTGTTCACACTGCTTTGCATTCCCTTTCTCCTGCCCCTCCCTCACCCACCCCAGGTGACCACCAATCTCCTTTCTGTCACTATAGGTTAGTTTGCATTTTCTAGAATTTCATAAGAGATAATACACTATGTACTTTTTTTTTTGGTCTGGCTTCTCTCCTCTGCATAATTATTCTGAGATTCATCTATTTGGATTTTGTAAACAATAGTACATATTTTGGTTGTTGCTGAGTAGTATTTCATTGTTTGGCTAGACCCCGTTTTCTTTATCCATTTACTTGTTAATGAACATCCGATTTGTTTCTGCTTTGGGGCTATTTTGAATAATGCTGCTATGAACATGCAAGTACAAGTCTTTGTGTGGACATGTGTTTTCATTTCTCTTGGGTAAATACCTAAGAGTGTAATGGTTAGGCCATATGGTAGGTGTATGTTTAATTTTTTAGGAAATTTCTAAATAGTTTCCAAAGTGATTATAGTATCTTCCATTCCCATAGTAATGTATGAGAGTTCCACTTGTGCCATGTCCTCACCAATACTTGGTATTGTCAGTCTTTTAAATTTTCAGATTTCTAATAGGGGCATAGTGGTATGTCATTAGGTTTTAATTTGCTTTTCCCTAGTAACTAATGGTTGAGCATCTCTTTATGTGCTTCTTTGCCATCTTTATCTCTTCTTTGGTGAAGTGTCTGTTCAAATCTTTTGCTCATTGTTTTCTTATTATTGACTTTTGAGAGTTTTTATGTATATCCTAGATATATGTCCTTTTAATGCTTTGTAAATATTTTCTTCTAGTGTGTGGCATCTTTTTCTCTTAAGAGTGACTTTTGAAGAGCAAAAGACTTTAATTCTTATAATATTTAATTTTAAAAACTGTATGTATCATGTTTTCGGTATCCTGCCTAAGAAATCGTTATCTAAAAGCCATAAAGATTTTCTCCCTGTGTTTTCTTCCAGAAGTTTTATAGTTTTACATTTAGGTCTCTGATCCATTTTGAGTATTTGTTTGTTTGTTTGTTTGTTTCTGTTTTTGATTTGTATGTGGTGTGAGGTATGGATCAAAGTTCAGTCCTTTGCATACTGATGTTCTAGTTTTTCCATTGCCAGTTGTTAAAAACACTATTCTTTCTCCAATTGATGATTTATGTAAGTGCATCTATTTCTGGATGCCTGATTCTTTTCCATTGATCTATTTGTCTACCTTGACATCAGTCCCTCACTATCTTGGTTACTGCTGCTTTCTAATAAGTCTTAAAATGAGGTAGTTAGAGTCCTATAATTTTGTTCTTCCTTTTTAAAGTTGTTTTGATTATTCTGTGTCCTTTATACTTCTATATATATTTTAGAATCTGCTTGCCAACTTCTCAAAAAACCTTATTGAGATTTTGATTAGGATTATGTAAAATCTCTAGAACAATTTGGTGAGAATTGACTTCTTAACAATATTAAGCTTAATCTAAAATTTATATTTTAACTGACTCCCCTGCTGCCTTCCTGGCCCTGCAAAAAAAGACAAGTTTGTTATGAAGATATGACACTTATTCAGTTGACAATTCGGAAAGAGATTTCTCAAGCCCTCCTTAAGGCCTGAACTGTGCTTTATAGGTTGTGACAGGAATGCAAAAATCTAGATAAGAAGCAAAACCAGGACCCAGCACGTGGTTTAGATAAAAAGAAAACACTACTGAACTGAAAGGCCCAGAGGTGTTGTGCCAGCCCCTTCCTTTTACAGATGTGCAAGCAGAGGGTCAATTTTACATAACTTATCCGCAGCAGAACTGAGTCTCCTGAGCCTGGTGCACCAAGTAGGCTCTGATGAAATGTCTCTGTGAGTGATGCAAATGGCAAGGGCTTTAAGAATTTAGAGAGGGCCCACAGTGGATGGTGAGTGAGCGGGAACCAGGGCCCTGGGCTGAACCAGGAACAGAATGCAAACTCAGGCTGTCTGGATACCCTTGAGGGTATCCGGGCAATGTTGAGAAGATGGTGTCCCAGGTTCCAAGATCAGGAATATCAGGACTGTCAGTACCTTACGCCTGCCGAGCACTTTACAAAGCTCTGACATATAAACATTACCACCCAGATTCATTTTTACACCATCCTACAACACCTTTCAACCTTTGTGGATTGTTAAGCATAATAACCCTGTACACTGGCCAAAGAATACAGTGACCTTAGGGCCATGGGTGAGAGGAATGACACTGGGAGCCAATGAGGGATGTAGAGAGAGGGCCTCTCGGAGGTAACCAGACAGAAGAGGACATTGTATCCAGGTGTTATGGAGTCAGCTAGGGCTTGGGCAGGGAAGAGAAGAGCATCACTGATGGGTGAGACACAGCAGCACAAGAAGCCGAGGAGGGAGGCAGGCACTGAGGTTTGGGACAAGCTCCTCAGCTGTGGCATGACTGCCTGTGATCTAGAGGTGAAGGGAGACTGCGGGGAAAGATCAGGCCCCAGCCAGAAGAGTGCAGGGGCAGGCAGCAGGGTGGGTGGGAAACAAGGCAAAGCCTCAGTCCCGGCAGAAATCAAGGCCACGGTCCCATCCTAGCAACTGGGCAACATGTGGCAGTCACATCGGTAGTAAAAGGTGGGCCCAGGAACCTTGAAAATCACAGAGGTGCCTCGAAGTGAGCACATTCAGTGACGATCTGAGCCTAGCCTGGGAGAGTCAGGTATAGGGTGAAAGGAAAAAGATTGAGATGGCCTCAAATATCGGGCCGAGGAATTTGGCTTTTATGCTGTGGGAGGCAGTGGGGGGCCTCTGGAGGTTGAGATCTGGTGTTATTCTCATACCTGGGACAACACTTTAGTAAAGAATGTGATTCTTATCGCTCTCCCAGGGACTCATGATTTTTTCCCTCATCAAGTCACATAATTTGGGCTCACATGGAAAAAATGAGCATTTGAGCACTGTTTATTCCTTAATTCAGTATTAATGGAGCTAACAGTAGAAACTTGGACAGACCCAGAACCAATGCATGCCAGAAACTCAGCAGGATGGGGTAGAGACGTTGGGGAGGATGCCAGGACCACGTGAGCCCAGGGACTGTAGCAGCGTTTTCTGAATTCCTGGGAAAATATGATCAAGACCTACACACCTTTATATATTTTTATAGTATTCTCTTTATGCATATATGTGTATTTAAAAATCACTATGTAAAATCAATTCAAATTAGCTTAAATTTGAGAGTGCTGTTTTTTGTTTTTTAAAATTTTAGACCAAGGAAATCCACAGTTTGAAATGAGCACGAGGTGAGTACTGATTTTTTTATTTTAAAGGCATGTCAAATGCTTTGGATGTTTCATATTGAGTCCATGTCATTGCTTTTATTGCTTTTCTTCCCCCAACACTTGGCTTATTACAAGGGATTTCCAATTTTTAAAAAATATTGGCTGGGCGCAGTGGCTCACGCCTGTAATCTCAGCACTTTGGGAGGCCAAGGCAGATGGATCGCTTGAGCCCAGGAGTTTGAGACCAGCCTGGGCAACATGGTGAAACCCTGTCTCTAACAAAAAAAAATACAAAAATTAGCCTAGGTGGTGGCGTGCTTGTAGTCCCAGCTACTCAGGAGGCTGAGGTGGGAGGATCACTTGAGCCCAGGAGGTCAAAGCTGCAGTGAGCCTAGATCACATCACTGCACTCTAGCCTCTGTGACAGAGCGAGAGCCTATCTCAAAAATAAATAAGTGCATAAATACATGAATAGATATAAAAAATTAAATAATAAATCAGTTCGCAACCCCACTGCTAGCCTAGGATATTAAATCAGTTCCCAACCCCACTGCTAGCTAGGATATCTTTTCTGGTGCATGCTTGCTGTATTGCCAGTTGAGGTAGATCTGCCAGTTCGAAACCTCCCCTAATTGCCCTTGCTTTTGGCTGTTTTCTTGAGCTTTCTATTCCATTCCTATTTTCACAAGGCTGCCCTGCCTCCTACTTTACTGAGTGGGCAAACGCACCCTCTGATGTTACCTCCTCCGGCTTCCCCTCTGGCTGCTGAGTTCCACTTAGAACTCTCCTGATCATCTTCCTTTCTTTATTCCCCCTTGTCTGGGAGGAAGATGTGCTCACACTTCTTTCAGGGTTAAGTCCTCACTGGTGCTCCTTGCCTCATCTATTACTGCGACTTACAATCTTCGTCTATAATTCCTCTTCCTGTCCAAAGCACTCAGGGATACTCAATATATGTTTGTTGAAAACGCCTGTCTACTGTGATCCAGTTCTGATACAGTAGTCTGCTTAGTTTTTCTAAGCTCATTTAGCCTGATCCTCATGGAACCCCCGCTAGACCCTAACCCAGAAAGATGAGAGAAGTGGAAAAGGTGAGGGCTCTAGAAAGCAGCTGTTTCTCCCCCTCCTCTCTGCCCCCACACTCTTACGGAGTACTCTATTGCAGCATTTAATAAGCTATAATTTTATGATGTGTTTACATTTTCTCCCTATGAGACCATGAATTCCTCTAGGGCATGGAGTTTGTCTTATTAGTTTTAGCTTCCCTCAGGCCTCATCTACCAGGGCCAGGCACTTTTGTAGGTGCTCAGTAAATATTTAGTGAATAAACAAATGAAAGCACTCATTGAATAATCAGATGAGGCCAGCAAACCACTCTGCAAGCAAGGCCGGGGGTGATGAGGTTTAGCTCAGGCATATCTTATTCCTCTTGGACCTCCAATGCTTAGTAGGTGTTTATTCACTGGATTCGTCTAACCCAAAAGAGTTACTATAATAGTTGGCATTTTGGGTCAGTAAAGAGGAAGGAGGGAGCTGTAGTGAGCCAGTGAAAACATTTTTGAGAAGACAAAGGGGATTATTCCTCCTCATCTCTTCCCCCTTTAAGATTTGTAGCCATGTAATCCCAGCACTTTGGGAGGCCAAGGCGGGCGGATCACAAGGTCAAGAGATCAAGACCATCCTGGCCAACATGGTGAAACCTCGTCTCTACTAAAAATACAAAAATTAGCTGGGTGTGGTGGCACACGCATGTAGTCCCAGCTACTTGGGAGGCTGAGGCAGGAGAATGGCGTCAACCCAGGTGGCAGAGCTTGCAGTGAGCCAAGATTGCGCCACTGCACTCCAGCCTGGGCAACAGAGCGAGACTCTGTCTCAAAAAAAAAAAGAAAGAAAAAGAAAAAAAGATTTGCAGCCAATTAGATGTTTGCTGTGTAATCCAACAAGAAGTGTCCTTTGGACATTTCCTTACTGCGTATCACCTACTGACCTGAGGCAGGTCTTCAACTACAGGTGAGGGAGGAGCAGCAGGTCCTCGAGACCTAGACCAGAGATACACTAGGTGGGCCAGCGTTACTCCAACTGGTGGGGGAGGGATGCGTGTGTCATTCCTTCCAGTGACTCAATATTCATGTTTATTTCTCTAAAGCAAAGGCAGTGGAGCAGGATCCGGACCATGGATTAAAAATATGGAAAGAGCTACCACTAGCAAGGAAGACCCGGCCTCCAGCACAGGAGGGATTAAAGGTAGGGAGGGTCCCATGGGAGAGTGGAGCACAGAAGCAGTGGGGTGATGCCAGCTGCTTAGATGCTAAGGAAGACATCACCTAGGGCCCAGCCCTTCTTTAGTTAAATGAGGGAGAAAAAAGAAAGCATTTTACCACCATGTGGTTTAAAATCAATTTCCTGCTATTCATTTGTGTAGAGCTAATGGGGCAGAATTAACATGAAGGGCAAATGTCTCACATTGAGAAGTACAGGAGCACCCCCTTATCCACTGTTTCACTTTCCAGGTTTTAGTTACTCTTAGTCAACTGCTGTCCAAATATCAAATGGAAAAATTACAGAAATAAACAATCGATGAGTTTTAAATGATATGCCATTCTGAGTAGTGCGATGAAATCTGGCGCCTTCCGCTGTGTCTTGCTTGGTACACGAATTATCCCCTTGTCCAGGGTGTCCCTGCTGTCTGTGCTCCCCACCCCGCCAGCCTTAGTCACTTATAGCCATCTTGGTGATTAAATCGACTGTTAGGATCACAGTGTTTGTGTTCAAGTGACTCTTATTTTACTTAATAATGGCCCCAAGGCCAAGCACGGTGGCTCACGCCTATAATCCCAGCACTTTGGGAGGCCGAGGTGGGTGGATCACCTGAGGTCAGGAGTTTAAGACCAGCCTGGCCAAGATGGTGAAACCTTGTCTCTACTAAAAATACAAAAATCAGCCGGGCGTGGTGGTGTGCACCTGTAATTCTAGCTACTCCGGAGTTTGAGGCAGAGAATTGCTTGAACCTGGGAGGCGGAGGTTGCAGTGAGCGAGATGGTGCCACTGCACTCCAGCCTGGCCGACAGAGTGAGACTCTGTCTGAAAAAATAAATAAATAAATAAAATACTCATGCCTGTAATCCCGGCACTTTGGGAGGCTGAGGCGGGAGGATCACGAGGTCAGGAGATCGAGATCACCCTGGCTAACACAGTGAAACCCCATCTCTACTAAAAATACAAAAAAAAAAAAAAATTAGCTGCGCTTGGTGGTGGGCGCCTGTAGTCCCAGCTACTCGGGAGGCTGAGGCAGGAGAATGGCGTCAACCTGGGAGGCGGAGCTTGCAGTGAGCCGAGATCACGCCACTGCACTCCAGCCTGGGCAACAGAGCGAGACTCTGTCTCAAAAAAATAAATAAAATAAATAAATAAATAAACAAACAATGGCCCCAAAGCACAGTCGTGATGCTGGAAATTCAGATATGCCAAAGAGAAGCCGTCAAATGCTTCCTTTAAGTGAAAAGGTGAAAGTTGATTTAACAAGAAAGAAAAAAAATCACACACCGAGGTTGCTAAGATCTATGGTAAGAAGGAATCATCTGTCCATGACATTGTGAAGAAGGAGAAAGAAATTTGTACTCATTTTGCTGTCGCATCTCAAACTGCCAAAGTTACGGCAGCAGCACTAAGATGAAAAAGGCGTTAAACCGGTGGTGGTGGAAGGCGAATAGAAACATATTCCCACTGATGGCAGTCAAGTTTGGCACTCTCTGCGGTTTCGGGCATCCACTGGGGATCTTGGAAGTAGCCCCTGAGGATAAAGGGGGACTACTGTACCTGTCATTATAAAAGTGTCTAGATCCAAGGAATGTACAACAGCCAAAGTGAACCATGATGTGAGCTACAGACTTTGGGTGAATATGATATATTCAGTGTATACGTTCATCCATTGTAACAAATGTGCCTCTCTGGTGGGGGATGGTGATAGGGAGGCCATGCATGTGTGAGCACAGGGGATATATGGGAAATCTTTGTACCTTCCTCTCAGTTTTTCTGTGAACCTAAAACTGCTCTAAAAAAATAAAGTCAGCCGGGTGCGGTGGCTCACGCCTGTAATCCCAGCACTTTGGGAGGCCGAGGTGGGCGGATCACCTGAGGTCAGGAGTTGAAGACTAGCCAGGCCAACATGATGAAACTAAAAATACAAAAAATTAGCCGGGCATGGTGGTACACGCCTGTAATCCCAGCTACTCGGGAGGCTGAGGCAGGAGAATTCCTTGAACCCAGGAGGCAGAGATTGTGGTGAGTCAAGATCGCGCCATTGCACTCCAGCCTGGGCAACAAGGGCGAAACTCCTTCTCAAAAAATAAAATAAAATAAAGCCTTCTAAAAAAGTTTTTAAAATAAACCACATATACAGTATTACAGTAGAGAGTATTGACAGCCTGCCCAGACCCTCTTTATAGGCTGTTGGCCCCATGTCTCTGCTGCTGTGAGGTTAGCTGACAATGGCTCACCGTTGTGCCCTTCAGGCAGTTGCCCTCAGCTGCCCAGGGTCGTCCAGCCAGGAAATGCCTGTGAGGTTATGTCCTCCCCTAAGGGTGGCTTATGGCCCACCAATGGCTTACTGATTCAGGGTACAGAAGCCAGTCCTTCTGTCTCAAGATGGTAACCTGTGGTGCCATCCATGCTCCAGTACTGCCCAGGGGATCAGGCTGATGCTAGACTTCTGCTAAGCCCACGTCTGTGCCTGGCTTCTTCCCTGCCCTAGCTTCGGCCTTCACTGTCTTCCAGGTTTCATCTGAAAGCCGTTTTTCAATAACACATTTGCATAATCTGCTTCTGGGGAACCTGACTGAAGACCGTTAGTAGCAGGAGGGGTCCCAGAATGGATGGGATTCTGGTGTTGGCTCACTGCAGGCCAAATGGCCATGAGGACCTCATTATTGGTGTTAAGTGGCGTGTTGAGAGTCCTGGTACCTGGCCTGCTGTAGCAGTTCGATTGCTCAGACCTTCACCTGTGGTGACCTGGGATCAGATACAGGTGGATGGGGACACACCAGCTGGTGCAATGTCTCTAGCATTTGAGAGCTTTGAGGAAAATATTATCTATCAGGAAGGTAGAGTTGGGAGGCTGTTGCTAAGAGCCTCCCGTTGATGCACTGAAGGGAGAAAGTAACAGGGTCAGACTAATTATCGATTTAAAACACAGGATCAGAATCAGGGGGCCTCCCTGCCAACATTTAGCCTCTCATCTCCTACAGCAGAGGCAGACTGGGCTGGTAAAAGTGGCAGAATTTGAGAGAAGGAAGAATTCTCAGCCTAGGCGAGTCTGCCATCTGGTCATTTTGGACTCCTAGTGCCAGTAGATGAGTCATTAGATCCTGAGAGGGAAGATAAGGGACCCAAAAACTGGGAATGAGGATGTCTGGGTAAATGCCCTTGACCTCCTGGGCTGGCAGCAGTGGCCTACTTCGCCTTGTACTACAAAGTACAGCCAAGGACCAACTGTAGCAGCAGGCGGCAGCCGTAGATTTAGTTAAGTAGGATTCTTGCTGTGTTCCCTAGTGGAAGTGTCTCCCTCAGGTACTGTCCCTTGAGGAGTACCTCCTTCTGATGACCAGGACCCATTTCTCCTTCCAGTATGGTAACTGCTCTCTTTGCCTGCTGGTCTCCTGGCATGAGGACAAAGAGATAGGATTCCTCATGCCAGTAGGGCTAGGGCCTGGCTGGGGGAAGGGAAGAAGGTGAGATTCACTTAAGACGGTTCCCAGTCCCCTAAGACTATGCGGAAGCCTCAGATGAGGCATACAAGGCAATGTTTGCCCTTTCCAAGATCTGTCCCCACCTCCCTTCCTGAACCCTTTCAGAATAATAACTAGGATCAAATGACAACATGACCTGACTGGAGAAGGGGCACACAGGCCTGTGGGGGTTAACTCAAAATGTGAGAGTCTTTGAACTGTGCTTTAATGCCCCCTAAAGAAGGTGCATAGCAGAAGTCCAGTTAGTGCACTTCCTCTTAGGCACCCCAGTGCCTGCACCATGGGCTCGGAAATGGAGAAGCCTTGGTAGCAGAATTGAACCCAGCAGTGCTCGGCCCCAGCAGTGAGGGCTCCATGTCTTCAAGACTGCTCTAGCTGCTACCACTTTTAAATGTCCGACATGCCAGCAGAGGTCAGTGCTGAGCCCCCAGTTTGGTACTGTCCCTTGAGAAGACAAGTTGATTTTACCAGACCCCTTCAGGTTAGAAAGTACAGTGTGTGATCAATCATAAGCGTTGCTTTTTTTTTTTGCGATAGAGTTTCACACTTGTCGCTCAGGCTGGAGTGCAACGGCACCATCAGGGATCACTGCAACCTCCACCTCCTGGGTGCAAGTGATTCTCCTGCCTCAGCCTTCCGAGTAGCTGGGATTACAGGCTCATGCCACACCCAGCTAATTTTTGAATTTTTAGTAGAGGAGACAGGGTTTCACCATGTTGACCAGGCTGGTCTTGAACTCCTGACCTCTAGTGATCCATCCCCCTCTGCCTCCCAGAGTGCTGGGATCACAGGCATGAGCCAGCGCGCCAGGCTGTATAACACTGCTTTGATCAGGGGACTCAGTATGGCAAAAGAGAATCAGCCATAGACGTGATCACAGGACAGAGTCTTACCACTGCATTCAGAAGCTGGTGCCTGACAGAGTAGTGGGACAGCCTCTTGAGAGTGAGGCGGGGCAGCAGTTTGGACATGGCACTGCGGGGATGGAGTGCTGTCCCTCAGGATGCAGCATACAACTGAACCAATGGCTGTATTATGGTGAAGTGCCCCCAAGAGGCAGAGTATATGAATCTGGGAGCCAAGAAGTCAAATGAGTTGTGACCTTGCCCATCATGACTCTAGTGATGAACACGGGGACATTGTTTTCTCCCCATGTCTCCAACTTTAACCTCAGTGGGTCTCAACAAGGGAGATGCTTCCACTAGGGAACACAGCAAGAATCCTACTTAACTCAATCTGTGGCTGCCACCTGCCACTGCAGTTGGTCCTTGGCTGTGCTTTGTCATCATTCCCTCCTACTCATTCTAGACATCCCTCTCCCCATCAGGCACTTCTACTGGTGGCATGTATAGTGGGGGTCCTAGACTCTTATCAGGCTATGGTTCTTGGACTTGGCCATCATAGTTACAGCTGGGCATGGGAGTATTGCGAGATGTCCTAGTGGATCACCTGAGCATCAGACATGTCCCTCTCGGCCTTTGTTAAGCAGCAGCCCTACCTCCTCACCACGACTAGGACCCGTTTCTCCTTCCACTATGGTAACTGCTCTCTTTGCCTGCTGGTCTATTGACATGAGGAGAAAGGGAAAGGATTCCACGTGCCAGCTGGGATGGGGTCTGGGTAGGGGAAGGGAAGAAGGTAAGATTCAGTAAGGACCTACACAACTTCCAGATGGGACAGTCAGCAGACAGGTGGGTGTGCTGTTTACTGGCAGCTTACAGTAAAAATAAAGGGCTGGGCGCGGTGGCTCACGCCTGTAATCCCAGCACTTTGGGAGGCCGAGGCGGGAGGATCAGGAGGTCAAGAGATTGAGACCATCTTGGCCAACATGGTGAAACCCCGTCTCTACTAAAAATACAAAAATTGGCTGGGCGTGGTGGCGCATGCCTGTCGTCCCAGCTACTCGGGAGGCTGAGGCAGGAGAATCACTTGGACTCAGGAAGCGGAGGTTGCAGTGAGCTGAGATGATGCCACTGCACTCCAGCCTGGAAACAGAGCAAGACTCCATCCAAAAATAAAAAAATAATAAAATAATAAAAAAAATAAAGGTTATAAGCTAAGACTGTTTTACTGACTTGGATGGTGCTGAAAATTTTTAATTCTGAATTCACTTTGCCTCTGATTTGCAAAGTTCTGGCCATGTGAAAGACATAAAAATGAGAATAACTGTTGTACCTCAGAGCTAACAGAGGAAGAACCTGTCTGCCAGCCTTACTACAGGTCCCTCGTCGGGTACCTCAGGGTCTCCAAGGGGGCCTAGGAGCTATCCGGTATAGCACGTCATGGTTGTTTCTTTGCCAATTTTTGTGGCATTTCCTTTTGGGCCTAGATAATTTAGTTACTTTCATTATCTTTTTTTTTGTGTTATTCAAACTTATTGGGGCACTCTAGTATTTCAATGAAGAAAATAAGTTCTAGCAAACAGCCCTCTCTGGAGAGATGGTGGGTTATTTTACATATCTGACCAATTGGTTTTAACTATTTTAAGTTTCCTTTTCTGATTATTAAAGGAGTACACATGTAGAATGTCAGGAATTTAGAAAATACAGGAAAGTACAAATAAAAATACAAATCCAACATAACCAGATATAATCACCATTAATATCTTCTTGCAGACGTTGTCTATAGAAATGCATGATTTGGTCAGTTGTGGTGGCTCATGCCTGTAATCCCAACACTTTGGGAAGCCAAAGCAGGAGGATCACTTGATATCCAGGAGCTTGAGACCAGCCTGGGCAATATCGCAAGACCCCATCTCCACAAAAACTTTTGAGACGGAGTTTCACTCTTGTTGCCCAGGCTGGAGTGCAATGGCACGAACTTGGCTCACTGCAACCTCCACCTCCCAGGTTCAATTGATTCTCCTGCTTCAGTCTCCCGAGTAGCTGGGATTACAGGTGCCCACCACCACACCTCGCTAATTTTTGTGTTTTTAGTAGAGACGGCAGTTTCACCATTGTGGCCAGGCTGGTCTCAAACTCCTGACCTCAGGTGATCCGCTTGCCTCGGCCTCCCAAAGTGCTGAGATTTACAGGCATGAGCCACTGCACTGGACCTACAAAAAATTTTTTTTAAAAATTAGCTGGGCATGGTGGTGGGTGTCTGTAATCCTAGCTATTTGGCAGGCCAAGGTGAAAGGATTGCTTGAGCTCAGGAGGTTGAGGCTGCCGTAAGCCATGATTGTACCACCGCACCTCTCCTGGGCAAGAGTAAGGCCCCATTGCAAAACAAAGATATGCATGATTTTTTTTAAATGGAGCCATACTAAAATTGGGGTGACCTTATATTTTAATCTTATTGGAAATTTTCCATTAAAATTCTGATGAAATGGGCAAGGCTTTGACTGAACCAAACTAGACGTATTGGCTTGCCCTTCCCTCCTGCCACTCATCTTTGGGCTTATTCCAATCCAGAACATTTGAGGGCAGCTGGTGGCTGAGCTGGGAGGTAAAGCTAGGTTATAAAGTTTCTTTGACCTACAGCCCCTCCCTCCCCCAAGCTTCCAGCAGCTCTGAAAGTCTAAGACAGCCAGCTCAGACTGCCTTAGGAGCTGGCAGGGACTTTGACAACAGAAATGCACGGGAAAAAAAAAATGTGCCCTGAGAATGTCAACATGTGGAATCTGAAAGCAATTAATTAGATGTTCTCAAGAATGATTCACTTCCTCTTAGCCAAAGATAGGCTTGCAAATGAAATAGACGTTTCAGCTATAGACCAGCCTAAGATATCCACGTTTATACTCTGGGCCACCAAGCAAAATATTGTAACCGAGCCTAGTACCCCTGGAAACATTTTGGAACTCTCTCCTGTTGGGAGCTCTGGAGAGCTACTGGGATGGATCAGACAGAATGTGACACCATGTATTAAATCCTAGAAGACAGAGAGGGGAAATTGGTTAGCAGCACACACAACACAATGATGAAGGGCTCAAACTCAGGTCTCAAAGACCCAGCCTCAAGTGCAGCTCCATCTCTTTGGATGGATTCTATAGCCTGTCTGTGCTTAAGTTCTTTTTATCATTCATTTTACAAAATGGAGATAATACTGTACAGTCTTGCCATGAGGATTAAATGAGATGAAGCCCTTAGGCTTGCGCCTAGATCTCTGAAAGCATGGAATTGTTAGCAGTTAGTTACCCCCTGGTTCTTCCAAGTGAAAGGAAGGAAAGCCCAGGGGGTTTAGGCATTGCTTTTAAGCAGCTCACCACTTCCCACCCCCAAGTGAAAATGATATCCTTTAGTTCATGTGATAGAGATGGTCCTTAAAAAGTTGTGCATAATTGGCCAAGCGCGGTGGCTTACGCCTGTAATCCCAGCACTTTGGAAGGCCAAGGTGGGCGGATCACGTGGTCAGGAGATCGAGACCATCCTGGCCAACATGGTGAAACCCTGTCTCTACTGATATTACAAAAAAATTAGCTGGGCATGGTGGCATGCGCCTGTAGTCCCCAGCTACTCAGGAGGCTGAGGCAGGAGAATCACTTGAACCCGGGAGGCGGAGGTTGCAGTGAGCCGAGATCGTGTCACTGCACTCCAGCCTGGCAATAGAGCGAGACTCCGTCTCAAAAAAAAAAAAGAAAAAGAAAAAAAAAGTTGTGCATTGAGAAAAATCTAGTTTGAAAGACAATAAAAATAGAATTTGCCCATTTAATATCTATGGATTGAGAGCTACCGCTGAACCAGCAGGATCTACAATGGTCTCTTTGTGCCATCCACTGGACAGTAAGGGAAACACCATGATTTTGTCTTCAAAGTCTATAATTTACCAAAAATATGTATGCTGGTGAGAATAATTTCAGCTCATTACTAGGTTCACTTGTTAATAAATTTCATTCCATTTGTTTAAGCAAAATAAAAAAGCTTAGAATTCTAAGCACTAAATGTGAACACTAGATTTCCTAAACCATTCAGCTTATCTGATATGCACCAGAAAGATTGTCGACTAAGGGTTTCAAAAGAGAATACTCTCACCAGTCCTTATCTGCAGGAATTCTCATCGCCCACCTTTCCCATTCTTGTCCTTCTCCACCAATACTCCTTATGCTTATCTGATACATAGACTGAGAGTGCCCCAGAGACTCAGGGTGTATCTGCTCCAACACACCACTAGATCTTGGCTGGGACAAAAGTCGTTCCATTCATTTTCCAAGAATACAACTATCACTTAGAATTTTGCTATAATCAGCTGGGCATGGTGGCTCACGCCTGTAATCTCACACTTTGGGAGGCCAAGGCAGGTGGATCACCTGAGATCAAGAGTTCGAGACCAGCCTGACCAATATGGTGAAACCCTGTCTCTACTAAAAATACAAAAATTAGCCAGGCATAGTGGCATGTGCCTGTAGTCCCAGCTACTCTGGAGGCTGAGACAGGAGAATTGCTTGAACCCGGGAGAAGGAGGTTGCTGTGAGCCAAGATCACGCCACTGCACTCCAGCCTGGGCGACAGAGCGAGACCCCTGTCTCAAAAACAAACAAAAAAACAAAACAAAACAAAACAGTTTTGCTATAATCAGATTGAATATTTGTCAAGAGCCTGTGTGTTTGGCATGGTTTTTCTGAGGGGTGTGTGTGTGTGTGTGTTTGCTCTGTTTCTTTTTAAAGCCATTTATTATCCTTATAATGTTTCTTTCCCTGAGTGTTTATGAGGATGAGACAATGGCAGACAAACCTCCCTGAAATGTAAGTAATAATAGCACACCTGGAGTGCCCAGAGCTGTTTTGAGACCCTCTCTTTAGTATTATTGTAATTGCTATACACAATAATCATAACAGGTACTATTTGTTGAATTCCTATGATGTACCAGGCATTTTTCTTTATCAGAAGATTTGCTAATCCTCATACCAAGACTGCAAAATCGATGTTATTATCTCCATTTTAGAGATAAGGAAGCTGATGCTCAAGAGGTTAAGTGATGTATCCAAGATCACACAGCTAGTGAGTGACAGAGTGAGAATCAGGTCTGACTGCCCTCAGGTCTGACTGACTCCAGAGCACCTTCTCCTGCCATGGGGCAATGGGCCTCTCAGTTGTTCCCTCACATGCCTGTGACTGGCCAGATCCTGAGTCTGAGATTTTGGGGTCCCCTCAGTGCTGCCAGCTCCTTAGTGCCTAAGACTCTTAGGGCCTCAGAGCCCATGACCAGTGAATCCAGCAGGGGATTAAATATGCAGATGATGTAAGACAGCAAAAGTCAGCCCAGGAGGTGGGCATGATGGCTCACATCTGTAATCCCAGCACTGTGGGAGGCTGAGGTGGGCAGATCAGTTGAGCTCAGGAGTTCAAGACCAGCCTGGCCAACATGGTAAAACCCCATCTCTACCAAAAAATACAAAAATTAGCTGGGTGTGGTGGCATGTGCCTGTGGTCCCAGCTACTCAGGAGGCTGATGTGGGAGGATCAGTTCAACCCAGGAAGTCAAGGCTGCAGTGAGCCGTGATCACACAACTGCACTCCAACCTGGGTGACAAGCCAGACTCTGTCTCCAAAATAAATAAATAAAAGCCCAGGGCTGGGACTGGAAGGCCTGGGTGAGGAAGGGAACATGATCTCTAGGAGTCAGGACACCCCGGTCCTGGCCCTGACTCAGCTCCCACAGGGCCTTAAGCCAGTCCCCACAAGGCACACAGCCTGGTGGTCAATTACCATCCCTGGCGGGGCACCCTGTGAGCCGCACTTTCCTCCGCAGAGAACCAGGGGCTTTGCCTGCAGGATGCTCTCTAAGGTTTTCTGGTTCTGAGAATTCTGAGTTTCTTCCAGGAGCCCTGGGGGATACCTGGTGAATAGGTTACTGTCTCTGCTGGCAGGAACCCGGGGCCTGGAGGGAGACAGGCGAGGGCACACCCAGAGCAGCTGCAGTTTGTCTCAGGAGAGACGTGTCACCCAAGGGCTTGGATGAGACTCCCCCACCTCCGCAGCCCCCCCTCCTGCTTTGTCTCCTAGGATAGAACAAAGCATGATAGGATGAGGTGGGACAGATGAGGACTTCACACACTCTAAGGGTAAATATTGTTCCGTCCGCTTGTGTTTGAATTGTATAAATGTGTTTCTGCGTGTATGCTGTGTTAGGGGGTAAAATTTGCATCTCCCTGAGGTTGCACTCTAAGGTGTATGGAAAACCTGGCTCTAGACTAAACCAGGCCCCCCGTGGTGCTCCAGGCATCCCCACCCTCACCTGTGGCACCCGGAGCTCCTGCTGTCACTGGCCCAGGTGGGTCCTGTGTCTTTCTCTGCGTTGTCAGGGCCTGCGCTGACAGTCCCCCACAGGGAGGTGGAATCTGGGGTTGACAGCACTGGGAGGATCCTTCCTCTTTCCACGTTCAGGCAAATCCTCGCCTGGAGGCAGGGAATGGGCTAGAGGAAACAGTTGACTGTTTCAGATGACCCTGAAACAGTTGAGTCCAGGGTCTGAGAGCCCCTCTGTGCCCAGCGCTGTGCCCCCTTCCCTTCCCCGCTTCCCTGCAGGGCCCGCGAGAGCAGGGAAAGCAGCTGCCAGCTCCAGGCAGTCATTTTACCCCAGGTGCCACTTACCCTGCAGAGGGGCTGGAACCAACTAATCATTTTACCTGGAGGTACCACTTACCCTGCGGAGGGGCTAGAGCTTGTCAGGTTTTTCAGTTCCTGTGTCGCCTCCCAGCCCTGCCCACCCCAGGCTGTGGCTGCCTATGGCTGACGAAGGCTCCTGAGCCAGGCCCAACCGCCAGCCTCCCAGTGGGTGGCTCTATGGTCCCTAGCAGCCCTGGCATCATCCGGGGCACAGAGGCCATGGACCCTGGAGACACAGCCCTTCCTATTCATGCAGGGGATGGTCAAGGGCATGGCTCCCTCTGTCCCTCTATCCCTCCATCACAGAACTTTCAGCAAGACAATCATTCTTCCATTCTCACTGCTTGCTCCTGGCATAAGGGGACCCCAGGGCTGGATGACTTCTCTAAAGAGGAGTCTTGGGTTTCCTTAGATGCTCCCAAGTCCTGTCTGGAGGATGAAGGCAGGGGGCACATCCCTGAGGCAGTTTCTCCTCTGCCCTCCACCCCTTGCCCCTCCCACCTCCTGGGACTAGGAACTCAACCAGGACTTGCTTCAACCTGAGAGGAGGGTGTCCAGCCCCCTCGGAGCCTGCCAGAGTCAGGCAGGATTTCAGAGGGGCCTCCAGGGAGGTGCTGCCCAGCTGCCCCCCCGCCCCCATGTTACTCACACAGCCCCCACTGATCTGCTCTGGGGAGGGCCTGGGGCCCAGAACGTGGCTTGTTGGGGGCTTGGGGCAGCAGCCCAGGAGACGCTACTTGTGCTGCCTGCTCACCCAGATAACTGCAGCTCCCTCCACTGCCGCCTACCGCCCTCTGGCCATGCCTCTGCCCAGAATGCCCTCCCTCTCCAGTCCTGTCTGCCCCTCAAGTCCTGCCCAAACCTCCCTGAATTCTCGCCTGAGCAGACACTTTCCTAGCACGGCTCCCGCCGCGTAGACTACTCAGCTGACCCTCGGTCTGGGGCTGTCCTGTGTTGGGACCTTTCTGCAGATGCTCTGCTCCCTACCCTGGCTTGTGAGCCATGTGGGGCAGAGACTCCATCTCACTCAGAGCGAGGGTAAAGAGCAGGAGTGCTGGAGAAGACAGCTGCCCTGCCACAGGCCAAGAGGACTTGGCCAAGTGACCATTGCTGTCTGTTTCCCCAACTGTAAAGGGGGCTGAGACCCTTACAGGGTTGTGAGGCTTAAACTTTGACAAATGCCTAACATACCACCAGGCACAGGGCAGTTGTTCAGTATTTGGCAGTGGCTGCTGTTCCCCACAGTGTCCAACACCGCCCCAGGGATGTAACATGTGCGCCATAGACAAGACTGATGGATTAATTAATCAGTTCACTGCAGAGAGAGGCAGGATGGATGCACTTGCTTGTTCCTCTGATTTTCCCTTATGGGGAGCAGTGACACTTGGCAGAGGCTGCCAGGGAGATGGGAAATGGACATTAATTAGGGGAGAGAAAAGGAGGCAAGGAGGGGAGGGTGAGAAAGAGACAGGGGAGGAGGAAGGGAAGGAGGCGTGGTTAGAAGACTGGCAAACACAAAAAACAATGACTGTTTTCTTGGAGGAACGGGGAGGTAGGGCCATGAACAGCATGTGGACGCGCCTTCTCGGTGAATTACGGCATCTCGGCGCTGGAAAAGCAGCCTGGAGATCACAGACCCCCTCACAGCCCAGCGCAGTGCAGGCCCTTGGAGAGCAGGAGTTAGAGATGGGGAGGACCGTGCCTGCAACAGGCACTGCCTGCTACACCCTGCCATGGGCAGAGGGGATGTCCTCCCACCCCACAGAGGCCCCATCCTTCCCTTTCTCTCCCTAAGGCTGCTCCAGCAGGGAGTTTAGCTCCATGGACACCTTTGAAGACTGTGAAGGCGCAGAAGACATGGAAAAGGAGAGCAGTGCTCTGAGTGTAATTACTTCCCTTTTGTTTCTTTCATCTTCTTCCCTCCTTCCTATTCATCAGCTCCTCCTGCCTCCTGTCCCTAGCCTCCATCCCTCTCCCCCTCCTCAGGATTCTCACCCATAAGGACCTGGTTAAGCCAGGGAGCCGAGGTCACCAGACCCTCAAACTGGCTCTGACCCTCCTAGTCCAGCATGTCCCCACGTGGCTGTCTCCTTGGCGGTGCGCTGGTGTCCGGTCATAACTGGGGCTCCCGCTGAGAGCCCCGTGGCCCAGGTGGGAGGGCTGGGGTGGGCCTCAGCCTGCCAGCGGGAGTCACCACCTTGCCCGGTCTGGCCACAGCCTCCAGCAATAACTCTGAGGGTGCACCCGTCCCCTCCCTTCCAGCTCGCGGGCCTTTTCCAGTCGGACGACAGTCACGAAACCTGTTCCTCCAAATCTGCTTTCCTGGAGAGGGGAGAAAGCAGCCAGGGAGAAAAAGAAGAACGCGATGAGGAGGAAACGTGAGTGTGAGCGAGGAAAGACTAAGCGCCTCTTTGGGCCACGGCGTCTCTGACTTTCTTCTCGGAATTGCAGGGCGACCCGCAGCACCGAGGAGGAGCGCGCTGGGGCGTCCACGGGCCGGCTGGCTCCTGCGGGGGCGACGGCTGGTTTCCAGGCGAGGGCGCTGCGCCCGAGGACCTCCGCCCAGGAGAGCTGACCTCCCTGCGGACGCCCCCGCTCCTCGGCTCCAGAGCGCCCGCATTCCCGGGAGAGGCGGTGTGGGGGCCCGGGCCCTGCCCAGCTACGCAGAAAGCAGCCGGAGCCTCGGCGGCGGCAGAAAGGGGACAACCAGGGCCTCCTCCGAGGAGCCCGAGGGGTGTCCTGGGTGCGCGCCTAGCTCCGCACGGGGGACCTCGGAGCTGCTCTAAGGCGCCTGCAGAGGCGAGCAGAGCCCGCAGCCCACGCCTTCTCGACCGCGCACTTCGATATTCGGAGCCGGGCAATTCTTTGCTGCGTGGGCTTCTCTGTGCTCCCACGGTAGGATGTTTAGTAGCACCCCTGGCCTCTACCCACTAGGTGCCAGGAATGCGCCACCCCATCCTCCACCCCGCCCCCAAATCGTGACAATCAAAAATGCCTGCAGACACGCCCGCATTTCTCCAGGGCGGGGTGGGAATCGGTTGAGAGCCGCTTAGCCCGAGCCTTGGAGGAGCCGGAGCCGCTCCAACCCGGCGGGGGCCGCAGACTGGGAGCTCCCGGTCCGCCTCCCAGCATCCCTGCGAGCGTTCATGGGGTGTTCGTGTTAGTGCCAAGATTGCTTCGTTGTAGAGAGAGTTCGTTCCAAGTTACTTTCTGAGGTATTTTATGTATCGATTTATTAGTTTTTAAATGAGTTTTGTTAGTTTCAGTTGTATTTTATTTTTAGTTTTATTAGTTGATTTTCATTTCTTTGTAGCTTTCTGGTTATTTAATTTTATAGTTTCAGTTACTGGTTTATAGTTACTTTATTTTCAAAGTTATTTAGTTGTTCATTTTCAGTTATTTATATGTAGTTGTTTTGTTTTAGGAGTTACAGATGTTCAAATTAATTTGCTTGGAATTTATTTATTTATTTATTTATTTATTTTTCGAGACGGAGTCTCGCTCTGTCGCCCAGGCTGGAGTGCAGTGGTGTGATCTCGGCTCACTGCAAACCGCCTCCCGGGTTCACGCCATTCTCCTGCCTCAGCCTCCTGAGTAGCTGGGACTACAGGCGCCCGCCACCACGCCCGGCTAATTTTTTATTTGGATTTTTAGTAGAGACGGGGTTTCCCCGTGTTAGCCAGGATGGTCTCGATCTCCTGACCTCGTGATCCCCCTGCCTCGGCCTCCCAAAGTGCTGGGATTACAGGCGTGAGCCACCGCGCCCAGCCGGAATTTATTTTTAATTATCTTTACAATTATTATCTGAGTTATTTACCTTCATAGTTATTTCACTTTATCTTATTGGAGTTTTTGAGTTATTTATTTTTACAGTAACTTATTTGACTATTAAACACTCACTGGAAGTTCATGAACTACTGTCAAGTTATTTATTTTCAGAGTGAAATGTTTTAATGAAGGGTTTCCCCTAGTTATCTGGTTTTCGAGTTGCTTATGTTCACAGGTATTTATTTTCAGTTATTTTATATTTGAGTTGTTTATTTTTATGTTCTTTTTTTCAAGTTACTTGGTTTTTAGTTATTTCATTTTCAGCATTACTTCATATTTGAACATTATATTTTCTGAATTTTTAAAGAGTTTTTGAGGTATTTAGTTTTTGAGCTATTTTCAGAGTTATTTATTCTCAGTTATTTCTTTTCAGCTTTGTATTTGCCATTCAAATTTTTTTTCTGTTCTTTATTTAATTGTCAGATTTTTTTTTCTTTTTTTTTTTTTTTGAGATGGAGTTTTGCTCTTGTCACCCAGGCTGGAGTGAAGTGCCGCAATCTTGGCTCACTGCAACCTCCGCCTCCCGGGTTCAAGCAATTCTCCTACCTCAGCCTCCCAAGTAGTTGAGATTACAGGCACCTGCCACCATGCCCGGCTAATTTGTTGTTGTTGTTGTTGAGACGGAGTCTCTCTCTGTCACCCAGGCTGGAGTGCAGTGGTGCAATCTCGGCTCACTGCAAGCTCCACCTCCCGGGTTCACGCTATTCTCCTGTCTCAGCCTCCTGAATAGCTGGGACTACAGGCATCTGCCACCACGCCTGGCTAATTTTGTTTTGTATTTTTTTTTTTTTTTAAGTAAAGATGAGGTTTCACCATGTTAGCCAGGATGGTCTGGATCTCCTGACCGGGTTTCGCCATGTTTGCCAGGCTGGTCTCCAACTCCTGACCTCAGGTGATCCATTCGCGTTGGCCTCCCAAAGTGCTGGGATTACAGGTGTGAGCCACCACACCCGGCCCTCAGAATTATTTAGAGTTAGAATTCTTAGTCTACTAGTCAAGTTTCAATCAAGAGACACTGTATCAGTTATTTCAAGAGAGAATTTAATATAAATAATTGTTATCCAGCTAGTAGAGATTTAAAAAAAAGTAGTGATAATGAGATATCATGAAGATTTTGACTGCAAGCTCCCAGCCCAAGGACTCATACAACAAAGAAAAGAGGTTGAAAATATCAAAACTCAGAAATATGAAGGTGGCCCTAGGGCTGGGGGTTAGTCCTCTGAGGAGGAGGCACTATTAATTGTACACGTGGCCCAAGGGCTCAGAGCTCAAGGTCCAGGAGCTGGACGCAGAATTCTGGAGAGGGGACATGGCCAGCCCGTGCTGCTGTCTCTGAATGGGCATCAGCAGGCTGGTTATAGGAGTGCTAGGAAAATGGCAAGCTGGAACCAACTCCCGCTACTGGAACCAGCTGTCACTCTCAGGGTGGAGACAGGATGCTGACAGTGGGGGTGGGGTGGGGTGCACACAGGAAGGAGCCCATGGTGACCCTGCACCCCAGAGCTGGGAAGGGTGGGCTGGAAGCTTAATTACCAGCACACTCAGCTTTAGAGTTACATAGAGTTATGTTAGGATTCCGTTAGTTTTGGAATTGTCAGGGGTGATTTGATTTCACATTTTCATGGGATATGGGATTGGGATGAGTCTTCAGTCTCCTGGTTTGTTTCTGGAATAGAGTGGGCCACACCTCCCAGGAGTCTCCCCCAGGGAACTCAAGACAATCACTTTAGAATTCAAGAAAACAAAAATAATGTGTCTCACTTCGTTCATAAAGAAGGCCTTTGACAACGTGGCCAAAAAGGGGCAGAGCCTAAGGGACAGACTCTTAGAAAGATGCCCTTGGAACAGGGTCCCGCAGAGTGTTCCTCTCAAATTCTTTAGAACTTTACACTGTTTTGTGGGGCCACCCTCTCCCACGCCCTTTCCTAACAACAGTGTCTTTCTTGATAGAGTATGTTTCAAATTTGTAGACTGTTTGCACAATAAAATAAAGTTCCTCCCAAATCAAGAATCTGTAATCTTAGGTTCTTCTACCTGCATTATTCTTCAGCCCACATTGTTCCATTTGACCATCAGAATGTTTACATATGTATATATGTCTGGATGGATGGAAGGATGGATGGATGGATGGATGGATACACTTATTTTATTCAATATCTATTTCCTGAGCATTCCCCTGCCCTGAGGATGGTTCTGGCACCAGGTAGAGACCAGGGAGGTATGAAGATGAGTGAGGCTCTCATTCCAGTGGGGGAGACAGATGTGGAAAAATAATCACAACACAATGTGGCAAATTCTCTGGGAGCATAAAACACCATCACTGACTCTTCCTGATACCGTCAGGAAGGGGTGACATTAGAACTGGGTCTTACTGGCAAGTGTTCTTCTCCTGGTGGAGAAGGAGAAGGGCATCCTGGCAGAGGGAATAGCATGAGCTCAGGTACAGGGGCACAGAGGAGCTGTGCATGGCAGGTAGGACGAGTTGATGGAGGCTGCTGGGTCACAGGGTTCAGAAAGGCACTAAGCTTAAGAGCTGGCCCTGGTGCTTGACAGATCCTGCTTCATTTGGTCCTGCAGCAAGTCTGCAAGATAGTAGGGAGCAACCTCAGGAGTCCCATGCTTCTCCTGACCTTACTTTTCCAAACACAGTTTACATTTCTGGATATCTTAAGCTCCTTCTTGATTTTATCCATCTCCCACTTTTCACGTGTCCATCGGAGGTGAGTTGCCCCCTCTCCTTCACCTTTTGATTCCTGCTGCTTACACATCTGTAGGGATGGAGGAGGGTTGAGACCAGAAAGCTGTGAAGTGCAGACTTCCTCTGACAAGGGAGGTGGAGGAGAGCAGGGCAGAGACCTGCTTGTGGGAATGGCATGCAGAAGTTCTGCAGACCAGCACAGTGGGGAATGGGCTCCGGACATCACCAGCTGTGACTGCCTCCAGCTGCATTCAGCAACCATGGAAAGGTCGTGGGGATGCCTTTCCAAAAGTGGGAGGCTGCTTTAGATCCAACCCAGGCTTATGAATGCAACAGATTGGGATTTTTTAAAGCACGTAGAGCCCTTTGCAGCATTAACAGCAATAAACATGCCTCCCAAGTCAAAAGAAAATATAGTCCTAAGACTATACTTTCAGGGATCATTTCTATAGTTCGTCACTAGAGAAGTTTCTCTGAACGTGTAGAGCACTGATGCAGCCAAAAAACACATGAAAAAATGCTCATCATCACTGGCCATCAGAGAAATGCAAATCAAAACCACAGTGAGATACCATCTCACACCAGTTAGAATGGCAATCATTAAAAAGTCAGGAAACAACAGGTGCTGGAGAGGATGTGGAGAAATAGGAACACTTTTACACTGTTGGTGGGACTGTAAACTAGTTCAACCATTGTGGAAGTCAGTGTGGCGATTCCTCAGGGATCTAGAACTAGAAATACCATTTGACCCAGCCATCCCATTACTGGGTATATACCCAAAGGACTATAAATCATGCTGCTATAAAGACACATGCACACGTATGTTTATTGTGGCACTATTCACAATAGCAAAGACTTGGAACCAACCCAAATGTCCAACAATGATAGACTGGATTAAGAAAATGTGGCACATATACACCATGGAATACTATGCAGCCATAAAAAATGGTGAGTTCATGTCCTTTGTAGGGACATGGATGAAATTGGAAATCATCATTCTCAGTAAACTATTGCAAGGACAAAAAACAAAACACCACATATTCTCACTCATAGGTGGGAATTGAACAATGAGAACACATGGACACAGGAAGGGGAACATCCCATTCTGGGGACTGTTGTGGGGTGGGGGAAGGGGGGAGGGATAGCATTAGGAGATATACCTAATGCTAAATGACGAGTTAATGGGTGCAGCACACCAGCATGGCACATGTATACATATGTAACTAACCTGCACATTGTGCACATGTACCCTAAAACTTAAAGTATAATAATAATAAATTAAAAAAAAAGAAAATATAGTCCTACACAATCTGTTACAATGGTGGTGTATTTTTACACTTTTTATAATACACATCTATGCATTCAGTCTTGACGTGTGTGTGTGTGTGTGTGTGTGTGTGTGTGTTTCTCAGTCAACTTCTCTGCTTACAGTGTCTATCACAATATATCCATTTCCCTATGAGAATCCATTTCTCTGTGAGAACATGTAAGAACTTCAGATGGTCTCTCATCTTAGCTGAACAGAAGAGTCTGTTGGGTTCTGACCACTTGCCTCAGGAAACACATCACTTGTATCCTCTCAAACATTTGACTGTTGAATAGCCAGCCACTCACTATGGAAACACCCCCCAAAGCATTCTCAATCCTTTGGATCTCGGCCCTTTTCTGGATCTATGAGGATGTCCATACTTAATAATTCTAGCAGAATGCAAATTGGCCAAACCTCACAAGCCTCATAGGAAGACCCTGTTTGCAAATGTCTTGCCACAGGTGGGTGACCAGGGGAGTCATTCCAATACCAGTCATTGCTGGAGGTTCCTGGGGTATTGTCCTCCAGTGATCCAGGATGGTCCAATATGACCTTTCACTCCAGCCTCCTTGTCAAAGCCCCAAGCTGCTGCTCTGCTTGCTGGTGTCGTCTGGGAAAAAGCTACCCTTTGGGGCTCAGAGACTCAGACTCCCCACTGAGCCCATGGTGGGCTGCAGGGTGGGACAGGAATCATGGGATAATTCTCATAAAATTGTGCCAGGTACACCGTCTGTTCCCAGTGGACACGACATTCCCTATTCTACACCTGGACACACTGCTCATTCAGGAAATAGTTGTGCATTTTTAGACTTCTTAAAAACAGGGGAAAAAAGAGTGGCTTTTCTGTGAGTGACATTTGTGTCACCTTGTTTAAGTATAAATGGAAAAGAATCCAAAACCACCAGATAAAATCCCTCAGACTTAGAAGTTGTTCAGATCCTCCGTGGCTATATGATGTTGCCTGTTGTCCACCAGAGGAACTTAGATTTCAAAATACTGCTGACAATTGGGAATGCTGTGACCTCAGATTAAAGTGCCCTGGCTGAAGCATTAGAACTAAAAGCAGACCCAGATCTGTAAAATCTGATGGGAGTCTGAGTTCATGTTAAACATCAGCCATGCATTATGAAATATTAGAAAAGTTAGAGATCCTCTAAACCAGCCTTCCCAGAGTATACTTTGCAGAATATGCAGAAGAGTGTAAGAGCTTTTTTTTTTTTTGAATGAAGTCTCGCTCTGTTGCCAGGCTGGAGTGCAGTGGCATGATCTTGGCTCACTGCAACCTCTGCCTCCTGGGTTCAAGTGATTCTTCTGCTTCAGCCTCCCCGGTAGCTGGGATTACAGGCATGTAAGGAAGCATCCTTCCTGGCATAGACCTGGGGGTGAGGAATATCAGTTGCTACAAGAAAGACACAAAACCATGCTCAGATGCTATTGGCCCATCTCTCCTACAAAGGCCTTAAAAGCCTGGAGGAAGGGTAACAAATACTGACGCTCCTAGGGGGCTGGTAAATCCAACACAGATGGAGAAAAAGGAACAAAAACTTGAAAAACAAAACAACAACAACAAAAAACCCTCTGATTCTGGGGAAGGGGCAGGAATATGTGCTGAGCCCAAAACTACTGCTGCGGGGAGGGACAGAGAGGCTTGGTCATACCCTTCAAGGCCCAGGGACACAGTACCTGCAGGAATCAGAACTGAGAATCACAACCAAGCACCTCACCTCTCAGATCCCACCACCCCGCTAATAAGCACTGACTAACAAGTAACGATGGAATACTCCTGGGAGAGCTACAAGTGTATGGAGAGAGAAACTGACAGCAGAGAAGACCTAAAGTTGAAGGTGGAGCAGACATTAGGGAAGACCTTTGGGCAAACAAGCCCATTTCCTAAACACAAGGTAAGATTTGAAGTGCCTGGTATAACTAAGGTCACCATAGCAACAAAAATCCCAAGGATCTAAACAAAGGAATAAAGACTGCAAGAAACGGTAATCACATGAGTAAGTATAAAAGCTTTTTTCCCCATATATATTTATATATATTATATATATTTATATATTATATATTTATGTATATTATATATATTTATATATTATATATATTTATGTATATTATATATTTATATATAATATATATTTATATATTATATATTTATATATTATATATTTATATATTATATATTTATATATTATATATTTATATATTATGTATATTTATATATTATATATTTACATATTATATATTTACATATTACATATTTACATATTACATATTTACATATATTTATATATTATATATTTACATATTATATATTTATATATTATATATTTATATATTATATATATAATATATCTTATATATTTATATATTGTATATATTTATATATTATATACATATTTATATATTATGTATATTTAAAGATAATTGTTTAAATTTTAAATAAGAACAATGTGTTGTGAAGTTTCTAATTTATAAAGAATTAAAATGTGTGACAACACGGCCAGGTGTGGTGACTCACACCTGTAATCGCACTTTGGGAGACCAGAGTGGAAGGATCACGTGAAGTCAGGATTTTGAGACCAACTTGGGCGACACAGTGAGACCTTGTCTCCACAAAAAATTAGCCACACATGGTGCCACACACCTGTGGTCCCAGCTATTTGGGAGGCTGAAAGTATTCTAAGTCGAAAATGCATTAAATTTACCTAACCTTCCAAACATCATGGCATAGTATAGTCTACCTTAAATGTGCTCAGAACACCTACATTAGCCTACAGTTGGGCAAATCATCTAATACAAAGCTTGTCTTATAATAAAGCATTGAGTGCCTCATGTAATTTATTGAGTATTTTGCTAAAAATGAAAAACAGAATGGCTGTATCAGTTGTTTACCCTTGGGATTGGGTGCTGACTGGAAGCTGAGGCTTGCTGCCACTGCCCAGAATTGTGAGAGAGTATCTTGTCCCATAGCAGTAGCTTGGGAAAAGATAAAAATTCAAAGTATGCCTTCTACTGAATGCATACAGACTTCACACCATTCTAAAGTTGAAAAATCATAAGTTAAACCATCCTAAGTTGATACCATTTGTTCTTGAACCATACTATCAATTGAAGGGGTGGCCTGCCCCTCCACACCTGTGGGTATTTCTAGTCGGGTGGGATGAGAGCCGGAGAAAAGAAATAAGACACAGAGACAAAGTATAAAGAAACAACAGTGAGTCCAGGGGACCGGCACTCAGCACACCAAGGACCTGTACCGGCACCAGCCTCTGAGTTCCCTCAGTTTTTATTGATTATTATTTTCATTATTTCAGCAAAAAGGAATGTAGTAGGACAGCAGGGTGATAATAAGGAGAAGGTCAACAAAAAACATGTGAGCAAAAGAATCTGTATCATAATTAAGTTCAAGGGAAGGTACTATGCCTGGATGTGCACATAGGCCAGATTTATGTTTCTCTCCACCCAAACATCTCAGTGGAGTAAAGAATAACAAGGCAGCATTACTGCAAACATGTCTCACCTCCCACCACAGGGCAGCTTTTCTCCTATTTCAGAGTTGAACAAATGTACAATCGGGTTTTACACCAAGACATTCAGTTCCCAGGGGCAGGCAGGAGACAGTGGCCTTCCTCTATCTCAACTGTAAGAGGCTTTCCTCTTTTACCAATCCACCTCAGCACAGACCCTTTATGGGTGTTGGGCTGGGGGACAGTCAGGTCTTTCTCATCCTACGAGGCCATATTTCAGACTGTCACATGGGGAGAAACCTTGGACAATACCCCGCTTCCAAGGGCAGGGCTCCCTGCAGCTTTCCGCAGTGCATTGTGCCCCTGGTTTATTGAGACTAGAGAATGGCGATGACTTTGACCAAGTATACTGCTTGTAAACATTTTGTTAACAAGGCACGTCCTGCACAGCCCTAGATCCCTTAAACCTTGATTTTATACAACACATGTTTTTGTGAGCTCCAAGTTGGGTCAAAGTGGCTGGGGCAAAGTGGCTGGGGCAAAGCTACAAATTAACATCTCAGCAAAGCAATTGTTTGAAGTACAGGTCTTTTTCAAAATGGAGTCTCTTATGTCTTCCCTTTCTACATAGACACAGTGACAGTCTGATCTCTCTTTCTTTTCCCTACATCAATTAGTTTAACCTAATTAACATTTATAGGTCACTGAATCCAACAATGAGAGAATACACACATTCTTCTCAAGTGCACACAGAACATTTAACAGGACAGTCCACTATTATGAGTTAAATTGTGTCCCTCCAAAATTCATATGTAGAAGTCTTGATATGGTTTGGCTGTGTCCCCACCCAAATCTCAACTTGAATTGTATCTCCCAGAATTCCCATGTGTTGTGGGAGGGACCCAGGGGGAGGTAATTGAATCATGGGGGCCGGTCTTTCCCATGCTATTCTCGTGATAGTGAATAAGTCTCATGAGATCTGATGGATTTATCAGGGGTTTCCGCTTTTGCTTCTTCCTCATTTTCTCTTGTCACTACCACGTAAGAAGTGCCTTTCACCTCTCACCATGATTCTGAGGCCTCCCCAGCCATGTGGAACTGTAAGTCCAATTAAACCTATTTTTCTTCCCAGTCTCAGATATGTCTTTATCAGCAGTGTGAAAATGGACTAATACAGTAAATTGCTACCAGTAGAGTGAAACGTTGCTGAAGATACCTGAAAATGTGGAACAACTTTGGAACTGGGTAACAGGCAGAGATTGGAACAGTTTGAAGGGCTCAGAAGAAGACAGGAAAATGTGGGAAAGTTTGGAACTTCCTAGAGACTTGTTGAATGGTTTTGCCCAAAATGCTGATAGTGATATGGACAATAAGATCCAGGCTGAGGTGGTCTCAGATGGAGATGAGGAACTTTTTGGGAACTGGAGCAAAGGTGCCTCTTGTTATGTTTTAGCAAAGAGACTGGCCACATTTTGCCCCTGCCCTAGAGACTTGTGGAACTTTGAACTTGAGAGATTATTTAGGGTATCTGGTGGAAAAAATTTCTAAGCAGCAAAACATTCAAGAGGTGATTTGGGTGCTATTAAAGGCGTTCAGTTTTATAAGGGAAGCAGAGCATAAAAGTTTGGAAAATTTGCAGCCGGACTATGTGACAGAAAAGAAAAACCCATTTTCTGGGGAGAAATTCAAGCTGGTTGCAGAAATTTGCATAAGTAGCAAGAAGCCTAATGTGAATCCCCAAGACCATGGGGAAATGTCTCCAAGGCCATGTCAGAGACCTTCACAGCAGCCTCTCCCATCACAGGCTTGGAGGCCCAGGAGGAAAAAGGGGTTTTGTGGGGCAGGCCCAGGGTCCCCATGTTGTGTGCAGCCTAGTGACTTGGTGCCCTCTGTCCCAGCTGCTCCAGCCATGGCTGAAAGGGGCCAATGCATAGCTTGGGCTATGGTTCAGAGGGTGGAAGCTGTGGGGCCCTCAAGGAGAACCTCTTAGGGCAGTGCAGAAGGGAAATGTGGGATCAGAGCCCCCACACAGAGTCCCTATCGGGGCACTGCCTAGTGCAGCTGTGAGAAGAGGGCCTTTGTCCTCCAAACCCCAGAATGGTAGATCCACTGACAGCTTGCACTGGGTGCCTGGAAAAGCTGCAGACACTCAACACCAGCCCATGAAAGCAGCCTGGAGGGAGGCTGTACCCTGCAAAGCCACAGGGGTGGAGCTGCCCAAGACCATGGAAACCTACCTTTTGCATTAGCGTGACCTGGATGTAAGACCTGGAGTCAAAGGAGATCATTTTGGAGCTTTAAAATTTGACTCCCTCACTGGATTTCAGACTTGCATGGGCCCTGTAACCCCTTTGTTTTGGCCAATTTCTCCCATTTGGAATGGCTTTATTTACCCAATACCTGTACCCCCATTGTATCTAGGAACTAACTAGCTTGCTTTTGATTGTACAGGCTCATAGGCGGAAGGCCTTGTCTCAGATGAGACTTTGGACTGTGGACTTTTAGGTTAATGCTGAAATGAGTTAAGACTTTGAGGGACTATTGGAAAGGCATGATTGGTTTTGAAATGTGAGGACATGAGATTTGGAAGGACCAGGGACAGAATGATATGGTTTGGCTGTGTCCCCACTCAAATCTCAATTTTAATTGTATCTCCCAGAATCCCCACATATTGTGGGGAGGGGGGGACCAAGGAAGAGGTAATGTATTCATGGGGGCTGGTCTTTCCCGTGCTGTTCTCATGACAGTGAATAAATCTCATGATATCTGGTGGGCTTATCTATCAGGGGTTTCTGCTTTTGCTTCTTCCTCATTTTCTCTTGCCGCCACCATGTAAAAAGTCCCTTTCGCCTCCCACCATGATTCTGAGGCCTCCCCAGCCATGTGGAATTGTCCAATTAAACCTCTTTTTCTTCCCAGTCTCAGGTATGTCTTTATGAGCAGCGTGAAAATGGACTAATACAAGTCTTAACCCCAAGTATCTCAGAATGTGACTATATTCGGAGATAGGGTCTTTAAGAGGTAAAACGAGTTCAAAGAGTAGGCACTAATCCTACCTGACTAATGTCCTTATAAGAAGAGGAGATTAGGACAGACAAAGGCATGCACAGAGGGATGACCATGTGAAACAAAGGTGTCTACTAGCCAAGGAGAGAGGCCTTAGAAAGAACTAACCCGGGCCGGGTGCAGTGGCTCACGCCTGTAATCTCAGTACTTTGGGAGGCCGAGGCGGGTGTATTACCTGAGATCAGGAGTTTGAGATCAACCTGGCCAACATGGTGAAACCCCGTCTCTACTAAAAATACAAAAATTAGCCAGGTGCAGTGAGAGGCACCTGTAATCCCAGCTACTCGGGAGGCTGAGGCAGGAGAATCGCTTGAGCCTGGGAGGCAGAATTTGCAGTAAGCCGAGATCACACCACTGCATCCCAGCCTGGGTGACAGAAAGAGACTCTGTCTCAAAAAAAAAAAAAAAAAAGGAAAAAGAAAAAACCAACCCGGCTGACACTTTGATCTCACATGTCTGGTTTCCAGAATTATAAGAAAGCAAATGTCTGTGGTTTAATTACCCAGTCTGTGGCACTTTGTTATGTCAGTCCTGAAAACTAATGTAACCAACCATAGTCTTGGTCAAAAAACAAATATCAATAAATTTGTAAGATTTAAGTCCATAATTATGTTTTCAACCACAGTGGAATTAAAAATCAATAAAAGAAAGATATCTGAAAAACTATATGTTTGGAAATGAAATAATGCTATTTTAAATAACCATGAGTCGAGGAGATAGCAAAAGGAAATTAGGAAGTCTTTCTAATTATATGAAAATGAAAACATATTAAACTTGTGGGATCCAACTAAAGTAGTAATTAGAGGGACGTTCATAACAGTAAACCTGTTTATTAGAGATGAAGAAAGATTTTATACCACTGGCCTCAACTTCCATCTTTTTTTTTTTCTTTTTTTTTTTTTGAGACAGAGTCTAGCTCCTGTCACCCAGGCTGGAGTGCAGTGGCGTGATCTCAGCTCACTGTAACCTCCACCTCCCGGGTTCAAGCGATTCTCCTGCCTCAGCCTCCCGAGTAGCTGGGATCACAGGTGCCCACCACCACACCCAGCTAATTTTTGTATTTTTAGTAGAGACGGAGTTTCACCATGTTGGCCAGGCTGGTCTTGAACTCCTGACCTCAGGTGATCCTCCCACCTCAGCCTCCTAAAGTGCTGGGATATCCCAGGCAAGTTCCATCTTTGAAAACTATTGAAAGAGGAGCAAATAAAACACAAGTTAAGTAGAAGAAAGAAAATAATAAAGATCAGGTAGAAATGAATAAAACAGAAAACATAAGAACAATGAAGGAACTCGATGAAATGAAATTTTTTTTTTTTTCTTGAAAACATGAATAGAATTGATCAACCTCCAGCCAAACTTATCAGGGAAAAAAGAGAGAAAATACAAATTATTAATATTAGCAGGGAAATAAGAGAGAAAATACAAATTATTAATATTAGTAATAAAAGAAGTGACATCACTACCTATACTACAGATATTGTAAGACAAGGGATTGTTATGAAAAGCTTTATGCTAATAAATCCAACAACTTAGTTGAAATAAAAACCTTTTTTTTTCCTCTTCTTTTCTTTTTTTTAGACACAGGGTCTGGCTTTGTCACCCAGGCTAGAGTGCAGTCGCTTGATCGCAGCTCACTACAGTCTTGACCTCTCAGGCTCAAGCAATCCTCCTGCTTCAGCCTCCCAAGTAGCTGGGACTACAGGCATGTGCCACCATGCCCAGCTAATTTAAAAAATTTTTAATAGTGGCAGGGTCTCCCTGTGTTGCCCAGGCTGGACTTGAACTTCTGGCCTCAAGTGACCCTCCCACCTTGGCCTCCCAAAGTGCTTGGATTATAGGCATGAACCACTGTACCAGCCAGAAAACGTTTTTTGAAAATAATAAACTATGATACTGCGATATAATAATATATCTTTGGTCTCTGTCCCAGTTTCTAAGACAGAGCTCCTAAAATCCTTATATGCCAGAGTTCTAGGAGAATCTTTTGTTTTAATACTTGGTCTTTGACCCTGGTTCCTGAAACAGAGCTCCTAAATCCCTTGGAATTTCCAGGGTAAGAGGAGCAGCTTTATTTTATTTATTTTTTTTTTTTTGAGACGGAGTCTCCTTCTGTCGCCCGGGCTGGAGTGCAGTGGCGCGATCTCCGCTCACTGCAAGCTCCACCTCCTGGGTTCACACCATTCTCCTGCCTCAGCCTCCCGAGTAGCTGGGACTACATGCACCTGCCACCACGCCTGGCTAATTTTTTTATATTTTTAATAGAACTGGGTTTCACTGTGTTAGCCAGGATGGTCTCCATCTCCTGACCTCGTGATCCGCCCGCCTCGGCCTCCTAAAGTGCTGGGATTACAGGCGTGAGCCACTGCGCCCGGCTATGTGCTTAAAATCCTAGACTCTCAAGGCAGACAAGATTTATGGTCAGGTTTCGGTATTTATTATCTAAGTGACTCTGGGCAACTCCCTTCTTTGTGCTTAGTTTCTCCATCTGCGAAATGGGGCAGCGATAATAACAACAGTGTCCATATAGAGTGGCTATGGCGCTTAAATGGAATAAGAAGAGTGCCTGGCACACAGTCTATACCCACTTAATTATCGTCTTTTGAATAAACTGTCTCAAAGATCAGAAAGCAGGTAGTTGCTGAAACTAGGTTGACTGGCACAAGTTAACCCTCACTTTTCACCATAAAAATTCCATTCTGAAACACACTGCAAGCTTTGGTTAAGTTTACTTGATTAGTGTTTGGAGCAACATAGTAAGACAAAATAGTTGTAGCCAAAGTTATTTTTCAGAAAATAATTTGAGGCTAGGCTGAAAGCCCTCAATCTAGTGATAAGGAGGGTCTCCTAATATACTGCTTAAATGTGTATTCCCCACTGGGACTCAAGCCCTGTCAAAACATCGTTGTTTTGACAGACAATCCAATTAATAGAGGAAGGAGATAAGACATTAAAAGGTTGCCTGTCAGCGTTGTTGAGCCGTGGGCCGTGGCTTACGCCTGTAATCCCAATGGTTGGCTAACGCAGGAGGATCATTTGAGGCCAGGAACTCGAGACCAGCCTGGGCAACACAGCGAGACCTCCTCTCTACATAAAATAAAATAAAATAGCTGGGCGTGGTGGCACGCGCCTTTGGTCCCAGCTACTCAGGAGGCTAAGGTGGGAGACTCACTTGAGGCCAGGAGGTCGAAGTTGCAGTGAGCCGAGATCACGCCACTGCACTCCAGCCTGGGTGATAGAGCGAGACCCTGACTCCAAAAAAAAAAAAAAAACGATATTGTGTGTTTTTTGTTCCAGGATTTTCTGGTCTGTAAAACCACCTGGGGCCAGGCACAGTGGCTCACGCTTGTAATCCCAGATCTTTGGAAGGCCGAGGCGGGCGGATCACCTGGGGTCAGGAGTTTGAGACCAGCTTGGCCAACACGGTGAAACCTGGTCTCTACTAAAAATACAAAAAATTAGCCGGACGTGGTGGCGCACATCTGTAATCCCAGCTACTGTGGAGGCTGAGGCAGGAGAATCGCCTGAACCCAAGTTTGCAGTGAGCCGAGATCACGCCATTGCCCTCCAGCCTGGGCGACAGAGTGAGACCCTGTCTCAAAAACAAAAACAAAAACAAACAAACAAAAACAAAGAAAGAAAAAGAAAAAAGAAAATAAAAAAACACACTGGGAGTGGGCATTATTATGTCCGTTTTACAGCTGAAGAATCCAAGGCTCCTAGAGGTTCCCCGACGCCGCACGCCGGGGAGTCGGCAGCGCGAGCTCCCAGCCAGACCTAGCGCCTCTGGGCTGTGCTCCTGTTGCTTCCCGCAAACCGCGGTCCTGGCGAGGCCTGGGCGTGGAGCGCGGCTGCCGCAGACTCCCTGGGAAGACATGGAGTCAGGGTGCTTAGGGGTTTTTAGGCTCCTGCTCGCCTAGTGGCTGGCTTTCTCCCGGCTGAGAAGCGTCTCTGGGTTCCCAGAAAGGTACCCGAGCTGTTAGAAAAGAGGAGACCCTGGGCCGGGCGCAGTGGCTCACGCCTGTAATCCCAACACTTTGGGAGGCCGAGGCGGGCGGATCACAAGGTCAGGAGATCGAGACCAGCCTGGCCAACAGGGTGAAACCCCGTCTCTACTAAAATACAAAAATTAGCTGGGCGTGGTGGCGGGCGCCTGTAACCCCAGCTACTCGGGAGGCTGCGGCAGGAGAATCGCTTGAACCAGGGCAGTGAGCCGAGATCCCGCCACTGCACTCCAGCCTGGCGACAGAGCGAGACTTTGTCTCAAAAAACAAAACAAAACAAAACAAAACAAAAGAAATAAAAAGAAAAGAAATAAAAGAGGAGACCCTGGCCGGGCTCGGTGGCTCACGTCTATAATCCCAGCACTTTGGGAGGTCGAGGCGGGCGAATCACGAGGTCAGGAGCTCGAGACCAGCCTGGCCAATATGGTGACACCCCGTCTCTACTAAAAATACAAAAATTAGCCGGGTGTGGTGGTGCATGCCTGTAATCCCAGCTACTCGGGAGGCTGAGGCAGAAGAATCGCTTGAACCCGGGAGGCAGAGGTTGTAGTGAGCCGAGATCGCGCCACTGCACTCCACCCTGGGCGACAGAGCGAGACTTCGTCTCAAAAAGAAAAGAAAAAGAAAGGAGGAGACCCAGGGTATGAGCGGAGGAGGCCGGCGCTGCCGGGACCACGCGCGTGCGGTAAACGGTCCCAGAGGCCCGGGCCCCGGCGGCTGCGCCGAGTCCCCGCCCCTCCCTGCTCCGTAGGGGTAGGAGGGGGCCGGCGGAGTTTCCCTCCCCGCCCAGCGGCCCTGGGCGGGCTTTTCGGCTGCTTCTCATAAGCAGGTGGTTTCGTTTCTCCGGCACAGGTAGGTTTCTCTGGCACCGATTCGGGGCCTGCCCGGACTTCGCCGCACGCTGCAGAACCTCGCCCAGCGCCCACCATGCCCCGGCAGCTCAGCGCGGCGGCCGCGCTCTTCGCGTCCCTGGCCGGTGAGTGGCCCTCAGCGCTTCCCGCGGTGGCCCTGACGTGTCGGTCCCCTTTCATCTAAACGCACTCTGGAGTCCCGGGCGCCACAGGACGGGCTGCGGGTAGGGAGGTGTGGCGCGTCCAAGGGCTTCCCAGCTGGAACTTGTTTTCCGTGAGTTACTCAGAGCAGGTGTCAACCCCAAAGACAGTGACACTGTCCCTCGCTTCCAAAAGGGTTCTGGACACCTTCTCAGGGAGAGTTTGTAGAGGTCACTCGGATTTAAGAGATGGAGACCTGAGCTAGGGTTTAGGAATGGGAGTCTTGGCTTTGTTATCCGGGAAAAGCGCTCCTGTCTTGCTTTTCCTTGCATCAGATGTGGTCTGACAGATTGTGCCATTTCAGAAAGGTGTAGGAAGAGTGTCAAAGACTTTTTTTTTTTTAAATGATCATTGTACTTCCCATCCCAGATGCCGTCTGGGACGCTGAGTTTATGATTATTTTATGATCCGACCCTCCGCTTTCTCCAGAGCTTTTCCCCCTAGACATTGAGTCCTCGGGTGCTGTGGTGTTGTCCCTGTGATGAAGTTTCCTGGTTACTCGAACGTCATGAGAGAACTGTCTCCGTCCCTACCGCCCGGCTAACATGCTCAAGCAGGGGGCGCGGTGGCCCTTGCTTGTAACATGAATGCTAGGAATGTTAGGGAAGAGGTGAGAAGGGTCGTGCCAGCTGCCCTTGCCTAGGCAGTTCTCCCCTGCGCCACACTTTCACACTTACAGTTTCAGGTTCTTTTAGGGGACAGAAGAGGAAGTCATCATCACGCTCCACAGGGCAAGCTATTAAAAAAGCAAAACAATCTCAGCCTAGCGGTAACCCACAGTGACCTGTATGTGAGCGCTCCTTGAATGGATGGATAGGCTCAGAAACACAATGGTATTGACAGGCCAGGCGTGGTGGCTCACACCTGCAATCCCAGCACTTTGGGAGGCTGAGGCCGGCGGATCACTTGAGGTCAGGAGTTCGAGACTAGCCTGGCCACCGGTGAAACCCCGCCTCTACTAAAAATACAGAAATTAGCCGGGCATGGTTGTGGGCGCCTGTAATCCCAGGTACTCGGGAGACTGAGGCAGGAGAATCACTTGAACCCAAGAGGCGGAGGTTGCAGTAAGCCAAGATCATGCCACTGCACTCCAACCTAGGTAACAGTGAGACTCTGTCTCAAAAAAAATAAATAAATAAAAATAAAAATACAGTGAGTATTGACAAATGCAAGGGCAAGTGGAGAGAAAATGCCCACATTACCGGTTCCTTTCTGAGCTACAAATTCTCAGAGGTGAGCTAGGTGAAGGATGCATCAGAGGTTTCTTCCTCAGAGGTGGAGGCCTTTGAGGGGTGGCACGGAACTGGATTCAAACCCTTGCCCTGACCCTTCCCAGCAGGGAGGCCTTGTTCACATCACCCAACCTTTCGGGTGCTCAGTTCCCTCACTGAAAAATGGGGAGAATAATATCCTCTGCTAGGAGTACTGGGGAAACAAATGAGGTAGCACCTGGACAGCAATTACTGCAGTGATTTTGCTCAGTGATGTTAACTCGTATCTCCTGTTTGTCCCTCCAGTCCCTCTCCCATTCACCTCACAACCTGACCTTGAGCCCCTTCTTCACTCAGTACAGGGCTCATCAGCACATGGTAATTAACAATGATGGACATGGCTTCCTGGCACTCTCTGCATGCCAGGCACTGTTCGCAGTGCTTTAATCCACAAAACAGCTTTGTAAGTACTGCTATTGTCTCCGTTTTACTTGCGAGGAAATAGAAGCACAAAGAGGTTAAATAACTTGCCCCTGATCACATAGCTAGCTGGTGACAGAGTCGAGCTTTGAACCAGAGTCTGTGCCCATAGCAGCTAACCTATGTGCTTTACTCATACATCTACTTACCTATAACTTATTTAGTCTCATAAGAACCCTGAAAAGTAGGTGCTATTCTTATCCCTATTTTACAGATGGCGGTACTGAGGCAGAGGCAGGTTAAGGAATTGTTCATGGTCTCCCAGTTAGTGAGTAGCATTCCTGAGACTGGCATTCAAGACATCTGGCCTTGGCTGGGCACAGTGACTCACACCTGTAATCCCAGCACTTTGGGATCCTGAGGTGGAAGGTCGCTTGAGGCCAGGAGTTTGAGACCAGCCTGGACAACATAGTGGACTGTGTCTCAAACAAAACAAAACAAAAACGAAGTCTGGCCTTGGGGTTCAGGCTCTACGCTACTGTGCTACATGATCCTGCATGCATAGGCTCAAGAAATCCTTGTTGAATTGGAAATGAGCAAAAATCATCAGAAAGTTTTGCTAGGAGAGACGGAGCTTTTGGGTAAACTCTCTGAGTAATCTTTACCCAGTCAACTTGCTTCCCTGATCTCAAATTTTTCCTCCAGAAAATGAGGGGATTTAAGTTCACGTCAGTTAAGTTTAGGTTCAGTTACACGTAAGACACAAGCCAAAATAACAGTAGATTAAACAAGATAGTTGCTTGTTACTCTTTCATGTGAAAACATGTCCAGAGAAATTCAGGTCAGTTCTAGTGTGGGAGTGCTTCACTGGAGATCCGTCATTAGGATCCGACATATAGGTATGTGACTTCTACCCTCAAGGCCTCCTCACGGTTCCACATGTTGGCTGGAGCTCCAGCCATCACATACAAGTTGCAGGTTGGTCAAAGGAGGAAAAACAGAAGGGCTGTAGAAAGGCAGTCCACACAGGTGATTGAGCTGCCTTCACCCAGCCTTCCCAGAAGGCCCACATGATCTTAACACTTCCCTTCTTTTGCTAAAACTCAGTCATATGCTCCCACCCAGCTAGAAAGGAGGTTTAGACATAGAACTCTTTATTCCAGGCAACAAGTGCTCAGCTGAAACTTGAGGTACTGTTAGAAAGAAGGGGAGACTGGGTTTTGGAATAGTCAGCCAGCAGTCTGTCACAGGGATAGTGGCCCTTCTGCTCTAGGATTTCCTTGACTCTCTCTGCTGCACCCTGCTGGGGCTGCTTCTGCTGCCCCTAGAGGTGCCAGAAAACATGCTGGGGGCTAAACTGTGATTCCCTGAACCTGGACATGGCCGTGGGGCTCCAATGACTCCCTGACTGTGCTCCTCAGAGCTCTGCAGACAGTGTGTAGTCTCCAAGGCCTGCCAGGCCTGCTCCCTGCTGGTCTCCCCTCCTCACCCCTCCCTTCCCATACCGTCCCTGTGTTCCCGTCATGCTGACCCCTTGCTGTTCTCCAGACATACAAGACTTCTGAAGCCTCTGCGCCCTTACACATTCTCTTCCTCCTGTCTGGAAACCATCTCCTCCTTTGTCTGCCTGAAGAATTTATCCTTGTGTTGGATTCCCACCCTACCCACACTCTCATAGTATCTGGGGATTTGATAAAGACACTTGTCAGTCGGGCACAGTGGCCAATGCCTGTAATCCCAGCACTTTGGGAGTCTGAGGTAGGCAGATCACTTAATCCTAGGAGTTTGAAACCAGACTGGGCAACATGGTGAGACTGTACAAAAAATGCAAAAATTAGCTTGACATGGTGGCACATGCCTGTAGTCGCAGCTACTGGAAAGGCTGAGGTGGGAGGATCGCTTGAACCCAGGAAGCTGAGGCTACAGTGAGCCCTGAGCATGCCACTGCACTCCATCCTGGGTGACAGAGTGAGACCCTGTCTCAAGGAGAAAAAAAAAACAAAAACAAAGACAAAAAAAAACACTTGTCACACTGAGAAGTGTGGTTTACTCATGTGTCTGCCTCACAGGGCCCCTGAGAACAAAGACCTACCCCCAGTGCCTGGTACAGAGCCTGCCTGAGAGGAGACCCGTACATACTGTTGAGTGGTGTGGCAGGGAAACCAACCAAAGGCTGTCTGGGAAGGGACTGGCTGTCAGGAAAATACCTAGAAACAATCCCTTGTGAGATCACTGACTTTCTCAGGGGACTGGGCAATGACTCATCTCACACCCACTGGTTGTAGGGGAACCAAAACCTTCTAACGCCTCTTCATGCAAATTTCCATCTAGTGGAGTCCAAGCAATGGATCAAGGCCCTGGGGTGCTTGTTTGCCAAGTCTCCTGAATTTTGGAGAGGGGAGGCTGGGGTGGGGTGGGGTGGGGGTGGGCAGATGAGTGTGTGAACACCAGCACTATGTTCTGTGTATAGAGGGAGGGTCCAGACAAAGTCTGGGCTATGCCTGCCCTTGCTTCTGCCCACTGCCCTCTTTCTAGGCCTCAGACAAACCTGTGACCTTGACTAAACCTCTATAGGGCCAAACATCCCATTTAAAAACTGTGACCCAATTTCGACAGAAATCAGTCATATATGTGTGGTCGTATACATAGACCATGTGTGTGGTCATATACATTATAGAGTAGCTCTCATGGTCTTTCTGAGCTACTTTACAATGCAGAGATACCTACCCCAGTTGAATCACCTGCCTATCTTTTATACCCCACACAGGGAGAAGAGGAGAGTGGGAAGGGCCAGAGGAGGGAAGGAGAAGGGGTGAGAACTATACTTCTCTGACAGGTTCAATCTCCAACACCCATGAACTTGGCACTTTTGGTTGAGCCATTTGCCAGCCCAGCCTTCTGTCTACCACCCAGAGACACACCTACACCTACACACCGTATCAAGACATCTCAACTGCCATCACCTCTAGCCACCCCACCAAGGCTTCCTACATAGGAAGCACACCTTGACCGGGTACCACATATCTTCTTGGCTTGTTTAGGATGCCGTTCATTTGTGAACAATTAAGTCCTTTTTTTATTTATTTGAGTTCATTCATTACCACTGAGAGAAGAGTTCTAGTTGCATCTTGAGGAAGGCTTTTTTTGTTTTTTTTAAGGGTGCACTACTGAGTTTAGGAAACTGAACTCAGTTGAGAAGATTCTCTTTAGCTTATAAACACCAGCCATACACAGTAGGATTTTATCAAGGATATAATCACTTCCCCAAGAGAACAACTGGCAAGTGTTTTCTAGTCTCCTGGAGGTCTCTGTAGCAATCTTTACTTTTCACCACGAGATATTCCTGGAAGCCACAGTTGAGAGTGAATTCTCTTTCTCCATTGTAATAGTATGAATCTAATGGGGCTTTCGTTGGTGTTTGACCAGAGAACCAGCAACGCGGGTTTTACCCAAATGAATTGCTAAAATAAATCTTCAACAACACTCAACCTCCATTATAATCTCAAAGTGAAAAATCTTTCTCCAAGCTCCATGACATGGGCATAAAAGTTCTACGTGCAGGGATTTTACAAAAGTTTGTAGGTAAACCTATAGCCCATCAAACCTACCACTCTCAAGTATCATGCATTTAACTTATCCAAATGGATATTTTCGATTTAAAAAAAAGACCCTTAAAGAATGATCTCAAATAACTTAATGTCATTAATAGTCATCGGTCTTTTTATAAGGTTATCAAGGCAATTTGAACTGGTGCTTTGGTCTTTCCTATTTTGCAAACCAGCTGTACAGAAATAATTCACAGGTCTTACTACTGGGCTTAAAGTTAGAACTTTTCTTCTGGAAAATAATCCCCTTTTCAGCACATGAACTTTTGAAACCCTCACCAAGGATCATCATTATGAGGTTTTCATGAATTGGGGTCACTGGAGGGCACCCTCCTGTTCCTCTCTCCTCTGCTTTTGTGTCTTCTCTCACCATTCTTCCCAGCGACACCCCACCTCCACCACCCCTCAAACCCAAGGGCAAGCTTTGATTCAGATGTACCGGTGCTCAAGTCTCCGCCCCAACTTTGACCAGTTGTGTCATTATGGTCAAATGGCTGAAATTTTCCAAGCCTGAGTTTCCTCATTTGAAAGATGGATAAAGTAGTACCCACCAAAGTGTTTTTGAGAGAAGTTGGTAAAAGATGACCCTTGACCTAAGGCCTTCTATGTAGTAAGTGTCCAGTAACTTGGAATTTTTATTGTTATTAATATGAGAAAAGTAACCACTTAGAAGTGTATTGAATGGTGGAGGGAGATAGAAAAGGCATATATGAATTATTTTTACTGGGTATGAACTTTAGGACTTTGTAAATACTAGCATAGCGTGATCTCCTTTCCCTTTCTCAGCCCAGCACAGGACAGCTCCAGCTCTCCTGAGAGTCTGTGGGTAAACACTGAGAAACCACAAAATTGAAGGGACGCAGGCATCTCTCAGTGTGCCTGACCACAGACTCCTAAAGACATCGTCTGTTTGTTGTTGTTGTTGTTGTTTTTGAGACAGCGTTTTGCTTTTATTGCCCAGGCTAGAGTGCAATGGCATGATCTCAACTCACTGCAACCTCAGCCTCCCGGGTTCAAGCTATTCTCTTGCCTCAGCCTTCCAAGTAGCTGGGATTACAGGCACTGTGTCACCATGCCCAGCTAATTTTTCTATTTTTAGTAGAGGTGGGATTTCACCATGTTAGCCAGGCTGGTCTTGAACTCCTGACCTCAGGTGATCTGCCCACGTTGGCCTCCCAAAGTGTTGGGATTACAGGCGTGAGCCACCGCGCCCGGCCCAACATCTGTGTTTTGTCCACTTTTCTGGATCCCTATGTGCCTGGAAGGAGGCAAGGATAGACCTGTTCTAGTTGGAAAAGAACGGAGGACCTCTGCCCTTAAGGACAGCCTCTGGAGAGAACCTGTGACAACAGTAGACACCGTCTGTGTGCTTAATGGTCCATGAAGAGTTTTACTTAAACCAACTCATGTGAGCCTTACAATAATCCTAAAAGGCCTACAATGCTGTTGTCCTCATTAACACATTCTGTCATTTTTTCGTTCGACCCATATTTACTGAACACTGTCTATGTGCAGGCACTGACGGTAAAAATGGTACACACAGTTTCCACCTTCACGGTGCTCTTAATCTACTAGGAAAGTTCCACAACCAACAAATAAACCAATAAGCAAACATTTAATCAGGGAAAATATTTGGCTGGTACATACTGGCCAGGCTGATTGTTAAATATTTGAATACCATCCCCATATATACTTACAAGTTGTAATTAATGCAGTGAAAGCAATGAATTTAACACTGCAGTGGAGAATCATGGATATGGGGAACTATTTTATATAAGGAGGACAAGGAAGATGCTCTGAGGAGCTGCCATGAAAGCCAGAACACAAAGGACAACCCACCTGAAATATCAGAGCAGTTATGACTTCTCTTTCTTGGTTGAGAAAGACTGGGCCACTCCAAAAGTTAAGTACGAAAATGACAGGAATTGGTCTGTATTGAGAAAACAACAAGTGACAAGATAAAAAATGGAAAGGACTGTATTGTGAAGAGATGAGTCTCCTGTCATTGGGAACAGTTAAGTCTAGATTGGATGAACGCATGGCAAAGATCTGTAGGTGTAATTCAAACATCAGATTAGGGTTTGGGGTGGGGCACGGTGGCTCACGCCTATAATCCCAGCACTTTGAAAGGCTGAGGCAGGCGGATCACAAGATGAGTTTGAGACCAGCCTGGACAACATGGTGAAACCCCATCTCTACTAAAAATACAAAAATTAGCCGGGCGTGGTGGCAGGTGCCTTTAATCCCAGCTACTCACGAGGCTGAGGCTGGAGAATCGCTTGAACCCAGGAGGCAGAGGTTGCAGTGAGCCGAGATTGTGCCACTGTACTCCAGCCTGAGCAACAGAGCAAGACTCTGTCTCAAAAAAGAAAAAAAAGATTGGAGTTTGGACTAGATGACTTTTAAGACCCCTTTCAAACCTGGGATTATATGATTCTGTGAAAACTGTGTAACTCTGTAAATCTTTATTACCATCATTCATGCTGCCCCAGCTCTATCAGGTCATACAGCAGCTGTTCACCCAGGAACACTATTTTATGTCAGCTGTCCGGATCCACATTTGAAGGTGGAGAATGAAGAGGCATTGACACTTAGATATCTAGCTGAGCATGATCACTTTGGCGTGTATTAGTACCACACCTCACACAGGCAAAGGGGCTGGGTGCTGTGGAACTGTCATAACCCTGTAAAAGGCATGGATACAACCAGAACATTACAATTGTGTCCTGGGGGTAGAATCTTTGGTGATGTTTGCTTCATTGTTGTACCCTTGCAAATTTCCCCCAAGTATAAAAATATGCATGTTAGGTTTTTTTATGAACAGACATTAAGATGGGGATGGGAGAGGGAACCTTGTAAGCAATCGGTTAGTGTTTTTAACACTTTTATTTCCTAATTTTCAGTAATTTTGCACGATGGCAGTCAAATGAGAGCAAAAGCATTTCCAGAAACCAGAGATTATTCTCAACCTACTGCAGCAGCAACAGTACAGGACATAAAAAAACCTGTCCAGCAACCAGCTAAGCAAGCACCTCACCAAACTTTAGCAGCAAGATTCATGGATGGTCATATCACCTTTCAAACAGCGGCCACAGTAAAAATTCCAACAACTACCCCAGCGACTACAAAAAACACTGCAACCACCAGCCCAATTACCTACACCCTGGTCACAACCCAGGCCACACCCAACAACTCACACACAGCTCCTCCAGTTACTGAAGTTACAGTCGGCCCTAGCTTAGCCCCTTATTCACTGCCACCCACCATCACCCCACCAGCTCATACAACTGGAACCAGTTCATCAACCGTCAGCCACACAACTGGGAACACCACTCAACCCAGTAACCAGACCACCCTTCCAGCAACTTTATCGATAGCACTGCACAAAAGCACAACCGGTCAGAAGCCTGTTCAACCCACCCATGCCCCAGGAACAACGGCAGCTGCCCACAATACCACCCGCACAGCTGCACCTGCCTCCACGGTTCCTGGGCCCACCCTTGCACCTCAGCCATCGTCAGTCAAGACTGGAATTTATCAGGTTCTAAACGGAAGCAGACTCTGTATAAAAGCAGAGATGGGGATACAGCTGATTGTTCAAGACAAGGAGTCGGTAAGTTGGGGCCACAGGACTATAACACTATCTTCAAAAAGTCTGAGTGGAGGTTGCCTTGCTAGGAATGAGCATTCCCCACATCCTGTGTCTTTAAATGAAACCAATAGCTGTGAGCTCATCTCTCTCCAAGGTGCTCCATTAAAAGGTGATTATGTTTTAGGATATACATGAAAATAGAAACTAATAGCAACTGTTTGGAGAGAGGAAGGCAAACAAAACTTTAAATATTCACACACCTCACTTTTAGCCAACATGGGCAGAGTGTCGTAGAATGTTCAGCGTTGATCTCAGCCCCTCCCTCCCACTCCAGAAGACTTAAAAGCCTCATATCCTTTCCCGTGAAATGAGAGATTTAAGTCAGATGGTCTCTATGGTTCCGGGCAGTTTTGACATTAATGTGGAAATCCACATGAACAAGAAAACCGAGGGAGAGGGATTGCGATTATTTGATATACTAAAGGAATCACTAAAACAATATTTTCTTTCTTTTTTTTTTTTTTTTTTGAGACGGAGTCTCGCTCTGTTGCTCAGGCTGGAGTGTAGTGGCACAGTCTTGGCTCACTGCAACCTCCACCTCCCTGGTTCAAGCGATTCTCCTGCCTCAGCCTCCTGAGTAGCTGGGATTACAGGCACCTGCCATCACACCCGGCTAATTTTTGTATTTTTAGTAGAGACGGGGTTTCACTAAGTTGGCCAGGCTGGTCTCGAACTCCTGACCTCATGATCTGCCCGCCTTGGCCTCCCAAAGTGCTGGGATTACAGGCATGAGCCACCATGCCCGGCCAATAATATTTTCTCTTTCTGCAAACTTTAATGATTTCAAATAAAACTTCCACATCTAGGTTGCCATTTGAGACAGAGGTACCTTACAGAGCAAACCCTTCCCTCTAGTATCATTTAACATGTTTAACTTAACATAAATTCCATGCAGCTTATCAGGAACATACCTGCCATCAATTATTTACAAAAGAACTCCTCTCTGTGGGAGAACTCCTCTTTAAGAAAGCTTTTGAACATAACAGTTTGAAAACGAGAGGTGTTGTCTGGGGACTTTGCAGTTCTCCAGCGAATCCTCAGCCTTAAGTTTCAGGCTCACAAACTAGCCTGTGCATCTGGTTCCCTAGCTAGAGTTTTCCTCTACATCTCATTTAGCTGATCTATCTAACTTGATTTAGGTTTTTTCACCTCGGAGATACTTCAACATCGACCCCAACGCAACGCAAGCCTCTGGGAACTGTGGCACCCGAAAATCCAACCTTCTGTTGAATTTTCAGGGCGGATTTGTGAATCTCACATTTACCAAGGTGAGGCCTGAGCTCCTTTGCACAAACTGCATCTGGTACAGCTTTCCCTCTCCCTCATCCTGGGGCCAGGTGGTGCAACCCCACACTTCAGTTTGAGATCTTTGCTGATAAGAATGAGGGGTTTGGGGATGGAGAGGAGGAAGTGTCAACATCTTATGTTTGTCTTCTTCCCCCTTCAGCCTCCTTCTGTGCAGCCCAAAAAGGGCTTCAGGGCCTCTTATGGGAGACTTGACCTCTGGGGAACGTAACCACCCGTGCCCTTTGCAAACCAGCCAAAGGAGGAAGTTGTGCAGATGAATAAACCTGTAGAAATTCCCAGTGGGCCCCAGAGGAACAGGATTATTCGGAGGAACAGGATTATTCTAAAACCGAAATCAAATGTCAGAACAGGTTCTTTCCAACCACAGCAGGCAAAATTCAGGGCCAGAGCAGGCTCTGGGTTTCCCAGACCATACCCTGGAAGGGACAGACAGGGAAGTGATGTGGACAGAGCAGTCATAGATCGAGGTCAGAGAGTCTCACTGCGGATTTGGCTCTGTTGCTTTCTCTCCTTGTGACACTGGGCAGGCAACTTAACCTGTTTGGTCTTTAGCATTTGAAAAATGGAGGAAAGGACTTAGAGATTGCCTCTGTAAAGAGCATGCCCCAGCTGGGTGCGGTGGCTCACACCTGTAATCCCAGCACTTTGGGAGGCTGAGGCGGGCAGATCACCTGAGGTCAGGAGTTCGAGACCAGCCTGGCCAACATGGTGAAAGCCCGTCTCTACTGAAATATAAAATATTAGCCGGGCATGGTGGCGGGCGCCTGTAATCCCAGCTACTTGGGAGGCTGAGGCAGGAGAATCACTTGAACCGGGGAGGTGGAGGTTGCAGTGAGCCGAGATTGCGCCATTGCACTCCAGCCTGGGCAACAGGAACAAAACTCCATCTCAAAAAAAAAAAAAAAAAAAAGAGCATGCCCCATACACGGGAAGTGGCGGATGCTCAAGAGCCAGCAGCTGCAATTGCAGTGATTGAAACAGGCAAATGTCTTGCAGACCAGAGGGGGCTGGTCATCCCACTCCCCTGGGAGAGACTTGCCCCCGCTTGCCTCAGAGTGTCCTTCAAATAGCCCCAGTAAGAGCTGAGGAGGAGGCACTGAGAGACCCCTTGCAGCTGGGATTAGCTGCATGATCTCAGGGGAGTTGGGGCTTGTTTCCCAATCTGTAAAATGGAAATAATTACATCTACTTAGTAGGACCCTTGGGAGGATTAGAAATGGGGTATGTAAACTGTCTAGCACAGTAGATAACAATGTTCAGTGAAGAGTGGCGGTTATGATTGTCATTATTAACTTGATCACAAAGACTTTATTCTCCTGGAGCATACAAGGTAGAGTTGCGCTTGAGAAGTCAGTGGTTTCCTTTTGGGACCAAGTGGGAAAGACACAATCCTTCATATGTCAACCGTCACACAAAATGGGAAGACATTCAGGGTAGAGTAACTGCTCTATCCCTGGAAAATTGAAGTTAAACTATAGAGATGACAAGAATTTCTTTAAAAGTCCCTGGGCTGGATACAGTGGCTCAAGAATCACTCGAGGCCAGGAGTTTGAGACCAGCCTGGGAAATATATAGCAAGACCCTGTCTTTACCAAAGAAAACAAAATAAAATTAGCTGGGCATGGTAGCACATGCTTGTAGCCCTAGCTACTCAGGAGGCTAAGGTGGGAAGATTGCTTGAATTGCTTGAGTCCAGGAGGTTGAGGCTGCAGTGAGCAATGATTCAATGATTGCACCACTGCTCTCCAAAAAAAAAAAAAAAAAAAAAAGTCACTTTGGCAAAATAGCAGAAGATACAGACATAAACATTTATGCTTTGGTTCAGGGCTCAGTTCCACCCAGACCCAGACCCACTGCCCACTGCCCATGTGACTCATTGACTAATGGAAGGCATCAATAAACTCCAGCATTTGTGGCACACAAGGGCAGCTGCCATCAGGCCTTAGGCAGACCTGCAAACAGAGATTTCTTTGACACTTTCAACCTCTCTTTATGTTACTTTCTTCTGTCTGCTGATGCTCCAACCCTGCCTTTCCTATTCCTTCGGGCTGGATTCTGACCAAACTCCACCCAAGTGTTGAGTCCCTGCCTTTCTGAAAATCCTTTGAGCTCCCAAATTACCTCTTCCTCCAAGGGTAGGGGCAGGAAATGAGTGTCCAGAAAGAGCCAGAAGCATCAGCAGGTCGTCCTCCCCTCCCTCCATTCACCCAGCTTCAGGAAGGGGCAAAGTGAGCCACTCTCAGCCCATGGCCCCGAGTGTTGCAATAGCTGCTTTGCTTGAGTTTCACCAGCCACATGTTCCTTATTCATTCCATTCCCCATCACAAATTCCCAAAGTAGCTGACCTTCGCCGGGAGGTAGGCAGAGAGGCTCACAGAAGGTAAAAATTCCCACTGGCCTTAGTTATCCCAGGAACTTACGCATTTACTTTTTATTAAATTTATTTTGATTTTTTATTTTATTTTTAAATGTTTGTGGGTACATAGTAGGTGTATATATTTATGGGGTACATGAGATATTTTGATATAGGCATGCAATGTGTAATAATCACATCAGGGTAAATGGGTTATTCATCACCTCAAGCATTTATCCTTTGTGTTACAAAAAATCTAAATATACTCTCAGTTATTTTAAAATGTACAATAAATTATTTTTGACTTCAGTCACTCTATTGTGCTATCAAGTATCAGATCTTATTCATTCTGTGTGTGTGTGTGTGTGTGTATACATATATATATATATATATATATATATATATATTTTTTTTTTTTTTTTTTTTTTTTTTTTTTTGAGTTGGAGTCTCGCTCTGTCACCCAGGCTGGAGTGCAGTGGTGCGATCTCGGCTCACTGCAACCTCCGCCTCTCAGGTTCAAGTGATTTCCCTGCCTCAGCCTCCCAAGTAGCTGGGACTACACTACAGCCACGCACCACCACGCCTGGCTAATTTTTGTATTTTTAGTAGAGACGGGGTCTCACCACGTTGGCCAGGATGGTCTCGATCTCTTGACCTCGTGATCCGCCCCCCTGAGCCTCCCAAAGTGCTGGGATTACAGGCGTGAGCCACCGTGCCCAGCCCATTCTGTCTATATTTTTTTTACCCATTAACCATCCCCTTTTCCCCCACCCCACCCATTACCCTTTCCAGCCTCTGGTAACCATCATTCTACTCTCTATCTCCATGAGTTCAGTTATTTTAATTTTTAATTTCCACAAATAAGTGAGAAGGTACAAAGTTTGTCTTTCTGTGCCTGGCTTATTTCACTTCACATGATGACCTCCGGTTGCATCCAGGTTGTTACAGATGACTGGATCTCATTCTTTTTTACAGCTGAATAGTACTCTATTGTGTACATGTACCATGTTTTCTTTATCCATTCATATGTTGATGGCCACTTGGGTTGCCTGCAAACCTTAGCTGTTGTGAACAGTGCTAGAATGGATGTGGGAGAGCAGATCGCTTCGATATACTGATTTTCTTTCTTTGGGGTATATATCTAGCAGTTGGATTGCAAGATCATATGGTGGCTCTGTTTTTAGTTTTTTGAGGATCCAAACTTTTCTCCATCTTGGTTCTACTAATTTACATTCTCACCAGCAGTGTATGAGGGTTCCCTTTTCTCCACATCCTCACCAGCATTTGTTATTGCCTATCTTTTGGATAAGAGCCATTTTCACTGGGGTGAGATGACATCTCATTGTAGTTTTGATTTGCATTTCTCTTATGATCAGTGGTGTTGAGCACCTTTTCATAGACCTGTATGCCATTTTATGTCTTCTTTTGAGAAATGTCTGTTCAGATCTTTTGCATTTAATTTTTTTAATCAAATTATTAGATTTTTAAAATCAAATTATTAGATATTTTACTGTTGAGTTGTTTGAGCTTCTTCTATGTTCTGGTTGTTAATCCCTTGTCGGATGGATGGTTTGCAAACGTTTTCTCTCATTCTGTGGGTTGTCTCTTCACTTTGTTGATTGTTTCCTTTGCTGTGCAGAAGCATTTTAACTTGATGTAATCCCATTTGTCCAGTTTTGTTTTGGTTGCCTGTGGTTTGGCGTATTACTCAAGGAATCTTTGCCCAGACCAACGTCCTGGAGAGTTTCCCAGTGATTTCTTTTAGTGGTTTCAAAGTTTGATGCCTTAGATTTAAGTCCTTAATCCATTTTGATGTGATTGCTGTACATTGCAAGAGATAGGAGTCTAGTTTCATTGTTCTGCATATAGATACCCAGTTTTCCTAGCACCATTTATTGAAGACACTGTCCTTTCCTCAATGTATGTTCTTGGCACCTTTGAATTTCTGCATTTTAAAAAAGAACTTGGCTGGAGTGGTGACTCACACCTGTAATCCCAGGACTGTCAGAAGCCAAGGTGGAATGATTGCATGAACCCGGGAGTTTGAGATCAGCCTGGGCAACATAGCAAGACCCTATCTCTACAAAAAATTTAAAAATTAGCTAGCCATGGTGACGTGTACCTGTGGTCCCAGCTACCACATGCAAGCTGAGGTGGGATGATTGCTTGAGCCTAAGAGGTCAAGGCTGCAATGAGCTATGATTGTGCCGTTGCACTCCAGCCTGGGTGATAGAGTGAGACTCCGTTTCTAAAAGACATCAATCAATAAGAGCTTGTTTAAGCCAAAACAGGGACCCTGAATTCAAGAATTACAGGTGCTAGGCATATAACCTAATGAGCAAAGCAAGCTAGTAAAAAAAAAAAAATTGTTTTCATTGAAACAAGCAGTCCTAAATTTTTATTTTACCAGTTTTGATGAAGATCAAAATATGTCTTCATCAAAAATTAAAGACAAGAAAGATTTCAATTCCCATTCAATCTAATAAGAAAAATATTAAAGTAAGCACAAAGTAATGAAGCAACTGAGAAGGACTCAGAAATTGGGAGACAAAAGGGAGGGACAGGAGAGTGCTCATCTCCCTAGGAGTTAGCTCTGCAGATGGTGCAAATGGCAGGGCTGGTGTCTAGCCCCGGGGATTATCAGTGTCTTTTATGGCATTTATTTGGGATGGTCCAATGTCCATTCTCAGTGACTTCCCTTCTGTGCCAGTTGTTCAATATTTTTTTTTTCTTTGTTTTTAGACGGGGTCTCACTCTGTTGCCCAGGCTGGAGTGCAGTGACACGATCTTGGCTCACTGCAACCTCCGCCTCTTGGGTTCAAGCGATTCTCTTGCCTCAGTCCCCCGAGTAGCTGGGACTACAGGTGCATGCCACCACGCCCGGCTAATTTTTTGTATTTTTAGTAGAGATGGGGTTTCACCATGTTAGCCAGGATGGTCTCGATCTCCTGACCTCGTGATCCACCTGCCTCGGCCTCCCAAAGTGCTGGAATAACAGGCACAGTTGCTCAATATTTTACATGTCCCCTCAATCAGGTGGTAAGGAGAGGGTGGTATTGCCAGATCTTCTGATTGTTCCAGATAAGGCAGAAATCTAGATCTTTCCAGAAAAGCACTTTTTTTAATGTTGGCAACACATTTTTAAAAATTTGAGGGCCGGGCACAGTGGCTCACACCTGTAATCCCAGCACTTTGGGAGGCCGAGGTGGGTGGATCACCTGAGGCCAAGAGTTCAAGACCAGCCTGGCCAACATGGCAAGACCCTGTCTCTACTAAAAATACAAAAATTAGCTGGACGTGGTGGCGCATTCCTGTAATCCCAGCTACTAGGGAGGCTGAGGCAGGAGAATCGCTTGAACCCAGGAGACGGAAGTTGCAGTGAGCCGAGATTGTGCCATTGCACTCCAGCCTGGGCAACAAGAGCAAAACTCTGTCTCAAAAAAAAAAAAAAAAAAAAAATTTGAGCACCATGCTGGCCAAAAAACATACAACTGAAGGCCAGATTTGGCCTGTGGATTCTGACCCTGTGACTTCTGCCCTAATGGGTGTATTGTATGAAGTGTATTTAGGTAAGAAAGCCTTCTAGATTTTTCCAAAAGAGAAATGGACTCAACCATTCAGTCAGTCGCTTTTGAAATGTTGCTGCTTTCTAAACCAGCACTTCTCAACAGCAACAGTATTAACATTTGAGGCCAGATAAGTCTTTGTGTGGGGACTACCTTGTGCCTTGAAAAATGCTCAGCAGCATTTCTGGCCTCTATCTCCAAGATGTCAGGAGCAACTGCCCACCCCAGTCTGACAACTCAAAATGTCTCCAGACATTGTCAAATGTCTCCTAGGAGGCAAAAATCATGTGCAGTTGAAAACCACAGCTCTAGAGAAAAAGAGAACCTTAGAAAATGTGAGTTTATTCATTATAATATAATAGATGTTATGAGAGCTAAGTTGTAGAATGATAAATGGATGTTGATTAGGCCTGATTTATCAACTCGTTTATTAGTAAGAATTTACTGAGCACCTACTTTGTCCCTAACAATGAGCTTGGCTATGAAAGAAAAATAACAGAAATATAGGCTATAGTTCCCGCTTTCAATCTGTAGGGTTTTGTTTGTTTGTTTGTTTTTGAGACCAGGTTTTGCTCTTGTCGCCCAGGCTGGAGTGCAATGACATGATTTCGGCTCACTGCAAACTCTGCCTCCTGGGTTCAAGTGATTCTCCTGCCTCAGCCTCTCGAGTAGCTGGGATTACAGGTGTGCACCACCACACCCTGCTCATTTTTGTATTTTTTAGTAGAGACGGGGTTTCGCCATGTTGGCCAGGCTGATCTCGAAGTCCTGACCTCAGCTGATCCGCCCAACCTCGGCCTCCCAAAGTGCTGGGATTACAGGTGTGAGCCACTGTGCCCAGCCCAATTTGTAGTTTTTTAAATTGAAATACTACCAATGACAACAACATAAAGAAAAATCAGTCACTTAACCTTGTTGTTCAATCAAGGCAAATTATCCATATCATTCGCTTTGTGACCATGGACAGGCTGCTCATGATCTCTGAGCCTCAGTTCCTCTTCTATAAGATGGAGCCAACGAGTGCTTATTTTGCTGGGCTGCCATGAGAGTGTGCTGAGCTAAAGAATGTAAAAGTGTTCAGCGTGGTATTTGGCCCCTAGAGGGGTCAGGAGAGGTGGATTTCCTTTCTTTTTTTCCCGCAGTTTCATTTTTTAAAGAACTGAAAACCTTTCCCTGTCAGTGTCTCATTTGGTTAGGGTGACATGCTGAAAGTTGTTCAGACCCTTCCAGTTCAAGATCACATGCATCTCTCCCCACACCTCCCTACAACATCCTTCCTGGTGGGATAGTTGCTTTTAAAACATTCTGCAGTAACTTCATTCTGTGCACAGGACTATCCCTTTCTCCTCCACCCCTTTGGCCGGGCAGCTCTAGGTCTCCAGCCCTGGCTCGTGAAATCAACCATCAAGAGAGGAGAGGTGCGAGGGTCAGGCAGTGCACTGGCCGACTGAGGTCCTGGAATCAATGCTGCAGACCCACCTGTTGTTTCCCCAGAGCTTTTTTTGTTTTTTGAGAAAGGGCCTCCCTCTGTCACCCAGGCTGAAGTGTGGTAGCACGATCAGGCTCACTGCAGCCTCAGCCTCCTGGACTCAAGTGATCCTCCACCTCTCAGTCTCCTGAGTAGCTGGGACTACAGGTACATGCCACCATGCCCAGCTAATTTGTGTATTTTTTTCTAGAGACAGGTTTTCATTATGTTGCTCAAACTGGTCTCCAGAGCCTTTGAGGGGCATTTGGAACCCTCTTGGCCTACGAGCTGGGCTTCTGAGGACTGTGACCAGTGTTCAAGTGTTGACACCCTCACAGTGCACACTTAGAACTCCCCAAGTGATCTGTACTTTCCATGCTCTTTTTCCCCTGGTACTTTTCCCTCTGCCTAGAAGGCCCCTCCCACCCCTCAGCTCCTTTAGCATCCATCCTTAAAATAACTCAAATATCATCACCCTGTGAAATTCCCCCTTCCCCACTTCCACTTCAGGTAAAATGAGAGACTTCCTCCTCTTAGTTCCCTGAAACTCTATTCATTGTTCCCCAAACTTCATCAATGCACTTGTCACACATTTTGCCATCCCCAAGGCAAAGTCTATGGCTCCTTCACGTCTCTTCTCTAGTGCTCACCCCGACTTCGCATATAGTATATCTTTAGCAATGTTTGATAAACAAATGTATCAATGAAGGAGAAAATCTAAATTTTGCAGAGAACTCTGGGTCAAAGTGCCAAAAAGTAGATCACAGGTTCCTTTTGCTATGTCCAGAACAAAGCTTTCTTGATTTAGTCACAACAATGCTGAGCGAAAAGGACATGATTGATGCTGAAGACAAAATCCACATCCTGAACAGCTGGGACTATGAAACTTCCACGGTGTGTTTTGCAGAAGTGGACAGGGGGACCTTAGGACCCCATGGTTATTGGCATGCTGGCGTCCTGGGCAGGATGAATTGGGCTGGTTGGTGCCAGACCCCCGTATGTCTGCAGAAAGGTAGACATGTTGGTGGACCCACAGTTTTGCTAAGGAGGATGTTAAGGTTCCTTGACGGATTAACAAAGGACCACAGAGCCTAAAATATTTCTGGAAAAAAGTTTACCAAAGACGATTTTATTTCCTTTAAGAATATTCAGTAACACTACAATTCTACAGAATAAAGTGGTACAATTGTCTAAGCCTCATTCCATAGCATAAATTGTGTAAAACTTGGAATCTTTTTTTTTCTTGGAAAGAGACACTTAATAGGGATGTATGAACAGAAGCCATGTCTGTCTTGAATGGTGATGAGACAAGATGGTATATCCCCACGCCATTAACCCTGAGACCCAGGGCTTAAATACCATATGGAAAGGGTGAGTCAGAAGAGATGTGTAGGACAATTGAAGTATGATCATGTCAAGTCAAGCTTGTAATCTTAAGAAAACTAAATATCCCCCTGTCCTTTTGTTTACATGAATCCACCTAACAGATACTTTTCCTTTACTCTAAAGATAGACATCATGGCTAGACATAGTAGCTTATACCTCAAGCCTCATTCCTTGTCAACCCAACACCTTGAGAGGTCAAGTAGGGAAGATCTCTTGAGGTCAGGAGTTCAAGACTAGCCTGGGCACCATAGTGAGATCCCATCTCTATAAAAAAATTTTTTTTAAATTAGCTGGCTGTGGTGCCACGTGCTTGTAGTCCCAGCTACTTGGGAGGCTCAGGCAGGAGGATCACTTGAGCCCAGCAGGTTGAGGCTGCAGTGAGCCAAGATCTTGCCACTGCACACCAGCCTGGGCGACAGAGGGAGACCCCAACTCAAAAAAAAAGCTAGACATCAGCTTAGTCCTAGTCAATGTTTCACTAATTTTGACTCAGTCAAAATGGAAAGAATTCTGAGTACAGCTTCCAGACTCTGTCCTGTGTGTCCTTAAGATGAACTCAGAGTGAATGTGAGCACCCTGCTTACGGAAGGCCTCATTTTTTGATTAGCCCTAGAAAGCGCAGATTCTTGTGGAACAGCAGTGGCCCTGCCCATCAGGGACGGGTTCACAGGTGTTCTGCCTGTGCATCCGGAAGGGCTCAGACTTGTTTTCATGCTTTGCTGTTGCCCCATGAAATTCTTGATTTTTGAACACATGGCCCGGCACTTTCATTTTTTACTAAGCCCCAAAAATTCATTATGTAGCCAGTCCTGCTTCCCATCAATGGTTATAGGTTTCAGCTGCATTTCAGGGAATGTGAAAGTAAATTCTCACATAATGAATTTTTGTTCTATACCCACACATCCCATGGAGGAAAATGTAGGGCAGGATCTTGCTTTGTCTCACCTACAAACTACATGCATCTGCGGTAGATGCTTAACTCTTCTGAGCCTCTTTGTTCTCAGCTGTAAAATGGTCTGTTAATATCGATTCTGTCTCGGGGTCGTTGTAAGGATCAAGTGAGGCAATGTCAGTGAAAGCATGCACGTGGCGAATTCTGAAACTCTCACAGAAATGCCAAGCATTCTTCCTTTAGGAGGGACAGGTCAGGGAGACACCAAAGGGAAGATTCCAAGAGGCCTCTGAGGAGTCTTTGCTGACCTCATCACTATTCTGCTGCTCCTCAAATCAATCTCACAGTGCAGCCCGAGCCATTTACAAAAACAAAGCTATGCTCATGTCACTGCCCTGCTTAAAACCCTTCGATGGACGCTCTTTGCCCTTAGGGATGGGGCGGGGGCCTTGTAACCCGGACTGTGGACCCTGAAATATAAGTCTCTCTTATATTAAAAGAGGCTCCAAATTTTAAAAATGCCCCAAATAAATGGTATATTAAAGCAACACAAAGATGGTCTCTTTTTAAAAGAGATGTTTCTCCCTAAAGCAAATGGATTGTCTAAAGGCATTGTTCAACTTGCCTTCAAGAACCAAGAGACTGAGCACCTTGACGGAGGCAACCAGGTCCTCTCCCAGGACCAAGAACAATCCCTGGCATGGAGTGGGTATGAAAGAGACGTTAAAGGCTAGACTTGAGGCAGGCAGAGCTGGAGGTCATATCTTCCCCTGCCACCTCTTAGGGCTGTGACCTGGAGCAAGTCACCCAGCCTCATTTTCTCTCATGATTATTGTGAGGATTAAATAAGGCAAGTGCTTGGAAGTGCCTGCGACAGTGCCTAACACGGGGTAAGAAGCTATTGTGTGGTAGGTGCTATTCAATGAATTGTAGGATCTAGAGCTCAGTGTATCAGTATCAATGACCTTACTAAAACAGTTTCTATTTATGGAACCCTTTGATTGTATAATGAATCAACATTTTATCCACTAATACACAAATGAGCTATAATGTGGTCAAGATTAGTATTGTTAAGTTTCTCTAATGACTATATTTGAAACCTCTAAAAGTAATTCAATTTCAGGTTTTGATTTGGGTTGCTCTGCCATTTTTGCATCTCTTAACTTGTAAATGGTTTTCTAAGGAATGTTTAAAACTGAGAACACTGTGGATCACCTCAATTAAAAAATAGAAACTCCCTTTTCAACTTACCCTTCTACACCCCAATTCAGTTCCCTAGAAGGTTTCAGACCCTTTGTTTTTATAGGGCTGTTTTGTAGTTTGTTTTTGTTTTTCTGGAAAGATAATTCCTAGATGAAATGTGGGGGTGCTGCTTTAGGTTTTAAATACAACCACTTGGGGTTCTCTTCTAGAGAATACCCAGGGATCTCAGGGTAAGGCATGTCTTCCCATAATCCCTCCCACTGGCCCCATTTAGCCATTTTGAAGACATAGACCCATTAATCTGTGTAAAGCCATTCACACCCTACATAAGAACATGTACACACCATTTTGTATACATTGTTTTTCCCAGAGGGTTTATGGACCCCGGGAGGTCCTCCCATGGTATCCTTAAGGATGAGCCTTCTAAGCCAGATGGAAGGTCTTAAAAATAAAAGGAAAGGATGAGTGGTCTCAGGATAAGAATTCCTACCCTTAGATATTAATTGCTAGTAAACACTTAATATATGCTCCTGCTCCTCCATCTTCCCAATGGACTTGCATTTTAACAGGGAGAAATTTGGCCCAACCGAAGGGACTCAAATTGTACTGGTGGAATTTGAATACCAGGCCCTAGCAACTAGTATGCAGTAGGGAAATTTGGGGCCAGGGGAAAACTGTTAGTTATTATTTATTTATTTGTGGTATGTTTACTTTTTTGGAATTTTCATACACAATTATGACCCAGTACCAAGTAACTCCCCAGCCCTTATATCCAGATTTAATAGCTGGAATCTTAAACAAAGTTTATAAACCAAGATTGTAAACATATGAGTAGAGATAACCCAAAGGTTAACACCCTACTGTTTTACAGGATGAAGAATCATATTATATCAGTGAAGTGGGAGCCTATTTGACCGTCTCAGATCCAGGTTAGTAATTACAGAATGCCCATTCGACCAGCCATGACGCTGTTTCTGTTGGTTAGCTCACCTTTCATCCCATTGAATCTTCTCATGTTTGATGCTGCTTTTTTTTTTTTTTTTTTTTTTTTTTTTTGAGATGGAGTCTTGCTCTGTTTCCCAGGCTGGAGTGTAGTGGCACGATCTCGCTCGGCTCCCTGCAACCTCTGCCTCCCGTGTTCAAGCGATTATCTTGTCTCAGCCTCCCAAGTAGCTGGGATTACAGGCGTGTGCCACCACACCCAGCTAATTTTTGTATTTTTAGTAGAGATGGGATTTCACCACATTGGCGAGACTGGTCTCAAACTCCTGACCTCAGGCGATCCACCCACCTCAGTCTCACACAGTGCTGGGATTACAGGCGTGAGCCACTGCACCCGGCCGATGCTGCTTCTAAGGAACAGACTGAGAAAGCAGCCAGCAATGTGATTTTGGGGGACTTTACTACGCCTCTGTGTGCTGTAATTTGCCCATCTGCTCATAAAGGAGGCTGGACTAGATTACGTCAGAGATCATGATTGGCAACAATAAAGAGTTTAGTGGCTTTTTGACAGATTTGCTGTCGATAGTGCAGCTTATTCTATACTCTGGGAATCATACATTCATTCTACTAAAATGTAGTTAGTGCCTGCTAGGTGCCAAGCCCTGTATTAGGCACTGGGGATCCATAATTTTTCAAACTAATAGTTCTTACCCTCATGAAGTTTACATTCTAGAAGAGGAAGAGGACAACAACACATTAAATGATAATACAGTACTGCCCCCCGACCTTATTCGCGGTTTCACTTTTCATGGTTGGTGCAAAAACAGGTGAGTACAGTACAATTAGAGTTTCTGAGAGAGAGAGCTCACATGCACATCACTTTTTTGTAGTGTGACAATTTTTCTATGTTATCATTAGTTATTGTTTGTAATATCTTACTGTGACCAGTTTATACATTAAACTTCATCACAGGTATATATGTATATGCAGGAAAAAACAGTATATCTAGAGTTCAGTACTATCCATGGCTTCAGGCATACACTGGTACACTGGGGGTCTTGGGTTGTATCCCCCAAGGATAAGGGGGACTCCTGTGCTCTGTTAAGTAGTGATAAGTTCTTTTTTTTTTTTTTTTTTGAGACAGTCTCGCTCTGTCGCCCAGGCTGGAGTACAGTGGCTTGGTCTCAGCTCACTGCAATCTCTGCCTCCCAGATTCAAGCGATTCTCCTGCATCAGGCTTCTCAGTAGCTGGGATTACAGGCACCTGTCACCACGCCTGGCTAATTTTTGTATTTTTAGTAGAGACGGGGTTTCTCCACGTTGGTCAGGCTGGTTTCAAACACCTGACCTCAAGTGATCCACGCACCTTGGCCTCCCAAAGTGCTGGGATTATAGGTGTGAACCACTGCACCTGGCCCAGTAGTGATAAATTCTATGAACAAACACAAGCAGGGGGAGTGGAGAGGAATCGAAAGCTATTTTAGGTGGGACATTAGGGAAGCCTTCAGGGGAGAAAGGCCCTCTCTGAAGACGTGAAGTTTGAGCAGAGAGATTCAGCTCTTTGGGGGTATCTGGGCCTAGGGAAGCCCTTTCCAGATGGCAGGAAGAACAGATGCACAGGCCCTAAGGGGTGAGCTGGCTAATGTGTTCAAGGACCTGCAGAGTGCCAGTGTGCCCGGAGAGAGAATAAGCAGCAGGTGAGGTCGAGGGACAGAGAGCCAGGCCAGGGCATGCAGAGCCAGTGGCAAGGCAAGGGTCAGGACTTTGGACTTTATTCTAAAGTGTGAAAGGATGCCACCGAGGGGTCTAGGGGAGAGAAGAAAATGATACCTCAGATTTACATTTATAAAGGTTCACTTTGGTTGTTGTGTGGAGTAGTGGGGGAAATTCAGAGAACTCCTACAGTATTCACTTCTCGTGTGAGAAGCAAAGCTCCCACTCACACAAGATGTCTCTCAGAGGCCTCAAATGTTTCCCTGGAAAGTTAAATAACCTTTATTTGTTTGTATCCCCCTGTGCCAGGTACCGTACTAAGAGTTTTCATGTCTGTTTTCCCCTTTTCAAAGCTCTATCCTTTGACTAGCTTAAACATTATTTTACCAATTAAGGAATTTATGCCAAAGAAACTTGCCAAGAAATGAAAATGTGGAGTAATGTCTACTTAAAATATCAGCTACATTGTAGTGATATGTTCAGGGGGATTTGCCAATGATTGTTAAATGTAAGTAAGATAGCATAGTTGACAACTCATTTTCATATATGTTAATTCACTTAGATCTGTCTCCTCACTTAGGATAGAGAATAAATATTGTGAGTGCTAACATAAATTTGCTAATGTTATCACTAGATATGGACCAGATTTTAGCCAGCAATAGAATAGAAATCTCTCAAGAGGTAGGGGAGTCCGGGTGCAGTGGTTCACGCCTGTAATACCAGCACTTTGGGAGGCTGAGGTGGGCAGATCACCTCAGGTCAGGGATTCAAGACCAGCCTGGCCAACATGGCAAAATCCTGTCTCTACTAGAAATATAAAAAAAAGTAGCCCAGCATGGTGGCGGGCACCTATAATTCCAGCTACTCAGGAGTCTGAGGCAGGAGAATTGCTTGAACCCGGGAGGCAGAGGTTGCAGTGAGCCAAGATCTCACCACTGCACTCCAGCCTGGGTGACAGAGTGAGACTCTGTCTCAAAAAAAAAAAAAAGGTGGGGGGAAGGGGAAGTCTGATCAAAAATTAATTTAAAGCTGAGGGTGTGGGAAAATCAATTCTAGGTCTTGATCCTAATGGCTGAGCAGGAACTCAAGGAGTCACAGTAATGATGATTTTCATGTTAGTGGGGGTATTAAGAATAGTAATCAGTTGTAATTACGGTAGTGACAGTTGTAATGTTAGTGGGGATGGTAGTAGCAGACTACCCAGGATATAACACGTGACCCGGCAGTGTACACAGAGAATTCAGTACATTGTATAGGGCATTTGCATGTACAGACGCTGGCATTAATGCCACCTTGTTAATTCATCGTGGGACTATTCCTTACTGTAACTACTAAGCAGACCAGAGAGTTGGGTCCTCTGGCCAGTGAAATTTCTACCATTCAAGAAGCTACAGTATAGTCAGAAGGGTGCTTAGCAAGCATGGAATTAGAGAAAATGGAGTTCATTGTATGATTAATTATTTTTCTTTTATTATTATTATTTATTTATTTTTGAGACTGAGCATGGCTCTGTTGCCCAGGCTGGAGTGCAGTGGCACGATCTCACCTTACTGCAACCTCCACCCCTCGGATTCAAGAGATTCTCCTGCCTCAGCCTCCCTGAGTAGCTGGGATTGCATGTGCCCACCTCCATGCCTGGCTAATTTTTGTATTTTTAGTAGAGGCAGGGTTTCACCACATTGGCCAGGCTGGTCTCAAACTCCAGACCTCAAGTGATCTGCCTGCCTCAGCCTCCCAAAGTGCTGGGATTACAGGCATGAACCACCAACCACCATGCCCGGCCTACTTATTTATTTATTTATTTTAGAGACATTCTTGCTCTGTGTCCCAGGCTGGAGTGTGGTGGCATGATCATAGCTCACTGCAACCTCGAACTCCTGGGCTCAAATGATCCTCCCACCTCAGCCTCCCAAGTACTTGGGACCACAGGTGTGTGCCACCATGCCTGGCCTCAATGATTAAAATGTTTAACTTCATCTGCCTGGAAGCCTCCACTTCCTTGAACAGGGTGTACCTTTCATAAGAGAGGGCCAGTCCTTAGGCAGGTTTCTCTCCCCAGGTGGCGATCAGAAGGGAAGAGATGGGCTTCTCCCTTCTCTCTGTTTCTGTGGATGGATGCAACAACCCCTCCTAATGAGTTGTTTTTTTTTTTTTTTTTCTGAAACGGAGTTTCACTGTTGTTGCCCAGGCTGGAGTGCAATGGCACAATCTCGGCTCAACACAACCTCCACCTCCTGGGTTCAAGCGATTCTCCTGCCTCAGCCTCCCGAGTAGCTGGGATTACAGGCATGTGCCACCGCGCCCAGCTAATTTTGTATTCTTAGTAGAGATGGGGTTTCTCCATGTTGGTCAGGCTGGTCTCGAACTCCCGACCTCAGGTGATCTGACCGCCTCGGCCTCCCAAAGTGCTGGGATTACAGGCGTGAGCCACCGCGCCTGGCCCCTAATGAGTTCTTGACCCTGCTCATCTAATACATTCAGCCTGGTGATAAGCATTTGCTGACTGCATGTCCCTTCACTGATTCATTAAGGGTTCTGTGACTTTCTAAGTCTCAGAAAGCAATCTTCTTTTATCTCTAAAATTTTGGAGGCGCCTCTCTGTAGCCCCCAAGTACTGACTAGTTCCCACCCACTCTGTCCCCAATGATTTAAAGTAACCAAAGAACACATTCTCAAAAGTTCTCATTTCATTATTTGCGCATTCCAGTTTATGTGAGGTGTCTCCCTTATACCCCAAACAGAGCAGCTGAAAAAGTCTCCAAACCGCACCAGGGTGTTTTTTCATGGGGAGAAGGTGGCAGAACCCCCAGAAAGCCCCTCGGAAGGAAGGAAGGCCATTTAGCTGTGCACAGGCAGCCCGGCCACAGCTGGAGCTCAGCGGTTACATCTCAGGACTCTTATGCATCTATCTGTCACCTTTTCAGAGACAATTTACCAAGGAATCAAACATGCGGTGGTGATGTTCCAGACAGCAGTCGGGCATTCCTTCAAGTGCGTGAGTGAACAGAGCCTCCAGTTGTCAGCCCACCTGCAGGTGAAAACAACCGATGTCCAACTTCAAGCCTTTGATTTTGAAGATGACCACTTTGGAAATGGTAAGTTAAGGGTCGATCAGGTTGCAAACATACACTTTAGAGACCCCAGGGTAGATCCAAAGTGTTTTCTGTCTGCAGCTGTCGAAGGAGCAAGCATCTCATGAGCTTCCTGGGATGGTGTGATTCCACATAGCTCACAGGGCCAGGCTCCTCTGGCCACCTCAGAATCAGGCACCTGCACCCACCCAGTCACGGCTGTCCCGCAGCGGGTTGCACTCTCTTCGACTCACGCACATTCTTACTCATTTAAACACTCACGCGCTCAATCAAAACAACAGAAATACCACCTGCGACTTCCCTTTATGTCCTGTTGGGTGTAAATTCAGATATGTTTGGAGAACACTTTAAAGATCCTGAGTATCAGTAATGTCTGAAATCAAGATTTCAGAATAGTTTCTTCCCCACCTGCAGAGGGAAAAGAGCAAGATGCAGCAATTCAAAATAGAAGGAAACTCTGTTGGACCCCCTCATCTCAATTACAAGCTGTTGGAGCCCCTCGTCTCCAGTTATAAGCTGTCACACCCAACAGTGTTTCCTCATAGTCAGTTTTAGTTTCCCTCTAACTTCTGCCTTGAGTTCTGACCATCACAGGCAGAGCTTGCCTGATGACTGCCCTGGAGGAAAACAGGTCCCTGGGCAAGGGCCAAGAGCAGACCAGGGTGACTTTCCAGAAAAGCCCTCTTCTCCCTTCCAGGAACACATTGTTATAAGGATTTCTGCCTATGACCAGGAGAGTCATATGCCAGAAAAAGCCCTCTTCTCCCTTCCAGGAAAACAGTGTTACGAGGATTTCTACATATGACCAGGAGGGTCATGTACTTCAATTTCTAAAACATCCCTCTCATAATAACTAAAAAATGTGATGAGTACTTCCCAGTTATCAAAAATAGATTTAGCTAGAAGTTTAGCCGTATTTTAAATGTCTACAATATGAATCTGATTTTGCTTTGGGTTCCATCATGAAATTGCAGATGTGTGTAGCAGAAAACTTCTCCTCATGTACTCAGTGGGAAGCATTTGGCAGAGGAAGGACTGGCCATTGCTTGCCTTGGGTCCCCTGGTTTCTGTAGGCTTTGTCGGAGTCCCACAGTCATATGAGAATTTGCCAGTAGAGGTTGGCCCCATTTGTCATCCACTCTCAAAAATGCTAGTGTTGGAAAACTATTTCTTTCTTTTACAATCATTATGAAGGTTTGAAAAACTTCTGTAATCGTGTGATCTTAAAAAAAGGTACACACTTGCTCTTCTTCCCCTTCAGAACCTCTATGAAGCAGGAAGTGATCAGGTCTGGGAAACTTCTTAGTGGCAGAGGTAGGAAATAAAACGTTTCAGCAGTGCACGCCAGTGTTCACAGGGATGCATAGAAAAGCTCGCTTGTCTTTACATTTTTTTTTTTCTTAAAACCATCATTAACTGGATAGTTTTCCAAACAACAGACTTCAGAGTTCTCCTTAACTCCTCTCCCTCCAGCACCCTCTCATACAAATAGTCACAAAGCCCTAACAATTCCACTTCCAAAATGTTCCCCTTGTTCTCCCACTGTCACCGTATCAACTCAACGCCATCTTCTTAGTCTTTGCACTTCAAATTTCACTAAAGATGCTCAAATGTGAAGAGGTATGTCATTCTGTAAATAGGATTTTCTACTAGAGAGTAAGAGAAGGGGGAAAAGAGGAGCAAGTTACCATACTATATGGTGTTTAAAAGACACATGTGCAAAGGGTTATGGGAGCCCAGAGGAAGTTGTGACTGACAGCATTGGTGATGAGAGGGTGGACTAAAGAAGTCTTGAGTGATAGGCGATTTTTAAACAGGGGATCGAAGAACTGGAGAGGAATCCAGCAAGTGTCAAAGCTGAGCCTTGTAAAAGATAATGGTCATCCCAAACAGTAGACTCCTGACTCCTAAAATCTCCTCCTCCCTAAAATCCTGGAGCCTGCAAACATTGTGTTTTGTTTATTGAGTTTTAGGGTTTTTGCTGTCCTTTTCTTTTGCTGTTTATTATGCTGATTTAGGAGCCCCAAGCTATCTGAGCAGCCCCTGTAAGAAACACAGAGTTAGGACTGGGCGTGTTGGCTGACTCCTGTAATCCCAGCACTTTGGGAGGCCAAGGCAGGTGGATCACTTGAGGCCAGGACTATGAGACCAGCCTGGCCAACATAGCAAAACCCCATCTCTACTAAACATACAAAAAACTAGCCCGGCATGGTGGTACATGCCTGTAATCCCAGCTACTCGGGAGGCTGAGGGATAAAAATCACTTGAAATCAGGAGGCGGAGGTTGCAGTGAGCCGAGATTGTGTCACTGCATTCTGGCCTGGGTGACACAGTGAGACTCTGTCTCAAACTATTACTAGAGTTGGAGAATATGGCTCCGGGAATTACTCTAGTTTGAGAGTCAAGACATAACTCTGATCACAACCCTCTAGGCCAAACTAGCATTTTCTCAAAGTTGGATCTGCCTGGAAGCAGCATCAGAATTCCCCTGGCCTCAGCTCAGACCCACTGAATTATCATTTCTTGGGCATGTGTCTGGGCATCTGCAATTTAATAAGCTCCCTAACTAATTACCAGTGCTACACGTGTCAGATCCACTGTATTGACCCTTTCCCTCTCGTTTTCACCCACTGTTGTCTGAGCCCCAACAGCTCCATCTTCCCCTCTGTCTTCTTTTCTCCAAAGCTGAGGCAGATGTGGCAGTGCCACTTCCCAGCATTTGTGGCCAGTCTGTAACACTTGTTACTCTGACTTCAATTACAGCGGATGAATGCTTCAGTGACAGAAACAGGAGAGAAATCCCTGTGGCCATGGGCCTGAGTATCACAGGACTGCTTGTCATTTTGCTAACCGCATGTCTGGTGGCCAGAAAGAGGCCCAGTAGAGGATATGAACGCATGTAAAGCCCCACTTTCTTCAAAATGTGCAAAGTTAAGGTCTTGGGAATTCCAGCATCATATTCAGCCTGAAGTGAAAGGATTGACCTGTCTCGTTGCCTGTTGCACCCTCCTGAGCTGATTAGGAAACCTAACTTTCCACCAAAGGGCTACCGCAGTGCTGGGAAACAGCACCTCCCCTACTTCCTCCTGTTGCTTTGGGGAGGCCATGCCAGGTGTGCTTGATGCCCTCTGCCATACCTGAATATACCAGTGCTGGCTTCCGGAATTAGGGGCAATAGGCAGAGACATGAGTGGGGTGCTTGTGAGAAGGGAGAAAGCGAAAACCCGGAGGGAGAATTGTGGGGAAGACGTTTACAAATTGACTGATTTTTCTTATACATTTTCAAGAGTCCTGATTTTCAGTTTTTAAAAACATTACTTTAAAAAAACCAATGCATTTCAAAGTTGATTACAAAATGATTTTAAACTCCTGGATTTTACCCAAATTTTGTTTACTTAAATTATAGATGATCTTAATATGCTATTATTTTAAAAAAACATATCCTACTCTATTGTAATGTATTATCAGTTTAAAAAATTAGGAAACTGCCTATTTCACTTTTTTAATTTAAAGCACATATCAAAGATCATGGCAAAAAAGGAGGGGCTCAATAAATGTTAGCCCTTCAGTTGCTTCAATTTCATGTGTTGTCTGCCTTCTTAGCTACTTTTTTCCGGGTTTGTCGGCTTTTCTTTGATGTTATTTTATTCTTGTAAATGTGTCCATTTGGACCATTGCAGGACAGGAGGGAGACAGAGCAGGGAGACAATATGGAATGGCAAGCAGGAAGAGGTAGACCTGCCTGGAGGATCACTCACTTCCCTTTTACGCAAACATTCACCAAAAGCAGTACATTCCTGATGGGGGACGGTTGATATCTGAGGGAAAAATTCTATTAAAATATGGCTTAGGATGTTATTCATGGTTTCCTATTACATTGATGGGGGTTTTTCATTCAGAGAAAAAGGAGAGGTATGTTCTTAATTGATTCTACTGACTGGAAGTTTTCTTGTTTTTCCAAATTTTCCAGAGGTGCCATTCATTATTTTTAACATGACATTTATGAAATTTGGCAACAACTCTAAAACTACTGCCTACTTAGGAAATGTACTGACTCTCCCAGGAGGCATTTTTGCTCTCCTTGTTTTCTTAGAATTGGGGCTGTGGGGAGGGCACACCGCAGCTTCAAAAGAGCACTAAGAGCCCCTGAAGACATCCAGAGTGTCAGAAAATGTCTGTTTCCCTCTTAAAACAGATGTTGATGACAATCTGATATGAGGACCCGGGAGTTCCCCAAAGAGACTCGGGCTTAACAGCAAGAGCTTGGCTTTGGAGAGCTGTGATCTCCTTCCACCTCCTCCTTCAAACTGGCACCTGCTCCAGGCTCCCCTGTGTCCAGTGTTAAGGGCACTCGAAAGTTCTGTAGGGCAGAGGACAAGGTGTTTATTCACCAGCCACTCACTCTTCTGCAGAATGATTAATGTAAGATTTACCTTCTAGCATGTGGAAATTTCTCCCCTAGCAGATGAAACAAGAAGCAGAATTTAAAATCAAGTATAGAGGGATATGACCACTTAAATTTAATTTTCCTCCCTACCTTCTTCAGTGAGTTCTTTTGGATGATGGCCACTGCTTGGACTCCTGCTATCTATTCCCCCGACCCCAGTACTGATTATTTTTAGAATTAATTTGAATTAGCATTCTGGTAACCACAAAAAGCAAAGGTTTCATTGGAATGGCCAGTAAATAAACGCTTGGATGTGTAATTTACTCACAGTCCTGCCCACTTTCCAGGTGGAGAGCAGAGGGGGCAGTGGAGCTGGGCTCCTCACCTGCCTCCCCTCCTAACCACACACACATTCACCCTAAGAAGCCTGTGATGAGAGGGAAAAAAATTCTGTGAACTCCTCCATTACTAAACCTGGAGGAAAAAAAAAAGAGTGGGTTGCTTTATTTTCTTCGTTTTCCAACCTAGGGTAGTGAAAATGGCTCCCAGGAAGACTGGGAAGAGTAAAGGGAGGGACAGACGGAGGTGAACTGGGGAAGAAACCCCAAAGCAGACGATCGCTCCAGGCTGCAGCTAGTTTCCATGCTACAAAAAAGAGAATAGAATCCAAATATCTAACCCAAAGGGAAACATTAACTGATCTCAGATGCAATGGAAAGAAAGACCATAATTCACCCAAACGGCATCATAGGAAATGGAGTATCTCGACTGCCACGCTCAAGCATGAGCAAGATGAAAACAAACTGCATGGCCACTGTGCCAAAATACTGCAGCAAAATAAGAATAGTTTGAAATTAAATTAAGAAAAGGAGTGAGGCCAGGCACGGTGGCTCACGCCTGTAATCCCAGCACTTTGGGAGGCCGAGGCGGGCGGATCATGAGGTCAGGAGATCGAGACCATCCTAGCTAACATAGTGAAACCCCGTTTCTACTAAAAACACAAAAAATTAGCCAGGCGTGGTGGCAGGCGCATGTAGTCCCAGCTACTCGGGAGGCTGAGGCAGGAGAATGGCGTCAACCCGGGAGGCAGAGCTTGCAGTGAGCCAAGATGGCACCACTGTACTCCAGCCTGGGTGACAGAGCGAAACTCCGTCTCAAAAAAAAAAAAAAAAAAAAAAGGAGTGAGGGTGTATTAGTTTGCTAAGACTGTCTTAGTAACATACCACAGTCTGGATGCCTTAAATAACAGAAATGTATATTCTCACAGTTCTGGAGGCTAGAAATTCAAGGTCAAGGTCTCAGCAGCATTGGTTTTTCTGAAACTTCTCTCCTTGGCTGTAGATGGCCTGTGTCTTCACGTGGTCTTCCCTCTGTACCTGTCTGTATCCATATGTCCTCTTTGTGTAAGGATACCATTCATATTGGATAGAGGCCCACCCTAATGACCTCATTTTAACTTACTGACTTCTTGAAAGACCCTGTGTCCTAATACATGTTCTGTGGTCCTGGAAGTTAGGGCTTCACCATGTAAATTTGGGGGCAGGGAGGGGATACAATTTAGTCCATAACAGAAAGTTAGAAATGAAAATAGTAAAATACAAAGAAAACATAATTCAAGGAACAGAAAGAAATTCCTGACAATTGCTTGATGCTGAGAATCACTTAATGTGAATTCCAGGTAATCAGAGTTTAAAGATAAGATGTTAAAATGAAAGAGTAAGAAAACAAGATGAGTGTCAAAGCAATACACTGCATAATGTATAGAAACAGTCAGAGGCAGAATAAATAGGGAGGAAATTATATTATTTTCATAGAGAGAATGACTGAGATCATTACAGGTAATACAGATAAACCTTATGATTAAAGCATTACAGGGAAGCTACTAGATATAGAAGCTATTCAGCCCATCCAACATAAGTATAATTGGTGCCTCTGACGTATAGACCTCAAAAATAGAATGAAGATATATTTGAAGATTTAAGGAAATTTCCTTGAGATAAATAATTGAAGTTGGGATTAAAAGAGCATGTCCCAAAAAAGAATTGATACCAAAAGTTTTACACTGGGACATATTGGAAACAAGCTATAAAACTTCAAACATGAAGAAGTCTTTAGGCCTTTATGGAAAATAAAATAAAATCAGCTATAAAAAGGGAAAGTTAAAGTTGACCTCCAATTTCTTGACAACATTTAAAGCCAGCAAATAATTTCTACAATGATCTAAGAAAAAGAAAGTGTGACCCAGTGTGACCCAAAAATATGAAGTATAAAGACAATAGGCAGATATTCTTTTGTTTGTTTGTTTGTTTTGAGACAGAGTCTTGCTCTGTCGCCAGGCAGATATTCTTAAACATGAAATAATTCAAAGGATGCAACACAAATAAGCCCTTATAAAAAAATATTTGTTGACAATGAAATTCACCAAGAGAGGAAATGAGTCGCAATATAAACAAGGAAATAAACAGCCTTCAGGAATAGAAAAGTCACAGTAGGCCTGGCCTAGTGGCTCACACCTATCATCCCAACTCTTTGGGAGGCTGAGGCAGGAGGATTGCTTGAGCCCAGGAGTTTAAGACCAGCCTGGGCAACATGGCGAAACCCCATCTCTACAAAAAATACAAAAATTAGCTGGGTGTGGTGGCACATGACTGTAGTCCCAAACTACTTGGAAGGCTGAGATGGGAGGATGTTGATCCATTTATATATAAAACATACTAAACAATTATGGGCCTGGGAACACAAACACACCTTCACATATATGAAATGATATTTGTACGTGGTTATTCATTACAACATTATTTATAATAGCAAAAAAATGAAAACAAGCCAAGGGTCCATCAATAGGGGCCAGATTTTAAAACTGTGATTCATCCCACAATGGAATCCTATACAGCTACAAGAAGAATGAGGATGCTATGTATGTTTAAGGAAAGAGTTCCAAAATATGTTATATCAAAAAATCATAGTGCATAATAGTATATTCATTATTGTTCTAGCTGCACAAAGAAACATCAGAAATATAAACAAGAACTAAGGAAAGGAATCATCTAATGGGGACAGGGAGAACTAAGAGGAAGGGGCAAGGGTGGAAGTGAAACTTCTCAATGCACAGCATCTTGTATTATTTTGACTTTTCAAATCATATGACAGTGTTAAATCGTCAGAACACTTTTTTTTTTTTTTTTGAGATGGAGTGTCGCTCTGTCTCCCACGCTGGAGTGCAGTGGCGTGATCTCGGCTCATTGCAAGCTCCGCCTCCCAGGTTCATGCCATTCTCCTGCCTCAGCCTCCCAAGTAACTGGGACTACAGGCGCCTGCCACCACAACTGGTTATTTTTTTATTTTATTTTATTTTTCATATTTTTAGTAGAGACGGGGTTTCACTGTGTTAGCCAGAATGGTCTCGATCTCCTGACCTTGAGATCCACCTGCCTCAGCCTCCCAAAGTGCTGGGATTACAGGCGTGAGCCACCGTGCCCAGCCAGTCAGAACACATTTTAAAGACTACAGGAATGATAGTTATCAAATAGAATTGAAGTGTCATAAACCTGGACAATGGATCAAGGTCAAAGATTGTTTCCTTAAGTTGAAATAGCAACCAAAACGTTGTTCACACAGGGCTTGGGGGGCGGCTGCTGGCACTGTGGGCTTCTTAATGAAAAAATTTAAGCTAAAAACATCAAAAATTAAAAGTTTTTAAAACATTTTTCATTTAACAGGCCATTGAAATGCATGGTACAAAAATCAGTGATAAGGTTATTATAAAATGAAATGGACAGAATAAATGTTTGATTTAATTTTCCATCTATGAGAATTTCACAATAAAATCAGTTTACTTTTTAAAAAAGAAAAAAAAAACATAGACAATGTTAAAAACAGTGACATAACTATTCAAAATTTGGAGTTGTCTGGGCACAGTGTCTCACACCTGAAACTTTGGGAGGCCGAGGTTGGAGGATCACTTGAGGCCAGGAGTTCAAGACCAGCCTGAGCAACATAGTAAGGACCCCATCTCTTCAAAAAAGTTAAAAAGTAGCTGAGTGGGGTGGCATTTGCCTGTACTACTAGCTACTTGAGAAGCTGAGGTGGGAGGATGGCTGACCTCAGGAGCTGGAGGCTTCAGTGAGCTATGATCGCACCACTGCCCCCCAGCCTGGGCAACAGAGCAAGACCCTGTCTCAAAAAAAAAATTGGGGGAGTTGAAGAGAGGGGAGATGGAAGGGACTCTGTTAGTGCTACTCTTTCAAAACAGTATCAATAGATAATGTTTAAACTGGAAACGAAGTTTAGTAAACACAAGTCCAATTTATTTCATAACCTCTTAATGTATTTCATAATTGTTTAATGCATACTTCATAATCTCTTTTTAGAACTCTAAAGGGACCCTTTATGAACCAATATTTCCCATGACAAAGAAACATTGGTTTGTGATAATTCCTTCAAGTTCTTTTATCCTATTAAACACAAGTAAAATTGAAATTAACAAATGTAATAAAATAGTACTTGTATGATCCTATCTTAATAAAAGTATTTCTATTTATTTTTCTAACCTATCTATCCTTGTAGTTCTAAAGAAAGAGGCCTGAAATAATGTTTCTCCATATTAGCAATGACATTTCTTGGTGGATGGTCTTGGGGTAATTGGTTTTACTTTTTTGTTTGTGCTTTTTCTCTATTATTTTAGTTATTTATAATGAGAATAGACTATTTAAAATAGAGTGATTTTGCTTTAAGCATGCACGTGAGTTTGCACACATGCACACGTGTGCACACACACACACACACACACACACACACATTCACAGAGGAACTACATGCCCAAAAAGGTTTATAGTGATTGATTCAAATAGAAGAAATGGGGTGATTGGATCAGTCACTTCTTTTCTTTGTGTACTCTTTTGCATTTTAGAAATGTTTAAACAATGTTAAATAATTTAATAGCTTAACAAGAGAGAGTAAAAGTTGCCCTCCACTTCCTTCCCAGTCCTCCTGCCAGTTTTTGGTGTATCTTTTCACACTGGACCCACAAGCACATGGGTTTGGGTTCACATGATACTTCACGGAGCTTAAGGAACTTCTGTTACAGAACACCGAGACCTACCACGTTCTTTTTAATGGCTATATTATTTTCTATTGTCTGAATACTATTTTAGTTTTTACGTATATTTAAATTGTCTCATAAAATGGACAGTGCTGTAATATACCTTTGCATAGTGTATGAATATATCTTTGGGATAATTTCCTAGAGATAGAATTATTGGGTCAACAGGTGTGTGCATTACATTTTGTTTTAACTTTTTGTATTTTTTCCCACTCATTTTAATTCCTTAACTTGTCAAAGTTCTTTTTTCGTTTAAGAAATATAGGCCAAGTGTGGTGGCTCACGCCTGTAATCCCAGCACTTTGGGAAGTCAAGGATTGCTTCAGCCCAGGAGTTTGAAACCAGCCTGGGCCACATAGCAAGACCCCATCTGTAAAAAATAAAAAATTGGCCCAGCATGGTAGCACACACCCCTAGTCCCAAGAGGATGAGGTGGGAGGATGGCTTGAAGTCAGGAGTTCCAGGCTGCAAAAAAAGAGAAACATATATAAGTAACAAAGTTTCATGTACTCCAAAAGGTCTTATCATGGAAAGCAACATTTCTCTGTCCCTCTGCCTCCCTGCCCCAAGATACAAGATACTTTTAACTAATTTTAACAATTTCTTCTGATTGCTATCTCCATAACTCTAAAAAATAAAAGCTTATCATGATAGTTCCTAATTGATCCATTTTAGACTTCCTGCTATAGCACATAAAGATTTGTGGTTACACAACTATTTTTGGGTAAATCAGTAAGGTATTAAGGCACACATTATTATAGTTTTATAAATATTGTCTGCTGTCAAGCCAAATCGTGTACTACAATCACAGTTTCTTTCTTGTCCAAATTTTCTTTTTCCTGGAATCTTTAATTAATTGCCACTCTGTCTTCTCTGACCTCTTCTGATACTTTTTTTCTCAGATCTCAGGTACACTGAATTGGGTTGATGGTGATCCTTGGTTCAGGACATAATTTCAGTGTTAGTTCGTACAATGACCTCACACATGTATCTTTTTAGCTATAATGACTAAGACATGGTTCTTCATTTATTTGCTCTTTTCTCCCAGTCTCTTCATTAGAGTATTCTATCAACTTCCCCTTTTACCCCAGACCCCTCCGTCTTTCCTCGGTTGAGATTTATTAGTCTCTGACCCAATCAATTACATTAAATGAATTGAGTAAGCGTTTTCTAATGGTATAAAGAAAAAACAGTCTTGATAAGTTTGTAAACTCTCACTTTTAAGCTCTCATAAATAATTTGGTCTGTTTTCTAATATTAGCTAAAAGTAATACAATAGAACCTTAGGAGTGACAAAAATGTTTTATAAAGTGGATAAAAATCATGTTTCTCAAGAGATCATCTGTAATCTGGTCACTGGTCACACAAATGTTTTTTGTTTGTTTGTTTGTTTGTTTTTGAGATGGAGTTTCGCTCTTGTTGCCCAGGCTGGAGTGCAATGGTGTGATCTCGGCTCACCGCAACCTCTGCCTCCCGGGTTCAAGCAATTCTCCTGCCTCAGCCTCCCGAGTAGCTGGGATTACAGGCATGTGCCACCACGCCCGGCTAATTTTGTATTCTTAGTAGAGATGGGGTTTCTCCATGTTGGTCAGGCTGGTCTCAAACTCACGACATCAGATGATCCGCCCGCCTCGGCCTCCCAAAGTGCTGGGATTACAGGCGTGAGCCACTGTGCCCGGCTGGTCTCTTTTATGTAAGCATATCCCACTTAGCAGGGAGTATGCCTGGAGTGACTTCTTACTCAGTTCAGGAAATAAGGATTATGATTATTGAATGTTAATTACTAAGAAAATATGGTTATTTAATCTTCTGACAGTCTTACATATTATTTGCTTACTTTATAAATTAGGAAATTGCAAGGGTAAATTACCTGCCCAAGGTCACAAAGCTAGTTAATGGTGGAGTTAAAAGTCAAGCTTTGTTTGATGCCAAAGCTCATCTTCTTTCCCCTCTAGCCTGCTTTCTGGACTGCATCACCAAACCTTACCCACTGTATTGTATTTGTTTTCTCTCTTAGTGGATGAGTGCTCGTCTGACTACACAATTGTGCTTCCTGTGATTGGGGCCATCGTGGTTGGTCTCTGCCTTATGGGTATGGGTGTCTATAAAATCCGCCTAAGGTGTCAATCATCTGGATACCAGAGAATCTAATTGTTGCCCGGGGGGAATGAAAATAATGGAATTTAGAGAACTCTTTCATCCCTTCCAGGATGGATGTTGGGAAATTCCCTCAGAGTGTGGGTCCTTCAAACAATGTAAACCACCATCTTCTATTCAAATGAAGTGAGTCATGTGTGATTTAAGTTCAGGCAGCACATCAATTTCTAAATACTTTTTGTTTATTTTATGAAAGATATAGTGAGCTGTTTATTTTCTAGTTTCCTTTAGAATATTTTAGCCACTCAAAGTCAACATTTGAGATATGTTGAATTAACATAATATATGTAAAGTAGAATAAGCCTTCAAATTATAAACCAAGGGTCAATTGTAACTAATACTACTGTGTGTGCATTGAAGATTTTATTTTACCCTTGATCTTAACAAAGCCTTTGCTTTGTTATCAAATGGACTTTCAGTGCTTTTACTATCTGTGTTTTATGGTTTCATGTAACATACATATTCCTGGTGTAGCACTTAACTCCTTTTCCACTTTAAATTTGTTTTTGTTTTTTGAGACGGAGTTTCACTCTTGTCACCCAGGCTGGAGTACAGTGGCACGATCTCGGCTTATGGCAACCTCCGCCTCCCGGGTTCAAGTGATTCTCCTGCTTCAGCTTCCCGAGTAGCTGGGATTACAGGCACACACTACCACGCCTGGCTAATTTTTGTATTTTTATTATAGACGGGGTTTCACCATGTTGGCCAGACTGGTCTTGAACTCTTGACCTCAGGTGATCCACCCACCTCAGCCTCCCAAAGTGCTGGGATTACAGGCATGAGCCATTGCGCCCGGCCTTAAATGTTTTTTTTAATCATCAAAAAGAACAACATATCTCAGGTTGTCTAAGTGTTTTTATGTAAAACCAACAAAAAGAACAAATCAGCTTATATTTTTTATCTTGATGACTCCTGCTCCAGAATCGCTAGACTAAGAATTAGGTGGCTACAGATGGTAGAACTAAACAATAAGCAAGAGACAATAATAATGGCCCTTAATTATTAACAAAGTGCCAGAGTCTAGGCTAAGCACTTTATCTATATCTCATTTCATTCTCACAACTTATAGGTGAATGAGTAAACTGAGACTTAAGGGAACTGAATCACTTAAATGTCACCTGGCTAACTGATGGCAGAGCCAGAGCTTGAATTCATGTTGGTCTGACATCAAGGTCTTTGGTCTTCTCCCTACACCAAGTTACCTACAAGAACAATGACACCACACTCTGCCTGAAGGCTCACACCTCATACCAGCATACGCTCACCTTACAGGGAAATGGGTTTATCCAGGATCATGAGACATTAGGGTAGATGAAAGGAGAGCTTTGCAGATAACAAAATAGCCTATCCTTAATAAATCCTCCACTCTCTGGAAGGAGACTGAGGGGCTTTGTAAAACATTAGTCAGTTGCTCATTTTTATGGGATTGCTTAGCTGGGCTGTAAAGATGAAGGCATCAAATAAACTCAAAGTATTTTTAAATTTTTTTGATAATAGAGAAACTTCGCTAACCAACTGTTCTTTCTTGAGTGTATAGCCCCATCTTGTGGTAACTTGCTGCTTCTGCACTTCATATCCATATTTCCTATTGTTCACTTTATTCTGTAGAGCAGCCTGCCAAGAATTTTATTTCTGCTGTTTTTTTTGCTGCTAAAGAAAGGAACTAAGTCAGGATGTTAACAGAAAAGTCCACATAACCCTAGAATTCTTAGTCAAGGAATAATTCAAGTCAGCCTAGAGACCATGTTGACTTTCCTCATGTGTTTCCTTATGACTCAGTAAGTTGGCAAGGTCCTGACTTTAGTCTTAATAAAACATTGAATTGTAGTAAAGGTTTTTGTAATAAAAACTTACTTTGGAGATTTGTGCATGTCATTTATTTTTTATGATTCATTTTTGTGCTGTATAAATTTTGTTTACAATCATCTTAGGTTTTTGCTCCGATCAATAAGTTAAATCATCTTTCTATAATTTGTTTCATTCTATTCTCCATTGCCACATTATCACTTGGTAGGAATTCCTGAGAAGATAAACCACATTAAAGTTACATATGAAATGTCTCAACTCTTAGCTTAGACTGACTGCATTACTAGTTTGCTTAAATGTCGCCACGTTTGTTCATTCATTCATTTGATCAGCATTGATAAGGATTTGCTAAATGCCAGATACTCTTGTAGGAGCTGAGATAAATAAGAGGTCCTATATTAGTTACCCATAGTGATCTGAGAGAAAGAGAGAGAGGGCTGGGAGCGGTGGCTGACACCTGTAATCCCAGCACTTTGGGAGGCCGAGGCAGTCAGGTCACGAGGTCAGGAGTTTGAGACCAACCTGGCCAATATGGTGAAACTCCGTCTCTACTAAAAGTACAAACAAATTAGCTGGGCATGGTGGTGTGCACCTGTAGTCCCAGCTACTCGGGAGGCTGAGGCAGAAGAATCGCTTGATCCCGGGAGACAGAGGTTGCAGTGAGCCGAGATCATGCCACTGCACTCCAGCCTGGGCGACAGAGCGAGACTCCATCTCAAAAAAAAAGAGAGAGAGAGAGACTGACCAAGATGAAAGCCGTCATATTTTTATAACCTAATCACAGAAGAAACATACTATCGCATGTCTGTTTATGGTTCACACAAACCATCTCTGGTACACTGTGGAAGGGGACTACACAAGGGCTCGAATATCAGATTTTAGTCCATTCTGTGCCATTATCACAGAATACCACAGATTTTTTGATAACTTACAAGCAATAGAAGTTGATTTGGTCATGGTTCTGGAGCCTGGGAAGTCCAAGATGGAAGGGCCAAATCTGATGTGCATCTTCTTGCTGCCTTGTAACATGGTAAAAGGCATCACATGGTGCGAGGACACAGAAGAGAGAGCAAGAGGGGGCCCCACACTTGTAATAATAGCATTAATCCATCCACGAGGGCAGAGCCATCATGACCCCACTGCCTCTTAAAGGTCCCGCTTCTCAACACTGTTGCATTGTAGATTAAGTTTCCAACATATGGTTTGGGGGACACCTTCCAACCACAGCGCCGGGAGAGGGAGGAACCCCTGGAGGCAGCGTGGATGCTGCCTACCTCAGGTGCCTACTGTCAAGGTGAACATTGTGGAATTCGTGGTTTACTTTTTGGAGGGAACTTCAGTAAATAAATTCCAGTATATATACTAAGATAAGTGGATTAATAGGAACATATACAAGGGATGATGAGAGCAAGGCCCTTTCCAGCCTGCTTCCAACCCTGCCCCAGGTGTAGCACCTCCTCAGGAGCACAGCCTCCCAATCCCTGGTGATGAAGGTCCATTGACCACAGGGTCTGGTGTTGACCCATTGGTCTACAGCACTGACGTCACGGCTTCACCTTCCTAAAAGAAAGTAGCCAGGATGGCTCCAGCCCCTACCCAATCTGCCCCACCTTTGTTCTTCTCACACTTTTCTTGCTTTGTAAGGTCCTAGATCCCCCCTCTGGACTCCTGTTTGGGGCTCTAAGCTTGAAGGCCAAGAAGGTCTGAGGACACAAATACATGAGCCACTCCTTCCTGACCCGGGTCTTGGTTCTCTAGGATGATTTGCTGTGAGGTTTCCCTCTGCCCACTAAGTAAAAGGAATATAAACTATAAAAAGAATGGAAGAAGAATCTCTGCCAATGAAAAAAGAGTTTCATTTTATAATACTCCAGCCCCTCGCTCATCAACAAGTCCCTTCACCCCACCTTAGTGCCTCCAAGAGATGCCAATTTTGGTCAAGTGTTGGCAGGCATAAATAAGAGATGTTTAGGCCAGGTGCCATGGCTCACACCTGTAACCCTAGCACTTTGGGAGGCTGAGGCAGTTGGATCACCTGAGGTCAGGAGTTTGAGACCAGCCTGGCCAATGTTGTGAAACCCCATCTCTGCTAAAAATATAAAAATTAGCCAGGCATGGTGGTGGGCACCTGTAATCCCAGCTGTCTGGGAGGCTGAGGCAGGAGAATCATTTGAACCTGGGAGGTGAGGTTGCAGTGAGCCAAGATCGTAGGACTGCCCTCCAGCCTGGGCAACAGAGTGAGACTCTGTCTCAAAAAAAAAAAAAAAAAAAAAAAAAAAAAGAGATGTTTTATTTTGTTTTTAACTTAACTAGTTTTATATTAAGACCAAGATTGACTAAAGATAAAATTGTGAAATAAATTCTGTTATCAAAATTATAAAATCTCTTTTGCTTTCCAGATATTCCCTCATGCTGTCCTGGCAAACTTTCTTCTTAAGTGCTCATGTATTCTTCTAACTTCCTCATACCTCCACCAGCCCCACCACCCCACCCCAACATGCTTTGGCTGACCCCAACAATGTTATTCACTCACTCAATTCCATTTTTTTTTTAAACGGAGTCTCACTCTGTCACCCAGGCTGGAGTACAACGGCACAATCTCGGCTCACTGCAACCTCTGTCTCCTGGGTTCAAGCAATTCTCCTGCCTCAGCCTCCTGAGTAGCTGGGATTACAGGTGTGCACCACCATGGCCAGCTAATTTTTGTATTTTTAGTAGAGACGGGGTTTCACCATGTTGGCCAGGGTAGTCTCAAACTCCTGACCTCAGGTGATCCACCCTCCTCAGCCTCCCAAAGTGCTGGGATTACAGGGTCGAGCCACCGTGCACAGCCATTTTTTAAATTTTTTATTTTATTTTATTTTATTTTGAGACAGGGTCTCGCTCTGTCACCCAGGCTGGAATGCAGTGGTGTGATCACGGCTTACAGTAGCTTCAACTTCCCAGGCTCCAGCGATCCTCCCACCTCAGCCTCGAAGGTAGCTGGGACTACAGGTGCGTGCTATCACACCCAGCTAATTTTTAATTTTTTTTTTTGTAGATACGTGGTCTTGCTATGTTGCGCCAGCTGGTCTAAATTTCTGGGCTCAAATGATCCACTCACCTCTGCCTCCCAAAATGCTGGGATTACAGGCATGAAGCACCAATCCTGGCTCATTATCATGTGTTAGTAACCCATTGTGGAGTCGTCTTTTATCCCTCCCAAGGCCACGTGCATTTTGTCAAAAGACATTACCTTAATCCAAAGGCATAAAGCTTCGACTAAGTGCAATGGCTCACACCTGTAATCCCAGCACTTTGGGAGGCCAAGGGAAGCAGATCATTTGAGGCCAGGAGTTCGAGATCAGCCTGGCCAATATGGCAAAACCCCATCTCCACTAAAAATACAAAAATTGGCTGGGCATGGTGACACGCACCTGTAGTCCCATCTATTCGGGAGTCTGGGGCATGAGAATTGCTTGAACCCAGGGAGCGGAGGTTACAGTGAGTTGAGATAGCGCCACTGCACTCCAGCCTGGGTGACAGAGTGAGACTCTGTCTCAACATCGACAACAAAACAAAGGCATAAAGTTTTATGTGTGAGGTTTTAGGCCTGAGCACAAGATTAGCAAGAGGAATCTTTCAAGGCAGCAGGATCTCCTGGCCTCCATCTATTCTCACCACCTGCCAGGAGTCCCTACCCACACTTCCTGTTAAGATAGCTCTGATTATAAGCTTGTTCTATACTCACCTGCCTCTGTAGCTTCACTAGCTATTGGATGGACACTTTTAATTGGACAGTTTTAAAAGACATTACCGGCTGGGCGCGGTGGCTCACACCTGTAATCCCAGCACTTTTGGAGGCGGAGGCGGGTGGATCGCAAGGTCAAGAGATCGAGACTATCCTGGCCAACATGGGGAAACCCCGTCTCTACTAAAAATAAAAAAATTAGCTGGGTGTGGTGGTGCACACCTGTAGTCCCAGCTACTCGGGAGGCTGGGGCAGGAAAATCTCTTGAAACCAGGAGGCGGAGGTTGCAGTGAGCCAAGATAGTGCCACTGCACTCCAGCCTGACAACAGAGTGAGACTGTCTCAAAAAAAAAAAGTCAGCCAGGCATGGTGGTGCACACCTGTAATCCCAGCTACTCAGTAGGCTGAGGCAGGAGAATTGCTTGAACCTGGCAGGCGGAGGTTGCAGTGAGGCAAGATAGTGCCACTGCACTCCAGCCTGGGTGACAGAGCGAGACTCCATCTCAAAAAAAAAGAGAGAGAGCTATTGCCACGTTTGCCCCAAAGCCACAAGCATCTTCCACAGGCAGCTCCCAGACAATGACTGAGCATGCAGGGATACTAAGGTGAAACCATTCCCGGGACACATTGTCCTCATCTGACAGCTGACTTTGGCTTGAGAACTTCTCAACTGCCAGAACTTCCCCAGACTGCACGGCAGAAATGCTTCTGCCCAGTGCTCTTTCCCTTTCTCCTTCATGCAAGTTCAAGCTGGCATCATGGTCTGAAAACTCTCCAGCACCTTGGCTCCCTCACCATTTTCTCCCACAGACTTTTCACCTGATAAAGTCTGGCATGGTTAATCCCATCTTGGCATCTTTTTCTTTAAAGTCCCAGACTAACGTAAGTGGTGCTGAAAGTGCCCCAAGAAAAGAGGCAGTAGGAAGGGGATTTGGAACTGGCTCACCCATCACCCAGCAGATGAGGGGATACTGTCCTGGTTGATAGGTGGACGCAGATAGTTCCTGGACCTGGGTGGCAGCTCAGTTGCTAACGATTTCATTGGTGGTGACCTGAGAAAAGATGCTTTTGGAGGGGAATGCTGTAGCAGGTGTGATTTCACAAGCATTTAACAATATGGGAGAACAATGCCTACCAAGACAGCAGAATGGGCTGTCCTACTAAATTGTGTTGATGGCCCTGCAGGGGAATAACAGACTGAGGGCTGTTAACAAGCAGTGAATCACCAAATATGAGAGTAGGAGAGCCTTGGGAGCAGCTTACAAAACAGGCATTATCTTCCGCAGTGGCAAGACAGACTCGGTTTTGAACAGCTGGTCAAAAATCTAATTGCAAGCTGGGCTTGATGGCGCATGCCTGTAATACCAGCACCTTGAGTGGCTCAGGTGGGAGGATTGCTTGAGCCCAGGAGATTGAGACCAGCGTGAGCAACATAGAGAGACTCCTGTCTCTACAAAAAGTTAAAAAATTAGCTGGGCATGGTGGTGCTCACCTGTGGTCCCAGATATTCGGGAGGCTGCGGTGGGAGGATAGCTTGAGCCCAGGAGATCAAGGCTGCAGTGAGCAGTAATCTCACCACTGCACTCCAGCCTGGGTGACAGGGCAAGACCCTGTTTCAAAAAAAAAAAAAAAAATTGCAAGTCTACAGAGCCTCAAAGAGATTTGAGTGTCTGGTGCAGGCAGGTCTGGTATACAAAGTGCAGGGCCCTGGTGGGGAAATCCGGGATCCTGAACCATAGCTCAGGGGCACTGAGATGGATTCCGCCAGTGATATTTGACTCTGCAAAAGCCCAGAGCCTCTGGGATTTCAGATGTAGCCCAGCCTTCCCTACTTCGTGCTAGCACATCAGTTTTCTGGAAGATGCTACTGAAGCCTCTCTCACAAGGCAAGAGGTGACCCCTCAGGAGTTGCCTCACCTCTTCTCCTCCTTGCCAGGCTGAGAACTAGTATGAAAATGCAGCTGAACACATGCTGGGCCTGATTGAGGCAGGAGAATCGGGAAATTGGGGTTAGCAGGGTTTCAGCAAGTGCAGCCAGTGCGCACGGGCAGGGGAACAGTAGGTGCAGCCAGTCCGCACGGGCAGGGGAACAGCAGGCGCAGTCAGTGCGCACGGGCAGGGAAACAGCAGGCGCAGCCAGTCCGCAAGGGCAGGGGAATAGCAGGCGCAGCCAGTCCGCACGGGCAGGGGAAAAGCAGGTGCAGCCAGTCCTCACGGGCAGGGGAACAGCAGGTGCAGCCAGTGCGCACGGGTAGGGGAACAGCAGGTGCAGCCAGTCTGCACCGGCAGGGGAACAGCGGGTGCAGTCAGTGCGCATGGGCAGGGGAACAGCGGGTGCAGTCAGTGCGCATGAGCAGGAGAGCCGCAGGTGCAGCATATAGATCACATCCTCGCTCCCATGACAACAAGCCCCTTTAGCCCCCCATTGGCCGCCGGCCAGTCCTTCATGGGGTGTGGCCAATTGGAGGCTTCTGAGGGTTTCCTAGGGGTTTTGCTGGGTTCTTTCTAGCTTAATTTAAAAAAAACCCTACTTGAGGGGGCTCTTCAGCAACTGCTTGCTCGAGCCCACTCCCACTCTGTGACCGTCTTCAATAAATCTGTGCCCACTCCGTGGTGTTGTGTTCAACTATTTGTCCAATACGCCAAGAACCTGGACATCACATTTAGGACTTTTTTTTTTTAATTTGAGATGGAGTTTTGCTCTTGTCACTCAGGCTGGAGTGCAGTGGCGTGATCTCGGCTCACTGCAACTTCCGCCTCCCGGGTTCAAGCGATTCTTCCACCTCAGCCTCCCGAGTAGCTGGGATTACAGGCGCCCAACACCATGCCCAGCTAATTTTTGTATTTTTAGTAGAGATGGAGTTTCACCATGTTGGCCAGGCTGGTCTCCAACTCCTGACCTCAGATGATCCACCCACCTCAGCCTCCCAAAGTGCTGGGATTACGGGCGTGGGCCACCGCACCTGGCAGCATTTAGGACCTTCTCTCTGGTAACATAAGTAGGGGAAGAGACAACACACACCCAAAATGGCAAGAATCCGCTGGCACGGACAGGCTGGACCCAGGTGAGTACTCCTGGGGTTGGATTTTGAAGGTGCTTGGTCAATAGAGCCAAAAGGTAAATCTGGGTGAGCAAGAATTCACTGACCTCAGGGTAGATTCTTGAACATGGTATTTAACACCCAGCAAGAACTCCAGGGAATGGACACTTGCTGAGATGGCTCTTAGAAGCCTGGAAGAAATGATAGCCAATTCTAAGCAAAGCGGAGATGCCTGGGTGGCCCTGGCAGATGGCAGAGGAAGGAATAAGGAGGTTGAGGAGAGTGTTGAATTGATGTGTTTTAGTAAGGTCAGAAGACATGCTAGAGGATTGTTTTCCATGAGAGGGCTTAGGATACATCTTTTATCAAGGCCGTCAGAGGGGTGCCGGCATCCCTGGGCACGTTGGTGTGGCTCTTTTTTGTAACACAGTTGGTAGGAGAGAGGTCCCAGAACTGGGAGTGTGGGAATGATGGGTCCCCTGAAACAAAGCCAGGCGGCAGCATTTAGCACCACGAGCCGGGAGACTGTCATTACCATAACAACTGGCAAGGTAGAGGGGCATCCAAAGGAGCTTGGTTTGCAGGACTGTGGATGTGGTTAATGGAGCAGGGAATCCCTAGGAGCAAAATACAGGGGCAGCCAGCATGGGTCCTGCTTAACATCTAAAGCAACAGCAACAACAACAGACAGTGGAGAGGCAGGAGGCTAAGGGTGGTCACTCCAATAAAACACCACGATTCCTTGCTCCGTTTCCAGAACCGAGGCAATTTTTAGATCTAGAGTCACTGTCTGAATAAGTGGCTTGCTCTCTAGGAGGAAGAGCCTGTGAAGATTCTTCCCCTTCTTCCCCCAAAGGGACTTGAGAGGAAAATACTGTCTTACTTCTTCTTTCACACCATAACAATCAACACAGAAAACTGCTGTGATCAAATGTGTATGTTTCTCCCCACCCTCAAATACCGAGCAAGCCATCAGTTCTGCAGTGGACACCAGATGGCTTCCTTCAATTCAATTCTGACACTGCCTGGAGACAGCATCAGATCCCATGTTGTACCCGAGCGAGTTAGAAAAACGCCACACTTTGAGATGAATTAAAAGTCCTTTATTAGCCAGCGACCGAGAGACGGCTAACGCTCAAAATTTGGCCCCAAGAAAGGGGCTTGATTAACTTTTACATCTTGGTTTAGGAAGGGGGGCGGGGGGTCTAGTTAAAACAATTTTACAGAAGTTAAGTAGTCAAAAAGGTAAAAGGATAAATGGTTACAGGAAAGTAAACAGTTCCAGGTGCAGGGGCTTTAAGACTATTACAAGGTGATAGACACAGGGCTTTGGGCGTTATCAATCAGACGAATTCTTGGGCACTGCGGATATAGCTCGCCACAGTATCTTATCCGTTAATTGCATTCTTGGATGTGCTGGGAGTCAGCTTGCACAAGTTAAGTCCTTGAGGAAGAGGCTGCCAGTGAAAGAGCCAAGATGGAGTTTGTCTTGTTCTCTTAGCTAAGGGAGAAACAAGGCCTGGTGAATAAGGAAAAAACAAGGTTGGGCATTACACCCACGGGTTGAGGGCTCACCCCCCAAGACAGCTCCCCACCCGCTCTGCACTTCTGATGCCAGTTGCAAGCCCTGGGTTATTTTGCCTGTATTTTTGACCCACCAGCTAAAAATCAGGATTTCCACAACTCCCTCCTCAGGTTCTATTAATTTGCTAGAGTGGCTCCCAGAACTCTGGGAAACACTTTTACCAGTTTATTATAAAGGACCCTTTTTTTAAATTTTTTTTTATTTTTTTTTGAGACAGAGTCATCTTCTGTCACCCAGGTTGGACCACAGCGGTGTGATCACAGCTCATTGCAGCCTTGACCTCCTGGACTTAAGGGAACCTCCCACCTCAGCTTCCTTTTTTTTATTTTTTATTTATTTATTTTTATTATTATACTTTAAGTTCTAGGGTACACGTGCACAATGTGCAGGTTTGTTACATATGTATACATGTGCCATGTTGGTGTGCTGCACTCATTAACTCGTCATTTACATTAGGTATATCTCCTAATGCTATCCGTCCCCCCTCCCCCCACCCCACAACAGTCCCCGGAGTATGATGTTCCCCTTCCTGTCCAAGTGTTCTCATTGTTCAATTCCCACCTATCAGTGAGAACAGCGGTGTTTGGTTTTCTGTCCTTGCGATAGTTTGCTGTTCTACTTCAGCTTTCTAAGTAGCTGGAACCACAGGCTCCCACCACTAAGCCCAGTTAATTTTTTTTTTTTTTTTTTGAGATGGAGTCTCGCTCTGTCACCAGGCTGGAGTGCAGTGGAGCCATCTCGGCTCACTGCAATCTCTGCCTCCCGGGTTCAAGGGATTCTCCTGCCTCAGCCTCCCGAGTAGCTGAGGTTACAGGCGCCCACTACCACGCCCAGCTAATTTTTGTATTTTTAGTAGAGACGGAGTTTCACCATCTTGGTCAGGATGGTCTCGATCTCTTGACTTCGTGATCCGCCGGCCTTGGCCTCCCAAAGTGGTGAGATTACAGGCGTGAGCCACCGTGCCCGGCCAATTTTTTTTTTATTTTTTATTTTTTTTTATTTTTTAAGATGGGGGTCTCACTACATTGCCAGGCTGGTCTCCAACTTCTGGTCTCAAGCAATCCTCCTGCCCAAGCTCCCAAAGGGCTGAGATTACAGGTGTGAGCCAATGCGCCCAGCCTTCAAAGGATATTTTAAAGTATACAAATAGACAGATGAAGAGATACATAGGGTAAAGTCTGGAACGGTTTGCATGCTGGTATACATGCTGAAATATTTATGGATGAAATTAAATGATGGTTGAAATTTGCCTCAGAAAAATCTGATAGGAAGTGGTGATAGGTGGGATATAGATGAAAAAGGTTAATCGTGAGTTGATAATTATTAAAATTGTATAATGTGTACAGGGATTTATTATATAATTCTACCCACTCTTGTAATGGTAAAGCTTTTCCATAATAAAAGGTTTTTTAAACCAGGGGAGAAAAACTCATATGCATGAGAGAAAATGTCTTGTCTTTGCTTGATGTTGTGTCTGCTGTGATGGTAGGAGCCACTGCAGCCTTCTTTTGACACTTGCTGAAAATGGTAGAGCAGGATAGAAAGCACATGGCCACATCCTTGGTGATAACATTGAGCTATTGAGTTAACCAGTCCTGGAAACACCCTACCTTCTGTCCTTGTTATGTGAAATAAATTTCCCTCATTTTTAGTTGGATGTTCTGTGGCTTACAGGCAAAAACATCTTAATTGACACGGGGAACAACAAGAAATTTGTAGGATTAACAGAGTCATAGAGCTTAATTTAAAATGATGAGATTGATGATGAGGAAAATGCCTGGGCCCTTTTTAGGTATTAGAAAGCTGAGCTGGCATACATTTGTTTTCAGAATCACTGAACCCTGCTCTATTTTACAAAATGGATTTTCAGAAGACCAGAGAGACTCAGAGCACTTCCATTTATTGAGGAATGTTTTTTTTTTTAAATTTAGGAAAGCCAAAACAATGTTTCAAAAATGGCGATATATTTTACATGTTGACATGTAACAAAATAACATTTTAACACAAAAATTACAATGCAAAGTTGTGGCTATTCATAGGATAATTATAAGATAAAAATAAAATATCCATTCATGGCACAGTGTAGGGAGTGTGGTCTCGCACTGAGGCACAGGTTCAAATTTCTGTCCGTCTGATCACTGTGTTGCTGGGACTATATGAATGACTTCATTTGGAGAAGGTTTAAATTTAAAACGCTTTTTGAATGCAAAGTCTGGGTTAACAGCCCTTCTGGACCTCCTGGTCTTTCCTGCAATAGGCCTAAGAATAACTCACATGCATGTATCACTTTATAGTCTTCAAAGGTCATTTGAAGGCTGGACGCGGTGACTCACGCCTGTAATCCCAGCACTTTGGGAGGCCAAGGCGGGCAGATCACCTGAGGTCAGGAGTTCGAAACCAGCCTGGCCAACATGGCAAAACCCCATGTCTACTAAAAATGCAAAAATTAGCCAGGCGTGGTGGTAGGTGCCTATAATCCCAGCTACTCGGGAGGCTGAGGCAGGAGAATCACTTGAGCCTGGGAGGCAGAGGTTGCAGTGAACTGAGATTGCGCCACTGCATTCCAGCCTGAGCGACAGAGTGAGACTCCATCTCAAAACAAAAAAAAAAGGTCATTTGACATAACTTATTTAATCTTCACAATGACCCTGTAAGGTAACAAATACAGGGTGCTGCGTATTGCATTGGGGTTCCCAGCCAAAGGGGTTGACAGAAGCGGAAATCCAGACTTGTACTCGACTTACCATGCTGTGTATCCTGTCCTGAGTTTGCCTGTTCCAGGAGAATAAGGAACTCTTATATAATTTTCCCAAAGAGACACAAGCAAACAGCAGTCCTGATGATATAATACATATGTAAACATCTTTATCATCATTAAAAAGCATGTCAAATTGTACTGGTACAAAAACAGATGCATAGACCAATGGAGCAGAATAGAGAATCCAGAAATAAAGCTGCATACCTACAATCATCTGATCTTCAACAGAGTTAATAATAATAAGCAATGGGGAAAGGACTCCCTATTCAATAAATGGTGCTGTGATAACCGGCTAGCCATATGCAGAAGATTGAAACTAGATCCCTACCTTTCTCCATACACAAAAATTAACCCAAGATGGATTAAAGACTTAAATATAAGATCTAAAACTATAGAAGTCCTAGAAGAATACCTAGAAAATACCATTCTGAACATCAGCCTTGGCAAAAAATTTGTGACTAGGCCGGGTGCGGTGGCTTACGCCTGTAATCCCATCACTCTGGGAGGCTGAGGTGGGCGGATCATGGGGTCAGGAGATCGAGACCATTCTGACTAACACAGTGAAACCCCGTCTCCACTAAAAAATACAAAAAATTAGCCAGGCGTAGTGGCGGGCGCCTGTAGTCCCAGCTACTCAGGAGGCTGAGGCAGGAGAATGGCGTGAACCTGGGAGGCGGAGCTCACAGTGAGCTGAGATCGCGGCACTGCACTCCAGCCTGGGTGACAGAGTGAGACTCTGTCTCAAAAAAAAAAAAAAAAAATTGTGACTAAAGGGATCTAAAATTATAAAAGTCCTGGAAGAATACCTAGAAAATACCATTCTGAACATCAGCCTTGGCAAAAGATTTGTGACTAAGTCTCCAAAAGCAATGGCAACAAAACCAAACATCGACAGGTAGGACCTAATTAAACTACAGAGCTTCTACACAGCAAAAGAACCATCAACAGAATGCACAGATAACCTACAGAATGGGAGAAAATATTTGCAAATTAGGCATCTGACAAAGGTCTAATACCCAGAATCTATAGGGAACTTAATTAAACTAGCAAAAGACAATCCTATTAAAAATGGGCAAAGGACATGAACAGACACTTCTCAAAAGAGGACATACATGCAGCCAACAAATATATGAAAAAAATTCTCAATATCACTAATCATTAGAGAAATACAAATCAAAATCACAATGAGATCCATCTTGTACCAATCAGAATGGCCATTATTAAAAAGTCAAAAACATAACAGACAGTGAGGCTGTAGAGAAAAGGGAACGTTTATACACTGCTGGTGGGAATGTAAATTAGTTCAGCCACTGTGGAAATCAGTTTGGAGATTTCTCAAAGAACTTAAAACAGAACTACCATATGACCCAGCAATCCCATTATCGGATATATACCCAAAGGAATATAAATCATTCTACCAAAGAGACACACACACTCATATGTTCATCACAGCACCATTCACAATAGCAAAGACATGCAGTCAACCTAGGTGCCCATCAACAGTGGACTGGAAAAGAAAATGTGGTACATATTTACTATGGAATACTACACAACCATAAAAAAGAAAGAAATCATGTCCTTTGCAGCAACATGGATGCAGCTGGAGGCCACTATCCTAAGCGAATTAACATGGGAACAGAAAACCAAATACCACATGTTCTCACTTACAAGTGGGAGCTAAACGTTCAATACACATCTATACAAACATTAGAACAATAGGCACTGGGTACCACCAGAGGAGAGATGGTGGGAGGGAGGCAATAGTTGAAGAACTATCAGGTACTATGCTCACCAGGGTGACGGGATCATTTGTACGCTAAACCTCAGCAGCATGCAATATACCCATATAAATAACCTACACATGGCCAGGCACGGTGGCTCACGCCTGTAATCCCAGCACTTTCGGAGGTCGAGGTGGGCGGATCACCAGATGTCAAGAGTTCAAGACCAGCCTGGGCAACATGGTGAAACCCCGTCTCTACTAAAAATACAAAAATTAGCTGGGCATGGTGGCCGGCGCCTGTAATCCCAGCTACCTGGGAGGCTGAGACAGAAGAATCACTTGAATCCAGGAGGCGGAGGTTGTAGTGAGCCGAGATCGCGCCACTGCACTCCAGCTTGGGCAACAAAGAGGAAAACTCCATCTCAAAAACAAAAACAAAACAAACAAACAAAAAACCCCACAAACCTGCATGTGTAGCCCCGAACCTAAAAGAAAAATTTTTTAAAAACCCAGCATATCAAAGTCCTTCAATACATATGATGCTGTAATGGGTCATTCCTTTGGGCTTTAGTTTTATCCCAGATATACCTATTGAACACCAAAGAGGCTACTGGGGCTGTTCTACACTTCGGTTGGAGCAAGTGCGAGGATGATGGATCAGTATAACTGCCCTTGCCCCAGAAATTGGAAATAATCATGCCTGATCTAAAACAGGATCAGTGGGTGGAGTTATAGAGAGAACAGCACACCAGCTTCTAACTCTGTACCTCCACTTCCACTTCCTCCCCCCAGTATTTTCTTCAGTCAGATTTAAACATTACTTCTTGTTAAAGTCATGTCTGTTTCTTGTAGAACTTTGCGAAGTGCAGAAAATTATTCAGAAGTAATGTTGAGAAGGAGTGGTGGAGAATGAAACACAATTCTACCTCTCGGAGACAAAACCATATGGAATGTCAAAAAAAAATATTTACAGTGAGGAAACCTGGCAGACACCAATTTAATCAAGTGATAAAGTTAACATCATGGAACAAACTCACATTTTGTAGCTCCAGATATGATGCACTGAAATGGGTATGACATCACTTCTGTGGTATTCCTGCCAAAAGGGAGGAATCTAATTACCTAAATCTAATAACCTAAATCTAATCATGAGGAAATACCAGATGAACAGGTTAAAGAAAAATAAAATTGGAGGCCACAGTTTGGATATTTCCCTAGGCCAACAACCCACAGCCATGTGTAGTCAAAACCTAAACTATCCTGATTTCCCTGAAAATGCTAGCCCTAACCATAACACACTTTTTCTTCCTTGTCAGCGTAATAACATTAAGCCAATACAAACAAGCTTATGCAGCTTTATTTGCACAACAGAGATCAACGTACTTCCTCATTTAGGAAGCTGCACAGAGGTCTCTAGTTTGGGAACTGTTATTTTGTATGCTCAATAATCTTTTTGAGAATTTAAATTTAATCTGATTTTATTTTTGGCAAACCCAAATTCAAGGATATTGTACAAAACAACTGGCCTGTATTCATAAAAAATATCAGCATCATCAGCATCTTTTTAAAAACGGAGGAATCAGGCTGGGTGCAGTGGCTCACACCTGTAATCCCAGCACTTTGGGAGACTGAGGCGGGCGGATCACTTGAGGTCAGGAGTTTGAGACCAGCCTGGCCAACATGGTGAAACCTCCGTTTCTACAAAAAAGAAAGAAAAGAAAACTAGCCAGGCGTGGTGGCATGCGCCTGTAATCCCAGCTACTTGGGAGGCTGAGGCATGAGAATCACTTGAATACAGGAGGCAGAGGTTGCAGTAAGCCAAGATTACACCACTGCACTCCAGCCTGGGTGACAGAGTGAGACTTCATTTCAACAACAACAACAACAACAACAACAAATAATAATAATAATAATAATAATAAAAACAAAACAGAGGAATCAATACAAATTAAGTGACCTAAGAGTCAATGCAATGTGTACTACAGTGTTTTCTTTTTCTTTTTCTTTTTCTTTTTTTTTTTTTGAGATGGAGTTTCGCTCTTGTTGCCCAGGCTGGAGTGCAAAGGCACGATCTCAGCTCACTGCAACCTCCACCTCCTGGGTTCAAGCGATTCTCCTGCCCCAGCCTCCCCAGTAGCTGGGACTACAGGTGCATGCCACCATGCCCAGCTAATTTTTTTTTTATTCTTAGTAGAGATGGGGTTTCACCATGTTGGCCAGGCTGGTCTCAAACTCCTGACCTCAAATGATCCGTCCGCCTCAGCCTCCCAAAGTGCTGGGATTACAGGCGTGAGCCACTGCGCCTGGCCACTACAGTGTTTTCTTTTGGAACAATTGTTGAAAGTCAAAGTAGGTCTGTAGAATAAATAATAGTATGTATCAGTGTTAACTTCACAATCTTCAAAAATATTCTGTGGGCAAGTGATAAAATCTCCTTGTTTTAGGAAATATGCAGTGACATAGTTAGAGGTAAAAAAAAAGGCATCATGTCTGCAGCCTGCTTTCAAATGGTTCCAAAAGAAAATGTGAGTGTATGCATGTGTGAGTGTGTGTGTGTACACATATATATCTATATCTGCATGAGGAGAGGGAGAGAGAGAAAGATAAAGCAAATGCGATAAAATAGAAACATTTGGGCTGGGCGTGGTGACTCATGCCTGTAATCCCAGCACTTTGGGAGGCTAAGGTGGGTGGATCACCTGAGGTCAGGAGTTTGAGATCAGCCTGGCCGACACGGTGAAACTCCGTCTCTACTAAAAATACAAAAATTAGCCTGGTATGGTGGAGCGCCTGCAATCCCAGCTACTCAGGAGGCTGAGGCAGTAGAATCGCTTGAACCTGGGAGGCTGAGGTTGCAGTGAGCTGAGATTGCACCCCTGCACTCCAGCCTGGGCGACAGAGCGAGACTCTGTTTCAAAAAAGAAAGAAAGAAAGAAAGAAAGAAAGAAAAGAACAAAGAAACATTTGGGAAATCTAGGTGAAGGGTACTATTCTTGCAGCTTTTCTGTAAGTTTGAAGTTATAGCAAAACAAAACATTTTAAAATTATGTGTTTTTCTATAGTATCAGCCTAAATAAGGAACAGAGAGAGGCTCTATAAAAGAAAAAGATATTTATTTTGGAATAAGCCATTGCAATGGGAGTAAGCTTTTTAAAGGAAAACATGAGGAGTATTATGTAATTGTTTTGAAATAATTATCCTTGGCTACAAAGATGAATAACATGGGTGATGCCAGTCCAGGGTTCCATAGGCAGTTGCTGGACACATGTTCTTGCAGAAGTATTTTTTGTGTAAGGTTGTGATGGCCTTTGTGCAAGGTTGTAGTTTTGGTAGTCTTTTTTTTTTTTTTTACGGACTCTCTGTTGCTCAGGCTGGAGTGTAATGGCGCGATCTGGGCTCACTGCAACCTCCCCCTCCCAGGTTCAAGTGATTCTCCTGCTTCAACCTCCTGAGTAGCTGGGATTATAGGCACCAGCCACCATGTCCGGCTAATATTTGTATTTTTTAGTAGAGACAGGGTTTCACCATGTTGGCCAGGCTGGTCTTGAACTCCTGACCTCGTGATCCACCTGCCTCAGCCTCCCAAAATGCTGGGATTACAGGCGTGAGCCACTGCACCAGGCCAATTTTGGCAGTCTTTTGTGACACTTTTTGTTATCAGGAATACAAGCCTGAAAACACTCTCTTCATAGCCTTCCCAGCTCTATTTGTAAGAGTTTTTTTTTTTCTTTCTTCTTTTTTACCATTAGTGACTCCTTTTTGATTATGACAACTTTCACAATAGCTAATACAGGCCTAAGGTACGAAACGCAAAAGATGCAAAAGGGTGTACAATAAATATTCACCTCCATCATCTCTGTCCTCAAGCCAACAACTTTTCTTGCCTAGAGGATATTTCTACATATATAAGCATATGGGAATTTTCTTTCTCCTATTTTTACATAAATGATGAAATAATAATCATGGTTTTTTATTTTGCTTTTTTCACTCATCAGTGTGTTTTATGAGTACATATTGCTCTGTCTCATTCTTTTTTAATGACTGCATAGTAATTCATTGTTTTTCTGCATGTACTTTTTTTTATTTTGAGACAGAGTTTTGCTCTTGCTGCCCAGGCTGGGGTGCAATGGCGTGACCTCAGCTCACTGCAACCTTTACCTCCCAGGTTCAAGCAATTCTCCTGCCTCAGCCTCCCAAGTAGCTGGGATTACAGGCATATGCCACCACGCCCAGCTAATTTTGTATTTTTACTAGAGATGGGGTTTCTCCATGTTGGTCAGGATAGTCTCGAACTCCCAACATCAGGTGAGTCGCCTGCCTCGGACTCCCAAAGTGCTGGGATTACAGGCGTGAGCCACCACACCCGGCCTGCATGTACATTATTTAATTAGTTTCTTTAATCAGTTTGCTATTTCCAACAATGCTATAATAAATTTCCTTAATCATATATCATTTCAAACATCTTTGGGTATATCTGTAGGTGAATTCCAAGAAATTCTTTTGCTAGGTCAAAGAGTTTGTGGATTTGCAATTTTGATAAATATTGTAAAAGTACTATGCAGAATGGTTGTGCCAATTTTTACTTGCAACAGTAAAGTGTGATAATATTCCCACACCCCTCACTAATTACAGTGTGCTAAACTTTATGTTATCTGCTAATATGATAGGTGAAGTATGGTGTATTATTATTGTATTTCTCTTATTTGGTGTGAGATTAAGTATGTTTTATATTTGCTTACTTTTTCTATTCTGTGAATTCCTCATATTCTTTGACCATTTTCTCTTTCATTACAGATCTTTTTTCTTATCGGTTTATAGTTCTTTATATATTAAGGAAAGTAGCCCTTCATCTGTGATAAGAGTTGCAAAATTATTCCGTCTGCTGTTTGACTTTCTCTATGTGTATGTTTTGCTGTGCAGATTTTAAAACTTTTTCATGTAGTTGAAGCTATCCTTCCTTTTTTTTTCCATTATAGCTTCTGAGTATTGTGTTATACTTAGAGAAGCTTTCTCTGGCTGGGCACAGTGGCTCATGCCTGTAATCCCAGCACTTTCGGAGGCCAAGGCGGGTAGATCAGTTTAGGTCAGGAGTTCGAGACAGCTTGGCCAACATGGTGAAACTGAGAGGTGACAGCGTGCTGGCAGTCCTCACAGCCCTCGCTCGCTCTCGGCGCCTCTTCTGCCTGGGCTCCCAGTTTGGCGGCACTTGAGGAGCCCTTCAGCCCACCGCTGCACTGTGGGAGCCCCTTTCTAGGCTGGCCAAGGCCGGAGCTGGCTCCCTCAGCTTGCAGGGAGGTGTGGAGGGAGAGGTGCGAGCGGGAACCGGGGCTGCGCGCGGCGCTTGCGGGCCAGCTGGAGTTCCGGGTGGGCGTAGGCTTGGTGGGCCTCGCACTCGGAGTAGCCGGCCGGCCCTGCCGGCCCGGGGCAATGAGGGGCTTAGCACCCGGGCCAGCGGCTGCGGAGGGTGTACTGGGTCCCCCAGCAGTGCCGGCCCACCGGCGCTGCGCTGGATTTCTCGCCGGGCCTTGGCTGCCTCCCCGCGGGGCAGGGCTCGGGACCTGCAGCCCGCCATGCCTGAGCCTCCCCCCGCTCCGTGGGCTCTTGTGCGGCCCGAGCCTTCCCGATGAGCGCCGCCCCCTGCTCCACAGCGCCCAGTCCCATCGACCACCCAAGGGCTGAGGAGTGCGGGCGCACGGCGCGGGACTGGCAGGCAGCTCCACCTGCAGCCCCAGTGCCGGACCCACTGGGTGAAGCCACCTGGACTCCTGAGTCTGGTGGGGACGTGGAGAACCTTTACGTCTAGCTCAGGGATTGTAAATACACCAAGGTTTGTAAACACACCAATCAGCACCCTGTGTCTAGCTCAGGGTTTGTGAATGCACCAATTGACACTCTGTATCTAGCTGCTCTGGTGGGGGCTTGGAGAACCTTTGTGTGGATACTCCGTATCTAGCTAATCTAGGCTAATCTCCACGTCTCCAGGCTGGGGACGTGGAGAACCTTTGTGTCTAGCTCAGGGATTGTAAACGCACCAATCAGTGCCCTGTCAAAACAGACCACTGGGCTCTACCAATCAGCAGGATGTGGGTGGGGCCAGATAAGAGAATAAAAGCAGGCTGCCCAGAGCGAGTAGTGCCAACCCGCTCGGGTCTGCTTCCACACTGTGGAAGCTTTGTTCTTTCGCTCTTTGCAATAAATCCTGCGGCTGCTCACTCTTTGGGTCCACATTGCCTTTATGAGCTGTAACACTGCAAAGGTCTGCAGCTTCACTCCTGCCTGAGCTAGTGAGACCAGGAACCCACCAGAAGGAAAAAACTCCGAACACATCCAAACATCAGAAGGAACAAACTCCAGACGCGCCACCTTAAGAGCTGTAACACTCACCGCGAGGATCTGCGGTTTCATTCTTGAAGTCAGTGAGACCAAGAACCCACCAATTCCAGACACAAAACCTCGTCTCTACTAAAAATACAAAAAATGAGCTAGGTGCAGTAGTGGATGCCTGTAATCCTAGCTATTCGGGAGGCTGAGCCATGAGAATCATTTGAACTTGGGAGGTGGAGGTTGCAGTGAGCCGAGATCATGCCATTGCACTCTAGCCTGGGCAACAGAGAGAGACTTCGTCTCAAAAAAAAAAAAAAAAAAAAAAAAAAAAAAAAAAAAAAAAAAAAAACTTTCTCTGCTCTAAGACCTCCCATAATGTCTTCTAGAACTTTTATGCTTTCATCTTTTATATTTAATCTTTCATCTACTTGGAATATTTTGGTGTTAGGTGTAAGAAGTAAGCAGGGATCCAGCTTTTTTTTCCAGAGGGCTAATCACTGGTCCCAATCACTTCTTGAATTACTGAGTTTTAAAATCTAGAATGAAGGTCAGATTTTGTCAATGACCTATTAAGCCTCTGTGAATATAAGTTTTTCTCTTTTAAACTCTTAATATTCATTTTATTAATTGATTTCTTAATAGTGAATCATCCTTATACTTCTGGAATAAACCTTGCTTATTTACAGTGTGTTATTCTTTTCACATGCTACAGGATACTTCAGTTATTTTTTTTGCTTCTTTTTTGGAGACATTCTCTCACTCTGTTACCCAGGCTGGAGTATAGTGGCATGATAAGAGCTCATTGCAGCTTCAAACTCCTGGGCTCAAGTGATCCTGCCTCAGTCTCCCGAGTAGCTGGGACTACAAGTGTGCATCATTACGCCCAGTTTTTTTAAAAAAATGTTTGTGCAGATGCGGGTCTCACTATATTGCCCAGGCTGGTCTCAAACTCCTAGGCTTAAGCAGTTTGGGAGGCCCACCTCAGCCTCCCAAAGTGATGGCGTGTCCGAAATTGGTGGGTTCTTGGTCTCACTGACTTCAAGAATGAAGCTGCACACCCTCGCGGTGAGTGTTACAGCTCTTAAGGCGGCGCGTCTGGAGTCTGTCCCTTCTGATGTTCAGATGTGTTCGGAGTTTCTTCCTTCTGGTGGGTTCGTGGTCTCACTGGCTCAGGAGTGAAGCTGCAGACCTTCGCGGTGAGTGTTACAGCTCTTAAGGCAGCGTGTCCGGAGTTGTTCGTTCCTCCCGGTGGGCTCGTGGTCTCGCTGGGCTCAGGAGTGAAGCTGCAGATCTTCGTGATAAGTGTTACAGCTCATAAAAGCAGCGTGGACCCAAAGAGTGAGCAGTAGCAAGATTTATTGCAAAGAGCGAAAGAACAAAGCTTCCACAGCGTGGAATGGGACCCGAGCAGGTTGCCAATGCTGGTTTGGGCAGCCTGCTTTTATTCTCTTATCTGGCCCCACCCACATCCTGCTGATTGGTAGAGCCCAGTGGCCTGTTTTGTCAGGGTGCTGATTGGTGCGTTTACAATCCCTGAGCTAGATACAAAGGTTCTCCACGTCCCCATCAGATTAGTTAGATACAGAGTTTCGACACACAGGTTCTCCAAGGCCCCACCAGAGCAGCTAGATACAGAGTGTCGATTGGTGCATTCACAAACCTTGAGCTAAACACAGGGTGCTGACTGGTGTATTTACAATCCCTGAGCTAGATATAAAGACTCTCCACGTCCCCACCAGACTCAGGAGCCCAGCTGGCTTCACCTAGTGGATCCCGCACCGGGGCTGCAGGTGGAGCTGCCTGCCAGTCCTGCGCCGCCGTGCGCTCGCATTCCTCAGCTCTTGGGTGGTCGATGGGACTGGGCGCCGTGGAGCAGGGGGTGGCGCTCATCGGGGAGGCTTGGGCCGCACAGGAGCCCATGGAGTGGGTGGGAGGTTCAGGCATGGCGGGCTGCAGGTCCCGAGCCCTGCCCCGTGGGAAGGCAGCCAAGGCCCGGCGAGAAATCGAGCGCAGCGCCGGTGGGCCAGCACTGCTGGGGGACTCAGTACACCCTCCGCAGCCACTGGCCCGGGTGCTAAGTCCCCCATTGCCCGGGGTCAGCAGGGCTGGCTGGCTGTTCCGAGTGCGGGGCCCACCAAGCCCACGCCCACCCGGAACTCCAGCTGGCCCGCAAGTGCCGCACACAGCCCCAGTTCCCGCTCGTGTCTCTCCCTCCACACCTCCCTGCAAGCTGAGGGAGTGGGCTCCGGCCTTGGCCAGCCCAGAAAGGGGCTCCCACAGTGCAGTGGGGGACTGAAGGGCTCCTCAAATGCCACCAAAGTGGGAGCCCAGGCAGGGGAGGTGCCGAGAGCAAGCGAGGGTTCTGAGGACTGCCAGCACGCTGTCACATCTCAATGGGGGGTTACAAGACATGAGCCACAGCACCCAGCGTAGTTAATATTTTATTTAGAATTTTTCCACTGATACTTACATGTGAAATTGGTCTGTCGTGTGTGTGTGCGTGATATCTTTGTTGATTTTGGTATCAAAGTTATGTTTACTTTTTAAAAAGAGTTTGGAAGACTTCCATCTTTTTTGTGCTCTGGGACAGAATTAATAGCATTTGAGTCAATTACTCATTTGTGTGGAATTTTCTTGCAAGACATGGAGGGCTTTTGTAACTTTTAGGGGTGAAGGTGAAGGTGAAAGTGGGCCATGGTGGTAGCAAGGATAGTTCTTTGATAAACTTCTCTATTTTTTCTGTGGTAACGGTTTGCTTAAATTTTGTCTCTTCCAGGATCTATTTTGATAAATTGTATTTTCTTGTAACATCATCCATTTCATCCAGAGTTTTAAGTTCACTTGAAGTTAAGCAAAATTAGCATCTTACAAATCTATAATTTGTTTCCTGTGTCTGTGATTTTCCCCTGCTTGTTTTTTAAATCATGTCAAATGTGCATTTTTCTCTATTTCTGATTAGATAACTATTTTATTTTTTGTGAACCTGTGGGTTTATTAGTCCTTTGACACTGGTTTCCTGAATTCATTTATTTATTCCTTTATCTTCCCTAATTTCTCCCTCCTGCTTTCCTCATGAAGCATCTACATGTAGTGTTTACAGTTTCTTTATTCTCTAGATGTTCCTCAGTTTGCTCTTTGACTTCCTCTTTTTCCCAATAGTCAGTTAGAATACCTGTTTTAAGCTCAGGTGGTTTAAAGATTTTCACTTTAGCTTATTTATTTTTTCATCCCTGAGAGCACTAGAGAATTGTGTATCCTGCTGTCCATCCGCATTTGGCTTCTTCCCCAGGGTTCTTCTCCCAGAAGGTGACGAGAGCGAAGAAACCCCACGGGATGCAGGAAGAAACAGTGACAGGCAACCAAGAGGGGGAGGATGGAGAAAACCCTTGCCTTAGTCAGAGCAGGCCCCAGGGGACGCAGAAACAAAGGCCACACCCCCACGAGCACGTGGCCAGACTGCCCAATCGTCGCTACTGAAGCCGGGCTCTGGTCTTTGATTGGTGTTCGTGGAGACGCCCTCACATTCTTGGATCAGCCCAAAGGTAGGCTCAGGCTCCGACGGTGGCCGGCGGGGGTCACGAGGCTTCGTAGTGGAGGAACGGGTTTGGCGTGTGGGACGCAGCTGCCTCTGTACTGGGGAGTCACGGAGTGGCCGGGCTCCAGGGACATGGCGGCGGCCTCTGCGGTGTCGGTGCTGCTGGTGGCGGCGGAGAGGAACCGGTGGCATCGTCTCCCGAGCCTGCTCCTGCCGCCGAGGTGGGTGGAGGGGCCATGGCTCAGTGGGCAGAGGCGGGAGCGAGGGGTGCACGGACCCGCGTGAGCGGTGGGAGGTGCGGCGGAACCCAGGGTCGGTGTGGGGAGGACGGTAGGAAAACCCCAGGCACTTTCGGAGGGGTTCTGCCGGCAGTCACGGCGTCGGGAGGAAGACATCCCCACCAGCCCTTCCCTTTCTCCCCGCTTCCGCACATCCACGCTTCAGCGCGCCTTTGGCTTCTGTTTTTCCATTTCTGAGGACTGGGCCCGCCATCCTCCAGGCTCCCCTCGCCGTCGCTGCAGCTCGTAGCCGTTTACATCGGGCTTTCGCAGCACCCCTTAGGTGGGAGCGTTGTTATAATCCGGTTCCGGGGAAGCCCAAAGGGATCAACGACTTCCTCAACGAAACACAGCTAGTAAGAAATGGGGCCGGGATGCCCTCAAAGCCATTTTTCAGTTCAGCTGTGCCCCATCAGGTGTCCAGTTCAGAGAAAGACTCCTGGAGTTCCTTCTCATTGTTAGAAGAGTGAAGTTGTCAAGAAGAGCAAATGTACCTTCCACAGAGCTGGGAAATTATTTTGTCAAAAACTCTTGTACCCAAGTTTGAACAACGCTATCAGATGACTCAGTCTAGCTCACCTGACTCCAGCTCTGTTTCAAATTTTGAGCTCTAAGCTTTGGTGGCAATAACTCTGGCAGTGAAAAAACCCTCAGGCTTGTAGATAGCTTTGCTTCTTTGTCTTCTTTTGCTTCATCGTTATCATCCTTCATCATTCTGGAAAGATTGACAGTTTAGTGTTCAAGGGCACAGACTCTGCAGTCAAGGCTGAGGTCTTAGTTAGCTACTCACTAGGTGTGTGACTTTGGGTAAGTTACTTAATATTTCTTCTTTAATTTCCTCACCTTGGAGATGATACGAGTACCTTGGGTTGTGAAAACTAAATGAATTAATTCATGGAATGAGGTTTAAGCACAATCTGGTACATAAGATCAGTCTATAAATGCAAACTCAACCATTTATATGAACGTTTGCTTGCTTTTATTTTCCAGAAATATTGTAGATGCCCTTTTTAGTTACTTAATTGTAGGAGTGCCCCAGAGAAACATAAGAAAGTTGTTGGAAGTTGGCGGGGCGCGGTAGCTCACGCCTGTAATCGCAGCACTTTGGGACGCCGAGGCGGGCAGATCACGAGGTCAGGAGATCGAGACCAACCTGGATAACACGGTGAAACCCCGTCTGTACTAAAAAATACAAAAAATTTAGCCGGGCGTGGTGACACGCGCCTATAGTCCCGCCTGTTAGTCCCAGCTACTCGGGAGGCTGAGGCAGGAGAATGGTGTGAACCCAGGAGGCGGAGCTTGCAGTGAGCTAAGATCACGCCACTGCACTCCAGCCTGGGCGACAGAGTAAGACTCCGTCTCAAATAAAAAATAAAAAAATAAAAAAAAAAGTTGGTGTAAGTAATGTTAATGTTCTTCTTGTTCTTCTGGTTTTTCTTTTCTTAGGCCTCCAGGGCTCTTCAGGATAGTACCATAGACCCATTTCCTGTCTTCCCTTTCAAAGCTTAGCTATTGTCTAAAGAACTATCCTCAAGTATGTCACTCTGGAGAGTGTTAGAGTTGTTAATGGCTTATAGAAGTAAAACTCTTTGCCAGGAGACTTGGTTCATGCCTGTATTTTCAGCAGTTTCTCAGCACTGTGGGATCCAAGGTGGGAGGATTGCTTGAGTTCAAGAGTTCAAGACCAGCCTGGGCAACACAGTGAGGCTTCATCTCTACAAAACATTAAAAAATTAGCCAGGCGTAGTGGCACACACTTGTAGTCACAGCTACTTGGGAGGATGAGGAGGGCGAGGACGGCCTGAGTCCAGGGGTTCCAGGCCGTAGTGAGCCATGATCACACCACTGTACTCCATCCTGGGTGACATCCCATCTCAAATAAAACAAAAACAAAAAAATCTTAACAGCACAGATAGTTTACATTATTTTTATGTTATGAATCTTTAGTAGCTCACAGAAAATAATCTCTGGTGGCAGAATTATAGACATGACAATAAGCTGGTATAGAGCTACCTTGAATCAGGGAAGCAGCTTCTTTTTTTTTTTTTGAGACGGAGTCTCGCTCTGTCGCCCAGGCCGGACTGCGGACTGCAGTGGCGCAATCTCGGCTCACTGCAAGCTCCGGGGAAGCAGCTTCTTAATCTTGTTTAAGCCATTGCTTTTAAGTTGCAGCTTAGATAATTGTGAAAAATGGAATAGATGATCAGAACATTGTTGGGATAGTGGATTACAGTTAAGTGGGATCTCTGTCTCTTTCTCCCTCTTTTTCCCTCTCTCCCTTCTTCTGTCTTCACTAGAAGATTGCAAAAGAAAGCTTTAGGTCAACAGTAGCCTTGAAACCGAATCAGTCTTAAGCTAGCTTTACCAACAAGCAACCATTTAATAGATACATCTGCCCAGAATAGGCCTTGAAACTTATCAGAAGCCTATCTGAAGAATGTAAAGGGAAGACGATGCTATGAGCTAGAAAATACCTCATAAAGATCAGGAAAGATGATCCCCCTCCTTCAGGATCAAGAAGGTAACATCAGCTGAAATGGAAAGGTGTGGGAAAGCAGCAGCCTCGTGAGGAAGCTAGCTCACGGAACTCTCCTGCCAAAGCTGTGGGTCTTCCCAGCAGCTCCTCATGGATGGCAGCATCTGAGTGTGCATTGTAGGGCAATGAGTGTATAGACGCATATAGATGTGTAGATGTCTACTGCATCTCCGCTCCAGTGAAATACTAGTCCTGCTCAACTACATAGTCATATACATAATATGTATATACTACTGCCTAGTTACATAGTTTCTAATGCACACGCTGTGCTTTTATCTTGTGCTTTGTGAATAATCTAAAATGGTTAGTTAGTCCTTTATAACCACATCTTCCAGGTATAGACAAAAAGATAGGTGGAATTGCTTCTGTAATTTGTTTGTTTCCCTGCATATGCTTTTTATTTATTTATTTATTTTTTTTTTTGAGATGGAGTCTCACTCTGTCACCCAGGCTGGAATGTAGTGGCACGATCTTGGCTCACTGCAACCTCCACCTCCCAAGTTCAAGTGATACTCCTGCCTCAGCCTCCCAAGTAGCTGAGATTACAGGTGCGCACCACCACACCTGGCTAATTTTTGTATTGTTAGTAGAGATGGGGTTTCACCATGTTGGCCAGGCTGGTCTCGAACTCCTGACCTCAGGTAATCCCCCCACCTCAGCCTCTCAAATTGCTAGGATTACAGGCGTGAGCCACTGCACCCAGCCCACTTATCCTCTTTAGCTGAAACTTAATAGACGTTATACTTTTTTGTTCCTAAAGTGAATCTGGCCTGTTTTCTGTCAGCTCTTGGTTACTTTATTTTATACACAGGTATCACGAAACTTAAAAATTGTTGAGACTTCTACCTCATTAAAATACCTCAAGTCATTTTGTCTCCCCATTTCTCCATTTTTTTAAATACAAGGACTTGGAATAGAATTGTATAGTACTTTTAAATCTGAGAGGTACCTTCAAGATCACCTCTTATAGTCTCATCTCGTGTGTGAGAACACTGAAGCCCAAGCTATTAAATCTTGCATCCTCAACTGGGATGATACCACCGCTAAAGGGTGGAAATTGATTCTTAGGAGAGCCAGGAAATCTTAGATTTTGTCATGGTTTACGGCTTTCCAAAGCTCAACCTTACCCCACCCTTCCTACAAGGAATAAAATCTTTTAAAAGTTTTCTCATTAGGAGAGTAATAATGAAAAAAAAGTTGGAGAAACACTGATGTAAAGTGACTCGACCCTGGGCAAGCTGGTCATTGGAGGGACTCGGATGAGAATGCAGCTTTTCTGGTCCCACAGCCAACATTCTTTCTGTTGCCCCTGTTTAACTTCCGTTTATTTCTCTGGTCTTACTTTTTAAACATGTCTCATGTTTAAACTTGATTGGTATTTTTCAAACTGTAGATTGACCAGCATATTTTAATAAAATAGGATACAACTGAAAGAACCAAAAGAGTTTTGTTCTTTTTGTTTTTGTTTTTTTTTTTGAGACGGAGTCTCGCTCTGTCACCCAGGCTGGAGTGCAGTGGCCCAGTCTCGGCTCACTGCAAGCTCTGCCTCCTGGGTTCACGCCATTCTCCTGCCTCAGCCTCCCGAGTAGCTGGGACTACAGGTGCCCGCCATGACGCCCGGCTAATTTTTTGTGTTTTCAGTAGAGACAGGGTTTCACCGTGTTAGCCAGGATGGCCTCAATCTCCTGACCTCATGATCTGCTTGCCTCGGCTTCCCAAAGTGCTGGGATTACAGGTGTGAGCCACCGTGCCTGGCCAGGGCAGAATGAGTCATTTTTAACAAAACATCTGTTTTCATTAAGTGTGTGTCCTGGGTAGTTTGTATTGTGAGTTGTAGCCAAAAAGGTTTCAAAAAAGCTAAACTAGATGATGTTGGTATACCTTGGTTGTTTAATCATCTCTGACTGTGGTCTTATGCCAGCCTCAGGAACAAGCAGGCTAGGTGACTCATTCAAGGACAGGTAGTACGAGGGAAAACAGCCAGAACTCTAACTCTTGAGTTCTAGATTAGTTTTCTACCCACTAAGAAAGTCTTACTAAAGCACTGTTAGTTGGCTTAAGGTTTCATGTTTTAAGAAACTGAAATTCTTTTGAAAGAACAATTGTGTTGCCTATTCTGTTTAATTGTAATTCCTTTTGGATTTATGTTATAGGACATGGGTGTGGAGGCAAAGAACCATGAAGTACACAACAGCCACAGGTACTGACAGACTTTGTTGTTCTATTTGATTTTGCTTCAGACTGGAAGTGTTTAAGAAAGGGAAATGTTTAATCCCTTAATATATGCATAATAGAATTAGTTATCATAAATTTTGGATTTTCACGATAATTTTCTAGGAAGTGTTAAGTCATGGTTTTCACCTCTTTTGTATCAAATCTCTCTTGCTGTTAAGTCTAAAATACAGAGGGCAGCCGGGCGCAGTGGCTCATGCCTGTATCCCAGCACTTTGGGAGGCTGAGGTGGGTGGATCACCTGAGGTCAGGAGTTCGAGACCAGCCTGGACAACATGGCAAAACCCTGTGTCTACTAAAAAATACAAAAATTAGCTGGGCGTGGTGGCGGGTGCCTGTAATCCCAGATGCTTGGGAGGCTGAGGCAGGAGAATTGCTTGAACCCAGGAGGCGCAGGTTGCAATGAGCCAAGATCTCGCCACTGCACTCCAGCCTGGGCGACAGAGCAAGACTTCGTCTCAAAAAAAAAAAAAAAAAAGTAAAAATAAATAAATAAAATACAGAGGGCAATAATGGAGAACATTTTATATTCGTTTGTTCTTTCTGTCCATTTGACCCTCTTAGTGTATTGGATTGGAAAATCATAACTACGATGGTCTAAAGCAGTTCTTTGAAAAAGCTATTTTAAGTAGCAAAACCTTTTTTTCCAAATAAAATTTAACATGGAATTCCCAACTATGAAACATATAAAAGTGTAATAAAGTATAACTTCTAGCTGATTGGATATAGCCCTCTACCTACTGTGCTCTCCTTCCCCTGCCCACACTCATACATATGTCATCCATCAGCCCCTGTGACAACTCTTGGGCTCCATAGAGCCCCATCGAAAAACACTTTTAAATTAGGTGCAACCTTTTTTTTTTTAAAAGGAGAAATAACTTTATTATGTTGAGCCTATGGATTCTATTGAAGAAATAACTTTATTATGAACTGTCAAAGAACATTTATTTCACGTGTGATATTAGAAGTACATTTTATATATGCAGTAGCTTGTCATTATGGTGCCATGCCAGTAGACTGGTACAAGAGTCACTTGTGTTGCAAGAGAACCACACACACCTATGTACATAGGGATAGAGGCAGAGGAGCAGAGTGACTGAAAGCTTAAATTCTGGAGTGACGCAGATCTAGGTTGAAGTCCCAGATTGTTTCTTTAGCTGTGTAATTTTGGGAAAATAATAGCTCTTTCAGCATTAGTTTCTTCATCTTTAAAATTGAGATAACAATGATAGTATCTATTTCATTAGGATTATTGTGAAAATTTAAGTCGATGTTGAGTCTTTAGCACAGGACCTGAGGCACAGAAAGTGCTTATTAAAGATTAGTTAGTATTGGCCGGGTGTGGTGGCTCACACCTGTAATCCCAGCACTTCGGGAGGCCAAGGCAGGTGGATCACCTGAGGTCAGGAGTTCGAGACCAGCCTGGCCAATGTGGTGAAACCCCGTCTCTACTAAAAATACAAAAATTAGCCAGGCGTGGTGGCAGGCACCTGTAATTTCAGCTACTCAGGAGGCTGAAGCAGTAGAATTGCTTGACCCTGGGAGGTAGAGGTTGTAGTGAGCCGAGATCACACCATTGCACTCCAACCTGGGGGACGAGAGCAAAACACTGTCTCAAAAATAAATAAATAAGTAAATAAATAAATACATAAAAGAGTAGTTATTAATGATGATAATTTAACACTATTATAATTTGATCCTTGGCATAACAAAGCATCTTTTAATTTTATTTTATGTTGCTTTGTATTTTAAGTTTAAAAAGCTGAGTAATTTATGTTAATGAGTACCTTGAATTTAAGAGAAAAGAAGTGCACTGTCTAATATTAGTTAAAGTGGTCATTTTGGGCTCAGTTATGCTAGTTTTACCAAAAACCTTGAACTTATCAGTCGAGTCCTTATCAGCCAGTTAAGATCGTATTCTCATTCTCATTCTTTGCTCTCCAGTAACATTTCTGTGTGATTTTCATGGTGTTTTAAACAGGAAGAAACATTACCAAGGTCCTCATTGCAAACAGAGGAGAAATTGCCTGCAGGGTGATGCGCACAGCCAAAAAACTGGGTGTACAGACTGTGGCGGTTTATAGTGAGGCTGACAGAAATTCCATGCATGTAGATATGGTATGTGTTAAAAATTGGAAGCCACGTCTTACGTTTATTCGTTTACTGTGTCAGTATTTTCGTTCTTTATGATGACAGTTGATATTTGCTAGTGTTATCAGGGTTGAAGTAGGTAAGTTCAAACTGCTCACTGCTAATTCTTGGGAACATTTTTCAGATATAACATCAGTTGAACTAAGCGGTGTGCTTAGTAGAACAGTTGATTTACAGGCAAGGTCTTTATCTCCTTGAGGATTGGTTAAAACGGTTCACAGAATGTTGCGGATCCACTGACTACACTTTGAGTAGCTCATGTCCAGATTCCGTATATACAAGGAGAAAGATCCAGGCTCTATTCTTTTTTTTTCTTTTTTTTTTGAGATTGAGTCTCGCTCTGTTGCCCAGGCTGGAGAGCAGTGGCACAATCCCGACTCACTGCAAGCTCCGCCTCTCAGGTTCAAGCGATTCTCCTGCCTCGATTCTCCTGCCTCGACGTCTAGAGTAGCTGGAACTATAGGTGCCCTCCACCACGACCGGCTAATTTTTTGTATTTTTAGTAGAGACAGGTTTTCACCGTGTTAGCCAGGATGGTCTCAATCTGCTGACCTCGTGATCCGCCCACCTTGGCCTCCCAAAGTGCCAAACAGGCGTGAGCCACCGTGCCTAGCCAATCCAGGCTCTATTCTTAGCACCTGCTACTTACTGGCTGAGTGATCTTAGCCAAGTCACTTCATGTTTCTGAGCCTTGCTTCATCTGTAAAATTATAACTAATAAGACCCAACTCCCTGAAGTTTGTGAATGTTACGGGTGAGTTATTACTAGTTTTTTTTGTTTTGTTTTGTTTTGTTTTGTTTTTGTTTTTGACAAGAGTCTCACTCTGTTGCCCAGGCTGGAGTGTAGTGGCGTGTTCTTGGCTCACTGCAACCTCCACCTTCCAGGTTCAAGTGATTCTCATGCCTCAGCCTCCTGAGTAGCTGGATTACAGACACACACCACCACGCCTGGCTACTTTTTTGTATTTTTAGTAGAGACAGGATTTCACCATGTTGGCCAAAATGGTCTCGAACTCCTGGCCTCAAGTGATCCACCCACCTTGGCCTCCCAAAGTGCTGGGATTACAGGCGTGAGCCACTGCGCCCAGCCTATCACTAGCTTTTATCCACCAGAAATAACTCCAAGCATAGGTGACTCCCACTGTTGGACTTCATTATGCCTGCAGTAAGACTCCAAGCACTAGCATCAATTCATGATGAGCAGCCTCACCTGGGCTTTTATCACTGTACAGCAGGCCCTTGTGGCTCTCTAGCCACTGTTTTTCTCACTCTGTGCAATGAGTATTTCAAACTTGTTTCGCTTCATTCCAACCTCCAATTCTCCCTCTACCCACCTTTTTGCAGCAGGATGATCTTGATTTCACAGAGAAAATAAAATTGAGGTTCCTGCCACAGAATCTGCTGACTTAGTTATGTCTGCATCCATCTTTCCCATCGAAGGTCAGTGCTCTGGATCCCTTCTCTTCTTGTCTTTTTAAGAATTTTCCCGGCTGGGCGCAGTGGCTCACACCTGTAATTCCAGCACTTTGGGAAGCCGAGGCAGATGAATCACCTGAGGTCAGGGTTCGAGACCAGCCTGACCAACATGGAGAAATCCCGTCTCTATTAAAAATACAAAATTAGCTGGGCGTGGTGTCACATGCCTGTAATCCCAGCTACTCGGGAGGCTGAGGCAGGAGAATCGCTTGAACCCGGGAGGCGGAGGTTGCAGTGAGCTGAGATCGTGCCATTGCACTCCAGCCTGGGCAACAAGAGCGAAACTCTGTCTCAAAGAAAAAAAAAAAAAGAATTTTCCCAAAATAAGAGAGTAAATTTTAAATGTCTTACCATGAAAAAATATTAGGTAAGTGAGATGATGCCTAGGTTAATTGGCTTGATTCAATCATTCCACATTGTGTGCATGTGGCAAAACATCACATTGTACCCCATAAATGCATACAATTATGATTTGTCAGTTAACAGTATTAATAAAACATAAAGCAAAATGAGACATTCCTGTGTCAAAAAGAAAAGGATCTTCTATTTTTCAATGATGGGTCTTCAACCACTCTCTACTAGACTGATACTATCCATGTCCCTAAATCCAGTGGAGTCTCCAGGGCTGAGCTGACTTGACCCCTCAGCAGCATTTAGCATCCTAGTACACTGCTCCCTTCTTTTAGAAATAAATTCTTCTCATGGCATTCTCAGCCTCTTGCCTTCTTGTCTTCTCTCAGTGTCCTTTATCTGGACCCTACCCATCTACCAGACCCTACCCATCTACCAGACCCTTATGTTGAAGTTTCTTGGGACTTGGTCCTTGGCCCTCTTTTCTCAGTGTGCACTCTCATTCTGGATCATTTTATATACTCCTATAGCTTTGAGAAAAACTCCCAAATTTCTATTTTTAGTCCAGACTTTCTTTTGAGCATGATACATATATATCCAACTGCCCATTCAACATCTCCACTTCAATATTGTCACAGGTACCAAACTAGTGTGACTGAAATTGAACTCATGACCTTTCACCTATACTGAACCTGCATTTCTTACAGAATTCCCTAACCCCGTAGAGTACAACACCATTGCTAATAAAAACAATAATGTCAGAGATCTAGAAGTCTTTGAGCATTTTTCTCTCTTCTTTCCTACTCTAGATCCTTCCCCCCTCATCTAGTAAATGACCAAGTACTGTTAATTGTATTTCCCAAACATTTCTTTCCACTTCTTTCCACCCCCTCCCACCTATAACTTAACTCAAAGCCACAGTCACCTTTTTTTTTGAGCCAGGGTCTCACTCTGTCAGCTAGGCTGGAGTGCAGTGGCACAGTCACAGCTCACTGCAGCCTCAACCCCCCAGGCTCAAGCAATCCTCCTACCTCAGCCTCCTGAGTAGCTGGGACTACAGGCACTTGCTACCATAGCCGGCTAATTTTTAAAATTTTTTGTAGAGATGATGTCTCACTATGTTGTCCCAAAGCGCTGGGATTATAGGGATTATAGGCATAAGCCACCATGCCCAGCCCCACTATCACCTCTTGCTTGACCAAATGCTGCAGCCTCCTAAGTAGCCTCTCCACCTCCACTCTTAACTGTCCCCCACCCCCAGCCAACAATCTATTTTCTGCTTTTCAGCCAGACTGAGAGTATAAAATAAAAATGTACTTAAGTTACTCCTCTTCTTAAATGCTTTAAACCTTTATAGGGTGCACCAGCTTATCAGTAATGTAAAAGGTGGATAATATTCAGTGTTGATGAGGGTGGTTAGAAACTGGTATGTTGATGGAAATATATATTGGTAAAACCATTTCAAGGCTGATTAACCAGGAGCTATTAAACTATGCATATCCTTCAACCCAACCCTACAAACATTCCTGTAGGTTTCTGTCCCACAGACGTGCTCACATATATTGTGCTAAGAGAAGCGTGTACAGGAATGTCTGCTTTAGCCTTGCCTGCATCCAGTTTTTTGCCGTTATAACCTAAGTGCGCATTAAGAGATACATGATTAAATGAACTATGATACTGCCATACTATGGAATAGTTTGCAAATGTTATACAAAATGAGGTATAGACATGTGTACTAGCAAGAAAAAGAGTTCCCAAGACATACCGTTAATGGAAAAAGCAGTTGCAGAAGATAATTATATAGTATGATCCTATTTATGTAAAAACAAGAACTAAAACTGCATGTGTTTATATAAACATATATGACTAGTTAGGAATATGGATATGGAACAATATGTCCCAGGTTTATTATAGTGGATGTTCTATCTGGAAGGAGACTGCAATGGGGGGAGTACCAAAGGGCTACTTTGCGTTTGTATTATAATTCACTTTCTTTAGAATGAGAATAGATTTGTGTTTTGTGGAGTTAAAAGTAAAAAACAGGCTGGGCACCATGGCTCACGCCTGTAATCCCAGCACTTTGAGAGGCCCAGGCAGGCAGATCACCTGAGGTCAGGAGTTTGAGATTAGCCTGGCCAACATGGTGAGGCCCTGTCTCTACTACAAATACAAAAATTAGCTGGGCGTGATTGTGTGCACCTGTAATTCCAGCTACTCGGGAGGCTGAGGCAGGAGAATCGCTCGAACCCGGGAGGCAGAGGTTGCAGTGAGCCGAGATCGCGCCACTACATTCCAGCCTGGGCGACAGAGCAAGACTTACCTCAAAAAAAAAAAAAAACACACAACAACAACAACAACAACAAAACATTTAAAATGGTCTCTTTGTGTGCTCCCTTAGGAGAAAGCCCAAAGCTTTTTAACCTCTCACAGGCCCTTTGAAATCTGTGCCCAGCTTTCTGTCCAGCATCCTCTCTGGCCCCTGGACCCCTTGCTCATTGTGTTCCAGCCACACAAGCCTTCTTCGGTCACTCAGCTGGACCAGTTTTCCTCCCACCTTTATGTAGGTTGTTTTCTGTGCCTGAGAGCCTCATCCTCAGCTCCATTCCTGTTCTCAGCTCCACATTCTTGATCTGTTTGCCAGGCAAAGTCTTGATCATCCTTTTTTTTTTTTTTTTTTTTGAGAAGGAGTCTCGCCCTGTTGCCCAGGCTGGAGTTCAGTGGCGCAATCTCGGCTCACTACAAGCTCCGCCTCCCTGTTCACGCCATTCTCCTGCCTCAGCCTCCCGAGTAGCTGGGACTACGGGTGCCGACCACCACGCCCAGCTAATTTTTTTTTGTATTTTTAGTAGAAATGGGGTTTCACTGTGTTAGCCAGGACGGTCTCAATCTCCTGACCTCATGATCCGCCCGCCTTGGCCTTGCTGGGATTACAGGCGTGAGCCACCATGCCCGGCCAGTCTTGATCATCCTTGAGGAGCCTCCCCTGACTTCCCTTCTAGGCATTTCCTGATCACCTTCAGACCAGATCAGGCCTTCCTCCTACAGCATTTATGCCCTTGGTTTTTCCTCCATGACGTTCATCACAGTTGTCATTAAGTGTGTGAATGTATTTTTAATGTCTGTCTCTCCCCCTAGACAGGGACATTTGTCTTGTTCACTATGGTACAGGCAGCTCCCACCTCAAAGTGTGGCACGTAGTAGGCCTTCAGTAAGTCTTGGAATGAATGAATGATGTGCTCTAAATGGTCTACTTCAAGGGATGCTATGATTTTGTGTAAGTTTTAAGGAATAATATAAAATAATTCACAAATGTATGAAAGCATTATCATACTCTGATAATTATATAAACTTTAATCAACTTTGTAAGCTTTTTTCTTTGTGTACATCTGTCACATATTTTGTTTCTATTATCAAATATAAATTTTTGGCCTTGAATACATTTAAGGTTATTATTGTTTTAGTAATAATATCATGACTAATGTCTGTTGCTTTTTATCCTGAGACACTTTAGTTTCACACCAGTGTGTGGCTTATGCATGAAAACCAAGTTTTGTTACCCTCTTCATGCAAAAGATTCTAAGACTGGCTTATTTTTATAGTGTAGACATACATTGGTACTTCAGTTTTTCAATTCTTGCACTGTTCTTGAGGGAGTGGCATTTTTATTTACAATAATAAAATGACCCTGAAGCAGTTCTGTATAGTGTATGAGTATGTACTAGCCACAAAGTCTTTTAAGCATGTGATGTTTCTTAAACAGGCAGATGAAGCATATTCCATCGGCCCCGCTCCCTCCCAGCAGAGCTACCTATCTATGGAGAAAATCATTCAAGTGGCCAAGACCTCTGCTGCACAGGTGAGGGTTGTGAAGAGATTTGCAGTGCAAAAGGAATACGTTTTGTGCAACTGATGCAAAGTTACTTATAGAAATTTTCTATTTTTAGCCTTTCCCAAGATCTTTACATTTGATTATTGGATTATCATTGTAAACTAGGCATGTCCCATCTCATTTCTCAGCCAGTCTGCCTTTTTACTGGATCCTGTGTACTTTAGATCCTTTGGGAAATAGGTGGAAAGAGGGTCTAAATTACAAGTTAAAATTAGGAGAGAATTCAGCTCTTCTATCCTCAAAACTACAAGCTCAAATCCTTTGGGAGAAATAGGTAGGTAGGGCTCTGAATTACAAGGTAAAATATAAGCAAGAAAGAAATATATTTCCACCCCAACTTCCCAGTCTCATTCTAGGGCCACGTAGGGAACTTAAGGAAGACGATTCAGGCAAATGGAATTGCCAAGACTCTGAGATGAAAACAAGCTTGGTGTTCAAGGGAGAAGAATGTTCAGTGTGGTTGGAGTGAAGGCAGTAAGGGGCTGTGTCATTCAGGTATAGTCAGTAAAACCAAAATTCCATTTGACGTTTCAGCAGAAGGAACTTAGTTTAGGAATTAGTTCCACCAGTGTTAGAGAGCTGAAGGCAGGGTGGGGATGTTGAAATTACCCTTTAATAATAACAGAAATTGAAAACCACCCTTTGGGCTGAAGGAGAGACTGGGGGAGGGACTTTCTGCAGCTGTTCTCAGATCTGTGGAGGGGCCCTGCCTGGCTGCCGAGGGCTTAATGAGGCTGGTTCTTGGAGTTCCAAAAGAACCTGAAGACTGGAACCAATGGCCGCTTCCCGGCGGTGAGGAGAAGGAAAGCTTCCTTGTTCAAGTTTCCCTACAGTGACCCCTACTGGTGAAACCTAACAGGAAGCCCACTGGCAAACAGGCAGAGCCCCTTCACAAGGCACCACGTAGAAGGCTGGATTTGCAGCTGGGAGAACCATCTTACAGGAAGAAAGTGGTAGGAGACGATGGAGCAGAGAGAGGTAGGGGTAGCATCATTTAGAACATTCTTTTTTTTTTTTTTTTTTTTTTTTAAAGACAGGGTCTTTGCTCTGTTGCCCAGGCTGCAGTGCAGTGGCACAATCATGGCTCGCTGCAGCTTCCAACACCCAGGCTCAAGTGATCCTCCCACTTCAGCCTCCCAGGTAGCTGGGACCACAGGCGCATGCCATCACACCTGGCTAATTTTTTATTTTTTGTAGGGATGGGCTTTCTCCATGTTGCCCAGGCTGGTGTTGAACTCCTAGGCTCAAGCGATCTGCCTGCCTCAGTTCCCAAAGTGAGAACATTATAGGTCTTGATAAGGAGTTTGTATTTCATTCTGAGTAGCCATTGGGAGGTTTTTTAAAGCTGGGGAGTAAAGCCATCTGCTTTACTTTTTAATAAAATCGCTGTGGCTTCTGGGTGGGGAAATGGATGATTGAAGTGGGGGCAAAGGTAGGGACAACAACATTGAAAGAAGGCAAAACAATTAAAAGTAAATTGCCGTAGTGTTGCCCATCACCCTCACCTGAATTCCTTCTCCTTAGAAATTCTTCGTTGTCTCCTCTAGCACATTGATCATTCCGCATTTGATTTCTTGTTCTAGTCATATTTATACTTAATTAGTGCTTTGTTTAACGAGTTTAATGTAGATGTTGGCTCCTCCATAATTCCTTTGTGCTTTCCTAAGGGAAGAACTCATATCTGACACCTTTTTATTTTTTTAAGCATACCTCCTAGCAACCCAGTGAGCTTGTACATAGTCCTCAATTTGTTTTTATTTTTGTTTTTTGAGACAGGGGTTCACTTATCATCCAGGCTGGAGTGCAGCAGTGAGGGTTCAAGCAATCCTCCCACCTCAGCCTCCCAAGTAGCTAGAGCTACAGGCTTGCATCACCATGCCCAGCTGATTTTTTAAATTTTTGTAGAGATGGAGCCTCCCTGTGTTGCCCAGGCTGGTCTCAAACTCCTGGCCTCAAGTGATCTTCCCACCTCAGCCTCCCAAAGTGTTGGGATTAAAAGTGTAATCCACTGCGCCCAGCCAAGTCCTTAACTAAATTAGTGAATATGTATAGTTGTTTTGTATTGATGTATCTCTTCTTTAGAATAGTGTTCTTAAACTGAATAGGTATTAATTTATACAAATGCATATTTAAAATATGCTTGTTTATGAAGCTTTTTTGGTTACAGCTTGAAGTAAAAGGTCCTTAGGAGGGTAAGGAGATGATAATAGTACGTGGAGATATACATATGTATCTCACATGTCCTTAGGAGTTCAGGCCCTTTAACATAAATATCAGTTTGTGCATTTATCATGTATTTAAGCATAAATGCCATGGTAGTATTACCTTCATCTTATGGGCATAACATCTAATGCACAGAAGGTTGCATGATGTTATTCCAAAGCATCTAAATCTTGCTACTCAAAGTGTGGTCCATGGACAGCAGGTTTGACATTATGAGCTCGTTAGAAATTCAGACTTTTAAGCTGGACACAGTGGCTCACATGTGTAATCCCAGCTACTCAGAAGGCTGAGGCAGGAGGATTGCTTGAACCCAGGCCAGCCTGTAGAAGATAGCAAGACCCCATCTCTGAATAAAAAACAATAACAGCCTTTAAGTCCTACCCTAAACCCACTGTAATTTGCATTTATGCAAAATTTGCATTTTTATCAAGATCCCCCAGTGATCTGAAATCAAAACTTGTCTAATCATTGAAAGAGAAAGGATTAAACAAGAGTATTCTGACTCCCAGCCCCATTCCCTATTCATTGGACCAGACTGAGCAGTAGAACTTTCTTGCCCTGCATTTTGGAAAAAGGGAAGGTGTTGTTTAATTAGAAATTTTTATTAATTAAAAATTACTTCTTGTAGGCCAATGAGCTTCCTTTTTGTTTTATTATTGCTTTCTTTTCTAAGCTGCCTCCTGAAGAATTGAAAATCCACTTTCTTTTTAATGACCATTTTTCTGAGACCATTTTTTAGTTTAAATAAGAACCTTCTAGCAAATGTATGATATGCTAATTCCAGGGACTTTATCAAGCTTGTACCTATTTAGAATAGTATCATGTTAGTTGCTGTAACACAATGAGAAAGGAATAATACTTATTTTGAAGTATATTTCAAAGAATGTTTGAAAAGAATAACATACTTTCAGACAGTATTTTTAAAAGAATAAAATATTTTCAAAAAATAATCATTTTGCCTGGATATTGAAGATTTGGGGTGGCTTGCAAAAATTAGTGGTGAAAATAAAGGATAAAAGAGCAAAAGCCAAGTAACATGAGTGAATGAACATTGGAATTAAATCAGAAAATTTAGCCTAAGTAAAGCTGTTTAGCTCTTTGGGGCAGACCTGATCAGAAAGGAAATTTGGTGGGTTATAATTTACAAAGTTCTCCTCTAATAAAAAGATACTTGCCGATTAGGAGAGCAAACCTTCCTTTAATGTTGACTTTAAAGAAGAAACTTATTGGCCATCTAGTAAAGGACATTGAATAACACTTGTATAGTGATTTGAAAGAAGTTTTCTAAAAGTCTAGAATTGTTCTTAATGTGGCCATTTTGACATACTTTTATAGAAATTAAAGTAAAATTTACAAGTGAGCTAAATTTCTGGTGATGTCTGGTGATATGGCTATATTGAGAAACTCAAGAAGATGTAAATATTTTTTAGGCTAGCCTTTTTTTTTTAAGACGTTGTCTCACTCTGTCTCCCAGGCTGGAGTGCAGTGGTATGATCATGGCTCACTGCAGCCTTGAACTCATGGACTCAAGTGATCCTGCCACCTCAGCCTCCCAAGTAGCTGTGATGGGACTGTAGGCACACGTCACTATGCCCAGCTAATTTTTTGTTTGTTTGTTTGTTTTTGAAACAAAGTCTCACTGTGTTTCCCAGGCTGGTCTCAAACTCCTGGGCTCAAGTGATCCTTCTCTCTTGGCCTGCCTACGTGTTGGCGTTACCGACGTGAGCCACCGCCCTGGCCACACTCGTTCTCTCGATTGCCAGTTGTCTTCAGTCTTCTCTGGTTGGGAAAGAGGTTGTAGTTAACCCTGTCTGCAGATTAGAACCACCTGAGCTTTTAAAGAGACTGTTGTACTGCCTTGCGGAAGAGGCCTAACTGTAAGGAAGCATAAAGCAGTCTCTGGAATGCTTGTGATGTTTTGATTCTTGAGTTGAGCACTGGCTGCACAGGTGTATTCAGTTTAAGTAAACAATGGACTTAAGAGCTGTACACTTAGGGCAAATGTGCTTTTCTATATGTGTATTATACTTCAGTCCCCTCAGTTATCTGAAGTTGCTCCTGAGCATGAATGTTTTATAAAAGTGCTCCATTTTTTTTTCATGTGCTACCAAGAGTTAGGAACTTTATTACAGGTACTTGAAAATCACTGACAAGTAACTTAAATGCATATAGCAAGTCATTTACTGAATACAGCTACTCTGTGGTTGACCAAAAGGAAACCCATATGTTTTAAGTATCACAGACGAAGGTAGGAAATTCTTGGTGTCCGGTCCCAGGGTCTGTCCAGCCCATGCTGATGTCTGAGGAGAGTGTGTGGATGAGCAGAAAGAACACTTGGGGGGCCGTAGGCAGGTGAATATGGTTTTCTTCAGCAGCAGCTCTTATTAGCAGCTTAGTTAGACTAGGTCTCTCATACTGTTCACCTTTATCTTAGCTGTCTGCTCTGGCTCTGTGGTTCCTGCCACTCCCATGCCCGCAGCTGCACAGCTGGCTCTCCCTTGCCTTCAGGGTCAGCAGCTTAACTCTTTCTCTCTCTGGGCATGAGCAAGCCAAGCTGTGTCCTGGCTCCCACCTGTCCGGCTGCAAGATGGACAACTTTGGCACTCTCTCTGGGTGCCAGTGCTCCCACCATGTCAAGCCATGTTGAGCCGAGTTGAGCCCCAAGAGCCCCTGAACAGCATTAGCAGGGCAATTATACCTTTTACAGACAATAGTGGCATATGAGCTTACACAAACAGGTTATATAACAAGTGCAGTATGTGCCTGTGCCCTAAATTTGCTGAGTCATGCAGGTCTGGATGTCCACCTCAGCCTATTCCTTGACCAAAGCACATCTATGTACCTTACACTTGGTAATAAGAATTTAAAGACCATGACTTGTCCGCTTCACCATGGAAAGGACACTTCTCATTTTTGCTTGAAGGCAGAGCCAGTTTTTTGTCAAACTCTGCTTGAGGGTAGAACCAACAACTTTGCTTGTGTGTGTCTTCTTGAACAAGTTACAGAGCAAAGTAAATACAAACTAAAAGGTTGGAATAAATTATTTTGGCAGAGATTTAAGGAGGACAAGAGATACTAGTTTTCTGTGTTTACTAATAAAGGCATGTTAGTACCGTGCAATGAACAATCTCAACAGGTTTGCAATCCTATGACCCACCAGGGTGAAGTGGCAGCTCAATACATGCCTGAAGCAAGGGAATTAGCCCGCTGGTAATAGTAGTGGTGCTGTTGTTTTCCCTTTTAATCCATTCAAATGCTCAAGAACATCATGGTTTGGTTATATTAAATTGTTCTTCCTAAGAGAAATTAGTTAAACTTCTTAAGGCTGTTCCCAGAGTGTACGACTGAATTTTATTTTCACAAGGAGATGGCTCCTTTTGTTTTTAGTTATTGATATGGTTTCGCTGTGTCCATACCCACATCTTATCTTGAATTGCAACTCCTACAATTCCCACGTATTATGGGAGGAACCCGGTAGGAGGTGATTAAATTATGGGGATGGGTCTTTACTGTGCTGTTCTCATGATAGTGAATGAGTCTCATGAGGTCTGATAGTTTTAAGAAACAGGAGTTTCCCTGCTCAAGCTCTCTCTTTGCCTGCCGCCATCCATGTAAGTTGTGACTTGCTCCTCCTTGCCTTTCCACCATGATTGTGAGGCCTATCCAGCCACTAAACCTCTTTCTTTTGTAAATTGCCCAGTGTCAGGTAATGTCTTTATCAGCAGCATGAAAACAGACTAATACAGAAAATTGGTTCCAGTAGAGTAGGGTGCTGTGAAAAGATACTTAAAAATGTGGAAGTGACTTTGGAACTCGGTAACAGGCAGAGGTTGGAACAGTTTGGAGGGCTCAGAAGAAGACAGGAAAATGTGGGAAAGTTTGGAACTTCCTAGAGACTTGCTGAATGGCTTTGCCCAAAATGCTGATAGTAATGTGGACAGTGAAGTCCAGGCTGAGGTGGTCTCAGATGGAGATGAGAAACTTGTTGGGAACTGGAGCAAAGGTGACTCTTGTTATGTTTTAGCAAAGACTGGCAGCATTTTATTCCTGCTGTAGAGATTTGTGGACCTTCAAACTTGAGAGAGATGATTTAGGGTATCTGGCAGAAGAAATTTCTAAGCAGAAAAGCATTCAAGAGACGACTTGGGTGCTATTAAAGGGATTCAGTTTTATAAGGGAAGCAGAGCATAAAAGTTCAGAAAATGTGCAGCCTGACAATGTGGTAGAAAAGAAAATCCCATTTTCTGAGGAGAAATTCAAGCTGGCTGCAGAAATTTACATAAGTAACAAGGAGCCCAACGTTAATCCCCAAGACAATGGGGAAAATGTCTCCAGGGCATGTCAGAGGTCTTCATGGCAGCCCCTCCCATCACAGGCCCGGAGGCCCAGGAGGGAAAAAATGGTTTTGTGGGCCAGGCCAGACTGCTGTGTACAGTCTAGGGATTTGGTCCCCTCAGTCCCAGCTGCTCCAGCTGTGATTAAAAGGGGCCAAGGTACTACTTGGGCTGTTGCTTCAGAGGGTGGAAGCCCCAAGCCTTGGCAGCTTCCATGTGGTGTGAAGCCTCTGGGAGCACAAAAGTCAAAAACTGAGGTTTGGGAACCTCCGCCTAGATTTCAGAGGATGTATGGAAACTCCTGGATGCCAGGCAGAAGTTTGCTGCAGGGGTGGAACCCTCATGGAGAACCTCTGCTAGGGCAGTGCAGAAGGGAAATGTGGGGTCAGAGCCCCCACACAGAGTCCCTATTGGGGTACTGCCTAGTGGAGCTGTGAGAAGAGGTCCACTGTCTTCCAGACCCCAGAATGGTAGATCCACCAACAGCTTGCACCATGTACCTGGAAAAGCCACAGACACTCAACACCAGCCTGTGAAAGCTGCCAGGAGAGGGGCTATACCCTGCAAAGCCACAAGGTTGGAGCTGCCCAAGACCATGGGAACCCACCTCTTGCATCCATGTGATCCAGATGCGAGACATGGAGTCAAAGGAGATCATTTTGGAGCTTTAAGATTTGACTGCCCTGCTGGATTTCAGACTTGCATGGAGCCTGTAGCCCTTTTATTTTGGCCAATATCTTCCATTTGGAGGCTGTATTTAACCAATGCCTATAACCCCATTGTATCCAGGAAGTAACTAGCTTGCTTTTGATTTTACAGGCTTATAGGCGGAAGGGACTTGCCTTGTCTCAGACGAGATGTTGGACTGTGGACTTTTGAGTTAATGCTAAAATAAGTTAAGACTTTGAGGGACTGTTGGGAAGGCATGATTGGTTTCAAAATGTGAGGACATGAGATTTAGGAGGGATGAGGAGCGGAATGATATGGTTTGGTTCTGTGTCCCCACCCAAATCTCATCTTCAATTGTAACTCTCACAATTCTCATGTATCGTGGGAGGAACCCAGTGGGAGGTGATTGAATTATGGGGGCAGGTCTTTCCTGCGCTGTTCTCATGGTCATGAATGAGTCTCATGAGAGCTGATGGTTTTAAAAATGAGTGTTTCCCTGCACAAGCTCTCTCTTTGCCTGCCACCATCCATGTAAGACATGAATTCCTCCTCCCTGCCTTCCGCCATGATTGCGAGGCCTCCCCAGCCATGTGGAACTGTGAGTCCAATAAACTTCTTTCTTTTGTAAATTGCCCAGTCTGGGATATGTCTTTATCAGCAGTGTGAAAACAGACTAATACAGTTATGAAAGAAGAGCATTTATCTAGTACACCAAAAAGTTCCATCAAATTCAGAATCTGTTAAAGGAGACTAGTAACAAACACTCCGGAAATGAAATTAAGGAAACAGTTACATTCACAATAGCAATCAAATAGTTAGGAATAAAGTTAGCAAAAGCAGTTCAAGACATATTTACTGAAAACTATAAAACATTGCTGAGAGATACTAAAGAAGTTCTAAATAAACAGATATTTCATCAGAACACTCAATATTATTAAGGTGGCATTATATATTTAATGCAGTCTTTATAAAAATCCCAGCAGGCTTTAAAAAAAATAGAAATTGATAAGCTAATCCTAAAATAGCCAAAAAGCCTAATATATACCTAAAACAATTTTTGAAAAGCTTATGTAACTATTTTGTAGGATTTAGACTCTGTTTCAAAACTCATTATGCCAGGTGCAGTGGCTCACACCTGTAATCCCCAGCATTTTGGGAGACCAAGGTGGGCAGATCACTTGAGGTCAGGAGTTCAAGACCAGCCTGGCCAACATGGTGAAACCCTGTCTCTACTAAAAATACAAAAATTAGCCAGGCATGGTGACAGGTGCCTGTAATCCTAGCTGCTCAGGAGGCTGAGGCAGGAGAATCGCTGGAACCCAGGAGGTGGAGGTTGCAGTGAGCCAAGATCATGCCATTGCACTCCAGCCTGGGAGACACTGCGAGGCTCTGTCTCAAAATATATATATAAAGCTACAATAACCAAAACAGCGTGGTATTGGTATAAGGATAAAAACAGGTCAGTAGAACAGGATAGAAAATCCAAAAATAAACTCACATATGTAGTCAATTGATTTTTGAATAAAGGTGCTAAAGTAATTCAATAGAGGAAAGGAGAGTTTTTCAACAAATAGTGCTGGAGTAATTTGACATCTCTTTGTAAAAAGATGAACCCGAAGTCTAGATCCTAGACTCTTGCCTCACACCTTAAACAAAAAAAATTAACTTACAATATATCACAGACCTAAATGTAAGAGCTAAAACTATAAAACTTCTAGAAGAAAACATAGGAGAAAATCTTTGAGACCTTGGATTAGGCAAAGATTTCTTAGACATAATACTATAAGAAAGGTTCACGAAAAAAAATGATAAAATTGACTTCAAAGCTTGAAACTGTTGCTAGGAAACCTAATTTTTTAAAAAAATGAGCAAAATATTTGAATAGATCCTTCACCAAAGAAGTTATACAAATGACCAGAAAGCCCATTAAAAGATGTTCAACATATTAGCTGTTAGGGAAATACAAATCAAAACCTTGGTGAGATACCACTTCATACTCACTAGGATGCTATAATCAAAAAGAGATGATAACAAGTATTGGTGAGGACTTAGAGAAATTGGAACCCTTCTATGTTACTGATGGGAATGTAAACTGGAGCAGCCACTTTGGAAAACAGTTTTGCAGTTTCTCAAAACGTTAAACATAGAGTTACTTTATGAACTAGTAACTCTACTTCTTCAGTATATACCCAAAAGAAATGAAAACACATCCGCACAGAAATTTATACCTGAATGTTCATAGCAGCATTATTTATAGTAGCCAAAAAAGTAGGAACAATGCAAATGTCTATCAACTGATGAGTGGATAGATAAAATGCAGTATAGCCATACAATGGAGTATTATTTTGCCATCAAAAAGGAATGAAGTACTGATTTGTGTTAAACAAAAAATGGATGAACCTTGAAAATATTACGTTCAGTGACAGAGCCAGTCACAAAAGACTGCATGTATTATATGATTCCATTTATATGAAATGTTCATATAGGTAAATCTATAGAGACAGTAGATTCACAGTTGCCTAGGGCTGGGGGTTTATGGGGAGTGAGGAATGGCTAAGAGGCACAGGATTTCTTTTTGCAGTGTTAAAAACTTACATTATTAGATCTTAGTATTTTAGATTATAGTGATAATTGTGCGACTTTGAGTATACTAAAAATCATTGGGTTGGCCGAGTTTATGGTATATGAATTATATCTCAACAACTATGTTTAAAAAGTGCAGTAACACTATGCACCCACTAGATTGGCCAAAATCAGAAAGACTGATAGTACAACATGTGGGCAGGGATATGGATACACACTTTAAAGCATCATAAATTGCTGGTAGAAATGCAAAATAAAATCATCGCTTTAGAAAAGTTAAATGTATTCTTACCATATTAGGACCAAACAATTGCACTCCTGGGTATTTACCCAAGAGAAATGAAAAATATGTTCACACAGACTTGTCTGTGAATGTTTATAACACCGTTATTCATAATAACCACAAACTGGAAAATAATTCAAATGAATGGGTAAACAAAATGTGGTATATCCATATAACAGAATCCATATTATAAAAAGAAATGAGCTACTGACACACTCCATAACATGAATAAACCTTGAAAAATTATGTGAAGTTAAAGAAGCCAGACACATAATACTATGTACTGTATGATTCTGTTTATATGAATTTTTTTAAAGGCAAAACTATAGAGACAACAAGTCAGTTGTTGCTTGGGTATTGGGAACAGATTGCACATGGGCACATGGGAACTTTTTCAAGTGATGCAGGTGTTCTCAAACTGGATTGTAGTGATCCAATTGTAGTTGCACAATTGTATAGATTTACTAAATTCACCAAACTATAAATGCATGAATATTATGTATTATAAATCATATCTCAAAAGAAAACCCAAACCAGGGAGGACTAGGACATAGACCTGTTTCATTTGCCTAGTATAGATGTTTGACCATTTTATATAAAATACTCAAATTGTGGGAGAAAATATTTGCAAAGTTTGCATCTGACAAAAGTCTAATATCTAGCATCTATAAGGAACTTAAACAGATGTGCAAGAGAAAAACAACCCCATTAAAAAGTGGGCAAAGGACAGCCGGGCACAGTGGCTCACGTCTGTAATTCCAACACTTTGGGAGGCCGAGGCGGGCAGATCACACGGTCAGGAGATGAGACCATCCTGGCTAACATGGTGAAACCCTGTCTCTACTAAAAATACAAAAAGATTAGCAGGGCGTGGTGGCAGGCACCTGTAGTCCCAGCTACTTGGGAGGCTGAGGCAGGAGAATGGCGTGAACCTGGGAAGCAGAGGTTGCAATGAGATGAGATCATGCCACTGCACTCTAGCCTGGGTGACAGAGCAAGACTCTGTCTCAAAAAAAAAAAAAGTGGGCAAAGGACATGAACAGGCACTTCTCAAAAGAAGACATACATGTGACCAACAAACATGAAAAAAAGCTCAATATCACTGATCATTAGAGAAACGCAAATCAAAACCACAATGAGACACCATCTCACACCAGTCAGAATGGCTATTACTAAGAAGTCAAAAAAATAACAGATGTCAGGAGGTTGTGGAGAAAAGGGAACGCTTATACACTGTTGGTAGGAGTGTAAATTAGTTCAACCATTGTGGAAAGCAGCAGGGTGATTCCTCAAAGAGCTAAAAGCAAAACTGCCATTCAACCCAGCAATCCCATTACTGGTTGATACCCAGAGGAATATAAATTATTCTACCATAAAGACACATGTGCATGTATGTTCATTGCATCATTCACAATAGCAAAGTCATTGAATCAGCCTAAATGCCCATCAGTGACAGATTGGATGAAGAAAAGGTGGTACATATACACCACGGAATACTATGCAGCCATAATAAAGCATAAGATCACATCTTTTGCGGGAACATGGATGGAGCTGGAAGCTATTATCCTTAGCAAACTCCCACAGGAACAGAAAACCAAATACTGCATGTTCTCACTTAGAAGTGGGAGCTGAATGATAAGAACTTAAGAACACAAAGAAGGAAACAAAAGACACTGGGGTCTACCTGAGTGGGGAAGGTGGGAGGGAGAGGAGCAGAAAAGATAACTATTGAATACTGGGCTTAATACCTGGGTGACGAACTCTGTACAACAAACCCCTGTGACATGTATTCACCTGTGTAATCTTCACATGCACCCCAAACCTAAAATAAAAGTTAATAAAATAAAATTGAACTTTGGTTTAAAAGATATAAAACTCTAAACTGGCTGCAACATATGAGTATCCAGCATTTTATCTGTATCTGGCATTGCATTGTTTCCTGTCACTAGGATGTGGGTTTTTCTATTCGTATGAGTTTCCCAGATATGTGAAGCTTACCCCTTTAATTTTGAAATGTTCTTTGAGTGTAACTATTTTGAAACAGGATTGGCTGAACCTTTGTGTTTTTACATTGTTTTGGTCATAATTATAATACTCGCTCACATTTTAGAAGAACAAATCCCCTCAGGGCTACTGATGTTGGAGAGGGTGTGGCTTCATCACTCATTAAATCATCCAAGTCTTCTCTGCCTTTTGCCTCCTTCTGTTTCTTCCCTTTTTGCTGTCAGCGTGTTTACTTTTAGAAATCTTGCTGTCCTTCAGTTACTGAATTTCCTCTTCTGTGGGCTAAAATCCCAGTAAGTATGTTTGTTAAAATTCTGAGTACACTGGAAGTAACTAGGCTGAAGTCTGAGGGATGCCCTTTTCACTGAAAGTACACGTACAGTTGTCCCCTTTATCCACGGTTTTGCTTTGAGTGGTTTCAGTTACCTGCAGTCTACTATGGTGTGAAAATATTAAATGGAAAATTCCAGAAATCAACAATTGATAAGTTTCAAATTGCACGCCATTCTGAGTCACACAGTGAGATCTTGCACAGTCTGCTTTGTCCCTCCCAGGATGTGAATCGTCCCTTTGTCCAGTGTCTCCACGCTGTCTCCACTCCCCATCTGTTAGTCACTCAGGAGCCATCTAGGTTATCAAATTGACTGTCATGGTACCACCATGCTTGTGTTCAAGTCACCCTTATTTTATTTAAATCATGGCCCCAAAATGCAAGAGCAATGATGGTGGCAATTCACTTATGCTAAAGAGAAGCCATGAAATGCTTCTTTTAAGTGAAAAGGTGAAAATTCTCAAGGAAAGAAAAAAATATGTATGTTGAGGTTTCTTGGTTCTTGGTAAGGACCAAGTTTCTATCTGTGAAATTGTGAAGAAGGAAAAACAAATTCATGTCATTTTCCTGTTGCACCTCAAACTGCAAAACTTATGGCCACAGGGCATGGCAAGTACTTAGTTAAGATGGGAAAGGCATTACATTTGTGATTGGAAGACATGAACAGAAGCGTGGTCAAATTGGTATCAGTCCAGTTCTGTAGTATTCATAGTTTCAGGCATCCACTAGGGATCTTGGATAAGGGGACACTCCTGTAGACTTTAATACATGACTTTCATTTGCTTCTTAGCTTTTTTTCTGGAAAGATGACATTGATGACCTGAAGATAAGTGAGGTATTTATTGAGCTAGTGTTCTGTTTGGGGCTTTTGGATGCCATGATTTCAATTCTAGGCCAGTTTTACACAGAGACAGAATAGACAAATTCCCCTTACCACTCTGAAGCCCTTTACTTCTTGACATTCTACCCTAATTGCAATATTATTTTAAATTTAAGTATATAGAAACTTCTGTACCATATGATCCAGCAATTCCACTTTTGGTATACAGCTAGAAGAATTTAAAGCAGGGACTCAAAACAGATACTTGTATACCAATACTTGTTGTTCACAGCAGCAGTATTCACAATGTGTAGAAATAACACAATGTCCATCAAGAGATTAATGGATAAACAAAATGTGTACAAACTGGATATTATTCAACCTTAAAAACAAATGGAATTTTGATACATGTTACATGAATGAACCTTGAAAACATTATGCTAGGTGAAATAAGCCAAACTCAGACAAATTATTATACGCTTCCACTTACATGAGGTACTTTGGCTAGAGAAATTCATAAACAGAAAGTAAAATCCTGGTTACTAGGGACTAAGGAAAGGGAGGGAATGGAGAATTATGTTTGGAGATTAAAACATCCTGAGGATGGATGGTGATGACAGTTGCCCAACATTGTGAGTGTACTTAATGCCACTGAATTACATACTTGCAAGTAACTAAAATGGTCAGTGTTTTGCTATGTATATATTATCACAATAAAAAGAAATATAGATTCATCTGGTTTAGGTAAGCCTTCAGAGCTTTCATATGAATATTTCAGATATTTCTTTGGAAACAGAGTTTAATAGAGACCATACTATTACCAGTGTAGGGAGAGGCCTCCCAGAGGAAGACAGCTTCACCTGCATTAAGGTGTTGCCAGTTGAGCACTGATGAGTAAATTTTTTATTTTATTTCTCATTTCTAGGCTATCCATCCAGGATGCGGTTTTCTCTCAGAAAACATGGAATTTGCTGAACTTTGTAAGCAAGAAGGAATTATTTTTATAGGCCCTCCTCCATCTGCAATTAGAGACATGGGTATAAAGAGGTATGAGTTTATATCTTTTAAAATATAACTGTATGAAGGTCAGTTGAAATAGTTTGGGCCAGGCATGTGGCTATGCCTGTAATACCAGTGTTTTGGGAGACTGAGGCAGGAGGATAGCTTGAGGCCAGGAATTCAAGACCAGCCTGGGCAACTTAGTGAGACCTTGTCTCTCAAAATTCTTTTTTTTAAATCAGCCAGGCCTGGGCACAGTGGCTCACACCTGTAATCCCAGCACTTTGGGAGGCCAAGGTGGGAGGATCACTTGAGCCCAGAAGTTTAAGACCAGCCTGGGCAACACAGGGAGACCCTGTCTCTACAAAATTTTTTAAAAATTCCAGGCATGGTGGCACGTGCCTGTGGGTCCAGCATCTTGGGAGGCTGAGGTGGGAGGATTGCTTGAGCCCAGGAGATCAAGGCTGCAGTGAGCTGTGATCACACCATCATACTTCAGTCTGGGTGACAGAGTAAGACCCCATCTCAAAAAAAAAAAAAAAAATTCAGCTGGGTATGGTGACACACACCTGTAGTCCCAGCTGCTTAGGAGGCTGAGGCAGAAGGATCACTTGAGCTCAGAAGTTTAAGGCTGTAGTGAAGTATAATTGCACCACTGCACTCTGGCATGGGCAACATTGTGAGACCCTGTCTCTAAAAAAAAAAAAGAAATAGTTTGTTTTACCTATAATATTTTAATTCTACCCTTCTGTTGTCATAGGCATAAGTTATTTATCTGTGACATAGAGAAATTCTATTGAGTTACAGAAAATACTTAATGTTTCTAATCAATATATTAGTATTTTGGGATTAAAAAATAGGGTGAGATGAGCTACCACATGAAATGAGGGAAACTAACTAATAGACATATTAAATTTGTATTATTTTGTCGTCTCAGACTCGATGTTTTCTTTAAAGAGTTCCATTGTAATTTATAGACTGGGCTATATTTATGTTTGTCTTGAATGAAATAATTTGTAGAATTTGGGGCATGTTGTTTTCTTTCCCACTCTAAAGCACATCCAAATCCATAATGGCTGCTGCTGGAGTACCTGTTGTGGAGGGTTATCATGGTGAGGACCAATCAGACCAGTGCCTGAAGGAACACGCCAGGAGAATTGGCTATCCTGTCATGATTAAAGCCGTCCGGGGTGGAGGAGGAAAAGTAAGATTGTGCATGCTTGTGTTTGCCAATTCAGGCTTGTCTTCTTTGTTTTATTTATGTTGTAGTCATAATCATCTTTTCTCTCTTAGGGAATGAGGATTGTTAGATCAGAACAAGAATTTCAAGAACAGTTAGAGTCAGCACGGAGAGAAGCTAAGAAGTCTTTCAATGATGATGCTATGCTGATCGAGAAGTTTGTAGACACACCGAGGTGGGTTGGCCTTATTTTTCTGACTCAGAGTTTAAAAATTAAATTATAAAAATAATGCATGCACATTCTATAAAATATAAAACTGTAGTAGTATATAAGTATATTATTACAAGTTTCCCAGTTCTGTCCTGTGATGTAACCACTGATTGTAGGATGGTATGCATTCTTCCAGCCATTTTCTATGTGAATAGAAACCTATATACATATACATACAGCAAACAAAATACATACCTAAGAACAGTGAATAGAATTTTTTTTTTTTTTTGGACGGAGTCTCTCATTCAGTTGCCCAGGCTGGAGTGCAGTGGCACGATCTCGGCTCATTGCAACCTCTGCCTCCCGAGTTCAAGCGATTGTCCTGCCTCAGCCTCCTAAGTAGCTGGAATTACAGGTATGCCCCACCATGCCTGGCTAATTTTTGTGTTTTTAGTAGAGATGGGGTTTTCCCATGTTGGTCAGGCAGGTCTCAAACTCCTGACCTCGTGATCCACCTGCCTCAGCCTCCCAAAGTGCTGGGATTACAGGCGTGAGCCACTGTGCCCGGCCAGTGAATAGAATCTTATACACTAATATTATATCACAGACATCTTTCCATGTCAGTAATTGTAGATCAGCCTCATTCTTTTTGTTGGTGACCTAGCGGTTCTATGATCTTGATATACCATTAATTCATTCAGTATGTTTCTTGTTGATGAAATTTAGGGTTTTTTTTCAATATTAGCAAATTATTGTAATAAATTCAGCTATATTTATAGAACTCTGTCAGTTGAGATGCTCAGGAAATGGAAGTAATTTTCTAAATTGAATTACAAGTGATATGCTGTTAATAGGAGCTAACACTTACATTGCACTTACCATGTGCCAGATTTTAAATATTTTACACATGCTAAATAATCTTGCTGTCCTTCTAATTCTAATATAATTCTTACAACAACCTCATTAGGTAAGTACTGTTTTCATTTTACAGGTGAGGACACTAAGCAACAGAATGGTTGTGTTGTGTTACTTTTCTGAGGTCACTCAGCTGTTAAGTAGTAAAGCTGAGATTTGAACCCAGGCACTTTGACTCCAGAGTTCATATCTAAGCCACTGCACTAAGCTACTTCTCTGGGTACCACTATAGCAAATGCAGTGTGAATCCCTATTTTTTTTTCTGGAATTTTATTTTCATGTTTGTTGTTTAAGATGCTGATTATAAAGTTTCTCATTTCATAGATTTTTATGACAATTGTTAAATTTTATATATATATGTGTGTGACCTGTAAGTCAAGTGAAAAGAATAATTTATTTGGGAACCATGACTGGAAAGAGATTTACCTTGAAGGTAACAGACTTGAAACTTCAGGCCCTTCTTTGACATTAATCTCTTCCAAGACCCTGACCTAATTTTGTATTTGCAGTTTTGTATTCTTCTCCTTAGAGAAGACCCCCAAATTGTTTTTTGTTTCAGGCCCTATAAAACAACTGTCCTGAGCATGGCATAGTAAATGAAATTCAATTAAGGCAAAAAAAAAGGGGGGGGCATTTCTAAGGTACATTGAAGGCTTCCTTTCAAGAAAGAATAGGCTAGCCATCCAAATCAGCATGCTCTTAAGTTAGAATTGTGGAGACATCAATAGCTTATTTCAGTAACTTATTTCAGAGACATCAATAGCTTATTTGAGTTATTATGTAACTCCATGCCTGCAGCATTTTTTGAATATGTAAGTTCTTTACTTATGAAATGTTAGCCATACATTGCGTCACATTATAATTTATTCCCCCAATAGCTGGAAAGCCCCTGGGAATCAAAGACCTGGTAGTATATACATTTTTATTTTTTGTATATATTGCCTGGCATACTACTTTCCTTGTAATAGGCATCAGTAATATTTTTTGAACTATAGAAGTAATATGAATACATTACAAATTTTTGGAAAATGCAGAAGATGGAAAACAACCCATAATTGTATTCTCCTAATTATTATTAATATTCTTATATACAGTCATGTGTTGCTTAATGACAGAGATACATTCTGAGAAATGCATTGTTAGGCAATTTCATTGTTGTGCACACATCATAGAGTGTCCTTACACAAACTGAGATAGTATAGTCAACTACACACCTAAGCTATGGTATAGCCTATTGCTCCTGAGCTACAAACCTGTACAAACGTTACTGTATTGAATACTGTAGGCATTTGTAACACAATGGTAAGTATTTGTGTATCTAAACATCTCAAAACATAGGAAAGGTAATGTATTGTGCTATTATGTCACTAAATGATAGGAATTTTTCAGCTCTATCATAATCTTATGAAATCACCATCCTATATGCAGTCTGGCATTGATGGAATGTCATTGTGTGGCACATTGTGTGACTCTATTTCTATTCTGTATTTCTAGTAATAACTTCTTTTTAATTGAAAGCAAGTTTATTAAGAAAGTAAAGGAATAAAGAATGGCTACTCCATAGACAGAGCAGCCCCAAGGGCTGCTGGTTGCCATTTTTATGGTTATTTCTTGATGATATGCTAAACAAGGGGTGGAGTATTCTTGCCTCCCCTTTTTAGACCATATAGGGTAACTTCCTGACGTTGCCATGGCATTTGCAAACTGTCATGGTGCTGGTGGGAGTGTAGCAGTGAAGACGACCAGAGGTCACTGTTGTTACCATCTTGGTTTTAGTGGGATTTAGCCAACGTCTTTACTGCAACCTGTTTTATCTGCAAGGTCCGTATGACCTGTATCTTTTGCTGACCTTCTATCTCTTCTTGTGATTAAAAATGCCTTAACTTGCTACTGGGAATGCAGCCCAGCAGGTCTTAGCCTTATTTTACCCAGCTCCTATTCAAGATGGGAGTTGCTCTGGTTCAAATGCCTCTGACATTTCCCTTTTCCCTTTTGTAAGAGCACGCTTAATCCTAAGGGTTGCAGAGGGACAAAGATCCATCTTCTGTAACTTCTTCAGGCTGAATGGGGTGATGATATTCCTGCCTAACTATTAGGATCTCTTGTGTTCAGTATAGAGAGAGGAGCTTAGTTAGAAAGCATCGGTATGTTGAGGGCCACTCATAACTCATGAGTTCCAACAAAAGGTGATATCTGGAAGATTACTATGTGTTTTTAAAAAAAAATTTGGTAAGCTTATCCTGCATTTCTACACAAAGAGTATAACAGTAATATATTCCACAACAGTAGAGCAAAGTAAGCAAGATTATCCCAAGTTAACTAAGTTAGAAGGCTTTCCACTAACTGGGCAACTGTTGGAACCAAGCCGATATGAGGTTGCTAGGTGATTCCAATACATGCCCAGGATTAGAATATTGATTCAGATATTTGCATTACCAGTCCCTCCTGTTTCTTCTGAGCAGCATCCAGGGATCACTGGTTGGTCCACAGGAATAAGCAGGGTTAGTCTAAATTGTAGGAAATCTCAAAAACAACTGATGAGACCAAAATTTAATAACAAATGTGCCATAGTTCTTGAAACATAATTTTTCTCTCTCCGGTTTCCCATTTTTACTAAAGACAAATCATGGTAAGACTGATTTGCTTTATTATACATGGCCTGATTATTTGTACAAAGTGCAGCAAGAATAATTATTTGCCATACAGGCTTTTAAAATTGGTTTTGATATAACTCTTCCATAAGGAATGTCAGAGAAGACCTTTTTTGTATTTAAGCCCAGCCCAGCCATGGGTTTATACCCTCAAATACCTATGAGTTGGGTAAATTTTTCTCCTCTTGAGGTCTCACGATAACTTGGGGCTCCTGAGTCTTTCAGAAAGTGACATTCTTTACTTACTACAGGTTAGGAACCCTATATAGAGACTGTGTAGACAAGGAATGAGGCCAGTTTTCCCCAGGGGCTTTTATTGGCTTTACAAGTCAAGTTTGATTCCTTAAAGGAAAGCATGCCATTCCAGTCAAAGCCTTGGTAAAATAACCAGTTTCTCCAGTTGTGTCCCATTGCAAAAGAAAGCAGATTCTTATTGCATTTATGCAAATAACTATATTGCCGTAAGTTAAGATAGTCACAAATAATTTCCAAATTCTGGAGAAATCAGATAGAGAGAAACAAATATGCTCCAAATTTTGTTTATGAGTGTGCACATTACTTAATTGTTTAAAAAGCTGTCAATAGCTTAAAAGAAAAGTTTCCTTTACTCTGAAGAACAAAACAGAGGATCAGCAATGTTTTAAGCAAAAAGTCAAAAAAGATTACTTCAGACTTCTGTTAGTTTAGTCTGTACAGTTAACTCCTGTTTTGCTTGATATACATGAACATTTCAACTTTCCATGAGAGTCCTGAAAGTTTCTTTTTCCCTTTTCTAATGTCACAATCTCCAAAGTTAAATGAAACCTGCATTCAAGAACACCTATTAGAGTTGTATAGTTGATTATAAATCACCTTTTGGGGCTTGGTGGCTCATGCCTGTAATCCCAGCACTTTGGGAGACTGATGCAAGTGGATCACTTGACCTGGAGTTTGAGACCAGCCTGACCAACATGGTGAAACCCTGTCTGTAATAAAAATACAAAAATTAGCCAGGCATGGTGGCATGCACCTGTAATCCCAGCTACTTGGGAGGCTGAGGCACGAGAATCACTTGAACCTGGGAGGCGGAGGTTGCAGTGAACTGAGATTGTGCCACTGCACTCCAGCTTGGGCGACAGAGTGAGACTCAGTCTCAAAGTAATAATAATAATAATAAATCTCCTTTTGAAGAGGATCAAAACAAGACAATTGTCTGTGGATGGCAAAAAGTTTTAGGGCAGCCACAGTTAAAAACACAATTGACAAAGAAATTTGGTTACCTCTGTTGCATACAATGGTTTTATGTAACAGTTATAATTATACTGATAATGTACACTAAGTCATATCAGAATTATAGGAGTTTCCCATTATTTTGGAACACATACTAACAACATATTTATATAAATATAGCCCAAAGAAAGCTAAACACTATTTCACATTTGACACTGCTTCCTGTATGACTCTTATGCCAAATAAGCCAAATTTCACCTTTACATAACTGTACTATTAATGTTAAACCCAATTTTCAATAAAACCTTATAGACATATCTACCCAATTTTAATGTTTGACCATAAGGTGAGGTTCTCATAAACCTTTTATAACCCTTTACAAATTTTTGTTAAAGAGCAGATCAGTGCCTTAAGAAGAACCTGTTGTGCTTTTATTCCAATGTTCAATTTACAGAAAAACTGAATACCCCTTTAACTTTAGACAATATGTTCACACACAGAATTTCTTTTACAAGATTAATTTTTTACAAACCTTCCACAACTTGCTTAAACCTTAAGCATTATCTTATTTAACTTAAAACAATCCTTTAACTTTTTAATCTAGACAAAAAAAATCCACATTCCTGTGCCTTCTTATAATCTTTTACCAAAAACGCATTTCAAAAACAAAACAAAACAAAACAAAAAAAACGCATTTCACTTTCCTTACACACCTTACATGTAGAATTGTTTCAATTTCTCAAAGATTACTTAAATCACATAAATTAAAGGCATTATACTTTTTACTTTTCCGACAAAATATTTGATATAAGCACTTATTTTTAAACCAGTTAACCAAAGCTCTTTCATATCACACACACAACACATATAAATACACAGACAAACAGAAGAAAAGGACTCATTCCCTAAGCCAGGAACTGAATCCTGAACCCGGTATACCATTGTGAAAAGACAAAGCTAGGCCACATGGTTACAAGGTCAAGCTCCCAAGGACATACAAGACAAGAGGGGAAACCTCATCCAGTTTTTTTTTTTTCAGGGACCTGCAGCAAAGTTTATAACTGACTAGTTTGCTGGGCCATCTTAAACAGTGGGCTTATGGTGTTCTAAGCCTGTGTTTTATCCTAAGGTATCCATCTCTATGACAGAACAATTCAGAAAGACATGCAAAGCACACCAGATTCACTACAGCTTAAGACTAGCCTCACAAATCCTTTTTTTATTAATCAAAACTTTACAGAGGAGATAAACAGTGATTTTTGCCATTCATTCAACCAGTTTGCACAGAGAGAGAAAGGGAAGGGAAGGGAGAAAAGCATTGCTTTGTGGCAGGATGGGGAAAGCAAGGTGCTCAGAGAGACCAGAGAAAGACCCGCCCATTGCAACCGACACTAAATAAAAAGTTCAGGTGGCCACTTGTCAGTTAAGAAGGGATCTTTTGCCCACCATGGCTCTGAGGCGCCTCCTGCCGGTGCTGCACCCCTACATTACCCGCTTCGCCCTGCTGTCCACGGAGCCGGCTGCCCGCGAACAGCCTGCCGTGGGCCCAGCAGCCATGCCAGGACGTGGGTCGGCCGAGGCAGTGTGGCCGCCGGTGCCCGCAGTGGACTTCGGCAACGCGCAGGAGGCGTACCGCAGCCGGCGAACCGGGGAGCTGGCGTGCAGCCCGCTGGTGCTGCACTTGTGCGCCTGGCCCGTGCTGGTGGCGTGCCATGAGCAGGCGCGCGGGGTGCAGGCAGGGGCGCGGGGCTTCTGCCCGTCCCAGAAGCCTTTACGGAGCTTCCTGGGTGCCCACCAAGCGTCTCCTGGAGCGAGGGAAGCCAGGAAGGGAGGCGTTTCCTGCAGTCCCTCTCGGACCTCGCAAATTTTCCTACTTGTCGATGTCTACCAACTAAAAACAATGATCATTTTAATATTTACGATATATACCACTTGTGGGAATACAGAGTTATCACTTGGAATTAAAAAAAAAAGGGGGATCTTTTCTAGCAGTCCCATCAGCTCTCAAGTTTCTCCTTTTAGGGAGGTAAAAGCTCCCCATGTCCCACCATCCTGTACATGCCTAATCCTATCACCGACCGCCGTCAGCAAAGAGTGCAAGGCAGATTAATTCAAACAGAATAGCAGTTAACATCCATAGTGCCAAACCCATTCTTAGCCGAGAGGGATTTTACTGAGAGGAGCCCCTAAATCTTAGGAAGGAATCTAACCTTCCTAAGTTGGGCTTCAAACCCAAGTTCAGTCAAGCATCCTTGCCTTTTATTGAGAGGGGTCTTTAACCCACTCTGTCTTAGGAGAGACTTTAACTCCACCAAGTTGGGCCTGTAACCCAATCCTATCCTTTGCCCGGGTGTATGCACCCCGCTTACCCAAAGTTGGCCAATCAGTGCTGCAGTCTTTGGGTTGGAGGGTCTCCGCAGTATCGTCCCTTCCGTAGTTCATCAGAAAGACGTTACCAGACCCCACCGCTTTGGGTCGGGATTTCCTTAGTATTGTCCCTTCTGTGGTCACCAGAAAGATGTTACCAGACGGGGGTCCTGATCCAGACCCCAAGAGAGGATTCTTGGATCTCACACAAGAAAGAATTCAGGGCGAGTTCATACAGTAAAGTGAAAGCAAGTTTATTAAGAAAGTAAAGGAATAAAGAATGGCTACTCCATAGAGAGAACAGCCTCTAGTAATAACATTTAAATATCCTGATAATCATACTGTGTATTCTTTATGTCCTGCTAAATAATTACCTGTTGAACTAATGGAGTGCCAGAAGATTGTCAAAATAGTGCTGATAACTGAGAAGAGTCAATATCAAGATATTACACAAATCTTATCAAAACTATTTAGTGTATCTGAAAGACTGGGATAAGAAACCACCTTTAAAGTATACTATTTTGGAAGAAAAAACAAATCAGATTTCTTCCTCAGTTCATATATAATACATATTCTAGATGGATTAAAAATGTAAATAGGGCCAGGCGCAGTGGCTCACGCCTGTAATCACAGCACTTTGGGAGGCTGAGGTGGGCAGATCACGAGGTCAGGAGATCAAGACCATCTGGCTAACACAGTGAAACCCCGTCTCTACTAAAAATACAAAAAATTAGCCAGGTGTGGTGGTGGACGCCTGTAGTCCCAGCTACTCGGGAGGCTGAGGCAGGAGAATGGCATGAACCCAGGAGGCGGAGCTTGTAGTGAGCCTAGGTCACACCACTGCACTACAGCCTGGGTGACAGAGCAAGACTCTGTCTTAAAAAAAAAATGTAAATAGGAAAATGGATATGTTAGGACTCTTAGAAAATATCAAGGCGCTCATGATAGGACTCAACTGCATCTGTCTGTCTCTCTGGCCGTACTCTGGCAGTGGCTGAATTAGGGCAGCTGGGATTTGATGCACCTCCTGGTTCTCAGACACTTATAGACACTATGCTCCAGAAACTCTAAGTTAGATAAAGCTGCACAGAAAAGGGTCAATCAGAAAAAGGTAAATAAGACTGATTGAATGACTACAGAAATCCTAACAGAACACAGATCTTCACTGAACTTCCCTTATAAGCAGCCAAAGGAAAAGTGTTTCCAACTTCTAAGACCTCAGACAAGGCTGGGCACAGTGGCTCACGCCTGTAATCCCAGCACTTTGGGAGGCCATGGCGGGCAGATTGCCTGAGCTCAGGAGTTCGAGACCAGCCTGGGCAACACGGTGAAACCCTGTCTCTACTGAAATACAAAAAATTAGCCAGGCATGGTGGTGTGTGCCTGTAGTCGCAGCTACTTGGGAGGCTGAGGCAGGAGAATCGCTTGAACCTGGAAGGTGGAGGTTGCAGTGAGCTGAGATTGCACCACTACACTCCAGCCTGGGCAACAGAGCAAGACTCCATCTCAAAAAAAAAAAAAAAAAAAAAACTGAAAAAACAAAACTCAGGCAAGAATTGCTCTGTGCTCTTGATGTGGCCCCCACACATTCCCTTCATAACCTGGAATCCCTGCTGTAGTGTTTCCTCTTACCTGGAGCACCTAAAAGATGAGGGAGAGTCAGAAGTGGTATGTGTTAGTCTGTTCTCATGCTGTCAATAAAGACATACCTGCAACTGGATAATTTATAAAGGAAAGAGGTTTAATGGACTCACAGTTCCACATGGCTGGGGAGGCCTCACAATCATGGCAGGAGGTGAAGGAGAAGCAAAGGCGTGTCTTACATGACAGCAAGCAGGAGAGCCTGTGCAGGGGAACTGCTCTTTATAAGACCATCAGATCTCGTGAGACTTTACTATCACAAGAACAGCACGGGAAAAACCTGCCCCCATGATTCAGTTACCTCCCGCCGGGTCCCTCCCACCACACATGGGGATTATGGGAGCTACAATTCAAGATGAAATTTGCTTGTGGACACAGCCAAACCATATCGTGGTAGAACTTTACAATTGGAATTAGAAAAACAAACACTTCAGCTCCAACATGTAAAGAGCTTGAAAGTTATCAGTCATATCCAAAAAGCAAGAAAAAGGCTAAACAAAATGAAAGTCAGTGGTTTTAGAACCATCAGAGAATTGAGGCCATGGGGCAAGCCTTCACTCTAAAATCTGGACAAGCATGCAAGTATAGTGAGTCACAGCCAGATCAGTTTACCTGCTGGAGCCCTAACACTTGCATGGGAATTTTGAAAAATGGCTGAGGCTAAGTGTGGGCCAGTGTGCAAGTGAGAAACTCCTTGGGGCCCTGTCTTAGAGGGACCTCCCACTTTCATGGGTTTTGCCTCCAGGAACCTCACCAAGTTCCCACAGTAAAAATCCAAGAAAAAAAAATCCCTCATGTTTTACAGCAGTGGGAGGGGAAAAGTAACCAATTTGAAAGAGATCCAGAGCATTCTATTCTCCCTAACAGAAGAAATCCTAACTCCAAGGGAGATGTTGCCAGAACCTTTTTTGTTCAGGGGGAAGGTAGTTAGCCAACCACAACCCCCTTTAGTCTTCCCATTTCACCTAAGGGGAGGGGGAAAAAAAACAACTTAGAAATACTTCGCAGCACAAACACAGGACCACTAAAAGACTTGAGATTTAATCACAAGTTTATAGAATGCTTTCCCTCCCCCATACCCTACCACCATGTTGCAATGGTCTAAATATTTGTATCCCTCCAAAATTTACATGTTGAAACCTAACCCGCTATCCCCAAGTATTAAGAGGTTGGGGCCTTTGGCAGGTTATTAGGTCCTGAGTGCTCTGCCCTGATGAATGGAATTGGCTTCAGTGAGCGCAGGCACTTTGTCTCTGCTCACCTCTGTACACCCAGCACTAGTTGGGAGCCTCCTACGTAATATTAATAGATGCTCGCAGCCATAAAAAAGGATGAGTTCATGTCCTTTGTAGGGACATGGATAAAGCTGGAAACCATCATTCTCAGCAAACTGTCGCAAGGACAAAAAAACGGAACACCGCATGTTCTCACTCATAGGTGGGAATTGAACAATGAGAACACTTGGACACAGGAAGGGGAACATCACACACCGGGGCCTGTCGTGGGGTTGGGGGAGCGGGGAAGGACAGCATTAGGAGATATACCTAATGTAAATGACGAGTTAATGGGTGCAGCACACCAACATGGCGCATGTATACATATGTAACAAACCTGCACGTTGTGCACATGTACCCTAGAAATTAAAGTATAATAAAAAAAAACTATAAGTGTATTTGCAAACATATTGGAAAACATGGAAAAAACAATGAAAAGGATTTCAGTCGTATAGCAAAATAGCTGATTTGTGTTATGTCAATAGCTTTCTTCTCACGTTTGTTCTGTCTGCTTCCTATACTTAGCAATAAGAAGATACTGTAATTATTTCACTTATCTACCCCTCTGTTCTTAAGTATCTCTTTTTCCTATAATTTTGTTATGTAAAAGGTAAGGTTTAGAATGTGCCACTCAGACCTCAACTTTCCATTGTGGATTATGCAAGGCCACAAAGATTTCGTACAACTATGATGGGACAAATAAATACAAATTTGTGAACAACAACAACAACAAAAATCAGTGATCCTGAACATAGATAAATAGAACTTTCCCAAACGGAAATGCAAGGAGAAATAAAAATGAAAGAAAAAAGAGAGAACAGAATATCCAAGAACTGTGGGACAATTTAAAAGGATGTAACACGTTATTTGAATACCACAAGAATTAGAAAGCAGCAGGAGAGATATTTGAAGTAGTAATGGCCAAGAATTTTCCGAAGTTGTTGACAGATGCAAAACTACAGAACCAGGAAACTCAGAGGACACCAAGAAGAATAAATACCAAAATATATACATCTATGCACATCATCTTCAAATGCAGGAAAAGAAAGACAAATAGAAAATACTGAAAGAAGCCACAAGGAAGGAAAATACTAGAGGAATAAAAATAAGAAATCTTATCAGAAACCATGCAAGAAGAGAGTGGAGTGAGATATAAAGTGTTCAGAGAAAAACTACTAACCTAGTCTTCTGTATCCAGTGAAATTATGCTTCAAGTATGAAGGAGAAATAAAGACTTTCTTAGACAAACAGAAATGAAGAGACTTTGTCACCAGTAGACCTGTCTTGCAGGTCATATTAGTAGATGTTCTTTAGAGTGAAATAAAATGTTTTAGGTCAGAAACTTGGATCTACATAATAGAAAAGAATTAGAGAAGGAATAGGTAGAAGTAAAATATTTTCCTATCCTAACATAGGAATATTTTCCTATTTTGAATTGATTTAACAGATAACAGTTTGTTTAAAATAATGGCAATAACGTATTTGGTGATTATATAGCTTGTGGATAAAGAGGAAAAGTCAACAAGGCAAGAAAACTAAAAAGAAAAAATCAGCTCCAAGAATTTTATTAAGAGAATGTATTGGACAGGTTGGAAAATTCAAAATGGGAACATTCAGAAAAGATGATATATCAAGAAGATAAATTCTTTTTATTTTTGAGACGGAGTTTCACTCTGTCACCCAGGCTGGAGTGCAGTGGCACGATCTCGGCCCACTGCAGCCTCCGCCTCCCAGGTTCAAGTGATTCTCATGCCTCTCAGCCTCCTGATTAGCTGGGATTACAGGTGTGTGCCACCACACCTGGCTAATTTTTGTATTTTTAGTAGAGACAGGATTTCACCATGTTGCCCAGCTGGTCTTGAACTCCTGGCCTCAGGTGATCTGCCTGCCTTGGCTTCCCAAAGTGCTGGGATTACAGGTGTGCACCAACCGTGCCCAGCAAGAAGACAAATTCTTTGAAGTGGTTAAATAAAATACTTCATGAAGTAAACAAGAATAGAAATGAACTATTGTACTGAAGCAATACATTTATAAGACTTCCTGGCATTTTTTGTCTCTTCTATGTTTGACAGTTTTTATTTTAAAAAATCAACAGGAAAACATATTTGCTGATCACTTCTGTATTATGGCGTATTATGGTGGTAAATAGGTGAAGTGAACTACAGTGTGACCATATCACAAACCTACCGAGAAGAATTTCATGTTCACCAAATAGTCCATATTAGCCTTATTTCCACAAAAGTTATGTGCATTCACTCTTAATATGATTTGTCATAATTTTACTATTTTATAATCAACATGTAATTACCTTTGTTGGTTGTTGTTGTTTTTTCCTTAGAGATGGGGTCTGACTTTATCAGCCAGGCTGGAATGCAGTGGCGCAATCGTAGCTCACTGCTCACTGCCACCTTGAATTCCTGGGCTTGAGGAATCCTCCTGCCTGAGCCTCCTGAGTGGCTAGGACTACAGGCATGTACCACCATGCCTGGCTAATTTATAAAAAAAAATTTTTTTTAGAAACAGAGTCTCACTATGTTGCCCAGGCTGGTCTTGAACTCCTGGGTTCAAGCAGTCCTCCTGCCTTGGCCTCCCAAAGTGCTGGGATTTATAAGTGTGAGGCACTGTGCCCGGCCCTTTTTTGGGTTTTATTATGATTTATTGTTCATGTATTTCTGAGATACTAATGGTCCATATTAATTTAATACATTTAACTTTTCTGGATGAGCCATTTTAATTTCAGTCTTCTATATTCATAAAATCTAACTGTAAGAGTTGCTTAAAAACAAAAAGTCATAAAAAATTTTTCATTGGTCTTTTGACAATATAGGAAGTGACTATAATTTGTAATTTTGATGTAGTCAAATTTGTCAGTCTTTTCTTTGACAGTTTGTACTTTTTGTTACGTATCCCTACTTTAGTCTCTATTTTCTGTCTTTTAAAAATATTTATTCATTCATTCATTCATTCATTCTCCTTTAGGTTGGAGAAGTGTCTTAATTGCCATTTTATGTAGAGAGATTTTTTCTCTTTAATATTCATCCTACAAATGGTAACATTTTCATTGAGTTTTACAAGATTATAGTTTCTTTGTTTTGACAGGGTCTCTCACTCTGTCACCCAGGTTGGAATGCCGTGGCACAATCTCAGCTCACTGCAACCACAACCTTCTGGGCTCAGGTGATCCTCCTACCTCAGCCTCCTGAGTAGCTGGGACTACAAGCATGTGCTACCATGCCTGGCTAGTTTTTTTGTAGAGATTGGGGTTTCACCATGTTGCCCAGGCTCATCTTGAACTCCTGGGCTCAAGCATTCTGCCTGCCTTGGCACCCAAAGTGCTGGGATTACGGGCATGAGCCGTCTCATTTGGCCTGTGGTTCTTTTTCTAAGTCCATAACCTCTAATTTGAGGTCAAAATATCAGATCTTACTTAAAGGAAGTAAAAATGGAGAAATCCTGGTGATTGTGCCTAACAGTTTAGCTTAACGAATGTGATATTTATCACCCCTAACAAATATATTAACATACATGTTTGCTTTTATATAGGCATGTAGAAGTCCAGGTGTTTGGTGATCACCATGGCAATGCTGTGTACTTGTTTGAAAGAGACTGTAGTGTGCAGAGGCGACATCAGAAGATCATTGAGGAGGCCCCAGCGGTAAGGACCTTGGAAAGAAATTTGTAAGCTTCTCCGTAATGTGAATCTTACTCTGATTTTCACATCAGAAATCTGTGAATCTGGTGTCTCTCACCCCTCAAACTCCTGCTGGACAACTGTTGCCTAATAGCAGTGTAGTGAAAAGACCTCCTGTGGTATTGGGGATGAGGAGGAGATTGATGTTCTGGGGGTAGACACAACAGGGTCATGTTCCTTCTGGATAAAATATGGGAAAATCTACTCTGATTCACCTATCTGATTTACAGCGAAAAGCTGTCTAGTGAGGTTTCAACGCACATTTTAAATTGTAATGAATGGCCAGGCGCGGTGGCTCACGCCTGTAGTCCCAGCCCTTTGGGAGGCCGAGGTGGGTGGATCACCTGAGGTTGGGAGTTCAAGACCAGCCTGACCCACATGGAGAAACCCCCATCTCTACTAAAAATACAAAATTAGCCGGGCTTGGTGGCGCATGCCTATAATCCCAGCTACTTGGGTAGGCTGAGGCAGGAGAATTGCTTGAACCTGGGAGGCGGAGGTTGCAGTGAGCCGAGATCACGCCATTGCACTCCAGCCTGGGCAACAAGAGCAAAACTCTTGTCTCAAACAAAAAAACAGAAAATTATAATGAACTAGAATTAATTACTGGAATGGAATGATCTGATTAATTGAATCTATTTTTTGTGGAAAAGCCTTTTTTAATTACCATTTCAGATGTTCTCAAAATATGTGAGAGATTTTCCTGCCTTACTGGTTATATTATAGAGAAGAGAGAGTCTCTCGTTTGGCAGCGTTTGCTCATTTAACATTTGTTTATATCTCTTTGAGCCTTACTCTTGATTGGTTTAGGTGATTATCTGGGTCAAAGCCTACTACTAGGACTACCTATTTTTGGATTTACATTTCTGTGGAGGTTGCTACTGCCATGGGTTCTTGTTCAACGTTATATAGATTTTTTTTCAATAAATATTTATTTCCAAAAAGTCAGGGATCAGAGGTTTCTGGTTAATCAATACATTTTTCTTATACCATATTCAAATTTTAATTTATGTTGCAGAATATATTTAACTTATGTTGTAGAATATATTATAACATTATATATTATACCAGAATATGTTATGCCATGAATATTGACATATTAAATGTCAATAGAAATTGCAGTAAAGCCTTATTTTCAAGTCGTGATTACTTAAATTTATATCTGTATAGCACTGTTTTTAAAAAGTTAAAAACTTTGTTTACTTCTAGACATACATTTATTTTAATGTACCTTTCTTATTAACTTGGAATCTCAAGGTTTCCCATTATTTTAAGATAATCATTAGGCACATCACTCAGATTGCTTATCATCCTGAAACAAAATAAGGATTGTTGAAAGTTACCATATTGATACGTATAGTTTTGTTTTGTTTTTTTGAGACAGGGTCTCGCTTTGTCATCCAGGCTGGAGTGCAGTGGCATGATCATAACTCACTGCAGTCTCCAACTCCTGGGCTCAAGCAATCCTCACCTCAGCCTCCAGAGTATTTGGGACTACAAGTGCATGCCACCATGCCTGGCTAATTTTTTTTTTAATGTATTGTAGAGATGGGGTCTTACTGTGTTGACCACGCTGGTCTCAAACTTCTGGCTTCAAGTGATCCTTTAACCTCAGCCTCCCAAGCACTTGGATTACAGGCCCGAGCCACTGTGCTCAGCCTGAAACATATAATTATAAGTGGACATATAGTTATGAAAGCTGTCATGTAGATACAAGGGACAAAGATACGTAATTATGCTGAGTAATATCTGCAATGCATAGAAATTAGTAGCAGAATCATTAAACTTTGGTATATTGACAGTTAAACTATCATAGGACAGTTTTTGATGAAGTATATAATATTAGCTTTTTATCCTTTTTTTTTGAGATGGAGTTTCGCTCTGTCACCCAGGCCGGAGTGCAGTGGCGCGATCTCAGCTCACTGCATCCTCCGCCTCGCGGGTTTAAGCAGTTCTGTGCCTCAGCCTCCCAAGTAGCTGGGATTAAGGCACCCACCACCACACCCGGCTAATTTTTTTTTTTTTTCTATTTTTTAGTAGAGACGGGGTTTCACCATCTTGGCCAGGCTGATATTGAACTCCTGACCTCGTGATCCACCCGCCTCAGCCTCCCAAAGTGCTGGGAGTACAGGCTTGAGCCACCGCACCCGGCCAGCTTTTTATCCTTTTTAATGCAGAATTTGGTACACAGAAATATAATACAGTCATGCATTGCTTAACAATAGGAATACATTCTGAGAAATGCGTCCTTAGTTGATTTTGTAATTGTGTTAACATCATAGAGTGTACTTAAACCTAAATAGCAAAGCCTACCACACACCTAGGCTGCTGGTAGAGCCCATTGCTCCTAGGCTACAAACCTATATACAGCATGTTACTGTACTCAATACTGTAGGCAGTTGTAACACAATGGTAAGTATTTGTGTATCTAAACATATATAAACGTAGAAAAGGTACAGTAAAAATACAGTATAAAAGATTATTAAAATGATACACCTCCTATGTGGAATACTTACCATGAATGGAGCCTGCAAGATTTTCAGTTGCTCTGGGTGGGACAGTGAGTGAATGTGAAGACCTAGTACATCACTGTACACTTGGTAAACACTGTATACTTAGAGCCAATTAAATTTATAAAAAATATTTTTATTTAATAAATTAGCCTTAGCTTGCTATAACTTTTTTGCTTTATAAACTTTTAAATTTTGTTTTCACTTTTGACTCTTTTTAATAATACTTAGCTTAAAACACAAACACATTATGCAGACATACAAAAATATTTTTTCTAGGCCGGGCGCGGTGGCTCACGCCTGTAATCCCAGCGCTTTGGGAGGCCGAGACGGGTGAATCACGAGGTCAGGAGATCGAGACCATCCCGGCTAACACAGTGAAACCCCGTCTCTACTAAAAATACAAAAAAAAATAGCCGGGCATGGTGGCAGGCGCCTGTAGTCCCAGCTACTCAGGAGGCTGAGGCAGGAGAATGGCCTGAACCCGGGAGGCGGAGCTTGCAGTGAGCCGAGATCGCGCCACTGCACTCCAGCCTGGGCGACAGAGCAAGACTCCTCTCAAAAAAAAAAAAAAAATTTTCTTGGCTGGGTATGGTGGCTCATACCTGTAATCCCAGGGCTTTGGGAGGCTGAGACGGGCGGATCACTTGAGATCAGGACTTCGAGACCAGCCTGGCCAACATGCTGAAACCCTGCCTTTACTAAAAATATAAAAATTATCTGGATGTGGTGGCAGGCGCCTGTAATCCCAGCTACTCGGGAGGCTGAGACAGGAAAATTGCTTAAAACAACCTGGGAGGCAGAGGTTGCAATGAGCCGAGATCATACCACTGCACTCCAGCCTGGGCAACAGAGTGAGACTCCATCTCAAAAAAAAAAAAAAAAAATTCTTTATAGCCTTAATTCTATAAGCTTTTTCCTATTTTTTAATTTTTTTTTGTTTTTTTTTGTTTTTTTTTTGAGACAGAGCCTCACTCTGTAGCCTAGGCTGGAGTGCAGTGGTGCAGTCTTGGCTCACTGCAGCCTCTGCCTCCTGGGTTCACGCCATTCTCCTGCCTCAGCCTCCAGAGTAGCTGGGACTACAGGCGCCTGCCACCACACCCGGCTAATTTTTGTATTTTTAGTAGAGACGGGGTTTCACTATGTTGGCCAGGCTGGTCTCGAACTCCTGACTTCATGATCCGCCCACCTTGGCCTCCCGAACTGCTGGGATTACAGGCATGAGCCACCGTGCCTGGCCCCTATTTTTAAATTTTTAAATTAAATTAAAATTTTTTGAGATGGGGTCTTGCTGTATCACCCAGGCTAGAGTGCAGTGGCACAAACATGGTTCACTAGACCCCTGACCTCTTGGGCTCAAGTGATCCTCCCACCTCAGCCTCCTGAGTGGCTGGAACTATAGGTGTGTGCTATCATGCCTGGCCAATTTTTTTATTTTTGTAGAGACAGGGTCTCGCCATGTTGCTCCATGGTTTGATTCTTGCCAGGCTGGTATCAATCTCCTGGGCTCAAGTGCTTCACCCGTCTCGGCCTCCCAAAGTGTTGGGATTACAGGGGTGAGCCACCACACCCGGCCTGTTTTAACTTTTTAACCTTTTCTGTTAAAAATGAAGACACAAACACACCCATTAGACTAGACCTAAACAGAATCAGGATCATCAGTGTCACTGTCTTTTCTCCACATCTTGTCCCAATAAAAGTTTTCAGGGTCAATAACATCTATGGAGCTGTCATCTTCTATGATAACAATGCTTTCTTCTGAAATATCTCCTGAAGGAACTGTCTGAGGCTGTTTTACAGTTAACTTTTTTTTTTAAGTAAAAGGGATACACTTTAAAATAACTATAAAAATTGTATAGTATAGTAAATTAAAAAAACAATAGCGTAGTTGTATTATCAAGTATTATATACGGCACATGATTGGGCTGTATTTTTTTTTTTTTTTTTTTTTTTTTGAGACAAAGTCTCACTCTGTCACCCAGGCTGGAGTACAGTGGCGTGATCTCGGCTCACTGCAAGCTCCGCCTCCCAGGGTCACGCCATTCTTCTGCCTCAGCCTCCTGAGTAGCTGGGACTACAGGCGCCCGCCACCATGCCTGGCTAATTTTCTTTGTATTTTTAGTAGAGACAGGGTTTCACCGTGTTAGCCAGGATGGTCTCAATCTCCTGACCTTGTGATCCGCCCGCCTCAGCCTCCCAAAGTGCTGGGATTACAGGCGTGAGCCACCGCACCTGGCTGATTGTGCTATACTTTTGTATAATGGCAGTGAAGTCGTTTTGTTGACACCAGCCTCACCACAAAACACATGAGTAATGACTGTGCTGTGATGTTATGACAGCTACAGTGTCACTAGGTGATAGGGATTTTTCAGCTCCATTATAATCTTATGGGACAACTGTTGTATATGTGGTCTGTTGTTGACTAAGAAACGTCATTATGTGGCACCTGACTGAATTGAATTTTAATGGAATTTCTAGTAAGGCAAGCTACTAATGGAGATTTATTTACATATTTTTTTCATAGCCTGGTATTAAATCTGAAGTAAGAAAAAAGCTGGGAGAAGCTGCAGTCAGAGCTGCTAAAGCTGTAAATTATGTTGGAGCAGGTAGGTTAAGATTTGCTTCTAATGGAAGAGACGTAACAGTGTTTAATTTATGTTTTAGAAGGCAAGAGAAACACAACTTTTAAATCAGTTGCTTTCAAGCTGTTTTGACCATATTCACAGTAAGAAATACATTTTATATTGAGACTTAGTATGTACACATAAATGTTTATTTTTACATACATATATATTTGAAACAAATGTTTCATTAAACAGTACTTGTCTTAATTATATGAGTTTTGATATTTTGTATTCTATTTTAAAATCACTAGATTGATTTTTTTACTTCTTTATGGTTAATAAACTTTCTCTTTTAGAGCAGTTTTAAGCTTACAGCAAAATTGAGCAAAAGGTACAGAGAATTCCCATATACCCCCTGTCCCCCACTCGGATACCCCCCAACACACAAGCTCCCACAGTATCAATATTCCTGCACCAGAGAGGTACGTTTGTTACAGTCAGCGACCCTACATTGACACATCATTATCACCCAAGTCCATAGTTTACATTAGGGCTCACTCTTGGTGTTGTACATTCTGTGAGTTTTGACAAATGTATAATGATATGTATCCACCATTGTACTATGGTATAGAATAGTTTCAGTGCCCTAAATATCCTCTGTGCTCTGTCTATTCATCCTTTCATCCCCCCTAAACCCCGGCAGCCACTCATGTTTTTACTGCCCCCATAGTTTTGCCTTTTCAAGAATTTCAGATAGCTGGAATCATACAGTATGTAGCCTTTTCCGATTGGCTTCTTTATAATATGCATTTAAGTTTCCTCCATGTCTTTTCATGGCTTGATAGCTCATTTCTTTTTTATGCTGAATAATATTTCGTTGTCTCGATGTCTCAGAGTTTATTATCTATTTAGCTACTGAAGGACATCTTGGTTGCTTCCAAGTTTTGGCAATTATGAATAAAGCTGCTATAAACACCCTGAAAACAAACAGGCTTTTGTATGGACATAATTTTTTAGTTTATTTGGGTGAATACTAAGGAGCGTGCTACTGGGTCACATGGTAAAAGAATATTTAGTTTTGGAAGAAACTGACAAACTCTATTCTAAAGTGACAGTACTATTTTGCATTCCTGTCAGCAACAAAAGAGGTTTCCTGTTGCTCCAAATCCTCTCCAGCTTTTGGTGATGTCAGTGTTTTGGATTCAGGCCATTTGGTATCTCATTGTTTTAATTTGCACTTCCCTAATGACATACAGTGTTGAACATCTTTTCATATGCATACTTGCCATCTTTATATCTTCTTTGATGAAGTGTCTGTTCAGGTCTTTCACCCATTTTTTAATCAGGTTGTTTGTTTTCCTATTGTTGAGTTTTAAGAGTCCTTTGTATATTTTGAATGACAGTTCTTTATCAGATGTGCCTTTGCAAACACTGTCAGTCTGAGGCTTGTCTTCACTTCTCAACTTTCCCTTTCTTTTTTTTTTTTTTTTTTTTTGAGACAGAGTCTCACTCTGTCTCCCAGGCTGGAATGCAATGGTGTGATCTCGGCTCACTGCAACCTCCGCCTCCCAGGTTCAAATGATTCTCCTGTCCCAGCCCCCTGAGTAGCTGGGATTACAGGCACGTGCCATCACACACCCAGCTACTTTTTTGCATTTTTAGTAGAGGCGGGGTTTCACCACTTTAGCCAGGCTGATCTCAAACTCTTGACCTCAGGTGATCCGCCCACCTCAGCCTCCCAAAGTGCTGGAATTACAGGCTTGAGCCACCGCGCCCGGCCGACTTTCCTTTTCACAGAGCAGAAGTTTTAAGTTTTAATGAAGTCCAGTATATAAATTATTTGTAGATCATGCCTTTGGTGTTGTATATAAAAAGTCATCACCATACTCAAGCTTGTCTAGGTTATATTATACTCAGCTGGCCTTGTGCTTTCTGTTTTGGAAGGTTATTAATTATTGACTTAATCTCTTTAATAAATATAGCTATTCAGATTCTCTTTTTTTAATTTAATTTTATAGAGACAGGGTCTCATATTGCCCAGGCTGGTCTTAGACTCTTGGCCCCAAGGGATCCTCCTGCCATGGCCTCCCAAAGTGCTGGGATTACAGGCGTGAGCCACCATACCTGGCCTATGCTCACTGCAACCTCCACTTCCTGGACTCAAGTGATCTTCCCACCTCAGCCTCCCAAGTAGCTGGAACTACAGGCATGTGCCACAACACTCAGCTAATTTTTAAATTTTTTAGTAGAGACAGGGTCCCCCTGTATTGCCAAGGCTGGTCTCAAACCCCTGAGCTCAAGCAGTCTTCCCACCTTGGCCTCCCAAAGTGTTGGGATTACACACATGAGCCACTGCACCTGGCCCTAGGTTCTCTCTTTCTTGTAGGAGTTTTGACAGATTGTGTCTTTGAAGGAATTGGTTCATTTCATCTAGGTTATCAAATTTGTGGGCATAGAATTATTCATAATATTTCTTTATTATCATTTTAATGTCCATGGGACCTGTAGTAATAGACCTCTTTTTGTTCCGTTACTAGCAATTTGTATTTTCTCTCTTCTTTTTTTCTTAGTTAACCTGGCTAAAGGTTATTGTGCTTTTGTTTCTTTTCTTTTTTCTTTTTTTTTTTTTTGAAACAAAGTCTCATTCTGTCGCCAGGCTGGAGTGCAATGGTGAGATCTTGGCTCACTGCAACCTCCGCCTCCTGGGTTCAAGCAATTCTCCTGCCTCAGCCTCCCGAGTAGCTGGGAACTACAGGTGCACGCCACTACACCCAGCTAATTTTTATATTTTTTTAGTAGAGATGGGTTTCACCATCTTGGCCAGGATGGTCTTGATCTCTTGACCTTTTGAGCTGCCCGCTGTGGCCAAGGTTACTGATTTTATTGATCTTTTCAAGGAACTGGTTTGGGTTTTGGTGATTTTTTTCTATTGATTTTCCATTTTCAATTTCATTAATTTTTGCTTTAATTTTTATTATTTCTTCTGCTTACTTTGGATTTAATTTGCTGTTCTCTTCTCATTAATTAAAATATAAGCTTAGATTCTTGATTTTGGTATTTTCTTTTCTAATATATACATTCAATGCTATAAATTTCCCACTAAGCACTGCTTTTGATGCATTCTACAAATTTTGAAAGTTGTATTTTTATTTAGTTGAGAATATTTTAAATTTTTTCTTGAGATTTCTTTATTGATTCAGGTGTCATTTAGAAGTGTGTTGTTTAACATCCAAATATCTTAGGATTTTCCAGATATCCTTCTGTTAGTGATTTCTAGTTTAATTCTGTTATGTTCTGAGAGCAGACACTGTTATGATTTATATTCTTTTAAATTTGTTAAGATGTGGTTTATGGTCCAGAATGTGGTCTATCCTGGTGAATATTCCTTTCTAGCTTGAGAATGTGTTCTGCTGTTGTTGGATGAAATAGTCTATAGATGACAGTTGTATCCAGTTGATTGATGGTGTTGTTGAATTCAACTATGTCCTTAGTGATTTTCTGCCTGCTGGATCATCCATATCTATTTAATAACAGATGGGTGTTAAAGTCTCCAACTGTAATAGTGAATTAATCTATTTCTCCTTACAATTCTTTTTTGCTACATATATTTTATGCTCTGTTGTTAGGTACATGCATGTTAAAAATTGTTATGTCTACCCTTTTATCATTGTTTAATGCCCCTCCTTATCCCTGATAACTTTCCCTGCTCTGAAGTTTGCTCTAAAATTAAGATGGCTACTCGCACTTTCTTTGGTGTTAGCATATTCTTTGTCTGTTTTTACTTTAAGTCTATAAGTCTTTAAAGTGGATTTCTTGTAGGTAACATATATTTGTCTTTTGTTTTTTAATCTACTCCAACAATCTCTGTCTTTTAATTGGTATATTTAGACATCAACATTTAAAGTGATTATTAATGTACTTTGATTAATATTTACCATATTTATTATTGTTTTCTATTTATTCCCCTTGTTTGTTCCTATTTTTATCTTTCAGACTTTTTCTGCCTTTCATGGTTTTAATTGAGCATCTTCTATGATCCAATTTCCTCTCCTTTTTTAGCATATCAAGTACAGTCATATGCTGCATAACACCATTTTATTCAATATAACAATGGTTCCATAAGATTAAAATGCAGCTGAAAAATTCCTATCCAGTGACATTGTGGCAACTGTAACATCATAGTACAATGCATTACTTTCTTTAGGTTTAGATATATGTAGATACACAAATACTTACCACTGTGTTACAGTTGCCTACAGTATGCAGTAACATGTTATTATTGTTTCAAATATTACTTCTGTTCCTTCCTTTCTTCTCCTTCTGGTATTCTCGTTCTGCGTAGTTAATACCTTTTGTAGTTGTCTTGCAGTGCTAGGTATTGTTCTGTTTAAGGTTTTTTTTCTCACTGTTTTTCAGAATTGGAAGTTTCTGTTGTCATATCCTCAAGTTCAGAGGTTCTTTCCCTGCCATACCCAACGTACTAATGAGCCCATCAAAGCATGCTTCATTTCTATTAGGGTTATGGTTTTTTTTTTTTCAATTCTAGCATTTCCTTTTTATTCTTTCTTAGAATTTTCACCTCTCTGCTTACATTATCTATCTGTTCTTGCATGTTGTCTACTTTTTTCATTAAAGCCCTTAGCCTGTTAATCACAGTTTAGAATTTCTGTGTCTGATAATTCTAACATTCCTGCCATACCTGATGCTTCTTCAGTCTCTTCAAACTGTGTTTTTTGCCTTTTAGTATGCCTTGTAATTTTTTGTTGAAAGATGGACATGGTGTACTGGGTAAAGAGAATTTTGCTAAACAGGCCTTTGGTAATGTGATAAGGCTGGAGGGGGCATGTTCTCTTGTCCCATGATCAGATCTCAGTCTTGCTGAGCCTGTGCCCCTGGTGTGTGAACTTCACCAGTGCTTCCTGGTATGTTTTTGTTTTGTTTTCCCCCACCCCTTAGGGTGGACAGTATGTCTGGCAAAGGCTGGAGTTGGGTATTTCTCCTCCCCCAGTGAGGTTAGGCTCTGATAAAATCCCAATCGTTTAGGCTCTGATAAAATAGTTTTTCTCAAGGGTAAACCTTGAATGTTTTGGTGTATTTCAAAGTGGTTTCATTTCCCTTCTGAGCTGGAAGCATGGGAGGATTTTTCTCTGATATTCACTGTGAAGACCTGGTAGAGCTCCTGGAGGTAAAACTCACAAAAGTGTGAGGTCCTCCTGTAACTGGGTCGCCTTGGAGTTTTTAACTCTCAGAGTTGTCCACACTGAGCTACCAGGAATTTGTCAATTACAGCTCAGGCTTCTCCTCATGGCATCTCTGTATCTGCCTGTCAGTTGTCTGTCTCTCTGGTTCTGAGGACAAGCAGCTTGCCCTGTGACCTGATTTCTCTGACAAATTTAAAAATTGTTGATTTTCAGCTTGTTCAGCTTTTTACTTGATAGGACAGAGTGGCAGCTTCTAAGCTCCTTAGATGCCGGATCAGATTGATTTTCAAATTGATTTTAAGCTGGGCACAGTGGCTCACACCTGTAATCCCAGCACTCTGGGAGGCTGAGGCAGGTGGATCACTTGAGGTCAGGAGTTCAAGACCAGCCTGGCCAACATGGTGAAACCCCATCTCTACTAAAAATACAAAAAAATTAGCTGGACATAGTGGTGTGCGCCTGTGGTCCCATCTACTCAGGAGGCTGAGGTGGAGGAATTGCTTGAACCCGGGAGGCAGAGGTTGCAGTGAGCCAAGATCACGCCATTGCACCCCAGCCTGGATGACAGAGTGAGATTCCATCTTAAAAAAAAAAAAATTGATTTTAAAATCCACTAATGGGTTGTGACCACACTTTTAAAAACAACTTTACATTGTATTCACTTTAAGCTAAGAGAAAAACACAGAAACACAGAAGACTACAAACTATATGATTTCATTTATATAAAATTCTAGAAAAACTATAGTGACAGAAAGCAGATTGGTGGTTTCCTGGATCCCAGGGTTTAGTGAAGGGACTGATTCCAAATGGGAACAAGGGAACTTTTTGGATGATGGAAATGTTCTGTAGTTTCATTGTGGTTCTGTGATTGTATTCAATTGCTAAATCACATGCCTACACTTCAAATAGTTACAGTTTGTTGTCTAAAATTAAACCTTAATAAAGTTAGGGGAAATTTTTTAGAGCTTAATAGAATGCCAATAGATATTAACATAAGGTTTAGTTGCCAAACAATCTTTCAATGGGTTACCAGCAAAAGGGCTTTAAAAAGAAATTCCTAGGAGCCCACAATCAGGGAAAAAAAAGTTTTCTTTTTCTCCATGGGGTTAGGGTGAGATGGGATGTCATGGTATGAGGCTCCCAGGATCTTGGTGCTCTGAGGCAGTAACATGTGGTCCACCCTTGTTCTCACTGTTACAAGCTGAAACGGATTCATAATTTGGGCTTACCATTTGCTCACAACCCCAAATATACTTTTCCGTTGCCAAATTTCATGCAGCTCTCTATTTTTGACTAAGATTCATATGCTGCTGCAAATGCGAGATGTTTTCTTCATGAAATGCAAAGTGTTACCATTGAATGAAGACAGCGGTAAAACTTGATGTGATGCATCATGGAAGATTTTGGTTTGCTACTGATTATACACTATTGAATATGACCATTGTTTTTTACCTTTTAGGGACTGTGGAGTTTATTATGGACTCAAAACATAATTTCTGTTTCATGGAGATGAATACAAGGCTGCAAGTGGAACATCCTGTTACTGAGATGATCACAGGAACTGACTTGGTGGAGTGGCAGCTTAGAGTGAGAATATTTTTTCTATTAAAAATCAGCCTTGGCTGGGTGCGGTGGCTCAAGCCTGTAGTCCCAGCACTTTGGCAGGCCAAGGCAGGTGGATCACCTGAGGTCAGGAGTTCGAGACCAGCCTGGCCAATGTGGTGAAACCCTGTCTCTACCAAAAATACAAAAATTAGCCGGGCGTGGTGCCGGGTGCCTGTAGTCCCCGGTACTCAGGAGGCTGAGGCAGGAGAATCACTGAGCCTGGGAGGCAGAGGTTGCAGTAAGCCGAGATCGCGCCACTGCATTCCAGCCTGGGTACTCCATCTTAAAAAAAAAAAAAAAAAGATCAGTCTTGATGGGAGGGATGTGAGGGCTGAAAAACTACCTAAATGGTACCGTGTTCACTGTTTGAGTGATGGGTTCATCAGAAGCCCAAATCCCAGCATTATGCAAAATACCCATGTAGCAAACATTCACGTGTACCACCTGAATCTATAATTCAACAACAACGACAACAACAACAACAACAAAACAGTCTTGAGAATAGGTTACTACCTTCTGGCCTCCTAAAACAGGTGTCATTTTGGACGGGGTTCAGTTCTTGGTGGTTATGAGGACAGGAAGATGGGAGGTTAAAAGTGAAGCCACATTTGATGCTGTAGCTTTTTTTGGCACTTTAGGGACTCAGATTCACTTCCCCCTAGGCCCGGGCAGCCAGCAGGTGAGATTGTGTCACAGGGGCTTGCTCACAACCACATCACCTCAAGGTCAAAGCCTCATGGTCTACCTAAGGCCACAGCATTCTGGGCCAGGCCATCATTCGGTTTCAGATCAGGGCAGATACTAGGCAAGATGAAATGAGCTAAGGCAGAGTTGGGAATGAAGAGCCAAGGAGATGGTCTAGAATGATCCAAGTAAAGTGCGGATTTATGGCTGTTGCGGGCCCATGAGTAAATGTTCATTCAGAGTAAATGTTTGGAAACTTTTAAAGCATTTTGGCATTGCTATGACATGCCTACTGTATTTTTCAAACATGTAAGTTTATAACTGTTCTTTTACTATGGATAGTTTGAGAAGCACTGGTGTAAACCAGAATTCCACAAAACATACTTCTCAAATATTAATAATAGCTTAGTCTGTTTTTGTTCTCATAAGAACAATAGATTTTACTTTAGCCTTCTTTTTCCTAACATGAAAAAAATCTGTTAAGTAATATAGACGGTCCTGATATATGTAGGATTCGTGGTTCCTTGTATATCCTGCATCTAAATTGTTTTTTCCTGGTGTGACGCCAAAATCTTGATTATTTTGGTAATTTTATCTTTTCAGAACTTCTGTAGATAATAATATGATACTCCTTTTGTTGGTTCCTTGGGGGTGATTGGTGGTTCTAATTGAGCCAAAAGGTTCTTCTAGGGCTCTATATCCTAGGGTGTTAACGAAAACCAGGCACAGCAAGCTGGTAAGTTTTAGTGAGTGTCAAGAAAAACTGTAGTGGCTTTGGAAACTTCTGGAAGGAGTGTTTATATTTCCAGAATTCAAGGAAAAGGAGGATAATTTTTCTGAAGCAGTAAATCAAGAGAGTTTCGACCTTGGAAATCATAAGAGAAAAAAAGGTTTCTAAGGATTAAGGAAGGAGAAAGCTTTTGGGTATTAAGGAAACCAGCAGACATCTATTTCTTGTAAGAGCTTGTCAAGGCTCTTCAGAAAGAGAAGCCAGCTTTTATCATCTGGGGAGGGACACTAGAACTTAGGGAAGCTGCTGGACCTGGTTTATAGAGTTCAAGGCATTTGGCATCTGGCCTTCAAACAGAGGTAAAACAAAGGGGCTCACCATTTGGTGAGTCAAGAGTCTAAGCTCGAGGACCTGCCTGTGCAGTCAAGCCTTCCTAGAACAAGGGTTGAATGATGACTGATGTAAGTGTCCTGGGTTCAGGCTGCAGATACAGATAGTTAACAGTGTTCAGGGAAAGCTGGTGAAAATGTCAAGGTTAGGGGTTCCGGAGAGCCAGTGTCAGCCTGAGAGAACTCAAATGGCACATATCTCCAAAGACCCAGAGGCATGATTGGGGCCTGTCTTTTCTGGGCTCAAGTGGAAGCCAAGCTTGGAGGAAAATGGACAGGCAAAGACAAGTCAAGGTGAACACAAGAGACAGAGTTTTGCTCTTTTTGCCCAGGCTGGAGTGCAATGGCGTGATAGCTCACTGCAACCTCTACCTCCCGGCTTCAAGCAATTCTCCTGCCTCAGCCTCCCGTGTAGCTGGGATTACAGGCGTGTGCCACCATGCCCGGCTAATTTTTGTGTTTTTAGTAGAGACAGGGTTTCACCATGTTGGCCAGGCTGGTCTTGAATTCCTGACCTCAGGTGATCCGCCTGCCTCGGCCTCCCAAATTGCTGGGATTACAGGCATGAGCCACCACACCTGACCCAGAATTATTTATTAAAACGTTAAAAAACTGGTTCCAAGTCTATTGTGAACAGTGCTGCAATAAACATACACATGCATGCGTCTTTATAGTAGAGTGATTTGTAATCCTTTGGGTATATACCCAGTAATGGGATTGCTGGGTCAAATGGTATTTCTGGTTCTAGATCCTAAGGATGGAATGATAATAGGTAACATAGTGCTGACTGTATGCCAGACACTTTTCTCTGAAGCATGGAAAGCTTAAGAAACTTGTCTAGATGACAAAGTAAGTATAGAGACAAAATTTGAACCTAGGCAATCTGTCTGCAGAGCCTGAGGTGTTTTCAAAATATACTGCCATAAAGGTATTTAACTTAGTTCCGTTTCCTTTCATTCTTAACTGCTGTGCATCCTGATCTTTCATATTTACAGATTCAGAAAAATGAAACTTTTGCTTCTGTTTTATACTTACCGGTTTAGTTCAATGTCATGCTAAGTTACTTAGAGTCTAGATTTTCCTGTATCTATATTGCTTTCTCAGGTTGTCATTTTCTCATCTTGGAAAAAAACTTAAGAGTAAAGAGAGAAAGTGCAATGTGTCCTCCAATAGCCATTTCCAATTTATACTAGTTAATTGAAGAGAGTGATTTGTTGTATTGGTACATAATAACTAAAATAGTAATAATTATAGTAACAACAAACAATAGTGATCACCCTGTTTGTAATCTGGTATCATGCAGTACATATCAACATAACAAAATTGAAAAACCATCATTTTCCCCTTTCTGTTTTGCTTTATCACCCACTTACTGGTGAAGATTACAGCGTAGGATGACAATGTCAGCTACACTTTTTGCTTGGCTGTGAATCTAGTCCTAAACACTAATAATATACTATTTTTTAAAAAAAATTGATTTGGGAATTAAGTGCTAATGTTTTAAATGAAAACTGAGAGTGTGTTGCTAGTAAGAAGTTTTGGTTTTGATTATATTGAACAAACACTGATTTTTATATTTGTAAGTTAGCCATCACTTTGCCTGCTTTTGCCATTTAAAAACTCCGATACCCCAAATGATAGACTGTTGCCAAGCTGCATCTGTTTTTTAATTTTTTGTTTTGCCCAATACTCAAATGAGTAGACAAAATAATAGTTTTTATTTGGCTGCATTGCAAAACCTAAATGTACATTTTACCTAGAAAAAAAGCAAGACCATTGATTTACTAAGTCTGGTAGCCGCTATACGGTAGATTTCATAAGAAACACTATTCTATTGCCAGATTGCAGCAGGAGAGAAGATTCCTTTGAGCCAGGAAGAAATAACTCTGCAGGGCCATGCCTTCGAAGCTAGAATATATGCAGAAGATCCTAGCAATAACTTCATGCCTGTGGCAGGCCCATTAGTGCACCTCTCTACTCCTCGAGCAGACCCTTCCACCAGGATTGAAACTGGAGTACGGCAAGGTAAAGTGAAAGAAAATGAAAAGTCTCACTCTTTTTAAGTTTTTAGTACATTATTGTTTTTGGACACATTCTTATCCCTGAGTCTTACAGAACTGTCTAGCATATTTTAAAATAAAGAATTTAAGTGATTTCTCAGTAACCATTACTTTTTGCCTCTGGAATTGTTATTTTTAAAGAATAACAAGTATTTTTCAACAACGGACTCCTTTTTTTTGAAATTCAGCAGTACTTGGTCAAACCTAACCAGGAAATATTTTGTGTGTACTGTTCTTGACCTTGCCTCATTCCAAAAATGATTTAAGATGACTGATATCTGCTATGCACAAGGCAGACTGCCTTCAAAGGACATAAAGTCAAGTTGGAGAATTAACACATAAACTTAGTATAAGCTAAACAATAAAAAAATTAAAGTAAAGAAACAGTGGAAGAGCTATCACAGTTCAGCATATGATTAATAACAGTGGTCATAACTAGTGATTATTTAGGACTTCCTACTTACAGGCACTGCTCTAGGTGATTTTTCTACTTGTGTTCCTTTCACCATGAGAAGTACCCTGTAAGTAGGCATTATTATCATCCCTGTTTTCTAGATGAGGAAACTGGAGCACAGAAGAGTTAAGTGACTTGTCCAAGGTCATCCTTGGAGCCAAGATTCAGACCCAGGCAGTCTTGCTCCAGAGTCAGTGCTCTGAGCCTCCACGGTCTCCTGTCATCTTAATTTCAATTGCTGGAATAAGTTATACAGTGATGGGATATAGCAATTCTCAGGGGTAAGAGGTCACACTAGACTGATATAATTAGGACAAGTTTTTTGTTTGTTTGTTTTTTTGTTTGTTTTTGTTTTTGAGACAAGGTCTCACTCTGTGCCCAGGCTGGAGTACAGTGGTGTGATCTCAGCTCACTACAACCTTTATCTCCCTGACTTAAGCAGTTCTCAGGCCTCAGCCTCCCGAGTAGCTGGGATTACAGGTGTATACCACCATGCCTAGCTAATTTTTTTTTTTTTTTTTGTATTTTTAGTAGAGACAGGTTTTCACCATGTTGGCTAGGCTGGTCTCAAACTCCTGGCCTCAAGTGATCTGCCCACCTTGGCCTTTCAAGGTGCTGGGATTACAGGGGTGAGCCACCGTGCCTGGCCAGGACAAGTTTTTAAGAGGATGTCTGGAATGGATTTAGATAGGTAGATTTAAACAGCATAATGAAGAGTGAAGAAAAGAGAAAAAGGTATGTTTGAAGAATAGTAAGAAAATATATGACTGGAGACATGGGTTGAAGGCAAATCCTAGTGTCCTAAAAGCCAAAATGAGGATTTAGATCTTCTTAAAAATAAATTGGCAGCATTTTGAGAGCTCTGGATAAGCCACAGCAAGATTTGGTAGTTAGTAGACTTTTTAACTTAGCAAAGCATCTTAACTCTGCTTGCCCCACCGGTTCCTTCCTTTTTTTTTTTTTTTTTTTTTTTTTTTTTCTGAGATGGAGTTTCACTCTTGTTGCCCAGGCTGGAGTGCAATGGCACGATTTTGGCTCACTGCAACCTCCACTTCCCAGGTTCAAATGATTCTCCTTCCTCAGCCTCCTGAGTAGCTGGAATTACAGGCACCCGCCACCACGCCCGGCTAATTTTTTGTATTTTTAGTAGAGACAGGGTTTCACTATGTTGGCCAGGCTGGTCTTGAACTCCTGACTTTGTGATCTGCCCACCTCGGCCTCCCAAAGTCTTGGGAGTACAGGCGTGAGCCACCTGTAGGCACCTCTAATCTTATCAACGAGGACTCTGGGGTTCAAAGAGGTCAAGTGACCTGCCAAAATCCTGGAAAGACCCTGCAACAACGTTCTTTTCAACACACCACATCCTTTCTACTTGAACCATTTCTAACCAGTGGAATGTGCCCTGGTTCAGATTCTTGTTCTCTAGGACTGTAACCATCCCAGTGATGATAGCTGCCATTGGTTTATCAGTTTTGCCAGGTATGGCACTTGTCACTTTATTGTCACTCCTCCCAGCAACCCTGCAGGACAGAGGAATTATTAAACTTGCTTGACTAGTACGGAAACTGAAAGAGTGGAGGGGAGGGGAATGCTAAGGGCAGAAATGAGGGGAATGTGAGAGGGTGGAGGGAGATTGTGTTGACTTTGAAAATGAGAAGGGAAAAGAAGATTCAGAAGAAGATAGGACAGGGAAAGCCAGCTTGTGTGCCATTGAATCACCACGTTAGGGCCTGGTGCTGTTGGGTGGCCCACCTCGTTACACCTGGTGAGTTTTCAAAGCCCTCTGAACCTCAGGGTCCTCATGAATAAATTTGTGTTGTTATTTATCATGCAGGGGTTTATGAGGATTAAGCGTGAAATGTACATAACAAAATGTCTTGCTCGTTGTATTTTATTCCTTCGTGTTTTGACTTGAAGAGGTTACCGTGGTTTTCAATTTCAGGAGACGAAGTTTCCGTGCATTATGACCCCATGATTGCGAAGCTGGTCGTGTGGGCAGCAGATCGCCAGGCGGCATTGACAAAACTGAGGTACAGCCTTCGTCAGTACAATGTGAGTGATCTGAGACCGTGCCAGTGACCTTGATGTGTTTGGTCAGCACCAGAGGTCAGCCTTTGTCTTTGGCAGGGCCTTGGTCTCGTCAGCATATTTTCTATTTCCATCAATTGCCCAAACAAAATAGTTTCACATGGGAGAATTTTGCGTGGGCCAGAACAGGGTTTGAGGACTTCTTCATTTCAGTTACAAAAGAAAGATTGCAGAAGTAAAATTGTTAGTGTCAGTGCTATGCTTCGGTGAAATCCTATTCACTCTGTAGATAAGGCCAGCTATACATGGTACCTTCGTAGGTTTTTTATTTTTCCTAAGAGCTGTCCACAGTAGAAAATACTTAGGAAATAAAAGCAGATGTTTTCCTGAATGTTGTTTTCGCTACCCAGTATGCCTGCAGTCCAGTAGTTTTTCTCTAAAGTAAAATAATTATGTTCAGTTTCATCCCTTTAATAGAGTTTGTTATTTTTCTGTAGAACATTAATTTCCTTGGTGCAGAAAGTCCCATACCACATTGATTTGGCTCATAGAAGGATTTATTAACCCAGTTATTCAACTTGTTATTGTTAATAATTGATCAAAGCTCTGGTCTCTGTGGCTCCAACCACACTGGCCGCCTCACCGCTTCTGAGACTCACTCAGCATGGAGCCATGCATTCCTGTCCAATCTTCCAGAATGTTCTTCCCCCACATGATTGCAGGGCTCCCTCCTGACTACCCTGCTCTCCTGCTCTGAGCCCTTTCCCAGGCTGCCCCATTTAAAGTATGACCTTTTGTTATTCTTTATCCTCTTAGCCAGCCTTCATTTTCTTCATAGCATGTAACATTATATTCAATACCTGTTTACAGATATTGTTACTTGTTGCCCTAGAATGTAAGCAGAGACTGTGAAGGCAGGGACATCATATGTTTTGTTCCTCACTATGTCCCCAGTGCCTGGATCAGAGCCTGGCACTTAAGAGATGCTCAGGAAATGGCTGTTAAATGAATGAAGGAATGGATGAGTGAATGAATGAACCCAAAGCTCAGATAGCTGGTTTTACTTTTGATCCCATTTATTGGTGTATTTGGGTTAATTTTATACCTTTTAAAATTTTTGTATCGGTATATAAAATTTGGATTTTATTGTTGGAAAGAAGCTCTTTTGAGGGCATTTAATCCTATCCTCTCCCCAGTATAGCAATCCAGCTTGCTGTTTGCAGTCTTCCTATTCTGTGGAAGTGTTCTGAGCAGCAAGTCTTCGATACCTTGCAAATGAATTTCATTTATGTTTCTTAACATTTATTATGTTCCTAACCTGAGTCAAGTAAGTGCCTCGGTATTTCCAGCATCCTCTTTGTCATATTAAAATGTAATTTTTAGTGTCAAGTCCAGATGGATATAGTAATAGCGGATGGACATAGTGATAGTGAGATGGTTTTTTTGTGTTTTTTTTCCTGAGAATTGTCCTGTTGCCACATGGTACCTTAGTAGGTTTTTTATTTTTCCTAAGAGTTGTTCACAGTAGAAAATACTTAGATAAAAAGAGCAGATGGTTTTCTGAACATATTGTTTTCCCCACTCAGCAGGAACTGGGGGTTTATTCTCTTCCTAGATTGTTGGACTGCACACCAACATTGACTTCTTACTCAACCTGTCTGGCCACCCAGAGTTTGAAGCTGGGAACGTGCACACTGATTTCATCCCTCAACACCACAAACAGTTGTTGCTCAGTCGGAAGGCTGCAGCCAAAGAGTCTTTATGCCAGGCAGCCCTGGGTCTCATCCTCAAGGAGAAAGCCATGACCGACACTTTCACTCTTCAGGCACATGGTATGGAAGGCTTTTCTCTTTCCTCTGCTTGTCAAGTTTTGCAAATCATCATTGAACATGCTTTTCTTTCTGTATGGCACACTGACCTCTCTTTTCTCCTCTCAGTGACTGACACCATTCTTTTCAGATGTGTTTTTTAGTATGAAGGAAAGCTCTTCACTTACCATGGATGCACCCATAAACACTATTTAACCCATTAACTGGAGTGTAACTAATCACCTAACATTGTAGAAATGGATCTCTTTGGCCAGGCGCGGTGGCTCACGTCTGTAATCCCAGCACTTTGGGAGGCCAGGGCGGCTGGATCATGAGGTCAGGAGATCAAGACCATCCTGGCTAACACGGTGAAACCCCATCTCTACTAAAAATACAAAAAATTAGCTGGGCGTGGTGGCACGTGCCTGTGATCCCAGCACTTTAGAAGGCCAGGGTGGGCGGATCATGATGTCAGGAGATCAAGACCATCCTGGCTAACATGGTGAAACCCTGTCTCTACTAAAAATACAAAAAATAAGCTGGGTGTGGTGGCACGCACCTGTAGTCCCAGCTACTCGGGAGGCTGAGACAAGAGAATCGCTTGAACCCGGGAGGCGGAGGTTGCAGTGAACCGAGATCGCGCCACTGCACTCCAGCCTGGACAACAGGGCGAGAGTTCATCTAAAAAAAAAAAAAAAAAAAAAGGAAATGGATCTCTTTTCAGTCAAACACTTGTTCTCCCCACATCCTACACTAATTTCTTATCACTTCTTTTGTTCGCCACTCCTCATAGCCCTACTTTGTTTTGTCCTCTGTACCTGCAGCAACTCCCTTTGTCCCAGAGTCTCAAGACAATCTAAGACTGGAGACTTAGATTCCCCAGGGTTACCCATGACTTATTGTCGAATTACTTCCGCTTTTTCCATCCTGTGATTGAATGTCTACCTAGAGACTTCATAGTGTCATAGAATCCAAGCATAGGAAGGGCCATAGTGGGGTTCATCCTGGCTACCACACATATGCATTGCATCCCTACCCCAGCACACCCACTAAGCTGTTGCCCAACTTCTTCCTAACACCTTGGGAAACTGGAAGTTCATTACCTCATCAGGTAGCTTACAGTTTCAGTCAGTTCTCCATTAGAAAGTTCTGCCTTTAAACCAAACACCGCATGTTCTCACTCATAGGTGGGAATTGAACAATGAGATCACTTGGACACAGGGTGGGGAACATCACACACCGGGGCCTGTCGTGGGGTGGGGGGAGGGGGGAGGGATAGCATTAGGAGATATACCTAATGTAAATGACGAGTTAATAGGTGCAGCACACCAACATGACACATGTATACATATGTAACAAACCTGCACCTTGTGCACATGTACCCTAGAACTTAAAGTATTAAAAAAAAAAAGTTCTGCCCTTTAAATTGATACAAAATCTCAGCTCTCACATACTTTTTGCATTTCAGGCTAGCTCTGACTTTCGGAGCAAACAGAATTTTTAAAAATCTGATCTATTTTTCTCTTTTATTGGTAATTATTATATTACCCTATACAGTTTGAGCATCCCAAATCCCCAAATCCAAAATGCTCCAGAATCGGAAGCTTTTTCAGCACTAACATGATGCTCAAAGGAAATGCTCATTGGAACAGTTCAGATTCCAGATACTTGGATCAGGGATGCTAAGCCAGTTAAATATAATGCAAATAATCCAAAATCCAAAAAAAAAAAAAAAAATCTGAAATTCAAAACACTTCTGGTCCCAAGCATTTTGGGTAAGTGATACTGAACCCGTATTATTATAGGATCCTATCATTAGAATCTTTAATTTCTGAATTCATTTAGATTCATTCAAGATAGCTGTATGGAAAGCTTAAAATGTAAAATGTTTTAAGTCCCGAAAACTGCATCTTTAGAAGATTTGTGCTCTATCCTCATTTTATCCTTTTACATTGAATGAAAATGCATCTAAATACGTCCCATGTGGTATTCCTGAGCCTGACCTTAACGTTTTTAGAATGGAACGTTGTCTTACTGTGACCTTCCTTTTGAAAGTTTATAATTGGTACAGATATGAGGTTCAGAATAAATTGCATCAGCTTAGCTATGCTGAAGCTCCTGGATATTGTCCAATAGAGGATATACACCCAAATGCCTATAAGGGGCCAGGCGCGGTGGCTCATGCCTGTAATCCCAACACTTTGAGAGGCCCAGGGCGGGTGGATCACTTAAGGTCAGGAGTTTGAGACCAGCCTGGCCAACATGGTGAAACCCCATCTCCACTAAAAATAGAAAAGTTAGCCAGCTGTGGTGGCACCCACCTGTAATCCCAGCTACTCTGGAGGCTGAGGCAGGAGAATCACTTGAACCCAGGAGGTGGAGGTTGCAGTGAGCCAAGATCATGCCACTGCACTCCATCCTGGGCGACAGAACGAGACTCGTCTCAAAAAAGAAAAAAAAAAAAGGCCTATAAGGGCTGGGCCAACAACATAAAAACATAAAAGAGTAAAAGAGGCCAGGTGAAAGAAAAATAGTGAATAGTAGAGACTGGTGACCTGGAATGAATTTGCCCCATCAAAAGGTGGTGACTGTGGTACAGTTTATGCCACTATGGGATTAGAGTTTAGATTGCAAATATTCAGATTCTTCAATAGAAGCTAGAATTTTTCACATGAAATTTCATAAGATGTAAACAAAACCAGCCCTTTAAACTTAACAAGAAGAACAAAAAAAGCACATCTGAGCTGCCAGTTTAGGACGTGTGTTTTTTTGTTTTTTTTTTTTTTTGAGACGGAGTCTTGCTCTGTCGCCCAGGCTGGATCCGGTGCAGTGGCGCAATCTTGGCTCACTGCAAGCTCCACCTCCCGGATTCACGCCATTCTCCTGCCTCAGCCTCCAGAGTAGCTGGGACTAGAGGCGCCCGTCACCATGCCCAGCTAATTTTTTTGTATTTTTAGTAGAGACGGGGTTTCACCGTGTTAGCTAGGATGGTCTCGATCTCCTGACCTCATGATCCGCCCGCCTTGGCCTCCCAAAGTGCTGGGATTACAGGCATGAGCCACTGTGCCCGGCCAGCACTTGCATTTTATGTTTTCTTTTGTAAGGTGTAAATTTCATAGGCTTGATACTCATAAGTTTGTTACTGAATTTTAAATTTTTTCTAGATCAATTCTCTCCATTTTCGTCTAGCAGTGGAAGAAGACTGAATATCTCGTATACCAGAAACATGACTCTTAAAGATGGTAAAAACAGTAAGTAATGTTTCATTAAAAGAGAAATGTGAGTCATAGAAATGTATCACATTAATCTGAAAAAGAGGATTCCAGCCTGGCCATGATCAGTCAGTTACATTTTTTAAATGCCTAGGCTAAACATTGGAGGGAAATATGCCAATATAATAGAATTGATTGGCTCTGGGTAGTAGAGTTGATGGTATTTGCTTTTCTTCTTTACACTTTTTAAAAATTTTGTAAATATTCTAAAAATATGTCATAAAATAAACATAGCAAAACAGCTGAAATGAAATATGCCAGAATGTTAGAAATATGCCCAAAAAAACCTCTTTTTCCCCAATTCTTTGTACTTTTTTTTTTGCTTTGCAATTTTTCTGCAGCGAGAATGTATTACTTTTAAATAAGAAAAACAGTTTTCAAAACTATGTCAGAGAGGGACGATTACCCACTGCCCATGCAGTGTTTCAGGGGTTTCAGGTGGAAGTGGGTCACTGCAGAGCTGTAATTTATTAAGTGCCTTATCTGATGTAAGTTTTTATCTTCACAACGTAAATGAGGGGGAGTCGCTGTTATACCCACGTATGGAAGATGAAAGCATGGATGGTAAGGCACAGAAGTGAAGTAGTTTAGTCAAGGCTAGTGAGTGGCAGAACTAGGATTCACACCTACTCTTTGTGACATTGACTCTTAGGCTGTTTCCACCACTTTTCCAGTAGAAAATTGATTTTTGATTGTAAACTAATTTGAGTTGGCTCGACTTAGTGACTGATTTTCTTTAACTGATGTCAAAAGAGGCTGACGCTTAAGCCAGAAGGCAGTTTATAAACTTTTGGCTGGAGCAGTGTAGCAGCAGGACCAGAATTCTATGATAGCTGGTCACTGTATCCCTTCTGCTGTGAGACAGTTTGTGTGGGAGGCCCAATGGGCAGAGTCAGAGCTCAGAATCCTGGCTAACCTTGAATGTGACATGTCATTGAACTGTGACAGTTCTGGTATAAAAATATGCCTCCCAGGTAGAGCAGAATACTTTCACCAGCTGATCACAGAACGCTCTTCCTTGGACAGAGGAAAATCTCTTTTACTTCACCTCTATGAAGACACTCACCCAGTAACAAATTTTTTTTTTTTTTTTTTTGACACAGACTCTGGCTCTGTTGCCCAGGCTGGAGTGCAGTGGCACGATCTTGGCTCACTGCAAGCTCCACCTCCTGGGTTCGTGCCATTCTCATGCCTCAGCCTCCCGAGTATCTGAGACTACAGGCACCCACCACCACGCCCGGCTAAGTTTTTGTATTTTTAGTAGAGACAGGGTTTCACCATTTTAGCCAGGATAGTCTCGATCTCCTGACCTTATGATCCACTCACCTCAGCCTCCCAAAGTGCTGGGATTACAGGCGTGAGCCACCATGCCAGCCAGTAACAAATATTTTGTTCACACAAGTTTATTGGGTTACAGCTCTTCAGTTATTTTTCAATCCTGAGCCTAGATGGTCATTATCTTAAGTGCATTGGGCATATTGTTAAGCCTTTATAATGAAAATTTGTAAACATCTTTATATAGTAGCATTCTGCAAATGGTTAACCCATCCATTTATGCTCATTTCATCCTAAAAAATACAACCCCCCAAATCTGGAAGTATCTTATTCTAGACTCCTATATGCTGAATGCAAATATCAAAAGCGGTAAAGTTTCACTGGCTTCTTCAACCTGAATTGAACAGAAGAATTACATATTTGATTGTAATTCATATAGGCCAACTGTGTTATTTGGCATGGCTCTTCACTAAAGCACCAAGCACTGATTTGAAGTATGTTGCATTTTTTGGAATTAAAAAAAGTTTTCATGAAAAAATAAATACATAATTGAAAAGCCAACATGATTGCTGTTCACTACACCCTTTTGGCAGTATTCTATGAAAATAATCCAAGTCTGTATGTAAGAGCTTTCAGAAAATGATACATAGCTAAGTCTCCAAAAAATGCTAATAAGCAATGACCACAATTAAATAGAATGCATGAAACAGGAAGCTTAAGAGACCAGGCTGGTCACAGTGGCTCACACCTGTAATCTCAGCACTTTGGGAGGCCAAGGCGGGAGGATTGCTTGAGGGCAGGAGTTTGAGATCAGCCTAGGTGACATAGTGAGATCCTGTCCCTATTTATAAAATAAAAATTTTTAAAAAGGAAAAAAAAAAAAAAAGATACCAGAAGTGCCAGGCACGGTATCTCCCACCCGTAACCCCAGCACTTTGGGAGGCTGAGGCAGGTGGATCACGAGGTCAGGAGATGGAGACCATCCTGGCTAACATGGTGAAACCCTGTCTCTCCTAAAAAGTACAAAAAATTAGCCAGGCATGGTGGTGGGCGCCTGTAGTCCCAGCTACTCAGGAGGCTGAGGCAGGAGAATGGCATGAACCTGGGAGGTGGAGCTTGCAGTGAGCCGAGATTGCACCACTGCACTCCAGCCTGGGCGACAGAGCGGGACCCTGTCCCAAAAAAAAAAAAAAAAAAAAAAAAGGTGCCAGAAGCATTTATGAGTCCAAAGCAGAAGCAACTTCTAGTGACCACAGTGAGAATGACCAACTATTTTAAGTATTCAAGGCTTGCAAGCTATTCTTACTTTGCTACTAGAGGCCACGTTTCACAGAACCCTGCCTAAACTCAATGATAATAGCTAAGATTTATTGAGTTTTTGGTTTATGTCAGATACTGTATTAAACACTTTCCAAAGATTGTTTCATTTGCATTTTCAGAAAAGGCCAATGAGATTAGTGTTATTGTTAGTGTGAACTTTATAAATTACTAATCTCTGTGAGCCAAGGTCAAGGCTCAGAGAGATTAGTAATTTTCCAAAAGTCACACCAGAAGTTATTGGTGGAGTCAGGGTTTGAACCCACACTCCAGGATACACGTGCTGACCTAATACTGCAGGTGCCACACTTGATACCTTCTTAAATGCATGAGAGGATGTTTAAGGTCCTCTTATATGTGACAAGAGATATCTAGGGTAGGAGTTTTTTTGGTAGTGTCTTTACTGTGATCTGTTGGCATTCGCGCCAGTTAAATACATGTCGTATTTTATAAATTCAAAGAAAATGGCCGTGGTGTAACTGGAGGCACTTTCTGATAAGAAGAGTAAAAGCCTGTTGACATGATATAGGGTGGAGAGTTTTATTCATTCATACATTCAATACAAAGTTTTTGATAAAATAGATATGCCAAGTGATGTGGAGAAGAGAAGGAAATGTCTTTGTCCCTGCTTTTTTTCTGTTAAGGAATTTGCCATTTGGAAGTGTGTATGTTGAGAAGCTGGAGAGCATGATGGTCAAGAGTGCGGGCCCTGGAGTTCCTGTACTTTAGTATTTGACTTTTGTGAACATTTTTATTTTGATAATTTTTCTGAAACAACTGATAGAGAGGAAAATCACTCTTTGTAAACCAGGATGAGGAGAGAATCATAGTGGGTGTTTTGTATGCAGAAGGCTAAATGTTCAGAGGAGGGAGAAATTAAGCTGCCCAGGCCAACTCTTCCCAAGGACAGTGAGGCTGATGTGAATGGGCAATGGGGTTTCTGTGCTGTGGCAGGGCACCAGCAGCGTAGTGAAGGAGAAGCGTGAGCACAGAGCCACAGTGCAGGGAAAGCTGGGGGCATATATGGGGAATTTTTTTTGTGTGTATTGGTTTTTTGTGTTTTGTTTTGAGACGGAGTCTCTCATTCTGTTGCCCAGGCAGGAGTGCCGTGGTATGATCTCGGCTCACTGCAACTTCTGCCTCCCGGGTTCAAGCGATTCTCCTGCCTCAGCCTCCCAAGTAGCTGGGACTACAGGTGTGTGCCACCATGCCCAGCTAATTTTTGTGTTTTTAGTAGAGATGGGGTTTCACCATGTTGGCCAGGCTGGTCTCGAATTCCTGACCTCAGGCTATCCGCCCACCTCGGCCTCCCAAAGTACTGGGATTACAGGTGTGAGCCACCTCCCCAGGCCTAGAGAATGTTAATTGTCCCACTTTCCTATTTGGGTGGAGCATCAGGCCGTCCATGGAGGAGAATGGTAGGAAATAAGACTGAGAGGGTGGGGCCTCCAATATCAGGCCAAGTATTTGGAATGGGGTCGGAACATCAGCTCTGACTATTGAGATGAGAAGCAGGAAGACCCCAGAGGACCTCCTCAGATTCAGCCAGGCCTGAGGCAGTGGGGCCTGAGGCAGGGTAGAGCAGTAGGAATGGAAGGAAGAGATGCATAGGATAGGGAAGAATTTGGCAGCTTTGTAGTAACTGTCCCTATTTATAAAATAAAAATTTTTAAAAAGGAAAAAAAAATAAGATGCCAGAAGCATTTATGAGTCTAAAGCAGAAGAACTTCTAGTGACCTCAGTGAGAATGACCAACTGTTTTAAGTATTCAGGGTTTGCAAGCTATTCTCTGCTACTAGAGGCCATGTTTCACAGAACCCAGCAGTGGAAACTGTTGCATGTGAAAAGCGAAGGAGTACGAGGCATGGATGTTGCATGTGGAAAACAAAGGAGGATGAGGCAAGGATGACAGGTTTCAAGCCTGGATGACAAGGAGCATAGGGATGCCAGTCAGGGAGCTCACAGGTCTGGAGAAGAAGGTAGAGGGAGATGATTTGTCGGCCCCGCCATGTTCGTCTTAAGTCACCAGTGGAGCATCCAGCTGGTAATGACAATAATCGGAGGTCACCTGGAGAAGGAATGTCGGGGCTGGAAACAGATTTGAGCTGGCAGCATCAAAATGATCATTGAAGTATCAGAAGCAGACAAATTGATTTTGACCTGTATATTCTACCCCACAAAACTTTAGGTTTTCGTCTCCTCGGATAATCAACCATTTCCATACTCATGTAATCTAGGCATACTCTGGAGTTATTACAGGTTTGGTTCCAGACCACTACAATAAAGTGAGTCAAAGTTTTTGGTTTCCTCATGCATATAAAAGTTATGTTTATATTATACTTTATTGTGTGCCAATAACATTATGTCTAAATAAAAACAATGTATATACCTTAATTAAGAAATGCTTTATGGCTAAAAAAAAATGCTAATGATTATCTAAGCCTCCAGTGAGATGTAATCTTGTTGCTGGCATAGGGTCTTGCCTCAATGTTGATGGCTGTGATTGATTTATAGTGGCAATTGCTGAAGATTGGGGTGACTGTAGCAGTTTTCATAAAATGAGATACCAAGGAGGTTTGCTGCATCTGCTGACTCTTCCTTTCATGAAAGATTTCTCTGCAGCATGCAGTGCTGTTGAGATGCAGCAATTCAGTCACATCTTCAGTCTCCACTTCTAGTCCTAGCTCCCTTACTATTTCTACCACATCTGCAGTTACTTCCTCTGCTAAAGTTTTGAACCCCTAAAAGTCATCCATGAGTCATTAACGTCTTCTAAATTCTTGTTAATGTTGATAATTCGACCTCCTTCCATGAATCACAAATGTTCTTAATGGCATGTAGAAGGTTTTCAATTTACTTTGCCTAGATCCATCAGAAGACTCACAATGTATGGCAGCTATTGCCTTACAAAATATATTTCTTAATAAGACTTGAAAGTTGAAATTACTCCTTGATCCGTGGGCTGCAGAAAGGATGTTGTCTTAGCAGGCATGAAAACATTAATCTCCTTGTATGTCTCCATCAGAGCCCTTGGGTGGTGACTATGTGCATTGTCATTGAGTGATAATATTTTGAAAGGAATCTTTTTATCTGAGCACTATTGAGTAGGTCTCAACAGTGGGCTTAAAATATTCAGTAAACCATGATGTAAACAGAAGTGCTGTCATCCAGGCTTTGTTCCATTTATAGGGCACAGGTAGATTTAGCATCATTCTTAAAGGCCCTAGGATTTTCAGAATGGTAAATGAGCATTTAATTCAACTTAAAGTCACTGGCTGCATTAACCCCTAGAAAGAGAGTCAGCCTGTCCTTTGAAGCTTCGAAACCAGGTATTGACTTCTCCACTCCAGCTATGAAAGTCCTAGATGGCATCTTCCTCCAAAAGAAGACTGTTTTGTCTCCATTAAATGTCTGTTGTTTTTTGTAGCCACATTTATCAATTATCTTAGCTAGATCTCCTGGATAATTTGCTGCAGCTCCTCTGTCAGCACTTTCTGCTTTATCTTGAACCTCATGAACCAGTCTCTGCTAGCTTCAAATATTTTTTCTGCAGCTTCCTCACTTCTCTTGGCCTTAATTGAATTGAAGAGAGTTAGGGCCTTGCTCTGGATTGACTTTGGCTTAAGGGAATGTTGTGGCTGGTTTGATCTTCTATCCAGACCACTAAAACTTCTCCATATCAGCAACAAGGCTGTTTCACAGTATTTATTATTATCATTATTATTATTTTAGAGATGGGGTCTTGCTTTGTTTCCTAGGGTGGTCTCAAACTCCCAGGCTCAAGCAGTCCTGCTTTGGCCTCCCAAAGCACTGGGATTACAGGCGTGAGTCACTGCTCCCAGCCCAGCTATTTCACCTTTTTATCCTTCATGTGTTTACTGGAGAAGCACTTTTAACTTCCTTCAAGAACTTTTCCTTTGCATTCACAACTTGGTGGTTTGGCATCAGAAGCCTAACTTTTGGCTTATCTCAGCTTTTGACATTCCTTCCTCACTAAACTTAATCATTTCTAGCTTTTGATTTAAAGTGGGAGATATGTAACTCTTCATTTGACCACTTATAGGCCATTGTAGGGTTATTAATTAGTCTAATTTCAATATTGTATTGCCTCAGGGAATAGGGAGACCCATAGAGAGGGAGAGAGACAGGGGAATGGCTGGTCAGTGGAGCAGTAAGAACACACACAATATTGATTGAGGAAGTTCTCTATCTTACATGGGCGCAGATTGAGGCACCGTAAAACAATTATAGTAGTAATATCAGAGATCGCAGATGACTGTCACAGATATAATAATTTAAAAGTTTTAAATATTGTAAGAATTACAAAAATGTGACATAGAGACACGAAGTGAGCACATGCTGTTGGAAAATTATGCTTGACATGGTGTTGCCACAAACTCAATAGGTAAAAAACATAGTATCTGCAGAATGTGCAATAAAGTGAGATGTGCCTGTAACATGAATCATTTATTAGGTGTATATAGTCTTACCATTTCTAAAGCATTTTCATATTTGTTTAATAATTGTTACATTTTTATACCCATTTAATGGCTCAGAAAATCAAGGCTCGGAGATTTAGTGAGTCAAGATGACAGAGGTGATCAGGTGGCAGATTCCATTCTCAACCAAAAACTTCTCTTTACCAATTCATTGCATTTTTTTTTTCTTGAGATGGAGCCTCACTCTGTCACCCAGGCTGGAGTGCAGTGGTGCGATCTCAGCTCACTGCAACCTCCACCTCGCAGGTTCAAGCTATTCTCCTACCTCAGCCCCCTGAGTAGCTGGGATTACAGGCACGTGCCGCCATGCCTGGCTCATTTTTGTATTTTTAGTAGAGACCGGGTTTCACCATGTTGGTCAGGCTGGTCTCAAACTCCTGACTTCGTGATCCCCACTCCTCTGCCTCCCAAAGTGCTGGGATTACAGGCATGAGCCGCCGCACCTGGCCTGCATTTTTAAAATTATAATACTGCAGCCTTTTTGTTGAGGGAAAAATACGTAAAATATTCGACAACCTTAAAATATCTAAAACTCAAGCCTGGATGTGGTGACTCATGTCTGTAATTCTAGCACTTTGGGAGGCCCAGGCAGATGGATCACTTGAGTCCAGGAGTTCAAGACCAGCCTGGGCAATATGGTGAAACCTCATCTCTACAAAAAAATCAAAAAATTAGCCGGGCGTGGTGGCACGCCTGTAGTCCCAGCTACTTGGGAGGCTGAGGTGAGGGGATCACCTGACCCCAGGAGGTTAAGGCTGCAGTGAGCTGTGATTGCACCACTGCAGTCCAGCCAGGGTGACAGAGTGATACCCTGTCTTAAAAAATAAATCAAAATAAAAATAAAACCCCTGAAATTCCATTTTAAAAAAGAAAAGTTTGAAATTCATCTTTATTGGTACTAGCTTGACAGATGCTTTTCTAACAAAATACTTTATTTCCAAGAAGTTCAAAGTTGTTGATTTTCCTTTGAATAGTTGGTTGTCTTTAGGTTGAGAGTGAGATTCTTTATATCTCGGTTATTAAATAAATGAATGTCTTCTAATTTTTCTTCATTTTTTCCCTTTTTCCATAAAGATGTAGCCATAGCTGTAACGTATAACCATGATGGGTCTTATAGCATGCAGGTAAGCCTTACTGGTTTTGTTCTACAGTGCAGAGCTGAATCTGACCGCTTTTATACTGAATAGGGTCTTTCACTCTCTGGTTTCCCTTAAGCCTTTGACTATTATGACTGTAGTTAAGAGAATATCTTATGCTTGTATTTCAGACCCAATTTGGGGAAATTACCCCCTATACAGTTTCTAACTGATTGTTTACTCAGTTGGGCTGTGATTCCTTTAAGAATAAAAACTTGGCAAAAAGTAAAAGCTCAAATCAGACATTCACAAGCCCCTAAAGTGTGTGCCTGTATTTACAGCAAAAGCAGCAGTTTTCACATTTTTTGTCTCAGGAACTGTACACTCTTTAAAATACCCACCAGAGCACTTTGGTTTGTGTTAATTATATCTCTTGATATTTACCATTTAGACAATTTAACTGAGAAAATTTAATTTCTAATTTTTTAATTGTGGTGAAATACACATAATGTAGAATTTACCATTTTAACCATTTGCATTCAGTGCATTCAAGTTGATATGTAACCATCACAACCATCCATCTCCAGAACTTCTTTCTTCTTGTGGAACTAAAATTCCGTACTCACTGATTAAACAGTTAACACTCCGTTCCTTCTTCCCCCATCCCCTGAGAACCACGATTCTACTCTCTGTCTCTATGAATTTGACTACTCTAGGTACCTGATATAAGCGGAATAATGTAGTATTTGTCCTTCTGTAATTGGCTTATTTCACTTGGCACAGTGTCTTCAAGGTTCTTCCATGGTGTAGCATATGTGAGAATTTCCTTTTTTTTTTTTTTTAAGGGTGAAAAATACTCTGTTGTATGTATATACCACATATTCTTTATCCATTCAGCCATTAATGAACATTCGGGTTGTTTCTAGCTTTTGGCTATTGTGAATAATGCTGCTATGAACAGGGGTGTACAAATACTTCTTTAAGACCCTGTTTTTTGTCCTTTGGATATATATCCAGCAGTGGAATTGCTAGATCATATAGTGATTCTGATTCTTTGAAAAACCGCCATACTGTTTTCCATTGCAGCTGTAGCAGTTTACAGTCCCATCAACAGTGCACAATGGCTCCAATCTCTTCACTTCCTTGCCACTACTTATTATTTTCTGGGGTTTTGTTTTTTTTTTGTTTTATAATAGCAATACTAATGAGTGTGAGGTAGTAGTATCTCACTGTGACTTTGACTTGCATTTCCATAATGACTAATGATGTTGAGCATCTTTACTTATTGGCCATTTGTATATCTTGTTAGAAAAATCTCTATTCGAGTCCTCTGCCAATTTCTTAATTTAATTGTTTTGTTGTTGTTGTTAAGTTATAGGATAAATTGAAAAAATTGTAAAACCTAATCACAAGTACACATTCCATTAGCCATCAGAGTGATAACATTATCACACGTTCAGTAGCCTCTGGAAAATTCCACTGTGTACTTATGAGAGAATGAGAGTATAAAAAACAAATAATATCTTAATCTTTTTTTCTTTTTTTTTGTTTTGAGAAGGAGTTATGCTCTTGTCACCCAGGCTGGAGTGCAATGGCATGATCTTGGCTCACCACAACCCCCACCTCCCAGGTTCAAGCGATTCTCCTGCCTCAGCCTCCCAAGTAACTGGGATTACAGGCATGCACCACCATGCCCGGGTAATTGTGTGTTTTCAGTAAAGACAGGGTTTCACTGTGTTGGTCAGGCTGGCCTCGAACTCCCGACCCCAGGTGATCCGCCCACCTTGGCCTCCCAAAGTGCTGGGATTATAGGCGTGAGCCACCACGCCTGGCCTTCTTAGTCTTATTATGACTTTGTGGATGCCCTAAAAGGGTATTAGGGACCCCAAGGAACACATAGGTCATATTTTGAGAACCTCTAGTGTAAAGTTCATGGTAATCCTCAATTAGAAGAAGACCATTACATTGGCAAAATGGAATGCTTAAATGGTTTAAAAAAAAAAGTGGGAATTCAATCAAATTCCTATAGTAAGGTACAACTTCAGGGAATAGAATAAATCATTTTTAATATGAGCTAAGAGATGTCAAATCCTGCAGAACAGATTTATCAGTGGTATGTATTAGACCTCCCAACACTTTGAGACACATTGATTTTCTTTCTGTGAGATTCAGAAAAACCATGGAAAGTCTGCCTACTTGGGTATGAGGGTTATAATTCATATTAATGCCTCTGGTTTGAGATTATTTCTTGTCCCTGTTAGCTGGTAAAGTAGATTGCCAATTTGTTCTAATCTGCTCATGGAACTACATTCACAATTTTAAAATGTGTTTTCGTGAATCTTTAAACAAAACTGTTTTCAATCTAACCTTTATGTCCTAAGAGTTCCACAAACATTCAAATGGCTGTTTTAGTAGGTTACAAAGCATAGTAAAATGTCATATTTAACTTAGGATAGATGAGAACCAATGTGTAAATATTGCAGTGTGACCTATTTCACCTTAGTGTACGTAATATATTTGAAAAGAATAGCCATGTGACTTCTACACTAGCATTGTGGGAATTGAAATGAAGACTAGAGAGAGAAGATGTAAATGGATTTTTTACCTCAGGGAAATTTTAAAACAGGTTCCATGTCCTTTTATCAGCTTCCTTGAAACATTGTGAACTTTGTTCTTTGGCATATGGTCTCTGAGAGTGAGAAAATTATGGCCAATCTCCAGCTAATTTATGTTCTTAAATCATAACTGAAACCCATGATTGGGCCTACGTGTTGATAAGATAAAAGAATATCATCTAATTATGTGATTCTGGCATTTTTTTGGTGACTGACTTTGGCACAGGAAAACTAAATTTGACTTCAAATACTCAGAAATAAGTTTATATTACAAACATGTAATATATGCAAATGAATTTTAATAATTTTGCATAACTTGGTTTGTATTTTTGTTTCATATTTTTAATGCTATCTTTATATGTTTACGTGAACCTTTATCTATAGCATTATGGTGCTATGGATAAGTTATATAACTTTTTTTTCCCTTTTAATTATCTTCCTGTCATTTCTATGTAAAGTATCTTGGTTAGGAATAGGGGAAAAGTTCCATGACTTTTTAAAAAATATATGTTATATATGTTTAAGACACATTTTATGTTTTAAAACTACCAATAGTGAAGAATTGATTCTGATCTTATTAATTCTGTAGTGTTGTTCATTTATTTTAAAAATCTTATTTTTCATTTTTTTCAGATTGAAGATAAAACTTTCCAAGTCCTTGGTAATCTTTACAGCGAGGGAGACTGCACTTACCTGAAATGTTCTGTTAATGGAGTTGCTAGTAAAGCGAAGCTGATTATCCTGGAAAACACTATTTACCTATTTTCCAAGGTAATGTCTCTTCTTTATAATATCCCTCCTGGGGCATGGGAGAAAACTGTTTGACCAGAGACATTCCACTGAAAGAGATTAGAAAGATCCAGCTTCCTGTGACCACTGCTGTGACCTTTTTCCCTCAGTTTCCCCCACCATTCTGTGTTTCTTTGCCAAATTCCTGCCCTCTGTAGTTTCCCATTCACTTCTCTCGTTCACACAGATGCTCATTGATAGACACATACCCATTTTCTTCCTGAATTCTGAAACAAATCCTTCCATTTTCTTTGTCAGAGCATATCTCCCTGCTCAGTGGGTGGTGGTATCTCAGGGCTTTGATGTCTGAACACTTTTCCCCACCCACCATCCCCCTGACAACTGGAATCCTGGTGATTTTGGAGGAGGTGACCACTGAGAGAGGAGTCTGTGGACCAGTTGTTCCTTGTGGGGAAGGTGGACAGTAGGAAGGTGGATGGCATTACTGGTGGTCTCTTGACAGTCAAAGGATAGCCGAGGCAGGCTTTGCATGGTTTTGGTTAGAAGCCTGCTGCCCAGTGAGTCCTTAACCTTCGGCCTGGGCAGAAAGAGGATAATGCATTATCATATATGCTGTGGCCTCACAGTGCTTTGTGATGAGATTCCTTTAGTAGTCTAGTAATTAAACTACTATATATGGAGTTGAGGATGATCCCACTTTGCCAGGCATTCCTTTCCATAGCCAATTACGCTACAGTAATATGATGATAGAGGCCGTATAATGGAATGGTGAAAAACTCAAGTTCTAAAATGTGAAGCTGCTTTGGTTCAAATTCTGCCTTGCCACTTAACAGCCATGTGACCTTGGCCGTTAAACTCTCTGGGCTTTAGCTCTCCTATCTATAAACAGTTTAATAATAACAGCAGTAACAGTAATAATAATAGGTGCAGTGGCTTGTGCCTGTAGTCCCAACACTTTGGGAGGCCAAGGCAGGCAGATTGCTTGAGACCAGGAGTTTGAGACCAGTCTGGGTAACATAACCCCATCTCTACAAAAAATTTTAAACATTAGCCAGGCATGGTGGTGTGTGCCTGTAATCCTAGCTACCCAGGAGGCTAATGCAGGAGGATTAATAGGCTCAGGAGTTCAAGGTTGCAGTGAGCTATGATTGTGCCACTGCACTCCAGCCTGGGTGGCAGAGTGAGACCCTGCCTCTAAAAAATAATAATAATGACAGTACCTTCCTCATAGAGTTGTGATGATTCACGACATGATGTGTGTGTTAAAGACAGTTCCTAGCATACTGAGCATCTGAGAGTGGGGATGCTACTGAAAATGGCTTCCAGACAGTGGCTACTTGTTGTCTACAGTGAATGCTTTATTCTTATTTTATTTTTTGAGATGGAGTCTTGCTCTGTTGTCCAGGTTGGAGTGCAGTGGTGCCATCTCGGCTCACTGCAAGCTCTGCCTCCCGGGTTCACTCCATTCTCCTGCCTCAGCCTCCCGAGTAGCTGGGACTGCAGGCGCCCGCCACCATGCCCAGCTAATTTTTTGTATTTTTTAGTAGAGATGGGGTTTCACCATGTTAGCCAGGATGGTTTTGATCCCCTGACCTCGTGATCTGCCCACCTTGGCCTCCTAAAGTGCTGGGATTACAGGCGTGAGCCACGGCGCCCAGCCTAAATCTTTTAATATACTGTGAGGCATGTATACCGTTACGCCTTTACAATGGGAAACCAAGGCTGAGAGAGGTTTAATAATTTGCTCAAGGTCATAAAGCTAGATTAGAACCCTGGTATTAATGGTGACTAATTTATTTTTTTTTTTGAGTCAGAGTCTCACTCTGTCACCCAGGCTGGAGTGCAGTGGCGCAGTCTTAGCTCACTGCAGCCTCTACCTCCCAGGCTCAAGTGAGCCTCCTGCCTCAGTTCCCAAGTAGCTGGGACTATAGGCGCGTACCACTACACTGGGCTGATTTTTGTATTTTTTGTAGAGATGAGGTTTCGCTATATTGCCCAGGCTGGTCTTGAACTCCTGGGCTCAAGCCATCTGCCTACCTCAGCCTCCCAAAGTGCTGGGTTTACAATCGTGAGCCACTGGGCCTGGCCATGATGACTAATATTTAACAAATTGCTGGGAAACAATTATTACCTCAGGTATATTAGTAAAAATATAGTGATAGGATGTTGATTCGGTTTTCAGTTTGTTTTCTGTTTCTAGGAAGGAAGTATTGAGATTGACATTCCAGTCCCCAAATACTTATCTTCTGTGAGCTCACAAGAAACTCAGGGCGGCCCCTTAGCTCCTATGACTGGAACCATTGAAAAGGTAATCACATGACATCTGTAGAATGATGTTCAGTAAGTTTTAATACGTGGCTTTGTTAAACTTGTCATTTATGTCCTTTTCCCTTTCTAAACCTTGCTCATTGGAAAGCATCCACTTCACAAAAACAAGAGGATCTATTACAGATTCAAATTGTTTATTACAGTCCTCACTGAAAATACCCATTTACCTAATTTATGAAAAAGACTGCTGTTTTTGAAGGCAGGCATTTGCATCAAAGTACAAATAATCTAAATTGTCTTTTTATGATTAAAACTGAGCATTCATTAAGCATTATTCAAAAAAGCTGGTTTTGAATGTTAAATTTAATAGCAGCAAATTTTTCATGAAATAATGACATTTTCTTTTAGTGTACGTAGTTGCATCTGCGTTAATGTAAAAGGCTGGTATTGGTGAAGAACAGTACGGTTTGGTGTTGAATGCAGTATATAATTCACAGTTGCAGTCCATACTGTCTGAGTCAGTTCAGGCTGCTAGAACAGAATACCATAGACTGGGTGGCTTTTAAACAATAGAAATTTATTTCTCACGATTCTAGAGGCTGGGAAATCCATCAAATCACCAGCAGATTAAGTGTCTGGTGAGAGTCTACTTACCGATTTCATAAACAGCCATTTTTTCTCTGTGTCCTCACGTGGTGGAAGGGACAAGGGACCTCTCTTCAGGCCTCTTTCATAAGGGCACTAATCTCTTTCATGAGGCCAGATCCCTCATGACCTAATCACCTGCTAAAGGCCCCACCTCCAAATACCATCATCCTGGAGGTCAGGATTTTAACAAATGAATTCTGGAGGGATATAGACATTTAGACCCTAGCACATACTGATATAACATCAAATGGTGATAGATCAGTATCCGTAGTCTCCTTTTATATACTTGAATACAGTAGAGTCTCCTCAAATACACTTAAATCATAAAAACTCAACTGTATATGCTTGGAACAAAAAAAGAAGAAGAAGAAAATAACTACTTAAATAGTGTGGGTGATTTCAGCCACTATTCTCGTTTGGAAATATTTACCCCAAGTGGGTATGAGCTAGGAGACCTGGATCTGCCTTTAGCTCATTTGATTTCAGTTCCCACAGGCCTCTCATAGTGCAGGCATCTCTGCACAACTCTGTTAGTCTCCCACTTAGTAGCCATGTTAACCAAAACGAAAGTGAGACCATATAGGATCTATGAGTCCATTTATATGTATACAAAAGAAAATAGAAATCTCTTTCTGGGGTTGCTAATAAGTTTGATTCTGTTGCATGAAGATTGTCTTCACATTTACTACACAGGGCTCTGAAGACTTCAAACACACTTACTATACTTAGCCCTAGACAACCCCAAAACAAGAAAACCAGTCAAGACCCTCATCCCTCTTCCCTCTCTGGGGAAGACATTTAAGTATATTAGTCCTTCCCTACTGGCAATGTGTCTTGTTTCTACATTCTTGAAAAAAATGAAAGGATTTCAAAATACATGGAGTATATTCATGTGATTCAAGTAAAACTAAGTGGTTTTGTGGGTGGGGACAGGGGACTAAGCAGTGCTACCCATGGACGACAGTGCCAGCAATGCCAGATTGACCTGTAGGGCTCTCATTTGACTAGTGCATTTGGGCTGTAGGCCTCTGATTTGACCAGTGCATTTGACCTGTAGGCCTCTGATTTGACCAGTACATTTGGGCTGTAGGCCTCTGATTTGACCAGTGCATTTGACCTGTAGGCCTCTGATTTGACCAGTGCATTTGGGCTGTAGGCCTCTGATTTGACCAGTGCATTTGACCTGTAGGCCTCTGATTTGACCAGTACATTTGGGCTGTAGGCCTCTGATTTGACCAGTACATTTGACCTGTAGGCCTCTGATTTGACCAGTGCATTTGGGCTGTAGGCCTCTGATTTGACCAGTGCATTTGACCTGTAGGCCTCTGATTTGACCAGTGCATTTGGGCTGTAGGCCTCTGATTTGACCAGTGCATTTGGGCTGTAGGCCTCTGATTTGACCAGTGCATTTGACCTGTAGGCCTCTTATTTGACGAGTACATTTGGGCTGTAGGCCTCTGATTTGACCAGTGCATTTGGGCTGTAGGCCTCTGATTTGACCAGTGCATTTGACCTGTAGGCCTCTGATTTGACCAGTGCATTTGGGCTGTAGGCCTCTGATTTGACCAGTGCATTTGACCTGTAGGCCTCTGATTTGACCAGTACATTTGGGCTGTAGGCCTCTGATTTGACCAGTACATTTGACCTGTAGGCCTCTGATTTGACCAGTGCATTTGGGCTGTAGGCCTCTGATTTGACCAGTACATTTGGGCTGTAGGCCTCTGATTTGACCAGTACATTTGGGCTGTAGGCCTCTGATTTGACCAGTACATTTGGGCTGTAGGTCTCAGATTTGACCTGTACATTTGGGCTGTAAGCCTCTGATTTGACCAGTGCATTTGACCTGTAGGCCTCTGATTTGACCAGTGCATTTGGGCTGTAGGTCTCAGATTTGACCTGTATATTTGGGCTGTAGGCCTCTGATTTGACCAGTGCATTTGGCAGATGGCACAACCACATGGGCTCTACTTCTGCTCTGTAAGTTTATATACCAAATCTGTGGACCACAAAGGACCTCTGTGTTGTTTTTTTTCTTTTTATTTATGTTTTATTGTTTATATTCATGGTTTGCAACATGATGTTATGAGTATATATAGACAGTAAAATGGTTACTATAATGAAGCAGATGAACATATCTAGGACCTCTGTGTTTTCAAATATTAACCTGTCACACTGAATCTCAAGGTGTTTGTCAAAGCTGGAGACAAAGTGAAAGCGGGAGATTCCCTCATGGTTATGATCGCCATGAAGATGGAGGTAAGGAAATCATGAGTTCATTTGCTATGAGGACTTTGGGAGCAATCATACCTAATGGTTCTTTTGCCTTATTTTGTAAGTTAATACCACCTTAAATATGAAAAGCCATGATTGACGAAGCATTAATTGTAGGAAACAAAACCAAACTATCCTTCTTGTAGAAAAGAGTTTTACTTTAACTTTGTGAAATTGCACCTGTCATTTCTGATTCTGAAATTAATGAAATTATCAATAGCTTGGAATCAGGCGATAATCCAACTGAATGTTAACTGTTGGTATTTTCTAAGATAATCCAACTGAATGTTAACTGTTGGTGTTTCTGGAATGTTAACTGTTGGTATTTTCTAATGTTAACTGTTGGTATTATCTTGGTTCTAAGGCCGAACCAAGGATGCCAGGCATCAGTTTCAAAGTGAAAACCGCAATCAAATTAAATTAGCTGTTTAGGTTTTTAGATGGTTCAAATGGTAGGTCAGTGATTCTTAGCCCTGGCTGAATATTGCAGACAGTCCTCAACTTACAATGGTTCAATTAAGGATTTTTCAGCTTGACAATGGTGCAAAACCATACACGTTGAATATGCTCCTCAGCTTACATTGGATTTATCTGGACCTGACCCCATCGTAAGTCAAGGAGCATGTGTACAGTCACCTGGGGAGATTTGAAAAAATTCTTCCCCAGACCCATTGAATTGCAATCTCCAGGAGTAGAGCCCAAGGATCAATACTTTTGAAAGGCTGGGCGCAGTGGCTCATGCCTGTAATCCCAGCACTTTGGGAGGCAGAGGCAGGCGGATCATTTGAGGTCAGGAGTTCACGACCAGCTTGGCCAACATGGTGAGACCCCATCTCTATTAAAAATACAAAAATTAGCCAGGCATGGTGGTGCATGCCTGTAATCCCAGCTACTCAGGAGGCTGAGGCAGGAGAATTGCTTGAACCTGGGAGGCAGAGGTTGCAGTGAGCCGAGATCTTGCCACTGCACTCCAGCCTGGGTGACAGAGCGAGACTCCGTCTCAATTTAAAAAAACAAACAACAAGGCCAGGCGCAGTGGCTCACGCTTGTAATCCCAGCACTTTGGGAGGCCGAGGTGGGTGGATCATGAGGTCAGGAGTTCAAGACCAGCCTGGCCAACATAGTGAAACCCCGTCTTTACTAAAAATACAAAAATTAGCCAGGTGTGGTGGCACACACCTGTAGTCCCAGTTACTTGGGAGGCTGAGGTGGGAGAACCGCTTGAACCCGGGAGGCAGAGGTTACAGTGAGCTGAGACCATGCCGTTGCACTCCAGCCTGGGTGACAGAGTGAGACTCCGTCTCAACAGCAACAACAACAAAAAACAAAAAAAAAAAAACAAAAGCAAGCAAACAAAAAACTGTTGAAAGCTTCCTAGGTGCAATTCTCATGTGAAGCTCAAGTTGAGAACTGCGAGCTACACCAGAGCTTCCCAGTCATATCGTTGAAAGGTTACTGCTGTGTCCCAGTGTTCATTCCTCTCAACTTGTTACTGTTCTCCCTGTGTGCTGTGATGTTAAAAATAAAAACAACAACAACAACAAAGCGTTGGAAAGCACCGAGAGATGACAAAACATCAAAGTTGGCTACAGTTTTCATTTTTGGTCTCCCTTTCTTGACTTGGTGTATACTCAGTCCTCATTAGTATTGCAGCTATCATTTGTCCTGTCATGTGTCTCTGCAGCATACCATAAAGTCTCCAAAGGATGGCACAGTAAAGAAAGTGTTCTACAGAGAAGGTGCTCAGGCCAACAGACACACTCCTTTAGTCGAGTTTGAGGAGGAAGAATCAGACAAAAGGGAATCGGAATAAACTCCAGCAAGGAAATGGCCAGTTAAGTAGTGTCTTCTCTCTCCACCAAAAAGAGGAAGTGCCTCCAGCTTTTCTGGGGGTCTCATAAAGAGCAGTTTTACTAAATGATTGTATGCTTATGCTGAACACCTTTCATATTGGAGAATCATGCATTTGGGTCACTAATTATCTCAAAATATTTCATACTAATAAAGTTGAATTATTTTTTATTGGAAGCCAATGTTTGTTTCTGCCTCAAATTTTTTACAAGGTAGTCTCTTTTAGGAAGGGGGGAAGAGAAAAGGACATTTAATTAAATGAATTACTTTCCAGTTGCTGTTATGATGAAAATGAGCAGTAATATGTTTCAGAGACAGGTGCCCTGGAGTTCAACAACTAAGGTTTTGTCTGGCCAAAAAGCAACTTGCTAGGTAGTTTAAAAGACATGGATATTAGTCGGGCGCGGTGGCTCACGCCTGTAATCCCAGCACTTTGGGAGGCCAAGGCGGGCAGATCACTTGAGTTCAGGAGTTCGAGACCAGTCTGGCCAATATAGTGAAACCCGTCTCCACAAAAAATAAGCTGGGTGTAGTGGTGAACATCTGTAGTCCCAGCAACTTGGGAGGCTGAGGCAGGAGAATCGCTTGAACCTGGGAGGCAGAGGTTGCAGTAAGTCGAGACCGCACCACTGCACTCTAGCCTGGGTGACAGAGCGAGACTCTATCTCAAAACAAATACATAAATATAAATAAGTAAAGACACGGATATTGTTTCTAGTGTTTGTGATTGGAAAGTTTCTAACTAGATTGCCTCTGCCTTTATTGTACTTTCTAAGCTTATAAAAATATATGTATTATATATCTATTACATGCTAAAATATATTAATATTTAATATAACATTTTGGTAAATTTGAAAAGCATAATTTTACAGAAAAAGTTGGTAAGAGTTAAAAGCCTGAGCCTGCTGAATGCTTTTTTTAGAAATACTTTTTTCATTATGAAGAAAAACCATTCAGTTTACTTTTGTCTAGATTCTGTGTTACTTTTACTAACAGATGTGCAGCCCTTTGCATTTTTATGTATTCATTGAAGTGTTAAATATTTGTTGAATTGAGTTCTTGCTGAATACATAAGACTATGCTAAATGTTGTGGAAAATACAGAGAAATATAAAAGATGGTCTCCGTACTTTAAGATGCCTATAATTGGAAAAGTAAAACATAAATCATGTCTGCTATGATTAGAATGGGTCCCCTATGTTTCACGTGTTAAAAACTTAATCCCCAAGTTCATGTGTTGATTAGAGGTAGGACTTTCGAGAGGTAATTAGGATTGGATATGGTCATCAGGGCGGGGCCCCCATGATGGGACTGGTGGCTTTAAAAGAGGAAGAGAGACCTGAGCTGGCTCGCTCTTGCCCTCTTGCCATGTGATGCCCTCCACCATGTTATGACACAGCAAAAAGGCCCTCACCAGACACCGGCCCCTTGATCTTGAACTTCCCAGACTTCAGAACTGTAAGAAATAAATTAGTTCATAAATTATCCAGTCTGTGATACTCTGTTTCAGCAATGCAACATAGTCTATGACAATGTCGAAAGTTACAGTTTTAGCAAGGGTGCCGTTTCCCCTTTCCAAACAAAACTTTCTCTGTTTAAAAGAGGGAAAAGCAGCCGGGCGCGGTGGCTCACACCTGTAATCCCAGCACTTTGGGAGCTGAGGCAGGCGGATCACAAGGTCAAGAGATGGAGACCATCCTGGCCAACATGGTGAAACCCTGTCTCTACTACATATACAAAGATTAGCTGGGCATGGTGATACGCGCCTGTAGTCCCAGCTACTTGGGAAGCCGAGGCAGGAGAATCGCTTGAACCAGGGAGTCGGAAGTTGCAGTGAGCCGAGATCATGCCATTGCACTCCAGCCTGGTAACAGAGTGAGACTCTGTCTCCAAAAAAAAAAAAAAAAAAATAGAGGGAAAAGCAAAAGGTGCTGTGATGGAAATTTCACATTGCTGTTTGCCCCCTTTCGGAGAATGCTGTTTGTATCCTTCAGTGGAACATGGTTGAGTTCACTGTTTCATTGTTAAGTGACTGTGTTGGGGATATGTGTATTGAAGGAATTCGAAGCCAGCTAGCCCAATTACCCACATATTGGTAGAATTCTTTCTTTAGGATCTTTGCCAGTTCTGGTGCTGTGTGAGCAGAGTTATTTTGCACATGAATGCATCTGTTTGTGCTACAGACACTTACAGAGCATTTGCTCTACACTAGGGCCTCTGGAACAGAGATGGTAAGAAATGATTTCTGCTCTTGCCCTATCTAATGGGAAACAGGATCCAGCTGCATAGAAAAATGTAATATAGGCCGGGCGTGGTGGCTCACGTCTGTAATCCCAGCATTTTGGGAGGCCGAGGCAGGTGGATCACCTGAGGTCAGGAGTTCGAGACCAGCCTGGCCAACATGGTGAAACCCCATCCTTACTAAAATTACTAAAATTAATTGGGCATGGTGGCACATGCCTGTGGTCCCAGCTACTCAGGAGGCTGAGGCAGGAGAATTGCTTGAACCCCAGAGGCAGAGGTTGCAGCGAGCTAAGATTGTGCCACTGCACTCCAGCCTGGGCTATACAGCGAGACTCCATCTCAAAAAAAAAAAAAGGTAATATAATTGACAGTAAGTGGTATAATATACCAGTCTACTAGGTGCCATGTGCGGTGAGGTGAGTGAGGTACTAAATTCTGCTTTGGGTCAGGAGGCAGAGGGAGAGGCAGTGATGTCTGAACTGGGCTTTGGAGGATAGCTGTTTGCCAGATGGAGAAAGAAGGTGGTGAGTCCAAGGCCACTGCAGGCAGAAGGACTGGCAAGGTCTAGAACAGTAAGGCATGAAGGCATGCAATGTATTCGGGGCACAGAGTGGATGGCCTGGGCCACTAGGCAGAGAAGGGCAAGCAAGGGACGCAGCTGCCTAGCAATAAAAGGCCTTCTCTTGTCCCAGAGGACTTCATTCTGGAGGCAGTGAGGAGCTGCTGGAGATTTTCAACCAACTTAAGTTTTTCAAGTTGTATAATGTCCACAGTCTGGAGTACAGGCCGGAAAGTGGAGAGAGGCTGGAGACAGTCCCAAACAGACACCAGATATGTGGGCCAGGCTGGCTGCAGTGGCTCAAGTCTATAATCCCAGCACTTTGGGAGGCAGAGTCTGGAGGGTCACTTGATGCCAAGAGTTGGAGACCAGCCCCACGCCGCCTGCCCCATGTCTCTACAAAACATTTAAAAATTAGCCAGGCATGGTGGTGCATCCCTGTAGTCCCAGCTACTTGGGAGGCTGGGATGGGAGGATCGATTGAACCCAGGAGTTTGAGGTTACATTGCTCTGTGATCACATGCCACTGCACTCCAGCCTGGACGACAGAGTGAGACCCTGTCTCAAAAAAAAAAAAAAAGACAAGAAAAAGTACAGGTCAGAGTGGGGAAAACAGACTTTGGTGCACATCTTGACTTAAAAGTACTTCTCTGTTGGATAAGACCCATTAGAGGCATGGACCAAAACAGAGTCATTAGTTGGGAAAAAAGCAGCTTGCTACCTTCTCTTTGACAGCAGCATGGCTCAGGTATTTAATAACCAAGAGAACAACAACATTTAAGCACCCCAATGATTGCTTTTTGATCACAGGGGAGAACACACAGCATTGTAGTTGAAATACAGCGGTTAAAATTCTTGCATTCAGGCCCTAGCTTTGTCACTTATTAGCTGTATTGCCTTGGGCAAGTCATTTAACCTCTCCGAGCTTTATCTGTAAAATTGAGGTGGCAGCACTACCTCACAGGCTTGTTTTGGAGATTAAAGGAGAAAATGTAGAGGTTGCCTTTAGCATTGTACCTGGAAAATCATTTATACTTCCCTGGTAGTTATTACCAACTCTGGTTCTTGCTAGGGAGCAATTAAGAAACTGCTTTAAATTCAGACTAGCTGGTTACTCTTGCCAGGAAAAATCCCAGGTCCCAGGATGGTGAAAAATCCTGCCTGGATATGCATCACCCTGTCCCCTCCCTACCCTCCCTTCCCCAGCTGTAGCCTGCTCCGGTGTGACCCAGGCACCTGTCAACCACTTAACAGACTGTGTTGCTGCCGGACTGTGGGGGGAAGCCTCCGTCAGTAGCTAGAGCTGTGTGCTGGTGGGACAGCGGCCCGCCCACTTGCATGAAGGCTGGGTAACTTGGAAAAACTCACTTGGAACAACTCACCTAGAACAACTCACTTGTATGAAGGCTGGGTCCAGACTTGCTCCACCTGCTGCCATCAGTTGTCACGTGTGTAGCTGGTGCTGGAGGGGAAGCCTGTGTCCGGCTTGCGCCTCAGTGTGGGCAGGCATCATACCTGCTGCCGGACAGCAGAGTAGGGTGGTCTTTCATTTAGCTGAACTCTTTCCCCCCTTTCCCCCTCCACAATCAACTTCTCACTCCTGCACACTTACTGTTAACCCTCAACTAGTCCTCTTAGGAATATTAGAAGGTGAAATGTGCATCTGAGCCCTGCGTAGCCAGGGCTCTTCTGCTGTTGTCATTAAAATATTCACAGCGTTGTTAGTCATGTTTGCACGTCTATTGCATCTTTCATCAGAGGGTCTCAAAAAAGCACTTCTAGGCCAGGTGCGGTGGCTCACACCTGTAATTCCAGCACTTTGGGAGGCCGAGGCAGGTGGTTCACCTGAGGTCAGGAGTTCGAGACCAGCCTGGCTGATATGATGAAACCCCATCTCTACTTAAAAAAAATACAAAAATTGGCCGGGCGTGGTGGCAGGAGCCTGTAGTCCTGGCTACTCGGGAGGCTGAGGCAGAAGAATTGCTTGATCCTGGGAGGCGGAGGTTGCCGTGAACCTAGGTTGTGCCACTGCACTCCAGCCTGGGTGACAGAGCAAGACTCTGTCTCAAAAAAAAAACAAAAGACACTTCTAGATATTCACACTAGGCTTCAAAATACCCCAGAAGAGGAAAATGTGATTTAAACTGTGTGGTAGAAGAGGAGATGGCTGTCCCCAAATGCTTTGCTCCTTGCCTAGTGCGGAGAACCTTAGGGTACCAGTCCCCTCCTGCTAATAACATACTGTTCCCTCAGGGCTGACCCCAGGGTGCTGCCCCTAGAGGTTAGTAGTTTTTCCCCACCAGACTGGGAGTATAGGGCATCACAAGAGGCCCTGCCCACAGCTGTCAGCTCTCAAAGCCACAGGCTGAGTGGAAACACTCTTGCCCACCCTCCCCCAACCCCTGGGAATGTCCCTGGGGACACCATGCCTTCTGGACCAAGGGGTGCCTGGGCCTTTAGGAGATTATAACCCTGATACCAATGATTACCTTGTCACCCTGACATTTGTCTCCCATTTGCTGGATCCCTGGGGACTCAGAATGCCTTGGTGCCTCTAACTGGCTCAGTCTCCTGCAGCGAGTTCCAAGTGAAGTGTGCACTCTCCTCTGCCACCTCCAAGCCACAGCACAGACGTTAACTCCCTCCCTGCTAAGAATGGCTGACGTCATTCTCTGTATCTACCACCCCTCGCTACCATTTCGCTAAACTGTTAGATTAGATTAGATATAATTCTTATTCCAAAACCAGCTTCCCACAGAAACAAAAAACCACTAACAAAAACAGGGTAATTTGGGGCTTCTCCCTCTTCCCAGTTATTCCTTCATCATGACCAACTATGTCATAAAAGCATTACGGTTTTTTCCATTATTGAAAGCAGGCAGTTAAAAGTGCTACTCCAGTGAACACACAAATGATAAGAAGGTGAAACAGCCAGGCTGGGAGCAGTGGCTCACACCTGTAATCCCAGCACTTTGGGAGGCCGAGGCGGGAGGACTGTTTGAGCCCAGGAGTTCAGGAGTTTGAGACCAGCCTGGGCAACACAGGGAGACCCCATCTCTACAAATAATTTAAAAAATTAACTGGGCGTAGTGGTAGGCATCTGTGGTTCCAGCTACTTGGGAAGCTGAAATGGGAGGATTGGCTGAACCTAGGAGTTTGAGGCTGCGGTGAGCCGTGATCGTGCCACTGAGTGACAGAGCAAAACTCTGTCTCAAAAAAAAAAAAAAAAATCTATTTAGAATGGGACTTTTATTAAAACATTTCTCCAGACTAACTGATCCTCTGTTTGACTTACAGAAGAAGACTAATCACTTGAAACCTTAATAGAAATAATATGTTTCAACGTTGCTGAGGAATTTGTTAACTTCCCAGACGAAAATTCTGGGATTAGGTGGTGAATAGAATAACAGACAGTGAGGGCCAACATTCAGAGATTTGCATTTCATGAAAGGACTTTGGAAATATCTGAAATTTGGGGAAATGTACTTAGGAGGTGGGGTCAGTAACAGTTTAGGTCTTATATACACAAGGACAAAATTTCACCCTCCTCCTAGAACATTAGGGAGATGGATTAATGGGAGAGATGTGACTCACCAAGGGCAATATTACATTTATAAACACTGAAAGAATATACTAGTTTAGAAAGTTTTATCATCAGCCCTGCTTTTTCAGATGTTTTTATTCTTGCATTTTTTGCACATTTTTATTATTTGCTAATGTAATTCTCCTTTCCAAAGAAAATCTGACTTGCTTAAATGAATGTTTAAAGAAGTTAAAAACTGCACAGTGGAATCCACATTTAAGAAACCCCTTTATGGGCAAAAGTATTTGTCTCTTTCTCAAACAGAAATTTTATGTTGCTGTTAAAACAAAAGTGGCTTGATTTCTTAGATACACCAATAAAACAAACAGTATAATGTATCAACAGTATAATGTAACATTTAATTATGATTTCTTCTTTTTTACTTCTATTTTTTTTTTAGACAGGGTCTTGCTCTGTCACCCAGGCTGGAGTGCAGTGGCCATCATCACAGTTTATGGCAGCCTCAGCCTCCTGGGCTCAAGTGGTCCTCCCACCTCAGCCCCACAAGTAGCTGAAACCACAGGCATGCACTGCCATGCCTAGCTAATTTTTATGTATTTATTATTTATTTTTGTAGTCTCCCTTTGTTGCCCAGGCTGGTCTTGAACTCTTGGGCTCAAGCGATCCTCCCATCTCGGACTCCCAAAGTGTTGAGATTACAGGCGTGAGCCGTTGTGCCTGGCCTTTTTATGATTTCTTGATTCACAGGGAGAAATGTACCTCTCACTCAAATCAGAATATTTATATTGCTCTGGCTTGCGTGTTTCCCCCGGGGTGAAAAGAGGATGGAAGCCAAATTATAATGACGAGGTTCCTTGATGAGAAGGGGCCCGAATAAAAGGAATACGGTGTATGGTTTGGTTCTGCAGAGGATACGACAATTTGATAACATCTCTCTCTGCAAAAGGAACGCATACGGGGGCTACAGGTTGAAGACACACGCTAGGAGTTCTCTCCCCTCAGATTTCCCATCTTCCTCCTTCACTTGCTCATCTCCATTTTGTTGACATATTCTTTCTTTAGATGTATTAATACCATTAGCCTGTTTTCCCTAAAATTCCCTGATGACAGGAATTACCTGGAGTGCTTGCCAAAAGTAGATTTCTGAATTAGAATCTCTAAGGGAAAGGCCTGGCATTCTGTAGACTCAACAAATGCCCCAAGTTGTTTTGACCAGGAAGGTTTGGGAACAATGAGTTGGTCTAGTGCATCTGAAAATTTCACATTCCTACTAATCACCTGCAGCCCCCCGATTCCACTGGTCTAGAGAAGGGCTGAGAGAGTCTCCATTTCTAACAAGCTGCCAGGCTTGCAGCCCGATGACTGCTTTTTTTAAATTAAATTAAATTTTTTTTTTTTTTGAGACGGAGTTTCACTCTTGTTGCCCAGGCTGGAGTGCAGTGGCATGATCTCGACTCACTGCAACCTCTGCCTCCCAGGTTCAACCGATTCTCCTGCCTCAGCCTCCTGAGTAGCTGAGGTTACAGGTATGCACCACCATGCCCGGCAAATTTTGTATTTTTAGTAGAGACGGGGTTTCTCCATGTTAGTCAGGCTCGTCTCAAACTCCCGACCTCAGGTGATCCGCCCACCTCGGCCTCCCAAAAGTGCTAGGATTACAGGTGTGAGCCACCGCGCCCAGCCTGAGGACTGCATTTTGAGTGGCATGCATCAGTGATTCTCAAAAGGTAGTCCAGGGCCAGCAGCAGCAGCACTACCTGCGAAGTTATTAGAAATGCAAATTCTCAGCCCCACCCTACATCTCCTGCATCAGAATCTTGGGGGTGAGGCTCAGCAAGACGTCCGGTGAGATTTTTATACGTATGAAAAATCAAGAACCACAGATCAGATCTGTAGTTAGTTAGGCTTAGCTGCTTCTTACTGATTCTGGCTGGAAAGTTATTTCACTGGAGATGAACATTTGGATATTTCCAATCTTACTTGTTTTGTGTACATTTACATAGTTTAACTCCACTTGGGGAGGTGCCTTGCTGGCCACTTTGTAAAGAGTTCAGGGAATATTGGCAAGAAAGTCATCTTGGGGTATTTTGAGGGAACCTGTTCCTTGTTAGCTTCAAATTTAATGTTTAAAGATCACTACGGAAACCATGTTAGGTTAGAACAGGCTTTGCAAATGCAAATGTGAAAGGGACAAGCACACAGACAGCAGTGAGTGAGGTAGCATGGGGGAAAGGGGAGGAGAGGTTTGGCGAGCAGGGCTCTTGGAGAGCAGCTACTCCTCAGCCCCACCCAGCTAGTGCCAGGCCAGGCGGGAATGTGGGCCCAGGGCGGTCACATCTTCCAACTTTTTGCGTGAAATCTCCTGATTTTGAAATTTTGGCAAACTCTTAGATTCGTGGTAAATATTCTGTGTGCTGAACCAAGTTGGCCTTGGTTGGCAGCTCTGCCTTGGAGGAACTAGCCAGGGAGGTGATTCACCAGCCTTGCTGCCCCTCCGTGGGCCACCCTCACAAAGAAGCAAGCCAAGGCTGCTCTGCCTATGGAGTACTGGTTCTTTTGTTTCTTTACTTTCTTAATAAACTTGCTTTCATTTTATAGATTCGTCCTGAATTCTTCCTTGCGCGAGATCCAAGAACCCTCTCTTGGGGACTGGATTGGAACCCCTTTCCCATAACACTATTACTTACTTCTGGGGTTTTCATAAGAATTAATTTATGTATGAGAGTTCCCTTCTCTCCCCTGGACACTTTCCCCAAGAGTCCTTTGCTTTCTGTTTTTTGTTTGTTTTTGTTTTTGAGATGTAGTCTCACTCTGTCCCTCCGTCCCCCAGGCTGGAGTGCAGTGGCAAGATCTCCGCTCACTACAACCTCTGCCTGCCGAGTTCAAGCGATTCTCCTCCCTCAGCCTTCCAAGTAGCCTGGGACTACAGGCGTGTGCCACCACACCTGGCTAATCTTTGTATTTTTAGTAGAGACACGGTTTCACAATGTTGGGCAGGATGGTCTCTATCTCTTGACCTTGTGATCCGCCCCCCTTGGCTTCTCAAAGTGCTGGGATTACAGGCGTGAGCTGCCACGCCCGGCAGGTCCTTTGCTTTCAAAACACTATTGAGTGTTTCATTGCTGTCAAATTAAATCCAGAGGAGTATCTGAGATTCCATGTCAGTCATCTAACATGCTGTGGAAACCACAGTCTCCAAACAGGTTTCTACAGAGACTACCACTCTTTCCCTTCCTCAATTAATTACACAGAAAGGACGGGAAAGGTGCACAGGGTGAAGGGGCAGATGGGGAAAATAAAAACAAAGCAGCAAGCCAAGCTGAGGTATCACCCAGCTCTGGTGGTCCACTGCTGGGAAACTCAACCACCAACTACTTTCCATGCCCCATGAAAGGTAAGTCAGCTCTTCTCTCCAAGTAGCAACCTGATCAGCCAAAGTTTAGCGCCCATGGAAATAGTTGGAACACTTCATATTGGAAAATGAAGTTTCAGATTGTGTAATCCCTCTAGAAGCAAAGAATACTTAACAGGAAAGTAATTCCAGAGGCACATCCAGGTTTTGCAGGTCCTGAAGCTTATACAGTTTGGGGAGAACTTACTTAAGAAAAAGAGTGTGAAATGACATATACAAAAATAGTTTTGAAAGTACAAGGCAGTCTTAGCCAAATGTGGTAGAATGTTTACTTTTAAAATTTTACAAAAATCAGATGACCAGGGCCTTGGAAGGGGCCCATACAAGCAGGGGTCCTGGAGGTTTCTGAGTATCATGGAACATAGGCCTGTGTCCTGGTGACCACTGGAGGGCTGGGAGGGGTAGTGTCCGGAATGAAAGTGTTGGTGCTCTGGGGAGCTGGTGATGTTCTGTGTCTTGACCTAGGTAGGAAGGTGACTACGCAGGGGGTTATTTCACAACAATCTGTTAAGCTGCACACTTGGGTTTTTGCTTTTTTTTTTTTTTTTTTTTTTTTTGAGGTGGAGTTTTGCTCTTGTTGCCCAGGCTGGAGTGCAATGGCACAATCTCGGCTCACTGCAACTTCCACCTCCCGGGTTCAAGTGATTCTCCAATCTCAGCCTCCTGAGTAGCTGGGATTACAAGCACCCGCCACTAACGCCCGGCTAATTTTTGGTATTTTTAGAAGAGATGGGGTTTCACCATGTTGGTCAGGCTGCTCTAGAACTCCTGACCTCAGGTAGTCCACCTGCCTCGGCCTCCCAAAGTGCTGGGATTACAGGCATGAGCCATGGTGCCTGGCCTAGTTTTTGCACTTTTATGTATACTTGTTATATTTCATAATTTAAGAAATCATTTGGCCCTTTTCTAAGTTAGGGAAAATACTCATTGGATCAAATAGGTCTTCAATAAATACTTGTTGAATGAGCTAATGAATGAATGATTTTCAAATATATTCAGAAAATATACAGTAAAGGCCTAAATGTGTAAGGACATGTTATTAAATATGTGATAGTGGCCAGATGTGGTGGCTAACACCTGTAATACCAGGACTTTGAGAGGCTGAGGAAAGTAGATCACCTGAGGTCAGGAGTTTGAGACAGCCTGGCAAACATGGTGAAACCCGGTCTCTTCTAAAAATACAAACATTAGCAGGGTGTGGTGGCGTTCACCTGTAATCCCAGCTACTGGGGAGGCTGAGGCAGGAGAATCACTTGAATCCGGAAGTTGGAGGTTGCAGTGAGCTGAGATAGCACTGTTGCACTCCAGCCTGGGCAACAAGAGTGAAACTATGTCTCAAAAAAAAAAAAGTTATAGTATTATTATAGCATAGTATATTATTTTAAGCAAAAAGAGAAGTAAGATTTAATGAGAGAAAATTATATTTTACTTCATTTTTGCCTTTTTTTTTTTTTTGGAGACAGGGTCTCTGTCGCCCAGGCTGGAGTGCAGTGGTGTGATCATGGCTCACTGCAACCTCTGCCTCCTGGGGTTGGTGATCCTCCCACTTTAGCCTCCCTAGTAATTGGGACTATTATAGGTGTGCGCCACCCCACCCGGCTAATTTTTGCATTTTTTGTAGACATGGGGTTTCGCCACATTGCCCAGGCTGGTCTCGAGCCCCTGGGCTCAAGTGATCCCCCACCTTAGCCTCCCAAATTGCTGGGATTACAGGAATGCGCCATTGTGCCTGGCTCTCAATTTTGTTTTTCTACAAACCCGTATTTGTCCACTCTAATAAAGAACTAGGATTGGAGGAGAAATGGACAAGAGAAACAGGTAGAGGGAGGTACAGAAGGGAACATCCAGCATGTGTGTAGATATTTGAAGTTATTTATCTTGAGTTAATCCAAGGCAAATCTTCAATTTTTGTATTACAATTTATAAAATGCATCTTTCTCCTAAAAGAAATGTTCCCCTACTTTTCTTTGATGACGATAGATATTGTGCCCAAACTGACACAGTACGTCACTCTTTGGAAAATCAATTTCTCAAGTAGTCAGAAATTAGGATAGCCACATGAGAGATTTTTAATAGCCAGATCTTTCAGATTTGCAATTACCTAATTATACTACATGCGCCATTTTCATGCCAATTTAATTCAAGAAATTAAGGATCTATATTATCCCTGTTTTCAATATCAAAATGTGAACAGGTAGTGTGATAATTTTTCCTAATTTGTGAATGTGTAGTTTCATAAAAAGTTATTAAAGAGCTATTTTATTATACATTTAATTAATTACCTTTGCTGTGAAATCTGGGCATACATACGGGCAAAGCACTCAGAAGGAGGCATAAACAAAACAGTCCCTCGGCTCAAGCAGTTAATAATTTACTAGGAAATCGGAAACATAAACCGGAATCAATTAACTTGCTGAATAAAGTTTATGTTCTTAAAAAAAATGTATAAAACATCCAGGGAAATGTAAATACAAACTAGATATTTGAAGATATTCAGGAATTATTCTTAATTTTGTAGGTGAGTTAATGGTATTGTAAGTTCTCTCCCCAGAGCCCCCTTCTTTTAGAGACATATCCTGAAATATTACAAATCAAATGTTATGATATCTGAGATTTGCATCAAAATTATGCATATTGGCTGGGCGCCGTGACTCACACCTGTAATCCCAGCACTTTGGGAGGCTGAGGTGGGAGGATCACTTGAGCCCAGAAAGTTGAGGCAGTAGTGAGCTGTGATCAAGCCACTGCATTCTAGCCTGGGCAACAGAGCAAGACCCTGTCTCAAAAAAAAAACATGCAGATCATGGGGAATGAATAGGGTATAGATGAGATGAGACTGGCCTTGAGTTGATAATTGTAGAAGTCGGGAGATGGGTATATGGACAGGAGACCATTCAGTCTACTTTTGCATTTGTTTATAAACTTTTAGCATAAAAATTATTACACCTTATTTAATCTTTCTTTCATTGTGAAATGAAAACACTAAATACTACTGGAGCCTCAGTGATTCGCCATCACCATTTGAAGCTCTCTCAACTTTAAGATCCCAGCAAGCCTGCCTCTCATTTCCTCCATTGCCTCTATGCGGGTCTCAGTATCTGCCCTGCGGTTCTTAGAAGCGTGTACCTGGAAGGGACACAATGACAATGGTTTGGTTAGTGAAAAACTGTGACTGCTTGACTCTTGCCTGAACTTTAAAATCCATGTTTATTTAGGAATAAAATGGAAATGTTTCATCTTATGAGTTTCCTCATAAGATGTTTCCTCAGAGGCCAGTGAAATCCTGAATTCTCTTGGATGAGAGAAACCTACAAGGATGAACTAACTAAAAGATGTGTCAGTTCTTCTTGTCTCTGATCTTGGTGTCAAGGCTATTCTGCAGAAGCTAGGGCCCTTTATCAAATAACTGAACACTTAAACCTGTCCTAAGAGTTGGAGAAGCTAAAGGAAGATCCAAGGGAAAGAAATTTCAGGCTTGGCTGCCGCTGCCCTTGTGCCCTTCAAATCTCCCAAGAATCTTCCTCATGGCCCTTCCTAATGGGAAACATACAAGAAAAGGAATACAAGGAAATATAGTTGAGATGCATTCCAAGCCAGCACGAGTTGCGTCCAGACTATAAAGTTCCTGAAAGTCAAGCTAAAGAGCTTGGTTGGGCCTGGCACAGTGGCTCACGTCTGTAATCCCAGCACTTTGGGAGGCCGAGGCGGGTGGATCACCTGAGGTCAGGAGTTCTAGACCAGCCTGACTAACATGGTGAAACTGCATCTCTATTAAAAATACAAAATTAGCCGGGCATGGTGGTGCACGCCTGTAATCCCAGCTACTCGGGAGGCTGAGGCAGGAGAATTGCTTGAACCCAGGAGGCAGAGGTTGCAGCGAGCCAAGATCATGCCATTGCACTCCAGCCTGGGCAACAAGAGCGAAACTCCATCTCAAAAAAGAGAAAAAAAAAGAGTGGTTGATATAGACAATGAGCAACCACTGAAATCTTTTTCGAGCCAGAAGCAACATGAGCGAGGCTGGGCATGATGGCTCATGCCCGTAATCCCAGCACTCTGGGAGGCTGAGGTGGGAGGATTGCTTGAGTGAGGAGTTCAAGACCATCCTGGGCAACTTAGGGAGACACTATCTCTACAGACAATTTAAAAATTAGCTGGGAGTAGGGGCGCGTTCCTGTAGTCCCAGCTACTTGGGAGGCTGAAGCATGAGGATCACTTGAGCCCAGGAGTTTGAGGCTGCAGTGAGCTGTTACTGTGCCACTGCACCCTGGCCTGGGTGACAAGATTGCAGTGGTGAGTAGTACAGATTGGAGGGCCTGGTTCTGGTGCCCTGTATATATTTCAGGTGAGGGGTAGCTAGGTGATCTGGAAGGCTCATGTGGAAAAGGAAGTGGCAGAGCGATGACTAGAAATTTGCTGCTGGGGGCCAGTATGCAAAGCTTGCTTTTGTGTGTTTGGGGGATGAGAGCAGATCTACACACAAAGTATTTGCTGTCCTTCACATTGCCTTTGTCCCTCCATGTTTTAAGCCTAGAACATTTAAACTGGGTCAACATCCCAACTTTGTGACCCTAAACACGGTCCTGAAGGAGAGGATACCAATGGACGTTTGTCATGTTTTGTGACACTCAATGATAGCAACTGAAAACCCTTGCTGTGAGGGAAGGCACTGAGTGGGTGGAAAGAAAATACAAAAGCTGGGCTGAAGCAGGAGAAAGCTGGGAACCCTACACAAGGCTAAGCACACCTGGACTCCTTCCTGGCCCCCAAGAGCTCTGGGGGAATGGGTGAGTTGAACTGGCAAGGAGCAATCCACTCTCACCATGGGCCTCTGGAACCGTGGCAGGAGGAGACCCCTGGACCACCACAGATACTCAATTTGGCAGGGAGAGCTGCTTAGAGAAGTGATAGGGGCAGCACACCAGCTGATGTGGAGCCCAAAAGGTTTCATGTGGGAGCATCTGTAGCACAGCATGACCAGGATGTCCATCCCCCTAGATTCAACTTGCTCCCATAAGAGACTTCTGCCCTAGGGGAACTGACGGACCTGAATTCTGCAGGGCGGTCTTGTCCATCAGACAGGGCCAGTTGGACCCGAGCACTCCTTGATCTGCTGGCACTGTCTGATGGGCCCCAGCCTGGCTACGTCTGCTTGCAAGTCAGCTTCAGGTGCCCTGGGGGCCCACACCATAGATTCTGTGCTGGTGGACTGTGTGTGACTGGTGGAGAGCTCCAGAGGGGTGGCCCCTACAGCCACACACCAGCCCACACACTCCCTACCCAAACTGCAGCTTCCCTGGGGTCCGCGGCAGCTCCCCACATCACTTTGCTGGCACGTGTCTGCCTGGGTGGGTTTTGCATTCCTCGCCCTGCCAGTGTGGGAATGCAGCCACTTCCCATTCCCCCACTGATCACCATTGCAATCGGAGCCTTGGCGAACACAGAGCCCGCCAGCCCAGCCCCTGTCAGCACCCCACCCTTGCACTAACACTGTGTAGAGAAGAGCAGATCCTCCTTCACCCTAAGTGACCACTCCTGTTTGTGGGGCACAGAGAAGGTACCCAGACCTGCACCTGCCAGCATTCTGCCCCCAAGCCAACACCACCTCCAGCACAACCACATGCACAGTCACCAGCAGAGGCCCCCTGCACATCCCCAGCTGTGTTGCCTCCACCACTGTGGTGAATGCCTGCGGGGAGGCAGACACCCTAGCATCTGCTAGCTCTTTGCCACAGCTGCCACTACCACTGCTACTGGCATGTGCAGATGAGGATGGATCTGCTGTCACTGCACTACTAAATGCTTTGGCTGACACCATCCATCAGAGTGTAGTGACCAGTGGTCCAAGAGCACCTCACCCCACCCCCTTACAGTGCAGAGAAATTCCTAATCTTGAGGAGCCAGAGAAGAAAGTCAGGGCCCAATACAAGTCCCCTAGAGTTAGAGCATACAGTCCAGGAGTTGAAGGCTGAGCACTGGGCCCCTAAAATCTTCCAGAAACAAAGCCAGTCAGCGGAATCCACCTTATACCACAATCAAATCCTCAGGGTCATCAAATAGGATAAAAGAAAAGTATATATACGAAGGTCAGCAACCTCAAAGATTGAATGAAGATGAGGCCACAAATATGAGAAAGAATTAGTGCAAGACAGCTCAAAAAGCCAGAGTACTTTCTTTCTTCCAAATGACTGCATCCCCTCTTCAGCAAGGTTCTAAACAAGGCTGAGATGGCTGAAATGTCAGAAATAGAATTCAGAATGTGGATAAGAATGAAGATCATTGAGCTGCAAGAATACATTGAAACCCAATCCAAGAAAGCTAAAAATCATGATAAAACAATGCAGGAGCTGACAGACAAAATAGCCAGTATAGAAAAGAAAATAATCAATCTGATAGAACTGAAAAACATACTATAAGAATTTCATAATGCAATCACAAGTATTAATAGCAGAATAGACCAAGCAGAGGAAAGAATCTCAGAGCTTGAAGACTGGCTTTCTGAAATAAGACAGTCAGACAAGAATAGAGAAAAAAGAATGAAAAGGAATGAACTAAACCTCTGAGAAATATAAGATTATGTAAAAGAGACCAAATCTATGACTCATTGTTGTCCCTGAAAGAGATGGGGAGAATAGAACTAACTTGGAAAACGTATTTCAAGATATCATCCATGAGAATTTCCCCAACCCAGCTAGAGAGGCCAACATTCAAATTTAGGAAATGCAGAAAACCCCAGTAAGATATTTCACAAGAAGTTCATCCTGAAGACACATAATCATCAGATTCTCCAAGGCTGGAATGAAAGAAAAAATGTTAAAGGCAGGTAGACAGAAAGGCCAGGTCACCTACGAGGGGAAGCCTATCAGATTAACAGCAGACCTCTCAGCAGAAACCTTACAAGCCAGAAGAGACTGGGGGCCAATATGCAACATTCTTAAAGAAAAGAAATTCCAACCCAGAATTTCATATCTGGCCAAACTAAGCTGCATAAGCAAAGGAGAAATAAGATCCTTTTTGGACACCTTTTCAGACATGCAAACGCTGAGGGAATTTGTTACCACCAGACTTGCCTTACAAGAGCTCCTGAAGGAAGCACTGAATATGGAATGGCAAGACCATTACCAGCCACTAAAAAAAACACAATAAAGTACACAGACCGTGACACTATAAAGGAACCACATAAACAAGTCTCCAAAATAACCAGCTAACATCATGATAATAGAATCAAATCCACACATATCAATATTAACCTTGAATGTAAATGGGCCAAATGTCCCAATTAAAAGGTACAGAGTGGCAAGCTGGATAAAGAATCAAGACTCATTGGCATGCTGTCATCAAAGGCCCATCTCACATGTAATGACGGCATAGGCTCAAAATAAAAGGATGGAGAAAACTCTACCAAGCAAATGGAAAACAGAAAAAAGCAGGGGTTGCAATCCTAGTTTCAGACAAAACAGACTTTAAACCAACAAAGATAAAAAAGACAAAGAAGGACATTACATAACAGTAAAAGGTTCAGTTCAACAAGGAGATCTAACTATCCTAAATATATATGCACCCAACACAGGAGCAGCCAGATTCATAAAACAAGTACTCAGAGGCCTTCAAAGGGCCTTAAACTTCCACATAATAATAGTAGGAGACTTTAAACCCTGCTGACAATATCAGACAGATCATTGAGACAGAAAATTAACAAGATATTTAGGACCTGAACTCAGCACTGGACCAAATGGAGTTGATAGACATCTGCCGAACTCTCTGCCAAAACCAACCGAATATACATTCTTCTCATCACCACGTGGCACATACTCTAAAATCATCACATAATCAGAAGTAAAACACTCCTCAGGAAATAAAAAAGAATTGACATCATAGTAATTCAATTTCTTAGACCACAGTGCAATCGAATTAGAAATCAAGGCTAAGAAATTCACTCAAAACCATGCAGTTCCATGGTATTTGAATAACCTGCTCCTGAATGACTTTTGGGTAAAGAATGAAATCAAGGCAGAAATCAAGAAGTTCTTTGAAACTAATGAGAACAAAGATACAACATACCAGAATCTCTGAGACACAGCTAAGGCAGTGTTAAGAGGGAAATTTATAGAACTAAATTTATAGAACTAATCAGGCTGAGCATGGTGGCTTACACTTATAATCCCAGCACTTTGGGAGGCTGAGGCAGGCAGATCACTTGAGCTCAAGACCAGCCTGGCCAACATGGAAACCCTGTCTCTACTAAAAATACAAAAAACTAGCTGGGCATGGTGGTGCGTGCCTGTAGTCCCAGCTACTCAGGAGGCTGAGGCAGGAGAATCACTTGAACCTGGCAGGGGGAGGTTGCAGTGAGCCGAGATTACGCTACTACACTCTAGTCTGGGCAACAGAGTGAGAGACTCTGTCTCAAAACAAACAAACAAACAAATAAACAAAACAAGAACTAAATGCCCATATCGAAAAGTTAGAAATATCTCAATTTGACAACCTAACATCACAGCTAAAAGAACTAGAGACCAAGAGCGCACCAATCCCGAAGCTAACAGAAGACAAAGAACCAAAATCAGAGCTGAACTGAATGAGATTGAGGCATGAAAAAACACTCAAAAGATCAATGAATCCAGGAGCTTTTTTTTTGGAAAAAATTAATAAAACAGACCACTAGCTAGACTAATAAAGAAGAAAAGAGAGAAGATTCAAATAAACACAATCAGGGCCAGGCGTGGTGGCTCAAGCCTGTAATCCCAGCACTTTGGGAGGCTGAGGCAGGCGGATCACTTGAGGTCAGGAGTTCAGACCAGCCTGGCTAATGTGGTGAAACCCCATCTCTGATAAAAATACAAAAATTAGATGGGCGTGGTGGCACTTGCCTGTAATCCCAGCTACTTGGGAGGCTGAAGCAGGAGAATCACTTGAAGCTGGGAGATGGAGGTTGCAGTGAGCCAAGGTCATGCCACTGCACTCTAGCCTGGGCAACAGAGTGGGACTCTGTCTCAAAAAACAAACAAACAAACACAATCAGAAATGTCAAAGAGGATATTACCACTGACCCCACAGAAATACAAATAACCATCAGAGAATATGATGAACACCTCTGTGCACATAAACTAGAAATTCTAGAAGAAACGGATAAATTCCTGGACACATACAGCTTCCCGACTGAATCAGGAAGAAACTGAATCCCTGAACAGACCAATAACAAGCTCTGAAATTGAGTCAGTAATGAATAGCCTACCAACCATAAAAAGCCCAGACCAGATGGATTCACAGCTAGATGCTACCAGCTATACAAAGAAGAGCTGGTACCATTCCTGCTGAAACTATTCCAAAGAATTGAGGGCCAGGTGCGGTGGCTCACACCTGTAATCCCAGCACTTTGGGAGGCCGAGGCGGGCAGATGGCAAGGTCAGGAGTTCAAGACCAGCCTGGCCAGCATGGTGAAACCCCGTCTCTACTAAAAACACAAAAATTAGCTGGGCCTGGTGGCACGCGCCTGTAGTCCCAGCCACTTGGGAGGCTGAGGCAGGAGAATTGCTTGAACCTGGCAGGCGGAGGTTGCAGCGAGCTGAGATCGCGCCACTGTACTCCAGCCTGAGTGACAGAGGGAGACTCTGTCTCAAAAGAAAAAGAAAAAAAAAAAAGAATTGAGAAGGGAGACTCCTCCCTAACTCATTCTTTGAGGCCAGCATCATCCTGACAGCAAAACCTAGCAGAGACACAACAAAAAAAGAAAACTTCAGGCCAATATCCTTGATGAATATTGATGCAAAAATCCTCAACAAAATACTGGCAAACTGAATCCAGCAGCACATCGAAAAGCTTATCTACTACAATCAAGTAGGCTTTATCCCTGGGATGCAAGGTTGGTTCAATATTATTCAAATCAATAAATGCAATTCATCACATAAACAGAACCAAAGACAAAAACCACATGATTATCTCAATAGGTGGAGAAAAGGCTTTCAATAAAATTCAACACCATTTCATGTTAAAACTCTTAATAAATTAGGTATTGAAGGAACATACCTCAAAATAGTAAGAGCCATCTATGACAAACCCATAGCCAACATCATACTGTATGGGCAAAAGCTGGAAGCAATCCCCTTGAAAACTGGCACAAGAATGCCCTCTCTCACCAATTGTATTCAACATAGTATTGGAAGTTCTGGCCAGGGCAATCAGGCAAGAGAAGGAAATAAAGGACATCCAAATAGGAAGAGAGGAAGTCAAATTATCCCTGTTTGCAGATGACATGATCCTATATCTAGAAAACCACATAGTCTCAGCCCAAAAGCTCCTTAAGCTGATTAAAAAAAAACTTCAGCAAAGTCTCAGGATACAAGATAAATGTGCAAAATCACTATCATTCCTATACACCAACAACAGTGAAGCTGAGAGCCAAATCAGAAATGCAATTCCATTCACAACTGCCACAAAAAAACATAAAATACCTAGGAATACAGCTAACCAGGGAGGTGAAAGATCTCTACAAGGAGAACTACAAAACACTGCTCAAAGAAACCAGAGATGATACAAAGAGAAAAATATTCCATGCTCATGGATAGGAAGAGTCAATATCCTTAAAATGACCATACTGTATAAAGCAATTTATAGATTCAATGCTATTCCTATTAAATTACCATTGACATTCTTTGCAGAACTAGAAAAAACTAGCCAGGCATGTTAGCATGTACCAGTAGCCCCGGCTACTTGGGAGGCTGAGGCAAGAGAATTGCTTGAACCCAGGAAGTGGAGGTTGCAGTGAGCCAAAATTGTGCCACTGCACTCCAGCCTGGGTGACAGAGTTAAACTGTCTCAAAAAAAAAAAAAATACTAGAAAAAACTATTTTAAAATTCATACGGAACCAAAAAAGAGCCCAAATAGACAAGGCAATCCCAACCAAAAAGAACAAAACTGGAGGCATGAAGTTACCAATCTTCGAACTATACTACAGGGCTACAGTAACCAAAACAGCATGGTACTGTTACAAAAACAGAAACACAGACCAATAGAAAAGAATAGGAAGCGCAGAAATAAGACCTCAAGCCTGCTAACTATCTGATCTTCAATAAACTTGACAAAAACAAGCAATGGGGAAAGGATTCCCTATTCAATAAATGGTGTTGGAATAACTGGCTAGCCATAAGCAGAAGATTGAAACTGGACCTCTTCCTTATACCATATACAAAAATTAACTCAAGATGGATCAAAGACTTGAACATAAAACCCAAAACTATAAAAATCTGAAAGACAAACTAGGCAACACTGTTCTGGACATAGGAACGAGCAAAGATTTCATGACAAAGATGCCAAAAGCAATTGTGATAAAAGCAAAAATTGACAAATGGGATCTAATAAAACTAAAGAGCTTCTGCACAGCCAAGGGTACTGTCAACAGAGTGAACAGACAACAGAAGGGGAGAAAATTCTTGCAAATTATGTGTTTGACAAAGGTCTAATATCCAGCATCTATAAGATACTTAAATTTACAAGAAAAAACCAAACCCTTTAAAAAGTGGGCAAAGGACATGAGCAGACACTTTTTAAAAGAAGACACACATGCGGCCAATAATCATATGAAGAAAAGCTCAGCATCACTGATCATTAGGGAAATGCAAATCAAAACCACAATGAGATACCATCTTACACCAGTCAGAATGGCTATTAATAGAAAGTAAAAAAATAACAGATGCTGGTGAGTATACAGAAAAAAAGAAATGCTTATGCACTGTTGGTGAAAGTGTAAATTAGTTCAATCATTGTGGAAAGCAGTGTGATGATTCCTCAAAGACCTAAAACAGAAATACCATTCGATCCAGTAATCCTATCATTGGTCATACACCCAAAGCAATATGAATCATTCTATTATAAAGACACATGCACATGTATGTTTATGGCAGCACTATTCACAATTGCGGAGACATGGAATCCTCCTAAATGTCCATCAATGGTAGACAGGATAAAGAAAACATGGTACATATATACCATGGAATACTATGCAGCCATTAAAAAGAATGAGATCATGTCCTTTGCAGGAACATGGATGGAGCTGGAGGCCATTATGCTTAGCAAACTAACACAGGAATAGAAAACCAAATTCTCCATGTTCTTACTTATAAGTGGGAGCTAAATGACGAGAACACATGGACACATAGAGGTGAGCAACACACACTGGGCCCTATCAGACAGTGGAATCTAGGAGGAGGGAGAGGATCAGGAAAAATAACAAATGGGTACTAGGCTTAGTACCTGGGCGATTAAATGATCTGTACAACAAGCCCCCATGGCGAGGTGGCTCACACCTCTAATCCCAGCACTTTGGGAGGCTTAGGCAGGCAGATCACCTGAGGTCAGGAGTTCGAGACCAGCCTGGCCAACATGGTGAAATCTTGTCTCTAACTGTAATCCCAGCTACTCGGGAGGCTGAGGCAGGAGAACTGCTTGAACCTGGGAGGCGGAGCTTGCAGTGAGCCAAGATCCTGCCACTGCACTCCAGCCTGGGTGACAGAGCCAGACTCCATCTCAAAACGACAACAACAACAACCAAAAAAAAAAAAAAAAGACCCAAGTTTACCTATATAACAAACCTATACCCTTGAACTTAAAAGCTAAATTTTTAAAAATGTAAATTAAAACAGCAGGATATTGTTATTTTTACCTATTAGATTGGCAACAAGTAAAGGGGATTACAAAACTATGGATTTGGCAAGATATGTAGTAAATGTATAATCACACACTGGTAATGGGAGTATAAATTGGCATAACTTTTTTGAAGGTCAATTTGGTAAAGCATTAATATCTGTTAAAATACCCTTTAATTCAGACATTCCTCTCTAGATAGGTTTTTGTTTGTTTGTTTGTTTGTTCGCTTTTTTTTTTTGAGACGCGGAGTCTCGCTCTGTCGCCCAGGCTGGAGTGCAGTGGCGCCATCTTGGCTCACTGCAAGCTCCGCCTCCTGGGTTCACGCCATTCTCCTGCCTCAGCCTCCAGAGTAGCTGGGACTACAGGCGCCCGCCACCACGTCTGGCTAATTTTTTTGTATTCTTAGTAGAAATGGGTTTTCACCGTGTTAGCCAGGATGGTCTTGATCTCCTGACCTCGTGATCCGCCCGCCTCGGCCTCCCAAAGTGCTGGGATTACAGGCGTGAGCCACCGCGCCCGGCCTTGAAGAGTTTTTTTGTACGGATATATCCACACAGGCACTCCAGGATGTACGGCTAAAAATATTCATTGTAATATTGCTTGGAAAAGAAATTTTTAAAATAAAATGAATAAAATAAAATAAAATTGGATTTCTTGTCTTACTATTGAGTTTTTAAAGTCTTTAACATATTCTGGATATAGATCCTTTACTGGTTATATGATTTATAGTCTGGCTTGTTTTTTTTCTCTCTCTCTCCTTTTTTTTTTTTTTTTTTTTTTTTTTTTTTTAAGACGGAATCTCACTCTGTTGCCCAGGCTGGAGTGCAGTGGCACGATCTCGGCTCACTGCATCCTCCACCTCCTGAGTTCAAGCAATCCTCCTGCTTCAGCCTCCCGAGTAGCTGGGACTACAGGCTTGTGCCACCGCGCGCAGCTTATTTTTTTATTTTTAGTAGAGATGGGGTTTCACCATGTTGGCCAGGATGGTCTCAATCTCTTGACCCCGTGATCCGCCCGCCTCGATCTCCCAAAGTGCTGGGATTACAGGGGTGAGCCACCTCGCCCGGCCATTATTTCACTTTTTAAGTGATGTATTTTAAAGTGCAAACTTTCAAATTTTGATAAAGTCCAATTTATCTATTTTCATTCTTTTATGTATTGCGCTTTTGGGGTTATGTCTAAGAACTTTCGGACTCACTCAAGATCATAAATATTTTCTCCTATGTTTTTCCTAAAGTGTTATAGTTTTAGCTCTTATATTTTGGTCTCTGTTCTATTTTTTGGTTAAATTTTTTGGTATGTGATAGGTTTGGATCTGTGTCCTCGCCCAAATCTCATGCCAAATTGTAATCCCCGGTGTTGGAAGTGGGGACTGGTGGGTGGTGATTAAATCATGTTGGGGGGGTTTCCCCTTTGGTGATGATGATAGTAAGTTCTCGTGAGATCTGGTTGTTTAAACGTGTTTGGCACCTCCCCACACTGCTTGGTTCTGCTCCTGTCATGTAAGGCACCTGCTCCCAGTTTGCCTTCTGCCATGAGGAAAAGTTTCCTGAGGCCTCTTCAGAAGCAGAAGCCGTCATGCTTCCTGTACAGCCTGCAGAACCATGAGCCAATTAATCCTCTTTTCTTTGTAAATTACCCAGTCTTTATAGCAGTATGAGAATGGACTAATACTCTATGGTACAAAATAAAGTCTAAATTTAGTCTTTTAAATAAGATTATCCAGTTATTCCAGCACCGTTTGTTGAATAGACTATCCTTCCCCTCATTGAATTGTCTTGATGCCTTTATTGAAAATCAATTGACCACAAATATAAAGGTTTATTTCTGGATTCTCAATTATTTCCAATTAATCTATGTCTATTTTTGTATTTTTAGTAGAGACGGGGTTTCACCGTGTTAGCCAGGATGGTCTTGATCTCCTGACCTCGTGATCTGCCTGCCTCGGCCTCCCAAAGTGCTGGGATTACAGGTGTGATGCCAGGACTATAGTGTTTCATTATAGGTTTACAGTAAGGTTTGAAATCAGCAAATGTAAGTCCTTGAGCTTTGTTACCCTTTTCCAAAGTTGTTTTGCTATTCCATGTAAATTTTAGGACAAAACTTCTCTTTTTACTGCCAGATAGGGAAATTGAGGCTCAAAGAAGGCAGGGATGAGTTGCCCATATGGTGACAGCCAAATTGGAAGCCAGTCTCTTAGACCATGACTCTTTCATGTAACCCATAGGCCTTTTTCAAAAGTTTCAAAGCTGATGTCACGCCTCAGTTTTTAAGTTATATAAAAATAAAACAAACTGGCCTGGCGCAGTGGCTCACGCCTGTAATCCCAGCACTTTGGGAGGCTGAGGCAGGTGGATCACGAGGTCAGGAGTTCAAGACCAGCCTGGCCAAGATGGTAAAACCCCATCTCTAGTAAAAATACAAAAATTACCCAGGCGTGGTGGCAGGCACCTGTAATCCCAGCTACTCGGGAGGCTGGGGCAGAGAATTGCTTGAACCTGGAAGCCGGAGGTTGCAGTGAGCAGAGATCACTCCACTGCACTTCCAGCCTGGGCGACAAGAGTCAAACTCCATCTCAAATAAATAAATAAATAAAAATTGAATTAAACATAAATAAAACAAACTGTAAAAAGAAAATATCAAGGGGTTTGAACTTCAAATAATGTAGAGATCACATTATGGGGGGAAAATTCCAACTACGGTGAAGTTACAAGGTTATGGTTATCAATATTATCCATTACTTCTTTGAAAAATCATCCCTCCAGGCACGGTGGCTCACGCCTGTAATCCCAGCACTTTGGGAGGCCGAGGCAGGTGGATCACGAGGTCACGAGATCGAGACCATCCTGGCTAACACAGTGAAACCCCGTCTCTACTAAAAATACAAAAAATTAGCCAGACGTGGTGGTGGGTGCCTGTAGTCCCAGCTACTCGGGAGGCTGAGGCAGGAGAATGGCGTGAACCCGGGAGGCAGGGCTTGCAGTGAGCTGAGATCGCGCCACTGCACTCCAGCCTGGGCGACAGAGCAAGACTCCATCTCAAAAAAAAAAAAAGAAAAAGAAAAATCATCCATCTGAAGGATTGGGATCAACTCGTAGATCCTTCTCAGGCACAAAAACAAGCAACCCAGCAAAACACCTGGCTCATTGGTGGTGAACTAGGAAGCTGGGCTCTGTGCCATACACTTCACCCAAGGTATGTTGCTCTGTCACACTTGCACAGGCTGAGCGAGGGATTCTCTTACACATTTCACAGCTATGCTATTACTCTGTAGGGCTGTATCCTATCGATCAAGAATGAAAATAATCCCTTCCTCCCTCTTAACCCCTCCCAAGTGGTGGCAGTTGTTTCCAGCTAGACCTGATCTGCCTATTGTGCTGTCACCAACACCTCCCCAGAGCTCACCCTGGCAGGCTTGACATGGATCTTCCTGCCTCCTTCCTCTCTCCTCAGCTCCCATCCCGTGCATCTCCCTTCTGTGGCCAGGCTGTCCACAAAATTATTTTGCTTCAATGTGGTGATCTGTGGCCACAGCATTTTCCTTTTATACTTTTGGTCAATTAAGAGCTGCTATGTTACATTTTATCTCTATTCTCTTTTTTTTTTTTTGAGATGGAGTCTTGCTCTATAGCCCAGGCTGGAGTGCAGTGGCACAATCTCAGCTCACTACAACCTCTGCCTCCAGGGTTCAAGTGATTCTCCTGCTTCAACGTCCTGAGTAGCTGGGATTACAGGCGTCTGCCACCACGCTCAGCTAATTTTTGTATTTTTAGTAGAGACAGGGTTTCACCATGTTGGTCAGGCTGGTCTCGAACTACTGACCTCTTGATCCGCCCGCCTCGGCCTCCCAAAGTGCTGGGATTACAGGCGTGAGCCACCGTGCTGGGCCACATTTGATCTCTAAAGACCTTTGCCTTGTCATCTCCCTGCCCAAATACCCTGAAGGAGTCTCTCTGACGCCCCACAACAGATTAAGCTGTCTGGACTGCACCTTTATTTGCGTGTGTGTGTGTGTGTGTGTGTGTGTGTGTGTGTGTGTGTTACCTTTAGATTCCTTCATTGATTCTTTTTTTTTTTTTTTTTTTTTTTTGAGATGCAGTCTCACTCTGTTGCCCAAGTTGGAGTGCAGTGGCGCAATCTCGGCTCACTGCAAGCTCTGCCTCCCGGGTTCATGCCATTCTCCTGCCTCAGCCTCCCGAGTAGCTGGGACTACAGGCACCCGCCACCACGCCCAGCTAATTTTTTATATTTTTAGTACAGACGGGGTTTCACTGTGTTAGCCAGGATGGTCTTGATCTCCTGACCTCGTGATCCACCTGCCTCAGCCTCCCAACGTGCTGGGATTACAAGCGTGAGCCACCGCGCCCGGCTGTTGTTTTTTTTTTTTTTTTTTTTTTGATACGGGTCTCACACTGTTGCCCAGGCTGGAGTGCAGTGGCGTGATCTCGGCTCACTGTAACCTCTGCCTCCCAGGTTCAAGCGATTCTCCTGCCTCAGCCTCTCAAGTAGCTGGGATTACAGGTGCCTGCCATCTCACCCAGCTAATTTTTTAAAATTTTTATTTCTAGCAGAGGTGGGGTTTCACTATGTTGGCCAGTCTGGTCTTGAACGCCTGACCTCATGATCCACCTGCCTCGGCCTCCCAAAGTGCTGGGATTACAGGCATGAGCCATCGTGCCCGGCCCGTTCATTGATTTCTTTTGGTGCATACATTCTCAAAATGCTCATCTCACAGTATTAACATTTTGTTATTTTTATTGTTTTTTTTTCTCTTTCACAGTGCTATAGGCTAACCTGACCCTGATACTAACCTTTTTTGGTTTTATAATATTTGCACAAAAACCTTCCCTTTCTCCAAACTCTTCTCTCTTCATCCATCCCAAATAATTTCTTTTAAAAGTGTGACGTATCACGAAAGAAATGGAGAAAATGACATTTCCTTATTTACTGTGTGCCCCACAAAAAACATCTCGAAACTCTAAAGTGCTTGTGAAATGTGTTTCTGGGTTTCATATGTCTTATTTTGATTGAAAAATCCCTGTGCAGAAATCACATTGAACAGGATAACATGTTCAGGGTCAAGCAAATTACAAATGCTTGGAAGATTTTACAAATGTGTATAAGTGGTTTTCCTAGTTTGCTACAAACACTGAAAACATTTATCCAAGAGATATTTATTTTTTAAGAATAATTATTATTTCCCCTTACCACATGCTTTTTTCCAATTGAACTATGCTAACTTTCCAAATACTAAATATTTCTGTGCTTACTCTTGGTTATATATAAATATTTCAGGTTTGTTTTGGTTTTTACTTATTTCTTGAAGGTTAGAGTACTATTACTCTCAATTGTTGAGCATCTACTCCAGCACAGCCACTGCTGAGGCACATGCTGGTCAATATGGTAGCCACTACCAAATGAGGCAACTGAACACTTGAAATATGGCTAGTCCAAATTAAGGTATACGTTAGGCATAATATACACATCAAATTTCAAAGACATACTTTGAAAAAAGAATGTAATATATGTCATTGATATTTTATATTGAGCACATGTTGAAATGCTGATATTTTGGATATCTTGGGTTAAATAAGATGCTAGAAACAGGCCCGGTGCAGTGGCTCATACTTGTAATCCCAGCACTTTGGGAGGCCGAGGGGGGCAGATCACTTGAGGTCAGGAGTTCGAGACCAGCCTGGCCAATATGGCGAAACCCCTTCTCTACTAAGAATACAGAAATTAGCCGGGCGTGTTGGTGGGTGCCTGTAATCCCAGCTACTTGGGGGGCTGAGGCAGGAGAATCACTTGAACCTGAGAGGCGGAGGTTGCAGTGAGCTGAGACCGAGCCACTGCACTCCAGCCTGGGCAACAGAGCGAGACAGTGTCTCAAATATTTAAAAAAAAAAGAGACGCTAGAAACAAAACAGGTGAAGCCTGTTGTTTCTTTTTACATTTATTTTACATTTGCTAGTTTATTTGTTTATTTTTTTTGAAACCGAGTTTTGTTCTTCCACCAGGCTGGAGCAAAGTGGTATGATCTTGGCTCAATGCAACCTCCGCCCTCCGGGTTCAAGCGATTCTCCTGCCTCAGCCTCCTGAGTAGCTGGGATTATAGGCACCCGCCACCATGCCTGGCTTATTTTTGTATTTTTAGTAGAGACAGTGTTTCGCTATGTTGGCCAGGCTGGTCTCAAACTCCTGACCTTGAGTGATCCACCAGCCTCGGCCTCCCAAAGTGCTGGGATTACAGACGTGAGCCACCGCGCCCAGCCCATTTGCTAGTTTATTTAAAGTATATAATAAAGGATACAAAAGACAATTTAGATGAAGAGAAGCACAGGGCAAGGCATTGTGGGAGTCCATGCGCCGTCCGGGGTGACGCTCTGCAGGCACCTCCACGTGTTCAGCAATCAGGATGCTCCTTACTTTGTAAAATGTCACTAAAAGGAAAGGTAAACTTTCTTATTTGCCCTGCATTTGTGACTTGCATCATATTTGTCAGACAGTGCTGGTCTCAGCACTTCATATATTTAGAGTGAATGAATTAGTGAAAAAATGCAACTGGCTGTACTTTTTCTGATCTTTGAGGGCAGCTCACAATAGTCTACCAGGAAGGAATCAAACAAAGTTACGGTTTGACAGAAATTTATTGTAATTCAACTCAATCTCATTTTGTAATTGAGAATGCTGAGGCTCAGGGCTATGTTCATGCTTTATATACTATTCACGGAATAGACAGGAAAGCGGTGGGTGATTCAATACCAGCATCCCTCTGTCATCATCGGTGGAAAATGTCTCAGTGAGGATTTCCAAAAGTATCCAGGGACAAACGTCCAGGATTCTAGAGGACCCTCTACCTTGCTACCTGTGGAACTGGATCACTCATTATGGTTTTCATGAATTCATTCTCTGCAATTGACCGGAGCTGTCAAGGACAAACACCCCAGGCTGAGCCTTGGTCTCATCTAGGAGTGGCCAAGCTGGGGTGGGCAGGGCGGTCCAGGGTAGACACTCTGGGACAGTGGGACATTGTGACATCATCATTGGTGGTCTTGGACAGTTTCTCATTGCTGGGTCTCCACTCCTAGCTGTTACTGCAAGTCCATGCCTCTACCATGAGGGTGGAGGAGTTAAGATCAACAGATCCACATGTACCTTGAGGTGACAGACTGGCTCTGGTGAATATTCCCATTTTCCTTTTTAGAAGGTGACCCACTGGAATACTGCTTTTGTTGGTTCTTTTGTATGAAAGGAGTACTGGTGCCCAACTTCCTAGGGATGGTTCCTGAGGTGTACCCCTTCGTTCTGATAAGAATCCCTTTTATAATGGTTCTTATTTATTTACTTTTAACTTTATTTTTTATTTTCTGAGACAGAGTTTCGCTCTTGTTGCCCAGGCTGAAGTGCAATGGCGTGATCTTGGCTCACCGCAACCTCCGCCTCCCGGGTTCAAGCGATTCTCCTGCCTCAGCCTCCCAAGTAGCTGGGATTACAGGCATGTGCCACCACACCCAGCTAATTTTGTATTTTTAGTAGAGACAGGGTTTTTCCATGTTAGTCAGGCTGGGTCACGAACTCCCGACCTCAGGTGATCCGCCCGCCTCGGCCTCCCAAAGTGCTGGGATTACAGGTGTGAGCCACCAAGTCCGGCCTTAGCATGGTTCTTAATGTGGATGAAAGAGGCCCAGGCAGTCATTCCTTTGGTATCACCAGTAACACTGGGGGGTGAGCCAAAAGGTTCTTCTGCTTCTAGCCTCCACTCTGGTAAGTTTGGTATGAGCTTTGGAACCGTGGCTTTCATGTTAGGCTTCCTGTGGCTTCACTAGGGCCCACTCTGACTGAGGCCTAGTCCTGTCTGCTTTACCCTTTAAAAAATGGTTATAATTCTGAATTCATAAGATCTAAATGCCATGTTTTACTGAAAACAAAATAGGTTCCATCAGTCAATCGCATTTACCCTTATGTATTTATAAATCAGCAAGCTTGAATCCAATAAGGACATTAGTGTAAATGTTGGGCAAAATTGAGAGCACCCAAGTTAAGTGTGGGAGGGTGGTGGCTGTGTATCTCAGACTAGTGGCTTTGAACTGTGTCTGTGTATAGTTTACCCTGCAGGCTTAATTTTAGCTAGATGAACTACCAGAAATGTTAGCAATCTGTCTTTTCAGATTACTTCTGCTCTTTCTGCTAAAGACAGATTCTAGAAGTATGAAATCTTTACTTTTACATGTTTCTTTGAGCAGAACTGCAACTATTTTATCAGTGAATATTATGTCTTAATATGAATTTTTAAGCTTTTGTGGCAAGAAGTATTTACGTATTTATGAGCACTATATTAATTTTTTCATCGTTTTAGGTATACAGTGAGAGGGAGTGTGTGTGTATGTGTTGGGGGTGGTGGGGTAGAGAGAGGAGGAGAGATAGACAAGATAGGCAATTTTGGCTAGATGTTTCCATCTTATTTCTTATTATTGTACTGAGATTGTTGCTATGGAAAATAGTCATTAGAACTCCTGTACTTGAAAAAACTCAAAGCCTTAACTTAAATATTTGAAACATGACAAAAAAAGTAATACGAGAATATTAGTTAATATTATTTTGTTAAATATTGTAATTTATACTTTATCTTCAGGATGCTTTTCCATTTAAAAAATAATCAGGACAATTTTAACAAATATGTTTATCTCACCCAATCATGATGATTGAGTAATAATTCTCCATTTCACATTCAGTACTGTAGCCAGGAAGTACAGTAATGGATACAGTTGCTACTACATTTACCATCTGACCATATGGTATAACATACATCTGCCAAGGAGAACAAGCATTCCTTTACAATAACAAACAATATAGGCACTGTCTTAAGACAGACATCAGTTACATATCTCTTTCTTTTCATTAATTTATCCCACTGTGACTATGTAGCACATATATGTCAGGCACTCACTTTGACACTGAAAACTCAAAGAATTGTGCAACCAGGTCTCTGACCTTAAGCAGTGCAGTCTGGCAGGGGAGATGGTCATGTTGGCAAATGCTTATCATATGAATGTCATAAGTGTAACAAAAGTATATGTAAGGTGTGGGGAGAAACTTGCCTAACTGCTGGAATCCAAGGATCAGGTCAGGAGACAATCATAGAGAAGATGGTCTTTGAGTTGAGTACTGAGATCTTGGTGGGAAATATAATGTGGTAATCAAGAGAATAGACTAACCAGATAGCCAGACTATCAGGTTTCAAATCCTAGCTCTGCTACTTGCTAGCTAGGGAATCTCTTTTTTTTTTTCTTTGAGGTGGAATCTCATTCTTCTTGCCCAGGCTGGAGTGCAGTGGCGCGATCTCAGCTCACTGCAACCTCTGCCTCCAGGGTTCAAGCGATTCTCCTGCCTCAGCCTCCGGACTAGCTGGGATTGCAGGCATGCGCAACCATGCCCGGTTAATTTTAGTAGAGATGGGATTTCGCCATGTTGGCCAGGCTGGTCTCGAACTCCTGAACTTAAGTTATCTGCCCGCCTTGGCATCCCCAAGTGCTGGGATTACAGGCGTGAGCCACTGCGCCTGGCCTAGCTAGGGAATTTTAGGCATATTATTTAATCTCTCTGTGCTTCCATTTTCCCCTTTGTAGGATGGGCGTAATAGCTGGGCATGCTCATAGGGTAGAAGTGAGGTTATATGAGTTAGTATGTGTCGCAGTGAGGATTACATAAATTAGTATGTGTCATGGGCTCAGTCAGTATTAGCTAGGAGGCCAGGGATAGGAGAATTGGAGAAAGCAAGGAAACATGCAGAGGTATGGCAGTCTTGGTTTGTGAAAACTGAAATATGAGGTGCATTTGGGTGGAGGGTGGTGGAAAATGGCAATGGGAATGGATAGATCAGAGGAGAGAACTTTAATGCCATTCCAGAGGCTCATGCTTATGCAGCTCTTGGAGAATTTTACGGACAAATTCACATTTGCATTATAGAAAGACAACTATGGAGCAGTGGAGAAGGAGTAGAGGCTGGAAGATTAGGTAAGAAGTTACTGATGAGGAGAGATGATAAAGAATTGGCTGGCCAGGCGCGGTGGCTCACGCCTGTGATCCCAGTACTTTGGGAGACCGAGGTGGGGCAGATCATGAGGTCAGGAGTTCGAGACCAGCCTGACAAACATGGTGAAACCCTGTTTCTATTAAAAATGCAAAAAGTAGCTGGGCATGGTGGCACACATCTGTAATCCCAGCTACTCGGTGGGGGCTGAGACAGGAGAATCGCTTGAACCTGGGAGGCGGAGGTTGCAGTGAGCTGAGATTGCGCCATTGTACTCCAGCCTGGGTGACAGAACTAGACTCCATCTCAAAAACAAACAAAAAAATACAACAACAAAAAGAATTGGCTAAGAAATAGAAGGCAGGGTGCAGATTTAAAAGTCATTTAGGAGGGAAAACTGGTGAGATGCGGAGTAAGGGGATGAGGCAGGAAGAGTGGTGGATGATTCTTAGATTTCTAGTTTGGATGATTTGATAAAAGGCAGGAGGAAAAGTGGGTTTGGGGATAAAGTTTTAGATTTGGTGAGCTTGATGGACCTGTGAAATGACCAGAATGAGTGTTTAGGCCTGTCACTTGGGGACTGGAAGTCAAGATTTGAGATTCCTCTTGATATGGGCAGTAGTTGACGTGGGAATGTGAGTGACAGCGTGACACAGGCTGTATACAGAAGGACGTTCAGGAATGGTCAGGAAAGCCTAAATTGAGTACAGCCAGCAAAGGAGAGTGGTCAGAGTAAAGAGGAGATGCAGGAGAAGGTGGAGTCATGGAAAATGAACAGGAAATTCAAGGAGGAAGTGTCCAAACGCAGGCGAGAGGTCAATTAGAATAACTAAGGCCTGTACCTTGGTAGAGCTTAGGAAAACCCACAAACGATTATTTCAATGGAGTAGAACAGATTGGAGTAAGAGATACAGTGAATCCTCCTCATTAACGCCCTAGGTGTTAATACTTTAGGTCAAAAGCTAGGTGAATTCCTGGAGAACCTCCGTGGATGTAGTCCAGTTTCAGGCTTGCTGCATGAGGCAGATCTGGCTTCTCCTTGCAGGACTATTTACCCAGAGCCCAGCAAGGAGCTTGGCACATTCACATGCATTCTTTAAATATTGGGGGAAAGAATGGATGAACGGTTTGTGGCCGCCAGAAACCTGCCTTGGTACAGCGCTGGGCGCTCCCAGTACATGGCTAGCTCCAGGAAGTTAGGAGGCCTTTGGGAGTTACCAAAGAAGTTCTGTTGTTTTGGTAAGAACAAATTCATTAGTTATAGGGTTGATCTGGTCGTTTAATGCCTGTGCTGGTGATGATGGTGATAACGGGTCTACTCAGGTGGGTCCTGTTCTGAAACGTAGGTAAGCTCTTGGTACAGTTTCAGATGTGACTTTCTGAGTGAGTTTGCTTTCTTAGCTGTTTTATTTCCTTCCTGTGTGAAGGTGTCTTATCTCTCCAACTGGATACTACATTTCTGAAGGGCAAGGACCACTTACTCCACAGGAGTCTTCTGTCCTCCTTGCAGCACGAATTTGTCCACTTGATCCTCAGCTCAGAATCCTAGTGCTCCTCAGCCTCAGTTGATTTAACGCCCAGGGCAGGTCACACCTGGACTGTCCGCCCTGCGTGACTAGACCCTCAGTGAAAAAATGTGTAGTTGCTTCCCGAAACTTATCCTGGGCGGGCCGAACTGAGGGGATACTGAGAGCTAGCAGTAGGCAGGCAACCTGGACTCCCGCAGCCCGGCCTTGGGTCTCAGTGCACCCCACCCCATCTCACTATAGGGTTACCCCAACTGTCTCCCAGTAGACAGGTCTGGGGAGAGCCTGGTCCTCACTAATGGAGTGACAGCCACCGCAGGGGGGGGACTAAGGTCTCCCCTGGGATGCCCACGCGAGGGAACTGATGTAGGTCTGATACTGAGATTGGGGGGAAAAAGAAGAAAACACGGGGCAGGGGGAGGTGTTTCCACTATCTTCTCCCTTTTTTTGATACTGATGGGGAGGGGAGGTCTGGGATGGATGAAGCTCCTCAACCATCCGTTTCAGCCGCCCCCAGCTGCTCAACTTATCCGCCGCCGCTCGTGCCCGCTTCCAGCCTGCGTAGACCCGGCCGTGGTCGTCCGGAAGGAACCGCGTAGGAAACGGAGGTGGGGTGTCCCCCGGCGCCCCCACCAGAGACCGCCCGGCGCGGCAGGAGGATGTCGGCGCGCGGAGGGCTTGCGTCGCCCGCCCCTCCCCCGCCGCGCCCCCCGCCCCCGCCCACTCCCCGGGGGACCCCCGCGCCCGGGGGAAGCCCCGCGCGGGGCGCCCTCCGCCTGCCTCCGTCCCTCCGCCTCCCCGAGGTCCGGGGCTGCCTCCTCGGGCCGCGCCGGGCCGCCCCGCACTGCGCATGAGCGGGAGCCGGGCAAGCCCGTGAGAGGAGCCGCCGCCGCCGCCGCCGTCCATTCGCTGCGGAGCCGGAGGAGGAGGGGAGAGGCCTGGAGGACACCAACATGGTGAGGCACTGCGGCCGCCCGCCCGCCCTGCCGGCTGGGGGCCGGCGCTGCCGCGCACCCCCGCCCCGGCCGCCCTCCGTCCCGCGGCGACCCTGCAGCCCCGAGCCTCGGCCCGCGGCCTCCGTCCCGCTCCCAGGCGGGGGCTCTCCTGCCTGCCTCTCCCTTCCTCCTTCGCCCCTTCCCGCCCGGGCGCAGCCGCTACGCGAGAGCCGAGGAGGCGGAGCGGAGCCGGGCCTAGTCGGGAGCCCCGGGGAGTTTGGGGCGCGGGGAGCGGCCCCGGTGCCCCTTGCCGGGGCCCGGCGCGGGTGGGGGAGGCGTTGGGGCGGGGGGAGGGGAGGGGGCAACGGCCTTGCCCCTGCCCCTCTGCCGGCTCCATTGTGTCTGGTCGGGGACTGGGGTCTGGGGTTCCGGGTGAGTAGCCTCCCCCCGCCCCGAAGCCGGGGCTTCCCTCTCCGCCCGGCCGGGGAGAAGGAAAGACTTTCCCGGCGCGCCTCTCCCTCCTCCGCTCCCGGCTCCAATACCCCGCAAGTCTCCCAGGCAGTTTTGCTTGGGGCGGGGTATCAGCCCTTTTCCTTTCTCCATCACCTCTCGAGGCGTCCCATGCTTTTGGAGAAGGAGAGTTTCCCCGGCCAGTTGGTGGAGGTTATATTTACCTCTCTACTGAAAACATGGGAGACTGCTGAGCTTGGGGGAGGGGGTACGGAAGTGCAACCTGTTCTCATTTCATAAAATTAGGGAACACAGACTAGCGAGCGCCCTTTCGAGCACCTATTTTATTTGCTTGGGGGTGGGAGGAGTAATTGCTTTATTATAGTAGTTAAGGGCCATTTGTGATTTTTTTTAAAACAGTTTGTCAAGTTACTCTCCTTTTTTGTTTGGGGGGGGGAAAAAGTCCTCTCCAGGCTTGCAGACCCTTGTGGTCGAGTTGTTTACTTTGGTAATTAAGTACCTGACTCTGCTGGACGCTCTTCGCGTTTCAGAAGCGCTGTTTGGCATTGTACAGTCTGAGCGTGAGTTGAATTCCGTGCAGGTTACTGTATGAATAGTAAAAATGATATTGTTGTCCTTTGCTCGTGGGGAACATAAAGGCCTCTTTGAGGAGGGTGTGTGTGCGCGCCTGTGTTAAGGGAATGCTCCAGTGTCTTTGTTTTTAGTTGGTCTTATTTTTGCTGAATGACACTTCTAGTCCCATCCTCCAGCTTGGCAGTATTTTGTTGTCATGTATGGATATATGGTTTAGTCTGACACATATTTAACACTTATGTTCTGTGGCAAGTTGTGTAGGAATTTACAGTTTGAATTGGTAAGAAAACTTTAAAGTGCAGGTTAATGTATAGATTAGTATTACAGTGTTCAGAGATCCACCAGGCAGTCTAAACAGTTTCTAGTTTCTTAAGTATTTAGATGGTCATAGACATTACTCCTGAAGTTTCCAGACTCTTAGCATTTAGATAAGTATAGTAAGCTCGAAGTAATGACGTTAATTCCCTGGGAAACACTCAGCCACAGCTGAAATGTGTGCTCTTCAGGATGGTCTCCAGATCCGCATCATCCCCTAGACAGTGGGGTCCCGGAAATACTCATCACCTGTTCAGGAATTCAGGCATCAAGTGGTTCGTAGGGAGAGTTCAGCTTGTAAGCTTCTATTCTTTTGGTTAATATTAAAATTAGCTAGTTTTGAAACTTAGCCATAACCCATGTAATTCTACCAGTGGTGACAAGATATTAATTTAAAACATATCCTGTGGCTGAACTCAGTTTATGTCATGAGAATTGTCGTGATATTCTCTGGTTTAGCTAACTCACCGTAGGGGCTGGGCACGGTGGCTCATGCCTGTAATCCCAGCACCCTGGGTCACCGAAGCAGGAGGATTGCTTGAGAGCCTAGGAGTTTGAGACCAGCCTGCGCAACATAGTAGTGAGACTCCATCCCAAGGAAAAAAAATAGCCAAGCATGCTGGTGCTAGCCTGTGGTTGCCCCTACTCCAGAGGATGAGGTGGGAGGATTACTTGAGCTGGGAGGTTGAGGCTGCTGTGAGCCCTGCCACTGCACCACTCCAGCCTGGCTAACAGACCTTGTCTCTTAAAAAAAATAATAAGAAAGGAAAGAGACTCACCACTGGCCCTAATCGAAGTTAGGCAGTAAGAATTTTATAGTTAAGAAGTTGTTTCATTATAAAGTTATCTTACATATATTTGTTTCTTTATGCAGTTTCGGGGCTGTGAGTTTTTTGGTGTCTGTAGCTGCAGCCCATTTCCAGAGCACATGTTATTGTCAGTTCTAGAGCAAACTTAAATGATGGGATATTTGAAATACTTTGTATAAGTAAAAAAGTTCTGTTAACTTCCTCCCTCCCCCCACACACAGACTAAAAACGACTCCAAAATTAGATAATATTCTGTTACTTTGGAACTTGTTTTTTGTTGTTGTTGTTTTTTTTTTTTTGAGATGGAGTTTTTGCTCTGTTGCCCAGGCTGGAGTGCAGTGGTGCAATCTTGGCTCACTGCAACCCGTGCCTCCTGGGTTCAAGCGATTCTCCAGCCTAAGCCTCCCAAGTAGCTGGGATTATAGGTGCCCGCCAACATACCCGGCTGATTTTTGTATTTTTAGTAGAGACGAGGTTTCACTATGTTGACCTGGCTGGTCTCGAACTCTTGACTTCAGGTGATCCACCTGCCTCGGCCGCCCAAGGTGCTAGGATTACAGGCGTGAGCCACCACGCCAGCCTGAAACATATTTTTAAAAAGTGTTCGGCTGAGTGCAGTGGCTCACGCCTGTAATCCCAGCACTTTGGGAGGCCAAGGTGGGCGGATCACAAGGTCAAGAGTTTGAGACCAGCCTGGCCAATACGGTGAAACCCCGTCTCTACTAAAAATACAAAAATTAGCCAGGCGTGGTGGTGGGGGCCTGTAGTCTCAGCTACTCAGGAGGCTGAGGCGGGAGAATCACTGGAACCCAGAGGAGGAGGTTGCAGTGAGCCGAGATCGCGTCATTGCACTCCAGCCTGGGCGAGAGCGAGACTCCGTCTCAAAAAAAAAAAAGTGTTCAAAACGTGTGGGTTGTTTTATTTATAAGATGGCAGGATTGGACTTGATGATTTCTAAAGTTTCATCCAGCATAGACATTTTATGATTCTAATGATTTTTAGACTCATAGCATCATAGAATTTTTAGACCTGAAATAGACTCAGAGATCATCTAATTACTCCTCCCCATTTTTACACAAGAAGAAATTGAATATCAAGGAGGTTTTGAGGTTCAGGTTTGCAGGATTGTTGGTTGCAGAACTGAAACTATTTTCTCCTGGTCTACCATTTCCCCCAGTATTATCTGTTAACTCATATGAAATCCAGAAAATTACATTTGAAATTAAATCATATCCATCACTTAAACACAGGAAACCCCATGTTATTTATGAATATGTTAAGTAACAAAATTCATATTAATGGGTGATCAATGATGTTAATGCCTATGTTTTCAATGGCTTTAAATATATATGAACTTTGAAATTTAAGATTATGTTGTCAACAAATACTAGAATTTGTAAATTCAAATACATGTAGGTCTATTCAAGGTTGTCTTTTCATAACTTGTTGCACATTCTTTGCATGTCTACAAATAAAGGAGGTTATCAGTTCTTTTCAGTGATTATTATACGTCTGCTGTGTGCTAGAGATAGTGTTAGGCACTGAAGGGATGTATATATCACAGAAGAGACAAAAATCCTCACTCTGGTGAGGGGTACCTTTTAGTAGGGAGACATAAATAATAAACATAGTATATAGTTTTCTTCTTTACTATGTTAGAAGGTGTTAAGTGCTGTGGGAGAAAGCAGTGTTAGGGAAGGGGATTGGGGGTGCTAGGGCATTGATGGAAGTAGGGTTGCTAAATATCTGTATCACCAATGAGATAATTTTGAACAGAGTAGGGGATGAGGGAATAAGCCATGCAGAAATGTAGAAATCTTGAGGAACAGTGAGACCAATGTGGCTGGAGCAGTGTGTGTGTGTGTGTGTGTGTGTGTGTGTGTGTGTGTGTGTGTATGTATGTATATGTACATGTGTATATACAGGGGGTCGTTGGAGCAGATGAGGCCTAGGTGGCAAGGAGTGGGGGTAGGCATGGGTGGACACTGTAAGGATACTGGGCTTTTATCCTAGAGAAATGGAAATCCATTGAAGGATTCTGAGTGGTACGATATACCTTGTTTTTTTTTGTTCCATAGTGTCCTGTGACAGTATTACAGATAATTATTTTTAAAAGCAGTTTTTTCAGAAGACCCTTATTACAGTTTTCTTTACCATGCAGCTTCTATGTACAGAGTTTTGAATTCTGTTTAAGATGACTGTCTAATGTTCAATAAAAACTAATGGATTATCAAGTATACCTAGCCACACTAGGGTTAATAAAAACACAACCAAACCTCTTTGATAGATTGTTGAATATGTTCTAGTGGTTTATATGTAGTTCAGTGACTATATGCAGAAAACTGGGCCTTTGGGGACAAAGAAACGAAATTAACATTTATCGAGAAGGTACACTCTACTAGTCAGACAATTTACAATTGTCATTAATCTCCACTCCCACTTCTGAAATAGGCATTATTACTACTTTTTTTTTTTTTTTTTTTTTTTTAGCATATCTGGGAATGAAGGCTTAGCGATTCTAAATGATTTCATGCTAGTATGTGGCAGAGCAGGGGTTAGGACCCTGGTCTCTGGTTCCACACTTTTATCTCCCCCTGACCCTCACCTACTCCCATTTTTCTGTTTTTTGTTTTTTGTTTTTGTTTTTTTTTTTTTTTAACCCAGCAAGCACTCCTTCAGTGTAGATGTGGAATCTTTGTTTAGTTTTACTCTGGTTTCTTCCTTGTCATGCTGAATAATAGTGACCTAGTTGTTTCCATATCCAATCAAATGATCTGATGTAAACATTAAGTAATTGAAAAATTATAACTTTTGGTGCATATAGTAAGAAAGTTGGAGGTACAGTTAATTCTGTGTTAATTTTTGGCTGGGCGCGGTGGCTCACACCTGTAATCCCAGTACTTCGGGGGGCTGAGGCGGGCGGATCACAAGGTCAGGAGATCAAGACCATCCTGGCTAACACGGTGAAACCCCATCTCTGCTAAAAATACAAAAAATTAGCTGGATGTGGTAGCAGGCGCCTGTAGTCCCAGCTACTCAGGAGGCTGAGGCGGGAGACTGGCGTGAACCCAGGAGGTGGAGCTTGCAGTGAGCCGAGATCGCACCACTGCACTCCAGCCTGGGCGACAGAGCGGGACCCTGTCTCAAAAAAAAAAAAAAAAAAATTCTGTGTTAATTTTTTTAAAAAAGTTTTAAAAGAACAGGTCATTTGGGTCAAGTGGCTGCTTTGATTGTGCTCTTATAGATTGGGTCAAGCATAAGGAAAGTCTGGGAGAAAACTCCTTTTAAATTTCAGTATTAAGTTGTTCAATACTGTGTTTGCCATGAAATTTGATGAAGAGAAATAGTTCCAAATAGGATTCAGTTGCTTTGTGGACAGAAACAAGCTCTTGACTAATTTATATAGCCACTTTAGGTGTGCGCCCACCCCCACAAGAAAAAGCAAAACAGAAGGAAAAAAAATCACTGAAATAGTCTTTTATTACTTTATTGAATTTGTTTTATATAATTAGTACCTAGTCACTGAGAGTGATTAGGCTGCTTGTCTGCATTATGGGATTTAGTTTTTTTTTTTTTAAAGTCTATTATACTTTTGAATCACTCAACACAGAGATAAGTTGCTGAAGTACACAGCCCATTCCCTTATTAGAGTATTTTCATTTTAATAAACATGTGGAGTGTTTATTCAGAGGATTCTAATACTTCCTGATTTAGGATTTGAGAAAATATCAAATATTAGAATTAGATTTTATTTTTCAAGGATCATTTATTCTGTCTGTGAAACAAATATAGTATGTTAGAACTTAACCGTGGAATTTTAAAAATCTCATTTAATTTTTCATTTTTTGTGTGTTGGTTTTTTTTTTTGGCCTCAGTAATCTTTTGTTAATTTAAGATTACTTTAGAAAACAATGTTAAAGGAAAGTAAATTTAAATTAGCTACTTGGATTTCTTGTTAGAAGTTCAAGAAACAAGTTTGAGAGAATCAATTGCGATATGATGACTAATCCAGGTATTTTAAGATGGTTATTTTTTATTTATCATAATCAGAAATTAGCAAAAATAACTTTTGTTTTTTGTTTTTTTGAGACAGGGTCTCACTCTGTGTTGCGCAGGCTGGAGTGCAGTGGTGCAATCTCGGCTCACTGCAACCTCTGCCTCCTGGATTCAAACGATTCTCCTGCCTCAGCCTCCTGAGTAGCTGGGATTACAGACATGTGCCACCATGCCCGGCTAATTTTTGTATTTTTAGTAGAGACAGGGTTTCAGCATGTTGGCCAGGCTGGTCTCGAACTCCTGACCTCAAGTGATCCGCCCCTCTCAGCCTCCCAAAGGAGTGCACCTCCTAAAAGGCCGGGCGCGGCTGGCCTTTTGACTTGTAATTTTGACTAGTAATTCTGAGGGGTGGAGAGAAAATCTTTTAAATTTTCATTAGTTGCCTACTTTTTAAAAACCTGTTAAGAAAAGTATACAAAAGTCTACAAAATCTATTTGAATCTTACAGATATACTTCTGAATTTTTTTTTTTTTTTGAGCCGGAGTTTCGCACTTGTCACCCAGGCTGGAGTGCAATGGCACAATTTCAGCTCACTGCAGCCTCTGTCTCCGGGGTTCAGGTGATTCTCCTGCCTCAGCCTCCTGAGTAGCTGGGGTTACAGGCGCACGCCACCATGCCCAGCTAATTTTTGTATTTTTAGTAGAGACGGGGTTTCACCATGTTGGCCAGGGTGGTCTCAATCTCTTGACCTCATGATCCGCCCGCCTTGGCCTCCCAAAGTGCTGGGATTATAGGCGTGAGCCACTGCGCCCGGCCACTTCTGAATTTTTGAAAGGTAGATTGCCATAATGTATCATTGTGCACAATAATTACGTAGTATGTATATCATTCCTACTGGACTTAGTAGTACAGTAATACCCTCTTGTCTGTGATTTCACTTTGCTCGATTTCAGTTACCCGCAATCAACTGGTGATCTGAAAATATTAATGAAAAGTTCCAGAAATAAACAGTTCATAAGTTTTAAATTGTGCGTTGTTCTGAGTTAGCATGATGAAATCTCACTGTTGCAGCCGTTGGTCATCCCTTTGTCCATCTTATTCATGCTGTATTCACTGCCCACTGTTAGTCACTTAGTAGCTCTCTTAGTTATCAGGTCAAAAAAACATAGTGTATATGTGTATATATAGGGTTCTATACTATCTGTGTTTTCAGGCATCCACTGAAGTCTTGGAACGTTCCTCCCTCCCCCATGTGGATAAGAGGGGACTAAAGTAATACAGAGCCCCCCCCTTTTTTTTTGAGACGGAGTTTCGCTCTTCTTGCCCAGATTGGAGCGCAATGGTGTGATCTCCGCTCACCACAACCTCCGCCTCCCGGGTTCAAGCAATTTTCCTGCCTCAGCCTCCTGAGTAGCTGGGATTACAGGCATGTGCCACCATGCCCGGCTAATTTTGTATTCTTAGTCGAGATGGGGTTTCTCCATGTTGATCAGGCTGGTCTCGGACTCCCAACCTCAGGTGATCCGCCCCCCTCTTGGCCTCCCAGAGTGCTGGGATTACAGGTGTGAGCCACTGCGCCCAGCCTCTTTTTTTTGTTGTTGTTAAGACTGGGTGTTGCACTGTTGTTTAGGCTGGAGTTAGTGATGTGATCATGGCTCATTGCAGCCTCAACTTTCTGGACTCAAGTGACCCTCCTGCCTCAGTCTCCTAAGTAGCTGGAACTACAGCTGTGCGCCACCAGATCTTGCTGTGTTGCCCAGGCTCGTCTTGAACTCTGGGCTCAAGCAGTCCTCCTCCCTCGACCTCCCAAAGTGCTGGGATTACAGGCGTGAGCTGCCTTGCTCAGCCTCAGCACCTCTTAAAAAGGAGTTAATTTCAAGAGTTATTCAAAGTGCAGGAAATTTAAGAATGAATGAATAATCGTTATCCATAAGCAATTATTTTAAACTTCAAATTATAAGAGTACTATGAGGGTTTTGTTCGTTTTGCTTAGTATTTGAAATTGTACATATTTCCATATATTTTCTGGCCATAACCTGTACAAGTATTTGTATTTTCTCTGAGTTTCAAGCCTTCTCTTTGGAAAAGGGAACCCTGACTTAGAGTGCCCTGTGATTTTTTTTTTCAACCTGTGTACATTTAAAACTATAGATTATAGCCATCTGTTTTTAAAATAGACTGACAGGACTATAAATACATTTTTCTTTCTGTTGTATTGCTTGTCTTAAAAATAACTTATACCCTTCCTTTTCTCCTTCTTACCCCCAACCAAAAAAAAAAAAAAAAAAAAAACCCTAAATAGAAGCTCCATCCCCAAATTATCTTTTTAGTTAGGTTGTGAGAGAATGCTTAATGGGGAATTTTTAGTTGGAATGCAAATCGTTCACATTTGACTACTTTTCCATTAAAATAGGTGAAGAAATATTGCTCACAGTTTTCCTCCCTTCAACAGTCAGTGGTTGCACTTTTGCCCTTTTTGTTTTTCTTTTCACTTGAAGACAGTATGTAGTAAATGGCGAGACTGCATGCCTTGAAACCAGGCACCAGGGTTTCATTCTGGCTCTGCTACTTTTTGAATAAGTAAATAAATGATGCTGAAAGTTTGGTTCCTCATTGGTAAAATGGAACCATCTTGCAGGATTAATAAGTACCTAGCACAGTGCCTGGCACACAGTAGAAGCTCAAATGTTAGTTGCTAGTTTTATTATAGCTGTTGTTTACCATTTAAATTTTTTTTTCTGGAGTTTTTTTTTTGTTTTTTTTTTTAAGATAGGGTCGCATGCCTTCTCTTGTCCAGGCTGGAGTGCAGTGGTGCCATCATAGCTCACTGCAGCCTCTATCTCCCGGGCTCAAGTGATCCTCCCACCGCAGCCTCCCAAGTAGCTAGGACTCCAGGAATGCACCACCATGCCCGGCTACTTTTTTGTTGTTGCTAATTTTAATACAGATGAGGTCTTCCTGTGCTGCCCAGGCTGGTCTTGAACTCCTGAGCTCAAGTGTTCCTCTTGCCTTGGCCTCCCAAAGTGCTGGGAGTACAAGCCATGAGCCCACCACACCTGTCCATCTTTCTTCCTCTGTGGACTTCTGTGGAGTCCTTACCATGTGCTAGTTACAGTTCTAAGAGTTTAACCTGAATTGATTCGTGTAACCTCAACACTCTGTTTACAGATGAAGAAATTGAAGCACAGAAAGATTAATTTTCCCAAAGTCATACAGCCATTAAGTGGCACCAGTAGAGTTAAAATCTTGACAGTCTGGTTTGAAAGTCTGCACTCTTCACTAGTGAATCATATTATATTGCCTCTGTACAGGTAGAAGGAAAGAGATAGAGCTACTCCTACCTAGATTCCTATTCTGACTTTCCTGGAGTAGAACTTTGTTTCTAGGTGAAAGTCTGCTCTGGGAGTTGTAGGTAGGCTCATTGGCTGAATTGATTTTTCCTGCACTTTTGACTTCGGACCTGTAGTCTATTGGAGGGCCTTTTGTGAGTGAGTGATTTTGGATATTGGTAACGTTTTGCTATGTCTGCTGAATACCGTGTATTATGTATGGAAAGTATGATCTTCTAAAGTTAAAACTAGCTCTTCTAAATTTCAGATGAAGTTAAACTGTCAATATGATAATTACATAACAACATACAGAGCTTTTAGTGAGAATTATAGGTGATCGTAAAAGTGTTTTGATTTTGAAAGCATTGACTTTTGTGAGCTAGATTCATCAAATCCTGAGATAACAAGAATTGAGTTAGAAAATTAATTCCTTTAAAAATATAAAGGCCTAAGTGTCTGTTTCTGAAGTTCAGGCTGAAATATAAACTTAAGGATGAGAAGGTGAAAATTCAAGATAATGGAAATAATAAAATGGATCTTATTTTTTTGCTGTTAAAAAATCACTTATTAAAATTACTTCTATTTTGCAATTGTTAGGACTTAGTTGACTAGAAAGTCATTTTCCATGTTTATTTTTCCTTGGGGAAATACTTTTAATGGGAAGGCTTTTTAAACTTTATTATTTTTTCTTCAGATAAACTATTATTTAAAATGTGATTCTTAAATTTCTTTTCTTTTCTTTTTTTTGGGGGGTTAAGATTTCGCTCTGTCACCCAGGCTGTAGTGCAGCGGCGCTATCATAGCTCACTGCAGCCTTGAACTCTTGGGCTCAAGTGATCCTCATCTTCCCACCTCAGCCTCCCATGTAGCTAGGACTATAGGTGTGCGCTACAACAACCAGCTAATTAAAAAAAATTTTTGTAGCGACAGTCTCATTGTGTTACCCAGGCCAGACTAGTCTTGAACTCCTGGCCTCAAATAGTCCCACTGCCTCCGCCTCCCAAAGTGCTGGATTACAGGCGTGAGTTACTGCACCTGGCTGATTCTCTTAATTCTTGAATTTCTTGAGTGAAAAAAATAATGCAAATATGCTAGATTTAAGAATAAAACAATATGTGTTGATAACTTGGCATGTTATATTTTGGAAAGATGAACAAATAAATTCATTTTACTGTTCAGATTATGACAGTATTTCTAATTTTGGTAATCTTTGATACCGTTGTAATTAGCTTTCTGTTACAAGAGATAGCATTTCTCCTCCCCCCTGCTTTTTTTGCTGGGGTTAAAAAGCAAAATATATTCTGTTTTATGCATTTTACAGCCTTACAACTATTGCATTTCTTTGAAAACTTGATAATACCTAGGTAGTTTTAACATTGGAATACTGAAGATTATATTGCCTGATCTTATTTAATTATTACTCTAGTTTATTCCCTTTAAATAAGTATTTAAATAAATGGCATATATTACATTTGAGTGCTGAATCATTGTAGCTGTCACATGGTTTTGCTCTTGGGAAGTTCCCCACTGGGTTTGTAGTAGAAACAGAGAAAAAATCCATCTGTTTTTTCTTCCACCTCAATTTTCTATCCACCCTCTCATCCCCTATAAAATCATTCTTCTCTGGTTAGTCACCTTTTTCTCTTCCTTGTGTTGATAAAAATTTAAATCTTTAGTGCCATACTGTCAAAATCAGAACACTGCCTGGTACACCTTTGTGGCTTAGGAAAAGGGGATGGGAGTGTTACAGCTCCCCTAAATTGGTCAGGTATACTCCAGCTTTATTCTAGGATAGCCTTTGAGACTACAGAATTGAATTCCCTTAGTAGGGAATCAAATGTTACAATGTATTCTAGGAACAGAGAGCTGACAGAGAAGTGGTAAGAGTGCATTGTAAGTGTAAGAAGTGGAGGGTACTTATCAGACTTTATAGGAATGGGATTGTCAATATCACTTGGCTTAGCTGGAGTCCGTACTGTCAGTTCTTGGCCTGGTAGAACTCAGTAGCCTTTATGGTGTTGGAAGTGGGTAGGTACACCCTGTTTCTTCAAATATGTTGATATTGCCCTATATAGTGGAAATTTATACCAAACCAGTTAAAATAGTTTACATTTGGCCTGGCGCGGTGGCTCATGCCTGTAATCCCAGAACTTTGGGAGGCTGAGGCGGTTGGATCACCTGAGGTCAGGAGTTCAAGACCAGCCTAGGCAACATGGCAAAACCCCATCTCTACTAAAAATACAAAAATCAGCTGGGCGCAGCAGTGCGTGCCTGTAATCCCAGCTACTCGGGAGGCTGAGGCAGGAGAATCGCTTGAGCCTGGGAGATGGAGGTTGCAGTGAGCTGAGATGGTGCCACTGCATTTCTGCCTGGCAACAGAGCGAGACTCCGTCTCAAAAAAAAAAAAAGTTTACATTTATATATATATATCATTTATTACATAAACATTTTTCAAATAAGATATGACATGGAATTAATTCATTTGTATAATTTTGTTTTTAGTTGGTGTGGGTAAGACAGTTTTTTATCTTTGTTTCCCTGGTCTTCTATTATCTTACTTTTTGATAGGAATAGTATAGTAGAATGAATAGTTCTTTTTGGCTTGTAGAAATGACTTAAGCTATGATTTTTCCTTCCTCCCTTCAACAAAGGTGATTGACCCTGCAGGGAACAGAGCACTGGATTTAAAACTATATGATAAAACCCCAGACAAATCTGATTGTTTTGCCACTTCCAACTTTTAGGAGGATGGGGGAAAAGTTATGCCAATATGTTATATCAGGTTTAATTAAAAAGTAATTTCCAGGCCAGGCACAGTGGCTCACTCCTGTAGTCCCAGCACTTTGGGAGGCTGAGGCAGGTAGATTGCTTGAGCCCGGGCGTTTGAGACCAGCCTGGGCAACATAGCGAGACCCTGTCTCTAAAAAAACAAAAAAACCTACGTAATTTCCAGGATATGGTCTGTGGTTGGTGTACTTGCAGGTTAATCTCCAACACTTCCTGCACCATTGTGCAGTGGTCACTGACAGTCACAGTGATCCTTTGGTACTTTACTTTGTTCCTCAGAGGAGGATTAAAACATGTTAGGGTACTCTGTCACTCAAGGGAGAAAGGTATACTGAGTTTTAAAATAAATTTCAGTAACAAAAGTTGGAATCAAAATGGTTTCCTTGTTAACTTTCATTTAAGCAAAATTAGGACAGTTCTCTTCCTTGGCATTTGATTTCATTGTGAGTTTGTTGTCATTGAACAGTAAATCTCAAGGAGGAGATAGTTTTCAAAAGGGAAGAATCCTAGACACTTGAGGGATGTGTTTTGCAATGGGATATGACTTATCTGATGTGCAGATGTTGTAGAGTTACTAGTGAAGTAGCAGAAGAGTAGTGAATTTATAGTTTCTTAATTTTAGTGGAGTACAGAGGTTGAGATTTTAATCTGTAATCCTAACAGTAACATATTTACAAAGAGAGGAGTGTGGCTGACATCAGATTCTAGAGCATAGATATTTTTCATATTGCAAGAAAAAGGGAAATAGGGCTAGTTTTCATATTTGATTTTGCATAGTCTTGTTTTTACTGTGATCGGTAGAAGTATGTTGTAAAATCTCAAAAGCTATGTAAATATGTACAGCAAGCAGTATGATTTATGGAAAGATTACTCAGATTCATGAGACCTCTTTGTTCTTGTCTCATTTCTACTAATAACAACCTGAGTGATTTTTTTGAACAAATGCCTTAACCTTCTGGTTAAGGTTCTCTGATCTGTCTAATCTGGAAGTTGATGTTTACGATCTGTCTGTTTGGGCCAGATGAGGGAATCTGGGGCTCTCAAATGTGTTGCTTAAACCACAGAAAATATATATATATATATATATATATATATATAGTTTTTTTGTTTGTTTGTTTGGAGGTGAAGCCTCGCTCTTGTCCCCCAGGCTGGAGTGTGATGATGTGATCTTGGCTCACTGCAACCTCTGCCTCCCGGGTTCAAGCAGTTCTTCTGCCTCAGCCTCCCGAGTAGCTGGGATTACAGGCACCTGCCACCATGCCTGGCTAATTTTTGTATTTTTAGTAGAGACGGGGTTTCACCATGTTGGGCAGGCTGGTCTTGAACTCCTGACTTCAGGTGATCCTCCCGCCTGGGCCTCCCAAGGTGCTGGGATTACAGGCGTGAGCCACTGTGCCCAGCCAACCACAGAATATTGTGTCTATTCATGAGTACCTCAAGTTTTCCCTCTTCATTTACAATAGTAGCTTAGGAAGAACCCAAGTATTTTGCTAGAAGATGGTATTGGAGCTTGGGAGGAGGAAGAGTAACAGTGGTGAGGCTGCAGTTGCTAGGAGGCCGGCTTGGGTGAGAGGGAAGGGAGAACATGGTCTTTGATACTGGGAGAGAGTATCCTGCCTTCTTTTCCTGTGGGTTTAGGTCAGATGAGAAATGAATCCTTGACAATGTGCAGCAAGTGAGAAGAGGTGATTATCTCTTCACCTCTTCCCCTCTCTGAGAAGAAGTAGAAGGGCTGTTTGGAGAGACCAAGGGTCTCTGCTAGGCTCTGGCTAAGGGAATGAAGTGATTCTTTCAGGGGAAAAAGAAAAAAAAATTATTTTGATAGGATATGAGGAAATTTTGTTGATAATTTTCTTGGTTCCTGGATACAACTAGGAGAAATGTCGAATACTCCTATTTTATTGCTTTCTCCTATTTGGTAAAAACAGCAAGAAAACAAGGTAGGTGGTGTTGGGGAGGGAGGATCCCCCCTCTTCCCACGCCATATCCTTTATAGTGGGTATTAGGACTGCAGTAAACACCTGTTAATCTCATGGTTCCCCAGGGGCATTTGCTGACTGGGCAGATCATGTCATCTTCTTCCCTGCGTCTGATCATGTCACCTTCTTCCCCGTGTCTGCTTGTGCATCCATCTCAGAGCACTGTGCTTGGTCGGGGTTTGGAGGGTAGCGCGGCTTCCCTTCTGCAGCCTTTCTGTATGCTCTCAGGACCCACTGTAGGAGAAACGCTGGGTGGTTGAGCTTCCTTCGCTTCTGTCCTATTTCTCTTCCAAAACTGTACCATATTTTCTGTTTCATATTTTTTAAAAGTTAGCCTTTCTGATGAATAATAGATCAAAAATAAATCTTAAGCTAAAATGTTTTAATGTTTTGTGAGGAAAAAGTATTACTAAGAATGTTTAGTTAGCCATATAGAAATATTTAGTCTTATGTGATTTTACATAGAGTTTCAGTTTATTTTCTGGTTTCAATAGAACAAGTTGAAATCATCGCAGAAGGATAAAGTTCGTCAGTTTATGATCTTCACACAATCTAGTGAAAAAACAGCAGTAAGTTGTCTTTCTCAAAATGACTGGAAGTTAGATGTTGCAACAGATAATTTTTTCCAAAATCCTGAACTTTATATACGAGAGAGTGTAAAAGGATCATTGGACAGGAAGAAGTTAGAACAGCTGTACAATAGATACAAAGGTGAGTGCTTGCTTGTGACTTTAAGTAAATTTTGGACCAGATTTTCCAAAGAGATGGGCTTATGAGAAATGAAATACTATATATAACTTAAATTGGGTGGATGTGTCCAATAGAGGTCTGTAGATCTTAGAGTTATTTCAAGAGGTCTGAGGAAAAATTATTTTCTTTTCACTAAAATTTCTTCTTGGCCTCTTTATTTTCCTCCCCCATTGTGCAAGTTGAGAATGGGGATGGGGAACTGTTTTTTCTGCCCTCATATGTATAAAACTCAGCTGAACCAGTCTAAGGAAACCTGCATACTGAATCTTTAAAGAATTATAAAGTAATGCATACTTTTAAAAAAGTTCAACTGCATAATAGGTGAATAAGAAAAGGTTAATAGTTTGTCTTTTCTTATTCATTCTCCTGAGTAACCAGTGCTGTGGATCCTTCCATATCTTTTATGTTTATGCAGAAATATATTTACAGAGTTTCTTTCAAAGTTTTTCTGAAAATGGGATATTTATTTTATGCATAACTTGTGCTCCAAAGTCAAATTATGTTCATGTTTTTTATTGCTGGAAATATTGCCAGATTACTTTTAGAAAGGTGTTAGCAAGGCTGGGCGTGGTGGCTCACACCTGTAATCCCAGCACTTTGGGAGGCCGAGGTGGTCAGATCACAAGGTCAGGAGTTCAAGACCAGTCTGTCCAATATGGTAAAACCCTGTCTCTACTAAAAATACAAAAATTAGCTGGGCGTGGTGGCGTGTGCCTGTAGTCCCCGCTACTCAGGAGGCTGAGGCAGAAGAATCACTTGAACCTGGGAGGCAGAGGTTACAGTGAGCTAAGATCATGCCACTGCACTCCAGCCTGGGTGACAGAGTGAGACTCCGTCTCAAAAAAAAAAAAAAAAAAAAAAAGAAAGGTGTTAGTAAATCATATTTGATAGCAGTCTATGAGTGCCTCTTTCTCTTTGTTTTTGTTATTTAAAATTTTTGCCTCTCTGATAAGTATAGATTTTTTTCTTTAAACAAGAGATATTTACATTGTTGAGATTAGGGTTGAATTGCATAGTTTAGGTCACAGTTTTTCTGATACTCTTAAGAAGTAATTGTTGTGGTAAAATGAACTTTGTTCTAAGAAAAAAAGAATTTCTGTTCAGAATGCCTACCTAAGCAAAATATGGATATCTTGAATTAGAATCCCATGTCCCTATATACGAATGTCTGATTTTCTGAATGTGTATAAGTATGGGACATATTTCACATGAATAAATGAGACTTTAAAAAATCATGTCTCATCTGCATATATCTCTACACTTTAAGAATGCTGTTAGTAAGGAGAATGGCTTTAAATAATGGGAAAGTGTATGTTAGAGTAATATCGTTTCATGCCTTCCATATATTGTGGTCATTTAAAAAATGGCATATAAAGCATTACCTTTTTCAGTTTTCATAATGTAGCATAATATGACACTACTTTAATATTGCATTGTTATTTTTAAAGACCCTCAAGATGAGAATAAAATTGGAATAGATGGCATACAGCAGTTCTGTGATGACCTGGCACTCGATCCAGCCAGCATTAGTGTGTTGATTATTGCGTGGAAGTTCAGAGCAGCAACACAGTGCGAGTTCTCCAAACAGGAGTTCATGGATGGCATGACAGAATTAGGGTGAGTATATAATTACAATAGGAAATTAGATATGTTACTGTGGAACTGAATTATGTCATGAACTTTTTAGTGTAAATTTAAAGATTTGCTGGCCCACAAACATTGGTATAAATAGAAATGGGTTAACTTGCTAGTTTCCATGTTATACAGTTTTTTGGGTTTGTCAAGTTATTTATATAGTTAGTACAGCCTATTCTATTTGGCTATATTCTTATCATTTACTTCTAAGGCAGGTTCATTAGTATTAAAATTATGCATTAATATTTACTATGGAAAAGTGAAATGACCAAGTTTTAAAGTTATTTCCTAATGTGAGACTTTGAACCCTGCATTTATAAAATCCTAGAATTTAAAAACTGGAAGATGCCTTAGAAGTTACTACTTGTTTCACTTAACACTTTGACAGCTGATTAGCTGAATGTCTTTGGATAAATTGATTGAAAAGTCATGGGTAGAGGTTTTACCTGTGACCTCTAGTTGTCCATATTTAATGAGGTTGCAGACAGAAGTAATCAGTCTGTTGGTAGGTAACAAGCTGCCCTTTCTGTTTTTTAGTGGGCCACTATTGAATAGTAATAGCTAACATTTATTGAACATTATTTTATTTCAGTTAACTGTGCTAAGTACTTCTCCTACCTCTTCACAGCAACTTTTTGAGAATAGTTTTCTATCCCCATTTTAGAGATGAAGAAATTGAGGTACAGAGAAATTATAGAATTAGGTAGTATTAGAGTCATGATTCGAGTCTGAGTGACATTGCAGTCAGTCAGCGTCCAGTCAAGATACAAAAACCACACCAGGGGCTAGGCGCGGTGGCTCATGCCTGTAGTTCCAGCACTTTGGGAGGCCGAGGTGGGTGGATCACCTTAGTTTGGGAGTTTGAGACCAGCTTGACCAACATGGAGAAACCCCGTCTCTACAAAAAATACAAAATTAGCTGGGCATAGTGGCACATGCCTGTAATCCCAGCTACTTGGGAGGCTGAGGCAGGAGAATCGCTTGAACCCGGGAGGCGGAGGTTGTGGTGAGCCGAGATCACGCCATTGCACTCCAGCCTGGGCAGCAAGAGCAATACTCCATCTCAAAAACAACAACAACAAAACAAAAACCACACCTGTAATTTTAACAGAGAAAATTTAAAGACTTGCTTTACTCTGTCAAAGGGATAAAAGGAAACTCCAAGGCATAACAGGTAGCAGTTGCAGTAAGCTGCTACCACCTCTGGGAAGTAAGGGAAGGGAACAGACAAGGAAGAAATTTAGAAGCTTAGGAGATCCCCACAAGGCTGAGATTCAGATCTGGGGTTTGGGGGGAGAGGGTGTGGCCAGCTGTGATGCTGGTGAAAAAACTGCCTGGAGACCACTTGCTGCAGGCTGTGAGATTGCTACCACTAGTGGATACTGCTGGGACCTTCCCACACACTAAAACCCTTGCCCTCTGGTGAAAACAAACTGGGATAAGAAAAGTTCCTTCTTCCTCTTCCAGCCTTTCATTGGCTCTTGGTAGAACCTAACACAGAGCCAGCTGGCAAGAAAAATGAAGTCTCACAGTTTGCAGTCCAATATCACAAAGTAGGGCAAAGAAGGATAGGTTTAAAGCTGAGAGGCAGTAAATTAACTGGCCTGGACACTATGTCCTTCAGCCAAAGCCAGGCCCATCCTGAACTTGCTGGGATTTTCTGTGCTAGGACAGGTTTCATCAGAACTTAAGGAAGCAATGTTTTTAAACATTTGAAACTGAATTCATGTAATATGTAATGAACTTTCAAATCAAAATTTTAATTTACAAACTAATGATCTGGAAGGTGTTACAAAGAATGTAGAAGGAAAATGAAAGCAAAAAACGATTAGAAGGAAAAAAATTGAATTGATTTGTTTGTGGAATCTATAAGAAATAGGGTATTTCTACCATAAGGCTCTATGAGGAAAGTAAGGCTTGGTACTTAGAGCTTTTCAAACTCTTCGAAAGTTGAATGTTTTGCACATACAGAAAAAGCTTAATATTAATTTGAGATGATTCAGTTGGAGGTGGTAGGAGGTTCACCTGTTTACTCCTGTACTGTGTATATAACAAGAAGCAAGTTTTCAGAAGGAATGTTTCCTCATAAGCAAGAGACCATACTTTTAGTTAATTTAGATAGTAGACGCGATTAATTACTGTGTCAGTAGTGTCTAATACAGTTTAAAATGATTGTTATGCTGATTACTATACATTCTTATTTATCCACTGAAGCTGACTTCTACTAGTGAAAGTGTTGATAGTCTAGTGAATTATGTAATTAAAACGAATAGCCTGTTTCTTTTAAAAGTAATTATTTAGAACATTTAATCACTCTAGACCTCTTCTTCCCGCAGCTAACCCCCATGCGTGTTTATATTTATGTAATATAAAAAGACTGAATTCGAACTATTTGATTTTTAAAAAAGTAGTTCTAGGAAATAAATGTAAGCCCTCATGGGAATAAGTAAGTTATTAATTTATAGTGAAACAGTTAATCTTTTATAAACTTAATTTTACGACGCAGATGTGACAGCATAGAAAAACTAAAGGCCCAGATACCCAAGATGGAACAAGAATTGAAAGAACCAGGACGATTTAAGGATTTTTACCAGTTTACTTTTAATTTTGCAAAGAATCCAGGACAAAAAGGATTAGGTAAGAATTTTTAAAAATTATATTTGGTGTTTCAGATATATTCAAATACATTGACAGTGTCGTTTTTGTAATAGAAAGTTATGTGTTTTGAGCATAAAGTCATGAAAATACCAGTTATTGAAAAGTAATTAGAAACAGGAAATTTTTAATCAGAAAATACCATGCACATTGAGTAAGTTTACCCTGGGTACTATATGTGAACCACTGACTTTTGCTTTATGAAAACTACAGTCAATATAGAAGATAGTTGTTAAAATTCCACTGACAGTTATTTATTTATGCATTCATCCATTCATTCATTTTTTCATTCATGACCCTGAAGATATTTTAGGATCTTAGGATCTATAGAAATAGCACTATAAGATTTCTGAGTCATAGAATGCCAGATAAATTTATTCTTTTTTGTTATGATTTATTTGAAAACTATAAGGATGAAAAATGAAGTGCTTATCATTCATAGTCTTATTATCCAGAAATAACCACTGTAAAAGTTTAGATCAATCCATTTGTATTTGTACATTTGCTTTTGGGATAGTTAAGGGGATATGAGAGTAAAAGATACAGTGTAATTTGCAAATTACCTAAAAAGATTAGATAGTGCTAGTAGGTAATTACAAAATAATAAAAGTATGTAAGGGTTTTAGAGGGAGAAATGAGTAAAAGCAGGAGTGGTTGGGAAATGCTTCCTGGACAAGGTGGGATATGAACTAAAGGATTTGGTATTTGGCTGAACGAGGGAAGATAAAAGATGTTCCAGTGAGAAGATAGTTATGAATGAAGGTCTAAAATTTCAGCAATAAGCTTGGCTTTGTGCAGGAGAGAAGTTGTTGGTTTGATTTTAATGAGAATGCTTGTTTGGAGATGAAATTGGTGAGACACAAGAAAGCTGAATAACCACAGGCTTCTTTTGAAATCAGAAAGGATTTTGTTTTTATTTTTTTTTTTGGAGACAGAAAGGTTTAAATTGGAATTTGTGGGAAATGGGGACCCAATGAAGATTTTGATGATGGTGATAACTTCCATTTAATGTGAGCTTTTAGTATGTCTGGCACTGTGCTAAGTACTGTACTTTACATATACTACTTGTCTTGTATGTAAGTCCATTTTGTGTTGCTATAACAGAATACCTGAGACTGGGTAACTTACAAAGAGGTTTGTTTAGCTCATGATTCTGCAGGCTAGGAGTGGGGCATGGCCCTGGCTTCTGCAGAGGGCTTTTATGCTGCATCATCACGTGGCAGACAAGGTCAAAGGGGAAGTGGACTCCTGTGAGGAGAGAGACCAAACAGGAGGGGAAGCCTCGCTTTATAATAACACACTCCAGGAACTAATCCATTCCCTCTGGCAAGAACTCACTGTTGCAAAAGGAGAATAGCACCAAGCCATTCATGAGGGATCCACCCCCATGAGTTAAATGCTGCCCACCAGGCCTCATCTTCCAGCTCCACCACAGTGGGGATAAAATTTCAGTACGAGTTTTGGTGGAACAAACCAACTATATCCAAACCATAGCACTGCCTCATTTAATGTTTACCAATTTTTTGAGTGATTCATCCTTTCATTCAGTAATTTACCACCTGCTATGTGCCGTGCCAAATACATAGTAATAAAGTGCTAGCAGTTTATTATCCTTAATTTGAAGATGAGGAAATTTAGGCACAGGAAGGTTAAGTAACTTACCCAGTGAAGGTAAATGAGGTTTTTTTTTTTTTTTTTTTTTTTTTGGTTTTTGAAGATATAGTAGTTGGAGAGGCTAATAAGGGGCCTTCTGCACTAATTCCACTTTATTTTTTAAATTGGGGGGAAAAAGTATTGAGAAACAGATTATATGAACGGATTAGATTGAGGAAGTGACGGAAAGGTAGAGAGGAAGGGATAAATGTATAACCTTTGTAATGTGGTATGGCCCCACGAGTTACTAAACATGACTGAATTGATGAAAGATTCATAACATATTTGTAAAGCGAAATTCTCAATAATAAAGCCTCCTTTCCAACTTGATTGCTCAATATAGATAGGATTTTATTCTTAAAGGAAAAATCCTCATTTTGCAGGCAGAATAAGCCGGGATACCTACAATTAGTTTTTCTGTCTGGGGCCACCAGTTAACTGGGATGTTTTTTCTGTTTTTCTCTTTCCTTCCACAAATAATAATCTGTTAAAGTCTTTGAATTTACATGTATGTGTAAAATAATTATTTTGTCATATTTAGAAGTGTAGTACAATATTTTGATAAGATTAAATATAATGTGAATGTCAAATGTTGATTTAAAGGGACATAACCTATTTCTTAGTTATATCGCTACCCTTTACTGGAGCACAAAATAAATGGTGTTTTGGGTGAATATATAGTTTTGAGACTGAATCTTAGTTTTTATTACTTGTGGTAAGAATTGAGCAAAATTAAATTTTTATAACTATTGGATATATTAATATGGTAAATTGGAATTTTAGATTACAGGAAAAAATTGAGAAACAGATTATGTGAAAGCATTATGTTGAAGAATTATGTGTGTTTATTCTGTTATCTAATAAGTATTGTGCTTAAGAAAAAATGTAATATTTAAAGGATGTAGAGTTTTTGTTTCATAAGATGAGCATTCTGAAGATCGATGGCACAGCAATGTGAATGTACTTCACACTGAACTGCACCCTTCAAAAAGATTCAGATGATAAACTTTATGTTATATGTATTTAACTACAATGAAAATGTTATTTAAGACCCCCCCACAGCCATACAGTGTACAATACAAAGAATGAACTCTAATGTAGAATATGGACCTTAGTCAATAATAATATATTCATATTGATTCATCAGTTATAAAAAATATACCACACTAAAGCAAGATGTTAAAAATAGTAGGAACTGACTAGGGAAGAGGGTATATGGAAATCTCTACTTTCTGCTCAACTTTTCATAAACCTAAAACTAAAAAAGTCTATTAATTAAAAAAAAGAAAAATGTAGTAAGAGACAAATCATAGTTTTTTTTTTTGGTTTGTTTTGCTTTGGTGTTAGGTATCAGGAAATGTAATGACTTGCTTATTTGCAGAGTTTAATTAAAAAGGAAACAGTTTTTTATAACAGCCTTTCTAAGGGTTCACAGTGCTCTTAAATTACAAGATTTGGCAGAGAGGAATTAGAAGATCATAGGAGAAGAGGTAAGGCCCAAAACAAATTGGCAGAGAGTGAGTGACAACCCTGTGGTTTGTTTATAAATAGCTGTGCTAATTAAAATGAGAACTGGTGTATTCCATGTTTCTGTTTTTTTTTTTTTTTTTTTTTTTTGATGCAGGGTCTTGCTCTGTTGCCCAGGCTGGAATGCAGTGGTGCAATCGTGGCTCACTGCAGGCTTGACTTCCTGGGCTCAAGTGATCCTCCTGCCTCCGCCTCCCGAGTAGCTGGAACTATATAGGGAAGCACCACCATGCCAGGCTAATTTTTTAATTTCTTGTGGAGCTGGAGACTTGCGGTATTACCCAGCCTGGTTATTTTTTCACTTTTTATAACCTTACTTCTTGTGATACCAGGATAGGGTGCTTCCTCTGTTGCCATCTGCTTTAGTAATCTGACTTAAACATTTTTTTTTGATTTGTTTTAGATACAGGATCTGGCTCTCTTGCCTAGGTTGGACTGTAGTGCCATGATCGTAGCTCACTGCAGTCTCAAACTCCTAGGCTCAAGTGATCCTCCTGCCTCTGCCTCCGGAGTAGCCAGACTACAGGCGTGTGCCACCATGCCTGGCTAATTTTTACATTTTTTGTAGAGATAAGGACTCACCGTGTTGCCCAGGCTGGCCTCAACCTCCTGGCCTCAAGTGATCACCCCGCCTTGGCCTCCCAAAGTCTTGGGATTACAGGCATGAGCCACCACACCCAGCCTGCCATTTTCTGATAATTGCCTGAATCTTAAAATTTGAAAAGGATTTCATAAGTCCTCTATAAAATTTAACCTACCCAAAGTAGCATCCTTACCTGATGCTCATTCAGTTTCTCCTTTTGAACATGCAGGGACTGGACACACATTGTTTTAGGAAGTTGTCCATTCCTATCACAGAATATCCTTACTTGTTATTACACAGTTCTTCCTTATTAAGCTAACATCTTTGTCTTTATTACTTCTATCATTGCTCTTACTTGTCCCCCAGTGCAACACTGATAAAGGCTAAAATTAAAGATCCACTCTCAGTTACCTGTTGTTTTTCTCCAGGCCAGCATTCCAATTATTTTAACTATTCTTCTTACAGGAGACATTTGTTATTCCCACTACTATCCCCCCAAACACATTTCCAATTTCTTTCAAAATAGAGCCCATAAAGTTGAACATCATATTTCAAAAGGAGCCTAAGTAATATAGAACACCGTGGGTCTGTTAATTTTTGTGAGACTATTCATTATGTTAATTTGATCAAAGATTATATATGTTCTTTAGCAGCCATATCATTTTTAGGGCCATACTGAACTTTTATTAGACTAAAGTCTATGAGTCACTTTCTTGTAGGTTGTGGTTCAGCTGGAATCTTATACCTCTACAATTGATTTAAATGATTTGAACATTATTTGTTAAATATTTAGTTTAATATTTAGGAACAATTGTATAGTGTTTTAAAGAACACGATAATCTGTATAATCCCATTTGGTTCTCATAACAACCCCTTTGAGCTAAGTAAAAGCATATTATCTTCTCCATCATATAGATGAGGAAACTCATAGCCAGAGAGACTGACTTGTTAATAAGGTCGCCTAACTGGAGAGTGGTTGGACTGGCACTGAGACTAGATCTCAGGCCTTATGACTCCACATTCTGTGTTTTATTGTTGTTGTTGTTGTTATTTTGTGTTAGCCGTAGATATTTCTAAGTAAATTAAGACATTGTGGCTTTTGCCTGCTCCCAGTGAGGGGTGATTGGGGTTTTGGTGATGAGCTCCCAGAAAGGCAACGTGCCTCATTCCAGGCCTCAGAAGCACCAGAATATATTTAGCTTCAAAAATGACAAGTTCAACTGGGCATGGTGGCTCACGCCTATAATCCTAGCACTTTGGAGGCTGAGGTGGGTGGATCACTTGTGGTCAGGCGTTCGAGACCGGCCTTACCAACATGGTGAAACTCTATCTCTACTAAAAATAAAAAATTAGCCAGGCATGGTGGTGCCTGCCTGTAATCCCAGCTACCCGGGGGGCTGAGGCAGGAGAATGGCTTAAACCCGGGAGTCAGAGGTTGCAGTGAGCTGAGATTGTGCCACTGTACTCCAGCCTGGGCGACAGAGCAAGACTCTGCCTCAAAAAAAAAAAAAAAAAGTTTGATAAGCATGTTTAGACCAAGAAAAGTAACACAAAACCATGGTGCGGCTGGGCGCGGTGGCTCACGCCTGTAATCCCAGCACTTTGGGAGGCCAAGGCAGGTGGATCTCCTGAGGTCAGGAGTTGGAGACCAGCCTGACCAACATGGTGAAACCCTGTTTCTACTAAAAATACAAAAATTAGCCAGGTGTGGTGGTGGGTGCCTGTAATCCCAGCTACTCGGGAGGCTGAGGCAGGTTCACTTGAACTTGGGAGGTGGAGGTTGCAGTGAGCCGAGATCGCACCACTGCACTCCAGCCTGGGTGACAGAGCGAGACTCAGTCTCAAAAAAAAAAACCCTCCTGATGGAGTATGTCAGCGCTGTAAAGAAGTTCTTGAGTGGCATGTAAAATATAGCAAATACAAACCATTATCCAACCTAAAAAATGTGTTAAATGTTTACAAAAGACAGTGGAGGATTCTTATCTCATAACGTGTAGACCATGTGCCTATGAACTTGAAGTTTGCGCAAAATGTGGGAAGAAGAAGACATTGCTATTCTGTTCAATAAAGAACCAGGAAAAACAGAGAATATTGAAAATAATCTAAGTTCCAACCATAGAAGAAGCTGCAGAAGAAGTGAAGAAAGTGATGATGATTTGGATTTTGATATTGGTTTAGAAAACACAGGAGGAGACCCTCAAGTGAATTAATATTACTGTATTAAAAGTCAGTTTAAATTAGCCGGGTGTGGTGGCGCATGCCTGTAATCCTAGCTACTCGGAAGGCTGAGGCAGGAGAATCCCTTGAACCCTGGAGGCAGAGGTTGCAGTGAGCCGAGATCGCACCATTGCACTCCATTTTGGACAGCAAGAGCGAGGCTCAGTCTCAAAAAAAAAAAAAAGTCAATTTAAGAATGTGAAATTCTGACCAACTTCTGACTATTTCACAAAAGATACTGTGAAATCCTAATGAGGAAATCAGAAAAACCTTTAGAAAAGTAGACAAATTTTAGACACGAACAATATAAATTGTGTATGATGTATTATCTAATACCAAACTAAACCAGATTCAGAATTGATGGTTGTATAAGAAAGGAACCACCTCATGTAAAAATAAAATGACATTATTATATTGCTAGCCTCAAAAATTGGTCCTCAGTAAGTGCCTTTTGGTAAATGATCTCAAGTAAATGACTCATAGCAAAAGCCTCATACTTATGTTTGCATGTTAAAAAGCAGAAGCAGCATTCTCAAATACTAATGTTTAACAAGTGTATGGCGATTTTTATTTGTATTTTTATATACCTCATCACATTGTTTTTACCTTTTTTCTCGTGAAATGTGCACACAGAAAAAAATGCATAGAATTTATATAGATAATTTAATAAATATAAAGAAAAGTTCATGCATTTATACAGCCAGGTGAAGAAACTGCCGGCATCAGAAGATCCCAGCAAGGCTCTCGTTCAGCAAAAGCTCATCTTTCTTCCCAGAGTTGGAAATTATTCTGAATTTTGATAATTATAGTCTTAATTCTTTTACTACCCATGTTTCTGTTCCTAAACGATATAAATTAGCTTTGTCTGGTTTTTTAACTTTCCTCTTTTTGTTTTGAAAAATATCAATTGAAAATATCAATCAGAAAAGGTAGCAAAATAGTTCTGTGAACTTTTGCGTATTCTTCACCTGGATTCCCAATTGTTAACATTTTACCACGTTTTCTTTATATCTCAGTAGATGGATGTACACACATATTTTATTTGCTGAACCATTTGAAAATGTGCACTGGTTTTGAACTTTGTATGAACAGACTTATACTATATATGTTATTTTATATCTCTTTTTTCATTGTTATAAAATTTGTTGAGATTGATTAAAAAAGACATTGTGAATAGGATTTTTAATCACCATTCCATCCTCCCCAGTGAGCTGGCAACATTTTGTTTCTTTTAGGGACTGTGATTGGGTCTAGTCTCAATTCATTTCCATGTTCATCCTGCATTCAGCTGATCATCTGTTGTGAAATACCACATTATTCTTGTTGATTCTCTTTGAAAGAATAACATGGGGAGTATCTCTGTTTGCATTTTACATTTTACCGTAAGGACTTAAGGATTTATTCTGCAAGGATCTCAATTTTATGCAATAGCTTGTTATTAGGACTTAGTTATTTCTTTTTCTCTATATTTGCCTTCCATTTATTTTAACTGCTGTTGCTTCTTGTTACCTTATCACTGACTTTGTTGTCTTTTCCAATACTGCTTCAGAATCTAATAGTTCTAAATGATTTAAAATAATGATAATAGTAAGAACTGATATGTTATTTACCAGGTACTGTTACGAATGCTTTGTTATGTATTAACTCATTTAGTCCTTAGAACAACCAGGTAAGGATAGGTACTATTGTTATCTTCATTTTAAACTGAATCAAGGAGAAGTCAGCCCAGTTGCCCAAGGTCACTTAACTGGTGGTAGAGTAGGGGTTTAAGAGACTAAAACTCATACTGTAAACTACTATGTTAAATCACCTCTCGCTAGCTAAGCTGCTCTCTTCATCACTTATAAATTTCTTTCTGAGGGCTTCTTTTCCTATACCTGTGACAATTAACATTTTATCCTTGTTTAATCTTATGTATTTCAGCTCTTAGTTATAACTTATTAATCTTTTTGAGTTAAAGTCTTCCTTTTTTATTCAAAAACACTTGACTGCTTTCACTGAGAGCATGGAGTCAAGAGCATCTTTAGTCTGTCTGGGGTAGTTTGCAGTACCTTCAAAAAGGGTATAGTTTTTGAGCCTTGAAGAATGAATGCACATTTTCAAGACCAAAGGAAAAAAGAAGCCATTTCAGGTTGAGGGGTTAGCATGTTCACTTGCTCAGAGGTGAAAGAACATTCCACCTTTGAGGAACTGCAAGTGAGTTCATTTGACAAGAAGTGCAAATTTTATCTAAAGGTAATTGGAAATGATTGAAGAATTTTAACATGGAAGTGACACCAGATTCATGCCTGAAAGGTCGATCTCAAAGCACTGTGGTCCTTTGAAAGGAGTGAAAGCTGAACTAGAAGAGAGATTGGTTATGGAGCTATCCCAGTGATTTAGTTAGAAATGAGGAATATCCTAACATAAGCCTTCCCAGTGGGGATGGAGAAGAGATAGATTTAAAAGGTACTTTGGTTGGTTGTGTATGATGAGGAAGGAAGGAGCCTTTCTCAGGGATTATCAACACTTTCAGGAGACATCTGGGGAACCTGTGGGGTTTTTGTCGTAATGACCTAAGGTTTCTACTGGCCATGGGAAGGGGGTGCAGGGTGGTGGGGATGGGGGTGGTGCTAATGAGAAGTGTTCCATTGAGAAATACTATAGTGGGTGGTGACATAGAAGGAAGAGCAGGTCTATAGAGGTAAGATAGAGTTCAGTTTGAGCCCTCCTGAGTTGAAGTTGTTCGTGGATACCAAGTTGGAAGATGTCTTCAGGCAGTTAGATATCTGAGTCTAGAATATAGAGATAGGTTTCAGATTTAGGAGCTGTTAGGGGCGGTTGAATGTATAACATGAAAAATGATATAGGTTTGAAAATCTGAGGGAGGTTGGAAAAGTGGTTATTGTTGACACACGTTGTTACAAAACACCAACATGTAATGGACGAATGGAGGAAGAGGAGCCCCAGGAAAAGAAAGTGAGAAGCCTAGATTGAATGGAGGAAAATCAGTAGAGTGCTTATCATTGAAGCTGAAGGAAGTGACAGTTCTATCAGGAGGTATGCTCAGTTCTCTAAGATAAGGCAGAGAGGACATAAGAGTATTCATTTAGTAACCAGAGGGTCTGATGACCCTTCAGAGTTTAATTTCATTGGAGTGGATGACAGGTAGACATTGGTTAACAGGATTAGAATGTGTGGGAAATGGGGAAACCGGGCAATGAGTGTAGACTATAAGAAATTCCCTTCTTTTGGACGTGCGTGGTGGCTCACACCTGTAATCCCAGCACTTTGAGAAGCCGAGGTGGGCGGATCACCTGAGGTCAGAAGTTCGAGACCAGACTGACCAACAGGGAGAAATCCTGTCTTTACTAAAAATAAAAAATTAGCTGGGCATGGTGGCTCATGCCTGTAGTCCCAGCTACTTGGGAGGCTGAGGCAGGAGAATCACTTGAACCCGGGAGGCGGAGGTTGTGGTGAGCAGGGATCGCACCACTGCACTCCAGCCTGGGCAACAAGAGTGAAACTCCGTCTCAAAAAAAAAAAAAAAAAGAAATTATCTTCTTTTACAACCTGAACTTTCTTTCTTTTGTGTGTGGTGGTTTTTTTTTTTTTTTTTTTTTTTTTTTTTGGGAGACAGGGTCTCTCTCTGTCACCCAGGCTGGAGTGCAGTGGCACAATCATGACCCACTGCAGCCTCAACCTCCTGGGCTCCATCACTCTTCCTGCCTCAACCTCTTGAGTAGCTGGGACTACAGGCATGTACAACCATGCTCGGCTGGTTTTTTTGATTTTTAGTAGAGACCAAGTCTCACTATGTTGTTCAGGATTACAACCTGAACTTTTACTTTTGTCAAATTCTTATTTTGGTATATCAGCTTGACATACTGGCATTTATAGGTGCCACATGGTTAGTACTTATTTGAATATTTCATCATCATCCTTATTTTATACAAATTAGTTGAAAAGGAAAAAAATATACTAGCAATATGCTTAGTTCTGATAAACTTAAAGCATTTAAAGTGAAGTGAATTAAGCACACTAATAACAGCAAATATTTAGTCACAACATTTTTGGCACTTAAGCCAGACAATTGTATGTTGAGTTGGTAAAGAAAAGAACAGAATTGAACAACCTGGAAGGAATATTGGCTTTACAGATTTTACACATTGCAAAGATTAAAAGGGAAGTGCCATTAGAAATTGGTGTTATGTATTTTTTTTTTTTTTTTTTTTTTTTTTTGAGACAGAGTTTTGTTCTTGTCACCCAGGCTGGAGTGCAATGGCGCCATCTTGGCTCACTGCAACCTTTGCCTCCCGGATTCAAGCGATTCTCCTGCCTCAGCCTCCCGAGTAGTTGGGATTACAAGTGCCCACCATCGTGCCGGCCAATTTTTTTGCATTTTTAGTAGAGATGGGGTTTCGCCATGTTGGTCAGGCTGGTCTCGAGCTCCTGACCCCAGGTGATCCGCCCACCTTGGCCTCCCAAAGTGCTGGGATTACACCCGTGAGCCACTGCGCCCAGCCAGTATTATGTATTTTTTAGTTCTCTTAAAACATGGGCATCAGAATTTGATTTTCAAACAAATTATGTATAAAAGTAGAAGACTCTGAGTGCTATTTCAAGGTTACCTGTGAAGGGAAGGAGAAAAAGGGTATAGCCAGTAAAGGTGATCAAGAGATCCAAGAGAGCTACAGAGTGAGACCGTGTCTCAAATAATAATAACAATAATAAAAACAAACCTATTTTGATTGGTCAAAAAAAAAGATCCAAGAAAGATTTTTAAAAGATAAGTGATAACTTGGCTGGGCGCGGTGGCTCATGCCTGTAATCCCAGCACTTTGGTAGGCTGAGGCAGGCGGATCACAAGGTCAGGAGATAGAGACCATCCTGGCCAACGTAGTGAAACTCCGTCTCTACTAAAAATACAAAAATTAGCCGGTCGTGGTGGTGCGTTCCTGTAATCCCAGCTACTCAGGAGGCTGAGGCAGGAGAATTGCTTGAACCAGGGAGTCGGAGGTTGCAGTGAACCGAGATTGCACCACAGCACTCCAGCCTGGTGACACAGTGAGACTCCATCTCAAAAAAAAAAGATAAGTGATAACTTGAGCATGTTTCTTGATGGAGTTCGAAATGCCAGAGAACAAGGTAAAGTTGGAGATGTTGAGAAGAGGGGAAAGCAAATCAACAGACAAGATTCCTTAAAGAGGTAGGATGGTATTGGATTTAGAATAGAGCTATAAGGGGCTTATCCTTGGATAGAAGAAAGGAGAGTTTCTTCTGTTGAGTTTGAAGGAAGATGAGGATGATGGATTTGAAGGTAAGTATGTTTGTATGTGAAACCATAGGAAGTTTGTCGACTTAGCAGTTTCTGAATGCCTACTGTGTATTTCAGTCTGCTAGTTGAGGAATATGTAGTCTCCATCATTGAAGAAAGTTAAGGGTCAGTCTTGCAGGTTTCCAGCTACTGTGTGTGTATGTGGGGGTGGGGAAGTAGGTATTGTTTTTTATGTTGTTGTGTTGTTTGTTTTTAAGAGATGTCACCTGTCACCCAGGCTGGAGTGCAGTGGCATGATCATAGCTTACTGCAGCCTTGATCTCCTGGGCTCAAAGGATTCTCCCGCTTCAGCTTCCTGGAGTAGCTGGGAATACAGGCATGCACCACCATGAATGGCTAATTTTTAAATTTTTTCTAGAGATGGGGTCTTGCTATGTTGCCCAGGCTGGTCTTGAACTCCTGATCTCAAGCAGTCTTCTCGCCTCAGCTTCCCAGAGTGATGGGATTACAGGCATGAGCCACTGCATGCAGCCTATAATTGATTTCTTACAAATCATCTGTTTTTGACAGTGAATTAGCATCAAGTTTGCTCTTTTTTGTTTGTTTCTGAGACGGAGTCTTGTTCTGTTGCCCAGGCTGGAGTGCAGTGGCATGATCTTGGCCCCCTGCAACCTCCACCTCCCAGGTTCAAGAAATTCTCCTGTCTCAGCCTCCCAAGTAGTTGGGATTACAGGTGCCTGCTACCACGCCCAGCTAATTTTTTTGTATTTTTAGTAGAGACAGGGTTTTGCTATGTTGGCCAGGCTGGTTTTGAACTCCTGACCTCAAGTGATCTGCCTGCCTCGGCCTCCCAAAGTGCTAGGATTACAGGCGAGAGTCACTGCTCCCAGCCTACTCTTTGTTCCTTGTTTTTTTTTTTTTTGAGACGGAGTTTTGCTTTTCTTGCCCAGACTGGAGTGGAGTGGTGTGATCTTGGCTCAGTGCAACCTCCGCCTTCCGGTTTCAAGCGATTCTCTAGTCTCAGCCTCCCGAGTAGCTGGGATTACAGGTGCCCGCCACTATGCCCAGCTAATTTTTGTGTTTTTAGTAGCGATGGGGTTTCACCATGTTGGCCAGGCTGGTCTTGAACTCCTTACCTTGTGATCTGCCCGACTCAACCTCCCAAAGTGCTGGGATTACAGGTGTGAGCCACCCCGCCTGGCTCTTTGTTGCTTTTAAAAATTGGGGCAGCACTTGCCTCAATTTTTGTCTTTCCTAATCACTCATGATTTCTCAATTATAAAGAATGGTTTCGAGATGTCATCTATCAATAAAAGGACTTTTAAGTTACTTAGGATGTAATTTTTCTTGTGCTGGAGAAGTAAATTCACTCATAAAAACTAAACACTTTCTTAACTGCTATGGTTCCTTGAAAGAGATCATAGTTCTCTGTCATGTGATAAGTGTAGTTCTCTGTCATGTGATAAGTGTAGTTCTCTGTTGTGTGGTAAGCGTAGTTCTCTGTTGTGTGATAAGTGTAGTTCTCTGTCGTGTGATAAGTGTAGTTCTCTGTCGTGTGGTAAGTGTAGCTCTTTCTTATGCGGCATTATTGCCTTCTCTACCCTTCTCTGGTCCATGCCCAGTTAAAAAGTCATTTATATTGTCTTTGGCAAACTTTAAGAAATTCTTGGTTTCTTATTAATTTTAAGTTTTAGATCAGTATTTTTAATGATCTCTTTGTGGTCAGGATCAGTCAGTAAATAATTTAGAGCATAAGGTTACTTAGGATTGAAGAGCAGTCCTTCACCTTCCAACCTGTAGGTGTACATCAGGGATTCTCATCTGGGTTGGCCCTCAGGTTGTCTTTGGCAATATATGGAGACATTTTTTATTGTCACCAGTGGGGGCTGAGTGAAGCTGCTACTGGCATCTAGTGGATGGAGGTCAGAGATATTGCTAAATTTCCTACAGTACACAGGACAGCACCCTACAACAAATAATTATCTGGCCTAAAATGTTGGAAGTGCCCAGGTTGAGAAACCCTGGTGTACAGTAACTAATATTTGAACACTTTTGTGAGCTACTATGTTTAACTGCATTCTCTAATTTAAAACACAGAATTCCCCCGTGAGATAAGTAGTATCATTTTTTGCCCTAAAGGCCCTGGTCATTTTTGAAGAGGGAGGATACAAACTTTGGACTCATTTGTATAGGAAATTTTTAATACATAAGTATTCAGGATACAAGTTTTTTATTTTTAGACTTTCTTTGGTCATACCTGTTTTTTTGTTTGTTTGTTATTTTTGCAGGGACAAATATTTATAGCATTTAAATACATAATTCATTTTTACTATTTCAGATCTAGAAATGGCCATTGCCTACTGGAACTTAGTGCTTAATGGAAGATTTAAATTCTTAGACTTATGGAATAAATTTTTGTTGGTAAGTTCACATTTTCTACATTTCTCTCTGTTTTCTCAAATTCTGCTATGTTTAAAGATAAATTAACATAATGTATTGGATATAGAATGAGAAATTTGATTACCAGAATTTTGTTACATAATTGTTTTGCATTCTTGTATTTCAAATTGTCCAAACTGTTTTTGTGCAGCTCTTTTTAGTGATACAAATGTATTTTGTTTTTGTTTTTTAAATAGGAACATCATAAACGATCAATACCAAAAGACACTTGGAATCTTCTTTTAGACTTCAGTACGATGATTGCAGATGACATGTCTAATTATGATGAAGAAGGTAATGAAAATTTTTGCCACACCACTTTTTTTTAATGTGCCTTTTTATCCCATACCCTTGAACTTCTTAGGTACTTTTGTTTTTCTCGGAGTTGGAATTCCCTCCGCTGAGCTTTTGTTTTGTTTTTGTTTTTTTTGAGATAGAGTCTCATTCTGTTGCCCAGGGTAGGTGCATTGGTGCAAGCATGGCTTATTGCAAGTCTTCAAACTCCTGGGCTCAGCAGTCCTCCTGCCTCAGCCTCCCAAGGAGCTAGGACTACAGGCATGCGCTGCAATGCCTGACTAATTTCTTAATGTTTTATAGAAGCAGGGGTCTTGCTCTCTTGTACTCCTGGCCTCAAGCAATCCTCCTGCCTTGGCATCCCAAAGTGTTGGGATTATAGGCATGAGCCACTGTGACCAGCTCCAAGCTTTTTTTAATGCTCTTCTGAATGTATGAAATACCTTCATACATTTACCAATCCATATTCTTCTGTTTCCTTCAATTCCTACTCAGCATTCATGTCTTCCAGAAAGGCATAAGTAATTTTTATCCATGTTTTAGGTTTTCAGTTTAGGAACCTTTTTACTTCTTGATGTACTTTTGTACTTATTTGTATCTCTTTTTCATCTGTTAGTCTTTTGTATAAGCTTGGTTGTAAATTCCTTAAGTTCAGTGACTTTTTTTTTTTTTTTTTTTTTTGAGATGGAGTCTTGCTCTGTCACCCAGGCTGGAGTGCAGTGGCGCAGTCTCAGCTCACTGCAACCTGTGCCTCCTGGGTTCAAGCGATTCTGCTGCCTCAGCTTCTCAAGTAACTGGGATTTCAGGTGCCTGCCACCACGTTCACCTAATTTTTTGTATTTTTAGTAGAGACGGGGTTTCACCATGTTGGCCAGGCTGGTGTTGAACTCCTGACCTTGTCATCCACCCGCCTCGGTCTCCCGAAGTGCTGGGATTACAGGCATGAGCCACTGCGCCCAGCCTATTTTTTTTTGAAACTTACTTCAGCCGCCTAATATAGTACTATTGGCATTCAGTAAATAATCACTGAATACTTTTCTGCTATTTCTTCATAAATGTATAAAGATGGTGCTACCATCCACTACTAGGATGTGGACTTGTATTTTTCTATATGTAGAAGTGATTTACATTGATTTCTTCATACATATTTCCCTAGTCCACTTGAGAACTGGCAGGATGCAAGATGGAGATATTTTTTGAAAAACCCCCTGTGATCTCGGTGTCCTGGAATCATTTAAAAGTGTCCTGGAATCATTAAGGCTAATCAGGGATGATGTTATTTCTTTTCTTCATTTCGTTGTCGTTTATAATCTTCCCTGCAAAGTGAGAAATGTTTAATCCTGCATATACCTAATAATTGTGTCTTCTGGTAGGTTTTACACAAAAATGGAGAGCTTTCTGACTTGGTGATGGGCATGTGAATGTGTAGAGGCATGCATATATGCAATTTTACACCTTTTAGTAACGTATTAGCATGAAATAGGATGGAATTTGACACTTCCTGTTAATCTCCTTTGTGAGATGGCCACAGAATGCTTGAAAACTTGTTTCTCCTCCTATGCCTTCAGCACTGGCAGCATGCTATCATTTCATAGCTGCTCCTTAGGCTGCCAGTTTTTTGTTTGTTTGTTTGTTTGTTTTGAGAGGGAGTCTCGCTCTGTCCCCCAGGCTGGAGTGCAGTGGCGCGATCTCACTGCAAGCTCCGCCTCCCGGGTTCACACCATTCTCCTGCCTCAGGCTGCCAGTTTTGACCAAATTACTTCCATTGGCTGACTGCAGTGGCCTTGAGAAAATCATATTATTGATGAGTTGCCAGACAAGTTACTTTTATCACTCAAGGAACAACCAAATGTTGGAGTAATAAATCACAAGGAATACAAGGAATATTTGGGGTAAAAACTCCAAAAAGTTTGAGTTTTGAAAGACTTAATCAGTGGGAATAGATAAGAATGATATACTTTAACGCTTATGAGGAAGTCTTAAAAAAAGGATTCTACTAAAATGTTAGCCTTATTTCTGCTTTTTTCCCCCTTCTCTTTCTTTCATATTTTTTCTTTTTTCCAGGAGCATGGCCTGTTCTTATTGATGACTTTGTGGAATTTGCACGCCCTCAAATTGCTGGGACAAAAAGTACAACAGTGTAGCACTAAAGGAACCTTCTAGAATGTACATAGTCTGTACAATAAATACAACAGAAAATTGCACAGTCAATTTCTGCTGGCTGGACTGAACTGAAGATCAATCCTCACAATTCAGACTGAGGGTTGAGACAAAACTTTAAGGATACATCTTGGACCATATCGTATTTCATTCTTCTAATGGTGGTTTGGGCTTGTCTTCTAGTCTGGGCCGCTCTAAACATTTATAATTCCAACATTGTGGATTTCATCTTATATCTGTGGACCATCCTAGTTTATTCTCCCATAAGTCTTAGAAGCTTTATGGTGATTATTTTGAGGTTTTCATTCTCGCATAAAGCACAATGCTGTCTTCATCAGAAAACAGTTGGCATAAGAATTAAACATATGAACATCACAAAACAATTTATAAAAACTTCTTAAATATACGCTTTGGGCTAGTTGCAAAGACTATGCTAATAGCACTTCCAGTGAGAGTGATATATTTAAGTGTACTGGATCTGGAATGGTGTTTTGGTTTGGGGGGAATTTTTTTTTTTTCCTGGCAAATCACATGTGTTGTTGATGTGAGTATCTGATGAAAAAACAATGTCAGAATAACCGACATGAAAATTTTTTAGGATAACTTGGTGCCTACCTGAAAAATGTATTGTGTTTTAGACTCTTGATTTCAAAAGGTTCCACAGAACTAGTCTGCGCTTACCTTACCCATGTTTATATATAGCTGTCCTACAGGGAGCTTTTATTTAGAAAATGTCTGCATAATGTTAGATTCTTCTCCTGTCTACATTATGCACTACATAATTGGACTTCATTATGCTTTTGAAATGCTTATCTGCCTGTCACATAAGTTAAACTATTTAATTTGTTTTGAATGTTTTGGATTGCTACACAATACAATATTCTAAATTTAGGCATGAGGGTTTTTTTGTTTTGTTTTTACTTTTTTTTTGTCATCGCACTATGGAACACAAATGGAATTCTCTTAATTTATAAGAAGATAGTTGCAGTTAAATTTTGAAAATGGTTGTAATGAGCCATGAAGTTCAATCTTTATAATATAGGTACTGCTCTTTCAGACAAATAGTCCATTTTCGATGACTTATTATTTTGTTGAAATTGCTTTAACTGCTAATCACTGTGGTTGCCAAATATTTACTTCAGGAGCAAAGATTTTCAAACAAGCATACACGATGCAAAATACCAATCTGGCTTCTAGTCTCTTTACTGTTTTCGTTTCACTCAGATTAGCTCAGTTTTCTCATCAAAGCAGAATGCTATCTTGTATGTATTTTTTTCATTACAAGCCCCATGAGCTGCTTTTATGCTGAAAATGGTCATTTCCCTGTTCACTTACTGACATGTGAAGAAGGGTTTCTTGCTTTCTTAAACATTTCCGTAAGGCAGGCTAGAAATGTAATACTTCAAATGTTTGATGATTATGGTCTTTTGATAGGAATAGATTCTGCTTGGGATATATATCCAGGCACTCTCTAAGGTCTAGGGTTGATATTAACAAAGGAATGTACTTAGAATAGCAGTACATTTTATGCAAATATGGAAATTATTTTAAGAAACAATGACATATCAAAACTGCTTTTTACATGATTTTGAAATAGACTAGAAAGCTTTCCCTATAGACATATTAATATTCCAATCATAACTTTAATTCAAGAATGCAGTTTTACCAAAAGAAAAATTTGAAAATTTCTATTCAGGCTACTGGAATTGGTTATTAAAAGAAAAAGGAAAAAGAAGAATCTTGCTGCTTTCAGTATTTCCTGATTTTTTTGTAAATATAAAGAGGAACTTCAATTATGAAAAATTTTTAAAAGATATATATATCTATATATCTATATATATGTACTGTTTTGTTTCCTGTCTTGAAGATTTTGAGTTATGGTTATTGGTTTCAGATTGATTAATTCACATATGCTGTGTTTTGAAATGAGATCCCATTAGCTTTTTTTTTTTTTTTTTTTTTTCAATATAAAGTGTTTTCTTTAAAAGTCATATTGGTTCGTGGCCTAGTGCCTTGGATTTTACATATTTTTCTTTTTAAATGCAAAACCTTTTCAACAAAATAGTGTTTGTCATCAGGTTGGTACTAAACATTTATAATTACTGTGTAATTATAAACAAAAATACATAAAGCTTTGAATATAATTATGTAGCATAAAAGTTAAGGTTGTTCACTATGATGGCATCTTAGAATTAAACAAAACTTTTACTAGGGCTGAAAAGAGAAGACTGATTTAATGTGGTGTGATTATTCTGAAGATAAATGTCTGGCTACAGGGAATATTTTGTACTAAAAAATGATTACACATATGGCTGTGTGTGTTTGAGTCTGTGTCTGTGAGAGAGCCAGAGAGAGTGAGAGAGATTGACAGAGAAAGGGAGAGACACACACACGCCCCTTGAATTGCTTTAACTCCTAAGTGTTTCAGTCCTCATTCCGGTAAACTCCCCATGCTGATTCTTTGTTTTAAACTGAACCATAGGTACAGTTTCCTTTTTGCCAAATGTCAAAACAGGTACAAATTTTAAAATGTAATGCTTTTTAAATAGAAAAATGTATAAAATTAGAAGTGCCCACATATAAAAAATACTTGAGATGAAGATTATCTTTAGTGAATATCATCTGCATATCTCTGTAAGTTCAATTGTGTTTCTTACAGTCCCTGTCATATTACCAACAGAGGCAATAAAAGCTGCAGTGAAATTGCCATGACTAAATCTTTTCACATATTTCAGTGTATTTTTTTTATAGATTTAAAATATACCTGAAAACTTTTCTAGGAAGAATAATTATTCATGGAAAGAGCATTGTAATGGCATGTTTTGGGGAGAAAAGACATGCCAAGTCTTGTTTACTACATTTAAGATGTTTACAACTATACTGGGCTGCTTTATTAACAATACTGTACTTGCATAATATGGCATTATAAGTACATGTCCTTCCTTAGACTTTTAAAAAGTTTTAATGAGAGAAAGTAAATTTACTCAACAAAATAACATGAGAAATCCTTTACGTAATATCTTTACTGGGGAATTCTTATTTAAGCAAGGTACACTATTTTTTCCTCAGACTTAAATGAATGAAGTGTTCATTTATTTTTTATTTGATGATAATCAAGAAGTGAGTAGTAGTAGCTAACTTAATGTACACTTTGCTTAGGTTTTTAAACATGTTACTATTAAGACTACGTATTGTAAACCTTCTGTAATTTTCACATATGAATGACAGGAGAAAGTTAAACCTAATCGAAGGAGTTTTGGAATAAAAAAGTGGTGCTGGGGAAATTCACCATGGTTCACAAAGTATGCCTTTGTAAAACTGAATCAACTTTTAGCAAGAATTAATTTATGTAGTTTTAAATGTTAAATTGTGTATATTTAACAGAAAATACTTATCTGGCACCTCAGCAGTTTTAATGTTACCTTATACTTTTAACAGTATGATTTATATTGAATACTTAGATGTTTTCATAAGATTTTATCAAATTTGATAATGTAATGATAAAATGTTTTTTTAAATGTGAACTATTTAACATATAAATGGGGACACAAAACCTGAATTGTGATTTCTACATAATGTGATAATTAGGGTTCAAATTATGACTCATCATTTAATTGATTATAAATGAGTATATTTCTGAACTCTTTATTGCCTCCATTTTTACAATCATAATATAGCAATAATTTCTATTTTTATTTCATAGGACTGTGGTGAAGTTATTTATCATGACACCTTTATCTTTGATTTCTGAGGGAAAGGGGTGTATATTTTGTAGTTAAGATAAATGAGAAAGTTCCTAATAGTACAAATGCCCTTTTCCAGGTTTATCTTTGCTATTTGTTGCCATTTTTCTTAAATATTTGCTTTATTTGTACCCGATTTCTGGAGGCAAATAGTGCTGTTTTTTCAAACTCATAATATAGTTACATAAATGATTTTATCAGAGCATTCTTGCTATCTTATTTTCTTTCCTACCTGTTGAGTAAGTAGCATTTCTTGCTCACCAACTCATTTATTTGACTAGGTTCAGTGTTTCCTATTAATGTGTTTTTTTATTTTCCTTTGGTTGATTTTGAAAAATCTGTCACAAATAAGGAAGTTATGGTAAAAGATGCACAGCCTTTGTAGTTAGTGGAATTCTCAATAAGTAATGTCTTTATGGAGTTTTAAAGGGAAATTATTTAAAGGGAATCATGTTATAGTTGTCCATTTTTTAAATTGAGATTTTAAAAGTGTTTTTAAGTATAGCCCAATTTTCTATTTACTTACAAGTGCTTCATGATTGTTTTCTTTTTTATTTTTTGCCATCATGCTGTGCAGAAATCATAATGTAGCTTGTAATACTTCAGAGCATTGGTCTTGAAGCTGTAACTTGGGGCTGCTGTCCTTCATGAGGTAGGGCCATAGCAGGCAGGCCCTTTCCCACTTCCTTTATGGCATTCTACTTTTATCTGTTGTAGGCTGTTAGTGTTTCATATTCGATTTGGTTTGGGGAAAAATACTCAGTTAAAAAAATTTTTTTTAATGATTGGCTTTAGAGGGACTGTTACCTCTTTGGCATATCTGTCAGCGGAATGGAAAGAAATGGAGTCAGACTGAAATTCATGCCAGCTTAATCACTGAAGGCAGCACTGCTTTGAAAAGAAGAATTTTCAACCCACATCGTAAAAACAAAGCCTGATTGGAAACAATGAAGTGTTTGAAACTTAGGGGCAGCATGTAAGTGGCTTAATGAGCAAACAAACGGAACATACTCATTTTATATTTAAAAAGTACATATATATTCAAATGCATGTTCATATGAATATTATAATTTTATTTCAGGTTATGAAATATTCTGAGAAAACCTTATATCTGATGGAAAACTTGGGCAATACCCAATACGAAGCAAGAGATTTTTACAAAAAGAAATACTATAGGGCATAAGGTTGGGGGAAGACCAATTAATGAAATGGCTAAGGGACAATGCTAATTAAATCGTTAACAGTGATTTTGTCACATAATTACATGACTTATAGCTAAAAGAGCAATATTTAATCAGTAAGATTTAGAGATGGGTGTACTTGGAATCCTTTGAAAGCAGCGTGTTTAGTTTTCAAGCAAATGCTAATGTTCTTAATCCTAATAGTATATTAGACTTCGTTGTGTTGAATATATCAAATGAACGAACTATGAACCAGAGCTTTAAAATAGTGATTTGTAAGACTTTGTTACAATGGTACTTAAAAAATTGCTTTGTATAATTTACACACTGTAAAATTCACCCATTGTACATGTACAATTAATTGTTTTTAGTAAACTTAAGAGTTGTGCAGTCCAATTTTAGAACATGTCCATCAGCCCCCAAAATTTACTCCTGCTGCTCTGCGGTTAATTTGCTCCTGCCTCCAGCCCCACGCAGCCACACTGATCTGCTTTCTGTACAGATTTACCCTTTCTAGAAATTTCACAGAGGTAGAATCATGCAGTTAGTCTTTTATATCTGGCATCTTTCACTTAGCATGTTTTTGAGGTTCATCCATGTTGCAGCTTATACCTGCGTGTAGTTCCTTTAGTTGCTGACTTAGTGTTCACTGTTTGGATATACCACATTTTGTTTATCCATTCACCAGTTGATAGACATTTGGCTGGCCTACAATTAGTTTTTTTAAATTGCGAATAATAATGCTATGAACATTCATAAATGTCTTTGTGTGGACATGTTTTCATCTCAGATTCCTAGTTGTGGAATTGTCAGGTTGTGTGGTAAATTTATACCTAACGTTTTTAAAAAAACTGCTGAACTTTTTCCAAAGTGGCTGTACTTCTAGAACTATTCCTGCCACAGTGCATGCGGACTGCCGTGTCTGCACATCCTTGCCAATACTTGTCTTTTTTATTGCAGCCATCCTGGCGGGTATTTACTTTATGTGTGTGAGTTATACCTAGGCATCCCAACTCGTGTATCGATTGGATGTGCAGTTTGAGTGAGTTTCAAGTGGCCTCAGCGATTGCTGTAAAATTAGTTACTCTAGTAGACATGTACTCTCTTGGAGGTAGTATTTTCTGTAGTCAGTGAGGGTAATAATAATACTTCCAGTGGGGGTTCCAGTCCCTCAGTGATCTCTGGTGAGAAGAAATGTGTCAGCGAAGAGTGGTGCTGATGGCTGGTGCTTTGGCTCTGTTATTGTTTGTACCAAGGTTGATACAGCTACTCGACTAGCCTATGACTGACTGGTGGTGGTAATTAAACTTTGTACAGATTACTGTGTGCAGATAGTTACTGTCTTAATATTAAGTTTCCCAGAGATTTTACTTTTGAGATAGCTGAGAATTAACGACTCTTGGAATTTATAAAAATTTAGTTGATACCATTTAGTTGCTGCCAGCTGCCTGTGTTCTTATACATAGGAGACATCGGAGTGAGTGCTTTTTAAAAAATTAATGGCGTATGTCAGGTATATGTAAAAGGACAATTGCATAATGAACTCATGTTAACATGATCAATCCATGGCCAATCTTGATTTATCTAAATGCCATTCATCTTTGAACCCCTATTTATTTTGAAGCAAATCCCAGATAGCAAATCATTTCATTTGTAAATATTTCAATATGTATGTCTAAAAGATAAGGACTGTTAAATAAAACCACAATTCTGTTGTTAGACTTAACTGTTAACAGTTTGTTAGTGTTAATAACTACCCAGCAGTGTTCAAGTTGTGCCTTTTTTTTTTTTTTTCCAATTCAAGTCAGGATTCAAATAAGATTCCTACATTGCATACATCTCAAATGTCCTACCCAGTGGATCCCCACACTCTCCACTCTTTGGCTTCAAATTCATTTTTTTGAAAAAACAATGATTGCTTTAGCACTTTAAATTTCTATGCAATTTCAAATGTAAGGTGAAATTTTGATGTACTTAATAAAAAAATTCTAACGAATATATTTTTCAAGTTAATGTAGTATATAAGAAGCTATTATATCAACAGATTTTCCTTTAACTTAAAAATACATCGTGACTTGTATCCAGAACTCTTACAACTTAATGAAAAAACAACCCAATTTATAATTGAGCCAAGGATTTGAATGGACATTTCTCCAAAGAAGATATACAAATGGTCACTAAGGGTGTGAAAAGATGCTCAATATCATTAGCCATTAGGGAAATGCAAATCAAAACCACAATGAGATACCACTTCCTGCCTGCTAGGATTGCTTTAATCAGAAAGATAAACAGTGACAAGTGTTGCTGAGGATGTGGAGCCCCTGGGTCATCTGTAAGTTGCTGATAGGACTGCAAACCGGTGCAGCTGCTTTGGCAGACAGTTTGGCTATTCCTCATTTAATAGTTAAACAGAGTTAGGATATGACCAGCAATTCTCCTAGTTATATACTCCAGAGGATTGGAAACATGTTCATATAAAAATTTGTGTGTATTTACAGCATTCATAATTGCCAAAAATTGTAAACAACCCATTACATGTCCATTAACTCATGACTGGATAAGTGCAATCTTAATAGTCATTCAGTGGAATAATATTTGGCAGTAAAAAGGAATGAGGGAAGTACTGATACATGCTGCAACGTGCATAAATCTTGAAAACATTATGCTCAGTTAAGCCAGTCACAAAAGGGCACACATTGTACTATTCCATTTGTATGACACATCCAGAATAGGCAAATCTATAGAGAGAAAGATTAGCGGTTGCCAGGGGCTAGGGTTGGAGGTGGAGAATACAAAGTGAGAACTAATAGATACAAGTTTCTTTTTGGAATGATTAAAATGTTCTAGAATTAGTGGTGATGATTGTACTACTTTGTGAATATATTAAAAATTTTAAGACAGTCTTATGGCATATGAATTACATGTCCATAGTGATTTTAAAAATTAAATATAGGCATGCATATCTAAAGACAGTACAGTGGAACTTCATAATACGTTCTTTGAAAGCATCAGGAAAATACATAGTTCCCCATTTTATCTGATTTTGGAGAGAGAACTGATTACACATAGGATTGTTGCATTTCTATTTCATACACATGTAGCTGTAAATTTTCCCTCTTCAAAATTTCCCCATTTAAAAACAGGAAACACTGCACCTTCTATTAATTTTTGATGAATGGAACTTGGTAAATAAGTAGAAAATCCAGCTAATAATATTGAAGATACAAGTATACTACTTTTGTCATGTCTGGAAGGAGTGTGTAGGGAATATGTTTTCAGTGGTTTTTGAAAGTAGTTTAAGGCCAAGCAGACTGTAACTTTGCAATATTTTCTTACTAGCAGGAGTGTGTGAAGGGGCTGCTCTGCATAGCATTCCTGTCTGAGAGAGTTACTGCCCAGCCCACGCTTAGCTGGATACAGGCAGTTTTTGGGCCTCCTTGTTGTACCTCCACTAAGCTGCGAGGGAGAATAGGTTGGTAGTTTCTGTGTGCTATCCTTATCGGGGGGAAAATAATGACATGAAGTATTGATACCCTACCTAGCTGACAGAAGAATTTGGGAAGCCTGAATTCAGATGGAATAGAATTGTTTCCTTTGATTTTTTCACTTTGAGCACTCCCTGGCCTACTTTCTTCCCTTAACTTTTAATAGTGCTATGACTTTACTCAAGGGAGGATGTGTTCTTTAGACCAACCCTATCATAGCTGGAATAAATCTGTATAACTCTCTTCCCCTGGATTTAGGTAGCTGGATCAGGTTTCCTAGCTGTAGCCAGTTCCTTGTTCACTAACTTGCTTGAGCTGATGAGCTGTGGGTCTTTCTAGAGAGAAGTAACCCTTGATATTTATATCTGTGAAAAAAATATCAATAAATTTGAAATGTTAAATGATCTAATTGGCGTTTATTCACAATTTATGAATTGGGCAGCATCTTATCTAAAAATCTACACTGGGCATGGAAGAACAGTCAGTTTTTATAAGGTATCTTGAGCAGGAGCAAAGAAACAGCATAATACAAAATGCAGTTGGTTAACATTAGGTTACTTCAGGTTACTTCCCTTGTAAGGGTAAAATAGAGGGGACTTTCTCATCATGCAGGCTAAAACTGGCCTGTTTGGAGATTTGGCTGTTATCTCTCTCTCCTGATTTATCAGAAGCTCAGATAAACAACTTAGTTTTGGTTTGGTGGCCTGGAACTTTAGCATGAGTGACTTCATTTCGGTTTGGTCTGTTGGGTATAATGCAGGAGCTCAGTCCAAATCCATGGCCTGCTGTAGGTTTCATTTAACGTTTATAGAACTTGAAGTGTGTTCCATTCTATAAGTGAAAGTCAACGTTTACATTCATTTCAGGAAAGATTTTATATTTATTTCTAGAGGGAGAGTGATTGAGAAAGTGGTTACTTTAAAATGTTTCCTAAAAGCTAATTTATGCGTTATTGCCAGCTCCTCTCAGAGAGTCTGTTTGATTTGTACATTTACTTCAGAGTGAGAGATCCCGGTAAATTTGTATAACTGCTTTGGAGAATGTCTTCCTCTTTAACCAGGCCTAGGAAGAGTCTGTCCATTGGTCTAAAGACACCAGTGCCAGGATGTGCCTTTGAAGGCAAGTTCCCAAAGTTGCGTAGGAAGGAATTCAAGTTCTAAATCCAAATTATCAGTTTAGCTATTAAAGCTCTGTTAGGCAGGATCTTCTCTGATGACTGTTTAATCTTTTCTGGTAGAGCCTTATCTCTTCAGAGATCACAACCTATTTCCCATTGCCAATTGCATGTTTAAGTAGTAATTGGTTCAGCATGATATCCCCGTTTTGATGAGCACTTTGATTCTGTTCAATTTGAAGAAGTCTTCTGTAAAATGACAATCCACCAAAAAGATGGATCCCTTTTGAAACTGTTAGCCTGTGACTAGAACAGGCTGGCTTCTGTGCCTATTAGCTGTGGTTAGCAGGATCCCATGTTTCTGTTACCTGCCAACGTTCCTCCTGATGGGGAGGTAGGACATATCAGTGCTTTATGGATAACTTTATTCAAAGTATTTTGAGATAGCAGAGGACCTGGTCTGTTTGCTGCAGTTGCTCTGTTATAAAAAACACCCACTTTTATACTGAGAGATCCTTGAGGATATTAACTCAAGTGCTGTCTTAGAATATGTCTTCTTTTTATTGGGTTATAAAAGATTTAAAAAATATATTCTGGATCAAATCTTAGATATATATTTTGTATTTACTTTTTCCTGGTTGGTGGCTTGTCTTTTCATTTTCTTAATCGTGTTTTTTTTTGAGACAGGGTCTTGCTCTATCAGGCAGGAGTGCAGTGGTGCAGTCATGGCTCACTGCAGCCTCAACCTCCTAGGCTCGAGTGATTTTCCCATCTCAGCCTCCTAGTAGGCAGGACTACAGGCATGTGCCACCACATGTAGATAATTTGTAAAGTTTTCATAGAGATGGGGTCTCACTATGTTGGCCATACTGGTCTTGAACTGCTAGGCTGAAGCCATCCTCTTGCCTTAGTCCCCCAAAGTGCTGGGAGTACAGGTGCGAGCCACTGGGTCCGTCCTTATTTTCTCTATAAGTTTTATATTTGTAGGTCTTCATTTTAGGTTTCTCATTGGATTTGAGTTAATTTATACATGTGGTATGTGAAGTAACGGTCTAGGTTCTTCTTTATTTTTTTTACAAAAAGATATCCAGTTTTTCCAGTACTATCCATTAAAAAGACTATCCTTTCCCCACTTAATTATCTTGGTACCTTTGTCAAAATCAGTTGCCCGTGTGTGTGGGTTTATTTCTGGGCTCCCTTCTTTTCCATGGATTTCGAGGTCAAATCTTAAACCTATGGCACACTGCCTTGGCTGCCAGAGCTTTCTGTTTTCACATCAGTGCTTTCAGTTCTCCAACTTTGTGATTTTATGAAATTTTTGATCACTTTAGGTCCTTGATACTTGCATTTGATTATTATTATTACTATATTTTTTTGAGACAGAGTCTTACTCTGTCACCCAGGCTGGAGTACAATAGCGTGATCTTGGCTCACTGCAACCTCTGCTTCCTGGGTTCAAGTGATTCTCCCACCTCAGCCTCCTGAGTAGCTGGGACTACAGATACCCACCACCACACCCAGCTAGTTTTTGTACTTTTAGTAGAAATGGGTTTTTTTCATGTTGGTCAGGCTGGTCTTGAACTGCTGGCCTCAAGTGATCTGTCCGCCTCAGTCTCCCCAAGTGCTGGGATTACAGGTGTGAGCCACCATGCCAGGCCTCTACGGCCTCTATGTACGAATTTTAGTGTCAGTTTTTCTTAGAAAACGACAACAACAAAAACCCAAAAACTTTTTTAAAAAGTCCTGCTGGGAATTTGATGGAGATTGTAACCACTGTTGAATGGTTCTCAATCAGGGGCAAATTTGCACCGAAGGGTCATTTGGCAATGTCTGGAGACATTTTTTATTACAACTAGAGTAGGGTGGAGCTACTGGCATCTAGTGGGGCCGAGGATGTTGCTAAACATTTTTTAATGCACAGGATGGCTCCATATAACAAAGAGTTGTCCTAAGTGTCAATAATGCCAAGGGTTAGAAATCTTACATTAAATCTATAGATTAATTTGAGGGGGATTGCCATTTTAAGAATATTGAGTCCTCCAATCCAGAAACACAGGATGTCGTCATTTATTTAGATGTTCAATTTTCCTAAGCAGTTTTATGATGTTCTGTTTGCAGGTATTGTACTTTGGTTTAATTTATTTTTTTAAGTATTCTTTTTTTTTTTTTTTTTTTTGAGATGGAGTCTCGCTCTGTCACCCAGGCTGGAGTGCAGTGGTGTGATCTCAGCTCACTGCAACCTCCAGTTCCCCTGGTTCAGTCGATTCTCCTGCCTCAGCCTCCCGAGTAGCAGGGATTACAGGCATGCACCACCATGCCCAGCTAATTTTTGTATTTTTAGTAGAGATGGGGTTTCACCATGTTGGCCAGGATGGTCTCGATCTTCTGACCTCATGATCCGCCCGCCTCGGCCTCCCAAAGTGCTGAGATTATAAGTGTGAGCCACCGCGCCTGGCCTTAAGTATTCTTTTTGATGCGTTGCAAACTTGTTTTTTCAGTTTTATGTTTTGTTTTGTTTCTAGTGTGCATAACTAAAGTAAATTTTCATATATTGATCTTGGATCCTGGAACTGTGCTACACACTTTTATTAGTTCTAATAGTTGTTTGATTTCTTAAGATTTACTATGTACAAGATTATATAATCTGTGAATAGACAGCTGAATTCTTCATTTGTAATCAATGTGCCTTTAATTATTTTTTATTGTCTTATTGCATTAGCTAGTACAATGTTGAATAGAAGTGGTGAAGATGTCACTTTTGCCTTTTTTCCAGTGTTAGGGGGAAAACATTAAGTTTTTCCATTATTAAGTATGATATTAGCTGTACATTCTCTTTTAAGCCTTTGTTGAGGATTTTTATCATGAATGGGTGTTGAATTTTTGTCACATGCTATTTTTTTATCACATGCTATTTGTGTATGAGATAATCATGTGGTTTTTGTTCTTTATTAATATGTTATATCACTTTGATTTTTGGATGTTAAACCAACCCTGCATTCCTGGGGCAAATAGCACTTGATCATGGTATATAATCCTTTTTATATGCTGCTGAATTGGGTTTGCTAATATTTTTAATTGAGGTATAATTCACATAAAATTCACCCCTTTATAGTGTACAATTCAATGGCTTTTACTATTTTCACAAGATTGTACAATGGTCAGTACTATCTAATTCCAGAACATTTTTATCACCCCAAAAAGAAACTCTGTACCCATTAGCTGTCACTCCTCATTATCACCTCCTTCTAGTCCCTGACAACCACTAAAATACTTTCTCTATAGATTTGCCTATCTTAGATATTTCACATAAATGGAATCATTCAATATGTGGCCTCTTGTAATTGGCTTCTTTCACTTAGCACGATGTTTTCAAGGTTTACGGGTATTGTAGGATATATCAGTATTCTTTTATATGACTGAATAATGTTATTGTATGGATATATATTTTGTTTATATATTCATCAGTTGATGGACACTTGGGTTTCCTTTTTTTTTTTTTGACAGAGTTTCGCTCTTGTTGCCCAGGCTGGAGTGCAGTGGCACCATCTCTGCTCACTGCAACCTCCACCTCCTGGGTTCAAGTGATTCCCCTGCCTCAGCCCCCTGAGTAGCTGAGATTACAGGCACCCACCACTATGCCAGGCTATTTTTTTTTTTTAATAGAGACAGGGTTTTACCATGTTGGCAAGGCTGGTCTCAAACTTCTGACCTCAGATGATCCACCCATCGGCCTCCCGAAGTGCTGGGATTACAGGCATGAGCACCACGCCTGGCCAGATTTGCATTTTTTTTACTGTTATATTGAGTAATGGTGCTATGCACATTCATGTACAAGTATTTGCTTGAGTATCTGTTTTCACTTCTTTTAGGTATATGCCTAGGATTGGAAGTGCTGAGTCGTATCGTAATTCTGTGTTTAACTTTCAAATGAGGAACGGCGAAACTATTTTCCAAAGCAGTTGTACCAGTTTACATTCCTACCTGTAGAGTATGAGGGTTCCAATTTCTCCACATCCTCAGCAACACTTGTTATTGTCTATCTTTTTGATTAAAGCAATCTTAGTGGGTATGAAGTGATAACTCATTGTGGTTTTGATAAGCATTTCCCAAATGTTGAGAAGCTTTTTCTCTTTTTTTTTACTCTTTTCTTTTCTTTTCTCTTTTCTTTTCTCTTCTCTTTTCTTTTCTTTTCTCTTTTTTCTTTGAGTCTTGCTCTGTTGCCCAGGCTGGAGCACGGTGGTGCGCTCTCAGCTCACTGCAACCTCTGCCCCCCGGGTTCAAGTGATTCTCCTGCCTCTGCTTCCCAAGTAGCTGGGACTACAGGCCTGTGCCACCACGCCCAGCTAATTTTTTATATATTTAGTAGAGTTGGGGTTTCACCCTGTTAGCCAGGATGGTCTCTGTCTCCTGACCTCGTGATCCACCCACCTCGGCCTCCCAAAGTGTTGGAATTACAGGCGTGAACCACTGCGCCCGGCAGAGCATCTTTTCATGTCCTTATTGGCATTTGTATATCTTCTCTGGAGAAATGTCCTATTCAAATCTTTGCCCATTAATTTTTTTTTTTTTTTTTTTTTTTTGAGACAGAGGTTTGCTCTTGTTGCCCAGGTTGGAGTGAAATGGTGCGATCTCGGCTCACTGCAACCTCCGCCTTCCGGGTTCAAGCAATTCTCCTGCCTCAGCCTCCTGAGTAGCTGGGATTACAGGCACGCACCACCAAGCCCAGCTAATTTTTCGTATTTTTAGTAGAGACAGGGTTTCTCCATGTTGGTCAGGTTGATCTGAAACTCCCGACCTCAGGCGATCCACCTGCCTTGGCCTCCCAAAGTGCTGGGATTACAGGTATGAGCCACCGCACCCAGCCTAAATATTTTTTTGATTGTGGTAAAAAGCATAACATTTACCATCTTAATTAACCATTTTTAAGTTACAGTCAGTAGTGTTATTTGCACATTGTTGTACAACAGATATCCAGAACTATTTCATCCTCCAAAACTGAAACTCTGTTCCCATTAAACAATTCCTCATTTTTCCCTCCCCTTGGCTCCAGGTAACCACAAATCTGCATTATTTTTCTATAAATTTGACTACTTTCGATGCCTCACATAAGTAGAATCATATAGTACTTTTTGTGATTGGCTGACTTCACTTAGCATAATGTCCTCAAAATTCATTCATGTTGATGCATGTGATAGGATTCCCTTCACTTTTATGATTGAATAATATTCCATTGTAGGTATATACCACATTGTGTGTATCCATTTATCCTTTGATGGACATTGAGTTGCTTTCATCTCTTGCCTATTATGAATAGTGCTTCCATGAACATGAATGTGCAAATATCGCTTTGATACTCTGTTTTTAATTCTTCTGGTATATATCCAGAAGTGGGATTGTTGGATCATATGGTATTTCTGTTTTTCATTTGTTAAGGAACTGCCATACTGTTTTTCACAGTGGCTTCACCATTTTAGTCCTGCCAATAGTGCACAAGGGATTCAGCTTCTCCACATCCTTTCAAACATTTGTTATTTTCTGTTTTTGTTTGCTTGTTTGTTTGCTTGTTTTGACAGTAGCCATCCTAATGGGTATGAGGTGACATCTCATTGTAACTTTGATTTGCATTTCTCTGATTATTAGTGATGTTGAGCGCTTTTTCATATACTTGTTGGCCATTTGCATATCATTTTTGGAGAAATGTCAAGTCCTTTGCCCCTTAAAATATTCAGGTTATTTGATATTTTTTTTGTTGTTGAGTTGTAGGCATTCTTTATGTATTCTGGATATTAACCCCTTGTATATGATTTATAAATACATTTTCCTATTCCATAGATTGCCTTTCAATCTGTTGATTGTGTTCATTGATGCACAAAAGTTTTTAAGTTTAATATAGACCCATTTGTCTATCTTTGCTTTTGTTGCCTGTGCTTTTGGTGTCATATCCAATAAATTACTGCCAAGTCCAGTGTCATAAAGCTTTCCTCTTATGTTTTGTTTTGTTTTCTTTTTCTTTTTTTTTTTTTTTTGAGACAGAGTCTTGCTCTGTTTTCCAGGCTGGAATGCAGTGGTGTGATCTCAGCTCACTGCAACCTCCACCTCCCGGGTTCAAGCAATTCTCCTGCCTCAGCCTCCTGAGTAGCTGGGATTACAGGTGTGTGCCACCACACCTGGCTAATTTTTTTTTTGTATTTTTAGTAGAGACAGGGTTTCACCACGTTGCCCAGGCTGGTCTAGTACTCCCGACCTCAGGTGATCCACCAACCTCGGCCTTCCAAAGTGCTGGGATTACAGGTGTGAGCCACCGTGCCCAGCCTGTTCCCTTTTTTTTTTCTTAATTGTTTTGGCTATTCAGGATCCCTTGATATTCCATATGAATTTTAGGATGGATTTTTCCATTCTTACAATAAATGCTATTGGCATTTTCATAGAGATTGCATTGAATCTGTAGATTGCTTTGGATAGTATTGACATCTTAACAATACAAAGTCTTCCAGTCTTGAACACAGAATGTCTTTCCATGCATTTGTCTTCTTAAATTCCTTTTAGCAATTTCTTTTCCTTGGTTAGGTTTATTCTTAGGGTTTTTGTTGTTGTTTATTGAGGCTATTGTAAATTGCTTTCTTAATTTTCTTTTTGGATTGTTCATTGTCAGTGTATACAAATGCAAACAATTTTGGTGTGTGGGTTTTGTATCCTGTAACTTTGTTGAACTTAACAGTTCAAACAGTCTGTGTGTGTGTGTACTATTTAGGGTTTTCTAACATAAGATCATGTCATCTGCGAGCAGAGATAATTTTATTTCTTCCTTTCCAATTTGAATGACTTTATCTAGTTTTCTTGCCTAATTCCTCTGCTTAGGACTTCAGTACTGTGTTGAATAGAAGTGGTGAAAACTGGCATCCTTGTCTTGTTTCTGATCTTAGAGGAAAAACTTTCTCTTTGACCATTGTGTATAGTGATGGGTATGTCATATAGGACCTTTATTATATTGATGTACTTTCCCTCTATTCTTAGCTTGTTGAGTGTTTTAATCATGAAAGGGTGTTGAATCGTGTCAAATGTTTTTTCCTGCATCAATTGAGGTGATCGTGTGGTTTTTGTCTTTCATTCTGTTAATGTGGTGTATTTTGATGATTGAGTTTTCTGTGTTGAACCATTCTTTCATTCCAGGTAGAACTTTCACTTGTTCATGATGTATAATTTGCTACTATTTTGTTGAGAATGTTTGCACCAATATTCATCAGGGATATTGCCCTATAGTCTTATATTACAGCCTCTTTGGCTTTGGTATTAGAGTAATGCTGTCTTCACAGAATGAGTTTGGAAGTGTTCTTCAATTTTTTTTGAAAGAGTTTGAAGATGATTGGTGTTAATTTTTAAATGTTTGGTAGAATTCTCCAGTGAAGTCATCTTGTTCCTGGGCTTTTCTTTGTTGGGAGGTTTTATGCCCATTTTTTAATTTTTTTTTTTTTTTTTTTGAGACAGAGTCTCACTCCCATCACCCAGGCGAGTGTGCAGTGGCATGATACAGCTCATTGCAGCCTCGACCTCCTAGGCTCAAGCAGTCCTCTTGCCTCATTTTTTTGTATAGACAAGGTCTCACTATGTTGCCCAGGCTGATCTCGAACTCCTGGGCTCAAGCGATCCTCCCACCTCAGCCTCCCAAATTGCTAGGATTACAAGCGTGAGCCACCATGCCCAGCCTAATTTGGTTCTTTTATTGTTGACTTGTAAGAGTTCTTTATATACTCTAGATATTAGACTTTTATCAGGTATGTGACTTACAAGTATTTTCTACTATTCTGTGGATTGTCTTTTCACTTTCTTGATAGCATCTTATGGCATAAAAGTTGAATTTTTTTTTTTTTTTTTTTTTTTTTTTTTGAGACAGAGTCTTGCTCTGTCGCCCAGGCTGGGGTACAGTGGTGTGATCTCAGCTCACTGCAACCTCTGCCTCCCGGGTTCAAGTGATTCTCCTGCCTCAGCCCCCCGAGTTGCTGGGACTACAGGCAAGTACCACCATGCCCGGCTAATTTTTTTTTTTTTTTTTGTATTTTCAGTAGAGACGGCGTTTCACCGTGTTAGCCAGGATGCTCTCAATCTCCTGACCTCGTGATCTGCCCACCTTGGCCTCCCAAAGTGCTGGGATTACAGGCGTGGGCCACCGCGCCTGGCCAAGTTTAATTTTTATTAAGTTCAATTTTATCTATTTTTTTCTCTTGTTGCTTGTACTTCAGGTATCACACCATTGCCTAATCCAATGTCAGAAGATTTTTACTTATGTGTCTAAGAGTTTTATAGTTTCAGATTATTGTTTGGTATTTGATTTGTTTAGGTTAGTTTCTGTATAATGCCTGAGATAGGGGTCCAAATTAATTCTTTTACCTGTGGATATCCAATTGTCCCTGCACCATTTGTTGACAAGATGGTTCTCTCCCCACTGAATGTCTTGGCACCCTTGCTAAAAATCAGTTGCCTGTAAATGTGTGGATTTATTTTTGGATCCTCAATTGTATTGTCTATGTCCTTCCTTATGTCAGAACCACAGTCTTGATTACTATAACTTTATAGTAAAATTTTAGAATCAAGAAGTGTGTCTTCCAACTTTGTTCAAGATTGTTTTGGTTTCTCTCTGAGTCTCTTGCACTTCCATATAAATAATAAGATCTGCATGTCAGTTTTTGCAAGAGAAGCCAGCTGGTTTTTTGATAGGGTTTGTGTTGAATTTGTAGATCAGTTTTGGAACCACTCATACATTTTGCCTCACTATTTCATGTGTCAATCTAATGTTCTTGATTCCTAGTGCCACCGCCTTCATTTGAATTCCCATCACACGTTGCCTTGATGTTTGCAGTGGCTTTTTATATATTCTCTATGGCTTTTGTCTGCTTCTCTTCCAACCACTTTTTCTCACTGTTGTCAGGATGATTTAACTAAAAGGCTTAAGATCCTCTAGTAACTCCCCATGGCTTTCAGAAGTGATTCACTAACTTATTCAAATAAATGTCTCTTAAGCCCTTAATGTGCCAGGCATTATTCTGGGAATACAGCAGTCAACAAAACAAATAATAATAGTTGCCCTCATGGAGCTTACATTCTAGTGTTGGGGATGTAATAAACAAAATCAGTCAAGTATACAGTGTCATGTATAGTGCTGCAGAGGGAAAATGAAGCAGGATGGGGTAAGGAGAATATGCAGTTTTAAACAGGGTGGTCAGGTAGGGCCTCACTGACGCATCTGAATAAACACCTAAAAAAATGCATATATCTGAGAAGGCTTTGTAGGCAGAGAAAATAGAAACTGTAAGGGCTCTGAGTTGGCAATGAGTCTGGCGTGTTTAAGGAATATCAAGGAGGCTAGCAGGCTGGGGAGGAGGGGGTAAGGAGAGTAATATATGAGGTCAGAGATAACAGGAAGCAAATTGTATATGGCCTTGTAGGCTATTATTAGTGCTGTGGCTTTTACAGTGAGGTGGGAAGTCATTGGAGGGTTTTAAGTAAAGGGGTAACAAGTCCTGACTAAAGTTTTAATAAAATTGCTTTAGCTGATGTGTTGAGAAAAATCCTGTTGTGTCGGGGGGTAGAGTGGAGGTAAGATGAAAGTAGGGGATCAGTTGTGGTAGGCAGCCTCTAAAATGCCCCCAATGGTCCCTGCCTTCTGGGATTCACACTCTTGTGTAATCTCTTCCCCTTGCGTATGGTCTGGACTTACTGACTTGCTTCTAATGAGTAGAATATGGCAAAGTGATGAGGCATCACTTCTGAGATTAGGTTATAAATAGCTTCCATCTTGCATGCCCTCTCTTGCTCACTTGGTTGCAAGCCAGCTGCCATTTTGTAAGCTGCCTTTTCGAGAGGTCCGTGAGGGAAGGAACTGAGAGCAGTCTCTGGCCAACCAGCCAGTAAGAAACTGAAAGTCCTTAGTACAGCAACCCATAAAGAACTAAATAATACAAACAATCACATTAATGAGCTTGGCTGCAGGTTTAATCTCAGTTGAGCCTTCAGGTGATACTGCAGCTCTGACTGACAGCTTGACTGCAGCCTTGTGAAAGACCTTGAGGCTTTGGTACCCAGATAATCTGCACCCATATCCTGGATCCACAGAAACTGGGATAAAGTCTATTGTTTTATGATGCGAAATTTTGGGGAAATTTTTTATGCAGCAATAGGGAAGTAATATGTCAGTTAAAGAGTTACTGCAGTTATCCTGAGATGATGGTGACTTAGACCAGGATGACGACCAGGTTGACAAACACTCTAAATATTAATGCATTTGAATTCTGGATATACTTTAAAGGCAGGTCTATTTTCTGAGGAAGTAGATATAAATGGGGGTGAGGGGCGGTGGTCATAGTGTAGTAAGAAACATCACAACCAAGTGGGATTTATTTTAGGGATGCAAAGTTGGTTTACCATTTGAAAATCAACCAAGGTAGACTGGGTATGGTGGCTCATGCTTGTAGTCCCAGCATTCTGGGGGGCTGAGGTGGGAGGATTGCTTAAGCCCAGGAGTTGGAGATCAGCCTGGGCAACATAGTGATACTCTTGTCTCTACAAAAAATTTAAAAATCGGCTGGGTGTGGTGGTGAGTGCCTGTAATCCTAGCTACTTGGGAGGCTGAAGTGGGAGGACTGCTTGAGCCCAGGAGTTCCAGGCTGCAGTGGAGCCATAAGTCTGCCACTGCACTCCAGCCTAGGCAACAGGGGGTGACTCTGTCTCTTAAACAAAAAACCAAAATCAGCCAAGGTAATTCACTGTATTATCAAACTAAAAAAATTAAATCACATGATCCTCTCAGTAAATGGAAAAAAAAGCATTTTTCAAAATTCAACACCTATTCATGGTTTTAACCATGCCTATATAACACTGTACCAGTATTAAGCACACTGTACTAGCCAGTGTGCGGGGCAGTAACAAGTAATTTTAGGCATAAAGATTGGAAAGAAAAAAATTAACCTTTTAGTTCTCAGATGACGTGACTGTGTATGTGAAAATCCAAAGGATTCTATACAAAAGGAGTAAAAAACCTACTGGAACAAATGAGTGAATATAGAAGGGTTGTAGGTTAACAAAGTTAAAATTGATTTGTCCAGGATCATATCCTTATTTTTTTTTTTCGTTTTTTTTTTTTCTGTGAGACGGAGTCTCGCTCTGTCGCCGAAGCTGGAGTGCAATGGTGTGATCTTGGCTCACTGCAACCTCTGCTTCCTGGGTTCAAGTGATTCTCCTGCCTCAGCCTCCCAAGTAGCTGGGACTACAGGCGTGCACCAACACGCCCAGCTCATTTTTGTATTTTTAGTACAGACGGTGTTTCACCATGTTGGCCAGGATGGTCTCGATCTCTTGACCTTGTGATCTGCCTGCCTTGGCCTCCCAAAGCGCTGGGATTAGAGGCGTGAGCCCTTGCGCCCGGCCCCTTATTTCATATTTTATTTCTGTGTTCTAGTAAGGCTAATAGGAAAATAAATTTGAAAGTGATTCCCCTTACCATAGCATAAAAAAATCATAAAAAATTAGGACTTTAACAAAGTATTTGCCAGATACCTAAAGACTACCAAACATCACTGAGATAAATTAAAGACAACCTAAATAAATGGATACACCATGTTCATGGATTGGAGGACTCAATATTGTTGAGATGTCTGTTCTTTCCAAATTGATGTATAGATTCAGAGCAATACAAATGAAAACCACATCAGGTTTTCCTTTTTTTTTTTTTTTTTTGTAGAAAAGTCAATTCATTTTAAACAGAGGCACCATACAATTCGATGGAGGAGGAGAATATTTTAAAGAAAGAAATGGAGTTAAACCAGATAACCTTGTGGGGTGGGGGGGAGTTGCAGGGAAGGAAGATCCTCATTCCTTGCTGCCTTGCATCATACTCAAATGAATATGAGATATCATCTTTGACCTAAACATAAAAGTTAAGAAGACTAATGCTTTCAGAAGAAAACATGGGAAAATTTCTTCATGACCTTGGGGTTGACAGAGTTTTTAGAAGTCATGAAAATCACCTAAAACTAACTAACTAACTATAAAAGGAAAAAAAATTGGACTTCATCAAAATACAACACTTCTGCTCCCCAGAGTGACAATTAAGAAAATAAATAGGCAAGCCACAAACTGGGGGAAAAATGCTAGCAATACATACATAAGACAAAGGACTTATATCCTTACCTTAAGGATTCCTACCATTCAGTAACAAGAAAAGTAGCCTAATGAGAAAATGGCCAGACTTGAACAGACATTTTGAAAAAATCATAAATCACCAATGAGCATACGAAAAAAGGATTAAAAACATCATCATGGAAATGATAACCATAGTGAGATGCTTTATTAGAATGGCTAAAATTAAAAAGACACCACCAAATGTTGGCAACTGGAACTCTCATAGTTGCTGGTGGCAGTGTAAAATAGTACCTACAGCCACTGTGGAAAACTTTTTGATAGTTTCTTATAAACAAACATAAACCTACCCTATGACCCTGCAATTCTACTCCTAGTTATTTCACAAAACAAGTGAAAACATAAGTCCACAAAGAATGTTCATTATAACTTTATTTAACAACAGCCCCAAACTGTAAAAGAACAAATGTCCATAAAGAGGAGAAAGGACAAATTGTGGTACATTCATGCAATGAAACACTACCGAGTAGCAAAAAGAAAACTATGGGTCCTGGCACAACGTAGATGAGTGAGTCCCACAGAGACGCTGAGCAACAACGCCAGACACAAAGGTGACACACTGTGTATTTCATTTACATAAAATTCAAGAGTAGGCAAAACTAATCATCTAAGACAACAGAAATCAGAAAATGGTTGCTGGGACAGGACCAAGAGGGGAATAAATTCACTGCAAAAGGCACAAGGGACCCTTGAGGAATGACGGAAGGGTTCTTAACCTGGATTGGGTTAGGGTTACATGGGTGTAGAGAGTTATCAAAAGTGAGTAACTATAATCCTAAAATCGATACATTTTACTGTGTACAAATTACATCTGAATACAAACCATTTTCCCTTAAATTAGTATTTAAAAATTTGATTTATCACAGGGCTCTCTGGCTGTTCATAGAGAGGTGTGGTGACTTACTTATCTCCATTTACAATAGCCTTTCCTTTGAGTCAGTTAGCTCTTCAATATAAAACTTGAATTGTTTTTGAATTCACTAATTAATTTTCTAGTGAGATGCTTCTAATAAAATTTTTTTGTCCTAAATAATTTATTCATTATTCATCATGTTCTACTTGTATATTAGAAGTTAAAGACAGTAGTCGCCCTAAAGATAGTCCAAACACTCCTTTTTAAATATAAAAACAGATGCCTAAACTGATTTGTCTAGGATCGTATTCTTATTACATCTCAAAAATACATTACATAAATCATGCATTGTCATCCTTTGCAAATACTAAAAACTGGGCAAAGACAACAGCTTAACTTTTTAAGCAGATGTAGATTAGACAATTATGTCTGTTCTAACTTGCAACCGAGGAAGCAGTGCAAATAACTGGTTGTCAGGAAGCTGGAATATTTTATATGGACGTATACATTCTATTATCAATCAATCAATCAGTCCTATATTTTTAAAAAAGCACATATTTTCTATGAACCAGGCCATTTCCAAATTCACAAGTGCTCTTGGCTGGCTTTTCATGAATGATGCAATTTCTAGTTGAGGTATGCTGGTATCTACAGCTGGCACATTCCTATCAGAGCCTTTTCCAGGAGTTGTACTGATGATGATCTATAAAAGCTGGGTAAGAACTACATTTTAAAAAACTGCAGTCAGTGAAAGGCATAAATGATATCCCTGTGCTATAATGAAGGGTAAATACAGTAAAACTTAACTTGAAACAAGTTTGGCAGTGCAGGTTGTGATAAACAGAGACAGGCTTAAAATGCTTAAATAAAGGAACACTTTTAATTATATAGGAAAGTTTTTATTTGATAAATATAACTTCATAAACTTTAAAAAATTATGAGTAGCTGTACAATAATATACTACATTTACTGACAATGCAGAGAATTTTTAAAGGATTACATTAGACAGCCACAGTGTCTCAGGTCCAAAATTTTAAACCAAGTATTGCTACAATATTTCCAGATACTCATTCCTCATAAAAATCTAAATTACCATGATTACAAACATATCATGAGTTATGATCTATTTTTTATAGGAACAACATTCAAGTTATTTCACATAAAACAGCACTTTAATAGTGTTTTACTTTTATGAAAATAGATAACTCATTTCAAAATAGAAATAAAATGTCTGTACGTGGGGACCAAAATTAATAAAACATGTTTTACGTAACTCTTTGGTGTGTTATTTTTATTAATACCTGCTTATATCATACCCCAAACTGATCTTTACAGGAAAAACACCAACATGGAAGATTCTCCCTTTTCCTACAGCCTTCACGAGATTTTTCAGAGTAGCATATTTTAAAAACTTTTGGCTCTTAACTGTCAATTTTCTAGTGGCCTTGACTCCTGCCTATTAGGAGTCTCAAGCGATCAGATAAGTTCAATCTCACAATCTTTTCCAGTAGAAATGACCTCAGTCCTGGTACTAACCGTAGGGCAGAATGCAAGTATTTCCTAGGGTTGATTTGCCTCTGTTTAGTCTCCTGTTCAGGATAGGGCCTGGGTGTGGCTCAGGTCTGGAAGCCTTTGTGTATTATGAGCTTTAGACCCAAGAAAGAGGACAGTTAGAAAATTCAGACCATAAATTCTCCCCTTTTCTCAACTCGACAGCAGGTCTTCGTAGCTGTAGTTCTCCCTGGCCCATACTTTGCTCCGCCCAGGGTGAGCCTACGCCTGCTGAAGCTGAGGCAGGGTGCTGAGTCACTTAAAGCAGCTGAGGGGCAATTTTGGAAACTGACTTGGTGCTTGCCACTATCTTCAGGCTTACAGCCCTCAGACGAGGCAAAGGGAGGCAAATCGATTTGAGACCACTGATTAGCAATAACGTATTTAGCATTTTGCTCTGGTTTTGGCAGATAAGGGTAAGTTAATTATCAACATCATACTTTCCAAAGAAAGAATTTTAAAGAAATATGCAAAGGGGACACTTTCCTTGTGATTACTGGTTACGTAGTAAGAGTTTTACAGGATGAATATAGCACTAGAAAACTACTGAAAGCTTGCAGACTGCATTGTTACTTTCTTAAATAAATAGAAAACTCTTTTCTTAAAATCACAAGATAATTTTGCTTTAAAAACGGAGTGGATTTGGAGTAACAGTTCAGGATGAGCACACTAGTGGTTGCCATTTACTTTTTTTAAAAAAATAAAGTTCTCCTTAACTAACTTCAAATGGTGAGTACAGAAAATTACATCAATCACACTTTAAGCACCATTATAGGCGAGCTGACCTCCTGTCTTGCTGCAGTTGGTCATAGGCTATTTTATGACTTTGGAGTCTTTGTCTGGTGTCAGTACTCAGTTTATTTGATGGCAAATAAACACGGTCATGTAAATGTAATGCAGGCCTACTGGGTGTCATTTTGTTATATGCACGTTTTATAAGAGATTTTATGAGCAAATTTCCATATCCTCCCACCTAGTACTCTACTGAGTATATCTTCATTATTTCCTCTTCTGGAACATGAATTAGTGAATGCAGACATTGTACGTTGTATTATTCTTTTTAGTACTTCCAGAATAACAGATCTTCCTAAATCCAGCTATGAAATATCTAAGTTAAAGAAGGACTATTTTTGAAAATTAATATTTAGCTTAATAACTTAATATCCTTACATCACTGGAACAGACAAATGTTACATTAGCAAGAAAATAATAGTTTACAAGCAAACAAGGATAAAGTCTTAATTTCTGTCTCTACCATTCTTTCCCCTGCCAGTCCAATTCTAGAAGCCTTATATTCATGAAATGGGAAGGAAGCTTAGGGCTGCACAATAAATCTCCATAAAGGAATTACATTTTCAAGGGAAAACTTGGTAAAACCGCATTTAACCATTATCTTAATATGTATACAATCATTATTTGCTTAGAGCTGGGTAATAGTTCTCAAGCTAATAATCACTTCTAAATCTTAAGACAACATTACTTTTCAATAAAACAAAAACAAATGACAATACTGAACTACTTGATAAATTCAGGATGGAAGTTAGGTTTTGAAGTGCAATGAGTTAATTACAGTAACATGTACCCGATTAATCATTCTTAGCATTTAATTTATTGCTAACATTACCTGATACAAGTTGAGCATTTTTACATTCCACAGCCACACCTGAAATATGCCTTGTACTGGGACACTGGCAGAACTCACTGTATTGTGGTAGTTTGCTATAAGTTAGATGACATAACCTGAAAATAAGATTATTAACTGAAACCCTTTATTCTAAAATCTAGCTTATAGAAAGGGAAGAGCATGTCTAAGTCGGCTGCAGAAAGAGGCTCTTCTTTTTGTATTCATTTAATTACCCATACTATTCTGATTTGTATAATTAAACATATTTGCAATATTTAAATACTGTCCAAACTTTTTATTGATATAGTTAAACTGTACAACGATGTCATGAAATACTATACACAGAGCCTTCAGGTAAAGAGAAAAAAAGCAAATTTAAATATGTTAACCAGATTAAAGCATGCAAAAGATCCAATGATAAAGACATTAAATTAATAATATGCTAATAGTATCTAATTTACCCACTATAGGGTCTTTATACTCTGTCACAAAAATATTAGTAAACATCAATTTGAAGTTCGGTGAACGGACCTGATTCCTGATTTGTATATATGATATACCCTTGCATTTATATGGCTAACTTTACAGGCTGTGTTACAGTACAGTTAGAGGAATTGGTATAAATTTACTCCCCATACTGCAGTAAATAATGGTTGGAAATGATTCTCCTAATTTGCTCTGTGAACTCAGAATGCATTAATGAATTAACAACACAGGTCACTGAGGGACCAAAATTCCTCAGTATTCACATTAACTTTTCCCATGAAAAGCTTTAAATATAACTCTAATAAAAAAATAGAGTTCTCAAGGCAAACTTTCAGCATAATTTACAGAAGCAGATTTAAATAGAAGAGTCAATAATCAAGCTAATACTAAAAAATACTCTTTACTAAGATTTCTCTCTTTTTTCTACATTTATATTAAAATATAATGGCCTCAGCAACAGACTGAAATGCCATTAGGAGTCCCATAAGCACAAGGGACAAACCAGACAAAGAGATGAAAAATGTCTCTTTATTCTCAAATTTTAACATGTTCAGATTCAAATTAAGGGTGTTGGGAGGGGCTTGTACTAATGCTTTCTGTTTGTTTGCCATTATAACTCTGAGTGGGTATGAACTACTACAAAGATTTTGGAAATTAATTTCAGAGCTAGTGTGGCCATTAACAGGGTGATCACACTGAATTTTAGGAAAGGAGGTGAACTGGCTCCCACAAAGTACTACTGCCCCTTTAACAAGTAGATGAGTCCATTGTGGAGAGAGTCAAGATGCTCCTGTCGTTGGTATAGAAAGGATCCGATGCACTCCATGATCTAAAGTAACAATAAGAGAAAAGTTTGGCTCACCAGGACCTATGTTTTAATTGAGAAAAAAATTTACTCTAAAACTTAGGACCCAAATGCAATCACTGATTGATTCATTTAAATACTAAAGAGAGGTTCTTCATACTAGTATCGAATGCCCAAACTTTCTATTTATATTATATAAAAACTTGGGAAAAATAATGCTCTAGTCATCATATAAAAATATTAGCCAAAATTCAAACATTCATTAGCATTAAAACAGTTTCTATATGTAGTAAAGCATGAGCTGCTTTTAAAGTGTTAACAATTCAATAAGAAGTATGTTATTAAGAGTTATGCACATTGTTTTACTGAAAAGTTCAGTTTACAAAAACAAACCCAAATCCCACTTACCAAAGGCTTTGGAATGAAACAGTAGTATGTTCCTATTATTGATCATTTCATTTCAGCTATAAATCCTATTCTAAAGACTTCCGCATAATTAGCTTGAATGTAGCGAATGATGTATTCAAAAGGCATCAAAGACACCTGTAGGTCACTAGCGTTTTCACTTAATAAGGACAAACGATCCTCTACTGGTCTGGAAAAGTTAACTGGTGTTTGAATGATAAGGCCCTAAAGCAAGTCATTACATAATACTTTATGTGCAGCTGTAAACTTAAATTAGCTTGAGTTAATTTAAGCTAAAATAACTCAAGACCAAAAGTAGCCTGCCATGCTTAAAATAGACTAACCTAGTTCAAGGACAGTATTAGGATTACCAAGTGAAAGACTGCTTTTCTTATGAGACTAAACACATTTAACAATAAATACATTTTATGTAACTTTTTCCAGGGTTCCCACCTTCCCTAAACAGAGATGTTACAGGAAGAGATGAGCGTTAAAAAAGGCCCCAATTCACCTTTGTCAAATATTTTCTCTTTCCCAGAGATGCTAAGTTTGTATGTAGCTCAACTTTAATTCGACTAGTTTCTAGAAAAGCTGGAACAGTATCTACCTTAGGTTAGGGAAGGACTTGTTCACTACTGTCTCCCTAGCATCTAGAACTGTGTCTGACATATATTGGGCACCCAGTATTTGCAGAATAAATGAATAAAATGAGAAGATGAAAATTTCTTAAAGAGTAAGTATTTACAGGGGACAAGTATGCTTTTAACTATAACTTTTAACTATAACAGCTATCAGTACTCCAATTATCCGGAGTCAGATGTCCAATTCCAAACTGCCAATACTTTATATTAGTTTTTCTTCTTTCCACATTGCTTACACAGAATAATCTTATTAGGTAAAGTCTCCTTCATTTTAAATTTTTTTTCAAAGCACACATGTGCATTCATATGTTAAATATAATTTTTGACAGAACATTAAACACTTGAACTACATATTACTTTCTATTTAGAAGATAGTTTTGATGAGGATACAGTAGCTTAACTGTTAGTAATACACGAACAGAAAATCTTTTATTGCTAAAATCCAGCTCTTTAGGGTGCAACATGGCATATTCTTTATATAGCACCATGATGCTCTCTTTGAAACTGAGCTTGCAATATGGGATACTTCATTGACAACATCAATTAATAAAATGTAAGTCAAATTTTTGTGCCTGGATGGTACAAATGTAATCACCAAAGAAATCTGTCACATAAAAACACTGGTGGCATTTCTCAAGTGATGCCCATTACTCTTGACTTTACTATGTCAATGGAACACACAGCTAAGGGCTTCTACATCTTGGAATGGCAGTCTCAGACTTGCCCCACCTCTTAAATTAGACATGAAATAGAAACATAGAATAGATGCTACTCTAAAGTCACAATGGAAATGCCCAACACATTTCACAAATACAATTATATGTAAACAAAAAGAGAACTCTATGTATCAAAATGACTTTGCAAGTTTAAATACAATATTGATGCATCTATGGCAATTTTCACATAGCCCTTGAAAAGCACCAGGTAGCTTGGTGTTATTATATGACTTTATCCCCTAGAAAAGAATGAACAGGTCTGAAAAGACCTTCTAGATTATTCACATGAGAAAAAGGGTAAGAAAATAATAGTAACCAATAATATAACCTGTGATGTTGGAGAAACCTGGAAGGGCATTTATAGTCTAATATGATATTAATTACTAAGTTAAACATTTTATTAGGAGAATAAAAAAATTCAGAAAAAAACAATATGGCGCAATTTTAAGTGAAAAGAAGTATAGATGATAATAGCTACCTTCAAGAGAACATGTAAAAGTAAATTCAATAACTCCTGGGGCAGGTTCAAAAGAGGTAATGCTGCATCAAAATGGCTATGTAAAGAATAATGGGGGCATATTACCATAATCGATATCAAGAAAATGGATATATGTATATAGCAGAAAAAATCTGGGGCTCATTTAAAATTAATTCTAGTTTTAAAAAAATCATTAACAAAAACGTATATTGTCATTAAAGAGAAATTTCCATTGAAGGAGAAGTTGAAAAAATTCTGTAGAGGTTCTATTGTATCTTAGTCTAACTCCTATCTTGATTCTGTGCAATGAAGCTATGTTATTAGGTAAAATAGTATTATAAATCAAGCTCTTTGGGAAATTTGCTGGCCTAGGTACATGACAGAGCCACATTTTATAATACAATTATGTAAATCATAACAAAGTCCCAGAGTTTAAGTGCTCATCCTTCTACGTGGAATGAAATTACTACAAAATGGTATCACAGCATTATGGAAATATTTCAGATCACGTTATAATCAAGTCAGAATAAACGGGGATTGAAACCACAGACATTATGTTAACATAAGAATGCTATTTATAAATTCAATTGTATCATAAAGGCATGGCTAAGCTAAAGCTAAAGTGAGAACTAACAAGTTCACCAGTAAAAGTTACCTGAATTTTATAACAGATGAATGATATCATACTCATCATTTTTTTAAAACACAAAGCTAACCAAATAATAAAAATCCTTTTTCCAGTAGATAGGAGTAGTGCCTTCTTCACTCTTTATAACCTGTTCCTGGGGTAATTTCCAACCTTTTCCAAGCCCTGGCACATGTAGAAAGTGCTAATATTCATGTAGCACATTTGGGACAATGGCAACCAACATCTCTCCCTGCCCATTTGTACCTCCATGCATACCGTGTACTGCTGCCCTGATTTTGAGAATATGGTATCATTCACCTAAAGAACACCAAGTGTGGAAAAAGCTCTTTCTACCCCCTAACATCCTCTAAATAGTGATATAACTCTTGGGGAAATGTATGAATAAATAAATCCATTGCAAGTTTAAATGAATTTTAAATGGTGTTTACCAAAAGGTGTTTTTTTTCGTTATGGTGCACAACAGCAGGCATGGTGATAAATCTCATTCAAGAAACAGATTTAGGAGGGGACAAAAATGCTAAGATTCTTTTACTCCATAATTTAAAAAGCCTGTTCTAACTCATACACTTTTAATTAGGCAATAAATACCAAGCAAAAGAAACTTAAAAATCATGACTCATTTCAAAACTTCATTACAGACATAAGAAGAGGTAGGGGAGCAGAAATACAGCCTTTTGTGTTTATAAATACCTCAAAGCCTCAAATAACCAACTGGAAAATATACATACAGAGTAAGAAAAGGAAAGCCTTTGACTTCACTGTTATGTTGAGATTATTTTGTAAAGACAAAAAGCAAAAAAATTTTAAAAAAATAAAAAGGAAATAGTATATGTATAATTTAAAAAAGAAAGTTATACAAACCATAAAAGAGTACCATAAACACACTCCTACTGAGCACATTTTAGAAAGATTATGAAACAAAATTTTTTGTTCATTAGATGAAGTCTCTTCAAAGGTGCTTTCTCTTCCTTTGTGAGTGAAAAAGCCCTTACCCCAAAGCCACAAAGTGAAATCTACCACCAAAGAGTGCTAATAAATAGCAGACTTCCTGCTTCAGTTGGTAAAACCAGCTGCTGATTTATTAGGTATCTAGAGCGGCAGGTTCATCCTGTTCCAGATAGGATACTCATCTGCAGCAAAGGCTACTTAGAGAGATTTCACACCTGCTGATGTGGGTTGGACTACATCTTCCTATAACTCGTTCCAGCATTCTTCCAACAGATGCACACGCTGCTTCTCCTTCCGGGAAACAGCACATGGAGTCCAAGCACTTGATACCTGCATTTGTTTCAGTAAGCTGCGGGAGGTGAAGCAGAAAACATCAGTTGTTTAAAGATATGGACTTCTGAAAAGCATTAGAACATTACAACAAGCACTTTCAAATCAAAGGTAACATATATAAACCTACATGTTTTTCTATAATATGGGAAACATATGAAAGGCTTTAATTTACTAGAGTATAACCATCCAAAATTATTTTAAAGCCTTGTATCCTAAATTAGAGGTCTAGTAAAATAATTATATAAATTAAGAAGCTGGATATTATGTAAATCTACTTTTAATGTTTCATTTTAATCATTTATTATGGTCAAAATGATTTCCATCAACCACTCAGGAATGTAATGAATTCCAATTCTGCATGGAGTTTTTCTTTAGGTGAAATGCTCCTGCAATTTCAATTAAAAATGTCTAGCCTGCAATTTCAATGAACAATGTCCAACAATTGAGATAAGTGGAGTATGAATTATCTTTAAGACTGGGAAATAACAATCAGGCAGGACCTCACCCCAATGTTCAGTAACAACAACAATGGCAGCAAACACTTTACGTATGCTTTACTATGTGCCAGGTTCTAAGCACTCTACATAGATCCACTCCATACTTATCTTTGAAAAAAGCATCATTTATCATAAATTGCTAAAAACTTTTAAGTGGCAATCATCCCATCATCAGCTCATCCTGCTTTGTAACAGTTAGCTGACAGTTTAATAAATTAAAATTTATTAAACAAGTGAATAAGTAGTACTATCAAGATTTGAAACTGAATTACTTTCTGAAAGTATGCAAGATTTATGTTGATTCAGGCATAAATAGCCCAGCAAGATAATTTTATTCCACACGACTAACAATTTTAACTGAGTAAAAATGAGGGGGAAAGATGGTATGACCACGTAGCTCGATGAATCCCAACCCTGGTTTTGTTTGTCAAAGATGCTCCGAAATTTTTCAAGGGCTGTTGTTTTAAAAAAAAAACACCTTATTTCAATTCACCTTCTTTTACATATATAACATCCTACGTAACACATCTTTTGAGGATAGAGAAGGAGAATAAATACAGGGCTGCACTTCCACGAAGGTTGGGAATCACCATGTGCTGGGTGCAGGCAACAGAGGATGTTTGTGGAGATGCTCACAATGAACAGAAGAGACGGACGTGATGGAACAGAAACCTGGCATTCTGAATGTAAACAACTGCTGATGTCCTGCAAGATCCATGCTCAGAAGATTCAACACCACACAGTGTGAAACAACATGGTTCTTATCTGGCAACTGCCTGATGACAGTGTCCTAGGATCAGCTAAGCACTGAGAAAGAGCCAAACTTGACTTGTTCTTTCGTTACAATACTCTTGGTTTAGAATTGTTTAGGGCACAGTTTCTTAAACTGTGTTTTGTAAGATATTTACAGACATTTCATGAAAAAAAAAAAGGGGGTCAGTGTTCAATTAAATTTGGGAAACACTAATTTAACAAAGTTCTAAACAGACTTTTAAAGTAGAGGACTGTGAAGTCAGGATACATGGTCATCTCCATGGGGGAAGCCTGAGATATCATAATTCTCCACTCATTTTCTTAGTGGGAGAAACCATACACCCCCACCCACCAACCAGCAAATATTAAGCAACACCAGGAGGATCATTCATATTCAGAGGAACAGTTTAGGAAATGCTGGTTTAGGTAACAGGATTTCATCAGTTTTCCAGTATTCTCTTTGGGTCCCTGGACTCCAGTTTTCCCAATCTCAAATTTACCCCTTGTAGCAACCCAGACTCCAGGGCTCCTACATGCTCAAAGGATAAAGCCCCACACCGCATGAAGCCTTGAAGGCCCTTTACAGCCTGACCCCAGGCTGCCTTTCCTGCTCTGCTTCCCAATGCTCTGGTGCAGTCTCCACTCCAGCCAACCAATGTTCCCTGCCTGTGGGCAACGTGTCGGGGCCTGCCATCAATCAGGGTCAGAATGCTGACCCCTACATCAGCGTTCAGCTTAAATCCTACCGTCTCCATTAACTTCCCTCACCTCTCCAACTATGAGTCATCTCTTTCTCTGATTCTATTTCACTGCTTATTTGTATCACTTAATTGGCACAAGCACTTAAACTTCTATTTATTGAGCAAGGTACTGTGCCACTTTCCACAGGGGATAGTAACCCTGTGCTCAATCCGGTGAGCTAAAGGTAAGGAAGAAGGTGGGAGAGAGGACAAGTCAGGAAGACATACCAACAGCAGTTACATTAGTGGAGTGCTCACCACGTATGCCCCAGTGACTATGTAAGATGCTTCTCATGGATTGTCTCACTGAAAACTTAAACAGCCCTTAGGAATAGGCATCATGATCATCCCCAGTTTACAGATGAGGAAACCGTTAAGAATTTGTTCAAGGTCACCCACTTAATCTGGGGCTTGAATCTTGGTTTCTTTGCTTGCAGAGCCCAAACCCCTTTACCATAGCACTTCCTGCCTTATGATTATAAGAGGCAGACTACTCAGAAAACAGGAGGGAAAGCTCAAACCCAGCTGCTGTTAGTGGTACTGGTGGGAGGGCATGAAGATTTGATGAAAAAGGTGGCATTTAAAATACATCTTAAAGGACTTAGCGGGGGGGGGCATTTCAATAGCAGGAGATGGGGGGGAAAAGATATTCCAGGCTGAAGGAGGAGAAAGAGTGGCTATGTGTGGGCAGCAGTGTGGTGTGTATTCCGCAGAAGCTTAGCCTAAGTGTAAGGGAGTGGTACTGTCCCCTTGCAAAAAGACCAGTTGTGACTCACAGTGTGGTCCATAGATCAATGCTGATCCATAAACACTATTACTGGCCCATGAAGAAATAAGCATTTCTAATCTGTGAGAATAAGAGCTTAGAAATTTTTACAGCAGTTGGACAAAGTATGTTTATAACTGTTAAATTCAATAATTTAAAAATTGGGGCTTATTTTATATATCTTTTAGATTTAATTTTCCTATAATTCATTTTTATTGTATTTGTAAAAGCACTGGCTCAAGATAAACTGGAAATTAAAACAAAACAAGAAAATAACAAACTGGTCCTTCACCACATTTACTTGGAGAGAACTAAACCAGAAACTCAAAAGAGCAAGGATCTTGTCTGACACTTTAGTTTAACAACATGTGCTTTGCTCAAAGCTGGTGCTCAATCAACTGGGAGAAATTCATCGAGATGACACCCAGAAGGTAGCCAGCGCTTGAGTATCCATATATGTGCAAGACACTGCCTTGGTCTGGATCTGACCCTGGTAATCATCTTGCTTTGCATTCATCACCTTTCACCTTATTTTTATTATTTTTAGAGACAGGGTCTTGCTCTGTCATCCAGGCTGGAGTGCAGTGGCACAATCGATCCTAGCTCACTGCAGTCTCAACCTCCTGGGCTCAAGCAATCCTTCCACCTCAGCCTCCTGGGTAGCTACTACAGGTGTGCGTCATCATGTCAGGCTAATTTTTAATTTTAGTAGAGACAGGGTCTTACTATACGGCCCAGGCTGGTCTCAAACTCCTGGCCTCCAGTGGTCCTCCCACCTCAGCCTCTCAAAGTGCCGGGATTACAGGTGTGAGCTACTGAGCCTGGCCATCCTTTGCTTTAAAACTGAAGGACAGTTATTAAAATATGGACATCCCAACAGAGAAGGTAAACATCTTGAAATGTCAAAAATTTTAAGAAATGACTTCTTCAGATCACTTTTTGAACTAAGTGTATATATATGTGAATATATAGTTTGTATGTATATGTTTCCTTTTTTCTCTAAAGAAAAAAAAGAACTCAGCTGCTTTTTTTTTTTTTTTTTTTTTTCTGGAGGCCGAGTCTCACTCTGTTGCCCAGGCTGGAGGCTGGAGTGCAGTGGTGTGATCTTGGTTCACTGCAACCTCCGCCTCCTGGGTTCAAGCAATTCTCATGACTCAGCCTCCTGAGTAGCTGGGACTACAGGCACACACCACCACGCCCAGCTAATTTTTTGCATTTTAGTAGAGATGAAGTTTCACCATGTTGCCCAGGCTGGTCTCAATCTTCTGAGCTCAGACAATCCGCCCACCTCAGCCTCCCAAAGTGCTAGGATTATAAGCATGAGCCACCGTGGCCAGCCTCAGCTGCTTTTAAAATGCTGAATGTTGGCTGTGTTTCTGTAAAGCTATCTATAGAAAATGCTATACTGTTCTCTAGCAAACCTCCAAGCTCTACTACTTTCCCATATATACATCTTTGATCTCAATATTCAGGAACTGGGAGCTCGGGCCAGAGTACCTGTATAGACATAGTTGCCAGTATAATTGGGTGAGGAGAATGGGAGTGGAGCATTTAGAGCCCATTTCATTCAAAGTAAGGAGAGGAAATCATTACATTTTTGGGGGAAATCATTACATGTTTTGGGAGACCACTTTTAAATAATAGAAAAGAAAAAAAAAGCATAGTAATGGGAGTGAGACCCCACCTAGTGGTACCAAGAGGTAACTTTTAATTTACTAGAAGTTGTGATTGGTAAGCCTCACTTTCCACCACACTTGCTCCCAGGAATGACCACATAATTTAGTGCTAGAAAGGCTGTCAAGCAAAACAACTATGTCTATTCAACATGACTATGCACAGATAATAAAAATGCTCATCTTCACAGAAATTGCCTTTTGAAATAAATTCTGGCTCACTGCTTTTATTTCCATTATTTTCATGTCAATGACAATAAACACTAAGACATTTCTTATTGCTTATACAAAATATTTTCCTGAAACCTTACAACCTTCCTTAAATCTTATAAATTTTAGAAAAATGTCTCACATTTCTAACATTTTTTAGTCACACCTATGACATTCTATCAAATCAAATAAAGGTTTTTGTTTTTTAAAGTTTAGATAATAACTGTCAAACAATTAACCATGCTAGGTCTTTTGCCCTTAAAGGTGTTCTATATACTGGATAATCAAAGTGAGCACCTTGCATGGCCTTCAAGGAGTTATTTGGAAAGAAGGCTTAAACTCTAATTTTAAAAACAAAAATGAAAAAAGAAGAGGTTTGTGTTTAAGGAAATGTTTTTCTTTTTAATGTAAAATCAAGTCATCAAATGTTACTGATTTTCAAATCTGATTAAGAATCATAAAATCTCTAAAACAAGTAATGAGCTTCATCTCATAATTCAGAACTGCAATGGAGATAGCCAGGTAGTGATGAAATCTGGGTAACTGGTATATCTTACTCAAGGCCTGTTTCTCCAAAACATTCTTCAAGCTCATATTCACTCTTCTAAACTCCCTTTCCTCTCTCCTTCCCTCTAAGTAAAATAAACAACTTAGAAAGATTGTTATAAAATACTTCCATACTGTCTTTTAGGGATTTCTTAAGAGAAGGAGATTTCTGTATGTATTACATACCTAAGAATATGGGCCAGGTGCGGTGGCTTACTTCTGTAATCCCAGACCTTTGGGAGGCAAGGAAGGTGAATCACTTGAGGCCAGGAGTTTGAGAACAGCCTGGCCAACAACGCGAAACCCTGTCTCTACTGAATATACAAAAATTAGCTGCGTGTGTAGTCCCAGCCCGTCTGTAGGCTGAGGCAGGAGAACTGCTTGAACCCAGGAGGTGGAGGTCGCATTGAGCCAAGATGGTGCTTCTGCACTCCAGCCTGGGCAGCAGAGTGAGACCCTATGTCTAGCTCAAAAAAAAAAAAAAAAAAAAAAAAAGAAAATAATAATATGAGAATTATATTGATTCGGTAAATTTATTTTAATAATCTGGCTTATTCTTAGTTTGAAAGAGGACTAAGGGCCTTTTGTTTTAATGTATTCTACTGGTTACATAAATAACAACATATGACTAGGAATTTGTAATTTAGGTGAGGAAGAAATTAATACCTGTGAAAAATGATAAAATCCCCAAATTTAATGCAGACGGTAAATTAATGTCACAGGCTGTAAGAGAGAATTCACTTATCATTCCTTGGCAAAAGTCACCATAATAAGGCTCCTGTTATTTAATGGGAACATTCTAAGAACCCAATTCTCAGCTGTACTGTACATTTAATGGACATATTAAAGCAAAGCAGTACCAGATCCACATCATATGAAATATCCACTAGAACTTAAATGTGTGGGGACCTTTTATTACAGAGGACACAATTTTATAGTTTTAGTCAGGTCTTAGGAGATTATCTGCTTTGTAGACTATCCAAGGCATAACATAAATCCTAGGCAGCAGCAAGCTCTTCACATGAGCTTTCTTTGGCGCTCAATCAGAGCCTATTAAAAAAGCCTAAACATCTTTCTATAGCAAGGCACAATGCAACAGAAATATACTGTAAATATAATCATATGAAGCATACCAAAACACACAAAAATTCAGGATTCTTTTGAATATCTTTTCAACTGATGATATTTAATAACAGAGTTGATTAATTTTTCATTTAGGGTAATCCACTAATCTAATTTAAAACTGTATCTTATAGAATAGTCCAGATTCTTCAAATTATTCTACCTGTTCCAGGGTCTGATTTATAGTGTGGTTAAAAGATTTACAATTTTCAAGTGGCTTTGTTACAAAGTTTCATCACTGCTTCTCCCATATGAGACAACAGCACTTTCTTGACTAGTAATTACAATAAATAAAATAGCAATTAGTCCAAATAATACAATTATTAGTGGCAGGAAATTTTATCCTCCATCATTACTACCAATCCAAATATTCTGCATATCCCTATTAGGTCTCGAAATGGTTGTCAGGGTTATTCCTCGAGAGAAGAGAAAATCAAGCTCTCATCAATTCTTCTTTCTTTCTTTTTTTTTTTTTTTGAGACGGAGTCTCACTCTGTCGCTCAGGCTGGAGTGCAGTGGTGCCATCTCAGCTCAATGCAAGCTCCGCCTCCCAGGTTTATGCCATTCTCCTGCCTCAGCCTCCCGAGTAGCTGGGACTGCAGGCATCCGCCACCACACCTAGTTAATTTTTGCTTTTGTATTTTTAGTAGAGACGGGGTTTCACCGTGTCAGCCAGGATGGTCTCGGTCTCCTGACCTCATGATCCACCCGCCTCAGCCTCCCAAAGTGCTGGGATTACAGGCGTGAGCCACCATGCCCGGCCTTCTTCTTCTTCTTCTTTTTTTTTTTTTTAAAACAGATACAACTATGAAAATTTATGAGCCAGGTGTGGGGGTTCACGCCTATATCCCAGCACTTTGGGAGGCTGAGGCAGGTAGATCGCTTGAGCCCAGGAGTTTGAGACCAGTGTGTGCAACACGGCGAGACCCAGTCTCCACAAAAAATACAAAAAACTACCTGGGCATGGTGGGATGCACCTGTAGTTCCAGCTACTGGGGGAGAGGGGTCGAGGGTGGGAGGACCGCTTGAGCCCGGGAGGTCGAGGCTGCAGTGAGCCATGATCGTGCCACTGCACTCTAGCCTGGGAGATGGAATGAGGCCCTGTCTCAAAGAAAAAATTTATGAAAAGAATGGAAAGTTTGTTGAATAGCAGCAGTCAGCAGAAAATTTCTCAGTACTAAGTCTAAGCACCCTACTCTTTGATCATTCAACTTAAGAGGTGACTTAGATAAGTAATTCAGTATCCAACTATATTAAGATGGGTAAATGATACACAACTACAACTTCAAGGGGGAAAATGATTTCAGAGATAACAGAAATAGCATGACATTTTCAAAAGGAGAAGTAAAAAGGAGTATTTTCTTGAATGTAAGACAATAGGTTGTGAGAATATCTTCACAGCTTAGAATGTGAGGTGAAGTCTGATTTATCTTTGGAACTCTAAAGAGAGATTGACAAAATTTTCAGGGATGGACATATGAAAAATGTAAAGACCACAAAAAAGGAAAACAACGAAACTAAAACAACATATGAGGAACAGTGAAGGAATTAGTAAAGAAATGGAAATGTCAGGTCAGGTGTCCCATGACATGCCCCCCAAGCATGAGAACTTAGCGGATGAGTGCCCGGGAAGGTCCAGCGCAGTACTACCTAGTGCACGCAACAACTGTCCTGCTGGCTGCAAGCCTCAGCTAGCAGGTGCCTACTGTCCTCCCCTCTGTGCTGGCTTTCAGCAAATTCATATGCTGAGCTGACTGAACCCTTATCTTCTTCCATCTGGAAGGACAGAAAAGCAACAAGTCTCATATTACAGAATGATACTCTTCACCATATAGAGGTTTAAGATCAAAGCAACAAGTTGGCATTCACAATCTGAGGCACAAAAGAATGTTCAAAGAACAGTACATTTACTGTCACAAAAGAGGGCTAATGGGAACTTCTTAAGGGGAACACAAGCACACAAAATAAAGCCATGATTTTTCAGTGCACGAAGCTCTAACTAAACATATATTACAGCTAAGTTAAAACCAAATTTCTTTCAATAAAATTCAGTTTCTTCTATTAAATTCATTTGCCACCAAGATTTAGGGTTCTTATTGAAAAGGTATGTCCAATTTCTCACCTTTCCTGCTTCCCTTCTCAGAAGACTTCTCTACTCTAACTGGACTTCATGGCCTTAGAAATGTTGAGCATGTGTGCAAAGGGCTTCACCTGATCTATTTGTTAACAAAAGAAATTTAATCCTTAATTTGAAACAGATTTTTAATGAGGGTCAATAATTTATATAAATTTCAGTTCTTTTTCTGTATTTGTATTAGAGATCTTCTAAGGAAGTTTAAAATGTTTCCATAGCCATCTTTATTTTAAATCTTATTATAAGACAATGTCCTTAATGAATAAAAAACAATTTTGCCTCATCTCTATGTATTTTTCCAGGATTAAGACTGACCAATAATTATTTCTATGAAAGATGCAATGCTGAATTTCTGACATAAACAAAAACTAAGCAGAATTTTTTGGTTTCAAGGGTATACTAAGTTTATGTGAAGATACCTTAATAGCTTTGCCTATAACACAGGGGAAGAGGGGAAAAGAAAATACTCAAAATGAGCTTTGTTTATTCAAAAGAAAATTGTTAATAAGTTTTGAATTAATCCTTTTTTTTTTTTTTTTTTTTTTTTAAGAAGAAGTCCCACTCTGCTGTCCAGGCTGGAGTGAAGTGGCATGATCTTGGCTCACTGCAATCTCCAACTCCTGGCTTCAAGCGATTCTCTTGTCTCAGCCTCTTGAGTAGCTGGGGTTACAGGCGCCTGCCACCACACCCCAGCTAATTTTTGTATTTTTAGTAGAGATGGGGTTTCACCATGTTGGCCAGGATGGCCTTGAACTCTTGACCTTAAGGGATCCACCCATCTTGGCCTCCCAAAATGCTGGGATTACAGGTGTGAGCCACTGCCTGGCCTTAATCATCCTTAAGAAGTACTAACTTGATTAAAGATTAAAAAGCTCTTAAAGATATCTGATATCCATACAGTTTTCCTCTCTGTCACAGGCGTAAATAGTTACGCTATTATGGATCACACCCACGGAATATTGCTCAATGCAGTTTAAAAAACTGATGCATTCAAAATTTAGAGGCTGCATCAGCAGAAAGATGTATATGGGCACTTGTTCTCCATGCAGCTATGAACAAATGCCCACCTAGTGGTCACTCACTGCTCAATGTGAGTAACTGTTTTCTCAGCCTGGCTTTTAGTGGAGCACAGTATTTCTTCTTTTTGCTCTTCTATGATGCTGATGGTAAATAAACAGACCACAATATGTAAAATGATCATGTGACAGGTGAAGAACCTGGAGGCCCAGAGGTGAAGTGACTTGGTTAGGACCCACTGGGAGTAGCACCAACTGCAGCACCAGCATTCAGGTCTGCCGCTCTCTCAACAGTGTTCTTTCCCACTTGTTACACCACCTGATTGGAGAGTGGCTTGCAGAAAGAACATCTCACCAATATCCTGTTCTCACTGTGATCTTTCAGAGATGAATGTTCAGCTTACTGTTTTATTAGAGTATTACAGAATCTGTGATTTCTTTGATTTATGATCTCCTTTCTCCATTATTCTTAAATCTAGCTTTGCTAAAAAAAAGTGGTTTAAGCCAGTATGATATATGAAAATATGATTTCATAAAAATATAATTAGTCACAATACGAAAGTTATATTTATATGACAAAACAGTTGGCCAGAGTGTGCTTTTAAATAATGAGCTCTCCTTTTGCTTTAAACAATTAGATGCTCAAAAATGTGATAGAAAGCCACTGTTTTTAAAGTCACCTACTGATAAAATTGTGATACACATATTTGGCTCAGACAAAAGTGAAGGTAAATCTTTAAGTTTGTTTTAATTTAGTTCTCATTTTAAATATAAAATTTAGTTGACTACAACTTAAACACCCATTTGTATACTCATCTGTAATTATTACACCATTGTAATTTGAAATAGAATATTTTTTAAAGTTGAAGCTAATAATAAAAAACCTGAAAGGTTTAGTAAATCTTTAAACAGCTCAATATTATGAACTCATAGAGTTTTATAAAAGGCTATTTAAGTGGTGCTTCGTAAAAGCCATTCATTTGATCAGATGAACACAGAAAGATTAGAAACCTTGAGAATAAAACAGAATTTAAAATTCAAATGAACATAGAGAAAGATTAGAAACCTTGAGAATAAAAAATAATTTAAAAAATACGTGATTAAGAATCTGTAAGAAACCAATAGGGCAAGAAATGGAAAAGTGTCAATTTCTAAAAAGAAAAATAATAACTTATATTACTTTTCCCCTTCAAACCATACTTAATACATAGTTATAGTATCTTAATATAAACAGTTCTAGAATTTAAGCTTTCATCCCTTTTTATCAAAAGGCATCCCTAAACTATTATTTTTTGTACAAACTGACAGAATGAATCTGTCTGTGGAGATAAAGATAAGACATACACACACATTGTTCGATTTATAGATGCACTAAATAGTAGCCAGGATATGAAATGCTTCAGCAGCCATTACAATACACAAACATAAATATGCACATGTATTTACAATACAGATTAAGGCAAGATAAAAAAAATGGGCAACTCTCACTTCCAAATATGTAGCTTTAATTACTCAACATGCAGGAGCATTCATAAATATGAATAACATGACAAGCAGAAGCATTAGAATTGTACTAGAAAAGGTAGTTAAGGTGTAAAGATATATTAACAAGGTATAGATCTCTGTTCTGTGATCACGTTGAATTTTTATCTGAATTTTCTTCTCAAAGAAGAAATGGATTTTTTTTTTTAGGTTTTAACGTATATGTTAATAAAGGTCAAATTATTCAGAGACAGGGCCATGCTAACAAAAATGCCCCGCTCTTTATTTATGCCTCTGCCCATCTTTTGATATTGTTTAATTGACCTTTAGCATGCAGAAGAGTTAATGAGGCTCTACTCCTCCTACTCTACCTAAGTTTGCTCAGCTGATTCCTTGCCCTCGACAATGGCTGCAGTGCGATGAACTCGTCACTTAAAGCAACTGTGTTGGAGTACATCTATAAGTGGACAGAAAAGGGATGGACACACAACAAGTCAGTGAGCTGTATTCATCACCTAAGAGACAGACACAGGACAAGCTTTGTAAATACATCTGTTCCTACACGAGGAGTAAATATCATACGTGATACACATACATGACTAACATTTGTAGGGCTGTTGGCTGTGCCATCAAAAGAATTTATTCTTCACTCTTAACACCACATTGTTACTCTGGAGAAAAACAAGGCTCAGAAAACATGCTGACAGCTCTTCCTTTGATATGGTTTTTCCTGCTACTTTTGGTAAACAATGAAGTAGCTGATAGCTTTCTAGCCATTTCTCCATCATTTGAAATCAGGAATGACATAAAGCTAAAATAACGACTACTGCCTGTAGCAAAGGAATAATGTTACATACAGGATTTCAATGACCATATACTGTTTCAGCAAAAAAAAGGAAAGGAAAAAACACACCAACCCCAGCAGGCTAGAAGATCCCTGAGTAGAAGTAGAGACTTCCTTCTTGGATTAGACCACCTAGAACATCCAGTTAAGTCATTTAGAAATAAATTTAGTGAGCCAAGAAGGAAGACTATACTAGCTTTTACACATAGATAAAATGATTGATGCACTGTACATTCCATTTTTAATCAAATAGACTAAATCAATTTTTAGCTTTATAGTGAAAGAACCAAAATATATAAAAGCACTTTTAACTTGTCTAATGGCCTACCTTAAGGTAGCCCAAATATTTCCTATGTATTCCTTTAAAAAGAGGCTATAGGAAAGGTAACAAGAACTGATATTATCACCTTTTATATTATTAAGAAATATCTATGAAAACATGTAAGTTTGCAAATGCTCTGCCTAAAGTAGAATTTCTAAGGATAAATATAAATAAATCTGATTACAGGTTGAGTATCTCCAATCTGAAAATCCAAAATCTGAAACTTTTTGAGTGCAGACATGATGCTCAAAGAAAATGCTCATTGAAGCAGTTCAGATTTTGTATTAAGGATGCTAAATCAATAAGTATAATGCAAATATTCTAAAATTTTAAACAATCTGAAATCCGAAACAAGCACTTTGGATAAAGGATACTGAACCTATATTTACTCTTATAAAGAATTAAGGTTTTTTTTTTGTTTTTTTTTTTTTGTGAGACGGAGTCTCACTTTGTCGCCTAGGGTGGACTGCAACCTCTGCCCCCCAGATTCAAGCGATTCTCATGCCTTAGTCTCCTGAGTAGCTGGGACTACAGGAGTGTGCCACCATGCCCAGCTAATTTTTTTACTTTTTAAAAATTTTTATTTATTATTATTTTCTGAGATGGAGTCTCGCTCTGTCGCCCAGGCTGGAGTGCAGTGGCGCCATCTCAGCTCACTGCAACCTCCACCTCCCAGGTTCAAATGATTCTCCTCCCAAGTAGCTGGGACTAGAGGTGCCTGCCACCATGCCCGGCTAATTTTTTTTGTATTTTTAGTAGAGACGGTGTTTCACCATGTTGGCCAGGATGGTCTCGATCTCCTGACCTCGTGATCCACCTGCCTCGGCCTCCCAAAGTGCTGGGGTTACAAGCGTGAGCCACCATGCCTGGCCTATTTTTTTAATTTTTAGTAGAGACAGGCTTTCACCATGTTGGCCAGGCTGGTCTCCAATTCCTGAGCTCAAGCCATCCACCCGCCTCGGCCTCCCAAAGTGCTGGAATTACAGGTGTGAGCCACTGCACCCGGTCTCAAGAATTAAGTATTTAAAATAATGCCATCCATATATTTTGGTGAAATATAACTGTATTTAGGTCAAAACAGGGAGACAAATTATTCTCCATAAAGATCTAGAGTAAGTATAATGGACAAAGCCTTAAAAATAGTACTCTTTTATTGTGAATTTTTTTTTCAGAAGATTAGGAATAATAAGATAGGCAAACTTTCTGATATATATTTAAGTAATATATTGCAGAGTGGAAAAGTCTGTCCACACTGATATAAATATATACGCATGGACAGATAGAGGAATCAGATTATGCAAATTGTTTTAGCCCCATTTGGAGATCAGTATAACAGAGCAACATTCTCAACCTCATTTTACTTATAATGATAACTGTTTTACTGAGGATCAACTATATACAGGCTCAGTGTGAGGTACTTCATACTCGTTATCTCTAACAACCATGTAAAGTAGCAATTATTTTTCTGATTTTATAGAGGAGGAAACTGAGGCTTATGAAGTGATCAAGGACACAGATATGAACTGTTGAAACAATATCTGAATTCAAGTTTGTCAGGCTTCACAGGCCTATGCTGTCTCAATGGTGTGAATGTGTATATTGGCTAGGATTCGGTTATCAAAGCAAATGAATACTAAAGAAATGTTGTGGACACGAACTACTGAAATTAAAACTAATGCACTGGTCAGGAAGCCTAACTTACATCACCAAATGTTTAGGAAGTAGTTTTTCTATTTGTAGGATGAATATACAACTAAATTTCCAAAATTCATTTGGCATGTTACAAGCATGTTTAAAAAATCTCAACCTGGGAAGAACTAAATGATTAATAAGCTCAGGGCATAAGAGTTGACTAGAATATATTTTTTAGAGTATTTATCCAATACGATAGAGTTAAAAGGACAAACTGAGAGATTTCTAGCTCACGTACTAGTCAAATATATAAAAAAGACACAGTCAACTAAATAGCTACTATCCTTGAGCACCTACTAAGTATTTGGAAATTATTTCATTTAATCTTCACTAGAAAGGTAACAGAAGAGGTATTTCTATCATAATTTTACTAATGAGGAAACTGAGATTCAAAGTCACAGAGATACCAAGTGGAAGACCTGGGATTTGAACTGAGATCTATCAGGCCCCAAAGATTCTTAAGCACTATGTAACATACTGCTAATATTTGCTGTAGTTTAATATTTATTAATAAATGTTTAGTGAGATAATGTAATTTTAAAAATTCTATTCTGTACAAATTATTTAGGTTAAATAATTCATTTCATACTTTTTTGGTGAAAATAATATAATCAGAAAAAATATTACTCGGCCAGGTGCAGTGGCTCACACCTGTAATCCCAGCGCTTCGGGAGGCCAAGGCAGGCGGATCATGAGGTCAGGGGATCGAGACCAGTCTAGCCAACATGGTGAAACCCCGTCTCTACTAAAAATACAAAAAATAGCCAGGTGTGGAGGCAGGTGCCTGTAATCCCAGCTCACAAGGCTGAGAGAGGAGAATTGCTTGAACCCAGGAGGCAGAGTTTGCAGTGATCCAAGATCGTGCCACTACACTCCAGCCTGGGTGACAGAGCAAGACTCCGTCTCGGAAAAAAAAAAAAAAAAAAAAATTACTCAAATTCTGATGTTTCTAAAGACATGGCTATAGATCTTCATTATATATATATGATAGAATGCTGTGATATTACTTTAAAAATATTTACTATTATTATCTGGATATAATTTGATAGTTTCATACCTAAAAACATAAAGTTTTATTAACAACACAATGTAATTAAAAAAATAACTTATCAGTAGTCATAAAATTAATAGAAATAGTAAGAAATAACTTCAAAAATATCACACTGAACAATGTTTATGTTACAAAATAGTTGAAACAGGAATGGCTAATTTCCTATTTTCTGACATAATCAAATTATAATGACAGCTATTCATTATTAAAGATCCCTAACTAAAAAGATATTGAATTTATTATAAAAAGTGGTTACCTGTGCCTTTTCAGTACTTGTAGGGTGGAGGTGTCGGTCAAAGACCTTCTTTATGATATCAAGAAATAGACATGTAACAACCATGAGGATTATGGCAAACCAAGCAGAACCACTTGACAGGAGCTGAATAAACACAAAATACATATTCTGGGAGCCCAAAAATGGCCTGCAAAGAAAGAAAATGTGCTTAATAAAAGTGGAAACTGAAAGACTTAAATCAGGACATCATATAAAGACACTACAGTTGAAAGTAACAAGTACTCCAAGAAAATGTTCAAAACTGAAATCAGTATAATTTAATTAACTGAACTAACAAAACAAGATAAGCTTTAATTGTTAAAAATAAAACAACTATAGTTTTTATTAGGAAAATGGCAAGCAGTTGACCAGATAACCCTATCTTAGTGGTAGTGGATCAGAAGAATAATGTAGTAATACAGACTTAAGGGACCAAGTAAAGCAAGAAAAAGTGTGTAATAAAATATTTTAGAAGGCCGATTATCCAAATCTTAGAATGAAAGCTTTATTCAGAGGCTCTTCTTCAAAAACATATTTTAAAATTAATGTACTCACGAATACTAGTTTTACATAGTAGTAAGTGTTATAAAGATATTCTTTTTGGGTTTTTGTATATACTACCTCAAAAGAATATGGTGAAATATAGAAATATTCATAAGAGTATCCTTTTATGATCCTAAATAGAAGTTAATATTTAGCTAATCCAAATTTTTTTGGCCTACCTTCAGAAGCTTTTTTTTGTCTGATAAATGGATCAAAGACATAGCAGGCAAATGTAATATAAATTCTCCAAAAGAGAGCCCTCAGTTGTCCATCACTTACCAAAGAATCTTAGGAGAAACATTAATTTTTAATCTATCTGAGTAGCCAGTTGAATATCTGATTCTATCAATGAAGATGATGCATACTACTTACTTTTGTGAGAAAAGTTAATGATTAATATTTAATGGTTCTATGTGACTTACTTTATTGTATATATTAACACATAATACATTAATACATAATATAACTAGTGTAAAGAAAATTGTGAAATAAGACAATTGGGGTTTAAATCTTGGCTTTGGTACTTTTTTGTCTTTGTGATCCTGAGGCTCAGTTTCTACACAGAAAAAAACAGGGATCATTATTATGATGAATCAATATCTTATATAAAAAAAATCTAGAAAAATTGTAGATATTCAATAAATGTTAGTTTTTTCCTCTCCATATCAGTAAGATCAACTGAAGAAGTAAACTTACCAGGAGTCTGAAATCTGTTATGAGCAGAATATGTTCATAATGTAACCTATCACAATAAATGTTTATTATAGTTGAAGCAATCCAATTAAAATACAATATATTCACTCACCAGAGAATCCCTCCATAAAACAAGGAAAATACAAAATAAAATATAATAGATCCCCAGGTAACGAGATGGTTGATCCAAGTCCAAAAATGAGTTTCCAGAGCCATCTAAAAAAAAGTTTTTATATCCTTAGAAATATAAACAAATAAAGCTTTACCTTAACCTTTCAGATGAAACTCAAGAATAAACATAAGTATCTAAAAGTCTCTCAGAAGACAGATACAATCCCTCAAAATCCCTCAGAGATAAATATGAATGAAAAGGTCCTAGTATAAAATGAAATAATTTCAAGTTTATAATGTTTTTCTTCTTTGAGGAAACAGCATTCAAATTTCATGTGATTACTCTATTTTCAACTCCATGGCCTAAAACAAATTACGCTGTCTTGCACTATACACAGAGAAGCAAAATTTTTAGAGATTTTTAAAAATGTGATCATAAATATCAGCTGAGGCTTCCCAAAATAATAAACTTTAAAAATAATTTTTTGACAAAAATTTAACTATTAAAATAGTAACCAGTGAAATTAATCGTTATTGAAAATGGAAAAAGGGAAAGTATCTATGGCTAAAGAAATGAAGAAAGTTAACTAACTATGTAAACAGTTGCAAAATGTGTCCACATTTCTAATTTCAGTACCATACCTTTACTGTGACTGTAATAACCATGACTGTGAAGACCAAAGTGCCAAATGTCCAGTTTCCAAACATCTAAACAGAAAGAATACACTATTACATTACGTGTTAACATAATGTTAAATGTCAGGTAAAAAGTCATTTAATTCTCTACTAAAAATCCCTTGAATTATTTAAGTCAGGTACATTTGAAACTGGTGACTATACTCATAAAGTTAAAAGTATGAGAAGAACAGCATAAAGCATTATTTACATGTGTTATTATTATAGACAATGATCTTTTAGATATCATTATCAGACTGGAACCCAAAGATGGGTTTAGAATGGTGTGGCACAGACTATTTTTAGTTAGAATAATGTAGTCATTAGGGACTGCTTTATTGCTGTTGCACAGTAAAAATGGTAACAAAATCCTTTTCAATCACAAGTATTTTCAGAAACCTTTCCAACCAGACGTTACAGCAGAGCACATGCCACGGTATTTTTGGATACAGTACAGTAGAGCAGGAGAAAAGAAATTTACACTTAAAACCTGTATCTGAAAGGAAGGATAATGGATCATGGAATTACTCCTCAAAGGATTCCATGTAAAAATGCAGTTATTGCCAGTCAGAAAGTTTCCCCTGGGCTTTAGAGCCAAAACTTACTAAGGTATTAATCACGCAGAACCCCAAAAGAGTTTCAGGATTTTATCTCTACAAGAATACAACCAGAAGTTTAATAATTTAGTTTACAAAGTAATCATTGTTAGTCCAAACTGCATCGTTTTGTAAGCTCCCTGCTATTTTGCAGACCTTGGTCAAAGTGCAACATTTCACGGGGGTTCGGGACATGAGAAACATCCTGCCTAACCACCTGACCACTAAAGAAAGAGCCCTATCGTATCTTGCTGGATAAAGGTCCAAGGAACACCACGAAGACATCCTGCCAGAACAAGGGTCAGAACTGCCTCATCATGGGAACATCTTATCAATATCCTGCCAGGCAGCGAGCCATACTGCCCAGACCCCTCCCGCCCACACCTGTAAGTACCCTAGCCTGTAAGCAGCCAGTGGGCTCTGGCATTAGGCTGGTCCCTGACTTCTGTAGGTTTTATGCTAGACAAAAAGCCTGCATGCTGTTGAGCCGCCCTCTTTCTGTGTGTGTGTCTTTCTTTAACTCTCACCTTCCCTTCCAAACCTAACAATCATTATCTTAACACTGGTTCAAAAAAATTAATAAAAAGCCTGTTTTTTATTACAGATTTCTAACAATTATCATTTACTTAACAAATTACTTAACCTCTCTATATCTCACTTTCTTCATTTGTAAAATGAGGATAAATCGCAGTTTTCTATAAGAATTGGGGTATACAAAAAGAATGGGGTACCTGGTATATAATAGGCAATCAGTAAATAATAGTTATGATTATCAACAATGAAACATCAATTAATATTCCTTTATTTGAGAGCATTTGGGGAATGTATTTGTCAAGAGGAGAATCAAAAGTCATACTGAACCTGTGCTTATCTGTCTGCTGTCTGCTTTTATCATCTCTAGAAATGACCCAGAAATACCGATGATCAGTGGGTCTCAACTTAGCTCTCTCAGGAGGAGTGCCATTCTCCTCTTTCATGGGTATGGACACAGATACTTTCCTTTTTTTTTTTTTTTTTTTTTTTTGAGTCAGGGTCTCCATCTGTCACCCAGGCTGGAGTGCAATGGCATGATCTCGGCTCACTGCAATCTCCACCTCCCGGGCTCAAGCAATCCTCCCAAGTAGCTGGGACTAGAGGCACACGCCACCACACTTAGCTAATTTTTTTTTTTTTGTATTTTTTACAGAGATGGGCTTTCACCATGTTGCCCAGGCTGATCTTGAACTCCTGGGCTCAAGTGATCCACCTGCTTTGGCCTCCCAACATGCTAGGACTATAGGTATGAGCCATGTGCCCAGCTGGGAGAGATACTTTGATGCAACCGGGGACCTGGGCCTGGAAGTGGTAAGGACATGTCCATCCTTCAGTATCTGGTTTTACTGGGCCTAGACTGGGGTATGTTACACGGTATTTTCCTTAGAGGAGGATTTAGGGCTTCCTCTTGCATAGGCCCCATTCAAGGTCCTAGAAGAAGCCATACAAAAGCATTCACATAGCTTTTTGTGGGTAAAATTATACGAAGTAATGTATTTCAACTGTAATCAACTGGTTAAGACTGCTGTCTCTTTCCATTCTGACTTGCCCTTGAGCTGGTAGGTGATAATGTGAGTGGCAAAGGCATTTTGGAGATCTGGCTGAAGATGAGCTTACAGGCTGGGTGCGGTGGCTCACACCTGTAATTCCAGCACTTTGGGAGGCCGAGGCAGGCGGATCACCTGAGGTTGGGAGTTCGTGACCAGCCTTACCAACATAGAGAAACCCTGTCTCTACTAAAAATACAAAATTAGCCTGGCGTGGTGGCCCATGCCTGTAATCCCAGCTACTGGGGAGGCTGAGGCAGGAGAATTGCTTCTATGAAGCTCTGTTTAAAAGCAACTACAAAAAAGTTGACCCTGTCAGATTACAGAAATAAAGTATTAAGCTCACAAAAACAAAGATCAATAGATGGGACTTAATTAACCAAAAAGCTTCTGCACTGCAGAAGAAATAATCAGTAGAGTAAACAGACAAGCACAGAGTGGGAGAAAATCTTCGCAATCTACACTTCTGACAAAGGACTAATATCCAGAATCTACAAGCAACTCAAACGGATCAGCAAGAAAAAGATAATCTCATCAAAAAGTGGCCTAAGGACATGAATAGGCAATTCTCAAAAGAAGATATACAAATGACCAATGAACATGAGAAAATACTCAACATCACTACCTGGGAAATCCATATCAAAACCACAATGTGATACCACCTTACTCCTACAAGAATGGTCAGAATAAAAACATAAAAAAATAGATGTTGGCATGCATGTGGTGAAAAGGGAACACTTTTACACTGTTGGTGGGAATATAAACTAGTATAACCAAAATGGAAAACAGTGTGGAGATTCCTTAAAGAACTGAAAGTAGGACTACCATTTGATCCAGCAATCCCACTCCTTCTATCTACCCAGAGGAAAAGAAGTCATTATACAAAAAAGATACTTGCACACCCATGTTTATAGCAGCACAATTTGCAATTGCAAAAATAGGGAACCAGCCCAAATGGCCATCGATTAATGAGTGGATAAAGAAAATGTGGTATACATATATACCATGGAATACAACTCAGCCATAAAAAGGAATGAAATCATGGCATTCACAGGAAACTGGATGGAATTGGAGACCATTATTGTAAGTGAAGTAACTCAGGAATAGAAAACCAAACATCTTATGTTCTCACTCATAAGTGGAAGCTAAGCTATGGGGACGCAAAGGCATATGAATGAGACAATGAACTTTTGGGGCTCAGGGAAAAGGGTGGGAGGGGGTGAGGAATAAAAGACTACACATTGGGTACAATGTACACTGCTTGGGTGCACCAAAATCTCAGAAATCACCACTGAAGAACTTATTCATGTAAAAAAAAAGTAAATAATAAAAAAACTAAACAAGAAAATAAAGTCTTAAGCTTATTTTTAACTTTAAAAAATAAAAAGATTACTCAAACAACATATTCAGTGAATTACTAATCTATGACTTCTTGACAAATGTCCATGGTAAGACAATACTACTGTATTATTAAGACAAGCCCTACTTTTTAACTAATACTTAGATTCAAATACTGTGACTACTTTAAGACTGGATAAGGGCTAGGCAAATTTTATGTGAGAGATTAACTCTTCTACTATTTAGGAAAAAAACAAAGTTAAAAATTAGTCACTAGTTCAGCCTTCTCATTAACATTATTTTTGCTCTCTGGCAACTCATTAAGGAGTAATAGTAAAGGAATATCTTTTGTATAGTGCTCTGAAGGTAAAGATGTACCCATGGAAAAGCAGTTTTAGAGACACACATGACAGGAACTCAGGCAGGTCATACACATTCTTCCAGTCTTTCCAAATCTTAGAGAAAATTGATCAAGACTTATACTTTACTAAGAGAAAGAAAGGCCTGTTAAAAAGATTTGAGATAAATACATGAAGAATGACTAGTTCTTTCCTAAGCTAAACTGAAAGAATTAGTGAATACTTCAAAAGTATTTGTTGAAAATTAATTAACATAAAATTGCTAGACCCTAATACAAAAAAAAAGGGATAAAGTCTTAACTTTCCCTGAATTGTTCTACCCTTAAACCCAAACTATTACAAGTCTTCCTCCTGCTCCTCTCCCAGGATCACTTGGTTTGCAATGACTTCATCTTTGCCTCCAGTCACTCCTCTCAGCACTTCCCTCTAGTAACTTTTTCTGCTCTAGGCCCTCAATTGTTTACTGATAACTTGGGCATGCAATAACAATATTTAGAAAACAGGAAGCATTCAACAAACTCAGTGCTAAGCAATGAGACGCGGCCTAGACAGATGTCTAAAAGGATTTTTAGCACAGGGACACATAAGAGGGAGCTGGACCAACAGGAAAGGCGTCTGTGGGCTCAACTGCGAAGAATAGGTGGTGGTGAGGGAATCTTGGGGAAAGGGAAGCATGAGCATTCTAGAGAGGGAACATAAGCAATGTTTTAGAATTAGAGATTAGCATGGCACATTCTGAGAGCCAGCAAGGTGATTTTCACAGTTAAGAGAGAGTTTCTGGGAGAATTAGACCGGGTGGGATTGAGTAGGACATGATCTTCCAATATAATGACTTAATAGTAAAAATAACAATGAACACTGCTAAGACGTAGTGAATACTTCTATATGCTAGCCACTATGCTTAATGCTCTACAAATAATATGTCATTTAATCCTCACATCAAACCTATAAGGTGGGGATTATGTGCCTTTTCACAGGTGAGAAAACTGAGTCTGAGAGAGGTTAACTCATCCCAAATCACTCAAACGATGACTACAGATGCCAGGGTATGAATCCAATTCTGATTCTAACATGTGCTGCTTTGCTACTATACCTAGTATTGGAGGTAGGGAGTGGCAGATTAATTTCAATAGACAGTAAAGAGAAAAAAGCTTTTATACTAATGGCCAATAACAATTTATCCTTCAAGGTTTTATCTTCTGTATAAAGAATGTTCAAGATTTTATTTTAAAAAGTTACTAAAAATTAGAAACAAATCCTCAAATTAAGGGAATACTTACATTATGACAATGTAATAGAGTATTACGTAATCATGAAAAATGTTCTTGAAGCATTTTTAATAACATACAAAATCACTTAGGCTACAATGTTAAGAAATAAGGGGATACAAATTATGAGGTTAATGAAAATAGCAAAAAAGAATTGAAACAAGTATGTAAAAATAATAAAAGTAATAATATCTGGGTAGAGGGCCACCATGTGATTTATTTTCTTTATACTTTTTCCTACTAACTTCAAACTTATCACAATGGGCACATATTACTTTTAAAAATTAAAAAAAGTAGTGACTAGCAATACAAGATCTTTAACATCCTTTTCATCCAATGATGAAGATCCAAATTTCCTTCTTCTTAACTCTCCTCCCCTCTTAATTCTGTCCGGTTTTCACCCCACTATTTCAGGTGGAAGTGAGCATACTCACTCATATGTCTATATATTTGGTGGCACTTGCACTGATGGTAAGACTGTGCAGAAGGGCACCAGGCTAACAGCTGTTTCTCAGAAGAATTGAGAATCATGACTAAGCATGTAGGTTTTTTTTATTATACTTTAAATTCTAGGGTACATGTGCACAACGTGCAGGTTTGTTACATATGTATACATGTGCCATGTTGGTGTGCTGCACCCATTAACTCATCATTTACATTAGGTATATCTCCTAAAGGCATGTAGGTTTTAAAGTCAGATAGATCTGAGTCTGAATTCTATTACTGTAATTTGCTTACTGTGTGAACTTAGGCAAGTTTCTTAACCTCTCTGAGGTTAATTTTCTAACATGCGAAAATTAATAATGATATTTTTCTCATACAGAGTTATGATTTAATGAGCAAATGCATGTAATGTACCAGGCATAGAGAAACAAACTCAACAAAAGGTAGTTATTATTTGGGAAGTGCTGTAACCTTTATGCTACAAGATTCATATTTTCATCCACATCAGTCTAAATATGTCCTCAAAAGTGAAGTGGCAATTATATTTATGTCCCTACTCTATAAGGTAAAGGGATTTTGCAAGGTTAAGGCCTCTACATTTGAAACCCATTTCCTTTATTACACCGGTGTATTTTGTTATTAGTTTACTTGCTCATTTTCTGTATCCTTTTCAAGATTCTAAGCTCCATGACCAAGTTACTTACCAGAGCCTAGTATAGTACTTGGGAATAGCTGGCCTTCAATAAAGATCTGTTGAGCAGATAAAACTTTATATTCTTCCAATTGCAAATTTGTATGTCTGTATCTCCAAACATATTTTGCAATACTTAAGTGATGGGAATGGAAAAGGGAAACTAAGAGTGACAACCATTTCCAGTCCACCAGAGTCCCTACCACTGCTGTCATTTCTTTCCTTCCTAACCCATTTAGTTAAGCCCCGAAAGAGAGGTCTAGCTCTGCCAAGAGTCTCTCAACATGAGCACTCCAATCAGAACACAGTGTAACAGTGTACTGTTTAAAATGCACTCTTTCCTAATTTCATGCTTCGGAAAAGTGGCCAAATTAAACAGTAAGTTATGACATCTATTTAGAATTGTGAGTGTGCAATGAAGAATGTGGTAGCATTTCCTAGGCAAACAACAATGCAATTAAAAGCAAACAAACACTAAGTCCTCATTTGCCATCTGAAAAATGGGAGTAATAATACCTCTCTAATAAGATTATTGGGAGGACTAATGGAGATGGGGCATATTAAAGTACTTAGCACAAAAGTAAGTACCAGATAAATGGCAGCTATCAATAAAACACAATACTAAGGTGAAGAGCATGCAGGGGCAATAACATATCCCCTGTGTGAGCTAATTTTTGAATAGCAAAACTGTCTAGTAACTTGAGTTTCATTTCGAGATTACACTGTATTGCCTGTCAATTTTCACTTGTATGAAACTTTATTATTTAACCACAAAATTTAAACCTTTTTATATTTGCATTTTAATACTTGAAGTTCTGTAATTTAAATTAAATTTTACTTTATGACAAAAGCTATAAAAAACCCATAAAATATTAACAAGCATTCTTTAAAAAAACTATATACTTTACCTGGCCATTTCCAAGCAGAGATGTATCTTTCCCTATTAGTAAATAGGATCCAAAAAAGAAAATAAAGGCATGACTGAAGCCCAGGATGGTCCAATAAAGAAATGTTTTAATACTTAAGAGGCGGTTTTTACTAATGTCTCTGTTAAAAAGAAGAGAAAAAGAAACATATTAGGGATCATTTATTATTTGCCCACTAAACAATTAATATAATATGATAATTAAAAAACAAGATAGATTTTTAATTTAAAATTGCTTGAAAATATTAGCACAAAGAATAAATAAATCCAAATTTATAAACCACTGCTTATAATATCATACATCTGTTTAATAGCTTATAGTTCACATACTACATTCAAACATATTTCTTCATTTGATAAAGAAATAGGAAGACTGGGTGCGATGGCTTAAGCCTGTAATCCCAGCACTTTGGGAGGCCAAGGTGGGCGGATCACAAGGTTAAGAGATCAAGACCATCCTGGCCAACATGGTGAAATCCTGTCTCTACTAAAAATATAAAAATTAGCTGGGCATGTTGGCACGCGCCTGTAGTCTCAGCTACTTGGGAGGCTGAGGCAGGAGACTCACTTTAACCCAGGAGGCAGAGGTTGCAGTGAGCTAAGATCACGCCACTGCACTCAGCCTAACGACAGACTGAGACTCTCTCTCAAAAGGAAAAAAAAAAAAAAAAAAGAAATATGATAGGCTGGGCATGGTGGCTCATGCCTGTAATCCCAACACTTTGGGAGGCCAATGCAGGAGGATCACCTGAGACTAGGAGTTTGAAGCCAGCCAGGGCAACATGGCAAAACCTTGTCTCTACTAAAATAAATAAATAAATAAATAAATAAAAAGTTTAAAAAATTAGTGAGGCATGGTGGTGTGTGCCTGTAATCCCAGTTACTCCAGATGTTAAGACGGGAAGATTGCTTGAACCTGGGAGATTGAGGCTGCAGTGAGCTACGATCTTGCTACTGCACTCCAGCCTGGGTGACAGAGCAAGATCCTGTCTCAAAAAAGAAAAAAAGAAATATGACATAGGCATAATACTTCACTTTAATTTTGAAAAGTTGATTTATCTGTTATTATATTCTTCTGTTAACATTCAGTCACTCTGCCATAATGGTCTCTTTTTAGTGAGGTTATCTGAGTTAGGTTCAGCACTGATGCTCCTAACTTCCCTTCTAATAATAGCTATTATGGGAAGAACAATCTATGCCAATCTTAGGTCAAGCCCTGTCCTAGATAACCTGAGGAATTGAAGTAAATTAATCCAAATTTAGATAATGAGATGACTCTATAAGTGGTACTTCAATAGCTATCTCTATAAGAGCTTATGGTGAATACCATAGCTGGTCCTGAGGAACAGGTCCCAATCACATCTCTGTGATTACTTGGTTCTGGGGAAGCAGGAATAAAGCAGAGAATCTGGGGTGGGAATTAATGTCCTCACCTCTGGATTTTGCACTAATTATTACTCATAAATTTCGCTAATAGTAGAAAAAAACTTTTAGGAATTCTAGAGACTACCAATTATGAATAACTTCTTTTGTGCACACGAAATAGAATATTACTGGTTTGCGAGAGTAAGTGCAAATTACACAACTGCCCAGTGCATTCCCAGGATGAAAGTGCTCATTCTTAAAAAAACACCGGAAAAATTATTCCAATTTTCTCTTTGAAAGAAACCTTTTTTTCTCTGATATTCAACAACTGTAAATCATACGACAACTAAAGAACTTTCCTTAGTAAAGCATTAATCACCAAGACATAAATAAATCTGCTTATTTTTTACTTAAAAAAACTGATAAGGCCATTTAATACCAGAAAATACTTACCGATAAAGGGTGGGCTTATTTTGTAACACATGAGGGTCTACATGCTGTTCCAAAAGACTATATATCAGAATAGGTAGGGAAGTAAAACAAATATTGTATAAAGTCAGGTACACGCTGTCATACAATGTCTAGAAAGAGAAATTGGTAGGAATGTTGAGTTTCTGAATTATGCATTACTATTATGCATATGACAACTATGCATATTAAAAACAAAATTAAAGTTTTAAAAATTTATACTGAAATCCATTTTAGTAACTCCAATTAAATAATTCTAATTTGTTTTTAATACTGACATAAACATATAATGTTCCTAGGTTGATATTCTTTGTGAGAACTGGAATATTTTGCTATATCAGGTGCTTCTGGAATTATCGTGAGTTAGATCAACATTTCAAGGTTCTCCACAATTTGATCACTGTGAAGTAATTTTACATAATTCTCCTCCATGTATTCCAGGCATCTTACTACTCCTTCCACATGCAACACATACAGTTTACCTTTCATGGCTTTGTCTCCCTGTCTACACACTACACTTCCTTTAAGGCACTGAACAAGACTATCTTCTTCCATGAAACTCTGCACAATGGCTTAAGTCCTTAACGATATCTTGCTCCTCTAAACAGTCACAGGTACCACTGTTGGTACTAATCACTTAGCACTTTGCCTATGCTTTACATATTGTTTTTATTGTTATTAATACTGCCTCCCAAATTACACTATAAACTCTCCAGAAAACCTAATCAAAATAGGTCAGTTTTCCTTGTCGTATTGTCTTAGCATATTCTTTAGTTCATTTAGGTAAACAAACTTTTATCGGTAATCAATGCCCAAGCAAATATTTGGAATTTAGAGTTACAGGTTGTAAACAGGATAAAACAGCAATTAAGAATAGGAAAAACTCATGAAAAAGTTAAGATAATTAAGCTCTTGTTTTTTCAATAAATTAGAACTAGTGTCTTGATCAATTTGAGATGTATAGTATGGTATGTAAAAAGGGTGCCTGCCACATTAGTCAGAAGCAGTAGGTCAAAGTTATGGTTTAGTCATTAAGTTAGCAAGGCAAGTTACTTAATTTATGTGGATTTCATTTTTCTTTTCTAGAAATTAAAACAAAGTAGATCAGGACTGGTAAATATGTGACATGCATGCAAACAAAGACCCACCTTGTGCCCATTACAACTATTGCTAACAAATTACATTTTCCCTCTGAGCCTGCAGCTTTAGAAACCTTTTCAATATACTCTAGGTGCCCCATCAATTATTTAAAGGTAGCTTCTGAGATAAAACCTATATGCCATCCCTGGACTAAATCACTACTGCTCCTTCCAAACCTAAGACATTTCGAATCAAAAATAAAAATGAGGTGAACCTCCAAGTTATCTGGCCTGGCTTGATTTGGATTTTACAGAAATATCACAAATAAGTTATCAAAATTCTCTCATAAGCTGTTAAGGGTTATTATCTATTTTTAAAAGCATCCAGAATTACATTTTGGTATTAACACTCACCTCAAACTGAAAACCAGAATAAATAAATATTCTGAATGTCATGCTGGTTAAATATACTAAACAGAAAAGTTCTGTCTGGTTCCCTGCAGGACTAAGAAAAATGAAAAAAGTCCCTTCAAACGTCTATCAAAATCTGAACATACATACGTTACTCTAAAAGGACAAAACACAAAACACAAGTTTCTATTTACTTACTTGCTGAGAAAACAAACAGTAGAACTGATATAAAAACTGGGGTGTGATAAAGCACACATTCTGAAAAACAAGATTAAATGGAAAATAATTAAAATATTTAGGTTTCAAAGACAAAATAAAAAATAAAAAAAATGGCTGTTAAAGTGTCCAAAAACAATCTCAGTTGGTATGGTAAGTAAAGGATAAGGACTTGTCCATATATAACAGGAATGCAGGATTCCCATTTTATCAAAAAATGTCTAAAAACATTCTAAGCAACAGTGCAGACATCAGAATGAAAAAACCCTTGACTCCTCTCACTGCCAAGCAACACTATAATTTTGAATTTACAACCTTCAAACTATTACTCAATACTTTTCATATATAGTACAATAAGTAAGATTTACTCAAACTTTAGGGCTATATCTTTACAACACAAAAATGTTTAAAACACACAATAAATCAAACTATCGAAACTTCTTTCCATCTCAATATACTCATATTACAAGTAAAAGCTAGAAAAATAAGTTAGAAAAAAACTGCCATCATCTTATAGCAATATGCAATCTACTTGTGTTCTATCACTGGATTGTAGTTATCAATTATAGAAATATATGCAACATAGTACACTCTGGTGTTATTAAATGTATTGGTAACAGGGGCTCTTAATGTGGGTTCTGCAAACTCCCACCTTGTACCAAAGGACCCAAAGATAGGACAATATTTCAACATAATTTGTTTCTTTGTAACCCTATGTATTTCATTTTATGCATATAAAAGCTCCATATTGAGGAGCTCACACATTTCACTAGACTACTAAAAGGTCATTCATGGCATAAAAAGGCTAAGAACTCTACTTAAAACCATTATATTGGTGTTAAAACTTATTGCTGGTTCAGGACAAAATAACTTTAAAGATATCAAATGTACTATGTTCTAATTTGCATGGAACCCCTGGGCCCCAGGCAACCACTGATTTGCTTTCTGTCAGTATAGAATAGATTTATGACAAAATACTGTTATTTTTACTTATTGAAACTATTTTAAAGAGAAATGTATAAGGTTATAACATTCCTTAAATTGAAACTTCATATTACTATATCAATAATTGATTCTAAATACATGAAACTCACCTTATAAAAAAAATACTGTACAAGGGTAGCTATTCTAATATAATAAAAATGACCATGAACAAAAAGCAATTTGGAGAGGAACTTAAATCTGGCTATTGCATAGTCACTGTTTCTTGCAGCCTGTCTTCCTTCTTTACCCATGATTCCTATAATAAAAGGGACAAAAGACATGTTCACTGATAACTGTAATTTTCATGATAAATCTGCAAATATCTTAATTATTTATAATAGTTGAACATGCACTTAGGAACATTAAATCCTAATATACAGCAGATAGCAGATGTCCAAAAGGTTGTTCTACTTAAATATGTAATTAATATAAGGCTACGATATTTATCAGACACATAACACCAATTTCCAAAGAATTAGAATATAAAAAGATAAAATACAATATAAAAAATAATATTGAAAGTTAAGGATTTAGCAGGAACATCAATTATTACACTAATAAGCACAAGTACTGGGTAACAGACTTCTGATGGACAGAATGCTATAAAATACTTAACTTCACTATTTTCACTGAATATAAAAAATATTCAAATTGAGTCATTTGAGTTTAGCAAAATGAGTCATTTGTTTGCTTAACACTTCCATGAATAAGTCAAAGTGCACTTTTTAAAAGGAAAATATGAATTTAAAATAAATAAATTTTTAAAAATAAGCAATATCATTTGAAATCAGTGCAACATTTCCTCTGATAAATATGAATACTTTTTTAATGGTTACAATAATCCTTAAGGTTTCAAAAGAGAAGAAGAGTCATTGCCAAGTTTTTATTTTCAATCTAGAAGCAACTTAAAAAAATTATTTTTCAAAACTAAAACTTTGTCATAAAAGGATGAAAGTGTTCCAAAATGTATAAGCGATGAAAAAAACCTGTATTCATAATCCCTAGAGAAAACTGCTGTTTTTAGTCTGCATTCTTTTTTTTTTTTTTTTTTTTTGAGACGGAGTCTCGCTCTGTCGCCCAGGCTGGAGTGCAGTGGCGGGATCTCGGCTCACTGCAAGCTCCGCCTCCCAGGTTCACGCCATTCTCCTGCCTCAGCCTCCCAAGTAGCTGGGACTACAGGCGCCCGCCACTACGCCCGGCTAATTTTTTGTATTTTTAGTAGAGACGGGGTTTCACCGTTTTAGCCGGGATGGTCTCGATCTCCTGACCTCGTGATCCGCCCGCCTCGGCCTCCCAAAGTGCTGGGATTACAGGCGTGAGCCACCGCGCCCGGCCTAGTCTGCATTCTTTTAGAAATTTTCTTTCTGCTTATTTCATGTCTGTGTGTGTAAGTATTTCATACATACAAAAACACGTATAAAAATGTGGCTCAGGCTGGGCACGGTGGCTCAGGCTGGGTGTGGTGGCTCACGCCTGTAGTCCTAGCACTTTGGGAGGCCAAGGCAGGTGGATTACCTGAGGTCAGGAGTTCGAGACAAGCCTGGCCAAAATGGTGAAAACCCATCTCTACTAAAAATACAAAAATTAGTTGGGCATGGTGGTGGGTGCCTGTAATCCCAGCTACTTGGGAGGCTGAGGTAGGAGAATCGCTTGAACCCAGGAGACGGAGGTTGCCGTGAGCCGAGATTGAGCCATTGCACTCCAGCCTGGCAAACAAGAGTGAAGCTCTATATCAAAAAAAAAAAAAGGATTGTTTTACAACTTGCTTTTGTTGCTTAACAGATTATGGACACTGCTTCAAATGTATACTTGTAATGTACATCTTTATCAACATGCTCAATTTTTTTTACTAGAAGAAATTCCTGCATTCATAATTGCAATGTCAATAGGCATACTTTAAAATTTTGTTTGGAGTAATAATGCAGGGTATACCAATTTATGCTCCTACTAACATTGTATAAGATCATTTGTTAATCTATACATTTACCAACTCCAGGTTTATCAGTGTTTATAATGGATGCCAATCTGACAGGCAATTTTAACTTCCATTCCTTGGAATGTTAGAGAGACTAAACATTTTTTTCATACATTTAGTATTCTTTTTAGATTTCTCCTTTCATAACAATCGATTGCTCACATCCTTCCATATTATTTCTACTGGAACGTTTTTCTTATTCTCATTAATTTGTTAATACTTTGTATACCAGGATTATTACAACTTTGTCATCTATTTTACAAATATTCTTTACTAGTTTGTCCTTTGTTTTTAAAATTTGTTTTGGGAGCTTTTACCTCTGCATGATCTTTTCCCTATAATTAACTATAGTTCCTTGCTTTGGTGTTGTCCTCAAAAGATTCTTCCATACCGCAAATAACAGAATTATTCATTAAATTTTCTTCTATTACTTTTTAGGGTCTTTATAAGTTACTTAAATCCTAATCCATCTTGAATTTGTTTTGTTACAAATAATAGAAAGAGACTCAACTTCTCTTTTTTTTTTCAAATCACTAACCAGTTTTATCCATTTTTTTTCTACTAAATAATTTGTTTTCCTACTTATTTGAAATATCTCCTTTGTTATATTCTAAATTTCCAGATGCTTGAATGTATTCTAGTCACTGGTCTGCCTGTTATCATTACAGAATTAAACTGTTTTAAATACTGTAATTTTTTTTATAGCCTTAAATGTATGGTATAGGAAGTTATCATCAAATTGCTATGAAAATTTATGGAAAATAACGGTATACAAACTAGAAGGAGAATTAAGTTTTCAAAATGAAGAATTAATTATCTGAAAGAGGAAGGAGTTGATCTAAGAGGCACACAGAAAATATCAGACCTGATAACTTCCCATCCAGCACATTATAGAGACTATTCCAGAACAGGAATTAGCTTAACTCTCAAATTTTATCCTTCCATAAAAAATCCTATGCCCACACTTTTCATTTTGCTCTGTATTTATACAATAAGAGTATATGGCTAAAAAGGAAAGGATTAATAAATTCAATATAATGAAATGACATTAGCAGTCTGAATCTAATAAAAGTTTTAGGCAAAAATAGAAAAGAATAAGGATAAAGGTTATTAAAATGAGAAAACTACTTGAGATGTTGTGTTTATCGCAGTTTAGTACAATTTCCTGTCTTTATAATGATCTTTAAAATGCGCTGTAGGATCTTTAGATGCACAAATACACTGAGTAACGGTAAGATTCTAAAACAAGAACCAGCAGTGCAACTATGTAAATCACAAATTTAGAATTTAAAAAGGATAAAATAACATGTGAAAGTACTTTAAAAGGTACAAAATGACATGTAAAAATAAAGCTACTTTTATTATGAAAAATAATCGGCAAAGATAAAATTCACTAATGTGGTATTTATTTCCTTTAAAATCTGAAACTAAAATTTGGAATGAAAATATATTAAATAGTGGGCTTAATTATAGGAAGTTTCTTTTTTTTTTTTTGAGACAGAGTCTTGCTGTCGCCCAGGCTGGAGTGCAGTGGCGCGATCGTGGCTCACTGCAACCTCTGTCTCCCGGGTTCAAGCAATTCTCCTGCCTCAGCCTCGGCTCACTGCAACCTCTGCCTCCTGGGTTCAAGCAATTCTCCTGCCTCAGCCTCGGCTCACTGCAACCTCTGCCTCCCGGGTTCAAGCAATTCTCCTGCCTCAGCCTCCTGAGTAGCTGGGATTACAGGCACGTGCCACCACGCCTGGCTAATTTTTGTATTTTTAGTAGAGACGGGGTTTCACCACGTTGGTCAGGTTGGTCTCGAACTTCTGACCTCGTGATCTGCCTGCCTCAACCCCCCAAAGTGCTGGGATTACAGGCGTGAGCCACCACGCCCGGCCTAATTATAGTAAGTTTCTGATGGGGCACACTGTGCTATATTATTACCATGTTGCAATTTTCATTCACAAATTTGATACTGTACTTTAATCTACAAAAAGAAAATTAAAAACCACCAAATAATACCACCAACTTTAAAAGTTCAGGAAAAACTTTTCAGGAAGAATCAATCACCTATGCCAACATGGGCTTCTTGTATCATGCTTACGTCATTAGCACCATCACCAACAGCCAATGTTATAGGTTTCTCAGGTGATATTTTTATTAGTCTTATTACCTGAAAGACATAATGAATTGGTTATTTATGACGCAAGTTCAATTTTCTTGCATTCATATAGTCATTTATCTGAAATGACTATAGTAAGAACACTAATGAAAGAAATATTTAATTTTTTATTAGACAATAATATGCAGGTTCATTTTTTTGAGGGTATCTCCATTAAGATTTTAGAGATGTCTTTCAGAAATGTTATAATAAAACAGAGAATTATCTTTGGATTTTATGATGAGAAACAAGAATCTTTTAAATATAGCTTAAATATTTAGAAGGTTTAATAGTAATTGTGTAAAAAATGACTACTTAATTGAACTGTTAGGCAAAATTTTTTCTTAAGAAATTATTTTTTCATTTGATATGAAAGAAATAATTGTTTCCTCTTGTAGTAAAATTTTAAGACTTTAAAAAAATCAATCAAGATTAAATTCAATGAACTCAAAAGAAATATTTCTTTGGAATTCTTGAATGTACTTTTATAAAGAACCTGGGTATTTGCTCTGTTTGGTCTCCAGTTTTAGTCTCCATAGACTGGGGTACATGAATTGTCATAGTATCAGTACTGTAACAAAATTCCAGGAAGCCCAAAAACTTAGACGTTTAATTTATTAGACCTATATGGGAAATAATCAGTATTTAGATGTGCACTGCAAAGGATATTTGTGAAAAACAGTCTAAGATCTCAAATTCCAAATTTAGAATTATAAAAAATGTTTATATAGGCTTTCACTTGAATCACATAGGTAGCTGAAATTTAAATATTTCCTATATATAAGCTTTACAAGTTAATTGGCTTTTCAACTTTTTATACTAAAGCTCTATTTATCACTTTATAGCTAAAAGTAACAAAGAATTATCACTTCATGAGAATGCAAGAATAAACGGAGATCAACAGAACCATCTGAAGGTGCAAATAATTGATGTCTCCTAGGCTCCTTCACTCGCTAAGTAGCTAACTTGCGAAACATTAGTTATCACAGTTTAATTTCTGCAAGATCACAAACTGCTACTCATCACAGGTTTTCTGGGTCACTATGAATAGTTGAAACTCACTCTGAGAATTCCAAAAGTCTGATGTACATGATTAAAATTTACAACATGAGATGTGACTGACTCCTAGCAAAATGTATATATTGCACATCACCAAATGGAACTATGTAAGGCATTAACTTTAAATAATATGTTTATATCTAAATAGCTTTATGGGACTTTTTTATAACATATATACATACTTTTGCTTTCTGCAGTGGAGCCATACGACAGCATAATACAGCTGAACAATTTCTGCAAACTTCCATAAATAGTTTTTCATGCTCCCTGAGTGCAAGAGATAGGCTGGTCCCATCCACTACCAGCCCATGCTGAATCACATGATCCTCTGTAATTCTAAAAGAGAAAATAATTATATTCTCTGTAAGATACTTTGAAGCCATATTATTTACACTCATATAGAACAACACATTCTTACTGAAAGATGGATCTTTTACCCACAGCCCTTACTGTTACAAGACTGTTATGTCAGGAAACAAACTGTTTTACTACCTTAAATTTAAAATTAAGCAGAATTGAGTCACTGATGAGTAAAACAGATAATATTCAATTTTTCTTTCTTTCTCTTTTTTGTGAAACAGGGTCTTGCTCTGTCACCCAGGCTGGAGTATAGTGGCTCACTGCAGCCTTGACCTCCTGGGCTTAAGTGATTCTCTTGCTTCAGCTTCCTATCTTGGACTATAGGCATGAGCCACTATGATTGGCTAATTTTTGTTATTTTAGTAGAGATGGGGTTTCACTATGTTGCCCAGGCTGGTCTCAAACTCCTGACCTCAAGCGATCTGCCTGTCTCAGCCTCTCAAAGTGCTGGGATTACAGGTGTGAGCCGCTGTGCCCAGCCTAATATTCAATTTTACAATGAACTGATATATAGATACAGTAATTATATTTTCTAAAATGTGAATTGTAATACATAATCTGAGGATATTCTCCCAAATTAGATGAAAAGTCTTACAAAAATCGAAACATTATTTAAACATTCAGCAAATCCTAATTAAAAAAAAACTCTATGAAATCAAGATGTTCAGGAAAACCCATGAGCAAGATTCACGATATGCATAACAAGCAAGGAAAAGAATGAAGGAACAGCACTGTCTTGCAATAGGAAACCGATGATGGATTGTAATGCCAGATATTACTATGGTAGAACATGGATAACACCTCACATGTGGGCATATGCTACGTAGGTGCTACTCCAAGTACAGTCTCACTGCTGGAAAGTGGGCAAACTATTTGTTGCCAGGAAGAGATAAGGAGCCTACACCAGAATGTAAATCAACAAAATCACTAAGCACACTATTTTATTAAACTGCTTCCCCCCACAATTCTCCTTTGGTAATAATACTTTCTTGATGAAGGAAGTATACCTAGATTTACATTTTGATGTAAGCTCCTTTATGTTGCTGAAAGCCAGTACTCAGTGTAGCACTGTGCTATATACACCACAAGAAAATACCGAAGGTTCACAGAATATCAGACTCTGCTGAGAACTATCCCTCCACTTAAAAATAAGAAGTGAGAAGACTATTAAATGAGCACACTATAAAAGCTAAACATATATTGATAGATTTTAGTCTTATAAGAAACTTTCGTAAGTTAAAGCAATGTCTTTCATAGTATGCCTAATCACTGTTGTGTTGTACTGTAGCTATAAGTGGTAAGCAATTCACTTTATACCATAAAGTTTTATAAAATGTATTTTTCTCATTACTACTAACTCTCCAATATCTGAAATCAACACCTATATAGACAATTTTTCTTCCCTATTGGCCAAACTTTATTTGGCAACTTGTGCTGCCTCCAATGTCTTCAGCCTGTCCAAAGCACTACCTGAGGAACAGGCCTCAGAAATGCTAGCAGTCAAGAGTGGGACAGAGCAGATCAGTTTTCCTAGGAAAAGTTCCCAAGGCACATGAAATTAGGTTTTCCTCTGGACAGGCTTCATGAATCACATTATGATCTTACAATCCATGGGATAATATTTAAGAAATATGGAAAAGCACCTACATCTCTGGCACGTAGGTAGCATTTACTCATCTCTGTAGCCCTCATGCATCACTACTCTTCATACCCTGTCCCATCTATACCACTCCCTGGCCATACTTTATAATTATTTCCTTGAATATGCCCTCCTCTCTCTCAGCTCTGGGAATCTGCACGCACTGCCCCCTTTGCTGCCTTTATTTTTCTGACACAGCAACTCACTCTGTCACCCAGGCTGGAGTGCAGTGGTGTGATCACAACTCACCACAGCCTTAACCTCCCTGATTCAATACATCCTCCCACCTCAGCCTCCCAAGACGCTGGGACTGCAGGTATGTGTCACCACACACGTCTAATTTTTGTATTGTTTGTAGAGACGGGGTTTCACTATGTTGCCCAGGCTGGTCTTGAACTTCTAGACTCAAGTGATCTGCCTTCCTTGGCCTCCCAAAGTGCTGGGATTATTGGCCACTGTGCCTGTAAGTCAGGATTATGAGCCACTGTGCCCAGCCTCCCGTTTGCTTCTTAGTGTCACTCTCTGTCCAGTGAACATTTCGCCCCACAGGAGGCAACACAGTCATTGGTTGTTCAGAGCTCTCCCTGGTACCCCTGGTCTAGGCTAGGCTTCTCTCTTCTGTCCTTCCAGAGCTTCTGTTCTTGCCTCAGATACAGTTCTGTAGGGATAGGACTATGACAGTGTATTTACTTTTCTGTTTTCCCTACACCAAGTATCCAAGGCATAAACAACACACCTTATGTCTCTGTTCCAAATGCCTAGACAGGTGACAATATATCTTTGTGAAGGAATGGATATATATACTAAAGCTTTCAAAGGCATGAAATTCTTTGTGCGACAGATTTTTATCAAGATTTAGGATACTTCCTGAAAGTCTGTGAATGAATGGGCCTATTGACTTCTATGGTTATCTCATAAAATATATTCCATCAAAAGATACCTCTAAAATATAACATAAATTTCACATAGAAAGTGCTATGGTTTGAATGTCGAATCCCTTCCAAAATTAATGTGGAAAGTTAACCCCCATTGTTATGAAGTGGGGCCTTTTCGGAAGTGATTAAGTCATAATGGCTTTGCCTTCATGAATGGATTAATGCTCTGATAAAAGAGGCTTCAGAGATTTGCCCTCTCTTGCCTTTCGTCCCTTCCACCATGTGTGGACACAGTAATCCTCCCTTCAGAAGGATGCAGCAATAAGGCACCATTTTGGAACAGGGAGCAGCCCTCACTATACAACTTGCTGGTGCCTTGATCTTCAACTTCCCAGCCTCCAGAATTGTGAAAAATAAATTTCTGTTCTTTATAAATTACCTAGTCTCAGGTATTTTGTTACAGCAGCACAAACAGACTAAGACGGCAAGCCTAAAATTCACTTTAAGAGTGTACTCTACGTTTTATAATACAGCTTTTGTACAGAAAAGAAAACAAATACTAATGATTAGCATATTCATTAAAACCACCTATATACAGAAGACTTAAAGAAAATAGCCTAAATTACAAATAATAATCTTCTGATGACTTTGTTATTAACCACTGCATAAGCTTTACAATTTTCAGTATTTTTCAAGTAGACATTTATTATTTTTATAATCAGAAAAATATTTTTTAAAATTATTTTTATTTTTTAGGCAAGAGCACAGTTCACTGTAGCCTTGAACTTCTGGGCTCAAGTGATCCTCTTGTCTCAGCTTTCGGAGTAACTGGGACTACAGGTACACACCCCCACACCTGGATAATTTTTAAATTTCTTGTGGGGACAGGGTCTCATTACATTGACCAGGCTGATCTCAAACTCCTGGGCTCAAGCGATCCACCTCAGCCTCCCAGGGTGTTGGGATTACAGGCATGAGCTACTGTGCCCAGCCAGAAAAAAATATTTAAAAAGGCATATATAAAGTAAATGATTCTGAGCAATTAATTTCTGTGTTTTAGGGAGTTCATGATATTGCAGTATTTAAACGTTTAAATAGCCACAATGTTGTTGACACTGTCCCCAAATTGTAGTATAATTACCTAAATTAATTGTCTTTTTGCACTCAAAGATCCAGTGTGACCCTATTTAAGAGATATTTTAAGAAGACCCTATATGGGCCGGGTGCGGTGGCTCACACCTATAATCCCAGCACTTTGGGAGGCCAAGGCAGGCAGATCACCTGAGGTCAGGTGTTCGAGACCAGCCTGACCAATGCAGAGAAACCCTGTCTTTACTAAAAATACAAAATTAGCTGGGCACGGTGGTGCATGCCTGTAATCCCAGCTACGCAGGAGGCTGAGGCAGGAGAATCACTTGAACCCGGAAGGCGGAGGTTGTGGTGAACCGAGTGCGTCATTGCACTCCAGCCTGGGCAACAAGAGTGAAACTCTGTCTCAAAAAACAAACAAACAACAACAACAACAAAACAACAACAACAAAAAATCCCCTGCATGGTCTTTTTAAAATATCTCTTAAATAGGTTTTAAAAAGATGAAATCCAGACTTGGTATCACATAAATGCCTGCATAAAAAATATAAATAGAAAACACTGAATGTATATTAACAACTATGGTATTTGTCTCTTGGTATTTATTTTTCTGGATTAGTATCACAAGACAGCAAACAACAGAAACCTGCAGGAGACCTAATATGCTTACATACAAGCAGCTCTGATGGTCAAATGAAGCCCTTCCTAGTTTACTGTGAAAAATTAGACTGTGTTAAATGGGGCATCATTTGCCCCCATACAGGGCAAAAATTTGATATGCCTATAAAAGATAGATTTACAAAAAAGACAGAATTTAGAGTATAAATTCTTATGAAATAATCTTGAACAATTAAATGCAGCTTAATTTCCCAGTTTGGTCATGCAAACTAGATCAGGGGTTGGCAAATGTTTTCTGTTACGGGCCAGAGAGTAAATATTTCAATTTTAGGTTTTGTGGGCCAAGAGGCAAAATTGAGGATATAGGTAGTTACAGAATGAGAGGAAAAAATCTCAACAAAATTTTCACTAAGATAAAAATGTAGTAATCATTGAGTATAATTTTTTAAATAAGAGAGGTTTACTAATGAGAAGAATGAAAATACTTCTTTTGGGCAAGGGATAGTACTTTGTTTAATTGGGGTTCAAAGTTAACATTGCAAATGTTCATCTGTTAATGTCCATCTGTAACGAGATTTTTACATTTCCATACGATAGAACTGTATGTAATGAGATTTATAATTCATCTTTGAAAATGTCTTTTCAAACAGGTAGCACAGCTAACATATCAATGCATAATAAACAATGCTTTGCCATCTAACTCAAAAATAAAATAATCCCCTATCCACAGTGCTTCAAAAAAAATCGTAATGTTAAAAGTCCACTTTTCTTTTCTTGTTTTGACATGATGGCCATATACTAATAAAAAACAGTAAAATGTCGCAACATGGTGCTATGCATGGCACTCCAAACACTATCACATTATATGTATCTCACTGTGATTTGTAGAGTATCAAACAGCAGTGTAAAGCTGAAGAGAGAGTATTTTGTAAAGTCTCTGCTGCAACTACTCAATTCTGATGCTGTAGTGTAAAAGCACTCATTGGTAATATGTAAACAAATGAATGTGATTGTGTTCCAATCAAACTTTATAGACACTGGAATTTGAATTTCATATACTTTTCACTTCATGAAATATTCTTCTTCTTTGGATTTCATCTATCAAAAAATGTAAAAACTACTTTTAGCTGATAGGCTGTAAAAAACAGGCAGTGACAGTGGGCTATATCATCGGGCCCAGGGAACCATAGTTTGCTAACCCCTGAAAGGTATGATACAGGTTCCTATATTCTTACCTTCTGGCAAGCTGCCTCAATTGTTCAGCACACTCGCTGTCTGATTTCTGGTTTATAAGTTCAAGGATGTTCATGGTTCTATGAAAATGGCCACATGATAAACTCACACTAACAGCTGTTTCATGTTTATCCCCAGTAAGTACCCATACTTTGATACCAGCCATTCTCAATGCTTCAATAGTTTCTCGAACTTTATCTTGTAGTCTGAAAAGAACAGAAACAAATTAGTAGTAGAGAATACTTTTATGACTGTATTTTAAGTTAAACTACATAGTATATTTAAGGATAATTCTAAACTCTTTGACTTGACCTAGGAATGTTATTATACAATATAGCAATATAACTGGAATTTTCTCTCATTAGGAAGGAAACACGAATAAACAGATTGGTAATTGTCTGGTTAACACAAAATCAACCAATTAAAATCTACAATTTCATATTTTAAGAATGTATCTTCAAAGTTGCTATTCATAGGATGAAACTATGTGCTCTTCATAAACTCCTGTTTTATTACGAAGTCTTACATTTCAAACAAGAAGATTTTTCTCCTTTTGTTTTGATTTAAAAAAATATCTCAAACCACTCATATAGTTAAAAAATCAGACTGTAGAAAATAAAGGTCTAGCTAACTTTAGGTGAGTCTCAGAAATCTCGTAAGGACAACCAAAAAGTAAATGAAAACATAGATTTTAAAAATATGCAAACACCCTTAGGTCTAGGTGGTGGAGGCAAACATAACAACAAACTTAATCTGCAGAATTCAATCTCAGAATTCAGCTAAATTTAAGAAACTGTGAAACAGACATTGAGATAGGTTCTGGGAACAAAGACAAAGAATAAATGGACTTCAAGGATTTCACAGGTTAACAGAGGAGAAGTCTTTAAACAAATAATTATAATATAGTGCCACAAAGACAACAACAGAACTACCTACAATGAGACTTCACAAAGAAGAGAATTTTTAATCCTCTTAGGTGTCAGGAAAGGTCTTACTGGACTGGAGCTAATATCTAAGCTATACTTTATGAATAGGTAGTCACAGAGGGATGGTGAAGGGAAGAATCACCCAGGCAGAAGGCCAACATAGGCACAAAACAGAATAGTTTTAGCTACAGGTGGCATGCAGAGACAGTTTGGTATTGTTGAAACATAAAGCGGAAGGAGACAGTGGTAGGAGGGAAGGCTGGAGAATTAAGCAGGTGCTTCAAGTGTTTGCATGACATGCTGAGGAGTATTCTAAAGATTCAAGCCTATAAGAAAAAACTATAGAGAGCTAGTTTCTTTCATCCATTTCAGGTATCTAGCTAGAACAAAAATTGTACATACTGACCGGGAAAAATTAAGGCTTTAGTTCTCTACTTTGATCTTAAATATATCATGGGATGTTAGTAAAGAGAATTTATGTCACATATTAGAATACTTGGTTACAAAAATTCCTATGAGAGAAAAGTAATATTTTTTAATTATCTGATACTTACCTGTCTTCTACTGCTGTGGCTCCAAGTAATATCAGGTCTTTCTCTATGAACTGGAAAACAGCTGCCAATTTCTCTTCCCGCTGCTGCAAGGCAGTCCTGGCTTCAAATATGCGTTTATCTATTTCCTCATACTCTTTTGATGTAAATTTTCTATATGCTATACACAGAGTTCTTAGCCCTTTCTAAAACAAACAAATAAAAATTAAAGACAAAAATTGAACACAAACAACAAACAGAAAATCAAGAAGTCACTATCAAAATACACTGAAGACCTAGTACCAAAAGTCAATCACAAATCATTTAAAAAGTACTATCACCTAGTGACAGGAAATAAATAATGTCACAAAGCTCTACTGATCTGAGTTATGGGACACATATACCTCTTTCAACTTCTGATGTTTTCTTAAGAAGTTGCTCAAAATAGGCTGGGTGCGGTGGCTCACGCCTGTAATCCCAGCACTCTGGGAGGCCAAGGCAGGCGGATCATGAGGTCAGGAGATCGAGACCATCCTGGCTAACATGGTGAAACCCAGTCTCTACTAAAAATACAAAAAATTGGGCGGGCATAGTGGCGGGCACCTGTAGTCCCAGCTACTCAGGAAGCTGAGGCAGGAGAATGGCGTGAACCCGGGAGGTGGAGCTTGCAGTGAGCCGAAATAGCATCACTGCACTCCAGCCTGGGCGAAAGAGCGAGACTCTGTCTCAAAAAAAAAAAAAAGTTGCTCAAAATAATTAAGGTCACTGAATTGTAGAATATTAGAGCCTAGAATAGATCATAAAGACTATCCTATTAGTGGTTTTTAAACTGTGTTACATGGAAAGCCAGAAAGTTCTTAATACCTTCAAGACTGTCAAGAGAGAGAGACAGCTGCAGGTTCTACCTTCCTGTTTTAACTTACAATTCCATTTTTTACCTACTTCGTACAATTTTCTAAAGCAAAGGAGACCATAATTTCCTAAAGATTCATTGCATGACAAAATTTACCTTTCAAATAAGTCAATAAAATGGCCATTATAAAAAATACTTTTTAGATTTACCAAATAAATGATTTTAAGTAATATATCTTCACCAGTGAATTGGAATCAGAATTGATTATCTGGTTCTACTAGGGCCAAAGTTTTCTTATAGTATTCATCTCTGAAAGTTGATATCTAAATCTAAAGACTTATAAAAGTTCCTTTTCTTGCTACATGCATTTTCCTCAAGAAAACCAATAATAAATATTCTTTTTTATTTTTAGAGACAGGGTCTTGCTCTGTTGCTCAGGCTGGAGTGCAGTGGTGTGATCTTGGCTTACTATAGCCTTGAACTCCTGGGCTCAAGTGATCCTGCTGCCTCAGCCTCCTGAGTAGCTAGGTCTACAGACATGTGCCACCACGCTTGGCTATGTTTTATTTTTTTGTAGAGATGGGGTCTTGCTACATTGCCCAGGCTGGTCTCAAACTCCTGGCCACAAGTGATACTGCCTCAGCATCCCAAAGTGCTGGGATTACAGGCATGAGCCACTGTGCTGAGCCCCATAATAAATATCCTAATAACAACTTGGAAAGCGTAGACTTAAAAATACTATATAACATTATTTAGCAGATTTCTTTTTTTTTTTTTTTTTCAGACGGAGACTTGCTCTGTTGCCCAGGCTGGAGTGCAGTGGTGCGATCTTGGCTCACTGCAAGCTCCGCCTCCTATGTTCAAGTGATTCTCCTGCCTCAGCCTCCCGAGTAGCTGGGACTACTGGTGGGGTTTCATCCTGTTAGCCAGGATGGTCTCAATCTCCTGACCTCGTGATCTGCTAGCCTCGGCCTCCCAAAGTGCTGGGATTACAGGTGTGAGCCACCGCGCCCAGCCCTATTTAGCAGATTTCTAAATATTGCCATTCCCTGACTTATAAATGACCCATACCTATAAATGTGCTTCTTTTAATTAATAGTTAAAAAACCATCTGTTATTAATATATGAATTAATTCATTCTATAACAAATACTTACTGAGCACAAACTATGTGCCAGCATTATTTTAAATATTAAAATGGTGATAAGGTAGAACAATGTCTTTGTTCTCACAGATGTTACGATGTGGTGGGTAAACTGGAACATAAACAATTAGGAAACAAATAATGGGAAAAAAATCATAAACTGTTAAAGAAGGCAGATGAGCAGAGGTGAGTGTGGAGCACACATTCACAGAAATGCAAAAATGAGAGATCATGAAGTTCTAAGACTGAGAGAGAACTGCATAATAATTTTGCCATTTACATGAATGATGGCTCTTTGTTTTAACAAGATTCCCCTATATTTTTAAATTTTGTAAATGAGAGATATAATTCACCTCTTCAAACAGTACAAATCAGTGTTATATCGCATATTCACAGAGTTGTGCAATTATCACCACTATCTAAATCCACAATATCTCATTGCTCCCACGAGGACTCTCCTTTTTCCCCTTCCTCCAGCCCCTGGCAATCATTAATGAGCTTTCTCTGTGAATTTGCCTATTCTGGATATTTCATATAAATGTAGTATTAATATAAGGCCTTTTTTGACTGCCTCTTTCACTCAGCACACTCTTTTCAAGATTCGTCCATGTTGTAGCATATATTGGTACTTCATTCCTCTTAACAGCTGACTGATATTCCATTATATGGATATACCACATTTTGCCTATCCACTTGTTAGCTGGACATTTGGGGTTTTCCATTTTTGTGGCTATTGGAAATAATGCTGCTTATGAACATTTCGTGTATAAGATTTTTTTGTGAACATGTTTTCAGCTGTCTTGGGTGTCCACCCAGGAGTAGAACTGCTGTGTCATATAGTAACTCAATGTTTACCTTTTGAGGAACTTAGCCAAATTATTTTTCAATGTGGCTGTACCATTTATAATCTTACCAGCAATATGTGTATAAGGGTTCCAGTTTCTCCACATCATTAGGATTCCCCTATGTTTGTTTAATAAACACTCTTCTAAAATAGCATAGTTTGAGTAGACCTTGTAACCAGAAATGCCCCGACTGTAGAGTAGGTTTGAAGAGAAGATATATTTTTGCTTGCGTTAAAAGTCAGTTTTCACAAAAGGAATGTGGAGCCAACACACAGTGTAACACAACTGCAGAATGTCCACAATTTTTGATAAATTATAAGAAATAAAGTCCAAAATATTTCATAAATATATCTTTTAGAGTTTTTTAAATCATAGAAATTTGCACTCACCAAAGCAAATTCATCTACATGAATTCTGGTTTTTTCTATTTCTCCACCTATACATTTAGGGAGAATTGATGACTCAGCTCCTTTAGCAAATAATAACTTCTCACCTAGAGACAAAAAAAATGAGTTATCAGACTCTTAATATTACATAAATAAAAATTCATGAAAGTTTAGATTGGTTACCTGAAGGTGCCTGAACAATTACACTCATTCTCCTACGATCTGAATCAAATTCCAGAATATGAAGCAGTTTGTACCTAAACAAAAGAAAGTAAGAAAGACAAAAACTTTACTTTTTTTAAAATAATATTAAGTGACTATATGGAAATAATCCATATATAAGATAAAATGGCTAATTGAGAACAAGAATTAATACCATTTTCATGATGATAGGTTACATGCCATTAATAACAAAACAGGGAAGAAATAGAAGAGACTGACATTGAGTAATTACCAAATGCCATGTATTTTACACACCTTATGTCATTTAATATCCATGAGAGGCCAAGAAAGTAGGTCTTATCTCATTTTTATAGATGAGGACTATTAACCTCAGAAAGATTAAGTAATTTGCCTAAAGTCAGGTAAGCTTGTGAGTGGCAGAGCAAGAACTGGAATCCAGATCTGCCCAGCTCCATGTTTTTCTGACTAAAAAAGGTAACTGATTCTCAACGCTTTTTTCTGTCCTAATACACCTGACAAACACAACACACATTAATATCAAAGGCTCATTATAGCAGTGACTGTGAACCTGGGTGTGTGTGTGCGGGGGTCCATTCCCTCGTGCCTCTCTAGGGAGCTGTAAAAGAATTTGTGTGGCTACATGAGGTGTGGCTTAAAGTCTTCCAGATGAATCTTACACAGTGATTTACATATGAAATCTTTACACATCTCCAAGAAAAACAGTGAGTTGAATAATGGTTTATAAGTTGATAAAATAAGCTAGACAGGCTCTCACATGAAAGTAGCCAAAGAATGGGCCCTATCTAGTATGGAAAAGCATAGTTTGGAAAAGCACAGCTGGAATTGACATATGATCAGAATTGCTAAAACCATGAAAGGAGTAAGTATATTAAGCATGAACTAATTTATCAAAGAATGGAAAAACTAGATATAGACAGCTGTTCCTTCATGTTTGAAAGATAAAAATCACAGGAAATACAAGGAAAGTTTTCTTTATTCAGTGAGAAGAACCTATAAAACTCACTACCCAGAAGCATCTAAAAATAAACATACAAGTAAATTCAAGAATCATTAAGTTAAAATATAGATGAAATATTCAAAGCATACTATTGTTATAACTATGATGAGATACAATATAATGTTAACATCATTCTAGAGCAGAGTTCAGTAACTTTTTCTGTAAAGGGCCAGAGAGTAAATATTTCAGGCTTTGCAGGCCATACATGGTCTCTGTTGCATATTTTACCTCTTTTTAAAACAACCCTTTAAAAATGTAATGTGGGCCAGGCACAGTGGATCACACCTGTAATCCCTGCATTTTGGGAGGCCAAGGTGGGTGGATCTCTTGAGGCTAGGAGTTTCAGACCAGCCTGGTCAACATTTCCACTAAAAATACAAAAATTAGCCAGGCATAGTGGCGCATGCCTGTAATCCCAGCTACCTGGGAGGCTGAGGCACAAGCATCACTTGAACCTGGGAGGTGGAGGCTGCAGTGAGCCAAGATTGTGCCACTGCACTCCAGCCTGGGTGACAGAGCAAGATTCTGTCTCAAAAAAAAAAAAAAAAAAAAAAGTAATGTGACTTGTGGGCTGTAGAAAAACAGAAAATATAGGCCACATTTGCCCTGTGAGCTACAGTTTACTGATCCTTATTCTATACTATATACACTTAACACAGAAAACATTCCAATATATGAAAAAAAATTACCGTTCCAGTTTTCCAAGAGTTTTAACCTCCATAGTTTCTTCAGAATTGCCAATAAACACAATACCAATCCTAGACATCAAAAGGATAAAAAAGTGAGACTTAAGAAATAATACTGCATATTTCACAATGTCACTATAGCTTAACTTGAATAAAAACATTTAAAATCAAAGTTCAAAATGCATTTAAAAATATTTCCTTTTAATATTACAACTTTGGTGCCAGGAGTGGTGGCTCATGCCTGTCATCCCAGCACTTCAGGAGGCCAAAGCGGGTTGATCACCTGAGGGTAGGAGTTCAAGACCAGTCTGGCTAACATGGCGAAACCCAATCTCTACTAAAAATACAAAAATTAGCCAGGTGTGGTGCCCTGTGCCTGTAGTCAGTCCCAGCTACTCAGGTGTCTGGGTCAGGAGAATGGCTTGAACCCCAGAGGCTGCATTGAGCTGAGATCACACCACTGCACTCCAGCCTGGGTGACAGAGTGAGATTCCATCTCAAAAAAAGAAAAAAAAATATATATATATTTTATATATATTCTTATATATTCTTTTTAATATATATTTTTATTTATATATGTTATATATAATAATTTTTATTTATTACTTACATATTTTTATAAAATGTATATAAAAATATATAAATATATATACACATACACAAACATATATATATACTTTTAAGGACTAGAAGGATTAGAAGGATCAGAGTAGGTGTAGTACAACATATGCACAAGCATTTTTAATAAATTCTATTACACAGATTTTTATAGTAATCAGATTTTCAAAGAGATCTTAAAAAAAGACTCAATGCAAGCTTGATAATAAAATGACTTCAAATTGTCATTTAAAATTTAAATTGTACTTCTATTTTTATGTATTTATATGAATTCTGACAACTTAAAATGACGAATTTATGTTTGAAAATTTTAAATGATGATTCTAATATTGTTACATTTATTTAAATGGTGTTTTTCCGAAGATTTGGAAATCAGACTAAATTACCTTGCAGCAGCTTCTACTAGAGCCTTTTCATCTGGTGAAGATGCATAGTACTCCAACTGCGATGGTGCCAGGTTGGATTGCCAGGGACCATCACCAGTGCAGTCAGTTTGAACATTGCTAATCTGTACAGTGTGACAGAGACTGACTGCTTTAAAGAAGAGATCATGTTCTTTAATCTGTAAAAATGTAATTAATATTCATGATAAAAATATCATTTCCACATACCATTTAGGAAACCAGAGGCAAAATTCTAAGATCTAGAACAAGAGTGCTACAACCTTGATTGCCTGAATAACAGTTGGTTGTTTCTGCCTTCAAAAAGTAAAATGTCACATTTGCTTAGGACCCTTCAACACGTGAGCATCTTTTTAGGAGGTACAACCACATTGCAAGTAGAGGGGAACACTTTTTTATAGAAGAAGTGAGGTCTCAAAAAGTATTAAATAAATTTAAGCTCTATTTTTCAAAGAAAGTCTTCTTCACTTCAAGGCAGTAAGGGCTTTTCTTAACTACGTTCCATTTAAATACTCAAAGAGCTAAGGCAGACACGTATTAAATAACAAGTTAAACTGGGCTGTAACAACAAATTCTTAGGATTATATTTTATATTGTTGAATCAAATATATGAATTTCAAATGTATATTCCTTGCTCTACTGACACAAACTTTTTTTCCTGCAACTCATCAACTACTGAAGAGAATTATTTCATATGAAACCCTTATTTATTAATTTAAAAATTACTTACTAGTTCAGTTTCATTTTCAGGACTGGTTCTGAAAGAGGAACTGGTTGTAAGATGGGATAAGTTGTTAAGATGGGATAAACTACTAAGATAAGATAAGTTTCCTTCTGAAGAGTCTGGTGTTGGTCCTTCGGGTACAAGTCTACCATTAATTTCTTGGTATTTCATGCCATTAATTGAACATTCCCGAAACTGCATCTCATTTTCTGTCAGTGTACCAGTTTTATCTGTAAACACGTACTCTACCTATAGAGATAGAAAACAAAAGAAAATAAACCTTTGTGTTCATGGTCCTATGTTAAACAAGAAAAAAATCTCTGTCCTCGCTCTCCTGAAGTCCAGTTTATCTATTAATATTGATATATGGATGCTGAGATTCTTATAATCCAAGCACAATTAAATAAATATAGATGCCAAGGAAAGAAAACAGGGTAACACAAAATAGTTTAAAGCTACATAGATTTTGAAGTTTGTGGCATCTTTACGTACATGTTTATCTGTAGAATTGACGAGAATTTGGTATTAATGCTTCTTTTCTTTTTCTTGGCTAAGGTATTTTAAGTAGTAGGACTCTAAGAATTATCTCTAAAGCAGGGTGGAAAGGATGCTTAATAATGTAGAATGGGAAAGGGTATCCGAGTGAGGAGAAATAGTGCAGAGCTAGGAATAGGAATACACAGTGATAGTGACAGCAACACAAGAAGTTAGAGGTGCGAATTGTCTAAAACAGAGAGAAGTTGAAACTGAGGACAGAAAACAAATTTAGTGAAAAAAATCGATGTTTAAAAGAAAAAAACATATTTTTAAAAGTAAGTAAGACAAATTATTTTATTACTTTTGGAGACTAATTCCAGAAAAAGTACTTTAAAAGAAAGTATGTCCATGAAAAAAGAAGGATGTAATAGTCAAGTCTTGATCCAACCAGGATCATCATGAAAATCTGATTACTGCAATAATGACTTGAGAAAGAAGTCCTTTAAAAAGGGATGTAGAAATCACAAGAAAAGAAGCTACAGATCAACATCCCTTATAAAGAGATGCAAATCAAATCCAGAAACATATAAAAAGGGTTATATACTACAAATATGTGGGATTTATCCCAGAATTGCAAGATTGACTCAACACTTAAAAAAATTAATGTAATCCATCATATTAATAAAATGGTACCTGGCCTTCATTTTATTGATAAAATAACCACCAAAATAGGTACAGAAAAAGCATTTGATAAAAATCCAATACCCTTCATGATAAAGGCGTTCAACAAACTGGAATAAAAAGGAACTTCCTCAGCCTGATAAAGGGTATCTATAAAAAACTCACAGTTAACATCGTACCTTATGGAGAGAGACTGAATGCTGTCTTCCTAAGATCAGGAATAAGACTGCTTTTGTCACTTTTACTCAACATTGTACTTAAGGTTCTAGCCATGACAATTAGGCAAGAAAAGGGAAATAAAAGTTAACATGATTGGAAAACAAGAGGTAAAACTATCTCCATTTGCACATGATATGACCTTGTATACAGAAAATTCTAAAAAACTGACTAAAAAAAATAGAATATATAAGTTCAGCACAATTCCAGGATAAAAAGATCGATATCCAAAAAGAAAGGTAGGGTTAAATTTGGCAAAAAATTACTTAACTTACCTAAAGTCAAAAAGCAAATAAATGGTGAAACTGGAAATAAGAGATAGAATACTTTATCTTTACTATTTGATATTAAATGTTGCCCAGTATTTATAGCAATGTTGAACTGGAATTTAAAGACCCCATGCAAGTTAATTAAAAAAAGCCCACACATGTAGATCAGGAAGAATGAGGGATGAGTTATACAGAAAATATATAAGATACATTAGCAATCAAACAGAAATAATACTCAGAGGTTACTAGAATACAGACTGCACTATCAGTCATGGAGGATTCTTTAGAAAAAAGATTAGATGGTAGGGATGGATAAAATAAATTAACTTTGATTTAAAAGTATATATATATATATAAAATCAAGAAGTTTAATCTTTTAACTTTCATGATAAACAGGTCATCACTGTAAACCTTCCTAAGAGTTGTTTTTTGGATAATATGGAAATGAAAGAGCACAGAAGAATATGAAATAAAGTAGATTTCATTGGTAAAAGACAAAATAGGAATAGAGGCAGTAAACATACATTAAATACTTGTAGTTTCAAAAGCAAAAAGAGAGGCTGAGAAAATCAGTAATTAAAGAAATAATCACCAGAAGTTTCTTAAAGACAAAGCAGACATGAGTATGCATACACAATGTGAGGTTCCAGGAAAACAAAAATTCTATCATGAAGAAAAAAGGAGGGGAAGAGAGTTGAGAAAGAAAGGTCAAAGGCAGATTGGAAAAATTTATTCAGAAAAGTAAAAATGGGCCTTTAGGCCTTACATATATAATATGTAATTAAAGAAATGTGACATGAATTAATATTTAACATAAATTATTAAGGCCTCCTAAATGTTACTAAAAATAAATGGATTGGCCAGGCGCGGTGGCTCATGCTTGTAATCCCAGCACTTTGGGAGGCCGAGGCGGGTGGATCACGAGGTCAGGAGATCGAGACCACGGTGAAACCCCATCTCTACTAAAAATACAAAAAATTAGCCAGGTGTGGTGGCGGGTGCCTGTAGTCCCAACTACTCGGAGAGGCTGAGGCAGGAGAATGGCGTGAACCCAGGAGGCGGAGCTTGCAGTGAGCCGAGATTGCACCACTGCACTCCAGCCTGGGAGACAGAGTGAGACTCTGTCTCAAAAATAAATAAATAAATAAATAAATGGATCAACTTGTGGTTAAACATGACAGGTTGAGCACATTTAATTATCTCTGGTTCTCTTAAAACTTCACCATGAGGATAAAAAAAAAAACAGAAAAAGAACAAAAATAATGGTAAAAAAGTCAGCATGAGAGGGAAGATTGACACAAGTTTGGAAGATGGAAAAGGAGATGAATGAGTGGTAACTGATGTACCAGAACTTAGAATCTGAAACCCAAGTGATGAGAAAACCCATTCTCAGAAACGCTCAGGAAGTAGACCTACCAGCTACCCCTGAATGTGGGAGTACAGGATGAGGCTGAAAATACAAGCTATCAGGAGTAGTTTAAATTCTGAAATCTCTTTAAAAGTTGCAAACTTCAGAACGCCCCTCATTTATTGGAGCAACAGCTGGAAGGTGTATTCCCCTAGTAGGCTGAACTGGACAGAATCTGGTCTCCGCAGACAGCTGAACACAGAAGGGAGGCAGTGCACTAAAAACAGGTATCCAATGGCCAGCTCTAGCAGCCATAAGCAGCAGAAATATTACCTGCTGGGCCTGTCAGCTCATTACCTTAAGGTGTGGCCCACTGAATCAATAGCTTCTGATAAGCATATTAGTGCCTGAGGTTTTTTTTGTTTTTTTTTTTTAGACAGGGTTTCACTCTTGTCACCCAGGTTGGAGTGCAATGGCACAATCTGGGCTCACTGCAACCTCCATCTCCTGGGCTCAAGTGATTCTCCTACCTTAGCCTCCCAGGTAGCTGGGACCACAGGCACACACCACTGCGCCCAGCTAATTTTTGTATTCCAGCTAGTATTTGTATTTTTTGTTTTTGTATTTTTTTGTAGAGATGGGGTTTTGCCATGTTCTCCAGGCTGGTCTTGAACTCCTGGGCTCAAGTGATCTACCCACCTTGGCCTCCCAAAGTGCTGGGATTACAGGCATGAGCCACTGAGCCCAGCCTTTCATTTTTTTTTTTTTTTGAGACAGGGTCTCACTCTGTTGCCCAGGCTGGAGTGCAGTGGTGTGACCAGGGTTCACTGCAGCCTCGATTTCCTGGGCTCAAGTCATCCTCTCACCTCAGCCTCCTGGGTAGAGTACTTTTAAATTTGAAATGATAGCCAAAGATTAGCATCCATTTGAGGATCACTCCTTACATAAAAGGTAGAATCTGAAACAAATTATAATCAGTTCTGTTGTAACACTGTCTTGAAAACACAAATTTATCCCAATGCAACTGATACAATAAGAGACAATTTGAGCATAATCAAAACTTTGTGCAAATTTTGCCCAAAACTCAGTTACTAGCTATCTCAGTTCACCATGTGTTATGAGTCACACTCATCCACATCTGGTATTACAACCTTCCCTCTGATTTCAGATAACCTTCCCTTTCACACTTCACAGTAACACTTAAGTTGCAACCCTTCTGATGCCTATCTTCCACAGGCAAACTTCAGGTCCAGGTAAGTGCCGTATTTATTGAAGCATTTGTGTATTCATGAACAATTTGGCAAGTGCTGTTTTTATTAGGTTCCTATCTTTTAAAAAATGTATTATTAGGCTGGGCACAGTGGCTCACACCTGTAATCCCAGCACTTTGGGAGGCCAAGGTGGGAGGATCACCTGAGGTCGGGAGTTTGAGACCAGCCTGACCAATATGGAGAAACCACGTTTCTACTAAAAATACAAAATTAGCCGGGCGTGGTGGCACATGCCTGTAATCCCAGCTACTCGGGAGGCTGAGGTAGAAGAATTGCTTGAACCCAGGAGGCGGAGGTTGCAGTGAGCCAAGATTGCGCCATTGCACTCCAGCCTGGGCAACAAGAGCAAAACTCCGTCTCAAAAAAAAAAAAAAAAAGTATTATTGTTTTTGTGTTGTACCCCTAATCCCATTCTCTCATAAACCCTGTGGCTTTTACTAGGCAATTTTGCATTATGCAGTGAATTTTAGGAACGCATATATCACATTATAGCAGAACTGGCTGTTCTGGAAAATGCACTACAAGCAAAGATAATAGAGGGAGCAGAAGAAGACTTCAATTGACTGTCATTAATATCCTCGGGGAGGTAAAAGAATAGATTATGTTCAAGAAATGGGATAAGAGGCAATTTTAAAAAACTATCCAGAGAATACCAAAATATTAGAAATTAAAAATATTATAGCAGAAATAAATCAAAAGATACTGAAAAGATAAATCAGAGGCATTCTACCAGAAAGTAGAATATAAAAACAAATAAATAAAAACTGAAAATTGAAGTCAGAGAATTAAAGGGTCAATATAAGTGGTAGGACATGCAAATAGTAAGTTTCAAAACAAGAGAAACATAGAAAGACATGTTATCAAAACAATAGTACAAGAAAATTTCCTAGAATTGAAAGACATGTATTTCCAGGATGAAAAGACTCACAGAGTTAATTGCCCATGAAACAAAAAATAAAAAAGGAAAAACGAACACCAAGGTACACCATCATGAATTTCAGAACTATTGCATAAGGAGATCCTAAAGCTTCCAGAGATAAAACAACAGATCATACATAAAGAATTGGGAATCAGAATGGAACTGGATTTCTCTAACAGCAACACTGGAGGCTAGAAAACAATAAAATCCCTTCAAATTTCTGAAGATTTCAATCTGCAATGCAATAACAGCTAAATTATTAATCAAGTGTGAAAAGAGAATAAAGATATTTTCAGACATGCCAAGTTTCAAAACATTATCCTCTGATACATCCTTTCTCAGGAAGTTATTAGAAGATGTACAGCACCAAAAGAGAATAAGCCACAGGTAGGAAGACATGGGATGCAAGAAAGAGGAGATCCAAAACAGGAGAGAGGCAAAGGAATTTCCAGGGTGATGGTAAAGTGAAGTCCAGAGTGACAGCTGAGAAGCAAGCCCAGAAAGAGTAAAGAATAATCCAATCGGAGCAGAAAGGTGGAAGCCTCCAAAAACATTGCTACCAAAAAAAAAAAAAAGGAAGGCAGGGAGGAAGAAAGGAACTTCTAGATTACCTGGTATGTTTGAATATATAGACAGATGCTGCACATATTATCAGAGACTTGTTTGTGGCACATGGAAATTGAGGAAATGAAAAAACAGAGCAAATAACTCTTGGGAAAACAAAATATATAAGAAGGGAAATGTAATTATGGTATTACAGGACACATCTATAGAACCGGGAATTAGTGAACAATATTAAAACAATCATAATAATGTTAATAAAAATATTTATTAAATCCCAAATTGTGATATGATAGTATTAGGGGGCTATGGAGAAGCAAAGGGATATGTGTCTGGGAAGAGTAGTGTAAGAGTTATGTCTTTATATTCCATAGTAGATAATGTCTAAAACTTAAGAATAAGAAAGAATATCAAATAGAAATATAGTGGTAAATAACAAAAGAAACAACTTAGGGTTTAAAAATTGGGAACAGCTAGGAGTGGAGCAAAGGGGGGTTGTTTTTGGTATAAGCATCATAATACCTTGTTACATTAATCTTTGTCCATGTATTGCTTTGATAAAAATAACAAATTAGAGAAACAAAATATTAGGATCATTTTCACCTGTCCAAGCTCTTCATTCAGATCGGAAGTATTGACTTGAGCTTTCTGATCTGATTCTTCATGATACAGATCAAGATCCCAGCCAATAAAAAATGATCCAAGAAATTTCTGCATTTCGACTGTCACATATAATGAAATTGGAATGATGAAATTGTAGAGAACCAAAAAAGCAAGGAAGTCTGAAATAAATCTCAGAATCTAGAAAAAAGGAAATAATTGTTTGAAAAGAAAAAATAAACTAGAATTTCTTCAGTATTACTGATGAAAATTACCAGAAAGTTTCATGCCTACATAGACCATCAACTATATTCTGAGGTAGAATAGTCTCATGAATTGAAATTCATTTATTGAATTGTCTTTTTAACATTACATTTCCTCTGGTTATTTTATTGCTCATTAGAATCTTGATAAAGTAAATGATGAAAAGGTTAAATTCAAGTAACTTAATTCGTTACTTTCAGAAGCTAACAAAAAGCCTGGTATGACTGAAACTACCTTTGGCAAAATTATAATTATAATATCTGCAGTGTATTTATCCCATTCTACTATTACCCTTCAAAATCAGATAACTACTAAAAGTTGAGTGTAACTTTACAAAGTTATAAAATAACTGCGAGGTTAAAAGTGCCAGAAATTAAAACTCTTAAGTGCAGATTATATAGGAATAGCCTACTTTAACGGCTTTAGCGGCTCCATATTTCAATATGCATTGGTGAAAGGAAATGTACCTAATTGTGAATGATATTAAAAATACGACCCTGTGATTATTTGCTTTGTAGTTTCTTGAGATCCAAATTTGTCTTCCAATACAAAGATTTTAATCTAAAGTGAAACCTGGAGAACAATTATTTACCAAAATTATAGGTTAAATTCTCTTGGTAGTCCATGTTTAATCAATTTAAAATATATGACATAATTTGCATATTACTTCATATTAAGACTGATAACAAGCATCCTTGAATTATTAAGACAAAATTAAAAATACATCCATTTACTCTTTGATTCATTTATAAGACACAGTAAGTGGAAGAGAAAATTGAGTTTGTAGTATTAATGTGAAATGCAAATATAGATGGATTTAAAATTTTGTGACCTCTTTGAACTATTCAAGTCATGCCACAGGGAATACAACTTTTTATGCCGTAAACTACAAAAAGCGTATCAGTACAAACACGCTGGCTTCTCTGCATTTGCAATGCCATTTCTGTCACCCTTCAGTACCAACAGTTTTAGGATTACAGTGGTCTCTCCAATCAGAAGTCACTACCAAAGCACTAATCGTGCCAAGTAATAGTTTCCTTTATGACACAGTCAATAACACCATAAAATACCTTACTGCTATTTCTTTGATGTTCTGTTTTTTGGTTATACCAAGGTTCATCCCATTTTTCTTCAGCTTGCCATGTATACTTCAAGATAGTGCTGATGACAGCTTCAGATATAAGAATTACTAGATAAATTATCAAAAATGTATTCATTGACCTTAAGGAAGAAAAAGAGAATATAAAACATACAACTCATGTATTACTATATTCATTTGCTTGAAAATTAGTACTTGTATTAGAGAAGATATTAAAACATAGAGGGTATTACTGTAACTATTTTAAAATACACAGCTTTTGTTTTCAAGAAATAACCGTTAAATAGAATTTATTTATTAGCAATAAAAGAACCAGTGCACACAGGTTACAAGCCTATTTAATATAGCCATGTTACCATTAAAAATGTTTACAGTAAATGACGGTTTTAGTCAGTTATTTTTGCCATAAGTAATTATTCTAAGTTTTTTTTTTTTTACATTTTCAGCACCCACCTTAAGTGTAATAGCTAAAAATAGCATTTGTATAGCATTAAAATTTTATAAAATGTTTGTCACATCTACTACCTTACCTAATCTATATGAAAACCCTGGCTGGGTGTGGTGGCTCACTACGCCTGTAATCCCAGCACTTTGGGAGACCGAGGCGGGTGGATCACGAGATCAGGAGATTGAGACCATCCTGGTTAACACGATGAAACCCCATCTCTACTAAAAATACAAAAAAAATTAGCTGGGCGTGGTGACGGGCGCCTGTATTCCCAGCTACTCAGGAGGCTGAGGCAGGAGAATGGCATGAACTCGGGAGGCAGAGCTTGCAGTGAGGCGAGATCGTGCCACTGCACTCTAGCCTGGGCGACAGAGCGAGACTCTGTCTCGAAAAAACAAACAAACAAACAAAAACCCTGTAAAGGGGAAATTATTATATACTTTTTAACTGACAAAGATCAAAGCCCAAAAATAATTCTGTAAATATCCCAAAATCACACATGTCAGGAATTGACTTCAGAATCCCTCTTCTCTTTATTAGGTAAGCTTAATGCCACATGTCTTTAAGTTTAAAAACATATTAATACAATTAAAGGAACTCATCATTATAAATTCAAATGTATGCAAAACAAGTTATGTTATTATAATGAACTCTCACATCCAACAAATATTGAGGGAAAATGTGAATCACAAGCTTTGTAAAAACTCTTTAAAAGACTGAAAAATGCCTGAATTCTGATTTTTCTCCCTAGGCCTTTCATAATTGAACCTAATCTTAACTATGGAGTAAGCTGATATTCCACCATGTTCCAATGTAAACTCTATATATTCTGCTGTGACAGTAAATAAGGAATGTAAGAAAGGAACTGGCTTTCGTTTGGTTATTATGTATTAGGCATAGTATTCAGCACTTCACCTATAGTACTGCTCGCATTTTTATACATGAGAACACCCGGATCAAGAGAAGAAAACAACTGGTCTAAAGCCCCATAGAGCTAGTAAGGAAGGGATATGACATTCAAATCTACATCTGTCTGAGTCTAAATTTTGACCTCTTTTCACTAAACTAGTCATGTCTCCTTGTGGCAACAAAATGCCTGGTTTATTTCCATCTTTCTTGCTCATGTCTACCCTCATCAGACATATTCTCCTTTTTCCCTACATTACTAACCTATTTTTCAAAATTTAACTCAAAATCCATCTCCTTCCTAAAGTCTGTCCTAATTACATTGGTTTACATTCAACTTTCCCTTATTTAAATTTAAAACTAGTACCACAGCTCCTATTACCTAATTTTTTTACTGTGTATTAGTTTTAACTTCCAACTTGATTGAAATCTCCAAAAAGAGATGGAATTACATCTCAGAAAACCTACTACAGCAACAGATACACAAAAAAGCTCAATAAAGATTTCTAGGACATTAGGCTGTTTCCAGTTTTTTGCTGTAACAAATAAAGTGGCTATGTACATTTCTGCTTGAGGTTTTGTGTCAGCATAAAATTCATTTCTCTGAGTTAAATGCCCAAGAGTGCAACTGCTGGGTCATATGGTAAACATGTTTAGTTTTGTAAGAAACTCCCAAACTATCTTCCAGAGTGGGTATACTATTTTTAATTCCCACCAACAACATATAAGAGATTCAGTCTCTCCACCTCCTAGCCATTTGGTATTATCACTATTTTAACTATTCTAATGGGTGTGGTGATATCCCAATGTGGTTCTAATTTGCTTCTCTCTAACAGGTAATGATGCTGAATATCTTTTCATGTGCTTATTTGTAATCTGCAGCTTTTCTCTGGTGAAATATGTATTATGCATGTGGTGAAATATGAAGTATGCCTTTTGCTCATTTTCTAATTGGATCACTGAATTACTATTGAGTTTGAGAGTTCTTTATGTTTCTAAACATAAAGCCTCTGGAAGATTTGTGGTTTGCAAGTATTTTTCCCCAGTCTGTAGCTTGTCTTTTCATCCTTTTAAGAGGGTCTTTCACAGCACCAAAGTGTTTAACTTTGATTAACTACAACTTATTAATTTTTTTGATTTAGGAATTATGCTTTTAGTGTCATGTCTTCTAGCTCTTTGTCTAACACTAAGTCCTGAAGATTCTGTTTTCTTCTAAAAGTTTGTTTTACATTAAATCTATACTCTAATTGAATTAATTTTTACATACAGTGGGGGTTTGGGTTTGTTTGTTTTGCTATGGGTATCCAATTGTTCTAGCACCATTTGTTGAAAAAGATTACACTTCCTCTATTGTATTGCTTTTGTGCTGTTGCCAAAAATCAATTGGGCCTATTAGTGTTGGTCTGTTCTGGGGTTCTCTATTGTGTAACACTGATCTATGTATCTATTCTTTAACCAACACCAAATTGTCTTGATTACTGTAGCTTATATAGTAACACTTAACATCAATAGCAATTCTTCTCACTTTATTTTTCATTTTCAAAACTGTTCCTTTGCTTTTCTATCTAAATTTCAGAATAAATTTTCTACTTCTACAAAAAAACTTGCTGAGATTTTTATAGAAATTGCATTATACCTATTAATCGATTTGGGAAATCTGGCATCTTTACCGTACGAATCTTTCAACCCATGAACATGATATATTGTTCCATTTATTTAGATCTTTGATTTCTTTCCTCAGTGTTTTGTAATTTTCAGCTGAAAAGATGACAAAAGGTGGTTACCTTCCACCTTTTGCCCATTTTTTTTAATTAGCTTCTCTTTTCATTGTTGACTTGTAGGCAGGTGTGTGTGTGTGTGTGTGTGTGTGTGTGTGTGTGTGTGTGTGTGTGTAAACACATGCACATATATATTATATACTCAGGATACAAGTCTTTGGTCAGATACATGTTTTGCAAATATTGTCTCCCAGTTTGTAACGTGTATGTTCATTTCTTTAAATGTTTAGCCTGATGAGCAGAAGTTTTTAGTTTTGAGAAAGTGTAATTTATCAATTTTTAATTATTATATTTGTTGTATCCTAAGAAATCTTTACCTACTCTAAGTCATAAAGATATCTTTCTAAGTTTTCTTCTAAAAGTATTTTTTGTTTTGTTTTGTTTTGTTTTGTTTTTTTAGATGGAGTTTCGCTCTTGTTGCCCAGGCTGGAGTGCAATGGCACGATCTCATCTCACCACAACCTCCGCCTCCAGGGTTCAAGTGATTCTCCTGCCTCAGCCTCCCAAGTAGCTGGGATTACAAGCATGCACCACCATGCCCGGCTAATTTTTGTATTTTTAGTAGAGACAGGGTTTCTCCATGTTGGTCAGGCTGGTCTCGGACTCCCGACCTCAGGTGATCTGCCCGTCTCGGCCTCCCAAAGTGCTGGGATTACTGGTGTGAGCCACCGCGCCCAGCTCTTCTAAAAGTTTTGTAATTTTAGCTTTTATATTTAGGTCTATGACTTGTTTTCAAAACTTTTTGGAGTACAGCATAAGGCAGAAGCTAAGTTTCATGTTTTTCTCATTTGAATATCCAATTGCTGCATCATTTGTAGAAAATACTAAATTTTTCATTGAATTGACTTGTTACTTGGTTGAAAATCAACAAACCCACACATGAATGGTCTACTTCTCAACTCTCTATTTTATTCTATTGAACTATCATCTTTGTTAATACCATACTGTAATTACTGTAGCTTTATATTAAGTATTTAAATCAGGTAAGGTAAATCTTTTAGCTTTCTTAAGAGATTGTTTTTGCTGTGCATCTGAATATGCATTTTGGCTATTGCATTTCAATATACACTTTAGTATTACCTTGTCAATTACTACAAAAAGATTGCTGTGATTTTGAGACTGAGGGAATCTACACAGTAACTGACAGCTTAACAATACTGAGCTTGACAATCTATTAATGTGATTTCTCCATTTATTTAGTTCTTAATTTATCTTGCCATGTTTTGTAATTTTCATTATATAAATCTTGCACAAGTTAAAAAAAAACTTATTCCTAAATATATTACGCTTTTTGATACTACTGTAAATATAACCTTTTAAAAATTTCATTTTCTTAACTGTTTCTTACTATTATAAGATATAAAAATGATTTATTGGCCGGGCACAGTGGCTCACACCTGCAGGGAGGCCGAGGTAGGCGGATCAAGAGGTCAAGAGATCAAGACATCCTGGCCAACATGGTGAAACCCTGTCTCTACTAAAAAATACAAAAATGAGCTGGGTGTTGTGGCGCGCACCTGTGGTCCCAGCCACTCGGGAGGCTGAGGCAAAAGAATCGCTTGAACCCGGGAGGCGGAGGTTGCAGAGAGCCGAGATCGCACCACTGCACTCCAGCCTGGTGACAGAGTGAGACTCTGTCTCAAAAAAATAAAAATAAAAAAGGTTTCTCTTTATTTACCTTGTATTCTGAGACCAACTTGCTTATTATAGTTTTCTTATTGAATACTTATGTCTGTTTACATGAAAAATCATGTGTCTTCCAGTAGGACAATTTTACTTCGTGCTTTCTAGTACTTATGGCTTTTAATTCCTTTAACTTGTTGCACTGAATGAGGCTTCTAGAATAATGTTAAAAAGTAGTGAGACTGGATAGTCTAGGTACAAGTCCTTTACAAGATATATGCTTTGCAGACATTTTCTCTGGTCTATGGCTTGTATTTTTAAATTTTTTGTTTTAGTTTCTGGCATCTTCACAACATAAACAGTGCCTTTTTAAGTGTTTAAGTCTTACATTTCGATGAAGTTTAAGCTATCAATTTTGGTGGTTCCTTTTCCGTACATTTCCCATCTAAGAAATCTTTACTTAACCCAAAGTCACAAAGATTTTCTCCCATGTTTTACAGATTTAGTTATTATGCTTAGATCTTACACTTTGAGTCAGTTTTTGTATATGCGGGAGACGGGTAAGGGTGAAGATTGAATTTTTGACATACAGACGTCCACCTGTTCTAGCACCATGTGTTGAAAAGGCAAATCTTTAGCGTGGAGACATTTTTAAATAATAACTTAAAGCTATTTGACAGACTTAAGGGTTATTTAGACTTTCTGTTTCATCTTGGGCCAATTTTGGTAAGTTACCTGTGTTTTCAAAGAATCTGCCCATTTCATCTAAATTGTAAAAGTCAGTGACAAAAAGTTGTTCACAGTAGTTCCTTATTATCCTTGGATATGTGTAGCATCTATGGAGCTATCCCCTCTTTCATCCCTGACATTCGTAATTTTTTAGTTTTTTTCTCTTATACCACTTCTCTTTTGCTTAATCTGTCAATCTCAGCAGGAATTTGTCAACTTTATAGCTAGAAATTTCCCTCTAAGCTGGGCTTTGCCTTGAGTCTGCAAATGTAGATGTGTTGGGTTTCAATTACCATTCTATTTGAAGAAATTTAAATTTCCTTTGTGATTTCTCCTTTGACCCATGAGTCAGTTAAAAGAGTTGTTTTTTAATTTCAAAATATTTGCAGATTTTGTTATTGATTTTTAATCCAATTCCCTCATTGTCAAAGAACATACTTTGTATGATTTCAATCTTTTGGGATTGGTTTTATGGCACATCATATGATCTGTCTAGATGAACTTTCCATGTATAATTATGGAACTATTCTAGTGTTCAGTTTTCATAGGCTTACAATATACATAGTATATCTTTTGATGTCAACCTATTTATATCTTTGTATGTAAACTGTATTTCTTCTAGACAGCATATAGTTGGGTCTGGCTCTTTTATCCAATCTGACAATCTCTGACTTCATTAGACTGTTTGATGCATTTATATCTCATGTAATTTTTGGTCAAATTTCGGACCACCATTTTGCTATTTGTTTTCTATTCTCTCATTTGGTTTTTTGTTTCGCTGTTCTTCCTTTCTTGCTGTTTACTGTGTTTACCAAACATTTTAATATTCAGTTGCTCTAACTTATTAGCTATAAATCTTTGCCTTATTGTTTTTAATGGAAGCTCTAGAGGTCAGAATATGCATCTTTACCTTATTGTAATTTATAGATGCTATTGTATTATTTCATGTAAAATGTAAGACCTTTGTAACAGTTCATTTAAAGCCCCCCATCATCTTTTGTGCTGTTTATGTAAGGGAAAAAGAAAGCTTAAAATTAATCATTTGAGTTCATCTAGCATCACAAGAAGTTAAAGAGAAATAATTAGACCCAAATTGAGAAGAAACGGAGGAAATTAATTGAAGATGTGAGCTGAAGGCAATGGAAAAGAGAAAAAAAATACACAAAATTAAAGCCAAAAGTTGGTTCTTTGAAAAATATTTATAAAGAGTCTTTTTTTATTTTTTGAGATGGAGTCTCGCTCTGTCACCCAGGCTGGAGTTCAGTGGTGCGATCTCGGCTCACTGAAACCTCTGCCTCCTGGGTTCAAGCAATTCTCTGCTTCAGCCTCCCAGGCAGCTGGGACTACAGGCGCACACTACCACACCCAGCTAATTTTGCATATTTAGTAGAGACAGGGTTTTGCCATGTTGACTAGATTGGCCTTGAACTCCTGACTTCAAGTGATCCACCCACCTCAGCCTCCCAAAGTGCTGGGATTACGGGTGTGTGCCACTAATGAAGTGTCTTTCTGTGCTTGCTTGTATCACTTAACATAATGATCTTCAGTTACATCCATGTTGCTGCTAATGACACGATTTCATTCTTCTTATGGCCAAATAGTATTCCATTGTGTGGGTATGTATACCTTTTTTTTTAGGTATGTATACATTTTTTTATCCATCCGTCTGCTGATGGACCGTTAGATTGAATCCTTATCTTTGCTATTATGAATAGTGCTGCAATAAACATGCAAGTGCAGATATTCCTTTGATATACTGATTTCTTTTTCTTTGGATAAAACCCAGTAGTGGGATTGTTGGATCATATGGTAATTACGTTTTTAGTTTTTTGAGACATCTCCAGGCTATTTTCCATAGTGGCTATCCTAACTTACATGCCCACCAACCACGTATAAGAGTTTTCTTTTCTCCATATCCCTGCCAGCATCTGTTATTTATTTATTTATTTATTTTTTGTCTTTTTAATAATAGCCATTCTGGCTGGCAAGATGACATCTCATTGTGGTTTTGATACACTTTTTTTTTGTTTTGTTTTGTTTTTTGAGATGGAGTCTCGCTCTGTTGCCCAGGCTGGAGTGCAGTGGCGTGATCTCAGCTCACTGCAACCTCTGCCTCCCAGGTTCAAACAATTCTCCTGCCTCAGCCTCCTGAGTAGCTGGGACTACAGGCACCCGCCACCACACCCGGCTGATTTTTGTATTTTTAGTAGAGACGGAGTTTCACCATGTTGGCCAGGCTGGTCTCGAACTCCTGACCTCAAGTGATCCTCCTGCCTTGGTCTCCCAAAGTGCTAGGATTACAGGCATGAGCCACCGTGCTCAGCGTTGAGTTGATTATTTATATGGTGAAAGATAGGGATCCAGTTTCATTCTTCTGCATGTAGCTATCCAATTTTCCCAGCATCATTTCCTGAAGAGGATGTCCTTTCCCCAATGTCCTCCGTTGTTTCTGATGAGAACTGGTTATCGCTTATATTGTTATTCATTTACATGTGATGCATTTCTCTTCGGCTCCATGAAATATTTTCTTTTTCTTTGGATTCTAGTATTTTGACCATGATGTGCTTTGGTGTGGGTTTCTTTATATTTCTTTATATTTTTCCTGCTTAGAGTTTGCTGATCTTGGTAGCGTAGGCTGAAGTTTCTTCCTCAAATTTTAGAAATTTTCAGTCATTATTTTTTCAAATATTTTTATTCTGTCCTTTTTTCTCTTTTTTTGGGAATCAATTACACATATGCCAAACAGCTTAATATTATCCCACATGGCTCTGAAGCTCTGTTCATTTTTCCTAATCTTTTTTCCTCTCCATTCTTCGACTGAGTAATTTGTGTTTTCTTCAAGTTCACTGGTCTGATTTATTCAGTCTGGTGTTGAGACCCACCTAATGATGTTTCCATTTTAGTAATTATGTTTTTCAAGTCAAGAGTTTTCATTTCTCTGCTGTGTTTTCCCATATGTTCATTCAAATTTTCCTTTAGGCCCTTAAACATGTTTATAATAAATTTATAATATCTGCTTTAAAGTTCTCGTCTGCTAAATGCAAGATCTGGATCATTTTGGAGACAGTTTCTATTGAGTGCTTTTTATCTTATGGATGAATTACATTTTCTTCATATTCTGCTTATTTTTTATTGCAGACTGGACTTCATAATAATACATTGTAGACAGTCTGTATTCTTTTATGTTCCTCAGAAGAGTGCTATTTTTATTCCAGTAGGAAGTTAACTTCACCTAGTTCAACAAACTGTGTCTCCAATGCAATGGGCAGCAGTAAAATTCTGTTGAGTTCTTTTGTCTCCCTTGCACATGTATAGTTCTAGCAGTCAGCCAAGGACCTGGGCAGAATTTATGTGCAGTTTTTAGAGTTAATTCCATTCTGTAGCTTACATCTCATTGCTTACAGAAGGGAATTAATGCTAATCCCCTTACATTATTTTCCCCTAACTTTCCAGCTGCTCTTCCAGCTATTAACCTTGTCCTCTGATACTTCTATCCAGTAAAGTTCAGACTTTTTGATGTCCCAAGCAGCACATAAACTGGGGAGTGCCCTCAGGCAAAAAGCTATACTCTTAAATTTTCCCCCTTGCTGCTATCATCTTTCAGGATTACACTCCTTGCCCATTTCTATTCGATTCTGGTTTGTCTCCAATGTTTTCAAATAGTTGTTTATTTAAATTTTTTTTTCAGTTTTAGAACTGTTATCTGCGTTAGTGTGATTAAGTGATTCCACCATTTATTCAATAGTATTTATTTTAAAAGTCATACTATAGAGCATTTACTACATGTCCAATACTGTGCAAAATGTTACTTGTATGTAAAAATATAAGAAACTATCACTGTCCCCAAGGTTTTCATTCTGTTTACTTAATATATATTATATATATAATATTTTATACCAAACGAATAAAAAATGTAGAGTTATAATTACATATAAATAAATGAAAACAGTTTTCTTACTTTTCTACTGCAGATCGTTTCTGTGATTTGCTCTTGTAATTTAATGCCATCTTAGTTTCCATTCCAGTGTATACCGCAACACCTGTAAAATAAAACAAAATTGTCTCTTAAAATAATCCTCTAGCATGTTTCACAAGAAATAAATATATTTACCAGCATGAAAGCTTTTAGTGTACTGTCTGACAGTTGTTATAATTTTGCTTTTCTTTAAGTATTTTCAGAGTACTAAAAGGCTTTCTGAGTCCAATTTTGGGAAGCCCCAGTCACTCAACTGGCTAAATGGGGGAGGGCATGGAGTCCTGTTCCTGAGTTGTAACAGATACCTGAATGAAAAATTTATTACTTGAATTGGAATTGATAGAGGAAAAGAATCTGGAAAGATAAAAGTGTCAGGGAAGGCCATTACAAATACAGCAGTGTTAACAAAGACAGATATGGAAAAGCACTTTCTGTTAGGTTGGGACAATGGACTATGGCCACAGTGTGAAAAGCCCTGAATGCTGGAATCGGGGGTCTAGACATTATTCCATAACCATTGGAGAGATAACATGGAAGTCTGTCAGAGTAAATCAAGTAAGCACATGGAAAGTGCTATTTAAAAAATGTGCGCCTATTGAATGACTTTGAGATGAGCAAGGATGACAGTAGTAATGGGACTAAAACTGGACAACAAATGGAATTAGGTGAGACCAGCTTATCAAAAAACTTTGCAGCTAGACCTTGGTTTGAATTCTAGCTCTGCCACTTATTAGTTCTACATCCTCGGGTAAGTAATTTCTGTGAGTCTCAATCTTCCCATCTTTAAATGGGAAAAAATACCTCATAGAGTTGTGAGGTCTGTATGACAAATTAACAAAATGCCTAAAAACTGAGAGATGATCAATAAATATTCATTCCCATCCCTAAATAGTACAATTTGAAAAGCAATATAGAACCTTTCATGCCCTCTTCCTAAATATTTGTCCTGGAAGTTTTATCTTGACTTATTCCTTAAAGGCAGGGTATTATAACTCAAATAGAGATTATAGAAACGTGGTAAAATAGCCAGAATGATCCAATAGGGAGAGGTGGTACTGAGGCAAAACAACAGAAGACAGACCCATCTAAAGGCATTCAAATTCACATTTTCTTTTAAGAGTGTACAAAATTTGGACCCCATTCATTATGGTTTACTTTAAAGTAAACAGGAGTGACGAAGTTACTACTAGAAAGATGTGTTGGCCGGGCGCAGTGGCTCACGCCTGTAATCCCATCACTTTGGGAGGCCAAGGCAGGTGGATCACTTGAGGTCAGGAGTTCGAGACCAACCTGGCCAACGTGGTCTACTAAAAATACAAAAATTAGCCGGGCATGGTGGCACATGCCTGTAATCTCAGCTATTTGGGAGGCTGAGGCAGGAGAATTGCTTGAACCCGGGAGGCAGAGGTTGCAATGAGCCGAGATCGTGCAACTATACTCCAGCCTGGGCAACAGAGTAACCATGTCTCAAAAAAAAAAAAAAAAAAAAGTTTTAAAGTACAGTGTTATATTAGAGGATCTAAAAGCCCTCAAGGTTTACTCTGGTTTCTGCTATTAGAATATTTTTACAGATTTCTTTTTAATTGTGGAAAAACATATGTATTTACCAGTTTAAAGTGTATAATTCAGTGGCACTTAGTACGTTTATAATTTTGAATTTTCATCACCCCCAAAGAAAACCCTGTACCCATTAAGCAAACATTCTCCATTCTCCTCTACTCCCCAGCCCCTGGAAACCACTAATCTGTTTTCAGTCTCTATGAATTTGCCTATTCTGGGTATTTCAAATAAATGGAATCATACAACATGTGGCCTTTTGTGTCTGGCTTCTTTCACTCAACATAGTATTTTCAGGGTTCATCCATACTGTAGCATGCATTAATACTTCATTCCTTTTTATAGCTGAATAATATTCCATTATATGGATATACCATATTTTGCTTATTCATTCATTATCTAATGAACATTGGGCTATTTCCAACCTTTGGCTATCATGAATAGTGCTGCTATGAACATTCTTGTAGAAGTTTTCGTTTGAACACTCATTTTCAGTTACTTTGGGTATATATGTAGTGTGGGATCATTAAGTCATATAATTCTATATTTAACTTATTGAAGAACTGCCAAAACTATTTTTCAAGGCAGCAGCTGCAACGTTTTACATTCCCATCAGCAATGTACAAGGGTTCCAATTTCTCCACATCCTCACCAACACTTGCTATTTTGTGTTTTTTTTTTTTTCTCGACATATGGACTTCTTTATCAGAGAGTCTAACACTGAGAGATAAGATATAGTACAGGTAACAGAAAAAGAGCAAATGGGAAAGAAGATCTCACAAGCTGCAGACAGCCAGTGGGTAACACAGTGGGCCAAGATACTAAGGGCCATTCCTGAAATGTGAGGAGCTAGCTAACAGCTAAAGGTTATCATCAACTTCACAATTTGCTTATAGTTGACTCAGAGTGTACTGTATTAATTTAGATCTCCAAGACAAGAGCAGTACTTATTCATCCTTTTGATCCATCTCCAAGGCAAGAGCAGTACTTATTCATCCTTTTGATCCAATCAGTGTATGTTCCAATAGTACCTAGTATATATTCAGATATCAGTAAATTTGTTGAATGAATGTATGAATGGATAAATCTGCAGTTATTAATCCAATCTAATAATCATAATGAAATTATAGAAGTGGTTTACTGTACCATGATACCATATTATATTGGTTCTCACCCACCATTACTAGAAGTGTTATATAAATTATCTGCACTCAGTTTCACAAGTATCCGTAAAGATAACATAAGATCAAGGTTCTAGTCTACTATTAAAAAACAGGGATCATCAACAAAACAAAAGTTCAATACACGACTACTGTAATACAAACTTTATAAGAAAATTATCATAAATGACAAATAATTAATAAATTATCTAACCAAAAGACCACATTGTACTTTTAAAAGTACTTCATATAAAGCATCAACACAAATCAATAATTTAAAATGTTTAAATATGTACAAACCAAAAATTTCTTTTGTGTTTTTTAATCTGGCTCCACGAAGCAGGAGACTCTCCGGCCCCAGAGGTCTAGGAAAAAAAGAAAATAACCATAAAGCACTGAATATATTAAAAACTCTTCAATTCTGAAATGGCATCTTCAGCAGAAGGTACTTAAGCTATAGCCATAACACCACTTTCATATAAAACCAAAATCCCAGCTACTATAAAGCTGCCCAGGGGCCGGGCGTGGTGGCTAACGCCTGTAATGCTAGCACTTTGGGAAGCTGAGGCGGGTGGATTGCCTGAGCTCAGGAGTTTGAGACCAGCCTGGGCAACATGGTGAAACCCCGTCTCTGCTAAAATACAAAAGAAATTAGCCAGGCGTGGCGGCATGCGCCTGTAGTCCCAGCTACTCAGGAGGCTAAGGCAGGAGAATTTTTTGAACCGTGGAGGCGGAGGTTGCAGTGAGCCGAGATTGCGCCACTGCACTCCAGCCTGGGTGACAAGAGTGAGACTCCATCTCAAAAATAAAAAAAAATAAAAAAAAAAATAAAAAAAAAAAGGCTGCCTAGGCTAATCATGATGTTAGTTACTGTAACAACAAATACCTGCTTTAAGATTAGTGGCTCAGAAAAATGATTATGCATGTAAATACAGTCACAAAGCCACTAGTTTCAAAATTTTAAACATAAAATTCAGCAAAATCAAAGAGTAAGCAGCGATTTAAAAATGTGTGGCAGAAGATGAAATTTTAAAATTTTAAAGCAAAGTTAATAAACAGCTTTGAAAGGGAAAATAAAGAATTAGAACACAACGTAAACATAAACTATAGTATGATTTGCATATAAATGGATGAATTCTGCACAATTATACTGAATTATAAAATACAAAGTACAAGGTATGTTAGTGCTTTTTCTAGGCAAGATCGCACAGTATAACTTGACTACTTGCATTGCATACTTCTTGAAGCACAGGTCTTCTTGCTGTTTGAATTTCTCTCCATAAAGGAGATATAAAACGACAAGGAATAACTAGAAAGGAAATTGATCTTCTTAGTGATAGCAAAATAAGAATCTTCTATGGAAAAGTTAAAAAGCAATTATTTTGTTGCTATTCCTTATAGTTTTCTGAAATATGCATACACAATTATCCAAACCAAACAGAATCTGAACCATTTATGAAGACACCTGCAAACCCAAACACTGTAAAAAATTGCAATGAAGCAAGGAGAACCAATACAGTCATATTTGGAGTACACTCCATGGATAGTCCAAATCAATATGAAAACTATTTTAGGAGCTATAAAATAGCTCTTTTTCACTCAGTGTTGCTTCTAACAATAAACAGAAATACTTTTAGCTCACACTGGCATGTAAAATTGGGATATAATGACAACTTCAGATTAAAAGATAATTCATCAGTTTGGTCAGGTTGTTTTAGTAGAGAACATGGTTCATTTTTTTAACCATTCTAGGGGCTGAAGTAATATAACTGCTATTTTCCTTTACATATTAATGCAACTCAGACTATGTATCCACACATTTCTCACTATTTCCCTATAAAAATCAAAATAAACCTAGGCATAGTTATTCAGCAGGGATCGTACACATACAAAGATCTTGCTACAGTGTTTACTGAACATGCTCCTATGTTAATGCTTATTAAAAATGTGAATCAATGTGAATGTATGGTATTTTTGCTGGCTTGTCTTGAGGATTTCATTAAAAAATGCTCAACTCTTTCTGTTATAGTGACTTATTTCATGCAGCCAGTATAAACTGAACATGTCCCCAGAAAAGAGGTAGAATGTCAAATGCGATTAGAAACTCAAGAGCTGATTCCAAGATTGATTCCAAATAAGGTTAACGCTCATGAGTAACAACGTAATCATATCCTATCAGCATGTCTTTGAACTGACACAAAGCCTTTCATTTAGGAGCCATTCATTAACCCAAATATTGAGGGAAAACAATCTGAAACAACCAAGAAAAATAAAAATCAGAAAAGTAAGTAAGCGGTTCTGGATTGACCACTAAACACCCCAGCTTGCACTGAATGATTCTGAAGTGAAGAAGAGCATAGCACTTATACTTGTTAAACATCATATAAAACATTTTTCATATTCTAGACTTACTAGGCATCGTCGGTTTAAATGTATAAGGAGTGCAAAAAAGCAGCTATGTTTCCTTTTAATATTACTACCTAGTATTATCAGAAAAAGAAATGCAAAAACACAAATAATCTTACTAAATTATTCTGATATCATTTCATGGGATTTGTTTCATCCTCACTTGCTGCTGCCACAAATTACTAGCAGATGAAATGCAAAGTGCTTTTAAATTAACCCTTTCCTGGAAAAGTTTGGGTATTAATGGAGAAAAGGAGAAATAATAGCTGAGGGTAAATGAATGAATAAATGGGTTACAAGTTGAGGGAAATCTAACATTACATTAACACCTTGAAAGAGGCTCAGAGCAAGAGATTACATTGTCTCTTAGCTCAATAATACCAGATGCCTGAAAGAGTGAAGCTGTCTGTTTGCTGAGACCACAGCTGCTTTTGGAATCTGAGAGGACTGGTAAGAAGCCTGCAAACCTGAGTGACCTTACTCTGAGAGATACTTATCCACTATGATAGACTGGACTAATTATTAACAACTGAATGGGATTCTAGTAATGTGGCAATATCTTCTGAATTGTATATTCTTTTGATGTAAGGGATTTGTGTTTGAAAACTAGGGGATGGCCTGTGATGTTATGATACATACATTAGTTTTCATCCGTGGTCCCTGGCTCATAACTCCCATAGCCCTTGTTACAGTCTTTTGTTATAATGTTGGGTGTGTTCAGCCTCAGGAGCAGGCTTCTGACCTTCTCCTGCCCTCCTTTCACCCCAAGGTAGGACTCTACTCTTCCCCCACCTTTCTAATTGTGGGTCTTAAGGCCATCCCCAGAGAGGGTCCTTCCTGCCCTATACTCTGGAGTAAAGAAAGCTGATGTCATGAAGCTTCCATAAAAAAACCAAGAGAAATGGGATGGGAGGGCTTCCAGAGGTTTCTGGAGAGTGGCACGCCCAGGGAGAGCACGGAAGCTCCACAACCCTTCCCCAGTATCTGGCCCTGAGCATCTCTTCATCTGTATGCTTTGTTTACATTTAGTGGTTTATTATAAAGGATATGATAAACCAATCAGAAAAGTAAGCAGTTCTGGGTTGACCACTAAACACTCTAGCTTGCACTGAATGATTCTGAAGTGATATAATAAACCACTAAATGTAAACAAAACAAAACAAACAAAACACAACAAAATTAACCCTTTCCCATGATGGGCTGCTTATTTACATAATCTCCCTTTGGAACTTCTAGTCCCTCCCCCAAACAGTTCCCATTTAAAGGTAATTAGATAACACAAATTAATTCTTACCTTACAATTTCTTCCATTTGTTGGGTTATGATCATTCGTCCCATGAATCTATCAAAAAATTCACATTACAAAAACATATAATATCACTTATGACATCAATGGCTGTTTTTTTGCACCATCCTTTGTTTTTTTTTTTTTTTTTTTTGAGACGAGTCTTGCTCTGTCGCCTAGGCTGGAGTGCAGTGGTGCGATCTCGGCTCACTGCAAGCTCTGCTTCCTGGGTTCATGCCATTCTCCTGCCTCAGTCTCCCGAGTAGCTGGGACTACACGTGCCCGCCACCACACCTGGCTAATTTTTTTGTATTTTCAGTAGAGACAGGGTTTCACCATGTTAGCCAGGATGGTCTCGATCTCCTGACCTCATGATCCGCCCACCTCGGTCTCCCAAAGTGTTGGGATTACAGGTGTGAGCCACTGCACCCGGCCTGCACCATTCTTACACATGAAACAAAAATCAACCATTTGTATATATGAATGGTCCAATATTCTTGCTATAAATCATTTTAAAAACACTTATCAGTCCTTAAGCTTTAAAAAATTTAGAATTCTTGCTATCTCTACTCCAGCTATGAATGAGGTAATGAATAAATGTTTTCAAAATGGCAAGAATCTGGATCATTTTGGATTTTGAATTTTTGGATTAGGGATATTCAACCTGTAATTCAATCAAAGGGTATACAATGTTTACTCTATCAACTGTCGACAAATACACAGTAAGGCCTGCAAGATGACAGATACTGTTCTAGGTGCTTGAGATCCATCAGTGAACAAAATACACAAAGATGCCTGCTCTAGAGTTTACATTCTAGTGGGAGAGATGGTAAGCAATGAACATAATAAAAAAGTAAATTACACAGTATACTAGAAAATATTATGTATTATGAAAACAGAAGAGCAGAACAGAATAAGAAGGATCAGCGTGCGTACTAAGTAGTTAAGGTAGGCCTCCATTGAGGAGGTGATTTAAGCAGACTTGAAGGTGTTACTCAAGAGTTAGACAAGGGCTAGGTCTAGTGACCAGGTGGGAGTAGACATGGTATGTTCAAGGAAAACTAAGGAGGTCAGTGTATGGGCAGGATGAGCTAGAGGTGGAAGGACAGCAAACAGGGCAGAGAAGAAAGGTTGGGGATGGGGGATGGGGGCAGATCCTAGAGATGGTTATAGACATATGGGCTTTGACTCTGAGTGACATGGTGAGCCACTACAGGGTTAAGCAGAAGAGTCACATGATCTGACTTACATTTAAAAAGGAACACTATGACTGCTTTTGTGAGAACAGACTATAAAATAGCAGTAATCCAGGCAGGAGATGGTACTGGCTCAGACAAAACTAGGAAAAGATGGTCAGATTTTGGATGTATTTTGAAGGTAAGCCTTCAGAATGTTCTGATGGGTTGGGGTGAGATGTGAGTAAGGAGGTGAAGAAAGACGAAGGGAGAGGAGATGTGAGGAGTCACGGCTGATTCCAAGGTTTCTGGCCTGAGCAATTGGAAGGATGGACTGTATCAACTGAGATGAGAAAGACTGCTGGTAGAAAAGGTTTCTTTCAGGAAGATTAGCAGTTTAGTTTTCAGCTTGATTATTAATTTGAGATTTCTACTAAATATCCAGGTGGAACTGTAGAACAGGCAGCTGAAGTTTAGGAAAGAAGTCTGGGATAGAGAAATAAATCCGACAGTCAGCAGCATGTAGACAGTCTTTAAAGCCAGGAGGTTGGGTGAGATCACCAAGGGAGTGAGGGTAGATAGCGAAAGGTAAGGTAGAGAAGGAACAGTGCAAGTCCTGGGGCACTCTAACAGGAAGAAGACTGGGACAAGAGGAAAAACTAGCAAAAGGGACTGAGACAGAGGGAATAGTGAGGTAGGAGGTAAACCAAGAGAGGGGAGTGTCCTGGAAGACAAGTTAGCAAATTGTATCAAAGAGGAGAAAGCAATGAACTATTCAACCACTAGATTTTGAATTGGTGAATTTACTTGTAATGAGGTACCATACAGTATTTGAAACAGCAAAACAACGAAAGGAGTCAAGTATGGAAAGGTTGGGGAATGGTTAGGTTCTAGTACATGCACTTGGACTATTCATAGCCATTTAAAATGATCATTAATTCAGCTTCCTGCAATATTTAAAAAAAGGTCAAGAATACCGTTCACTATAATGGAAAATACTTTTTAAAATCACAAAACCAATCCACATTCTTAAAAGAAATATTAGGCTGGGCGGGGTGGCTCACACCTGTAATCCCAGCACTTTGGGAGGCTGAAGTGGGCGGATCACTTGAGGTCAGGAGTTTGATAACAGCCTGGCAAACATGGTGAAACCCCATCTCTACTAAAAATACAAAAAAATTAACAGGGTGTGGTGGCACACACATATAATCCTATCTACTTGGGAGGCTAAGGCAGGAGAATTGCTTGAACCCGGGAGTCCGGGGGTTGCAGTGAGCTAAGATCGCGTCACTGCACTCCAGCCTGGGCAACAGAGCGAGACACTGTTTCAAAAATAAATAAAATAAAATAAATATTTAAAAAATGGAAAAGAAAAAGATGATTAAAAATCAGTAGAAATCCTACCACGAGAATATTACTAAATTTTGATCTACAATTCCTCCAGGTTTTTCTTTCTGCAGCTATCAATGATTCCATCTTGTCACCTAACTACCTATTTAGTACATATATACACACATTTATTTAAACATTTAGGTTCAGGGGTACATGTGCAGGTTTGTTATATAGGTAAACTTGTGTCACAAAGGTTTGTTGTACAGATTATTTTGTCACTCAGGTACTAAGTCTAGTACCCAACAGTTATTTTTTCTGCTCTTCTCCCTCCTCACACCCTCCATCCTCCAGTATGCCCCAGTGTGTGTTGTTCCCTTGTGCCCATGTGTTCTCACCAGTTAGCTCCCACTTATAAGTAAGGATATGCAGTATTTGGTTTTCTGTTCCTGTATTAGTTTGTTAAGGATAATGGCCTCCAGCTCTATCCATGTTCCTGCAAAAGACGTGATCTCTTTCTTTTTTGTGCCTACATAGTATTCTGTGGTGTATATGTACCTCATTTTCTTTATCCAATCTGCCACTGACAGGCATTTAGGTTGATTCCATGTCTTTGCTATTGCACACACATTATTTTTACATAACTGGGATCATATGAGAGCCCCAACTTTGTATCTTATTTCATTTAACATTATATTTCAGTATGTACCTATATCATTCAATTCTTTAAAAAGATTTTAAATATCTACATATATACCTATCTAAGCATTTTCCTACTTGGACATATAAAATGTTTGCAATATTTCACATGTAATATATGTGTGTGTATATATATATATATAATATATAGCACATATATGTGTTACAAGCACATAATAAAATGAAAGATATAATTTTATATAAATACTGTCTCTAACTTCTATGAGTTCCTCAAGGAGGGAAACTATTCCTTTTCATCTTATTCACCTATCACAATGAGCACACAGATGCTAAACAATAATTTGTTAAATGAATGAATGAATAAAAATGGCATTCAAAGATTTTAAGTAGTGATATAATTACGAGTTTTCTTTCTACTATAAAAGCCTGTTGCAATGATTACATTTTACTTATATTTAAAACAAAACACATACTTCCAATAAGAGAAAGTGTTTATTTAAAAAAGTTTTTTCAAACTTTCTCCCCATGTTCCAAGATAATGTAAAAACCATACACCAAAGCATTAGTTATACTTCATCTCATATTAATCTTATGCTTGCTTAGTTCTTAGTTGTCCATTTTCTGGTTTTTAATAATTATTTTACAATCTGCCATTGCCTCAGACCAGGATATAACAGCAATATAGAAATCTTAAAATTCTTCACAGTTAAATGTCTTACAGTCAGTCTATCAAGTGCTTTTAAAGCATATGATTCCAAAGTTTTTAGTTATTTGGCAAATTCTATACTGCATTTGACTTTGATGAAAGTATACAATTTTTATAACATCACATAGAGAAAACCTCCATTATAAAGATGGATCCAAAAAAAAGATACGTAAGTTTGGAAAAGCCAACGGCTAAAGACTTTGAAACATTTCAACCAACAGGGGGAGATATATAATATGACAAGAAGCTGAGGGTGATTTCTACAAATTTGCTGTAATTTATAGTCTACCACCACTTATTGAGTAAAAATGAACTTAGTTAATCGTTTAATTTTTTAATAATAAAAAGTTGTTTCCATTCCACAGCCCACATATAATTGGTAGGATTACTGAAGATGATCACTGAAGGTATACAACACTGTGTTTAGCAAACTGTAATGTTAAAAGCAGTTAGTTCCTCTGTTCCTTTCTCTCCTTTCAGAAACAAGATCTTTAAAAATCTAACAAACTAGAAAAATAGTTTTTATTTTGTGTTCACTGTGATAGATAATAAGATGAATAATAGTTTCTGTCTTTGAGAAACTCATAGCTGTTATATATTTATAGAAAATTATTTTTTACTTTATTATGTGCGTGTAAGTAAAATATTGAAAACTTTATAAGGTTATAATTTAAAAGTAGTATCCTCTAATTTAAAAGCAGTATCCTCTATAGTGGTAAAAACAAAGACATAGTCCCTGGCTTCATGGAGCTTACCAAAAAAATCATTATTTTCTTCTAAGAAAATAATCTTATGTCTACTATAACTACTGTTATAGCTACAAAGTGAGCATGCTAGTTCATAGCAAAATAGAAGGTAATGTGAAGAAACTTGTGAATATAAACTCTGGCTTTGAACTATTATCTTTTGCTTAGAATTCTAGCAATTTCTGCTCTTAGTTTTTTTCACCATTAATTGCATCTCCCACCAACCCACCCCACAAATACAGTCTCCAATTAGCTAAAGATTTCATTTTATGTTTATGGTTATTTAAAAATGAGGTCTGTAAATAGGACTTAAAATAAGTATACTGAATATCACACCATACCTGTATAAGTCTGCTTCTGGTTGCTGGCATTCTATTACAGCTACTAGAGTGTCCAAATTGGCAACTGTTTGTAATAATGCTGTTTCTGGAACTGCCACATGTGTCTGAAAAAAATGAATTAAACTGTAGAGTTTTCAGATCCAAATTGCGACCTTCAATATCAGTTATTTCAAATCTCTTTTATAGGTAAAGTAATGGCATACTGTACTTGAGATCACTCAGCTAGACAACAGAAGAGAAAGAAACATGTAAAATAAACAAGGGGCAAAGGAAGCTACTATCATTACCTGTCTAAAGAGGCCATTTGCACATAAGGAAATTAAGTCTGTGTGCATAGTCACTATTACTTTATCATAAGTAATTTAATAGGAAAAACTGTGAATTTTCACCTTTGATTACCCTCTGAAAACTGAGAAAATATAAATTTGTCCCTTATCTTTTAAAAGTACCACAAATAGTAAAAGATTATATTTTTCCTAAAAACACCTTCTGTTTTTAACTTGGATTAAACCCATGTGAGGCTACCCTTGAAATAAAGATATAACATCAATTCTTTCTTAAAACCTTTTTATTTTTGAAATAGTAATTTTAAAAACTTCCCCTTAATCTGGTCAAACTTTACTACTTTAACCAAAGTTAAGTATAATTATAATCCAAAGACACTTTGTTCACCAAGAGCAATACTCAAACATATGCAAGCAAACCTTCAGGTTAGTTTCTCCGTCCAAACTAGCAGTTGTAACGTGACAGGAACCATCCAGTCGATCTGAGGACAGAAGCACCAAGTCTGCAGGAAAAATTTCATCTTTGGCTATTCGAACAATATCACCCACCTATAAAGAATTTTGGGGAAGAGTGAATTTATAAATTTTAAAAGGCAAGGACTTACTTTTATTGGGCTCTAAAGAAGCAGCCTATCACAGTATTTTAGCATAGGAAAGTAGGCTTTTAACTAAAACGTAATATCAAGATTAGAATTATGTCCTGTGATATCAAGATAAAGTTGATTTCCATTATTTACCAGATGCATACCCGAATGTTTTTTGATCTAGTTTTTACAAGGCCACCACTTCGAACAACATAAACAGGAGCTCCATTTACTTCATTATCTGAGTTATGCCGTAACCAATCTTCATATCCCTGTAAATATCCAAAGGGTAAAAAATAATTTTTCAGTATAATTTGAAGATACTTTTATCAAATAAGAAAAAAAACTCAAAAACTTCCCTGGAACACTACATTCCAGAATCATATGAGGCTATTTGGATGCACATGCTCATAGGTATCTGATATTTGTTCCTACTGGAAACACTTGCTTCTTTTTTGTCATATACATTTTCCTGGCTTTCACAGGACCTCTAGTTATTTCTTCTCAATTTCCTTAAGGAGGCTCCTTCGATGTCACCTTTATGGATCCTTTTCTCACATTCCTCTTTCTCACTAAGAGATTTCTTCTATCCCTGTGTCTTCAAATAGTATAAATATGCTGGTAATTCCAAAATGTGTATCTCCAGCCATATATCTCTTTTGAACTCCAAACTTGAATACCTAATTGCTTTATTAATATCTCAATTTTGATGTCTCATAAATGTCTTAAACATATTCAGAACCAAACAGATGATGTCCTGAAAGTGTGCTGCATGTCCAATGTTTCCCATCTTGACAAATAACATCACCATCTACCAAGCTGTTCTTGCCAGAAATCTGGGGAGTCATTCTTAATTCCTACCCTTTTCCTAACATCTATGCAATCACTAAATTCTATTGTTTCTATGTACAAATGATATTTTAATCATAAAGTATAAATTCACAGAGCATTACAGACAATAAGTAGAAAAAAATGAGCAGATTTTTGGAACTGAGATTGTGTTCTTTTACTTTCTTAAACAACAGACTGACAGAATTATAATTAGTACAGTTGACCCTTGAACAACACAGGTTTGTACTGCACAGGTCCACTCATACACGGATTGTTTTCACTAAAAGTTATACTGAGTGTACCTAAATCATCTTCCTCCCTATTCACCTCCTCTACCTCTTGTACCTCTGCCACCCCTGAGACAGCAAGACCAACCTCTCCTCTTCCTCCTCAGTCTGCTCAATGTGAAGACAAGGATGAAGACCCTAAACACGATCCATTTCCACTTCATGAATAGTAAATATATTGTCTTCCTTATGATCCTCTTAAAAACATGTTCTTTTCTCTAGCTGACTTTAAGAATACAGTATATAATACATATAACACACAAAATATGTGTTAAATGACTGTCTTATGATATTGGTAAGGCTTCTGATGAACAGTAGACTATCAGTAGTTAAGTTTTGGGAGAGTCAAAACTTATACATGAATTTTCAATTGCATAAGGGGTTCCCCTAATCCCTGCATTGTTCAAGGGTCAATTGTGCTTAACAAAAATATGTTAGCCTGTATGGATCATCACTAGGAAGGAAACAGACACAAGCATTTCACAAAGAATCTTTTGATTAAATATTAAGGAATGGCGATCTTTTAAGTGGAAAAGACTTCCTATGCCATTTTAAGAAAATTCAAGAACTCAGAGATACGGCACAAGTATAGATAATGGAATCATATCTAAGAAAGAGTAAGTGAATAAAAAGGTAAGGTACAGAATAGGTTTTGTTCTATGTTACCATTTGTGAAAAAAAATGCTTGCCTATGTGAACACTTTGCATAGATATCTGGACTAACTTACAAATAATTGCTCCCTGGGTAGGAGAACTAGGAGACTGGGAGTTAGGAGTCTAAGACTTACTATATTCTATTTTGTGCTGTTTCCCTTAAAAAAATGTGCATCTATTATTTTTAAAATATTATGAAATTATAAAATAAAAAGCAAAATATGAAAGACTATTTTGAAGGTATACTGTTTTCAGATGGAAACCTTGTGGGAAAGCACTCTTAAGACACCTAAATTATGTTGGCCTTATTTAAGTTGCAGTATGTCATTTTAGAGAAATTTAATTGAAAGTCAAAATATTTTTTCTGAAACTGTCAAAAGCACACTTTTCTTTACAGTCAGATGACATTAATAGCAGAGCAACGATAATTCAAACATCTTTTTTTAATACAAGCTCATAAATTCTAATCCATCCTACACATTACTGCCAGATTAATCTTCCCAAAGCATTGTCTTGATTCACTATCCTGCTCAGAACCCCTTCAGTGATTCTCAATGCTTACAACAAAGCATCTTCTGGCTTCCTTAATTTAGAACCAACCTATACTTCTATTACCTTGTAGTACTTTCCTAAATAGGATCAAACATTAGTTAGACTTACAATTCCCCAAAATAGGTCTTGCCTTTTCTTGCACTTGGGCCTTTGCCCAAGTAGTTCATTTCTACCTCATCTTCTTCCTCAACTGTCATTTTACCCATATTCCAAAACTCAATAATATTTCCTCCATGAGAATTCATATTTTCATCTATTTATCAGCAATTTGGCAATTCTTTTCTTGGAGATGATCCATGCCTTTTCCTTATTTAGGTATGTGCTCTTGGTAAAATATCTTTTAAAATTAAGATCAGCTGGGCGTGGTGACTCAAGCCTGTAATTACATCACTTTGGGAGGCCGAAGGGAGAGAATCGCTTGAGCCCAGGAGTTGGAGACCAGACCCGGCAACATGGCGAAACCCTGTCTCTACAAAAAAAATAACAAAAATTAGCTGGGTGTGGTGGCACGCAACTGTAGTCCCAGCTATTTGGTAGGCTGAGGTGGAAGGATCACCTGAGCCTGGGAGGTCAAGGCTGCAATGAACTCTGATTGCACTACTGCTCTCCAGCCTGGACAACAGAATGAGACTCTAAAAAAGATAAAATTAAGGACATAGGCCCTTTGTTACACAGAACACAAATTTTTCAGTTTCATTTTTGCTTTTAATATTATTCAGACTTCTTTTAAACACTCACATTTTATTTTTCCTATATGATACCTTTCCTTTCTTACACCAGTAGATTAACTGATTAATTCCCAAATTGAAAATGAGATAAAATTTCATCTGTATTTACTTCTATTATTTTGTAGTTATGTATATTCAGCTTAGTAATCCAAATGTTTTATTTTCCTATATGGTATGAAGTATGAATCCAACTATTTTTTCTAAATATTCAAGTGATTATCATATCACAATTTATTGTCTGATATTTTACCTACTGATTTGAAATATGACCCTTACTTGAATAAATTCTTAAATTTATTTAAAAATAATAATAATAATATTTCCTCCACAAAACCGTCTCTGATCATCCAGATGAAGTGTTCCCTTCCTTCTCTGAATAGCTAGCTACAGCTCACTGGATTTTACTACTACTCTATTGAACCATAATTATTTTTATATTTGGTCTTACCTTCCTATTTCATAGGTTTTAGAATCGTGGAGGGCAAAGACTATCTTATTTCCTACAGCACTGTATCTTGCATTACACAATTGGAGAGAAGACTTAATATGTAAATACAGTTGGGAGAAGCTAAAAACAAGCAAACAACTGACAACCTCATTCATATTAAAGTGTAAGTAATTGATAATGGAGCCTTTTCCTATTTTGATAGAAGTACAAAGGGAAAAGGCAGACTAAAAGGGGAGAAGACAAGAAAGAAAGGTTGGAACATGGCAACTTTCACTTTTACAGTTTTTCCAAAATTTGTTCTATTGATCTACAGTAATAAATAGATACATAAATCTGAACAATATATGGAAGTATTCTGTGTATTTAAATGAGAAAAAGTTAGGAATAGTTGTTGCAAAAGAGAAAACTCTGAGTGTCAAAATTTTGTTTTGAGTTAAGGAGAAAATCTTTGTGGTTCAAATTTTCTCTTTGAAAACTATATGACCTTTTATATTTCCCCCTTTTGCCTTAGTTATGAAGCTCTCATCTAAATTTAGTACTCATATTTAATAATCATACTAACACAGGTTCTAGGCATAACCTTTTTGCTTTCTGCCTTTATTCACTTTTACTTAAACCAATTTTGGAAGGAGACTGATTGTCAATTATTATTATGATTATATTAAACTCTTACTTGTAGATAAAAATTCACCAACTTTTTTTCAACTCAGTTAATGGTATCATATTCCAGTTAAATGCAGTCCATATTTGGCCAAATATACATTGGGAAATAAGGACAAGAGGTATTGCAACATTTTACATGGCTTTAAAAATATCCAATAAGTTCATTCATTCATTTATTCATCTGTTAAACAACTACTGAAGGCCCAATATGTGCATGGTCTTGTTCTGCTAATGGGAAATAAGCAGGTATATAGAATAAATTATCTGGCACCGTAGAGCTAGACATTCAAATGAAAGTGACGGATAAACTAAAATACCAACTTTTATCAATAGAACAAAAGAATAAATGATATGAAGGAAAAAAAGGACAGACTAAGAAATAAGAGTGGCATGGTGGTCAAAGTTTAAGTATAGAGTAAAATGAATTGAGAATGCAATTATCTGGCAGAAGAACTTTCCAGGAAGAAAGTACAGCAAGTCATAAAATCTTGAGATAGGAGCATGCTTACTGTGTTCGAGGACAAGTAGAGGAGTGTAGCTGCAGCACAGTGAGTTTAAAAAAAAAAATGGTAGGAAATGAAGAAGGAACCAGGGTCTAGACTCTGTACGTCTTTATGTCTTTGTAGATCACTGAAAAGACATGTTTTGGTCAAAGTGGTGATGCAAAGCTACTGTTCAGTAGCTTTAAGTGGGAGGGTAGTGTGATCTGATTTTAAGAGATCAATCTGGCTGCTCTGTGAAAACCATAGGAGAGTAAGAGCGGAAATGAGAGAACTCTTCAGAAAAGAATGCAATTGTCCAGACAAAAGATGATGGTGGCTTGGACTAATGAGGGAGATCTTGAAGGTAGGGATAAAACAGAACAGTCAAAGGATGATGATGTCAAGGCTTGCGGTGGTTGGATGGTAGTGCCATTTAATAAACTGCAGAATAACAAGAACTAGTAGTATAGTTTTTGAGGGGGAAAAAAATCGAGTCATGTTTGAGATTCTTGTGAGATGACAAAGTTGAAATGTTGTACAAACAGTTGTACATGTGTGTTTGGAGTTCAAAGAATAGTTTCAGGATAAACATAAATTTGGGAACCATCATCATAGAGATGGTAACTTCATTCTGCTGGATGGGATGAAATTACCTAAGGTGAAAGTATATATAGAAACGAGGTCCAAAGGACAAACATGTTACTTTGTTGAAATAAATGACATCTGTTTGTCATTTATTTCATCAAAGTAAATATTCATCAGGTGAATAATTATATGGAGTGATTTAAATGCATATCGACTGATATACACACATTTTAATCTCCAATGGAAAAGTGAAGAAAGTAAAATCGAACTTAGAGCTGTGGCCTAGTATTCTCTGACATGTAGATGCATAATCTAATTGTTAATCTATAGGCTCCTCTATCTTTCTTATGTATGCAATAAAGAATATACTTCATCCCAGAACTGTAAAATGTTTGTCAATTTTATTTCCATGTCAATTTATGCCTTATCCCTACATCTTATAAAATGAAAAATTCACATTTGCCTGAGAAAATTCAGTTAATTCTCTTGCAGGTGGAAGGAATCATCTCTGTATAACTGAAACCCTGCCAAGACCTTTTTGAGAAGTAGTAGCTAAATCAACAGGACATTTCTATGAATTTCCTTCTTATTCTATATGTTTATCTAATAACCTTGTTTCTCTGTAACTAGATTTTAATGTCAATTCATGCTCTGATTGAAAATATTTCCCCAGGGGGAAAATACATAAAAACTAAACTCATAAGAGAAAGTTGTAAACAGCAGAAAAGGACTATACATTTTTTTTTTTTTTTTTGAGACAGGATCTCACTCTGTCAACCAGGTGGGAGTGCAGTGACATAATCACGGCTCAGGGCAGCCTCTACCTCCTGGGCTCAAGCGTTCCTCCCACCTCAGCCCACCAAGTAGCTGGGACCACAGGTATGTGCTACCACACCCTAATTTTTGAACTACATAGTTTTTACTCACAAATGTTCACACCAGAAGTATATACCCTGCTCTCTATAAACATATCTCTTTTGAATTGTATTTCCTTTAAATATCACCAAACTCTACAAAGATGATTATAATTAAGAAATCTATTTCATATATAAATGGTTTATACATATACAATACTTGTTTTTGGATGCTTTCTAGCTCTGTCAAGGGAACTACATATTTTAACGATGTTAATCATTCCATGAGTCACCAGGTACCTGAAATATAACAGAGTGGCTAATTCAGTTTAATTTTACTACGTATCAGACAAATTTGCTGCTTTCTTATGGAAATTATTTTCACAACAATAAATGTTACTTTGGAGTGGAAATATTTAGCAACTTCTAAATGACTTAGAGGAAAATTAAAAAAAGAAAGTATTTCATACCTGCTTTATGGCAGTTACTGTTATCACAAAGAATAATGGAAGTCCACTGGTAACTGGACTGGTAGGTGTATCAATCATAAGCTAGATTTATAAAAAAGAATACAGAATATTATATTTTTATATTGTGCACATCACACTATTAACATCTAAAATTTCACATTACACAGTGAGTATACTTTAGTTCACGATTTCACAACTTCACTTTGTTGGCTATTATGTGGGGTTGGAAGACTATTTAAATCTATTGCCTATCCACATACATGGCTAGACTGGACTCAGCAACTCTGTTTAAACACAAAGTTCTTCAATATTCGCCAAGGAGTGGAACTACAGCTACTCAGATCTCGTTTCACATTTCTTTGCACATCCTGATAAATGCTGAAGAGTCTGTCAGCAATTTTTACCCTTGGATTCAGAATGATATCAACACTAGGGAAAGAAAACTAGGAATGGGACTATGGAAAGAATTTTTTTCTATAAGTGATTTTGTTACATCCAACAGAGCCAGAGGTGGATAACTAGGAAAATGATGTTCCTTTACTCCGGATAGGCCCATTAAATTTGTTCTATTCCATGGACAAGCTGAATTCATCTTAGCTAGTGATTTCACAAATGTATGGATGTTACGTGGATATGGTTAGCATACATTTCTTGCTTTTCCAAGAAAGCCAAGCGAACGGTCTATGGGCAGAAAATCAGAAGTTCCTTGTCTGTTCATGAAAGAAAGCAATTTTTTCTTTTTAAAAAGTAAATGTTTCCTAAAGCATTAAAATGATTATTTGACAAGTTTCAATTTTTCATTTGAAATCCCAGGTTCTACTGAGAGAAGAGTTCAGAGTTTATATATTTGATGCTACACTGAAATTGCCAAGTTTTATCGGAAAAGAATAACTTCTTTAAAGGAAAATGGCCATCACTATTTTAAAATCTTGATTTATACTCAAGTTCTCTTGATTTTATATACATATATAATTTTTTTAAGCACAAGGTGAAAATTAAGAAACTGTCTAACAGCCTATAATAAACACAGACTTAAGCAAAGAAAACAGTCTCCTGGAAAAAAAAAAAACTTCACCCACAGGGATACTTAAAAATTACAATTCTTATTAAATAACTTAAATTTAAGTTAAATTTAAATTAAAAAATTAAAAGCCAAAGAAAAGTTTACTTTGTACAAAGATGATTCCACAGGCAGAAATGTACCGAAAATATGAACTATATATTAAAAGCCTAAACATTTATGTTCTGAGGCAGAATATCTGAAAGATATTAGGTTACACTCTTAGCTAAGATTATGGTTAATCTAAGTACTACAGCACATTATTGATGAAACAATATACAATTGATCTTAAAGTTTACAGGCTATTTCTTTTAGAAATCTAGATATGACAGATCATTGTATTCACTGAATACAATGCAGAAGCACTGCAGAAAAAATGGTCACATGGTCAAATGATTAGCAACACAATGTAATTTTTCTTTGTTCCAAGACATATTTTTAGAAACTATGTTTACAAACTTAAGATTGAGTAATAAAGCTTACCTGAACCAAAAATATAATAAGAAAATAAAAGTTTGCCACTCTTCTGAACTGTTCAAATAAATTTTTTGGAACAAAATTCCACACAGTGTACTAAAAAGAAAGAGATCAATAAATTAATATTTAAAAATAATATCAAGTATATAGACATAATATTAAGAAGTAAAGTAAAATCGGTTTTACTAACCCCTTAGACAAAATTCTGTAAGTCTATATGCTACAGAAACCATCTGGCTTTTAGAGTTCAGGACTTTTATTCTACTTCCCTTTTTTCTTCCTTTTACTATTTATTGGCAATTTTAGCTTAATTTTGAAAAATGGAATAAGCTGAAACCCAACAATTTTGCTACTAAATTCCAGTTTTTTTAGAAGTTAGAGAAAGCAGATCTAAAACAACATTTTAATAACTTATTTTGGATTTTGGTATACAAAACTAAACCTAATGCTAAAGATAAATATGAGTTGATAGAAATGCAGATACTAGATACAATTTATATTTTAGTTAGTTTAGCATCAGAAACAGAGGAAATAGTTTGTTTAGTATGAAATATGAGGAAATAACCTAGAATGTTAAAGAAATAGAAATGCTTTAGATAAGTGATCGCCGCGATAACCACCAAGAAAATTTCATAAAGGATACGAAAATCTGTCACAATATCAATTTTAAAAGGTAAGATAGTATAGCACAATGGTTAAAAGCATAGATGCTTGGGGTTAAACTGTGGTGGCCCAAATCTTAATTTGTAATACTCACTAAATGACCTTGGACTTAATCTCTCCGTGTCCCACTTTGCTCCTCTATAAAATGAGGATAATATTAATCATATCTTATAGGGTTCCTATAAACATTAAATCAGCTAACATACTGAAGAAGCACTTAGGACAGAACCTGGCTCATACTAATTGCTATAAAAGTGCTTATTATTATTACTCAGCTCAAAAACCTATAATGCTGTATTACAAGGGCAGAATAATATGCTGCAAATTTTATTTGTGTTACAACTCACAACATAACTTCATACATGAAACAGGGAAATTGATTTATAGAATGTTTACTTTATGTACATCCTCCCAGAAGAATATAAGATCCCTGAGGCCAGGGATATCATTTTATTTACTGTTCTATCTCTAGCACATATACTACTCCTTGGCACATAGGTAGAGATCAAATATTTTGCAGAATAGATTAATGAATAAATAAATATGGTTGACAACGGGTTTTTTCTGAGATAATATCCTGATCTCAGGCAATGAGGCCTCAATGGTTACTGACCAATTCAAGATTTCCAAAGAGGTACTTTACGTTACCTAGTGTCATGTCAGATGGCTCTAATTTTTGGATTTTCATTGTCAAAAGTTCACTTCTTAATTAGCTGTTTGAGACCTGAAACACTGTTTCCCACATGAACAACCTTATAAACAGAGTTAGGTTCCCAGAAAAGCCCACAAAAGCCTATCTGACCCAGGGATATGGAAAGACTAGTCCAATAGCAACAAACTTTCCTTCTTTGGTGAAATTATATTTTCAGTTTGAATCTGGAATATGTGAAACATATTTTCCCTGAGTAGTGGCGGCAGCAGTGGTTCCAGAATCTGAGGATGGGAAGTATGTTTAGGGCTCTAGAAAGAAGAGAGGTAGATACTTCCTGGAGCCAAAGGAAGTCAATGTTCAATGTATACACATGAGATGGTAATTGTGTGTCAAGTCACCTGCAGGTGATCTTAATTGGAATTAAAAATCAGTTGTCAGAGTATCTCAGTCACCAAATGTATAATACTTTATAAGGAAGGTTGGAAGTCTCCTAAGTTTACAGCAATCTATTTGAAACGTAACAGCAACAATATATTTTGTATTCCAGAATCCTGAAGAGAACAGCTATATAAATTGGCAGTAAAGTAATTGGTTTCAGGGTGTTTTCTTTGGCTAGTTCAATAATACAAGGAACAACTCAGAACAAATAAAAATTTCTTATGAAAACTAGCACATAAATGGTAGAAATTGTTTCTAGTTTTTCTGAAATACAAACATAATAGATTGTGAATGAGTCTAAATTCTGTGCTTGTCCTATTGTATAGAGAGGGAGAACTCTAGTAGCATAATATCAAACATTATGAAAATACTGCTAAGAAAATAATTTATTATGCTTTAAAGTTCTCTTTGTTATGTAATAATGGTTAAGACAAATGAATTAGAAGTGTAACTTCTCTATAGTCATATATGACTTTATAATTGACCTTATTTTCTCCTAAGAAAACTAAAACATGGCTATAAAATTAAATATTTTGCAAGAAGGTTATTTTATTTTATTTTTTTGAGACAGTCTCACTCTGTCTGCCCAGGCTGGAGTGCAGTGGCGCAATCTTGGCCCACTGCAACCTCCGCCTCCTGAGTTCAAGCGATTCTCATGTCTCAGACTCCTGAGTAGCTGGGACTACTTGCATGCACCACCACACCTGGCTAATTTTTCTGTATTTTTTTTTTTTTTTTTTGAGACAGAGTCTCACTCAGTCACCCAGGCTGGAGTGCAGTGGCTCGATCTCTGTTCACTACAAGCTCCGCCTCCTGGGTTCATGCCATTCTCCTGCCTCAGCCTCCCAAGTAGCTGGGACTACAGGCAACCGCCACCACACCTGGCTAATTTTTTTGTATTTTTTTAGTAGAGACGGGGTTTCACCCTGTTGGCCAGGCTGTTCTCAAACTCCTGGCCTCAAGTGATCCGCCCACCTTGGCCTCCCAAAGTACTAGGATTACAGGTGTGTGCCACTACACATGGCCAAAGAAAGTTTAAATTTAAGATAATGTAGTTACTATGGCCAGTTAAAGACATACCACACAACCACAACATGCAAGACACTTCCACAATAAGAGAAACAGAAATAAGATGTTTAATATTAAGTAGAGGAGATTAAGAACAAAACATTAATAGCTGTATTCAAAGGTAAAGTGTATGAAAAAAATTTAACAAGACAGTCATATTTGACATGTGCTTTAAAAGAAGAACATTCAACAGGCTGAAAATCCAGGGCAAATAAGGGAGAACATTTCAGGAAGCTAGGACAGCATGAGCAAAGGGACAGGAGAAAAGCTCATCATGGCTTTGTGAGATAGAAAACAATGCAGTCTGGAAGGAGACCAAGAGAATAACAGGGGAGTGAAAGGTAGTAAAATGAAAGTAATGAGAAGCAGGCTTCATTTATGCTCAGGAAAAAAGTGACAGTATCTGTATAAATATTTACATTCTTGAAATTATGGTCAAAGATATGAATTCTACCTTTCTACAAAAACATAAAATCTACAATGTCCACAAATACATAAAATTTACATTTTAAAAATTGTGGCTAACAACATGAAATCAAAGCAAAGGCACAGTGGTAGGAAAGTTCAACATGAGTTTGTGGAATAACAGGTAATCTGTTTTGGAAGGAGTTTATGAAAGCAATAGTGGCGTAATAGGTAGTAATGAGACAGTCCTCATTTACCGTAAACATTTAAAAAGGCAATACTTCTTTAAACATCCACATTTTAAAAAATATGGTCAAAAACATTAAACCAAATACTTCTGTGTACAGAGACAGTCATTTAAAGATACTTATTTAATCCCAAAAGCTTTCTAGGAGGACACTCAGTTTCCACTATTGACAAAGAGGTGGTCCTGTGGACTCCCAGCAGATAAGAATTATAAAGATTACATTTTAAAAACTATGTCAAATACTGGAAAATGTCCAAAATATAGATGGAAACGGGAAGAGAGTTTAATTTCAAAAAATTGCAAATGGAAGAAGTATAAATTGTGAATTTTTGGCTTCTTAGCTTGGAGACAGTATCCACCTACCACACACAACAATGGCTGCAAAACAGCTGGGGAAAACTACAGCCTCATCAACAACATGTAACCAAGATTAGAGTTCAGGGCTGGAAAAGCAGCTGGAAATGTAAAGGGAAAATACTGATTGTCAGAGAACCACACAAAGAAAATGGCTTATATTCAAAACATTAACTACACAATTCCAGGCTGACAGCTAAACTATGCACTAGAAAGGAATGAATTACTGATACTAATACTTGCAACAACAAAAATGAACCCCAAAAGCATTATGTTACGAAAAAAGAAGTCAGGCACAAAAGACTTGTGTTGTATTATATGAAATTCTAGAAAAGAAAAAACTATAGTTACAGAAAGCAGATCAGTGGTTGCTAGTGCCTGGGGGGTGAGGAGGAGGGGGACCTGCTGCAAAAGACCATGAAAGATTTTTTTTGAAGCAATGGATATATTCCACATCTTGATTATGGCGGTGGTCAGATTTGTCAAAACTCATCAAACTGCACACTTAAAACTGATAAATTTTACTGTATGTAAATTATACCCCAAGTTAAAAAAAAAACCTAAAGTTTTCAAGAGCTTTTATTTCTTGCATAATTTCTTAAGAACTGTGTCACTACAAACAAATGGATGAACATTCCATGGCCATGGATAGGAAGAATCAACATCGTGAAAATGGCCATACTGCCCAAGGTAATTTATACATTTAATGCCATCCCCATCAAGCTACCAATGACTTTCTTCACAGAACTGGAAAAAACTACTTTAAAGTTCATATGGAACCAAAAAAGAGCCCGCATTGCCAAGACAATCCTAAGCCAAAAGAACAAAGCTGAAGACATCACGCTACCTGACTTCAAACTATACTACAAGGCTACAGTAACCAAAACAGCATGGTACTGGTACCAAAACAGATATATAGACCAATGGAACAGAACAGAGCCCTCAGAAATAATACCACACATCTACAACCATCTGATCTTTGACAAACCTGACAAAAACAAGAAATGGGGAAAGGAGTCCCTATTTAATAAATGGTGCTGGGAAAACCGGCTAGCCATATGTAGAAAGCTGAAACTGGATCCCTTTCTTACACCTTATACAAAAATTAATTCAAGATGGATTAAAGACTTAAATGTCAGACCTAAAACCATAAAAACCCTAGAAGAAAACCTAGGCAATCCCATTCAGGACACAGGCATGGGCAAGGACTTCATGTCTAAAACACCAAAAGCAATGGCAACAAAAGCCAAAATTGACAAATGGGATCTAATTCAACTAAAGAGCTTCTGCACAGCAAAAGAAACTGCCATCAGAGTGAACAGGCAACCTACAGAATGGGAGAAAATTTTTACAATCTACCCATCTGACAAAGGGCTAATATCCAGAATCTACAAAGAACTTAAACAAATTTACAAGAAAAAATCAATCCCATCAAAACATGGGCAAAGGATATCAACAGACACTTCTCCAAAGAAGACATTTATGCAGCCAAAATACACATGAAAAAATGCTCATCATCACTGGCCATCAGAGAAATGCAAATCAAAACCACAATGAGATATCATCTCACACCAGTTAGAATGGCGATCATTAAAAAGTCAGGAAACAACAGGTGCTGGAGAGGATGTGGAGAAATAGGAACACTTTTACACTGTTGGTGGGACTGTAAACTAGTTCAACGATTGTGGAAGACAGTGTGGTGATTCCTCAAGCATCTAGAACTAGAAATACCATTTGACCCAGCCATCCCATTACTGGGTATATATCCGAAGGATTATAAATCATGCTAATATAAAGACACATGCACACGTGTATTTACTGCAGAACTATTCACAATAGTAAAGACTTGGAACCAATCCAAATGTCCAACAATGATAGACTGGATTAAGAAAATGTGGCACATATACACCATGGAATACTATGCAGCCATAAAAAAGGATGAGTTCATGTCCTTTGCAGGGACACGGATGAAGCTGGAAACCATCATTCTGAGCAAACTATTGCAAGGACAGAAAACCAAACACCGCATGTTCTCACTCATAGGTGGGAACAGAACAATGAGAACACTTGGACACAAGATGGGGAATATCACACACTGGGGCCTCTCGTGGGGTAGGGGCAGGGGGAGGGATAGCATTAGGAGATATACCTAATGTAAATGACGAGTTAATGGGTGAAGCACACCAATATGGCACATGTATACATATGTAACAAACCTGCACGCTGTGCACATGTACCCTAGAACTTAAAGTATAATAATAATTTAAAAAAAAAAAAAAGAACTGTGTCACTAATCTAAAGCTCATCCATTATCCTGGATTCTGACATCTCCTCTTCCTACTTTCTGCTTTAGAACCATCATCCAAAACGAGAGATGGCACTAAGGGTATGTTATACACATAAAGAATGTGAAGGCAGCAACATGGGGCAGGGCAAAGAACTGCTGACCTAAGACAACATCCTTGGGAAAGACGAGGTTAGGATTAGAGAAAAGATGTTAGTTGCTTTAGAAGAGAGGGAAGGAGCAATGCAAAGATGCTTCTTAAGGTGCCCTTTCAGGCAATAGTTATGATATAAGGAAAACTTTACCCTCAGTCTCTTTGACTCATATCCTCTATAACTGTACCGTCCAAGCCACTAGTCACATGTAGCTACTGACATTTAAATAAAAATTAAATTAAACTTCAGTTTCTGAGTGCACTAGCCATATTTCAAGGCCTTGATAACCTTGTATAATTTATTGGCCATCATATGGGACAATTCCATCATGACAGAAAAGTCTACTGCAAAGTACTATTCTACAGTCTTTAGCTTCAGAATAACCTAAGACAACTTAAAAATGCCACAGGAAAAAATGAAACAAGGAAGAATATATAAGAGTGAAGCTGTACTTTGGCACCATAAAATGTGTACAAATGAGTGATAAAATTGGAGGAAGCAGACTTTAAAGCAACACAGAACTGAGTTTAAATTCCAATCTATGGCCGGGTGCAGTGGCTCATACCTGTAATCCCAGCACTTTGGGAGGCCGAGGTGGGTGGATCATGAGGTCTGGAGTTCAAGACCAGCCTGGCCAAGGTGGTGAAATCCCATCTCCACTAATCATACAAAAATTAGCTGGGCATGGTAGCAGGTACCTGTAATCCCAGCTACTTGGGAGGCTGAGGCAGAGAATGGCTTGAACCCGAGAGGCAGAGGTTGCAATGGGCCAAGATTGCACCACTGCATTCCAGCCTGGGTGACACAGCGAGACTCTGTCTCAAAAAAACAAGCAAACAAAAAAAACCCCAAAAATCCAATCTAGCCATTTACTAGTGAGCAACCTTGGGAAAATTATTCCATTTCCTAGGACTTCAATTGAGGAAACTGATTTAAAATCAGTATAACACTGCTTTGTAAAATAGATTTCATAAAAGCTATCTCATAGGGTTGTTGTAAGGATTAAATGATATGAGAAGTACTTAATATAGTTTCTGGTACATAGCATAAATATTAGTTCCTTAGTTTACTAGCAACTAAAGATAATTTTTTGGCATGTGGGCTACTGATATCAGCAATTAGCCACTCCTTGTATTCTACAGTTAACCATTTTGGTTAAGATAAATCGACCACCGTTTTCTTGAATTTGTAAGGATATAAATAAATACACACACACACATATAATCACTTTTAAAAATAAAATGATCCATATCTACAGTTTTAATAATAATTTTTTTTTTTGAGACATGGTCTCACTCTGTTGCCCAGGTTGGAGTGCAGTGGCACAATCACAGCTCACTGCACCCTCGACTTCCCAGGCTGAAGCCAGCCTCCAGAGTAGCTGTCAGTAGAGGTGTGCCACCACACCTGGCTAATTTTTTGATTTTTTGCAGAGACAAGGTCTCATTATGTTGCCCACACTGGTCGCAAACTCCTGGGCTTAACCGATCCTCTCGCCTTGGCCTCCCAAAGTGCTGGGATGATGGGTATGAGCCACTGCACCTGGCCTAACAATAAAAATTTTAATTCTTACCTTAGATGAAATGATCCTGTTATCTATAAATTTCTGAGGTGTGTAAAGGCCATTCTGAGGAAACCTGTTGGCTACGTAGATGGTTCTTGTGTCACTCTGATGTGGTGGGTCAAAACCCTAAGACCAATCAAGCAAGAGAAAAAGAAATACTAGTCAACCAGGTTAGTTATGATACTTTACTGTTAGCTTTATTTAGCTGGTCAGATTACATATATTACTATTGCCCTTAAAATGCATATAGACTCAATCCATCTAATTAGAAGAGCTATGCCACCTATTTTTTTTCTTTCACAGGTAAACAGGTACATTATCTCCAGATAGAAACTTTACTATTTTTTTTTCTTTCACAGGTAAACAGGTACATTATCTCCAGATAGAAACTTAACTAGGTAATGCCTTTAGTAATGAAAAACAGTTCATTCTCTGTCAGAAATACTACTATATTGAAAAAAAATCATATGGGAGACCTATAGAAGTATTTGAGGACAAATTTTCTATCCCTACTGCATTCCTTCCCTTTCATTTCTATGGATGGATTTCTACTCAGTGATGTGGAAGTCCTGTGTAGCTACAGCCTAATAAGCACCTACCACATCTGATGGCAAAGGTTTATATTTATTTTACTTTTTCCATCCCCAGACTGACTTGGTTGCAAAGAGCTTTGTTCCCAGATGACTTACAGTGCATTAGGTAGGGTCTTGCCCAGACTCATTCCACACAATCACTTATTTGAGCCATTATAGTATCAATTGACTTACTGAAATAGAGATATGAATATGCTGTAATTCCTGGCCTTTGGGAACTCATATCCTGACCTCAGATTGAGAAGACCATCTGTCAAGGCATATTAGTAATCACCTCTGGTAGAAAAGATTTCACGGGTAACAAGAACACTGAAACTTTATTCTTAGAGGACTGTATTTCCACTTCCACAGTTGCAAGTGAACCTTCAAGACACTTTAACATTCGGCATATTGTCTAGGGTTTTGAAATATTAGAAAAAAGACGCCGGGCGCGCTGGCTTATGCCTGTAATCCTAGCACTTTGGGAGGCTGAGGCGGGCGGATCACGAGCTCAGGAGATCGAGACCATCCTGGCCAACATGGTGAAACCCCGTCTCTACTAAAAAATACAAAAAAAATTAGCCGGGCGTGGTGGCGGGCGCCTGTAGTCCCAGCTACTCTGAGCAGGAGAATGGCGGGAACCCGGGAGGCGGAGCTTGCAGTGAGCCGAAATCGCGCCACTGCACTCCAGCCTGGGACACGGGGAGAGACTCCGTCTCAAAAAAAAAAAAAAAGAAATATTAGAAAAAAGAAAAAAAGACTCTTTTGGCAGATCTTGGGAACCCACTGATGGGCTGAAAGCAATATCCAAATGAAAGACTTTCTTTCTTTGGTTCTAACAGGAAAACGATTCAAAATTCCTTAGGTTTTTTTCTTTTTTTCTTTTTTTTTTTTTTTACATAGTGGTCATGGGCTATTTACTAGTACTACTAAGCAGTTATTAAAAGGTCAATAAAACTTGGGTATTCATAAGCTATGATGATCCATTTTTAGATATTAGTAAACGCTCTAATTTAGTAACCTACTACGTAAGTAATTTGGCTACCATTCAACACTTAGCATCCTTGTAGCATTTCCATTAAGCACAGACATACACAGATAGTGTGAGATCCCATGTAACTTAGAGGGATATTTTGCTTAGTCCATTGGAATATTAAGTGTTATGTACGGTATTCAACTGTTATTATTCTTGGTTTTAAACTTTTATTCTGTGATCTCAGAAACAGCTAGTACAGGACTGTACAAATGCATTTGTATGCATCATAACAAACATGTTTATTTGTTCAGACTATTTAAAGTCCTAAGATTTTTCTACCCTGCTTTTGCAACATTTTGCAATAGTGATGAACACACTTTGTAGATGTGAATGTAGCATTATGTGTCTGATTTCAAAAATCAGTCTCTTTAAGGAAAAAATATGGTGGCATAAATATTTATTTTCCTCATAAAGTGTCTTTAAAATTTTTCACAATTTGGTAAACAGATGAATAAGTGAACAAATGAATGAACAAATAGTTTCAAGGCTACTCCTTTAGTCTAGGGCTGTATTTCTCAAAAGAGGTTCACAGGAAGTTTACCTATAAACAGGTATCTGGAGCATTAGACTGCAGGAAGCATATTTATTCAGCATCCACTCCACAAACATGTTAACATCTCCCCCCAAACACTAGCTCCTGCCTCTTAATATGCTTTCTGCCATCTTTCTCTCCAGCATCACTCTGCTTTCAGCTCAACTCAACAGATTCAGATGGACACCTTTTTAAGAGCCCGTTAAAACAGATAAAATATTACTAATATGTTACTACTTCTCTTTAACACTAATTTAAACACTGATTTATAGCTTCTGGGATAAAGTTTTTTTAAAAAAGAAAGTAAATTTCAGGGCCTCAAACAGTACGTAAATCTTTAAGATGTCAAGACAACTGAGACTGAGAACCACTTAAAGAAAAGTTTAATTTTTTGCTAAATTCTCACAAGACCAGAATTTATGTACATCTAAAGTTAAGAAACAAAAAAAAAAGGACCCAAAATAACAGCAAGATAACTACAGCAACACCTCAGTTATGACTAGAATTTATATTAACATATAAATGCACATACTTTACATGAAGCAAATGCTCATCATTTCCCATTTATCTCTACTGGATGATAAGAACCAATGACCACATACTAAAATTTTGGAACTCCTGAGGGTTCTATAATTATTTCAAAGGGATATATTAAAACGTTCCCCCTGGCTGGGGGCGGTGGCTCATGGCTGTAATCCCAGCACTTCGGGAGGCCGAGGCAGGCAGATCACGAGGTCAGGAGATCGAGACTGTCCTGGCCAACATGGTGAAACTCCGTCTCTACTAAAAATTAAAAAATTAGCTGGGTGTGGTGGCACACACCTGTAGTCCCAGCTATTTGGGAGGCTGTGGCAGGGGAACTGCTTGAACCCGGGAGGTGGAGGTTGCAGTGAGCTGAGATCGTGCCACTGCACTCCAGCCTGGCAACACAGCAAGACTCTGTCTCAAAAACAAACAAACAAAAAAAAAAACGGTCCCCCCAAAATACATTATAAATTAAACTGAATTTTAAAAATCCTATAGAGCAATTCTATATTCCAATTAAAAATAAGATGACAAATTTAAAAGGAGAATGATGACAAACTTTTCCATATTCCCAATGATGATATAATATCTACCTATGCATTCTGAGGCTTTTTATTAATTCACATAATCTCATTCAATCATATTATAGTCAATGGCCTGCATTTGTGGGCACGTACGTGTGTTATTTTCTTTCATATGCAAAATAGGTAAATTTAATATATGTGTCTATAGTATAAGTACAGCCAAATGTCCCTTACGGAAATTAAACTTATAACTTCAGTTCATTAGTATTTAATATTAACTTTGCTGCAACAAATTAAACTAGCCACAATCTAAATAAAAATAAAAGAACAAAACTATCCAAAAATGAAGAAAGTGACTTAGAGCAGGATCCATAAATGGGCTTTAGTTCTGTGAATCCCTGAAATTGTGTGCAAATTTGCATATATGTGCATTTTTCTGATAAGCGTATACATAGGTTTCATGAGCTTTGCATGATGAAAAGAAGCTTAAAAGTACTTAACTTAAAATCTTGCTTTGTAATTAGTTCTGTAGCTTGAAATTCTATATTTAAAACTACCTCAAGAGAATCTTTATGTTTCAGTAACACCTTTATCTTCTTTAACAGGAGTCAAAACAAACTATTAACAAAATTATTTGTGTAACTACACGTTTAGTATGAAGTTCAAGCATAGTTTCACACTATTTCTAGTAAGCATTATCAGCAATTCTATGACACTGGAAAGGAAATATAATCTGAACTCTCTAATTACTAGGTCAAGGCTACATGGCAAGGTTCAGAAACCTTTGGCACATAATACATTTTCTCTTGTTATCCCAGGCTACTCATTCACACCCTCAACCCCTTAATGCTTGCCTGCTCCTTTCTTCTCTGATTTTATCTTGTCCTGGGCAAAGGACCTGAGATAGATCAATGCTATTCCAGCCACCCTGGCTTTATGTTAATGTCTACTAAAAAGTAGAGTTTAGGTATTGTAGGCACACAAATTTAAACTATTTGAAAGCTATCATATTCTTAAAAATTATGAAATTCAAAATCCCTTTTTTTTTCTTACTGGACTTGTGAGCATATGTTAAAGCCATAGGTACTCAAAAAAAAAAGTGGGTGAATATTTAAAGGGGAAAAAGTCTCATGATGGCAGACAGGGGAAGTACTGTTAATACACAAGACAGGATTGATTTGAACGGGACTCCTCTTGTAACCAAACTGAATGAGACCTGGAGAAATCAAATCAGCAAACAGCTATATCAATTTTAGCAGGAGGTCTCTGGCATAAAACAATACTTAGGAATGAATCTCAACATTTTCAATTTCAGGCCAAGTATATTAGCCTCTGCATTATCTTAAAATCCCAAAGATTTTATAAGCATTACAAGTAAAAGAGCTAAGAAGAGACTAAAACTATAGTTATGAATAATTTAATTAGTCATACTTCTTTAATATAACTAAGAAAACATCATCCTTAGAGTTCACAGCGCCTTCTAGCATTCCTACATATGATCTATTTGCTCTATGACAGAAAGAAAAAGCATCAAAACAAACAAAAGACCTCAAAACAACAAAAACAAAAAGCAGCTTCAGGGTCAAAACTGTATTAGGTTATTAAAATAAATGAACAGAATTTTATTTAGATCACATTCATGACAGAAAGTGATTTTTGCTGGCTATATGTTTCAAAGTATACAGGCACATGAAAATGCCTAGGGAAAAAAAATACCAATGCTTCTGGGGAGGAATTATTTAACGTCTTTTACTGAAACCTACAAAGTTAATTGTGAATTACTATTTCCTAGACATAAACTTTCAATAAATTATACCTATTCAGTAAAATATACCTATATAAAGGTACCATCAGGGCAAGATAATGTGACACTGTTAACAGACCAGACTAAGGTGATAGAGAAAAATTTAAAACACCCACAATGTAAACAGTTATAATTTACCTCAGCTTTTTGCTTTGTATTACATAACTTTCACTTCAGGATTTAAGTTAGTTTGCCATCTATCAGACCAGTCCGGTCTTCCAAGAACCCTGGCTTAGTGCAGGGGTGAGTTGGGACTGGATTTTTTCAAGCTGTAGGATATAAAATCTAGAGTAATCTTAGCGAAAGATAACTCAAAAATTCTCAAATCATTTGCCAAAGTTTTACTAAAGGTAGCTCATCTCTGGCTCCAGGAAAAGCCTACTCATCCTTCATTTTTCAGCTTAAGAGCTTCCTTCTCAGTGGAGCTTTAGCTGATGCCCCTCATTCCCCAGAGACAAAGGAAGGCATGTGTTATGTACTACTCCCACCAAACCTTTTATACGGTTCCAGTATAGATTTCATTACACTGAATTCTAATTGCTTGTCTCTGTATCTATCTCCCCCTCCAGACTATAAGATTCTTTTGAGATCAGGTCTTGCTCGGTCACCCAGGCTTGAGTGCAGTGGTGTATTCACGGCTCACTGCACTCTTGACTTCCCAGGCTCAAGCGATCCTCTCATTTCAGCCTCTGAGTAGCTGGGACTACAGATGCACACCACCATGCCCAGCTAACTTTTAAAATTTTTTGTAGATATGGGGTCTCACTGTGTTGCCCAGGCTGGTCCCAACCTCCTGGGCTCAAGCAATCCTCCTTCCTCAATCTCCCAAAGTGCTGGGATTACAGCTGTGAGCCACTGTGCTCTGCTCAGATTGTAAAATTCTTAAGGGCAGCATGTGCTTAGATGTCTGACACAAATTAATTCTTTAAAGAATATTTACTCAATGGATTAAATTCTCTAGTTTTCACATTCTGAGTTTCAAATTCTCTAGTTTCACATTCTGAATTTGGCTTTAAAATATCACTAAAGGCTGGGCACAGTGGCTCACGCCTGTAATCTCAGCACTTTGGGAGGCCGAGGTGGACAAATCACCTGAGGTCAGGAGTTCGAGACCAGCCTGGCTAAAATGGTAAAACCCCATCTTTACTAAAAATACAAAAAATTAGCCGGGTGTGGTGGTGCGTGCCTGTAATCCCACCTACTTGTGAGGCTGAGGCAGGAGAATCACTTAAACCTGGGACGCAGAGGTTGCAAGTGAGCCAAGATTGCACCATTGTACTTCAGCCTGGGTGACAAGAGCAAAACTCGTCTCAAAATAAATAAATGAATAAATAAATAAATATAAAATATCACTAAAAATAAATGTCAGTCAGGCGTGGTGGCTCACACATGTAATCCCACCACTTTGGGAGGCCAAGGCAGGTGGATCACTTAGGCCAGGAGTTCAAGAACAGCCTGGGCAACATGGGAAAACTCTGTCTCTACAAAAATAGAAAAATTAGCCGGATGGGGTAGCATGTGTCTATAGTTCCAGCTACTCGGGAGGCTGACGCAGGAGGGTCACTTGGGTCCAGGAGGTCAAGGTTGCAATGAGCCACAATAATGCCACTGCACTCCAGCCTGGGCAACAGAGTAAGACCCTGCCTCAAAAAAATAAAAAATAAAAATAATAAAAAACAAATGTCTACCAAACTGAATTTAACTTTTATGTTATTTAATTTGGAAATGGAAAAAATTTTAAAGCGGTTCTGTAGAGTGAAATATACCATTACTAGTATAAGAGGGGCTAGCAGGAAACTTTTTATTCTGGTGTTCCTAGATATGTCTTATTTTTATCAAGGCTATTTATTACAGTTTTACAGTTGGTGGGGATCCATTCCTGAAGGTCAAACAAATCAACTTCCATTAGGGGAATACAAATCAAAACCACAAGGAGATAACACTTCACATCCATTAACAAAGTTATTACAAAAACAAAACAAAACAAAACAAAACACCCCACAAAACAGAAAATAAGTATTGGCAAAAATGTGGAGAAACTGGAACCCTTGTGCATTGCTGGGGGGAATGTAAAATGGTGAAGCTACTGTGGAAAATGGTATGGCAGTTTCTCAAAAAATTAAACACAGAATTAACATAAGATCCAGCAATTCTACTTCTGGGTATATACTTCAAAGAAGTGAAAGAAGGAGCTCGAAGAATATTTCTACACCCATGTCCAAAGCAGCATTATTCACAATAGTCAAAAGGTGGAAGCAATCCAAGTGTTCATCAACTGATGAATGAATAAACAAAATGTGGTATTATACAGGCAATGAAATATTATACAGCATTAAAAAGGAAGAAAATGTTGGCACATGCTGCAATATGGATCAACCTTAAGGACATTATGCTAAGTAAAATAAGCCAGTCAGAAAATGACAAATATTGTATGATTCCTCTTATATAAGGAATAAGAGTAGTTAAATTCATAAGACAGAAGCAGAAAGTGGTTGCCAGGGGTTGAGTAAGGAAGGGAATGGCAAGTTTATGAGTACAGAGTTTCAGGCTGGGAAGATAAAAAAGTTCAAGAGATGGATGGTGGTAATGATTATATAACAATGTGAATATACTGAATGCCACAGAACTGTACACTTAAAAATGGTTAAAATGGTAACTTTTATATTATGTATATTTCACACAATTTTTAGAAATCAACTTCATCCATTTGGGACTTCACTGTGGACTTTCTGCATCAGGCAAGTCCTATTTGGCCATAATTCAACCATGATAGTAAATATCCCTTATATGCTGGACTGGTAGTTTCCATGTATGGAAACACAGAGGTATTTATGATAAAAATAAATGTGTAAGGTTTAGTTTAGATCAAATTTAAAGATCACAGGTTTTAGTAAGGGAGAATTTAAGGTTTCTATAAGCAAGGACACTAAATTTGAGTTCTTTGCCTATCCAGTTAACCACTGTCTGGATAAGGAGTGAAACTAGTAAATTTTATGGCTGCAGTATCCAGATTGGAGATAAACGGGTAAAAATACATTTCCACTCATATCTAAAACACTTCTGAGCTTCCTCCTTCTCCCCCAACAATCATAAACAAAACTGGCAATGAAAATGGCTTTCTAAATCCTCCTTGGTATATCAGCAACAGCTGGCTACAACTCTGCAAATAGGCTGGAGACACAGTCAATGAATAAACATATCTTTTTCACAATATCTTCAAAGTTTACTATTTAAAAAATATACCAGTCACAAATGTACACCACAAAATTCTAAACAACATTAAAAAATGTATTGAAGTAAAAAAAGATGTCCTGGGTGAATCCTATTTGGTTATTTAGACAAGAATTAATGCAAAAAAAAAGTAGAAAAAAGGTGGATGGAAGATATGCAATTGTGCTATTAATTTTACACGCTGGAAACCTGTTTTCAGTAATGTCTGAACCAAGAAACCATTACTAAATAAATAACAGCAGCAGCAACAACAAAAACCAACTACTTTGTACCAGTCTCACCACAATCTAGTTGTCCTACTTTTCATCTTGCCATAAACATTTTTAATGTTTATCAAAATACATAATGCTCTTACCTACAATGAAAGTATATGCTGTTCCTGTTATCAGATACATACAATGTAATATAAACAACTTAAATTGGGCAAACCAACCAAAATAATAATATCACTGAAATAATGTTCCCGAATAATCATATACTTAGTGTTCTACAGGCTTTTCTATCCACCTATTATTTTCCGATTGGTTGCTATTCTCATATAGAAAACTGTATGTACTAGTTCTATTATAGCTAAGAGGTGTATGCCTCAAAAAACTCCTTCTGGGGGGATGAGCCAAAGGAAGGAAGGTGGACTTCTAGGAACTTTTCAGAAATAAGGTTGGTATTGATTTTCACAATGACTGGGGGGTGCTAGTGGCATTTAGTTACTGGGTGGGTGAGGCAGAAGTATTAGACATTCTGTAATGGATTGCAGAGCCTTGCCAATGAAGAACTGTCCTATGAGCATCACAACTTCCAGACGCCATGTTTGCAAAAATCCCTTTGAAATAATCCAAACCTTCTATTTGAACATAAACAAAAAAATTTTATATGGATTTATGAATTTTCCAGGAATGCAATTACCAGGAAAATTGAAGAAAGATTATACTTTTTGTCAGAACTTTTATGAAGTGCTGTTTACTATTTCAGAAAATCACATCACCAGTGAAAATGCTATGAGTCACCATAACAATATATTTTTAGCAGTATATTTTAGAGCCAGAGCATTCACAATGACTTCAGCATCTGATTATTCATTATGTCCAGTGTAGTCATGATTGTTTACATACTGAAATAGATTTTATTTAATATAAATGTATTCATTTATTTTTCCTTCATATGACAATTAGGGTGGTAATGTGGATTTTTTAAAAAATTACTTGTATAAGCAACTTATTTAAATTTTATTTCAGGATTTTAAAAAGGAAGAAATATTTATAAAATATTTGATACGAACAGGGGAAATATGTCTGACAGCGTTGAGAATCAACTATGTATTTGGATGTTAAAATGTAAGTTATACCACAAGTATTCACTATCTCTCAAGTTAGAAGGTGCTGCTTATCTCACATGAGCAGTACAGACAGTACTCAAACCAGGAAACTACTGTACAACAAATATTTCCAACTACAGATTTAAAAGTAGGATAAAGTATAGGTAAAAACATTCTCAACAGTAGCAGCACAAAAAACGCACTGAGGTCAAAGAATAAAGATGCTAGGTGAATCCTACTCACTTAGAAAAGAATAGACACAAAGGTAGAAAAAAGTAGGGTGGGAGGAAGATGCACAATTGTCTAATTAATTTTATATGTCAGAAATGTGTTATCAAGAACCTGGGAAATATGCTTCGAAAGAAAGTAAAGCATGTCTACGCAGGGTAAAGAGAAAAAAAAAAGACTCAGTAAATCCTAAACTATTGCTATGAAAATTAAACTTTAAGCAGAGAAATGATTACTTAGCATCACTGGATCACACTAACATAATTCTGAAAAATTTATTTATTTATTTTGAGGTGGAGTCTTGCTCCATCGCTCAGGCTGAGGTGCAGTGGTGCCATCTCGGCTCGCTGCAACCTCCACCTCCTGGGTTCAAGCAATTCTCCTGTCTCAGCCTCCTGAGTAGCTGGGATTACAGGCACCCACCACGATGCCAGGCTATCTTTTGTATTTTTAGTAGAGATGGGGTTTCACCGTGTTGGCCAGGCTGGTCTTGAACTCCTGATCTCAAGTGATCTGCTCGCCTCGGCTTCCCAAAGTGCATGAGCCACCGTGACCGGCTGAAAATGTATTTTTAAAAAACAGAAGAATTTTAGCTTATTTTCAGTTATTTCAAAAAGCAGCTCATTTACCCTGCATAATAACTAAGAAAATTCTACTGCTGATCTGCAATTCTTGCCTTTTAATATTTTCCTGTATTCGATTTTTTAAAAATGTACTTTAGCAACCAATCAAAGAATACTTACTGAATACTTACTATGTGCCTTGTAATGTGCTAAGGACTAATGATGATGAAAGAAATACATGATTTAGTCCCTGCCCATATGGAATTGATGAAATCTTAGTGATTTATGCCTTAAGCTATTTCATCTCACATACTTAAGATCAAATCAGGATTGTTTCCTGTTTTAAATGTGAGACAACTAGCATGGATATCTAACAATCTGGAAAGCAACTGGATATACTTGCTTAGAGCTTAGAAAAGAGGGCTGGACTTGATATTGGAACCCAGCAAGCAAAATGGTGACAGTTCAAGCAAAGGATGTGTACAGGATTGCTTATTAGTGTACAGAGCGGGCAGGGCGTGGTGGCTCACACCTGTAATCCCAGCACTTTGGGAAGCCAGGGCAGGCAGATCGCTTGAGGCCAGGAGTTCAAGAACGGCCCGGCCAACATGGCACAACCCTGTCTCTACTAAAAATACAAAAATTAGCCAGGCGTGGTGGAGCATGCCTGTAGTCCCAGCTACTTGGGAGGCTGAGGCAGGAGAATCGCTTGAACCCAGGAGGCGGAGGTTGCAGTAGGCGGAGATGGCACCATTGCACTCCAGCCTGGGCGACAGACCAAAAGTCTGTCTCAATAAAATAAAATAATTAAAATTAAATAAAAGAAATAAAATAGAATATAAATAAAATGTAATTAGGAAACTTAGTCTTTAATTGTTAATGGTTATCACACTAACTTCTAATAACCAAAGGCATTGGTTCTCAGAGTTTTGGACTTCTATTTTTTTAATCTCCTATAGGAGGGAACAGTTTTGGATTTCACAGATCGGTAAAACTTTTTTAAATTAGGAAACTGGCATAGGGTTGCCAACTTTTTATTTTTCTAACCAAGAATATTAATAAAAAAGAAAGCAAGGGAAACAATCTAAGACTTTAAATTAAAGTCTGAGAAACTAAACCAGAAAAAGAACATTAGGGAAAAACTAATAAAATTCAAATAAAGTATGCAGTTAAATAACAACACATCAATATTGGTGTAACAAACGCTGCACAGTAATGTAAAATGTTAACAATAAGAGAAACTGGGTGGGAGAGAAGGGTACAGGAATCCTCTCCACTATATTTGCAACTTTTTTGTTAATCAAAAACCATTCTAAAATAAAGTTTATGTTTAAAATGTTAAAAAAATTACTCAAAAACAAGGACATCTATAAATTTATGCAAACACACAGATTACACTGACCTCATTTTTCTCATTTTGCCATAGACCACTGAGAGCTTTATCTCAATCTACATGAAACATCATCATTATGGAACCCATGGCCTGGGAGACTACCAACTAAAAAAAACTGTTAAAAGCATTCTTTACAAATTTTGACTTTCCCTTTCTCATAATACATTCCTAAGATACTTCAGCTTTTCCCTCTTTAAAAAAAAAATACTACAAATATATGCTGGAAAAAAAATGTTGATCAACATTGGCAGGTTAGCACTGCATCAATTCCCTTTAACTTTGCATAAAGATTTGGATCCACAAGGTATGAGGGTCTCCTGCATATCTAAGTTAGAAACCAATTCCTTTACAACACTGGAACTTCAACAGGAAAACACAAGATTAGAGAACTACTTTACAGTCTCTCCATAGTAAACAATCAGGTTCACTCTCACTGTTTCTGAACTTATCGTACCTTAAAGAGCATAGTGGAGAGCTAAAATAAGCAAGAGTATCTACATTCCCCTTGTAGTTCAGGAGATGAAAAAGTGAAGAAACAACGTTCTAGGTAACATATGATTAAGACTTGGACTTACTATATTGTGCTCAAGCTTTATCCGCCAATTACACTCATTGCAAAAGACTCTTCAAAGCAAAATCTTACAATACCTATGTGTATCACTTATAAAGAAAAACGTGTTTGCTACTCAGTTAAGTTAAAATGTTTGATCATTCTGAAATATCAAGCCACTTAGTATTTGATCTTATAATTCAATTTATAAGTATCATGAGCAAGGTAATATGCTTAGAACTATGGAAATACCAAAATGAGAAAACCACGCCCCTCCCCTGAATAAAACTTCATTTTTAAAAAAAGCCTTTTTAATAAGCACAAAAAGTAAAATATGTAGAATAAGTACAATTTTGACTAAAATAGCATTAAATCATAGATGACTCACTTATTTTCCTACAGAATATTATAAAATATAACCTTAATAGATTTAAAAGTATGACATAATTTCCTTATGGATATGATAAAAGCTATTATTAAAAATGGGCACCACCTTATCTCTTTGCTGCAATTCTAATTTCTATTTCAAGGTCACAAATTTCTCAAATGTCAAAATAATTTTTGAGCTCCCAAGGAATTTAAAACTTTTGAAAACTCTAAAAAATAATTTGCCACGCTGTTTAAAATCAATGTACACATTGCCATTTACACTATATAACATGTGTAAGAGGAGATACACATTAAGATATAAGCCAGGCCTAACTAATAAAATATATTTCACCTTGAGAATGGCCATGGCTGGACTAGAAACTCTTGATCATTTTTTTTTCTTTTTCCTCTACAAACTTGTCACCACCATCTCCAGAATACCACTGCTAGACTTTCCTTCCCCTAATGCATTCTGTAGTCTTATCACACTTTCAGGCAGATTTAAGAGATAACGGTGGAAGCTACTGTTATTTCATTCTCCCTACTATGGCTAATTCTATTCCACACTACTAAACTCCCTGGAAAAACTCTCTAGGTTCAAGTCCTGGCTGTGACACTAATTGGCTATTGGCTTTGGGAAGGTCTACATTTTGAACTGTTCCCTTTACTTCACAAAAGCAAAGACAGATAGTCTTTTTTTTTTTTAAATTAATACTTAGCCAAGCTTAACATAAGATAATCATTTCTGTAATCAGGAGCTGAGCCTCTGGGACTCTCAGTGTGGAAATAAGCAGTTTGAAGTTCAACTCCTATAGGATAAGAATAGCCGGATAAGAATCAGCAGTACCCCCTCTGCACCATGGTTCTAGAGTCAGGTTCAATTAGTAGTATTGTGCTTGGGTCCAGGCTTGCTCCCACCTTTGAAAGAAGCCTGGAAAAAGCTGGGTACCTTTAAAATAAGTATGTTTAAGATCTCCAAAGGAATAATGGAATAATATTTTTAATGAAAAATTATGAAACAAATCAGGCACATATGCAGAAAGAGCAGACAGAAATGAACAAGGTCCAATAATAAATAAATGCTGAAAATGAGAAATTGTCATTTAAGTAAAAATTCAGAAGACAGGATAAACTACAGTGAAAACAAGAGAATTGGTGGACTAGAAGCTAGAAATAAAAAATTTCTGCTGAAAACAGCACAGATAGAAAATGAGATGAGAATAAGAAAAGAGCCATAGAGAACAAATTAAGAGGCTTCAACATATGTCAAGCAAGAGTTCTAGAATGAGAAAACTAAAGGCTGAGAAATAATATTTTAAAGAAAAAATGGCTAAAAATTTTTCTGAATTGTATAGTCTTCAGATTGAAAGCACACGCAAATGCAGAGCAGGAAAAACAATATGAAAAAACATGATGGATACATCACAGTAAAATTACAAAATATCAAGGACAAAGATAATCTTAAAAATAATGTGAAAGATATTACCAACAAAGTAATGACAATTAGATTAAAAGCATATTTCATAACAGCAATAATAAATGTCAGAAAGTAATGGAATAAGTAGTATCTCCAATACGTAGAGCTAAAGTAACCATTAATCTAGAATTCTGTATCTAGCTAAATTCCCATTCAATAGTGACTATGAAATAAAAACATTACCACTCATGAACTCTTGCTTAAAAACAACTAAAGAAGTTATTCAGCAAGAATAAAATTAAATCCAGAAGAAAGAGGTGGTATGCAAGAAACAATAATGAGTAAAAGATATCACTAAATCCTTGTGCTAAATAAAAATTACCATATTAATTAAAAACTAATGCTAAAAAACATTGAGTTTAAAAAGAAGTAGGACTACAACCCACATTATGGGAGAAAATATTTGCAAATCACATCTCATAAAGGTCTTATATCTAGAATATATAAAGAAGTCTTACAACTCAAGAATTTTTTTTAAAACACAAGAAATAACCCAATTAAAAACAAGCGGCCCAGTGCGGTGGCTCACGCCTGTAATCCCAGCACTTTGGGAAGCCAAGGCAGACAGATCACCTGAGGTTAGGAGTTCGAGACCAGTCTGACCAACATGGAGAAACCCCATCATTACTAAAAAAAAAAAAAAAGAAATTAGCTGGGCCTGGTAGCACGCGCCTATAATACCAGCTACTTGGGAGGCTGAGGCAGGAGAATCACTTCAATCTGGGAGGCGGAGGTTGCCATGATCTGAGATCGTGCCATTGCATTCCAGCCTGGGCAACAAGAGTGAAACTCCGTCTCAAAAGAAAAAAAAAAAAGCAAAAATATCTGAATAGGCATTTCTCCAAAAATGATACACAAATGGCCAACAGGTACATAAAAAAAATTGGATATCATTAGTCATTAGGGAAGCACAAACCAAAATCGCAGTAAGATACTATTCATACCCACTAGGATGACTATAATCAAAAAGACAGACAAAAGTAAGTGTTGGCAAGGATATGAAGACATTGGAACCCTCATACATTGCTAGTGGGAATGTAAAATGGTCCAGATAGTTTGGAAAACACTTTGGCAATTCCTCACAAAGTTAAAAACAGAGTTACTATATGACCCAATAAAAGTCTACTCTTTAGGTATAAGCCCAAATGAAAATACACATCTACATAACAACTTACAGATGAATGGTCAAAGCCGTGTTATTTCTAATACCCAGAAGGCAGAAACAACCCAAATGTCCATCAATTGATGGATGAATTAAAAAATGTGGTATATCCATAAAATTGAGTATTATTTGGCAATAAAAAGAAATGAAGTAGTGATACATGCTACAACATAGAAGAACCTTGAAAACATTATGCTAGGTGAAAGAACACTGTTACAAAATACCACATATATGGTACGATGACATTTATATAAAATGTTCAGAGTAGGCAAATCTAGAAACAGAAAGTGGTTGATTTAGGCTGGGGGCTTGAGGTTTGGGAAAATGGGGAATGACAGTTAATGAGTATCGAGTTTCTTTTGGGAAGAAAAAATATCCTAAAATTAGAGTGTGGTGATGGTTACACTAACCTGTGAATACACTAGAAAAAAACTGAATCATATACTTTATAAGGGTAAATTGTATGTTATGTGAGTTGTATCTCAATAAAGCTGGTCAAAGAGAAAAAACAGACTACTATGCAACTGTAACGCAGAAGATGAGAAAGAACACTGGAGTTAAGAAATCTAAATTCCTGCCAGGTGCGGTCGCTCACACCTGTAATCCCAGCACTTTGGGAGGCCAAGGCGAGCGGATCACGAGGCCAGGAGATCAAGACCATGGTGAAACCCCGTCTCTGCTAAAAACACAAAAAATTAGCCGGGCGTCGTGGCGGGTGCCTGTAGTCCCAGCTACTCGGGAGGCTGAGGTAGGAGAATGGCCTGAACCCTGGAGGCAGAGCTTGCAGTGAGCCAAGATCACGCCACTGCACTTCAGCCTGGGGGTCAGAGGGAGACTCTGTCTCAAAAGAAAAAAAAAGAAAAAAAAAAGAAATCTAAATTCCTATGTTATTTGTAGATTATGTATAGAGATGCTCAATGACTATAGGCATAACTAGAAAAATAAATAAAAATGAAAATACAATCCATAGCTTATAATCATCAAAGGGAAAAAATATGAAGAAACTTAACTTCAATGCAAAGCTAATCAAAATCTAGAACTATTTTCCATGGAGCTAGACAAACACTGTAAGTGGCATATGGAAGAATAAAGTTCAGTATAATTGTAAAAAGAAAAAAAAAGAAGGTGGGGGTTCTGCCTGCCAAATACCAAGACTTATCATTAAAATACTATAATTAAGACAGAGCATTATTTGTGCACCAAGAAATGAATGAAATGGAATACAGAATCTAGAATGAGACCAAGGTATATGAAAGAGAATGCTGGTATATGACAGAGTATGTGAAAGAGAATGCTGGTACGTGTCCTAAATGTGTCACTTATGACAGAGAAGGCAAACAACACAGACTCGTGGAGGAAGGATGCCTCATTCAATAAACAGCATTGACACAACTTTCTATACGGGAGAAAACAAATTCCCTTCCTTATTCCATATACAAAAATTGATTCCAGGTATCTTTAAAGATCTAAATGTTAAAAAACTAATTTTAAAACAATTTGAAGAAAACGCTGGAAAAACAGCTTTATGATCCTAGTATAACAAAGGAATTGTCAAATATGTAATAAAAAGCAGAAATCATATGTCTAATAAATTTACCTACAAATAAATTTAAACTTTCTGTATAAAAAAAGATACCATAAACTAAATTAAATACACGGAACAGACTAGAAGATATTTACAACATATACAACAAAGAATTGGCATCCAGGCTATAGCAAGAATTAGGAAAGGCCAAACTACCCAATGGAAAACGGGCAATCTATTCATGTGAATGAAATTGAGGATACCTGCATCTCACCAGCAATCAAGAAAATGCAAATTAGAACAAAATGAGACACTATTTCACACCCATCAGACTGGTACGTTTTTTCAAGTCTGACAGTACAAAGTGTTGAGCAAGATGTAGGGAAAGGAGAACTCTGTTTTAGAAAATACTTTGGCAATATTTAGTAACAGTCATAATGTACGTGACCCATGACCCAGCAATTCCACTTCTGGGTATTTAACTTCAAAATAAATAAATAAATAAACAATAATAGTCATTGTAACACTTTTTGTAACAGGAAAAAATTGGCAACAATCCGAATATACATTAGAAAAAAAGAACCCCCCATAAGATTGGCTGGGGCAGGGATTACTTCATTTTGGTAGTTCCAAAGCCTAGCAACAAATATGCTATCACAGAAAACTAATTCACTTACAGAAAATGACTCAATTCATCAATACATGAGAAAGAAATGGTGTCACCTAAAAGGGGATGCAGAGTTGAGAAATGGCTTTTGTTAAATGGAGAACAAAACTAAAGCAGACAAAATCCCTTCCTTCCTGAGATAAATGAGACTAGCAAGTTTTGGAGTAGGTTAAATAGCATTAAGTGCTGAGAAATCAAGCAAGGAAAGGCAACAGGGAAGTAATGGGGAGGGTCAGAACATTATACTGAATGGCTGGAAAAAGCTTCACTCATGAATAACGCAATATTTGAATAAAGACTTGAAAGGAGCGAAGGAGCCAGCAGATGTCTGCAGGAAGAACATTCCAGGTAGAGGTAGTAACAGTCAGGACAAAGCTCCTAAAACTGAAGTATGCCTGGGACTTCTGAATTGCAATAAGGCTAGTGTGAATAAAGAGTGAGAGAATAGTGATGGAGGATGAGAAATGGATTGGAAGAAGTGTAGGGGTTGGCATACAGATCAAGCAGAGACTTTGGCTTTTACTCTGAACAAAAGAGCAAGCACTTGGAAAATCTTAGGCAGAGGAATTATATGATCTAACCTGTTTAATAAGATCACTCTGGTGGGTATATTGAAAACAGACTGCAAGGACAGAAGGGGAGAAACAATGAGATGAACTAGGAAGCTTTTGCAATAATCTAGGTAAGAGGTAGCAGTAGTTTAGTTGAGGGTGGTGGCAGAGAAAGACGAGAGAAATGGTTCTGGATATATCATTTTTAGCAACAACAAAAAGGGAGATACGATTTGCTCCCCAAACACTTAGATGTATTCATGTTATAAGTAAAACACTTTTTAAAATGCATTTTTTAAAAAATTGACAAAAATTCTGTATATTTATGGTGCACAACATGATGTTTTGAAGCAAAGCATTTTTTGATTCATGTGTCTTTCTTTGATTTCTTCTCCCCACAGAGGTATCCATAGAAAAAGAGCAGTTGACTTTTAAAGAACTACATCTCCTGCTTAGAATTTGACAGATTCTTAGTAAATTTATTAGCAATACATATTATGCATGTACCTTTTATTATTAATATAACTGAATTAAATCAAGAGTTAAGGGGAGAGTTTTACATTAACTTATATTAATAATCACTGATGTAACTGACATAAAATAAAATTTCTACACTTGTAAAAATAAGAATTTGAGAATGGAAGGAAAGGAAGAAGCGATTTTGGAGATAAATACAGAAATATTTATGGGTAAAATTATATAATGTCTGGGATTTGCTTCAAAATCACTAAAGGGAGTGAGGATAGTGGGTGGGGGGAATAGATAAAACAAGATTGGTCATGTGCCGATAACTGTAAAAGTTGGGTAAAGGATAAATTATACCATTTGCCCAACTTTATACCATAAAGGGGCTCATTATACCATTATCTCTACTTTTGCAGGTGATTGAAATTTTCTATAACATAATGCTTAAAGAAAGAATAAAAATAACCTGTACCAGCTTTACCGGCTTCACACAGTAAGAATAAGCTACATATATACAACATCTGTTTCTGTTCCTAACTTTTCCAAAATGTACGTGAATGAATGAATGATTGATACCTATGCATATCATCCTATTCTTCCTCCTTTCCTGAGGGGGAACTTCACTTCCAATTAAAATGTGGAGACAGACACAGCTTAACTAATTAATATCCTTAATTTGGTATTTCATCTAAATTTTGGACAATCTAATAGTTTTAAAGAGAAACAAGTATGATTATCTGCATAAGCCATAACTTAATGTTAAGGAGGATAAACTACATGCTAAAAATTTCAAAGGAAGGCCTGGTGGGATGGGTCACACCTGTAATCCCAGCACTCTGGGAGGCCGAAGTGGATTGATCATCTGAGGTCCAGGGTTCGAGACTGGCCTGGCCAACATGGCGAAACCCTGTCTCTACTAACAATACGAAAAAATCCGTTGGGCATGGTGGGACGTGCCTGTAATCCCAGCTACTCAGGAGGCTGAGGCAGGAGAATCACCTGAATCTGGGCGGGGCTGGGGGGGGTGGGGGGCGGAGGTTGCAGTGAGCGGAGATCGCGCCACTGCACTCTAGCCTGGGTGACAAAGCGAGACTGTCTTAAAAAAAAAAAAAAATCAAAAGAATTTGCCAATACCATGTATAGGATAAGAAAATACGAAAATTAAAAATTGTACAATTTTAAGTGAGCCAGTCAGCAAAAAAATTTGTGTTCTAGTTTTCTCCTAAGCACACCCAAGAGTCAAACAGTTCCCTCAGAGCCATTCCCAAGTGCTGAGAAGTAACAGAAATTCAATGCATGTCATTCACAATACAGGTGAATGTTTACTGAATGCATTATAACCATATATGCAAAAAAATTAAATACAAACATCGTCTGGGCACAGTGGCTCACACCTGTAATCTCAGCACTTTGGGAGGCTGAGACAGGAGGATCGCTTGAGTCCAGGAGTCTGAGACCAGCCTGGGAAACATAGTGAGACCCCCACCTCTACAATTTTTTTTTTTTTTTAATTAGCTGGGTGTGGTGGCAAATGCCTGAAGTCTTAGCTACTCAGGAGGCTGAGGCAGGAGGATCATTTGAGCCCAGGAGTTTGGGGTTGCAGTGAGCTGTGATCACATCACTGCAGTACAGCCTGGGAGACAAAGTGAGGCCTTATCTCAAAAAAAAAATTATATATATAATTTCTAACTTGAAGTATTGGCTTAAAAATAAGTCTCATAGTATTTCCCATATAAATATCCAATCAAGAATGTTTTTGTTTCTTTCTTTTTTTTAATTTTTATTTTTTAGAGACAGGGTCTTACTCTGTCATCCAGGCTGGAATGTACTGGCACAATCATAGCTCACTGCCGCCTTGAACTCCTGTGTTCAAGCAATACTCCTGCCTCAGTCTCCCAAGTAGCTGGGACTAAAGGCAGGCACCGCCATGCCCAGCTAATTTTTAATTTTTGTAGACACAGGGTCTCACTATGTTGCCCAATCTGGCCTTAAACTCCTGGCCCAAAGCAATCCTCCTGTGTGTCTCCCAAAGTGCCGAGGTTACAGGTTTGAGCCACCACACCTGGCCTAGAATGTTTTTCTTATACTAAATTTTATAACAGAGAAACTCCAGGAAAAAAAGCAAAATAAAGAATATCTGAGAATAAAATCTTTCAACTATGTTTATAAACTCAAATCTTGAGTTTCATTTTGATATTTTTTAAAAAATACACGTTTACTTCCTTTTGAGAATAAAAAAATTAAAATTAAACAATAAAAATGCACATTTCTAGTAAAAACTAAGCTAATTATGAATATTATCTTGCTTAGAATGATCAGCACTCGGGCCGGGCATGGTGGCTGACGCCTGTAATCCCAGCACTTCCGGAGGCCGAGGCGGGCGGATCATGAGGTCAGGAGATCGAGACCATCCTGGTAACACGGAGAAACCCCATCTCTACTAAAAATACAAAAAATTAGCTGGGCGTGGTGGTGGGCGCCTGTAGTCCCAGCTACTCCGGAGGCTGAGGCAGGAGAATGGTGGGAACCCAGGAGGCGAACTTGCAGTGAGCTGAGATCGCGCAACTGCACTCCGCCTGGGCGAAAGAGCGAAACTGTCTCCAAAAAAAAAAAAAAAAGAAAGAAAGAAAGATCAGCACTCAGACAACTGCAGAAACAAAATGAAGAATAAACAGCATGGCTAAATCTAGAACCCCACAGCAGTCGATGTTGACTTGATAAATTATTTCCAAGGGACCAGATGCAGTTAGTCTATCAGGCAGCTTCTAGTCTCTTAGATATAATGCAGACCAACACTCTGAAAATAGAAAACTCACAGAAAAAAAGCCTGGGTAAAGTCATAAAGTCCTTAGAATCAAAAACTTTCTTGAATCTGCCTATGCCAGGCATTATATATTGTTACCATAATCTAAAACAATGCTGTAGAACAGAAATATGGCCTAAGCCACATATGTTAATTTTCTTAGTTTCCACATTTAAAAAAAGGTAAAAATAAACAAGTAGCATTTAATATTTAACCAAATACATGTATATTTATATAACCCAATATAATTTCAACATGTAATCAATTAGAAAATGAATGAGATATTTTACATCCTTTTTCCAAACTAAGTCTTCAAGATCCACTGCATATTTCATTCACACACATCTCAATTCAGAGTAGACACACTTCAAGTGCCTACATTTCGACAGCCATATGTGGATACCATGTTGAATAGCACAGGTCTAGAAAACATTTAATGACAATAATGGTAATCATAAGGCTCTTTAGAGGATCTGGAGCAAGGTCCCTACTTCAGTGTTGCTGGGAATACCTGAGTTTCCTCTAATGCTTTATCCTCTTCCTAACCAAATGCAAAACTGCGTATCTAAGAATATATGTCTGAAAATAGAGATAAAGCAGCACATACTCACAGATCTAGGTTCTTAAACATTAATTCTTGAGGTTAAAACTTATCCACAAAAAAAATACCACCCTAGGCCAGTGCTTCCTTTTTCTATTCCTTCATTCATTCCTTGGAAAAGAGGCAGAGAATGCAGGTATTTTCAAACTGATGCTGAATTAGATCTGATACTCATTCATTTATTCAACCAACATTTGGCAGGTGAATACCTACAATGGGCCAACTGCTGTCTTGAGTGTAAGGAATATAAATACAAGTAAGATATGGTTCTTATCCTAAGATATTTACAGTCTAGTCTAGTAAGTGAGATATCTAGACTTCCACAATGTGTTCTGTAAAAACAGGAGCTCACTATTCTTTTCAGACGGTCTCACTCTGTCACCCAGGCTAGAGTGTGGTGGCATGATCATGGCTCACTGCAGCCTCAAACTACTTGGGTCAAGTGACCTTCCCACCCTAACCTTCCAAGCAGCTGAGACTACAAGTCAGTACCACAATGCCCAGCTAATTTTTTTTTCTTTCCTAGAGACAGGATCTCACTATTCTTACCAGGATACAGGAATTCACTTTTAATGTTATACAGCAGCACTAATAGAAATAGAACATGAGCAACAGATGCAAGTCACGTAGGTAACTTTAAAATTTCTAACCACTTTAAAAAAAGTAAAAAGAAACAAAATTCCAAAAATTTATTTTACTTTACCTATATATGTAAAATATTATAATATCTCAACATGTAACTAACAAAAAAATGAGAGTTCTTTTTTCTTTTTTCTTTTTTCTTTTTTGAGACAGAGTCTCCCTCTGTCACCCAGGCTAGAGTCCAGTGGCATGATCTTGGCTTACTGCAACCTTTGCCTCCCACGTTCAAGTGATTCTGCTGCTTCAGCCTCCTGAGTAGCTGGGATTACAGGTGCCCATCACCACGCCAGGCAAATTTTCGGATTTTTAGTAGAGATGAGGTTTCACCATGTTGGCCAGGCTGGTCTCGAACTCCTGACCTCAGGTGATCTGCCTGTCTCGGCCTCCCAAAGTACTGGGATTACAGGAATGAGCCACCTTGCCCGGCCAGGTTTTACATTTTTTAATACTGTTTTTGAAATCCAATGTGTATTTTATACGTAAGAATAACTCTACTCAAACTAGCCACATTCCAAATACATCAGCCAGCACAGTTTTATAGATCTGTTTTTCAGAAAATTAAAAAGAATTTGCCAGTTACAGGTACAGGAAAAAGTAGCAGAGAGGCTTGAACATGTTCACAAGTTAAGAGAAAAAGTAAAGAGAAAGAAAAGAAACATACTAATGATAACTGATGGAGTATGGACAGCAGAATGAAAGAAAAGGATCAAAAGCTTAAGTGGAATTGTTATCTTGGAAAAGAGGGTTGCATCTTCCTTGTGACTGTGAAGGGAAGAATTAAGTACCAGTATAAAATATAAGCAAGTTCGGTGAGTGTGAGGAAGAACAGAAAGTTGAGGGAGTTCAGATTAAGACCTTCTCATTTTTCTCAGTTAATCAGAAGACAATCTTAGCAGCCTCCTACCACCATCGCCAATACAATCTAAAGGGATTACATTTATGGAACAGTTTAAGAAACAGTTATCCTAGTAATACTGTTTTTGTGTAATTACTCATTTTCTAACTTTTTTCTGGGCTAGTCAATCTTAAATTTGGTCATTTTTGTCTCTAAACACAGAAACAACACTACAGATTCATTCTTTCTTTCCTCATCTATTAATTATTTGTTCAGCAACATGTATCCAATGTCTACTTATGTAGAGTATGTGTGACCCTGACCAACATTTGTATCCCTGGTATTCAGCATCTGTTAATACCAGCACACAGCAAGTGCTTTAAAAATGTAGTATTACATTCAAATATGTACTGACACAGACTTTCATTTAAAAGTCTAAATTGGTGCTGTCCAATAGAATTTTCTGTGATAATGAAAATATGAACTGTCCAATATGGCAGCCAATGGCAGCCAATAGACACATGAATTCAAATTTTAATTTTAATACCCACATATGGCTCCAATTTTAATTTTAATGGCCACTTGTGGCTAATGGCTACCGTACAGGTCTAAATATTAGAATACAGTGAGTAGCTAATGGCATTTCCATAATTATAATCAAGGTATTGTCATCTCTAATGAGTTAATACATAAAATATGGTACTGAAAATGAGTATACTTTGAATAATACTAACTGTACCACAAAGACACCATAAGAGAATTTTCTTAGTGTCAAGTAACTTTAACATTGTGTGCCAAAAAGAAAAACAAAAAAGGATATTCCAATCTTTTTATTTTCAGCCTACTTTCCCAATAGAAAAGATCAAGCTTCTGTCAACTTTCTGATTTTTCCATCTTCTCAAGTAGTGAAAATATTTTGTCATAAGGAGTCACACTTTTTTTTAATTAAAAAGAAATTACTAGAACATAGGCATTGTTTCTGTAATAAAAGGACTTTTTTGTGAGACATTAGTTGAAAATCGGGATTCATATAACGAATTAAATATGCTTATAACTCCAACCTGTCCTTAGGATTTGCTTGTCAATTTCCCCAAATTTGTCCTAGTTATCTGCATTTTAAAATAAACCCATTGCTGAAAGTCGTGGTGATTCAATCCATTAAGCCACTGGAAGTATAATCTAAACTAGCTTTTACCTGAGTTGAATAATTTCTGGTGCAGTAATCAGAATAGCTGTCTATGACTGGGATAGCAAAATATACTTTCATTACTCTGTATCCAGGGTCCTTGATGTTTAATTTATGTGATCATACAAACTTAACCAGAGACACAAAGTCCTACATTGGCCCAAGTATGATTACATACTTAGAGGATCTGATAACTTAAAACCAGTGAGGTGAGCAACTAAATGTCAGAGATAGCATTTTTTATGCACAGGAACTTGTTCAACTCGTTAACCATCCCTGTTAAGACGGCTGCCTTGTAAAATAACCACACACAACTTCCGGCCCTTCCTTTTAGCTGGGTTCATTTGAAGCCATTTTAAAAAACATTACCAGGTTTTCTGTCTTGAAGATGAGCATGGTTATACAACCAGGATTTTATTCTGGCTAAAAAATACCTAACAGTGAGAAAGGATGTCTCAATACATTTTTAAAAAAGCTTCAAGAGAACCACTTTAAAATGATCTTCCTACCACACAAAAACACCATCAGGTAAATCAGCCCTCTATACAAGAAGATTTGGCAAATCAAAAGCATAAGATCAAATCTGTAATAATTAACTTTCTGAGTAAAATTACTGTGCTACAGCTTACTGCAACAAAGCCAAAGTATTACAAGATGGTATTATAATGACATCATTAGCTTGGTTTCCTAATAAAGCATATATCTGGGATATCTGAATTTACAATGCTAAAAACAGAGACCCAACATTTGTAGGAGGGAGTGGTAGGCAGTTCTTATTTATAATTTTTTTTTTTTTTTGAGAATGATGCCCGCTGCAAAACGAAGTAACAGAAGGCTGGCTCTGAAACACCACACTTCTTGGTCTTAACGTTAAAATGCTTTTCTAGAGCAGAAGGGAAAAAGAGTTATCAGTGCTTTCGTCCCACAAAAATAGTTCCTGTTTCACTAAATTTTACCACTGCCTTTAGAATTAGTAAATGAAAACGCCAACTTGTAGAAGCATTAAGTTAATGCGATTTAGAAATTAAATAGTAACCGGCCTCATCACACAGATAAGGTTAGGCTTCTTCAGCCAGGGGCAATTTCTGTCCTAATTGTCACAGCTGCCTTAATGCTGTACTTTCTGCGCTGTAGCTGCCAGGAGGCAGATAAGATTTTTCTCTCTGAATTAATTCTGGGAAAGGTGGCACTTTTTATAGGCCTTAAATGACCCTTTTCTAAGATTTTTTGTTGGTGGTGTCCAGATGTTCCAATAATACTGGAGAGTTAACTATTCCTTCCAAACCTGTGTCGTTCAAACTGCCTTGAGGAGAACGGGAAAAAAGTAAGGTTCACACTCGAAAAGTTTCACTCGGGGTGGGGTGAGGACGAGGTAGGAAGGAAACGACAGTACGTATCGTTCGTAACTATCGTACAATACGTATCGTTTCCGAAGCTAGACCGGCAGCTGGCACAGTCTTTCCCCTTTCCAGGTCCTGGGGAGAAACGTCTCTCGCTGAGGGGGCTAGACACCTACGACAGCCTCCTCCTCGGGAATCAACACAGCTCTGGATCGTGACACGCTTCCAGAAGTCCGTGACGAGTGGGGGCAGAAGACAGGTTCTTCGCTTCCCCTTCACCCAAACACGTCCCAAATTGTTCGAGGCAGGAAGAGCACGCCTCTCTCATCTCCCCAAGACCTACTCTCGCTCAGCTCCCTCGCCCTGTTTCCTCTGGGGGCACCGCCACCCCGCTCGGGACTCCCGCCTCTGGCCACAGCAGCCCCGGAGCGGCAAGGGGGAAGAAGTAACGGAGAAGCGCCGGCTAGAAGCGGCCGCCTCCGGCCGCTCGGCGCCAGCCTCGGCGGCCCGGGCTTGGAGGCGAGACGAGCCCGGGAGCCGCACGGGGCTTCTCCGGCTCTGGGCCCCGCGCCCGTCTCCGCTGCGGCCTAGCCGGGCGCCCACGCCCTGGCCTCCCGGCTCCGCGCCGCCGGCCTTTCCCCGCCACCCCGGGCCGAGAGGCCCCGCGGGGGCGGACGAATGGAGGTGGAGGGGCGGGGGCACCTACCAGCTGCTGCCGGATCCAGCGCCACATTCCCCCGTCGTCGCCGTCCGGGTCCCGCGGGGCGCGGGGGCCGCGGGGCTGCAGGTGGAGGCCGACAAGACAGAGGCGGGAGCGGGCGAGCCCCTCGGGCCGAAGTTCCGCTTACCGCCGCCGCCGCCACTGCCTCACTCCCCGCGCCGCGTCCCCATCCCGCGGCGTCGGCCCCGAGTCCTACAGGCGCGGCCCCGGCGCCGCCCCCGCCCGGCGCAGCTGAGCCTGCCGCCGCGCCGCAGCCACCTTCATTATTGACCGTTGTCACCCAAAGCACCCCCGCAACCCCACCCCCGCCCCGCCCCGCCCGGCCCCCCGGCTCCACCCGGGACCGCCCCCGGCGCCCCGGCCCGCCCCCGGACGTGACGAAAGGGGGTGCGCGGACCGAGGGGGGCCTGGCGCGCCCCGCCGCCGTTCCGAGTTGGGGGGTTTCTGTGTTGTGGGTCCGGGAAGAAGCGAGCGTGGAAAGGTGCCGGGTTCTCGAACGCTGTTTCTGTCCACTGCCACCCTCCTCCCCGTTCTGGGAGTGGGATTAAGTCGTGTCTGTGGGTCTGGCCATCTCCGGAGTCTGCAGCTTGGGGCCGATTCCTCGGTCTCTACCTCCTGTTGCAGGTCTTTTTCGGGCTCTGTGGCTTCTTTGGTTCACGCGTCTCCCGACACGCATACGCACAGTCCTGAACGTATGTGACTGAAAGTTAATCCCCCCAGAAGTCCCAGTTTGGGTTCCATCAAGCTGTAAGAGCTTTCGTCTCAACACAAGTCAGGCCTCTTCTTTAGCAAATGGCTGAGACGGGGCTAGGGAAATCTTGATCACACCCATTAAGTGATTCGAAAGCGTTGCAAGTCCCCTGAGCCTGGTACAGCCTGGACCCGTGTTTCTAGGCGAATGGATGAGATATTCTGTCTTGCCGTGTGCTAAATTGGACAGGTTCAGGGGAAGATAATTTGTATAAAAAGGTAGTTCTTTACTGCTAACTGCCAAACTTCTGCAATCAAAAACACCCGTAGCAGTAACTTGACCTAGGTTAAAAAAGTGTGTGGATGACAAGCTCAGAAGGAATATACAAGCAACTGGAACAAGGCTTTGACTTAAAGGTTTGGCGTTGTTTAAAAGCAGCCCCGTATACATATTGTGTTATGTATATGTATTGAATGCTGTATTTTTGCTGAATTAAAGCACACTTCACCGACAGACGTTTGTGGTTAAAAAAAAAAAAATTAAGCGGCCGGGCGCGGTGGCTCACGCCTGTAATCCCATGTAATCCCAGCACTTTGGGAGGCCGAGGCGGGTGGATCACGAGGTCAGGAGATCGAGACCTTCCTGGCTAACATGGCGAAACCCCATCTCTACTAAAAAATACAAAACATTAGCCGAGCGTGGTGGCGGTCGCCTGTAGTCCCAGCTACTCGGGAGGCTGAGGCAGGAGAATGACGTGAACCCGGGAGGCAGAGCTTGCAGTGAGCCGAGATGGCGCCACTGCACTCCAGCCTGGGCGGCAGAAGGAGACTCCGTCTCAAAAAAAAAAAAAAAAAAAAAAAATTAAGCAAGAACAAATCTAAATGAGATTAGCATGACTAGGCAGGTCGTTGAATATGCATCCTCAATCTTCTAGTTTCAGTAGACATTTCTTACTATATAATGCTTATCCAGCACCACAAATAGAATCTTTCTTTGGGGATATTTATGATCTGTAAAACCAACATGGAATTTTATATTATAAATCATCCAACTTCAAAAAATAGCTAGATATTTGAAAAGTCATCTTACTTTTATTCTTGTGGCTAAACCTTACTTTATGACCCTAAAAGGAAGTTTTGAGATATATTTAGTGACAAAACCTTACTGCCATTCATGGAGCACTGTGTCCATTCATGGAGCACCCAGGTCCTGTATCAAGTTCTTTACTTGTATGCTGTAATTTAACTCCAATCAATCCCTTGAAGTAGGTATTATTCCCGTTTTGTATAGATGCAGAAATGGAGGCTCACACTAATTTGGCAAAGCTAGGATTCAGATTCTGGATTGTCAGGCAATAGTGCTCATGTTCTTAAGCTACGTCCAAAAATAAAAATATGGCCATGCCTACTTTTATTCATCTGCAAATGGTTTGATTACAAATTAGGCCTGGAAATTTTTATTTATATGCCGCTAAAATTTTTCAAGATAACATAAGAAATAGCGATCTGGAGAATACTTTGTGTATCATTATTTAATTGTGCCCCAAATTTCAAAAGGAAGAAGTTGGGAGAAGGAAGGGCTTGATTCCTAGTGCTCTGGTGGAATATGGTAAGAAGTAATCTCAGGGTAACTATGTAAAGATCAAATTGAAGCTCAAACTGTCAGGAACAGAATGAGCAGCCCAGGTAGTGTTTTAAGCCTTTTTTTTTTTTTTTTTTTTTTTTTTTTGGAGACGGAGTCTCACTCTGTCGGCAGGCTGGAGTGGAGTGGCCTGATCTCGGCTCACTGCACCCTTCGTCTCCTGGGTTCAAGCGATTCTTCTGCCTCAGCCTCCCGAGTAGCCGAGTAGCTGGGACTGCAGGTGCGCCACCATGCCCAGCTAATTTTTGTATTTTTAGTAGAGATGGGGTTTCAGCATGTTGTCCAGGATGGTCTTGATCTCTTGGCCTCGTGATCCACCTGCCACGGCCTCCCACAGTGCTGGGATTACAGGCGTTAGCCACCGTGCCCGGCCATTTTAAGCATTTTTTTAAGAGCAGTACTATACACCTCATGTTCTTACAAGGAGCATAAGATAGGAGAGCGTTTTTATACTGCAGGGGTCAAGGGAAAGCTCTCCCCTTGGCCCTCTGAAGATTTGAAGAAAAATCAACTTGAAAAAGGCAGATTAGAGAAAAGGCATATAAACTTAATGTGCACACAGTGTGCACATGGGGAGAATCATAGAGTGATTGCCAACCCCCTAAGTGGTTGACAAGCTAATATACCATCCTGGCAAAACAGGTTATGGGAGTGGGGAGAAGAGGAATTCTGTTGAGGAAGTTACTAGGGAAGATGAATGGATCAGGGAACAGAGATTAATTAACTTGTATGTTATTTTGTCAAAGGGTCTATTAGGTGTGATTACATTCTTGGTCTTACAGGAAGGGAAGGAAAAACAATTATTCCTTTTGATGGGTCTAGATCTTGGGCAGATAAAGGAACTTCAACTTCATCTTGTGCTTTGGGAGAGATGGTGGAGCAAAGAGGGGAGGCCAGAGAGATTTTGCGGCTTCTTCAGTTCAGCATGTCAAAACACTATACTTGGGATGTTGATTTCTGAGCCCCAACAATACTGTAAGTATAACCACCTGGTGGTGAAATCAGTTTAGTGTGTCATGATCTGTATTTTAAAAAATAGAATAGAAAACAGCAGAATACATGACACAGAGTAAGTACTTACACGTATTGTTTTGTGAATTTTTCATACACATGTACATCAGGTCACAATATAAAAGCAATTTCCTCCTATTGGTTATGGTTAGAAAGGTTTGAAAAACATTGAGATGGCTAAATACAGAACTTAAGGACTTAAGAAGGCAGGCACCAGCTATAAAGGAAAGGGAAAAAAATGCTTGGAGCCAGTGGTAATTCATTCAATCCACACTTATTTCTTACATGTGTTGAGCATCAAATGTATGCATAACAACTGCCTAAAACTAGGAGGAGACGCAAAGGCAACTTTTAAGGTGAGCCTCTTTTCCCTGGGTAGTTTAAAATCTAGTTAGAAAAAGAAGTTGCAGAGGGGAATCAGTTAAATAACAATCCAAGTCAGTATGGGATTAAGTCCTGAAGAACTATACTGACAGTAGACACTCATTTCAGAAAATTGATGTGAGCAATAGCAGTTGGGGAAGGCTTCAGAAGAAAGGAGCTGAATTTAAGCTGAACTTGAAGTGGGAGGATGAAGGTAGGAGGGAAAGACTTTCCAACAGGAAGAAATGCAGGAGCAAATACAGAGTCAAGAAAGCTCAAGATGTTTGAGGTACAACTAACTTGGTGTAATAAGAGGTGAGATTGGGTAAGTAAGGGGAGGCATAGTGTGGGGTGAGTTTCTGTCTAGTCATAAGAGTTTACAGGAAATGGGCAATCTCTGGAATTTTCTGATCAGGTTAATGGCAGGATGAAATCAGAGTACTAGTCCATTGACACTATATGTGATAGGTTGGAGAGAGAAGAAAGGTCAGATAGGAAGTTATTGCAAGAGTGAAACATTAAGTTGAAAAGTGCTGGACTGGCAAAGAACCAGAAGTAACAAACTGTTACAGGAAGCTGTGCTGTGATGCAGGGAAACTGGAAAGTTAAGCTGTACCAAGTGAAGTAACAGAAACTCCGAGAGAGTAAGTTTACCAGCATCTCATAACAACCACTGAATAAATGGTAAATATGGTTCTTATTGTTGAGTAAACTTGTTAATGTAATTCTGTGCTAGTTATACTGTGAGACATGATCATTCCCAAGAGAAAAACATCTCCTAGTTCAGTACAGTATTCTCAGCTATAACACAGACAAAACAAAGAGGGCTGTTTTTCTTGATGAGAACATCTTGGACCATCAATAGGAAGCACAGACTATGATCTTGTTAAGGTCGACATTTGTGGCTCATTCATTCTGGTACCCACAGCGTCTAAGGAGTACTCAGTAAATGTAAAATGAACTAAGAAAGCCAACGACCGAGTATATGGAGAAAAACATCAAAGTGATATAGAGCCAAGCACACTGAATAACTTTAGTAGATCCCAAACTATGCAGTGAGACCGGTGGTCACCATCATTTAGATCCAGGGCACTTCCTGTTGTGTGCCTTTCAGAACTCTTCAAGGGTCAGTCTGCTTGAAGGACACAGCCTCGCCAATCTGTTGCCCTAAATATTTCTATAGTGATGGAGCTATCAGATGGGCATCAGAATCTGCTCTATCTCATTTTTTAAAAGGACAACTTTTGGCTGGGTGCAGTGGCTCACGCCTGTAATCCCAGCACTTTGGGAGGCTGAGGCAGGTGGATCACGAGGTCAGGAGATCGAGACCATCCTGGCTAACATGGTGAAACCCCGTCTTTACTAAAAATATAAAAAAAATTAGCCGGGCCTGGTGGCAGGCACCTGTAGTCCCAGCTACTCAGGAGGCTGAGGCAGGAGAATGGTGTGAACCCGGGAGGCAGAGCTTGCAGTGAGCCAAGATCACACAGCTGCATTCTAGACTGGGTGACAAAGTGAGACTCCGTCTCAAAAAAAAAAAAAAAAAGGACAACTTTTCACTTCCTCAAAATCATCAATCTAGTACTAGGTTACAAATTATTCCATTTAAAAAGCATTTTCCTTCTGATTATCATTTCAGGATTTCCAGACCAGACTTTAGGCAAAGAAAGAACAGACTTCAAGCAAACTTTTCTCTACTGAATAGGATTATATATTTTATCACCTTGTGAAGAATTTCATCAGAAACAACATCTCATTGCATATTTGCATCTTTTCTTGAAAATTCCTCAAATATATCTATTGTGGGCAATTACATGAATTCATCTTTATTTTTTGGCTACTTATGCTTACACAGAACTGATACTCAAAGCCAATGTGAGAATTAGAACTCACAAAAATGATCACTTTTTTGAAAGGTGAGAAAGTACACAAAACATAAATATGTTCTGTACCTTCCTTCTTCCTTATTTTAAGTTGCCTTTCAATAACTTGATACTATCTTTGGATGAACTGGACGTGGGATTCTGTCACCTCTCTTATGAAAGACAGAATGGGGAAAAAATGAATGAACTTTGTTGTATACGTTTTTGGGTTAAGGAGGGAAGGAAGTTAAATAGCCAAGTGGCTTCTGATTGAATTACTGACAGAAATATTGGTGGCCTCAGATCAGCTGCAGCAGAACTAAAATTGTTAAAACTGTTATCGTTGAGACAGTCTGCGGCGCTTAACCAACTTTTGGGCTATCTGTGCTGCACCGTAGATCAAATTGCTTACCGTCTAGGAGGCGTTAGTTTTACAATAGTTTATCTTATAGATGTCACAAGTTTCATTTTTTGAGGTTAGATATTTTATGAGGTTTTTTTTCTGATTAAAATGACTGTATTAGGTAGGTATTTGCTAACAGCTGCTTCATAGATTTTCTGGGCTAAAGCATTCCCAAGTTGTGTTCAACGGCAAAAACCTTTGGAGTCACATTGCCCTCATATTTCTATTGGAATAGATCCAAAATTGCTGTCTAAGGAAAATCTTGGCTTACCCCACAAATATTTCCTCTGTTTCCTTAATTTTTATAACACAGCGTTAACCCCATTCCTAGTTCCCATGACTGCTAATGCAAATGAATATGCTCTAAATCGTTGACACGACTCTGCTTTTTGGATATTTTCAGAAATGCTGAGTCGCAAGAAGTAACACTTAGGGAAGATTTCCTGAAATCTGCACTGTATTTGGGTGTTCTAATTTTTATCTTTAGATTAAAAAAAATTGTGAGAAGTCTTTTTTTTTTTTTTGGATAGTCTTCTTTTGATTCCTCCTATGATTACTTTTACCAAACTGCTGTTTAGGATCACACAAATACCCTAAGTCTAGGGATGGTAGGAGACGCAGCCTCAGAAACCCCTGACTGACTGTTTTTACTGTGGAGATGCATCTGAGAACGTGCTAACTTATCACATTGTGTTCTCTTAACAAGAGCCTGCAGAAATTTAGTACCACAAATAACTGGTTTTTTTTCTTTTTTTTTTTTTGGAGACAGGGTTTCACTGGAGTGCAGTGATGCAATCTTGTCTCACTGCAACCTCCACCTCCCGGGTTCAAGCTATTCTCCTGCCTCAGCCCCCCAAGTAGCTGGGACTACAGGCATGAGCCACCACACCCAGCTAATTTTTGTATTTTTTGTAGAAATGGGATTTCACCATATTGCCCAGGCTAGTCTCGAACTCCTGAGCTCAAGCAATCTACCCACCTTGTCCTCCCAAAGTGCTAGGATGACAGGCGTGAGTCACTGCTCCTGGCCAACTGCTTTTCTTGAGCAACTAGTTTTATAATCTTGTGGGCATTTTGAATTATATAATTGAATGTGCTTCCTTTTGTTGTTGTGGTGGTTGTTCAAAAATTCAGAGGCTTACTTTTAGCCAGTGCCCAGACCCTATGGTGTACATTTTGTGAATTACTTTTACCCCAACTTCTTATTTTGTCTATTCTTAATTTCTTTTTGGTTGGTTACTTCACTTCCTTTATATCTTATTATACTGTATATATATTTTTAAGCCACCTTCAATATTTTTTGAATAGAAGAAATAAAGGAAAATGTAAGACATAATTATTCATGATTATGCCACAAAGACTAATTTTAAAATGAGGTAATGAGCTTCAAATAATCTAATCTGAAGATTATTCAATTTCCTTACCTCCACCATAATTACATGTATATTTTCACTATTTTACAATGACTGTACATGTAATTTGTATGAGTAGGAGATTGACAGGAAAGAAACAAAATGATGAGTAAAGGCTGAAGCCAGGTAAGCCAGGGTGTGGAAAGAGGGGAAAAAATGTAAGAGAGAGGGAAATATGCTGAATCCAAGAGAAAACAAGCGCCGTTCTTTCAGGTTGCAAGAAGTAGCATGGGTTGGAAGTGGAGAACTGGGAAATACTGATTCAAAGAGACTGCTGTATGGGAGGCAGGAAGAAAGTGGCTAGTTGTTCAAGAGATTAGCATTCCCACAGTATCCAGTATCTCTCCAAGTACTTTGCACACTGGTCATCATATAATTGTTTGCTGTAACCTCTTTAATGTCTGTCTTCCCCATGAGACTGTTCTGGAGGGCAAGGACTCAGTTTGTGGAATTCATCAAGAGCTCAAGTGTTTGTTTGTGTGACCAGCTGTTCTATAAAGAATAAGGAAATTTTATGGCTAGGTGTGGTGGCTCAGCACTTTGGGAGGCCACAGCAGGCAGATCACTTGAGGTCAGGAGTTCAAGACCAGCCTGGCCAACATGGTGAAACCCTGTCTCTACTAAAAATACAAAAATTAGCCGGACATGGTGGCGGGTGCCTGTAATCCCAGCTACTCAGGAGGCTGAGGCAGGAGAATCGCTTGAACCCGGGAGGCAGAGGTTGCAGTGAGCCAAGATCTTACTACTGCATTCCAGCCTGAGTGACAGAGTGAGACTGCATCTCAAAAAAAAAAAAAACCAAAAAACAAAAAACCAAAAAACCAAACTAGATTTTAAGTGATCAGTGAAGAAATCAGGGAATTTTCTAGACATCAATGATAAAATGGACTTTTATGAGTAAAAAAGGGTAAAAGAAGATGACTTACTAGTTGAAAAGACCAAATGAAGTAAGAGGTGTTTTCCTATACGATACTGATTCAGTCAGAGACTTCGCAGACTATTCAGTGTTGCTATTCTGGTGAGGTAAATTGGTTTCCTGTAGATAATTCCTAGTGAAATACAACATGAATGTGTCATTACAATCAATTGCTGACAGTTTTATGTGGCCCATTCATAAAATCATACTAAGCACTTTCCTATTCTGGTGTTCAGATACTAACCTCTGGACCTCTCTCTCCACCATCACCTTTTCTGCCACCATTCAGTTATTCCACAAATGTTTGCTAAGCACGTAGCAAACACTAGCCATTGTCCTAGGTGCCTGGGCGAAGAGTCCCATAGGCCTTGCCTTCAAGGAGTTCATAGTTTAAGACCTGGGACACTGCTTCAGAATTAGGTTATTAACAGCAACACAATTTTATGTCTACCATCTTGAGTATAATAAAAATATTGTAGGTGAGAGTATTCAGAAAGGTACCGACCATACCTGTGTTGGAAATTACAGACACATGGAGTAAAAGATAAAGTTTAGAAATTGTTGGTTTTGTCAGCTCCCATTTAAGACTTTCTTGTTCACTGACCAGGTCCTTAATCATTCAACAGAGACATAATAACTTTATTGGATGGAGCAATACTTCTTGCTAATCAGCATATACACACCCAGTGACCTTGCATGAAGAAGCAGCCTGTCTGCAGAAGATTGCATCTCATCTATACAAAGCAGGAGTGATGTTGTCAATGTGTGTGTGTGCATGCATTTATGTATCTGTATGCTTGTGCAGAGAGGGGAAGATGGGGGAGGGGATGTGGCTTTGTTACTTAGCTTGCTTGATTTTTATCCACAGTTATTAAGAGGTAAAACATTGTAGCTCAACCCCTAGAAGTGGTCGTTTGCTTTACAGAGAGGAAAATCTCTGCCCCCTTACCATGGCTTGCATTTCCAGCCCCAAAAGGCAAAAACAGGGAGCACGTAACTCAGTGGAATCAATAGCACGACCAGAAAGTCAATTCAGTCATATGATGGTGGATCAGTATCATCATTGTAAAGGAGAGGAGATCACTGTACTGTCAGATGCATCACTCTGACTTTCCCCCATCACTGTGGAAAAAGGAGGGAAAAAAGCCTTCAATCATAATAGGAAAGGTAAACAGTTTTTCAAACTTACAAACATATGTACATGTCTTCCTCTGTATCATTTCATGTATGTTGTTTTTATGTATGTACCTGTACAAAAAGATGTAAATATCACTTAACCTTGAGTAATATAATAATACATGTGAATTCTAATTTTAGTTCCACTAAGTATTAATAATTAATGGTAACTTCGTTGAGTGTGAGAATTCCACAAGGTTGCGTTAGAATTCTGAATGACATTTTGTTTTTGCTTTATTGGGCTTTGATATGTCAGACAAGAGAATTCAACTTTTCTCCTGTGTGAATGAATTCAATAGTCTGTTGAGAGAGATGCCAGTTTTTAGGTTGCATCCACCATTTTTATTTTTAGCTCCATCTGTTGTCTTTAATCAAGTTGCTGTTAAAACTCTGATAAAATACTTGGTTTGTAGCATTGGTATTGTCCCCACCAGCTTCCCTAAAATGAGCGCTCCGATTCTAATCCCCAAAGATGTTTGAATTTGTCTCCAGTTGACATCCAAAAGTCTCATCTTCCTGGATTTCCTTCCTCCTCTTGCCCCCTCTGCCCTTTCCCACTATCCCAGTTCCTAGCATCTCCCTGACCCTTGGGTTAGAGCCCAGGGAGATGGACCACTGAATCCAACCTGGGAAAATGACAGGAAGTACGTGCATTCTTCAAAGTGAGGCATTTGCTGTTATTGAGCATCTATTTTAACATAACTCAGATGCAGTGGTATTAATTTGTATATGAATATTTCATTTAATAATAATGATTGAGACTGTCCTCTATATCAGAGGTAAGCATATACAGTACAGCCTGTTCTTTAACTCCTTTTTCCTCACCTGACTCAATTTTCTGTTGATTAAATGTTAGACTGAGAATGAAAGTATACTTGTTAGATTTGGCTACTTATTGAAAGCTGCAGTTTTGGCTAGGCATAGTGTGGCTTATACCTGTAATCCCAGCACACTGGAAGGCTGAGGTGGGAGGATGGCTTGAGACCAGGAGTTTGGGACCAGCCTGGGCAACATAGCAAGACCCCGTCTCTACAAAAAATGAAAAATAAAAAAATGAAAAAAAACTGCAGTTTAAATGTGACTCTAATCACACTATTAAACAGTGTACATTCTTGTAACTAACACAGAAGTTTGGTTCATAACAAATTTAGTTATTAATAAATGAGGCCTCTATATGGTATTCAAAGAAAATGCTTGTGGAATGAAAGACATCTTTTGTGAATATACAGTGAGGGGAGTCTCAAAGTCTGTTACTTCTTTATAGTTCTCTCTCCAACAGAATATTATCTCTGTGGATGACAGTAGATCTTCAATATCTTGCTCTTACCTATCTTTATTATCTTTATCCCCAATTGGTTTCAGTTTCCCTCCTCTGCAAGCAATTGTCTTTATTTCATCATTCAGATAGACTGAGCTGATGGATCAACAGAAGCCAGAAAATTATATATGCACACTGTATGTTTAATACTGGTGTGCAATCTCATTACTGTAAGCACAATGTTTTTAAAAAAATCTGTTCAAACAGAGTTTATATGAATAGCAACCTTTGTTCTCTCAGGCTTACTTGAGTGGAAAAAATCCTTTTGAGGCTATAAAAGAACTTGTGGTACAATATTGATTAATCAGTAATGCAAATTAGCTTTGAGTTTACCATTCAAATGTGGAAAAATATCTTTGAATAAAAAAGTGAGACCCTCACTTCTGGCTCTGTGCTGCTTTCGGTGGTTGATTCCCTCAGACATACTTCCCTCATAATGATGGTGAGGATTATTACCTTATGAATTTAAAAAAATCATCTGTTGACCTTTACTATCATGCCTGAAATAAAGCTCCTAAGAAGAAAATATTAATTTCAGTTGAAGGTAAATTCAATAGAGTTTCACTTCATCTCAACCACATTTTCCAAACCACTAGACCACTAAATGTTCACTGGAGACTTTAAGATCGTGGTAAAATTAGCAGTTTGGTAATAATTGATTTGAGGGCCAAGAAACAATAGAGGCTCAAAACCCACAAACCCCAAATCTATTAAATTATCCTGTTTTGAATGTTTACTTTAAAAAAAGAGTAAGCAGATGATTTTAAAACAGTCACTTCATTTTGGATTGTATACCCTTCTGAGGAAGGATTAAATTTTATAGTTTAACAAAGCTTTCTGAAGACTCAAGATTTGAGCTGATATATTTTAATAAGGAAAAATTATTACCTGCTTGTTAATTTAGTCAAAAATATTATTTATCTATTTTTTAAAAATTACCTGGGCGTGGTGGTGCATACCTGTAGTCCCAGCTACTCAGGAGGTGGAAGTGGCAGGATCGTTTGAGCCTGGGAGGTTGAGGCTTCAGTGAGCCAAGACTGCACCACTGCACTCTAATCTGGGTGTTAGAGCAAGACCCTGTCTCAAAAAAAAAAAAAAAGTCTTTTATCTCTAAAGTCCCAGAGATGTGAAAATGTATCATTAAATTTTAAATTATCAGTAACAATCAAGATTCAAGTTGCTTCAAGAATGCTAAAATTGACTTTATTTTATTGTCAGTTCCTTTATATTGTGCCTTTTCTGGATTTGTAGCCAATAATTTGTTAGATCCAGTTATGCTTATTAATTTAATTTTCTTTTTCACTATATGGCAAACAAGATGTATTCCCAGATTATTGTTTTGTAGGAATTACTCTTTGTTTTTCTTAAAACTATACACTGTTTTTTTATATGATTTTCCATGATCTTATTTAATCTCACAGCATGAGTTTAGCAATTATTTAGTAGCTATATGTCCACATTTTCTTGGCCCTGATTGGCCTTGTAATCCACTGTATACAATTTAATCCACATACCAGGCATTAAACAACAACAATAGAATCAATAATAATAATGCCTACTATTTGTTGAGGACTCACTAGGAGCCAAGCCCTGAACTAAATACGTAACACATTATCTTATTTAATCCTCTCTAATCCCAATGAGGGCATTATTTTATTCCTATTATGACACTATTAACTATTATATAGCTACCATTTGTTAAGCTTGGTGGTATGAACTAAGTGCTTTACATGTATCATTTAATTCTCACAACAACTATATTTTATTTATAGTTACATCAGCCATATGGTTAAAATGGTTGGTAAAGTACTGAAATACTTCCATAGTGGTCAGTGAAGAACTCAGTGCCCTGAGTTCCCCAAGTATCCTCCATACCACACCCTATATCTCCAGTGGCTCAACTCTTCTCCTGCGGACCCCTCAACCTTGTCCTCAAATTCTGAAACTAAAGGGTTAACACTGGGCACAGCAGGTGCTCCCAACATCGAGGCAATACCAGAGTCCCTTCTGATTGGTTGGTGCCCAAGATGTACCAGGCATTAAATATTTTGACTATTAACAGGAACGTAGGTATTATAGTTCCCATTTTGCAGGTGACAAAAATCACATAAGTACACAAAAGTTAAGCAACTTGCCTAAGATCACCCATCTACGAACTGTCAGAACCAGAACACAAACCTAGGTCTCTCTCAGGTTAAAATCTTTGCTCTTAACTAGTATAGTATGCTAAAAAACGGAGAATACCAGCTCACCATTGATGGGCACTTCCCAGGCCCAATGTGAATAGCTTTGGAACTCTGTACTCTGTGTCCGGCTACTTGTGCGATGGATTTAATGCTTTTCATTCTTATCTTAAAGCTGTGAAAATACTGTTTTCTTAACTGGTTCCAAGACATAATAATGAGCATGCAAGTACTGGATTGATAATGGGTATTGCTTTGCATTATTTTGCTCTCATCCTATACTCACTAATTTAGCCCATGTTGTGTTATTTTGCAACAATCTCCCTATAAGTAAAAATTACCTTATTCATTTTATGCCTATGTCCCCACATAAACAGCCTTGGTATTTAGGCTAATCGTTAAACACATCAAGAATGGTAAGTTATAAAAGTAACATTTTAATATACTTTTAAACTGTGCTTACTTTTATATAATTTAATGTCTAAAATCCAAAGACCAAAGGCTGAAAATCTTTGTTATTATGTTTTGCTTCTCTACTTCTGTGTCTCATCTACCATGTCTTTCTCTCCATTCCTGATAAAAAGCTAACTTCCAATTTAATGTACATCATGTCCAAGTCATTTATATAATCTTGTCCTTAATATTTAAGAAAATTCTAATGCTATTATTACAGTTCTGTATATCTTTTGAAGTCAGTAACTTAGACCGACACAGGAACCAACAATTCTGCCGACTACAAAGCACACTTTTATTTAACAAAATGCAGCAAATTCCCAGAGCTGAGTATGCCACGTCCATTCACCAAAGTGGGAAAATTTGACTAGGGGAGAAAGCAGAATTACTGTGGTCATGGTGAAAGGGTGGTATTTGGAAATAGAAGAGGCAGATCTCTTGAAGATATGTCTGGCATCAAGTCACAGAGCCAAGAAGTTTTCTTTTTGTTTTTGTTTGTTTGTTTGTTTGTGACAGCGTCTCACTCTGTCCAGGGTCTATTCACTCCAGGCTGGAGTGCAGTAGCACAAGCATAGCTCACTGCAGCCTCGACCTCTTGGACTCAAGGGATCCTCCCGCCTCAGCCTCCTATGTAGCTGGGACTACAGGCATGTGCTACCATGCCTGACTAATTTTTAAATATTTTAGAGAAACAGGTCTCACTGTGTTGAGAACTCCTGGCCTCAAGTGATACTTCTGCCTTGGCCTCCCGGTGTTGAGATTACAGGCAGGATCCACTGTGCCAGGCCAAAGAAGCTTTCTTAATGGAGGCCTCAGCATTATAGCTAAAGGCAGCCTGGCTCTTTGGGACAGCGTGTACCCATCGGTTGCTCTGATATTACCCATCGGTTGCTCTGATATGGGACAGCATGTACCCATCGGTTGCTCTGATAAAATCCTGTGTGTTAATGAGATTTTATATATATATATAAATATATAATTTTTGTTTTTAGATGAGTCTTGCTCTGTCACCCAGGCTGGAGTGCAGTGGCACAATCTCTGCTCACTGCAACCTTCTCCTCCCGGGTTCAAGCAATTCTTCTGCCTCAGCCTCCCAGGTAGCTGGGATTACAGGTGCCCACCATCATACCCAACTAAGTTTTGTATTTTTAGTAGAGACCGGGTTTCACCATGTGGGCCAGGCTAGTCTCAAACTCCTGAACTCAGGTGATCCACCTGCCCCGGCCTCCCAAAGTGCTGGGATTATAAGTGTCAGCCACCGCACCTGGCCTATAGTATCCTTTATAATAAACCAGTATATGTAAATATGTATTTTCCTGAGTTCTGGGAGCCACTCTAGCAAATTAATTAAGCTGGGGCGGGGGGGCATGGGAACCCTGATTTATAGCAGGTCAGTCAGAAGCACAGGCCACAACCTGTGCTTAAAACTAGCATCTGAAATGGAGGGGTTTCCTGTGGGACTGAGCCCTCAACCTGAGGGATCTGATGCTATCTCCAGGTAAATAGTGTCAGAATTGAATTGAATTGGAAAAGCTACACACATACGGGGTCACAGAAGTCTTCTGTGTAGTGAGAGTATAGTAGGAGAAAATGAGTTTTTTTTTCCCCGCATATTCTTACACTTGCATTCAAGTTTGCTGTAGGATTTTGGCTCTATCTGAGGCTCCTGGGACAAGCAGAGGAGTCAATCCCCAGCAGCACCAAGCAACCTCACCCCAAAGCAGCAGCAGGGATGAAATACCCACCTGCTGTCTCCCCTGGGCCCTGAGCAACACCTGGGGCCCTAAGGTTGTGGCTGCACAGCTCTCTGGTGATGTTTAATCTTGGGACTTTTAGTAGCATTTGGAAAGGAATGCAGTGTGCCCCAACATCATCTTTGCACAACTTCAAGGTGGCTGCAGGAAGGATCTGAGCTCAGAAAGTCGTAGGAACACAACTGAAGCTGGAGTTTTTCCTCATCATTCTACCCAAAGAGATCAGGATTGATGGAGAGAAGCCAAGGTGGAAGCTATTTGATTGCTGAGTACTGGAGCAAGCACTTTGTGGGAATTGCTTGAGGACCTAATGGAAGGCAGAAGGGACTTGGAAGGGGAGGGCTGAATCTCTGGTACTACCCTGGAGAGGCCTGAGCCAGTGATGATTGTGGTATCCTTATTTCCTTGCATTGTTTTTTTCCTGGGAACCTCAGGAGTGTCTGGGGGAAAAAAAATCACGTGGAGGAGTTTTAAGATAGCTGACTAGATACATCTAGTATTTGTCTCTTCCACAAAGAGAACCAAAGAAGAACCAAAATAGCAAGTAGATAAATATGCTTCAAATAGATAATCTAAGAGAGAACACTAGAATTTAAGAGAGAAATGGTGGGAAATACCAAAGGCAAGGAAAGAGAGAGATGTGAGGCAACCTGCTGAGCTGGGATTCGCTGGGAGCCTGGAGAGACTTCCTAATGCAGGAAAGGGCAAGTTAGAGACCCCTCAGTCCACATTCCCATGGTGGATTCCTGCAATCCTAGCCACAGGAGAGCCCCTTGGCCCTTTTGGGCTGCCTGGAGACCACCCAATGGTACCCAATGGTACTACTCCAGAGAGAAAGCTCATACTGGGTCCCACAAACCCCAAAGTCCTAAGCAGCTACAGCATGGTGCCATTTTGAGAGCCCAAAACCCATCAGATTGCATCTTGCCCTGGGGCCAACACCCCTGCAGCATTGAAGGGTGAGAAAAGTGCACGTTCACCAGCCATCTGCCTATGGCTACCCCTAATTAGAACAATTTCACCCTCTCTAGTAGGAGGGCCACAGTGGAGCCAGTGCAGCCCCCACCTGAGCATATCACAGATGACTGGAAGGTCACCCACTTCTACCTACCATAGCTAGTGCCTGCATGCACAACTGGTGGAGGCACCTGAGGACAGGTTCACCCAGCCTGGCTCTACCACCCTCCCAGTGCCCAAGCATGCCATCCAGGGATCTAGGGATTGCCCAGCCCAGTTCACCACCATTTACAGCTGAGTAGTCCTCCCAGGGTCTGAAGTGAGGCCCACACAATCTGCTGCTACTACCACAGCTGGCACCTACCCTGTGATTCTGGGGATTGGTTCACCTAGCCCATCACAGCCACAACCAACACCAATGCAGACTGCTTGAGTCCCAGAGGGTTGTCCCACCACTGCTACTGCCATCACTCATGTCACACCTGCTGCCCCATGGCCTGAGAACCCACCCATTGCCACCATTCCTGGCATCCAAGCAAGCCACCTGGAGACCCAAGAATTGGCATGCCTGGACCCACTAATACTGGTACCAACTTGCAATGCCCTAGGGCCCCAGGACAGGTACCACTGCATCACTGGGGCCCAATGAATGTCCCGTCTAGTGTCCCAGTCCCCAGCAAAATTTTACCAGAGCCTCCACTGACAATAAGTACAAATTCAAATAAATACAATTCTAAAAGATCTTCTCCATAGCATATTGCAGTCAAATTGTCAAATATCGAAGGCGAAGAGAATTCTAAAACAGCAAGAGAAAAGTATCTACTCACTTATAAAGGAACTCCCTTCAGACCAGCAGATTTCTCCACTTGATCTCAGCCAAAAGGCTGAGAAGCAATAACAGATTTCTCTATAAGCAGAAACTTTACAGGCCAGGAGAGAATGGGATGATATAGTTAAAGTGCTGAAAGAAAACAGCTGTCAGTTAGGCACAGTGGCTCATGCCTGTAATCCCAGTACTTTGAGAGGCTGAGGTGGGCGGATCACTTGAGGTTAGAAGTTCAAGACTAGCCTGACCAACATGACAAAACCCCATCTCTACTAAAAATACAAAATTAGTTGGGTGTGCTGGCAGTCACCTGTAATCCCAGCTACTTGGGAGGCTGAGGCAGGAGAATCACTGGAACTCGAGAGGCAGAGGTTGCAATGAGTCAAGATGGTGCCACCTTAGTGACAGAGCGAGACTCCATCTCAACCAACAACAACAACAAAATAAAACAACTATCAACCAAGAATACTATATTCAGAAAACTTGTCCTTCACAAATGGAGAAACAAAATCTCTCCCATGTAAGCAAAAACTGAGAGAATTTATTATCATTAGACCAGCCCTTCAAGAAATGCTTCAGGGAATACTACAACCAAAAGTGAAAGAACAATATCTACCATCATGAGAATATAAAAACCATGGGTAGAGAAGACACACAAACAAGGAGGAGAAAAATGCTCCAATGTTACCACTGCAGAAAACCACCAAACCACAATGATAAACAATTAGAGAAAAAAAGTAATAAAGGACACATAAAACAACTAGAAATCAATTAATAAAACCACAGGAATAAGCCTCACATAACCCTCACATATCATTAATAACCTTGACGGCAAACAAATTAAACTTTCCACTTAAAAGATATACACTGGCTGAATGGATTAAAAAAACAACAACAGCATGGCACCCAACCATATGCTGCATACAAGAAACTCATCTCACCTGTAAAGAGACATATAGACTGAAAGTAAAGGAATGGTAAAAGATATTCCATGCAAACAGAAACCAAAAATGAGCGGGAGTGGCTATACTTACATCTGATAAGATAGACTTTAATTCCAAAACAGCAAAAAGAGACAAAGAAGATAATTATGTAATGGTAAAGACATCAATTCAGCAAGAAGATGTAACAATTCTAAACATATATGCACCCAACACTGGAGAACCCAGATATATAAAGCAAATATTATTAGATCTAAATGGAGAGATTCACAATATATAATACAATACAATAATAGTTGGGGGCCTCAATACCCCACTGTCATCATTAGATAGATCATCTAGAGAGAAAATTAACAAAGAAAGATCTAAACTGCACATTAGACCAAATGGACCTAATAGATATTTAGAGATCATTTAATAAAACAGCTTCAGAGTTCATATCCTCTGATTAACACATAGAACATTCTCCAGAATAGGCCATATGTTAGGACACAAAACAAGTCTCAACAAATTTTTAAAATTCAGATCTTTTATGGTATCTTCTCAAATCACAATGGGATAAAACTAGAAATCAATAAAAATGGAACTTTGGAAACTGTATAAATACATGTCAATTAAACACTATGCACTAGAATGACCACTGGGTCAAGGAATAAATTAAGGAAGAAACCAGAACAAATTTAAAAATGAATGAAAACTGAAACACAACATACCAAAACCTATGAGAGATGGCAAAAGCAGTGCTAAGAGGTAAGTTTATAACAATAAACACTTAAATCAAAAAAGTAGAAAGGTTTCAAACAACCTAAAGATGCATCTCAAGGGACTAGACAAGTAAAAATAAACCAAACCCAAAATTAGTAGAAGGAAAGAAATAACAAAGAACATAACAGAAATAAACAAAATAGAGACAAAAAACATTCAAAGGATCAATGAAATGAAAAGTTGATTTCTTGAAAAGATAAACAAAATTAATAAATCACTTGCTAGACTAAGAAAAAAGAGAGAAGATCCAAAGAAATAAAATCAGAAATGAAAAAGGCGACATAACAAGTGATACTACAAAAATGCAAAAGATAATCAGAACTATTATGAGCAACTATATAGGAATACATTGGAAAACCCAGAGGAAATGGATAAATTCTTGGTCACATATAACCCACCACAATTGAATCAGAAAGCAATAGAAAACCCAAACAGACTAATAATGAATAATGAGATTGAATCAATAACTAAAATCCTCCCGACAAAGAAAAGTCCAGGACCAGATGGCTTCACTGCCAAATTCTACCAAACTTTCAAAGAAGAACACCAATTCTCCTCAAACTATTAAAAACAAACAAACAAACAAACAAACAACCATGATAAAGTGGGATTTATACCAGGGATGCAAGGGTGGTTCAACATTTGCAAATCGATAAACATGATATATCACATCAACAGAATAAAGGACACAAAAAAATGATTATCTCAATAGATGCAGAAAAGGCATTTGATAAAATTCAACATCCTTCATAATAAAGACTCTCACAAACATCATGTAGAAGGAACATACTTTAACATAATAAAGGCCATATATGACGAACCCACAGCTAACACCAAACTGAATGAGGAAAAGCTGAAAACCTTTTCTCGCTAAGAACTGGAAAAAGTTAAGGATGTCCACTTTCACCACTCCTATTCAACAAAATACTGGAAGTCCTAGCCAGAGCAATCAGGCAAGAGAAAGAAATAAAAGGCATCCAAATAGGAAAAGAAGTAGTCAAATTGTCCCTCTTTACTAATGATGTGATCTTTTTCCTAGAAAAGCCTAAAGATTCCACCAAAAACTCTTAAATCTGATAAGCAAATTTAGCAAATTGCAGATACAAAATCAAAATACAAAAACCAGTACCATTTATATACACCAATAATAAACTGGCTGAAAAAGAAGACAATCCCATTTACAATTGGTACAAAAAATCACCCAGGAATAAATTTAACCAAGGAGATGAAAGCCTCTACAAAGAAAACTACAAAACACTGATTTAGAAATTGAAGAAGATACAAACAAATGGAAAGACATTTCCATGCTCATGGATCAGAAGACTTAACACTGTTTAAATGACCATACTATGCAAAGCAATCTGTAGATTCAACACAATCACTAACAAAATGCCAATGTCATTTTTCACAGAAATAGAAAAAACAATCCTAAAATATGCAAGGAACCAAAAAGCGGCCAAACAGCTAAACAATACTAAGCAAAAAGAACAAAGCAGAGACATCATACTACCTGAGTTCAAAATATATTACAAGCTTATAGCAACCAAAATGGCAGAGCATTGGTATAAAAACCAAGAGATGGACCAATAAAATAGAATAGGGAACCCAGAAATAAATCCAGATATTTACAGCCAACAGATCTTCCCCTAGAACATACACGGGGGAAAAGAAACTCTCTTCAATAAATGGTGCGGGGAAAATTGGGTAGCCGTGTGCAGAAAAATGAAACTGGGCCCCTATCTCTCACCATATACAAACATCAACTCAAGATGGATTAAAGACTTAAACATAATACTCAAAACCATAAAACTACTAGAAGAAGACAGGGGAAAAACACTTCAGGACAATGGTGTAAGGCCAAACTTGTCCAACTCACGGTCCGCAGGTCACATGCAGCCCAGGACAGCTTTGAATGTGGCCTAACACAAATTCAGAAGCTTTCTTAAAAGATTATGAGATTTTTTTGTGATTTTTTTTTTTAGCTTATCAGCTATTGTTAGTGTTAGTGTATTTTATGTGTGGCCCAAGACAATTCTTTTAATGTGGCCCAGGGAAGCCAAAAGATTGTACACCTCTGGCCTAGGCAAGGATTTTATTATTAAGATCTCAAAAGCTCAGGCAACAAAAACAAAAACAGACAAATGGGACTACATAAAACTAAAAAGCTTCTGCACAGCAAAGGAAACAATCAGCAGAGTGAAGAGACAACCTGTTGCATGGGAGAAAATACTTGCAAACTATTCATCCAATAAGGGACTAATACCCAGAATATACAAGGAACTCAAACAACAACAGTAAAAAATAAATAATTTCATTAAAAAGTAGGCAAATCAACATGGTGAAACCCCGTCTCTACTAAAAATACAAAAATTAGCAGGGCATGGTGGCGCACTCCTGTGGTCCTAGCTACTCGGGAGGCTGAGGTAGGAGAACTGCTTGAACCCAGAAGGTGGAGGTTGCAGTGAGCCAAGTTTGCGCCACTGCGCTCCAGCCTGGTGACAGAGCAAGACTCTGTCTCAAAAAAAAAAAACAAAAAACAACAACAAAAAAAAAGTGGTCAAATCATTATCTTAAGCAAATTAATGCAGGGTCAGAAAACCAAATACTACATGTTCTCACTTAAAAGAGGGAGCTAAACATTGAATACAAATGGACATAAAGTTGGGAGCAACAGACACTGGGGACTAGTAGATGGGAGAGAGAGGGAGGGGATGAGGGTTGAAAAATCACCTGCTGGGTACCATGCTCACTACCTGGGTGATGGGATTATGTATGCCCCAAACCTCAGCATCATACACTATACCCATGTAGCAAATATGCACATGTACCTCCTGAACCTAAAAGTTGAAAAATTTTTGAAAGTGGGTATCAGAAGAAGCTACACAAATGGCCAACAGGAATATGAAAAAAGTGTTCAACTTTTTTTATATTAGCAGGAAAATGCAAATCAAACCCACAATGAGATGCCATCTTACCCCAGTTAGAATGGCTATTAATAAAAAGACAAAAAAATAACAGATGCTGGCAAGGATATGGAGAAAAGGAAACTCTTATATGTGGTTGGTGGGCATGTAAGTTAGGAGAGCCACTAGGGAAAATAGTCTGGAGATGTCTCAAAAAACTAAAAATATGATTACCATATGATCCAACAATCCCACTACTGGGTTTTATCCAAAGGAAAAGAAATCAGTATATCAAAGGAATATCTGCACTTGCATGTTTATTGCAGCACTATTCACAATAGCAAAGATAAGAATTCAATCTAAGGGTTCATCAGCAGACGGATGGATTAAAAAATGTATACATATACAGTGGAATACTATTTGGCCATAAAAATAATGAAATCATGTAATCAGCAGCAACATGGATATAACTGAAGGTCATTTTGTTAAGTGAAATAAGCAGGCACATAAAGACACATATCACACGTTCTCATTTATACGTGGAAGCGAGAAAAGTTGATCTCATGGCGGTAGAGAGTAGAGTAATAGATATCAGAGGCTTGGAAGGGTGTGTGGGTGGGAGGGGGGATGAACAGAGTTGGTAAATGGATACAAATAGATAGTTAGATAGAAGGTATAAGTTTTTTTTTCCTAATCTGGTCCTTGATTCAGGATTTATTATTATTATTTTTTCCAAGGCATGAGTTCTAATGTTCCATAGTGGAGTAGAATGACCATAGCTAGCAACAACGTATTGTGTATTTCAAAGTAGCTAGAAGAGAGGATTTGAAATGTTCTTACACATAAAAATAATAAATACTCTAGGTTATGGATACCTCAAATACCCTGACTTGATCATTACTCATTCATTCATGTAACAAAATATCACATGTACCCCCATAAATATATAAAATATTATGTATCATTTTTTGAAGTCAACCAAATAGTGAGAAGTTCTGTTTTCTTTAGGGCCACATTCTGAGATGAAATGATCCAGTCATGTATTAGTAGTCAGGAAGATAGAAGATACTCTCAGTATGGCAAGATGCCTCCATCCCTCTTGTGAGAGATCATCATATTTGTGCAAGTGCAACCATCATTGTAACACATATTTATGAACATCTTCTATGTGCTAGGAGCTGTATTAGCTACCACATAGTTCAATGGAGATGGAATAAGTGAGGTCTACACAGCCTGAAGGAAACAGTGAACTTCCGGATGTCATCCCATACATACCCATCATGTTTATAATACATTCTGCAGCTGAAGTGTGACCTGGAGCACACCCTGTTCACTAGGTGTGAAAATTTTAGAATAGAAAAGGTTTCCTTGACATTCATCAATACAGAAGGGATTATCTGGGAAAGACTTGGAGTAATGACTGTTTATTATAGAGTCTGTTCCAACATCACAGGATTAGCAAACTTGTCTCATCAATATTTTGAAGTTGATCAGATGTAGAATGTTCAGTTTAGCAAACCTTCCAACAGAATGACATATGAAAACGGAAATATGTTTTGTTTTGTTTTGTTTTGAGACAAGCTCTCACTTTTTTGTCCAGGCTGGAGTGCAGTGGTAAGATCTCAGCTCCACTGCAGCCTTGACCTCCTGGGCTCAAGTGATCCTCCCACCTCAGCCTTCCTAGTAGCTGGGACTACAGACATACATCACCACACCTGGCTAATTTTTGCATTTTTTGTGGAGATGGGGCTTTGCCATGTTGCCCAGGCTGGTCTCCAACTCCTGCACTCAAGTGATCTGCCCACCTTGGCCTCTCAAAGTGCTGGGATTACAGATATGAGCCACTGCACCTGAACTTCCGTGTACTATTTTTCCCCTTATGTACTATTTATAAGAGCAATTGTTGAATGTTTAGCTATTAATTATTTTGATTTAATTTTCAATTGTATATTAGTTTCAAAAATAGAAGAAATGGGGATAATGAAAATACAGTGTGTCAATAACAGGCTAGGTTTAATATTAGAGTTTCCTAATACCTAAGCCTTTGATAAATTCACTAGCGTCAAAAGTTAATTCTGTATTATTATTACTGTTTTAATTAGCATGCTTGTTTAATTGGGCACTAAGGTGCCAATTAAAAGAAGAAAAGTCCACTATATCCTAGGGAAATAACTGATTAAATTTCCTAGAAATAAAATCTGTGGGAAATAGAAAATGTTCTGTAAAATCACTGTCACCTGGGCTTTCTATCACTGTGATTGTGTCTCTATGGGTCAAGAAAATTGCTAAAGCCAAGAAATTGTTCCAAATAGATAAGCAAGAATTCTGTCAGTTTTAAACAAGCTAAAGTCAATTTGGTTCCTTGCCAATGAGAACTCTGACTCCAATGCAAGGTCTAGACTGGGGTCAGGTCTGGCTAGCTGTTCTGTGAATGTCTTCCCCAGAACCCCCTTCTTCTCTCGTATGCCCCTCTGGATTCTGCCAGAGCCCTGGTTAGGCTTGGAAAATCACCCCCCACCCCGGAGGAGGATCCATTGACCCATATCTGGATTGGCCACAGGTTTGGTTGTCAAATCCACTGGGTTTTCTGACAGAAAAACAAAATGAGAGGGAATGTCATCATGTATTCCAACCCCCAGGGAAGCTTCCTCCCCAAAACATTACCCCCATTCCCATTCTCAAGAAATCCAATGAGATAATTAATGTTTGCTAAATAAATTGATTTTTAGAACTGCTTTTTTGTAAGAAAAAAAAGTTTAATTTACATTCACTCCATTTATCCCCCTAAATAGGAATGTATAGAGGCTAATAGTTGTGTTATTCCCAATTCCAAATGCTATGGTCTGAATGTTTGTCTCTCTCCAAAATGTATTTGTTGAAACATAACATCCAATGTGATACTATCAAGAGGTGGGGCCTTTGTGGAGGTGATTAAGTCATGACCAAGTGAATGGGATTGTGGTTAAAGTATATTCAGTTCAACTTTACAGAAAAGGAAATTAAAATGAGAAATACTTATATGTCTTCCTACTAAGCCAATTCATGAAAACTGAGAATTCACCAGATTCTGAAATGTCCTGCTCCCATTATAGTTATCTTGTTCAGCAAAAATATCTCTTCTACCCAAGAGGAAATATAATTAGTAAATAAATACATGGAAAAATGTTCATTCTTGATGGTAATCAAAGGAATGTAAGCAGAAACAACTTTGAAATAGGATTTTATAGCATTTTATAAAAGAGGCCTGAGGAAGCTTGTTTGCCCTTCCACCACGTAAGGATGCAGCAAGAAGGCACAATCTATGAAGGAAAGAGTGAATGCTCACCAGATAGGGAATCTGCTAGCACCTTGATCTTGGACTTCCCAGCCTGTAGAAATGCAAGAAACATTTCTGTTGTTTATAAGCAATCCAGTTTAATATATCTTGCTACAGCAGCCCAAACAGACTAAGACACAGATTCGGGGATATAATTAAATGTAAGAAGATTCAGGGATAATCTTGGGTTAATTTTTAGTCTGTAATGCTAAATATGTATTTTAAAGTTATGCTTTTAAAAATACCTAATGTAATTATTGGGTACATCCTTTTTCACAAGAATTTAAGGTATGCACACTCATGGAATTTTCTGAATAACCTTCTGTTGTGGCTAAAGTATATTCAGTCCAACTTTACAAAAAAGTAAATTAAAATGAGAAATATTTATATACCTTCCTACTAAGCCAATTCATGAAAACTGAAAATTTACCAGATTCTGAAATGTCCTGCTCCCATTATATAGTTACCTTGTTCAGACATGCTTTTTCATAGTTTAAGAAAAATATCTCTTCTATCCAAGAGGAAATATAATTAGTAAATAAATACATGGAAAAACGTTCATTCTTGACAGTAATGAAAGGAATGTGAGCGAAAACAACTTTGAAATATCATTTTATATCTACGAAAAAACAAAAACGTAGAGCTTTTTATTGTAACAATTGTCAATCAATGTTAAAGTGAAATTCTGTACTTTTTTTTTTTTTTTTTTGAGACAGAGTCTTACTCTGTCTCCCAGGCTGGAGTGCAGTGGCACCCTCTAGGCTCACTACAACCTACGCCTCCCAGAATGAAGTGATCTTCCCACCTCACCCTCCCAGAACAGTTGGGACTACAGGCACATGCCCCCACGCGGGGCAAATTTTTATATTTTTTGTAGAGATGGGGTTTTGCCATGTTGCCAGGCTGGTCTTGAACACCTGGGCTCAAGCAATCCACCCGCCTCAGCCTCCCAAAGTGCTGGGATTACAGGTGTGAGCCACTGGAGCTGGCCATGTACTCATCCTTGATGGCACTGTAAATTAATACATTCCTTTTGAAAAGAAATATGGCGATAAGGAACAATAGCCATAAATACAGTAAAGTCCTTTGTTCTAGTAATTCTACTTTGAAATAATTCAAAATAAATGAAAACATAGATACATGAATACCCCCATCCATTACATCTTTATCCATAATAATAAGACATTGGTGTAAACTAAATAATTAATATTAGGCTACAGATTAAAATTTTGATTGATCATCTACCACACTCCTTCATCAACCTTAACTGAAAATGAGTACCTATTTCATAGGCCGGGCGCGGTGGCTCATGCCTGTAATCCCAACACTTTGGGAGGCCAAGGTGGGTGGATCACCTGAGGTCAGGAGTTCGAGACCAGCCTGGCCAAGATGGCGAAATCCTGTATCTACTAAAAAAAATACAGAAATTAGCTGGGAATAGTGGCGGGTGTGTATAATTTCAGTTACTTCAGAGGCTGAGGCAGGAAAATTACTTGAACCTGGGAGACAGATGTTGCAGTGAGCCGAGATTGCGCTATTGTACTCCAGCCTGGGTGACAAGAGCGAAACTCTGTCCCCACCCCCCACCCCAAAAAAAAGAAAAAGAAAAAAAAAAGAAAGTGAGTACCTATTTCATAATACAAACGTGCATTATAGAGACTATAGACACAATTCAGCAGCTGACAGTGAGTAACTGATTCTACAAGGTAATGTCAAATTTATAAAATTTAGTTACCAAACTTTTAATAAGGGTATGGTTTCAACAGCCATTGATCCTAATATGACCTGTGCCTCAAAGTAACCTAATGGTTGATGAGAGAAAGTTTATGTTTTACAGCATCATAGCCAACAAATAAAGAAGGAATAGCAGAATCGGGATCTCACTAGGTAGACATTACTCAATATGGCTGCTAGCATCCCAGGGAGACAACCAGACACTATGTAGCTTCTGATGGAAGCACCTAAAACCTATGAGGTAATCTTGTCCTTCACCAAAAACAAAATCTAAAAATTATCAAGTTTAAGATTTTAATTTATAGAAAATACTCAGGCTACAAGAACATGTTTAATGTCTCCATAGATATTGTCAGCAAATTCAGACAGTGGAGACTTCTGTAAGACTATGACCCTTTTTCTTCAACAGTAAAATTACAAGAAAAAAAGAGAAAAATTTAGGGAGAAATTTATGGATTAAAAAAACAAACAAACTTCAAGGTATATATCTACCAATAACAGGCAGACTTATTTGTATCTAGATATGGACAAACTTTTTTTTTAAATGATTGTATAGTTACAATAAGGAAAATGTGAGCACTTGATATTTAGTAAGATTAAATAATTTTCCTTTATTCTTAGGGGAGTGGAGGCACTGTAGCTATTTGAAAAGGGAAGTCCTTTTTATAGATGGATATCAAAATATATATAGAAGAAATGATGTATCTTAGGTTTGCTTCAAAATAATCTGGAGTTTCCTTGAATAGAACTCACATCGATTTTGTTATGTGACTAAAGCCTGCAGAATGCTGTTAGTGTGCTCCAGATCTTTCCATTTGTGAATTTATTTATTCCTTTGAAGGTCCTTATCTTTCTTCACCAGGGCCTATTTAGAGCTTATTTCTGCTTCATGGATTTTGTCTAGCGTCCTCCACCCTTCAGTAGCATATGAGCTATTTTTTACATTGGTTTCTTTTTAAAACACACATACACACAAGGACAAATTTTGCTATTAAAATATACCCCTGACCCTGGTATTCTTATCATAAAAGTAGAGTCATAGAATCTGAGAGCAGCTAAACTTATCAAATGCACATAATGCATTAAGCATAGAGTGTGATTGAGAGAGGCTAAAAAAAATCTGCCTTGAAGAATAGAGCATTTAGTCAGAGGAAAAAATCATACAGAAACAACTATAACAACAATTAACATTTATTGACTTCTGTGTATGTGCTCAGTACTTAGCTAAGTGCTTTAGGTGCAGTTAATCCTCAGAACTCCATGAATAAGTACTATGTACTATTATTACTCCTCAAGTACAAAAGAGGAAACTGAAGTGTACAAACTTTAGATAACTCGCTCAGTGTCACACAGATAGTAGATTGGCATAGTAGATCCTAGACCCCAGTCTCTCTGAAGCAAAAGCTCATGTTAGTTACAACTGTACAAAACTAGCAGTATCCTCTTCAATTGAGATTTACTCTGAACCTTCATTCTGCACAGCAATACACAGCAAACCTTGCCTATTCAAACATTGACACATGAATGTTGTGATAGTTAATTTTATGTGTCAACTGGTCAAACATCCAAAAACACTCTCAAAGACCACCCAGAATAATGAGATTAACATTTTAATTGGTAGAGTAAAATAGGTTGCCCTCCATAATGTGGGTGGGTCTTGTCCAATCAGTTGAAGACCAGACTAGAATGTAAAGACCAGCTAAAGACCCTTGTAAGAGGGAATTCTCCAGAAGACAACCTTTAGACTTCATTTACATCATTGGGTCTTCTCTTGCCTCTCTGCCTGGTGGGCTTGCAAATCTGCCTGCAGATTTGGACTTGCCAGTCTCCATAATCATATGAGCCAATTCCTTGTAATATATCCCTTTCTAGAGATATAGAAGTATATTTTATGGTTTTATTTTTCTGGAGAACTCTGACCAATACAAATGTATTTCAAGAAACCCAAATAGAAAGAAGGTCATATAAATTACCACTAAATTTTGCAACACTGACATATAATAACTTTATAGGAAAGTGGTCTTTTCTTCCTATGAATCAATTCCTGAAGTAACGTGCTTCCAAAAATCATGAGCAGATGGTCCTACCTGCTATGTTTGATTTTGTCTTGGACAAAAGGCTAAAGGAAATAGGCTTAAGTTTTGTCATCACCATTTTTTACAATATAATTCCATTGATAGAAAGGCAGACCTTCTACTATTTCATGAAATAAAATTATTTATGAATTTAGTACACATTGGCAGACCCTATGCTAGGCACAGCAAATAGTCCCTGACCCCATGTAGCTTAGTTGGGAGCCAGACAAGCTAAAACCGTGACACTATAATACCTGCTATATTGGAGGCATGTACCAAGCGCAATGGGTACAAAGAAGTGGTGTCTAAATCTGTAGGAGAGTCAGGAAGACATCCAGAAACTAGTTTTAATACAAAAATATATTTTGGTAGGGTATCACAGACAGATTTTTTTCTTTCGGACCTTCACCTAAGGCAAGCTCCACGTTGCACCAACACAAAAGAAATACCTATTCTACTTTTTTTTTTTTTCTTGCTGCTTGGCCTTCTCTACCTAGTTGTAAAATTGATAAGGATTCTACTTTAATATCTATGAGGAACTCATGTTTTCCTAGGCAATTTCATTTTTTCTCTTTCTGGCCTTTGCAGAGTCTTTGAAGGGTGGGTTTCTGAGCAAAATTAATGCTGAATAAAAATATGCGTGTCCAAAATGGAGTCACAACCCTTTTTCGCTTATCTTAGATCAATAATGTCTGCTTCTGACTCCAGTGGCAGATCTCTGATAGTGATTCATTTCTCTATTGGTTTTTCACACACTAATGCAATTAAGGATTTCTCAAAATAATTAACTCCAAGCTCTTCTATTTTATCCCTTCTCTGAATTGGTTTTACTTGGGAGCCAAGCCTGAGAGGTCATATTTAAGAGTTCGATCTTTCCGGAAGAGAAATGTGGTTATATGAAAGGAAGGAAGGAGGGAGGGAAGGAAATAAGGATGAAAGGAAGGAAGGAGGGAGGGAAGGAAATAAGGATGGAAGGAAGGAAAGAAACAAGGAAGGAAAGAAGGAAGGAGGGAAGGAAGGAAGGAAAAGAAGCCACTGTTACCTTACAAGCAGCTCCTTTATGCCTACTTGCTCAATCATAAAGAGAATGCATGCTGGAACTAGACTGCTCTCAAATTGGACTTCTTGCCAATTTGTGTCTCCTGGAAACTTTCTTGAGCCAATTGAAATCTCCACATTAGAATACTAATACTTTGTTTACATCTACTGATAAGACAGTAGAAAATAAGCTGGGTGAGGTGGCATGCTCCTGTAGTCCCAGCTACTTGGGAGGCTGAGGCAGGAGGATCTCTTGAGGCCAGGAGTTCAAGGCTGCAGTGCACAATGATAACACCTGTGAATAACCACTGCACTCCAGCCTGGGAAACATAGTGAGACTCCATCTCTAAAAAGGATTTTTTTTTGGTTGGGCGTGGTGGCATGTGCCTGTAATCCCAGCTACTTGGGAGGCTGAGGCAGGAAAATTGCTTGAACCCAGGAGGCAGAGGTTGCAATGAGCCAAGATCGTGCCACTGCACTCCAGCCTGGGTGACAGAGCGAGACCCCATCTCAAAAAAAAAAAAAAAAAAAAAAAAAAGATTTTTTTAAAGAGAAAGAGAGTAGAAAATAATTATCAGATTTTAGGCATAATTCTATTATTTAAAACTGTTCTAATTATACATGTAAAATTTACATATAAAAAGTTTAAATCAAGAGAGGCTAGGGTAGGTACATTTCATTTTCATTAAAAGATTTCTGCCCCTCACTCTCCCTTCTTCTCTCACAGAATGGCATTCTGGATGAATGGCATTTCTGGAAGAAAACAGGAGCAATTTTGAGCTGAGACAGATTTGAGACTTACTGGCTAATGATATGCTGACTAGGGTGTACCTGTGGTGGTTTGGAAAACATAACAGCTCGACAATACCTTGCTGAGGTTGGAGGGTGATGGCATACAACAAAGACCGTTTGTTTTATGCAGGGGTCAGTGGCCGAATGGAATCCAATTTGAAGGGACAGAGCAGGCAGCAGTAGTTTTGGATGCTGTGGGGACTAGATTGTAAACCAGAGAGGTGTGTTCATGATGGGATGAGACATACCATAGTCCAGCTCTGGAAACGGGGCCAGCAGTACCCAGGAGACAGTGCGGTCCCCAGCCAGCTTCCTGGGGTTCAGAGCTGGGCTCCAATCCCACAGAGATTCAGGAAGGGGGTACAACCAGGCACCAAGGGCCAGCTATGAACCCGGTCATTTTTAGTGAAATTTCAGTCTAAAATTTTAGATAGAAATAGTGGCTCCTTGGTGCTCATGTGGGCATCCAGGGCTTGCTTTTCATCATGGGGAGCTCAGGGGAGCAGATGAGCATCATCCCCATGGGAGAAGCCTGTAGGAGTGAAGCTGAGGCTGGGGAGGGGTAAAGGTTTCAGCCAATTGTGATGGATTTCCTTTTTTTTTTTTTTTTTTTTTTTTGTTTTTTGAGACGGAGTCTCGCTCTGTCTCCCAGGCTGGAGCGCAGTGGCGCGATCTCGGCTCACTGCAAGCTCCGCCTCCTGGGTTCACGCCATTCTCCTGCCTCAGCCTCCAGAGTAGCTGGGACTACAGGCGCCCGCCACCACGCCCGGCTAATTTTTTTTTTTTTATGTTTTCTGTAAAGACGGGGTTTCCCCGTGTTAGCCAGGATGGTCTCGATCTCCTGACCTCGTGATCCGCCCGCCTCAGCCTCCCAAAGTGCTGGGATTACAGGCGTGAGCCACCGCGCCTGGCCTGTGATGGATTTCACAGTTGGAGTCATTCTAGTCAGGATGGCCTGGAACTAAGAACCAGTGCCTCAGAAAGGAGGCCAGTGATGCGAGTTGATGGTACACAGGAGAGATTGCTGTTAATACTTTCCAAAGTCCCATGTAACATTTCTGTTTTTTTTTTTTTTTGGATGGAGTCTCGCTCTATTGATAAGATAGTAGAAAATAAACTGCGTGAAGTGGCATGCTCCTGTAGTCCCAGCTACAGGGACTGGGACTATAGGCCGGAGTGCAGTGGCGTGATCTCGGCTCACTGCAACCTCTGCCTCCCGGGTTCAAGCAATTCTCTGCCTCAGCCTTCTGAGTAGCTAGGATTACAGGTGCCTACCACCACACCTGGCTAATTTTTGTATTTTTAGTAAAGACAGGGTTTCGCCACCTTGGCCAGGCTGGTCTTGAACTCCTGACCTCGTGATCCACCCTCCCCGGCCTCCCGAAGTGCTGGGATTACAGGCGTGAGCCACCGTGCCCGGCCAACACTTTGTATTACAATCCCTATATGCTTTGTAAGAGCATTGCCCTTGTCTTTTTAAATCCTAACTGCCACTTACTAGTAGTATGATCAGGAACAAGTTAATTAACTTATCTGAACCTCAGTCCTAGTATCTGTAAAACTGGCATATCATTACCTAGCTCACAAGTTTGTGAAGATTAAATAAAATTCATTTATGTAGACTAAATACGTGTTGGTTTCCCTTGTCATGAAGTTGGTCCTGCTTTTCTCTTGATCACGTTCCTTTACCATTTTCCTGGTGTTATTTTGATTCTTTGATCATGATTACTATGAGGGATTATCACAGCTAGGTCCTACTCATGCAGGCAAGGAGGAGGAATTATTCAATCCAATTAATCCCAGGCTCTGTATCCTCAAGGAATGGAGTTGGTAGTTTAATGAAACAGATTACATGAATTCTTTCTATTTAACAATTACAGGTTTCATGACAACTTTTGAAGAAATGTATTAACTTGGGCCCAAATTGGTATATTTCTAAATATGGAGCCATAAAAACAGTTACATATGTCATTCTGAAAACAAAATTAAGGTTGTAGCTTGTTAAAAACAATTATGTTTTTTGTGTCTGCCCTAAATGAAGTTCACAGTTTATGGAACCTAAACACTGCAATTGTCTTATGGCAGCATTTTTCTCTTGCCATGTGACATTCACCTGTTAGACCTCATTATAATCATGAACTCATAACTTTGGCTCCAGCTCTTGTTTGCTAGTGCAGTGTTGAACTTAGATTAGATATGAACTCTTTGCCAAGCTCAGTGGCGGAGAAAGTCCCTACAGAATTGCAGGACTTTTGTTCTCTTTTTGACCTCTTTGCATTTTCTTCCTTATCTTGGTAACCATAGAAACAACTTGGAGAGGTGAAGTAGCACCAGATCCATTTTTTTTATTGCATGGAAGGCGACAGTTGCATCAGTGCGTTGTCAATGATGATTTGACCCAAAAGGTGATGGACTTAGAACGGCAACTAGCCTGGCTTTTAAAGGCGTTTGGGAACAAGGCGGTTTATTACCCCTGCAGTCCGTTCCTGTACTCACGCATCCCTGAGCCCCTTCACTTCTCCCTCCGCAGGCCCCTGGTGCCCGCCCCTACGTGGTCACTCTCTCGCACTTAGACTCCTTTGTCCTTATCTACTTCCGTTGATGTGGCTACCTCAGTGTCCTTTCTCAAGGTGTGCAGTGAATGTGAACTTTGGATTATAGCAATCTCTTATGAACAAGGGCACCTGATTCTCAATTTCCTGCTGTATATAAAGGAAATAAACCCTACTTCTCAGAGTTATTTTAAGGATAAAATGAGGGGGAAAAAAGGTGTGTTTGGCCGGGCACGGTGGCTCACACCTGTAATCCCAGCACTTTGGGAGGCCAAGGCGGGCGGATCAGGAGGTCAGGAGATCGAGGCCATCTTGGCCAACATGGTGAAACCCCGTCTCTACTAAAAATACAAAAATTAGCTGGGCATGGTGACAGGCGCCTGTAGTCCCAGCTACTCAGGAGGCTGAGGCAGGAGAATCGCTTGAACCTGGGAGGCAGAAGTTGCAGTGAGCCAACATTGCGCCATTGCACTCCAGCCTGGTGGCAGAGTGAGACTCCATCTCAAAAAAAAAAAAAAAAAGTGTTTATGTATATTTTATGTATATATTTCTAGGCATACAGTAGGCATTCTATAAATGTTGGTTTATTTCCCTTCACGTTAATCTTTCTCCTCTGACATTTCCATGTTCTTTTTATCTCCGAAATTGTACTGCTTAGAGTGGTGTCTGAATCAACAACATTAGAAATGACAAATCTCAGGCCTTACCCCAGACCTACTGAATCAGAATCTGCATTGTAACAATATCCTAGATGTTTCATATACGCTTTAAAGCTTGAGAAACACTGCTCTACAATAGACATCCTCACTTTTTTATGGGAAAGAATAACGGCCACCACTGATCTGATTCCACGCCTTGTCTGTTCCAGATGCTAGCTTCTTAACTGCGCTTTTCTCATCCTCACTCTGTGAGCTTAGCACTAATGTCTCCTTTTACCTGTGAAGAAGTGGAGACAAACGGAGTTAACTCCTTAGCCCAAGACTATGTATGGCAGACACAAAAAACAATGATTTTTAATAAAGTGTAACTTTAATTTTGTTTTCAGTATGGCATGCTTAACTGGTTTTAAGACACCGTATCCAGAAATACACCAATCTAGACTCAAATTAGTAAATTTCTCTCAAAAGTTGTCATGGGGCTGGGCACGGTGGCTCACGTCTGTCATCTCAGCACTTAGAGAGGCCGAGGAGGGCAGATCACTTGAGGTCAGGAGTTCGAGACCAGCCTGGCCAACATGGTGAAACATTGTCTCTACTAAAAATACAAAAATTAGTTGGACATGGTGGCACACGCCTGTAGTCCCAGCTACTTGGGAGGCTGAGGCAGGAGAATCACTTGAGCCTGGGAGGTGGAGGTTGCAGTGATCTGAGATCACACCACTGCACTTCAGCCTGGGCAACAGAGCCAGACTCCAGCTCTAAAAAAAACAAAGCAAAACAAATAAACAAACAAAACGTTGTTATGGAAAGGTCCAGGTAAGACTCTAACTCAGGTCTTTTTTACCCTGAACACTTTGTGCTACTACCTGGGCCTACTGGCTTTTGTTGCTGGAGAAGACTGAAATGGAAAGGAGAAGAAGAAAATTAAAACCAAAAATCTCTCTAAAAGATGGAGACATAACAATATTAAAGGTAACCTTGGGTTTCAGTGAAATCAATAGAGAACCACTTCTTGATGAATGATTCCATCTGTCCTCAATTCTTTTCCAGGTTCCTTGCCCTTTATTTGATATTGACATACATTGGGCACCTAATAATTGATAATAAAATATTCCACATACACAAAACGGAACGGTTGTTTAATATGCAGGCTGTTTAGTGAAATGATGTATCAGCTGATTGTGGCATCTAATCTAGCATGTGATTGTGTTGCTTTGCTTATTAATTTTTTTCAGTTGTATTTTTTTCTCTCAATAAGATTGTAAGATTGGGCTGGGCACGGTGGCTGAGGCCTGTAATCCTTGCACTTTGGGAGGCCGAGGCAGGCAGATCACCTGAGGTCAGGAGTTCAAGACCAACCTGGCCAATATGGTGAAACCCCATCTCTACTAAAAAAAAATACAAACAAACAAACAAACAAACAAAAATTAGCCGGGCGTGGGGCGGGCACCTGTAATCCCAGCTACTTGGGAGGCTGAAGTAGGAGAATTGCTTGAACCCAGGAGGCGGAGGTTGCAGTGAGCCGAGATCATGCCACTGCCCTCCAGCCTAGGTGACAGAGTGAGACTCCGTTAAAAAAAAAAAAAAAAAAAAAAAAAAAGAGGCCAGGCGAGGTGGCTCATGCCTGTAATCCTAGCACTTTGGGAGGCTGAGGCGGGCAGATTGCCTGAGCTCAGGAGTTCGAGACCAGCCTAGGCAACACGGTGAAACCCCATCTCTACTAAAATACAAAAGAAATTAGTGCGGTGTGGTGGCCTGTGCCTGTAGTCCCAGCTACTCAGGAGGCTGAGGCAGGAGAATCGCTTGAACCCTGGAGGTGGGGAGGTTGCAGTGAGCTGAGATCACACCACTGCACTCCAGCCTGGGTGACAGAATGAGAACAAAAAAAACAAAAGGCATTGTAAGATTGTTAAGGCAAGGCAGCCCCTTCCTTTCTCCCTTTTCTCCTGCCTTCCTCTTCTCCCTTTCTCCCATCTTCCCTTCCTTTCCTTCTTCCTTCCTTCCATATAACTTTGTAATGCCAAGCGGAAAAAAAACCTACTAGTATTTATATTTCTGGAATGAGAAATGTAATTTAACTTCAGGTTATTTAATAATTTTAGTTTGTTTGCAATTAACAGATTACATTTTGTTAATGCTTCTGGTTTGGGTAAGGAATCTGTTCCGATTGATTTTGCTTTAGATCAAGAGAGAGTATCTCATACTTTGTCTATTGCACTAATCTCGATGTCTTAAATTTCTTGTTATGTTAAGAATAAACTCCCTAACTATGGCTTTTGAAATTACAAAGGCATGAAAACATTAGGTTTGGGAACCCCACTAAATTAATGAATTGAAAGTATTTGATGGAGTCTTTTAAAATTAGCTAAAATTTTTTTTTCCAATGTGAATTTTAATAATTATACTAAGGATTCTATACGGATCAAAAGAAATAAAATCTAATTGGCTCATGTAGAATATACCTTCCTTTCCTCTATAATGTTATTAAGCAATAAGAAGTATGCTGGAACCATGAATCGATTTTTGATCTTAGGGGGAGTTCTTTCTTAGAAGCAAATATACCTTCATAGTATTCTTAAATCTCTTGAAGTTCTCATGATACATACTGTAACTATAAATGCATTCCATATTTGAACTATCAGAATTAACAAACTGGACTGATTTACCTATTTTCCACACTTTAAACTTAATCCATCAAACAATATACCTAACTAGTCAGAAATGGGATGATAACTGCTCCCAATGAGGAATTACTTTTTAAAAACTTCTCCACTCCATTTATTCATTGAAATTTATTAAGACATCATTCTGTAAGAGGGGTCAATTATCTGATTTTTATCTCCACTGGACATGAAAACGGTGCCTGTGAAAGTCAGGTAGAATCCATTGTTCCAGATACCTGTCTGTTGTGGGAATGAATTCCAGTTCACGAGCTCAGCTGTGCAGAAAATATCGCATTTCCTTATTTTCCTCAAATCAACAGAAATCTGACTCTGAGCCCCCATCCTGCAGAACAGGGACAGTATTCACTGTCATGACTGGCTCTTCCCGTGGGACCATGCTAAGATTCTGGGGGAACACTGATCGTTCTGTTTAGTGAGCGACGGCTCATGCTGGTTTCTGCTGATGGACCTGTGTCTCACCAGCAAGGTTTAAGTGCTTTGCTGCTTCTGGACCATGCCCGGGGTAGGAGAATCTTTGGGGATCCTGGGAGTCCCTGTGTCTGGGGGTCTGTTCTCCTTAGGGGGATGACAAGCCTTCCGCTTGGAGATCTTTCCTCGTCATTTGGACATGGCTATCAAGCTATGCATAGGCTCCTGATACTTTTCAGAACCCACCAACGTCTGTCCCCTGTCCAGTCTCCAGAATCTGTGCTCTCTCTCTCCCATTCTTAAAAATATTTTCCTCTCTACTTCTACTGCAAGACACACAGGGTTATGTCTTCTATGGACTTTGGTTTTGCAGAGACCAGAAGAGCCCCTGACTTCATATGTATATGTTTTGGGCTCTGTAAAAATTCCTTAGGTAAAAAGTTACAAAGGACTTTCCTTCTTGCTTGAGACTGAAGGAGAATTGCAGGATAATTGAATAAATCAGAATTTAGGGCCAGGGTGATGGCTGACACCTATAATACCAGCTTTTTGGGAGGCCAAGGTGGGTGGATTGCTTGAGTCCAGGAGTTTGAGGCCAGCCTGGCCAACATGGCAGAACCCGATCTCTACAAAAAATACAAAAATTAGCTGAGTGTGATGGCGCACGCCTGTGGTCCCAGCTACTTGGGAGGCTGAGGTAGGAAGATCGCTTGAGCCTGGGAGGTCGAGGCTACAGTGAGCCAAGATCATGCTGCTGCACTCCAGCCTGGATGACAGAGTGAGACCCTGTCTCAAAAACTATCCAGACACAGATCTATGCCAATTGCTCAGAGAGGTTTTTTAACTTGGGGTTTTATAAGGACAGTAAAAGCATTTATGTTTGATTAAATCTACTTGAGCATGAAAACTCTTTGCTGTAAACTATGTTAAAGATAAATACACGATTCTCATATACATTTCCAGTGCCTCCTGGAACTGGGAGGAACTTGTAGCCTGGTTTGAGGTTTGATCTGCATTCCTTTCCCGCCAGGTTCTGTTGATCCCTTTCTGTGTGAGGTTCACACTGGCCTTGTCTAGTAAGGATGTCAGTTTGTTATAACAGGGTCCCTTTACATTGGGTTCTTAAGCCTTTGCTAATGTATGCATTAAAGTTTTCTTTAAATTCTTTGTAGACACTATCCCTGCATTAGCTGAGGTGGATTGTTCTATTTACCAGGCTGACGAACTCCAGGCATCAGCTGTACCTGGGAACATGGGGAAGGGTGACTGATGTGTAGACCTCAGTCTTGCTCAAATCTGAGCACTCTTGGTCCCCTATTTTCTTGGTGGCATTTCCTTTCTTAACTGCAGTTCATGGGGTCATTTAAAACTTCTTATATTAGGTAGAGACATTTTTATTTGGTGTATGAGGGGAAAACATATTCCAAAGCATTCCTTTGTAATATAAGTAAACATTCTTCCTGTTAGACATTCCAGGGACATAGCTATGTATCATTCTTGCTGTGATACAGATTACAACTGCACTCACAGGAAATTCTTTCCTTAATTGAAAAAAATACATTTTATTATATACTTTATGCCACTGCTATTTGCCTTTTATTATATGTTTTGGGGAAAAAAATCCAGATGTCTCCCTTTTGCTAATTTAAATTATTTATTAAAGTAACATGTGAGCCTCGTTTATGAAGTCAAACACTCTTTTTTATTATAAACCACTTATGGCTGTTTGATCTTAAAACTGCTGGTTCCCCAGCCCTACTCCCCAGAGACCACCACTTTCAACTCTTTTAACAATTTCTTCTGGCATTTGCTTCCGTATTTGTAAATAATATACTGTTATTTCTTAAATTTTTAATTGACAGTGTTCTATGGAAGATGAAGACTTAGCTTGTTTCCCTACTGGATACTGTCCCCCCCTCAACCCTCTTCTCTCACTATAGTTAATATAATTGTGTCATAATCCTGGTTAAATCAAAATTCAGGCTACATTATGATGATCATGTGAGTGTGACAGGTGGTGGAATTTGAAGTTTTGATTTAGGCACTGACATACAATCGATATGAAATTCCAGTGTCAGTATTAGACCAAGAAGAAATTTCCAAAGAAAACCCCAAAAAACTGTGTAGATATATACTGGTTTCATGATTCAGACAATCCCTTACCCATAAGGAAGATAAAGAAGTATAAAGAGTGAAGATTGGAAAAGGATTTTGTGAAATAAATTTCTTTGGCAAAGCTGTGCTGATTCCCAACTATTAAAGATGGGAGGAGGTCCGGGCGTGGTGGCTCATGCCTGTAATCTCAGTACTTTGGGAGGCTGAGGAGGATGGATCGCTTGAGCTCAGGAGTTCAAGACCAGCCTGGCCAACATGGCGAAACCCCATCTCTACTAAAAATACAACAACAACAACAAAAAATTAGCCAGCCATAGTGGTGCAAGCCTGTGGTCCCAGCTACTTGGGAGGCTGAGGTGGGAGGATCGCTTGAGCCCAGGAGGTGGAGGTTGCAGTGAGCTGAGATCATGCCACTGCACTCCAGCCTGGGTGACAGAGTGAGACCTTGTCTCAAAAATAAATAAATAAATAAATAAATAAATAAATAAATAAATAAATAATAAATAAATATGGGAGGCGAATGTGGGGCACCTCCCCCTTCACCTCAAGTCTAATGAGAAATACGTTAATAGGACCATTTGGAGAGCTTGACGTGTCCTTGAGCCACAAGGCACAAAGACTCATGTGTGACTCACACCTGCGGCTGACTAGTTTCTCTGATTGTGGGAGTGAGGAAACATTGTCTCTAAATTATGAATGTCCTGGCTACTCAGAGTTTGTTCTGGTAAAGAATGTTTCTAGATGTGCACTGTGCAAGAGAGAGTGAAATGTCTTGGGAATTATCTTAGATTCTGTCTAATTGAGCCCTTTAGAGAGGCAATGGGAACTAAGGAGATAGAAACTAGAGATGAACCACCAGATTCTTGAGGCTGTGGAAAGAGCAAAGTGACCAGCCAGACTAGAAATGTATTGCTTAAGTCAATGGAGCTATGCAGAGGCTGGGTGCGGTGGCTCACGCCTGTAATCCTAGCACTTTGGGAGGCTGAGGTGGAGGGATCACCTGAGGCCAGGAGTTTGAGACCAACCTGGCCAACATAGTGAAACCCCGTCTCTACTAAAAACACACAAAAAATTAGCCGGGTTTGATGGCGGGTGCCTGTAATCCCAGCTACTTGGGAGGCGGAAGCAGGAGAATCACTTGAACTGGGGAGGTGGAGGTCGCAGTGAGCCAAGGCCACGCCACTGCACTCTAGCCTGGGCAACATAGTGAGACTCTGTCTCAAAACAAAAAACAAAAAACGGGAGGCTATGCAGAAAAGCTTCACATGCCAGGGAATCACCAAGGACCTAATGAAAGCACCTCTGAGAAAAAAACACCCTTAAAGAAGTGGTCCAGGAGGCTCAAAGAGTGTGAGGCCAACGTACAATAGTACCATCTAAGTGAGAACATACCTGCCCTTCTTTCATGCCCTTCACCCCAACCTCAGGGCAGTTGAAACAGCAGCTAGGGAGTGAGAATGGAATTGACTAGGAAAAATAGAAGATGTAGGCCACACTTTTTACCCAAAGGTTGCCAACCCACCTGTGAATGGCCCTGGTTGGGGGAGGCCAGGCGGGAGTTTCCCTTTTAAAAGGAGATTGATGAATTGATGTGTTAATTAATATAAACCTTTAATTCTAAATTCTGCATCAAGACTGTGTGTTCTTTTTTTCCCCTAATTCCCCCTCCTATATGTTCTCTTTCTTGATTTAATACCTCATTTCAATAGTTACATGTGTTCCAGTAGCTTCGTGTGAAAGAATTCATGGAGATAAAGTTTTTGAGTAACATATATGAAATGACTATTTAATCTCATACTTGATTGATAGCTTGACTGGATATAGAAACATAGGTTGGAAATCATCTGTCTTTGGAATTTTGAAGGCTTTGCTTTATTGTCTTTTATCTTCTAATGTTATGGTGAGAAGTCAAGTGTCAGTCTAACCCTTGATTTTCTGTATGTGACATGTTTTTTTCTTCATGGAAGTTTTCAGCATCTTTCTGTACACTCAGAGATTCTGGAATTTCACAATCACTTGCTTTGATTTCCATGGTTTTTCATTCATTTTGCTGAGGACCAAGTGGATTATTTCAAACTAGAAAGTCACGGTCTTCTGAAACATTTACAAAATTATTTCATAATATTCTCCTTTTCCTCCTCACCCCTTTTTACTGTTCTCTCTTTCTGGAACTCTTTCTGGTTAGATATGGTAGATTTGTCTTCCAGGTTTCTAATCTTATCTGTCCTGTTCTCTACCTTTTTGCCACTTATTCTAGTAAGGGAGATTTCCTCAACTTTATCTTTAAACATCTATTGTATTTTTAACTCCTGCTGTTGTATTTTTAATTTAAAGTAATCTTTTGTACTAGTTATTTATTGTTGTGTAACAAATCACCCCAAAATATAGCAACTTAAGCCTTCAAATATGTATTGTGTCAGTCTCTGTGGCCCAGGAATTCAGGAATAGCTTAGTTGAGTGGTTTGGCTCAGGGACTCCTGTGAAGTTGCAGTCAAGACATTGGCCAGAGCTGCAATCATCTGAAGGCTTGACTGGGGCTGGAGGATGGGCATCTGAGATGGTAATCTGCATGGCTATTGGCAGAAGGCCTCACTTCTTTGTTGTGTGGACTTCTTTATAAAGCTGCTTGAGCAGCCTCATAACATGGCAGCTAGCTTCTCACGGTTAAGTGACCTGAGAAAGAACAAGGCAGAAACACAATGTCTTTTACATCTCAGTCTCAGAAGTCAAATAACATCACTTCTGTTGTATTCTATAGGTCAAGAAGACCAACCCTGATACAGTGTGGGAGGAGATAACATAGGCTTTGAGTATTAGGAGGCGGGAATCAATCACTGGGGACCATCTTGGAAGCTGGCTGCTGCACATTTCCTGTTCTCCAAGAATTCTTGTTTTAATGTGAGCCTGTTTTTGTTTCATGGATTCAGTGTTTTATCTTTTTTCTTTAAAGATACTAATCATAGCCTTTTTGAAATTTATTTATACCCTGCAGTATCCTCTATCACAGGAAACTGTTACATATATATGCATCTCCAAATAGAAAATGATATTTTTGGTTTTGTGCATTTTAGATTTGTAATTCAAGTACATTAAGTGAGTAATCACGTATAGATTGATTTAAAAGCATTTAACCAGATGATTTGAAGGTAAAAATTATTTTAAAAGGAGAGTAATATGCTATTTTTCCAGAGTGAACTGATAAAAAATAATTTTATGCAAATTGTATGCTCCTGAGATGTGTGTGATACAGGGTTTTATAAGTGATATCATATTTTAGAAGCATTAGGATGTGCTGATAAAACTTTGAGTAAACTTTTTTTGAAAAGTGAAGAGATGCCTGATAGTTTATGTCTTTGTGGCATAATGAGATGGTTAATAATATGGGTTAAGAGATCAGACTGCATGGTTTTGAATCATCTTTACAACTTATATGTGATAGTGAACAAACTTCTTAACCTCTCAGAACTTCCAACAGATTAGAATAATAGGCTGGGCTCGGTGGCTAACGCCTGTAATCCCAGCACTTTGGGAGGCTGAGGCTGGCAGATCACCAGGTCAGGAGATCGAGGCCATCCTGGCTAATACAGTGAAACCCCATCTCTACTAAAAATACAAAAAGAAATTAGCCAGGCATGGTGGTGGGCGACTGTTGTCCCAGCTACTTGGGAGGCTGAGGCAGGAGAATGGCGTGAACCCGGGAGGCGGAGCTTGCAGTGAGCTGAGGTTGCGCCCCTGCACCCCAGCCTGGGCGACAGAGCGAGACTCCATCTCAAAAACAAAAACAAACAACAAAAACTAACCAAACAAACAAACAAAAAAGATTTGAATAATAATGATATCTACTTCACAGCTGTCATGGGGTTAGAATGAGAAAATACATGTAAAGCACATAAACTATTCCTTACACATATTTAGTACTCAGTAAATGTTAGCTATTATTAATGCTTTTTATATAAAACAAGGCACCACTGGGAATAATCATGGTATACAATCCATCCCACCAATTATTTATGAACAACTGTTATACATTCTTTTGTGAAAACGTTATTGTGTACGATATATTTGACATATTTACTTCTTACGATACCAATGAAGTTTCAGAAAATCCACAGTGTGTTATCAAATGTGATTGTCTTCAAGAGCTATGGGGTATGATCTCAATCATTAGAGTGGAAAAAGTTCACTTTGAGATCACATGGAATACCCCATGAAATTCTCTGATAAATACCCACCTCTTAAACAATACCTACACCTTCACATATATAGCGAAAGGTACTGTTTGTCTCATCGTATGCATGCTAAAAAGCAAACAAGAAAATCTATGTCTCCGAAAATACAATGTTGGCTTTTTATGCCAACATACGTATTTTTACTTGGGGAACATCTAGTACAGAGACATTCAGATTTTACAGTTGCTCATTTGTGGCTCTGTATTTTAACTTAGCATCTCAGTCAACCTTTCTGAAGAGTAATGTGTTTTCTTCTTTCTTTAATATTAGTCCTAGCTGGGCGCAGTGGCTCACGCTTGTAATCCCAACACTTTGGGAGTCTGAGGCAGGAGGATCACTTGAGCCCAGGAGTTCAAGACTAGCCTGAGCATCATCCTGAGGGCCTGTCTGTACAAAAAAATCAAAAAATTAGCTGGGCGTGGTGACACGTGCCTGTGGTCCCAGCTACTTGGGAGGCTGAGGTGGGAGGATTACTTGAGCCTGGGAGGTTGAGGCTGCAGTGAGCTGTGTTCCCTCCACTGTACTCCAGCCTGAGTGATAGAGTAAGACCCTGTATAAAAAAAAAAATCGGTCCTAATAACAATGGTATCTGACATTGACTGGCCAATTACTTCATGCCTGTGCTTTCCTTTTATTAACTTGAAACAACCCTATGAAGTGGATACTGGTTATGTCCATTTTGGAGGTGAAGCATTAAAGTTTGAGTAATTTGCCTAAGGTCAATAGCTGTTGAGTTATAGAGTCAGGATTTGAACCAGACAGTCTGGCTCTTAAGCCAACTCACTTAGCCACTATACCATACTATACACCAAGGTATCTGTTGGTGAGTTAACTGTATGATGTTCCACAAAATGCCTTATTAGGGTTTGCATTTGCCATTAGGTTGGGTTTAAATTGAGTGAAAATCAGAAATCTGATTATATTACAATAAACTTTTATCATATTTTTGTAAAATATTTTATTGAAATATATATATGTATATATATATTTTTTTTCTTTTTCTTTTTTGAGATGGAGTCTCACTCTGTTGTCCAGGCTGGAATGCAGTGGCACTACCTCAGCTCACGGCAACCTCCGCCTCCCAGGTTGAAGTGATTCTCCTGCCTCAACCTCCCAAGTAGCTGGGCTACAGGCACGTGCCACCATGCCTGGCTAATTTTTGTATTTTTAGTAGAGATGGGGTTTCACTATGTTGGCCAGGCTGGTCTCGAACTCCTGACCTCATGATCCACCTTCCTCGGCCTCCCAAAGTGCTGGGATTACAGGCGTGAGCCATTGCACCCAGCCTACAGAAATACATATTATCCAGTTAACATATATTTTGTTTTTTAAGCTCTGTTTTTTTTTTTCCTAAAAACAGTTCTATAACGAAGCTCACTTTGTCAAGGACTATGTTGACTGATAATAAAAGTATCATTATATATTTGTCAAGTGTTTTATTTTTAAAATGTCTATAGGTGTAGAATTCCTTATTACAGGAGGAGAAATTCTTCATTTTACAAAAAAGTCCAGCATATTCTAAGAATTTCATTTTCACATTTATTTAACTAACAAATTCCATAATGCTTTTTACTTTTTAACTTTTATTTTAGGTTCGGGGGTACATGTGCAGGTTTGTTATATAGGTAAACTGGTTTCATGAGGGTTTGTTATATAGATTATTTTGTCACCCAGCTACTAAGCTTAGTACCCAATAGCTATTTTTTCTGCTTCTCTGCATCCTCCTACATTCCACCCTCAAATGGGTCCCAGTGTCTGTTGTTCCCTTCTTTTTCTTTCCTTTTTTTGAGAAGAAGTCTCACTCTGTCACCCAGGCCGAAGTGCAGTGGCATGATCTTGGCTCACTGCAACCTCCATCTCCCGGGTTCAAGCAATTCTCCTGCCTCAGCCTCCCAAATAGCTGGGATTATAGGTACCCATCACCACACCCAGCTAATTTTTATATTTTTAGTAGAGACGGGGTTTCACCATGTTGGCCAGGCTAACCTCAGGTGATCAACCTGCCTTGGCCTCCCAAAGTGCTGGGATTACAGGTGTGAGCCACCACGCCCAGTCTGTTGTTACCTTCTTTAAGTTCATGAATTCTCATCATTTAGCTTCCACTTATAAATGAGAACTTACAGTATTTGATTTTCTGTTCCTGTTTAGTTTGCTAAGGATAATGGCCTCCAGCTTCATCCATGTTCCCGCAAAAGATATGATTTCATTCTTTTTATGGCTGCATAGTATTCCATGGTATATATATACAAAATTTTCACACATATCCAGTTTGTCATTGATGGGCATTTAGATTGGTTCCACATCACTGCAATACTCGGAAAGCATTAGGTTCCATCAACAGAGGAAAAGGAACCTGATGCTTTACAAATATTGTCCACTGTCCTCTGACAACAGAAAGGAAGAAAAAAAAAGTAACTTAGTACTGGCCTCAGGAATGTTGGTCTGATAGGGGAAAGTTCACTCTCTTGCTAATTCCAAGGAGCTTTTAAAAATAAATGGTGTGGAAATTACCTATTGTTTATTCAGGAATAACCCTTATCCTTTTCTTAATTGATCAGCATTTCATTTGTTGTAAAACTCTTTGTCCTGTGAAGCTGGAGGCCCTTGAAAAATCTCCATGGTGCTCACTCTCATATCTCAAGCCATCCAGGTAGATTTGAGACGGCACTTGGTATTAGGCTAGAGTAAAATTTTCCTTGATCTGCAAGCTTATTTGGTGTTTGAATTCTCCTTATAATTATCCTTGTCAAAAACTTGGCTGGGCACGGTGGCTCACGCCTGTAATCCCAGCACTTTGGGAGACCAAGGCAGGCAGATCACTTGAGGTCAGGAGTTTGAGACTAGCCTGGCCCACAAGGTGAAACCCCATCTCTACTAAAAATACAAAAATGAGCCAGACATGGTGGCGGGTGCTTGTAATCCCAGCTACTCAGGACGCTGAGGCAGGAGAATCCCTTGAACCCGGGAGGTGGAGGTTGCAGTGAGCAGAGATTACGCCATTGCACTCCAGCCTGGGTGACAGAGCCAGAGCCAGACTCTGTCTCAAAAACAAAAACAAACAAACAAAAACACACACACACACAAACAAAAAGTCTGTCCTGCCCCTTCCAGAACAGCCCCACAGATACCTAAGAGCTCATCACTTCTAAACGTACCTCCTAACTTCCTTCTTCTGCTCTTCCTTTTCTCTCTTCTCTCTCCTTTTCTTTCCTTTTACCAGCTCCTTATGACGTATACCAACTTAAAAAAAATCTTTTCCTCAGGGCCATACAAACAAATCCAGTCTCTGCTACAACTCACTGGAGATAAATAGTTACTATCATCTTTATGTACATCTCTCCATGTAAGATAAAAGAATCACTCCAGTTAAAAGTCATAGTTTTCAAGCATTCTGTATAAACCAATATTAGCAAACATTTACTGAGTGCCTGCTATGTGCCAGGCACTAGCTATATGCCACTTCTAACCCTTACAACCCTTCCAGGTGCGTTAATGATAGCTAATACTTACAAAGCCTTTACAATCGACTCATCTAGGATATGGTAAACACCAGTAAAGGGCTTATGCTGGAGGCTGACACATAGTGACATTCAATAAATGTTAACTGTTACTATCTCTTGTACTTCGGGAAGAATTTGGAGAATGTTCGACTCAACTACAGTGTTCTACATAGCATTAACCTGGGGAAATTTTTTGGCTCCTGATGGGCTATTTCTCCTACATTTGTGTTAACCACAGAGTTTGGTCCTTAAAGCTATTCAAAAGGATGATCGAGGATCAAGGATGGAGGCCTGCATTTTTCAAAAGCTTCAGGTTATTCTGGGCCAGGCCTTTGCACAGTTCTTTGAGGTCTGTTTCTTCCACGGAAGAAGCACTATCAGGTACAAGAAGAACGGGGCCTGAAAGTTGAGTTTCAGCTCTAATGAGAGACTGCTAAAGAGACAGCACTAGTTTGAATTTCACAAATTAAAATTCACCTTGAAAAATTGCAACCTTTCTCAGCTCAGTTAAAGGGAAGAGGAAAGAGTTAATGCTCTCAGTTGATCAGGTGTGGGTCTGCTGGTGGCTGCCGGTACTCCAGTCTGAGAACTGATAGGTATAGGTATTAATTGTTTGGGGAACATCATTTAGTAAACAGGTATTAGAATTCTATAATTCATCATTTAAGAGGCTGTATTTTAACTCAGCATCACTCTTTTGCTCCTACAAGCCAGTTCCCTTAGGCTCGCACTTCTTTAAACCCAGAAAGACTTGTCAAACTAGTCTAGGTGATGGGACAAACCTCAGCAGCTGGATACCTGTACTTGCTGATCTGGCATGTTCTCCTTTAGGAAGGGAGGTGTGGCCGGGCGCAGTGGCTCACGCCTGTAATCCCAGCACTTTGGGAGGCCGAGGAGAGTGGATCACAAGCTCAGGAGTTTGAGACCAGCCTGGCCAATATGGTGAAACCTCATCTCTACTAAAAATACAAAAATTAGCTGAGCGTGGTGGTGCGCGTCTGCAGTCCCACTTACTCGGGAGGCTGAGGCAGGAGAATCGCTTGAACCCAGGAGGCGGAGGTTGCGGTGAGCCCAGATCGCACCACTGCACTCCAGCCTGGGCAACAGGAGGAGACTCTCTCTCAAAAATAAATAAATAAATAAAAAATAAAAAGAAAAAAGGAAGGGAGGGGCTCTGGAATAAAGAGTTCCCAGTCAGATTTAGGGGAATATGGGAAGAAACCTGGTAGAAGGAAACCCCTGGGATTTGATTCCTGGGTGTTCCACACAATCTCGGATGGTGTTGGGAACTATTCTTGCTCTGAATATGATCATGTCAGTTCCACAGCTCTTTCTGTTTCTCTTGTTGGCTCCCTCCTAAAATTTAAATTTGACATAAAGTTAAGGTGCCTTTCAAAGCACACAAGGTCACCCTAGTGACCCTAGTCTCCTGTGTCACAAAATGTCAGAGCCAGAAGCAAGGTTGGCTTTCCACGAAGCTAAGGAAACTTTATCACTAGAGCTCTATCTTGCAATGTGTTTATATTGGTATATTGCTAAAAGATAAAGGATACATTTTTTAAAGGTAAAATCATGACTTTCATAGAGATGAAATGAACATGTATCAAAAATTTTATTTAACTCATTGATTAATAAAGGAACAAATAAGAGATTACAACTGGTTTGAAGGAAAATTTGAACTACATATACATCATATATCTAATGTGTGTGTATATACACACATACATTATATATATACACACATTTTATATATACACGTACACACATATATATACACACATTTTACATATATACACACATTTATAGATACACACACATTTTATATATATATACACTTTTTTTTTTTTTTTGGGGGGACGGAGTCTCACTCTGTTGCCCAGGCTAGAGTGCAGTGGCGCAATCTTGGCTCACTGCAATATCTGCCTCCCAGGTTCAAGCGATTCTCCTGCCTCAGCCTCCTGAGTAGCTGGGATTACAGGCATGCGCCACCATGCCCAGCTAATTTTTGTATTTTTAGCAGAGACAGGGTTTCACCATGTTGGCCAGGCTGGTCTCGGACTCCTGGCCGCATGATCTGCCAGCCTCGGCCTCCCAAAGTGCTGGGATTACAGGCGTGAGGCACCGTGCCCGGCCTATACACACACACTATATATATACACATTTTTTATATATGTGTATATATATGCACATTTTATATATAGATGCACACACACATTTAATATATATGTATACACACATTTATATATATATACACACACACTTTATATATGTATATATGCAACTAGGATTGTGCAGATGCACTTACACACTCAAAAGCAGTAAGTATCCACAGAGCAGTAATCGATAGTATTCCACAAGGTAACATGCATTTGCGTTTCTATGGACAGCAATCATTTATGAAGAGACACAGGCCCGTATAGAATCCAAGTAGGATTCTATATGTATAGAATCCCGTATAGAAAACCAAGTAGGCTGTGCCAATAAGGCTCTCATTACCTTCTTTTTTCTGGTCCATTTCAAAGTGATTCACATTTTTTCCTGGCAGTATGGTCATATGTTTTTAAAAATTTCAATAGTCACATATTTAGCCATAATAGATTTATTTGGTATAATTTTCCACTCCAACTTCCCTCTATAACACTTTTCCCCATGGCCTTGGAGGGGCTGTGAACAGTTTTGGGATCCAGCTAAGGGACAGTTAAGCTAGAAATATAGTTAGTGAAGATTTTAATAAGATATATTTGTATGTTCACTGTCACCCCCATGGGTAAAGTGATTGCTAGCCATTCCAGTATAGAAACAGAATGGCTTCGAACCTCTTGGTGACTCACTTGTCATTCTTCACCCAAAAGAGCAGGACCAGAATTCTCATCATGATATGTGTACATCCCATAGCACCCAGCACTAGAGGCAGTGGGTTGTGGAGAAGTAGCAAGGTTTTAAATATTAAGAGCCAGAAACTAGTCTGTTGAAAAATTTTCAAAGCCTTAAAGATCATAGGTTTTTAAAAACTTGATAGTAGCACTTTCCCCAAATTTGACAGCATTCAAAATATTTATCTGACATTACCAAATATGAATTATGAAGCTGAAATATGTTTTGAAATATATCAGTAATAAAAAAGCAGAAAAGCTCACCCAGGCTAGAGGAAATACTGAGTTACCCCTCTGTTTTCTTTACAGAAAATATTACAAAGCAATTATCAAATGAAGAGCTGATTAAAGAATACACAGCCAAAAATGTAGCAAACAAGTATTATAGTGGGGGGCCAGGCAGTTAATTAATAAAAATATTGTTGCTTTTTGGATCTTGTAATGTTTGAGACATGGCAGCTTTTCAAAATTAATAATTAGTTGTGATTTATTTTCCCATTCTAAGTAAGTATTCACTTTCATATCAACTTTTTCTATCTTTATCAATCTTTTGGTTAAGTGTTTACTATCTGACAACAGACATGGTCTCCTATCTGACCAGCTGGTAGTCAATCAATATTAATTGAGTCAATAAAAGCATAAAGTATTGCAATCTGGGAGGGTTAAGTAGACCAGAAAGAGGGTGGCCTAATCTTGGTTTTGGAGGATGGGCAGAATTTGAAGACATGGTAGGGCTAGTGACATTAACAAAGGTATAGAGATAGGAAAGACCGTGGAGATAGCAGGGGATAACAAATAGTTAAGATTGGCTCAAGCGAAAGCTTTGCATTGAATAAGGCGTGAGAAAATAGAAAAGGAAGTTTTAGGCCACATTGAGTACAAGGATCTTGAATGTCAGTCAGACTTAGGGAATTTAACGTCACCATGTAGTCGTGGGAGAATCAACTGGACATTGGTTGTTTTTGTTTACCCAGAACCATGCTCCCTTTTGGTACTAGTACCTTTATATTCTATGGGAGACATGCTTTTTCTACTCTTAATCCATGCAGTGGGTTGACATTACTGTCAGGCCTTTGAGCCCAAGCCAAGCCATCGCATCCCCTGTGACTTGCACGTATACATTCAGATGGCCTGAAGTAACTGAAGATCCACAAAAGAAGTAAAAATAGCCTTAACTGATGACATTCCACCATTGTGATTTGTTTCTGCCCCACCCTAACTGATCAATGTACTTTATAATCTCCCCCACCCTTAAGAAGGTTCTTTGTAATTCTCCCCACCCTTGAGAATGTACTTTGTGAGATCCACCCCTGCCCGCAAAACATTGCTCTTAACTTCACGGCCTATCCCAAAACCTATAAGAACTAATGATAATCCACCACCTTTGCTGACTCTCTTTTTGGACTCAGCCCACCTGCACCCAGGTGAAATAAACAGCCATGTTGCTCACAAAAAGCCTGTTTGGTGGTCTCTTCACACGGACACGCACGAAAATTACCCTCCTGATTCAAGGGTTGGGCCTATGACCCTGCTCTTTCTTTCTTCTTTTTTTGAGATGGAGTCTCACTCTGTCGCCCAGTATGGAGTGCAGTGGCGCGATCTTGGCTCACTGCAGCCTCCGCCGACTGGGTTCAAGTGATTCTCCTGCCTCAGCCTCCTGAGTAGCTGGGATTACAGGCGCGTGCCACCATGCCTGGCTAATTTTTTGTATTTTTAGTAGAGATAGGTTTTCGCCGTGTTAGCCAGGATGGTCTCGATCTCCTGACCTCGTGATCCACCCGCTTCACATTCCCAAAGTGCTGGGATTACAGGCGTGAGCCACCGCACCTGGCTGACCCTGCTCTTTCAAATGGAAGTCAGTTTCAGTACTTCTGCTGGACAATTGGGAAAGAGTACTCTTTCTTTCGGCTAATGATGCTACGCTTTCACAGTATCGGTCTACAGGTGGTAGCTGCTCTTTCCTCAACACTCAGGAAGAATGTGTCTGAGAGTGAAGCCAACCAACAGCCCAAGGGTGTGAGGGGAGAGATTCCTAATGACGTTGCTTGAGTATCTAGATTCAACCATGCTTGAAGATTTTTGCTGTTTCATTTAAGTGTTTGCCAAATTTTCTTTATACATTTTTGTTTGAACTGGCATTTTTGTTTATGATGGAAAACTTCTGACTAATGTAGGCATTAAATGTTTGTGACTGGTGTTTTATGAAGATTAAGCCAGCAGCAGATGGGTTACAGAAAGCAAGGTGGTGGCACTGGAAATGGTAAGGAAAGAAAAGAGAAGTACAGAGAAAGAATTAAGAGGGCTTGGTAGTTAGAACACGAGAAGGGAGCAAAAATGACTGGTTTTTGAGATTGACTAAATGAATGATAATGACATTGATAACATTTGTCAATATTAAAATTAAAATATTGGCCTGGTGCAGTCACTCATGCCTGTAATCTCAGGACTTTGGGAGGCCAAGGCGGGCAGATCACTAGGTCAGGAGTTCGAGACCAGCCTGACCAACATGGTGAAACCCTGTCTGTACTAGAAATACAAAAATTAGCTGAGCATGGTGGCATGGGCCTGTAATCCCAGCTACTCGGGAGGCTGAGGCAGGAGAATTGCTTGAACCCGGGAGGCAGAGGTTGCAGTAAGCCGAGATCGTGCCATTGCATTCCAGCCTGGGTGGCAGAGTGAAACTCCATCTCAAAAAAAAAAAATTAAATTAAATTAAATTAAATTAAAATATTAAAATTAGAAATATTTTAATTTTATATAATTTTTATACTTTTTAATAAAATTAAAAATATATATTAAATATATATCTTTATATAATTAAAAATTATAAAATTAAAATAATTACACAATTAAAATTTAAATTAAAAAATTAAAAATTGATAACATTTGTCAATATTAAAATTAAAATATTAACATTTAAAAAATTAAAAGGGCACATAGTTGGCTGTACACCTTAGCTTTGTAACTTTCAGTGAAAATGGGGCAACTGTCTGTGTTGTCATAACAAAAAGTAGGTAATGCAATCTCATCATGACATAATATAATGTCAGAAAGGGTACCATGTTCCCCCAACTCCCCCACAGGTAAATACATTTATTCATATGCTTTGAGTTTGAAGTGATAGGAAAAGCAAGGGGAAATATTTAGGAAGTTGTTAAAATGTAGAACTACACTTCAGGAGAAAACTCAGGATCCGAGATACAATAAATAAATGTGCCGCCAAGGTGGAACAACGTGGTGATGTGAGAGCAGTGAGTCTGTAACAGTAGAATGAGCAAGGAGCTGATGGACAGGAACATCAGGGAGAACAGGGCTAGGAATGAGTCAGGCCTTTTTTCCCCGCCAGACATCCAGTCTCCACCTGCTGCCGTTCAGGAAGCAAAGTCTGTGAAATAGTGACATGCCGCTTAGGTAGGCACAGCTACTTAAAAGTGCCCTGTAAGGCTTGAATTGAGCAGTTAGAAGACCTGAGTCTGGGTGAGATTTCTGGGGGAGTGATTGTAGAGAAGAAAGGAATGAAGAATGAAGAAAACAGAGGTGGGAGAATTAGAAAACTCCTTGGAATTCAAAGAAAGAGAATCCTTCAAAAAGGGGATCATCAGCTTCAGAGAACTGCAGATAGACAAGATGAACATCACTGGACAATGTAGATTCACTGGAACTCGAGGTTGAAGATGATTAAACCGAATGGATGATATAAAAGTGGAAGCAGTGGGTGGAGAACAGAAGTTTGGCAGAGAAACGAAGGAGAGGAGCAGGGTAGTGTACGGATGGAACAACTTCACCAAGGTTTTTTGTTTCTAGGGCAGAGGAGGCTTTTTTTTTTTTTTTCTTTAGACAGAGTCTTGCCCTGTTGCCAGGCTGGAGTGCAGTGGCAGAATCTCGGCTCACTGCAACCTCTGCCTCCCAGGTTCAAGCGATTCTCCTGCCTCAACCCCCCGGGTAGCTGGGGCTACAGGCGCGCGCCACCATGCCCAGCGAATTTTCGTATTTTTAGTAGAGACGGGGTTTCACCATATTGGCCAGGATGGTCTCGATCTCTTGACCTCGTGATCTGCCCGACTTGGCTTCCCAAAGTGTTGGGATTACAGGAATGAGCCACCGCGCCAGCCACGGAGGCTTTTTCTGAAGGGTAGACAGAGAGAAGAAGCAGTGAACCAGAAGACACTAACTAAGTGAAGTTACTAGAAAGAGAGAGAGAGAGTCAATGGAATAAGGAGGAAGGTAAGACCGACAGTAGTAGAGAGAACAGATAAAGAGGGGAGCAGTACATTCCCTGTCTGAGACTGGTGAAGAGGATGAAAGAAAGGGTGTAAGGAGAGATGCTTGGAAGCTGAAGGCAGAGGAGATGAGGCACCTCTAATGTGTTTCCAGCATAGATAAGACAGTAACATGAGATGTCTGCTGCATTAAACAGCGTCTGTGGATCAAGTTGCAGTGCGGATGTCCAAATTGCTTTACTCCCCATGAGACCTCACAGAAGATTATGTTACTGCAAACTGATGTTTGAGCTAGGAAAAACATTTAAAAGGACACACAGTCTCTGCTGTATACCTTAGCTTTTAACTTTCAGTGAAAATGGGGCAACTGTTGGTGTTTTTATGACAAGAAGTAGATAACGCAATCTCATCATGACTTAATATGTACAACACAACTTGTCATCATTTATACAGAGTAAAAATACAGATTTAATTGAAGGTGACATAAATTTCATAACTGTGTGCTGTGAAGGATGTACACCTTTTTCTGGGAGAATCCCAGAGAAGTCAATTATCAAGTTTGGCAGCTGTGGTTTACCTTGGTGAGTAATAAATTCATCACAACAAGAAGAAAAACTTGCTATGATTTAATCAGAGGCAGAGCCAGGAAGTAGTCCACCCTTGATTCTTACTATCAGGTCAGACTATTGAAAAGTGGAGGAACTGGTGAAACCTGCTGGAAAGGAGCGAGTCATTATGCCTGTGTTTGATGAAGGTTGCTGCATTCTCTCTCTCTCTCTCTCTAGCAAAACTGAACTATTCTTCAAGGCAATACCTTTTTCCCCAGAAATGCAGCCTGTGCTAATGGTGTGCTGTGATGGCCTTTCCTCCCTTTTTGATCCAGTCATTTGGCATGTAAACCTCTTTAACATTGTCCCTTCCTGGCACCTTCTGTGCTCTTGGGCACACCCGTCCTTGGGTCTATATAAGGAAATAAAAAGCACAGATGGTAGAAGGACTGGGCGGGCAGGTGAGTAAAGCAGGGCAGAACTCTCTTATTAAAACTTTCTTACTTAAAGACAGTTACTTCAAAGAAGTGTAAGCGTAAGGGAACTCGCCAAAAAGTCCAAGCTGGTACCTGTAGGAGCAAAAGAGTGTGGGAAAACAATTATTTCTTGCAAAATAAATTGCTGAAACCACCTCAGTATCATGAACTAGTGATGACATAATTGAGTTAGATCATCTGACTATGATAGATGAGATTACCCAGGGTCAAAGGGTTGTAATAAGTGCACAACTTGTGGGTCTCTGCTGGGATGGGTCAACACACTCAATGGGTGTTTGGACATGTGTGGGGTGTGTAGCATCTAGAACGGTGCCTTTCATGTATTAGGTGTTTGCCAAATATTTGTTAATGGAAGAATAAATTTGCTTTTTTTTCATAATAGTTCTGTGAGATAGGCAGAGAAAATATACTCAATCCTATTTCACAGAGATTCTGAACTTACCAAAGTCACATAAATGGTAAAGCTAGAGCAGAACCTAAGTGTTTTAAGTCCCCTACACCGAATATTCTGTTGTGTGTGTGTGTGTTTTTGAGATGGAGTTTCACTCTTGTTGCCCAGGCTGGAGTGCAATGGTGTGATCTCGGCTCACTGCAACCTCCGCCTCTTGGGTTCAAGCGATTCTCCTGCCTCAACCTCCCTAGTAGCTGGGATTACAGGTGCCCGCCACCACACCCAGCTAATTTTTTGTATTTTTAGTAGAGATGGGGTTTCACTGTGTTGGCCAGGCTGGTCTGGAACTCCTGACCTCAGATGATCCACCTGCCTCAGCCTCCCTAAATGCTGGGATTACAGGCGTGAGCCACTGTGCCTGGCTCTGCGTTCTGCTTAATAGTTCATAAGCAGTTTATCTTAGCCATCTTAGAGGACAGAAGAGGAAGGAAGTAGAGTGCTTGGAAAGGTTACAAGTCATACCCTATACACATTCTCATTCACAAAATTGTAGCCACAGATAGAAAAGAGGGAAGGTTTACAGTTACCATGGTTGATCTCTCCCATCTCCACATTGAATCTATGTGTAGCACAGCTGGAGGAGGCAGTTACTTCAAAGAAGTGTGATGGTCCATGGTGGGCTTTGGAGGGAGACAAACCTGGGGCCTACTCCTAATTATTTTTTGTTTTTTTGGAGATGGAGTTTTGCTCTTGTTGTTCAGGCTGGAGTGCAATGGCGTGATCTCGGCTACTGCAACCTCCGCCTCCCAAGTTCAAGCTACTTCAGCCTCCCAGGTTGCTGGGATTACAGGTGTGTGCCACCACGCCCGGCTAATTTTGTATTTTTAGTAGAGGCGGGCTTTCTCCATGTTGGTCAGGCTGGTCTCGAACTCCCGACCTCAGGTGATCCGCCCACCTTGGTCTCCCAAAGTGTCGGGATTACAGGTGTGAGCCTCTGCACCCAGCCTCCTAATTCTATTACTTACTTACTATGTGTGTCTTTAGATAAACTAGTTACCTTTTCTGAGACTCAATTCCCTTTCTTATAAAATGGGAATAACGCCACTGACATTTTCAAGTTCTTTGAGGGGTTAAATTAGAGACAGTGTCTAATGTTTGGTGTAGAATAAGTGCTGGATTAAGAGTGTAGGGTCGGAATGTTATGAGGACAGGACTGAATGCACCTAAGAGAAGTGAAATTTTCCAGCACTGCTTCCCTTCACCTACAGATATGACAGGAAAGTTAATTCCTAGCATTTAGAACTGACAGGCCTTCGATACTCATCCAGTCTAGCTGCTTCATTGATACTTTGAGGACACTCAAGACTAGAGAAGGTGGTGGTGTGTCTGGGTTCACTTGGTGAGTGGTGTAGGAATTGGAGGTGGAAATAGAACCTAAATGGACTGACTCCTGTTTGTGACTCTTTCTGCTCACGGTTGACATCACAAGGCACGGGAATCTAAGATTTTCACTTACTCTTTTCCTCGTTCGGTGTATACAGCAGAAGCCAGAAGCATCCCGTTGCGGGCAGATAGGATTATACAGATAGGGGCAGAGCCTACGGGCTCCTGGTGCCCTCCTCAAAGCCCACTTACTGGTTGTGTGACTTGGGCCAGTCACTTCCTCTCACTGAGTCTTACTTCCACCATATATAAAATAGGGATAATAATAGTACCTACCTCTTAAGGTTATCATAAGGATTAAATAAAATAACCCACATAAAGTTGCCTGCAGCATAGCAAACACTCAATAGGAGACTTATTTCTAAACATTTTTTTCTTTTTTTAAGACACAGTCTCGCTCTGTCACCCAGGCTGGAGTGCAGTGGTGCAATCTCTCGGCTCACTGCAACCTCTGCCTCCTGGGTTCAAGCAATTCTCCTGCCTCAGCCTCCTGAGTAGCTGGGATTACAGGTGCCCACCGCCATATCTGGCTAATTTTTGTATTTTTAGAAGAGACAGGGTTTCGCCATGCTGGCCTGGCTGGTCTCAAACTCCTGACCTCAGGTGATCTGTCTACCTTGGCCTCCCAAAGTGCTGGGATTACAGGCATGAGCCACTGTACCCGGCCTTATCTCTAAACTTTTATTAAAAGTGATTTTAAAATGTTTTTAGGGGAAGATATAATTTTGTTTATGTAATACAGTATAACATATAATATTCTATTAACCTTTGAAAAATATAAAATACGTAGCTCTACCGAAATATGTTGATTACCATTAAATATTGGTACCTAAGATAGAAATAAAACATCACAAATAGACTGGTTAATTAAGCCTTCTGCCATACATGTGGTGCTGCAAAAGGAAAAATAATGGAACTGTACTAGCACAGTTCGTACTACTATTTCTAATGGAAATACTAGTACTAAAAAGTGAGTTACAATACAAAATATATTAGAATAAATTTCTGCATAGTCTGTAAAAAGTAAACATATCAATTAAAATGGGCACAAAGCAGGCAGCAACATAAATTTGAATGTCTTTCTATAAAGGTAGTGACAGCACATGTAGCCAAATAAATAGTTCAGTAAAAGCTAGCATTAAGTACGGGAGTAAATTACTGCATTTGAAGGAATGCCAATATCATAGTCATGCAGGCAGTTATATCAAATATTTTGCAGAATGTTAGGATAAAGAAAGCAACAAGGAAATAGACTGAATTCCAACGGAAGCCAGCACTATAATTCATACCATATTCCCATAAAAATGAACAGACACATGAAAAAAAGCACCATAGAGGTTTCACTCTTTATTATCATAACCTAGGAAGAATTTTTCTTTAACACTAGCCAAACATCATGCCCATACCCTTTGTACTGCTGAATCTTCATTGCTGGCTGTCACTGCCCTAGAAATGGAGCTGACATTCCTTCAAAACAAGAAATCCACAATTTTAACAGACATATCACCACTATCTTTTCCTTTACAATAGAGTGCTTACTATCAACTCACTGCTATTTTTACTGTTTTCTCCAAGTCTTTGTAATTTTCTTGGTTGTTGCAAGATCTGAATACTACTTGGCAACCCTATTATGGTCCTTTCTCTCGAAGTCTTAAAATACTAAACTGATTTTAATGTTAGAGAGATGCTTGTATTGCCTTTGAACCATGAGTTATGCAAAAGAAAGAGAGATAACTATAAAGAGAAATAGAAATTATTACAGGGCTAATATAAACTCTACACGGATCAGCTTTGTGCCCTATGACACAATTAATTGTAAGATAACTCTTAAAGAGTGTTTTATGTTGCAGCATCCTGCCATTAGGAGGGTATCATAAGTACTATTGCCTGTCATTCACTACACTCCTTGCCTCCTGGTACTGAACTTTTTTATTGGTAGTATTTAATTTGACAGGGGATAATTTTGGGGTACCTCTTTCAGTGGGAAAAATACAAAGTATATGCTAACTTATATGATAGTTTAAATCATTTATGTATATATACACTTTAAACCCCAGGGAGATACTTTTTTTAATGGAGCCTATTAACCTGAGCATGACAATAACTAATTTCAGTGCTTTTAAAAACCTGGTCCATGGAACACTTGCATGAGAATTTCTTGGGGGTATTTGTTAAAAATCCAGATTCATAGTCTCCATCCCCTGTCCCCCTCCAAAATATACTGAACTAGAATCTCATTTTTGAGAAAGTCCCCATTGATCCTAGGCCCAGAAAGTTTGACAACAAGGGCATTTCAGCTTGGAGTTGTTCTTCCCTCTGCCGTGTCTCAGTGAGCATGTAAAAGCCGCCTGAAGAGAACAGTCCTCTTTGGTATTTGCCCAGATGGCCTATCCAGTTTTGGCTCTGCTGAAATCCCCAGGTTCTTTAAGCTCTTGGGTTTGAAATTTGACTTGTGATGTTTGCCATGGACCCTTCTCCTTGTTTGATCACCTTCCTGAACAGTCTTCTCTAGACAGTTACCTTTTTCCTGATCCGTTTTCTCATCCCCCAAACTGCACACACTCCACTGGCTGCTTTGCCCGATATACTCCCTTCATTTGGATACACCTCACCTGTGGCTCAGGAGAGGGAACTCCCTGTTAGTGGGGTCCTTCTTAGGCAGACTCTCTCCTCAGCTCAGACAAGCCATGGAAAGGGGTACTTAAAAAGATAAGACATGTAGCCTCCTCACTCAGGGAGTAGACCTGTAGGCATCCCAAAGAGGAACTTGTGACCAAAAAACATAAATTAGACTTCAGTGGGATGCAGAGTGGATGCTCTTTTGTGACCAAATAACTTTCTACAATATAGAAATGAAGAAGTTTCAAGCTCTTCTCCACTTCAAATTCAGGGCACGTTTTTCATGATGAAAGTTTACACAAAAATCTGAGTTTTTGTGGTATGTTCTTCAGTTCTGGCCCGTTTTTAAACAAATTAACTATGGTAATCAGATCATTTAGGAAGGAGCTAGGCAAATGTGCCCTACATTTAGGGACCAGAATGCCACTTGGGCATGAACGGATCTAGGAGGATTCTGATTGGCAATGTGGAAGATGCCATGAAGTCACCTGAGTTTTTTGGCTACTGAAATAGTAGTCTTCCATTATAGGTACTTATAACCATTGCTAGGTAGGGTTTTCTTAAATGTTGACGGATGAGTCTTGGTATATAGCAGCAGGTTTGCATCTCAACAGTAACTGAATATGACAGTGGTCTTCCGGGTTAATGACTGTTAATACAGCAATGAATGCAAGTTGACCCATTCAAACGTGGAAAGAAAAATATTAAAACTTCTAACTGCTAAAATATCATATTATGAATGTTCACTTTTGTTTTTTTCTATTTTTCAGGTAGCCTCTAAAAAATAAACACAGGTTTATTGAGGGTATGTGATCAACAGTTTTTTACTAAGATACACATTCAAAAAAATATTGGAGACCACTGGTCCATAAGGCAATCAGTTGGCATACAAAGCAGAATAGATTAGATTTTAGTTTGCTGAGCAATTTCTCAATTGTGTTCTATTTACTTGTAATTTAGCCATAGGGTTGGTGGCTAGGAGTACAAGCCTATAGGTAAGGAAGAATCGACTGCTGGTAATTCAAGAACTCCAAGCGAAACTGGAGTCATGGCTGTGGTTGGCTGCTTTCTCCCCTCCCCTTCCCTTAGGTGGAGGGATGCTGTGAAAACATGGTGGCTTAGGAGGCAGACACACTTCAGTATGACTCCAAACTCTGCCTCTTATTAACTTTATGATTTTGAGAAAATAACAACCTATAACTTAGCAGAACCTCAGCTCCCTCATGTGCATGACGTGTTTTTGTAAGAACAAAATGAAATGACATAAGTAAAGCCCCTAGGATAGTGCTTGGTGCATAGTAGGCACTGAACAAATGTGGCTCTCTCTGCTTCCCTCAATTCTCACTTGTAGACCCCCTCACACATACTGAGAGCATCCCTGAGTCTGTAAGATACGGCCAAGTGAAATATTTGAGAATGACATGGCTTGGGAACTACATGGCCATAAGCCTTGCTAAATTAAAAGCAAAAACATTGCAATTAATCATGAAAGGGAACCATGCTAGATGGTGCTGTCTAAATGGAAGCTCTTTATCTACACAGAGGGCCTCATATGCCCAGTCTTCACCCAAGGGAGAGGACAGTACAGTAAGTAGTCCCAATCTCTGGTGCAGGCCTTGGGTGGCCTCTGGGTGGATACTCTAGAGGAAAGAATCCCCCCGCACCCCCCTAGTGCCTTTCTCTGTTGGAGTTCTGCCACCTGCCTGGACATTCTGGCATTTGCAAATAGAGCCCCAGCTGGGCAGGCAAGGCAGGGGTGACAGAGCAAAAGCAGCAATGCCTCTGCAGAGCCATTTTTCCCAGGCTTCGTGAAGACTATGCTATGACGGGGTGACTTATGAAGCTTCTTTTTTGATTTGCCGTAGCCAGGATAGAAGTATTTTCCTGTGAAGCTGATTTTAACCCAGGATGAAGTAGGATAAGGGAGAGACAGGTTGGCAGGATCATTTTGTGTTCAATGTACTTGATGAGGTTTTTGAAATGTCACTGGATTTCCCCTTCTCCCCTAAAGCATACTTTGTAGATTTCCCCTTTCTCCCCTAAAGCATACTTTGCTGCTTTTGCTCTGTCCCCTGTGCCTTGCCTGCCCCACTGGGGCTCTACTTGCAAACACCAGAGCGTGCAGGCAGGTGGTGGAGCTCCAACAGAGAAGGGCACTGGGGGTGGGGGTGGGAGTCTTCCCTCTGGAGTACCCACCCAGATTAAAACCTGGATATCTTTGAGGTCATTATACAGCCTGTATCAAGTTGCAGCCTGTATAATGGCCCCAAAGATAGCTAGGTCCTAATCTCTGGAAACTTACAATGTTATTTTACATGGTCTCTCAGTCTGTTTGTGCTGCTGTAAAGGAATACCTGAGACTGAGTAATTGATAAAGAAAAGAGATGTACTTGGCTCATGATTCTGCAGGCTGTACAAGAAGCACAACACCGGCATCTGCTTCTGGTGAGGGTTTTAGGAAGTTTCCACTCATGGCAGAAGGGGAGGGGGAGCCGGTATATGCAGAGGTCACATGGTGAGAGCGAAACCAAGAGAGAAGGTGGGGAGGTGCCAGGCTGTCTTTAACAACCAGCTTTGGTGGGAACAAATGGAGCAAGAACTCACTCATTACCATGAGGAGGGCACAAAGCCATTCACAAGTCATCTGCCTTCAAGACCCAAACACCTCCCATTACCTCCCATGAGGCCCCACCTCCAACACTGGTGGTCACAGTTTTTTTTTGTTTGTTTTTTGTTTTTTGAGACGGGGTCTCACTCTGTCACCCAGGCTGGAGTGCAGTGGTGTGATTACTGCTCACTGCAGCCTCAGTCTCCTTAGGCTCAGGTCATCCTCCCACCTCAGCCTCCTTAGTAGCTGGGACTACAGGCGTAAGCCACCATACCAAGCTAATTTTTTTTTTTTTTGAGACGGAGTCTTGCTGCCACACCCAGGCTGTAGTGCAATGGCTCGATCTCGGCTGACTGCAACCTCTGCCTCCAGGGTTCAAGCGATTCTCCTGCCCCAGCCTCCCGAGTAGCTGGGACTACAGGCGTGTGCCACCATGCCTGGCTGACGTTTTTGTATTTTTTGTAGAGATGGGGTTTCACCATGTTGCCCAGGCTGGTCTTGAACTCCTGAGCTCAAGCAATCCTCCTGCCTTGGCCTCCCAAAGTATTGGGATTACAGGTGTGAGCCACTGCACCTGGTCGGTGGTCACAATTCAATATGAAATTTGGAAGGGTCAAATATCCAAACCATAGCATATAGCAAAAAAGATTTATTTACATACTCTTATTGGATCCCCACAATGACTCTATGGCATATATACTATTAAGCCATTTTATTTTATTTTATTTTTATTTTATTTTATTATGATTGTACTTTAAGTTTTAGGGTACATGTGCACAATGTGCAGGTTAGTTACATATGTATACATGCGCCATGCTGGTGTGCTGTACCCATTAACTCGTCATTTAGCATTAGGTATATCTCCTAATGCTATCCTTCCCCCTCCCCCCAACCCACGACAGTTCTCATGCTGCTATTAAGCCATTTTATAATGGGGAAATTGAGGTTCAGAGACATTAAGTAATGAATGGCTTAACACCATTCAGCTGTAAGTAGAGGGACACTGGGATTTGAGCCCAGCTCTGTCTCACTTTAGAGAGCCTGTCCTGTTAATGATTATGCACTTTTACTTACCATTATGTACATTTTACTATTGAGAAACAAGTCACAAAGAGGTTGGCATTTGCCTGATGACATAGCAAGAGGGGTTGCAGATAGAAGCTAATATTACTGATTATTTTCTAGGGTCCTTTACTAAGATATGAAGAGTGAGGAGAAGGTGGGTAACAGACGTTTACCTTCCCTTTTCTCAGACTGTTTACTTTCTCTTTTTTTTTTGAGACGGAGTCTTGCTTTGTCGCCAGAATGGAGCGCAGGGGCGCGATTCCGGCTCACTGCAACCTCCGCCTCCCAGGTTCAACGGATTCCCCTGCCTCAGCCGAGCAGCTGGAACTACAGGCATGCAGCATCACGCCCGGCTGATGTTTTGTATTTTAGTAGAGTCGGGGTTTCACCATGTTTGCCAGGATGGTCTCTATCTCCTGACCTTCTGACCTGCCCTCCTTGGCCTCCCAAAGTGCTAGGATTACAGACGTGAGCCACCGCGCCTGGCCCACTTTCAGAAAAAAGAGTCACACTGAGTCTTTTAGATGTGTCTGATTGGGTTGATGTAAAGCTGGTGGTTTCCTATCTTTCTTTTTCTGTCTCCAAGTTTCAGTTTTTGTGTTTGGGTCACAAACCAAAATCAAGTGTGACTCCTTTCTCTGAGTTGCTCCTTAGTTTGTGAGCAAAGAGATAGAAACTTTAGGGTACAAAGAAATTAAAGTGTTGACTGCCATTTTTGCATCCATTTAAACCATGCTAAACAGCAGTATGATACTTTGCTCTTTCTAGCCCTCTGCTTGTGAGACCTTTTCCTCTTCTTCATCCTTCCGAATGTCTGAGAAGTTTCACTTCTCAATTTTCGGGTTTGGGGTCGGGAGGGGATTTTACTTACAAGACTGGGCAGTAACTAAAATACTGCTTCTGAGAAGGGAGTTTGTTCCCCTTCCTAACCTCCCTTTGGGAAGGTGGGATTGATGATGTTGAGATTCAATACTAAGTCTACTCCCTCAATGCACAGGTCCCATAGTTTTTATTTATTTATTTATTTTGAGACAGAGTCTCCCTCTGCCGTCCAGGCTGGAGTGCAGTGGCGTGATCTTGGCTCACTGCAACCTCCGCCTCCCGGGTTCAAGCAATTCTCCTGCCTCAGCCTCCCGAGTAGCTGGGATTACAGGCATGAGCCACCACGCCCGGGTAATCTGTGTATTTTTAGTAAAGATGGGGTTTCACCATGTTGGCCAGGCTGGTCTTGAACTCTTGACCTCGGGTGATCCACCCACCTCAGCCTCCCAAAGTGCTGGGATTACAGGCATGAGTCACCGTGCCCGGCCTCACAGTTTTTAAATGAACAACATGAAAGCATTAACTTTGGACACAGGCAGCTCCTCTCCACCCCTAGTCCCCCCAACCAATGGACACTTTGAGTGACAGCCATACTGGGGGTGGGGATGGAGGGTCCACCAATGGTCCATGTATGGATTTCCAACTAATGTTCTGCTTTTTGACCTTCACAGCATCTCTCGCCTCCTGTGGCTCTCCACTGTAAGCTTCTTGACTGTTATACAGCGCAAGGTGGTTTGCTTTTACTTGGGATCCCCTCCTACAATGTGGTAGCTCTTTTCCTGAGAAATGAGCTAGACAATCTGCTTTTTGTTTTATGAAAATGTGTTATGTCTGCCGGGTGTGGTGGCTCACGCCTGTAATCCCAGCGCTTTGGAGGCCGAGGCAGGTGGATCATGAGGTCAGGAGTTCGAGACCAGCCTGACCAACATGGTGAAACCCCGTCTCTACTAAAAATACAAAAATTAGCTGGGTCTGGTGGTGTGTGCCTGTAATCCCAGGTACTCGGGAGGCTGAGGCAGGAGAATCGCTTGAAAGGCAGAGGCTGCAGTGAGCCAAGATCGCGCCATTGCACTCCAGCCTGGCGACAGAGCAAGACTCCATCTCAAAGAAAAAAAAAAGTGTTATGTCTACTGTTGTCTCTTCTCCTATTCTCTTTGTCCTTATGGATTTATACATTTTTCCTCACTTAGTGACATTTTAGAAAAGAAATAGATGTATGTGTTAAACTATTAGTTTAACCAGAAATCAGCCTTTTCATTTAGTGGTTCAATTTGTTTTTAATTATGTCTCTTCAAACAATGCATGACGGAATTTAAAAAAATCATTTTGTAAGGAAGACAGAACTTAACCACTATCCTCTTAAGGTTCCTAGGTGGGCCTGAGAATTAAATTGTCATAAAATAGATTAACAGAAGAAAAGCATACAATTTAATATGTTTTGTGTGACACTGGAGCCCTCATAAGGAAATGAAGATGCAAAGAAGTGGGAAAACCCAAATGCCTTTATATTAGGTTGAACAAAGATAGCCAGTTATGCAGATAACTAAATTATGTGGGAAGGTTAAAGGAAGATAAGAATTGTTTTAACAAGGTCTGTTTGTACAGATTTCTCTTGGCTATGACTCCACTATCGAACAAGGAGATACAAGGAGGGCATTTTTCTCAAGGGAGTTTTTCTTTCTCTCTCTTTTTTTTTTTTTTTTTTTTGAGACAAAGTCTCACTCTGCTGCCCAGGCTGGGGTGCGGTGGTGCGATCTCTGCCCACTGCAACCTCTGCCTCCCAGGTTCAAGTCATCCTCTTGCCTCAGCCTCCCAAGTAGCTGGGATTACAGGCACCCGCCACCACACCTGGCTAATTTTTGTATTTTTGGTAGAGATGGGGTTTCACCATGTTGGCCAGGCTGGTCTCGAACTCCTGACCTCAGGTGATCCACCCGCCACAGCCTCCCAAAGTGCTGGGATTACAGGAGTAAGCCACCATGCCAGGCCTGCACAAGGGAGTTTTTCAGGAAGAAAAGGGGAACATTAGAATACTCTTCTGAATCTGCTATTTTTTAAGTGCCTTTAGCTCAAAATAATTCTTATGTCAAAGCAGCATATTTTGGGGAAGCTAATCTGCCACCTTCACTTTCCGTGAGCCATCCACCCATCTATCCATTTATTTATTTATTTATTTATTTTTGAGACAGGGTCTTGCTCTGTTGCCCAGGCTGGAGTGCAGTGGCACGGTCACAGCTCACTGCAGCCTCAAACAACTGAGCACAAGTGATACTCCCACCTTGGCCTCTCAAAACACTGGGATTACAGGTAGGAGCCACCACACCTGGCCCCAAGATCTGGCTCTTTAGTTTTAGTCTTCTGAATATTTCTATTCCGCAGCTGCAGATTTGATTGGATTATCTGTATGCCCTTCATGAAATTTCAACCTCCCAAATTCCCTATTTTGTTAGAAAATTGTGCCAATATTTTCCACTTGACTAATTTCACCTATGAGACATTTTATAAACAATACAAATAAAAATATTATAATATGTATCTAGATTATATTATTAATCTAGATTGTATCTAGATTATATTATTAATCTAGATTGTATCTAGATTATATTATTAATCTAGATTGTATCTAGATTATATTATTAATCTAGATTGTATCTAGATTGTAATATTATAATATGCATCGTTATTGCTTTACAGGTGTTTTAATGCATACCATTTCATTTTCTTGTGCCAACAACCTGTGAAGGAGGCAGTGAAGATATTCTCCAAACTGACAGAGGAATAGAGGAGGCTGGGAGGGGTTTCATGACTCCCCTAAAACCCATATCTCCAGGAGCCACAGCCAGGCCCAAGTTGTTATAGGAGGCAGAAAGAAATTATTTAGGTAGACAGGGTAAAGAGAGTCCCCAGCAGAAAACTTTCCTTTTAACAAAAAGCAGCTCAAAGATAGCTCCCTTTCTAACTTCATGCAGTTCAAGGAAGTCACTTCTCTTCTAAAAGCAGGCGGCCTGAAAGAGCAGACAGTAAAACTCAGGTAAGGCAGCTCGGACACAGAAGGGGCGGGGCGGTGGGGGCATGTCTCCTGGGTAATCACCAAGCTTCACACCTATACAGTGGGCCCCAGTGAAACAGTGGGCATTAATAAGCACATTCCTTTCCCTTTAAGTGTACTAAGATAGGGAAGCTAAAAGCAGACTTGAGGGGTATGCCTGCAGCTGCAAGAAGATGTATGGGAACAGACACAGAAACTCTCCCTTCCAGATAGATTAGGCAAGACAAAGAAACACAGACTAAAAGTCAGCCTATGTGGCCCAGAAATGGGATGAGAGCTGATAAAACCTCTGGTCGATACAGATAGCACATCTGGTCCCAACTGAACCGTCAGGCCCTGGGAGGATAAGACATCCCCTCCTCATGAGCCCCCTCCTCACTAGGGCATTTATAAAAACCCTGACATTTTTGCTATACCTTGGCAACCCGCTCAGGACCCCTCTCTGTAACAGAGAGCTGTTCTTTCCTTTTATCTATGAAACTCCTGCTCCAAACTCTGTCTGTGTGTGTGTCTGTGACCTCAATCTCCTTGGCTGTAAGACCAAGAGCCTTGGTATTTACCCCCCAGACAATGAGGGTGCTTCATTTTGGGGGCCCATCTGGGATTTGAAGGTGAATTCATCGGAAGGGTGAGTAGGGGAGCGGACTCTGTCCTTTCACTTCCGAGGCTTCTCAGCCTCAGTTTTTTATTCTCTCAAAGAACTATCGAAAACACTGGGCATCTGATGGCCGATTAAGGAACCACGAGAGCCTGCCGCCGGTCTTAAAGACTCATGTGAGGCTTGCTGGGGAGGACCTAGTCAATCCCCCGGTGCCCTCAGAGTGCTGGGAATGTTGGCTGTGTCCAAACTTTTGTTTGTTTGTTTGTTTTGTTTTGTTTTCACGGACAGCCTGGCTGTGGTGCTGGAATAGGTCTTGGAGCAACTGAGAATTTCTGGCCAGGGCCACACCCTGGTGTTATTCAAAAGGTTCCTGGACTGATCCCAGGCTCCGTCCGCCCGACTGGGTGTCAGCCACAGGATCTCCAGGCTTTCCTATCGCAAATTTTATTTTTCTCCTTTCCTTTCCGGCAGTCACCATACCTCCCATCCTCTCTCTCTATGCAATGCTGCGGGAGTTTTTACAGCCCAGGGAAATAATTCAATTAGGCAGGCTTAGCAACCACCTTAGCAACCAGGAATGCAGGTCAAAGGATTGATGTTTTTGTGACTCTTTACAGACAGGAGGATTTCATGATCCAGATCTCAGACTCTAACTCCTAACCATAGCACTTCCTGGGGTTGGGTGGGAGGTTACTTTCCCCCCAGTAAAAGCCCCTCTGTCCACCTAGGCTATTTCTTTTCCCATATGAGGAGCCAGCACTGCCCAGTCGGACTGGATAGTCCCTCTAGGACGCGAATTAACTTTCTCCTGCTAGGAGGTATGCTGTGGGGACAGCTTGCCACAGGTCAAACTTCTCTCTCTGTCCTTTGTTTAAAGAGCATACAGAGGCAAAGTTACTGCCTGGTGTTCCACTAGCATCACCTAGTAGAATGGGAATCCTCTCCAGGGGGAAACTTGCCTGCCGTTTGCCAAAAGCCTCTAGCTTTCCAGTTCTTCTCCCTTTTATGCCCCTCTAATAGAGACCAAACCTTATGCCCCCTCTGCGAGTGGTAGAGACCAAACCTTATGCCCCCTCTAATAGAGACCAAACCTTATGCCCCCTCTGCGAGCGGGAGAGACCAAACCTTATGCCCCCTCTGCGAGCGGGAGAGACCAAACCTTATGCCCCCTCTGTGAGCGGGAGAGACCAAACCTTATGCCCCCTCTAATAGAGACCAAAACTTATGCCCCCTCTGCGAGCGGAAGAGACCAAACCTTATGCCCCCTCTGCGAGCGGGAGAACTCTGCTTTCAGCAGTGAGGAGGAACATATCCTCCAAATCCGAATTTTAGTCTCAATACTCTATTAGCAGGAAGGCCACCATATGACCCTTATGTTCTCTTAAGACACCTATTTTACCTAAAACTATAATGGCATCTAAGTAGAAAGGGGGTTTATTTTTATTTTATTTCATTTTTTTGAGACGAAGTCTCTCTCTTTTCCCCCATTCTGGAGTGCAATGGCGCAATCTCAGCTCACTGCAACCTCCGCCTCCCGGGTTCAAGCAATTCTCCTGCCTCAGCCTCCCGAGTACCTGGGATTACAGGTGCATACCACCACACCCAGCTAATTTTTTTGTATTTTAAGTAGAGACGGGGTTTCACCATGTTGGCCAGGCTGGTCTTGAACTCCTGACCTCAGGTGATCCGCCCGCCTCGGCCTCCCAAAGTGCTGGGATTATAGGCATGAGCCACTGCGCCCGGCCAGAAAGGGGATTTTATGTCGGGAAGTTGACTGGAACCACCACCTAAGAATAATTTCTCTAGTCCGGGCAGTAGTAGCAGAGTACAAAGCTCAGTCCCAGTGCACTGAGTACAAAGCACAGGGAGTCCCAGTGCACTCCCTCCATTAAGGGGCCTTGCTCAAAGCAACTGTTACATAATCTCTCCCGAGACCCATCCATCAAGGAGCCACACAGGTCACACAGGTCTAGAAGGTCAGAGGGTAGTTACCCAATTATTAGGCAGAGGACTGAGCTCACTTGGGGTAAACATGACTAGCCCCATTGATTAGGTCCTCTGGTACCACATTTGGGGGTCACGCCTGCAACCATGGGGTACCAATTATGGTGCCAGGACCCAGGGAGTAGGGAGGGAGAACAGTCAGGAGGATGCTCACACTGTGTCCCCTCCACCCTGGGTCACATCGAAAAGAACCAGGAGACTGAGGAACACCTTGATTCTTGTCTCTTTTTTAAGATGGGTAACAAGCCATCTTTGGCCTGCACTCCTCTGGCATGCATTCTGAAATACTGGGACTCCTTTGACCCTGAAACTTTGAAGAAAAAGTCAGGAAAGGCCTAGAAGAAGCCAGGAAAGTGCTAGAAGCTATTATTAAGAATAGCTTTTTTTTTTTTTTTCCACAATGGTGTGGCCTTCTTACCATCTCAGGAATGAACAGACCTGGCCAGCTGAAGGGAGCCTTGATTTTAATCTTATCCAACAATTAGATCTTTTCTGTAGATGGGAGAGCAAATGGCCCAAGGTCCCCTATGTACAGGCTTTCTTTGCCCTGCGGGACAATCCAGACCTTTGCGAGTATTGCACAATTGACTCAGCCCTCTTGGCAATCATATCAGGCAGGTGTCTGTGGAGAGTAGTTCCGCTAAGTTAGAAAAGCAAGTTTTGGAGGAGCCATTGGAGGCGGCTTCTAAGTGTCCCAGTCCTTCTAGTTTTCCTTATCTGGGCCCCCTCCAACTGTGCCATCAGCTCCTCCAGCTCCACCATCTGCAAAGCTCCCCACTGCCCCAGCTTCACTCCTACCCCTACAAAAAAATGCCAGATGGAAGGGGCATCACTAGGGTACCTGTTCCCTCCTCATTACAGAACCCTAGGCAAATAAAGGGAGACTTGGGCTGGTTTTCTGATGACCCTGATAGGTATATTGAGGCCTTCCAAAATGTAACTCAAGTGCTTTACCTCACATGCAGGGACGTTATGCTGCTTCTAAGCCAAACCCACACTGCAGCTGAAAAGCAGGCAGCTCCAGATATTAGAAGGAAGCTACAGAAACAGGCCATAGGACCGGGTAGTACCTTGGAAGACCTCCTGAAGTTGGACACTTCGGTCTTTTACAATAGGGACCGGGAGGAGGCCCAGGAGAAAAAGAGAAGCACAAGAGAAAGACTAAGGCTCTAGTGGCCGCTTTGCAGCCTTGCAGAATTCAGCATCCCCAGGGAGCATCCACTCATCACTATCAGTGTGGCAAGCTAGTGCACTTTAAGAATTGCCTAGGCAACAAGAAAAAGCCACCTCAATGCTGTCCAGCATGTGGTGGAGATCACTGGAGATCAGACTGCCCCTGGGGACAGAAGTCACCTGGTCCAGAACCAGTCTCACAGAGGATCCAGCAGGACTGATGGATTCTGGGGCCCAAACCCCCGGCTCCAGCGGCTCAGGCTGCCATCATGCTCAGCAGCCCTGGGTGATTCTGGAAATTGAAGGGAGGAGGGTGGGCCTCCTCCTGGATACTGAAGCTAGTCTCTCTGTCCTCTCCAATCCAGGCCTCCCCTCTTCCCATAGCACAACCGTGGTGGGTATCTCAGCAAAGACTCTAATCCGACATTTCTCTCAACCCCTTAGCTGTAGTTGTGGGTACTTATTATCTACACATACCTTCTTGATTATGCCTGACCTTCCCACTCGTTCATTAGATAGAGACATTTCAGCCCACATGGGGGTCTACATCCTCATGGCCCCAGGATAAACTCTTTGTCTTCTCTTAGTGGAAGCCAATATTAATCTAAAAGTGTGGGCAACTCAAGAAAGAGTGGGTTGAGCTAAAACTGCTAGGCCAGTTCAAATGCACCTTCTTTTCCTAACCTGAGACAATATCCCCTAAGGCCAGAAGCCAGGAAAGGGCTAGAAGCTATTATTAATAACCTGAAAATGCAGGGCCTCCTCAGACCCTGCAGCAGTCCTTGCAACACTCCGATACTAGGAGTGCAAAAGCCCAATGGGGAATGGAGCCTAGTTCAGGACCTTCGTCTCATGAATGAGGCCATAGTCCCAATTCATCCAGTGGTCCCTAATCCCTGCACCTTGCTGACACAGATACCGCAGGAAACTAAATGGTTTATAGTCCTAAATTTAAAGGATGCCTTTTTCTGCATACTGTTACATCCTGACTCTCAATACCTGTTTGCCTTTGAGGATTCCCCCCAGTCAGACCGCCCAGTTAACATGGATGGTGCTGCCTGAGGGATTTCAAAACAGCCCTCACTTGTTTGGACAAGCACTGTCAAAGGACCTTTCTAAGTTCTCCCATCCTCAGGTCAGGGTCTTGCAGTGTGTAAATGACACTTTCCTCTGTGCCCCAATCAAGAAAGTCTCAGGAAGGCACTTAGACTCTCCTCAATTTCTTAGCTAAAAGAAGTATAGGGTTGGCCGGGCGCGGTGGCTCACGCTTGTAATCCCAGAACTTTGGGAGGCCTAGGTGGGTGGATCACTTGAGGACAGGAGTTCGAGACCAGCCTGGCCAACATGGTGAAACCTGTCTCTACTAAAAATACAAAAAAAAAAAATTAGCTGGGCATGGTGATGGGCACCTGTAATCCCAGCTACTCAGGAGGCTGAGGCAGGAGAATCTCTTGAACCCAAAAGGAGGAGGTTGCAGTGAGCCGAGATCACACCATTGCAGTCCAGCCTGGACAACAATAGTGAAACTCTGTCTCAAAAAAAAAAAAAAAAAAAAAAGAAGAATAGGGTCTCAAAATCTAAAGCTCAGCTCTCTCAGAATTCAGCAAAGTACCTAGTTCTGGTCTTATCAAAAGGGAGCAGAGCACCTGGTGAGGAAAGGATTAAGCCCATTTCCTTTAACAGTTAAGAAAATTCTTAGGCATTATTGGATTTTGTAGACTGTAAGTACCTGGGCACAGGAAAGTAGCTCATCCTTTATACCACCTCATAAAAGAAACTCAGACAGTTAAAACTCAACCCCCTTTAGGAACCTAAAAACACAAAAGCCTTAAACTAGCTAAAGCAAGCCTTACTTAAAGCAACAGTTCTGGCCAGGTGAGGTGGCTCACGCCTGTAATGCCAGCAATTTGGGAGGCTGAGGAGGGTGGATCACAAAGTCAAGAGATCAAGACCATACTGGCCAACATGGTGAAACCCCGTCTCTACTAAAAATACAAAAATTAGCTGAGCGTGGTGGCACGTGTCTGTAGTCCCAGCTACTAGGGAGGCTGAGGCAGGAGAATCGCTTGAACCCAGGAGGCAGAGGTTGCAGTGAGCCGAGATAGCGCCACTGCACTCCAGCCTGGCGACAGAGCGAGACTCGGTCTCCCCCCCAAAAAAAGGACCAGTTCTTAGTCTTCCCATAGGGAAGGTATTTAATCTTTATGTATTGAAAAGGAAGAAAATAGCCCTGAAAGTTTTAACTAGGGCTTGAGGTCCAGCTCAACAGCCAGTGGGTTACTTAAGCAAGGATCTTAACTTGGTGGCTTAAGAATAGTCAGCCTGCCTCCAAGCAGTTACAGTGGTGGCTTTGCTGGTGCCAGAAACCTCTGGGTTAACCATGGGAAATAACTTAGCTGTGCCAGGCGCGGTGGCTCACGCCTGTAATCCCAGCACTTTGGGAGGCCGAGGCGGGCGGATCACGAGGTCAGGAGATCGAGACCATCCTGGTTAACACGATGAAACCCCGTCTCTACTAAAAATACAAAAAAATTAGCCGGGCGTGATGGCGGGCGCCTGTAGTCCCAGCTACTCGGGAGGCTGAGGCAGGAGAATGGCGTGAACCCGGGAGGTGGAGCTTGCAGTGAGCCGAGATCGCGCCAAGGCACTCCAGCCTGGGTGACAGAACGAGACTCCGTCTCAAAAAAAAAAAAAAAAAAAAAAAAAAAGAAATAACTTCGCTGTTTAACCCCACACAATATAACAGGAATGTTGTCCACTAAGGAAAGTCTCTGGCTAACAGACAATTGCCTCCTCAAATATCAAGCTTTGCTGCTAAAGGGATCTGCAGGCCAGTTAAAAACCCACCCTTGCCTGAGCCCAGTCACTTTCTCCCAGAGAAAACTGGAGAACCTGAACATAATTGTGAACAGGTAGTGGTGCAAACTGGAAAAACAAATGGTAAGAATTACTGCTTATCTTATCTGCAAAGTGTTAATTCGTGAAAAAGGATTTTCTTAAAGAGCACTCAGCTTAATTAAAAATGGATATCCAAGCTATAAGTACATCCAAAAGGCCTTCATGTTTTTCTCTTCATAAATCTAGTTTTCCTGGAAAAGGTTTTTTTTCTCACTCGACTGAATTACTTTTCTCCACTCTGTCTTGCCACTCTTGTTGCATGCATGAAAGCCCCTAGAATGACTTCTGGTGGCCTGGGCTGCCTTGGGACATCAGAAAAGGTGCCACAAATTCCATTCTGGGAAAAATCTCTGTTTTCCTTATGGAACCCCTGGAATTAGAGGTGAGTAAGTACCTCTCCAAATCTGTCCTTGTCTTCTGGCTATGCTTGTTTATTAGGCCCTGGAAATTGTACTCCTAGCCCTGTTCTTATAGGGCCTCACCCAGAGGCCAATAATCTAATTGGGAAATTGGCAAATGTAAGTTTTATAACTACTGGATCTTATTCTGTTTGTCTGTGTGGTTATATATGTGTTATGTGTGCAATGTCTATTAAAAAGAGCTCTAATTAATTGGCCTAAGAAAAATAAGCACTTAAATCAAATATTTTTAAAGGAAAAGTAAAAGCTGTGGTACCTTTCAGATCACATGACTTTAATCTTTAAAAATAAAAGCGGTCTTAGGAATTATTGGTAAAATACAAATGTCTTCAAGGTGTAAAAATGTGGTCTAAATTATGCAGGTCAGATACTAGGTTTGCTAAATGTTTTAAGGTTGTAAAGTGCTTCTTTTTTTTTTTGTTTTTTGTTTTTTTGAGAGAGTCTTGCTCTGTCACCCAGGCTGGGGTGCAGTGGCCTGATCTCGGCTCACTGCAAGCTCCGCCTCCCGGATTCACGCCAGTCTCCTGCCTCAGCCTCCCGAAAAGCTGGGACTACAGGCGCCCGCCACCACGCCCAGCTAATTTTTTTTGTGTTTTTAGTAGAGACAGGGTTTCACCGTGTTAGCCAGGATGGTCTCAATCTCCTGACCTTGTGATCTGCCCGCCTCAGCCTCCCAAAGTGCTGGGATTACAGGCGTGAGCCACCGCGCCTGGCCGTAAACTGCTTCCTTAGCCTTTAAGAACTTTCAACTTGCCTGCTTCACAACTGGTAAGGCCAAGAACATGTTGAAGTAGCCATGTCCCTAACTATGCTAGAAGGAGTCAAACTTCATCTGCATCCAGCGCATGATTTAAAAAACGTAGCAGGTTTTACATTAAAGTTAAAAATTGCTAAGCATTACCATTATGACTTGTAATTAAAACCACTGAACATGGATTTGCATGCAAGACATATAAAAACAGTAAAATATGTTTTTAGTTAAAAATTATACGATAGCATGAAAATATACATTTTGCTTAGGAATAAAGAATTGTCTTACAATTAAATAAAATAAAGTGGATGGTTTAAGCAAGTTGTGAGGAGATTGTAAAAATTAGTCCTGCAAAGGAAACTCTGTGTGTGACCATATTAACTAAATTCAAAAGGGTATTATATGTTTTTTTTTCTGTAAATTAAACACAAAACAAAAGCACGACAAGATTTTCTTACAATGCTAATCTACTCTTTACCAAAACTTGTCAAGGGTTGTGAAAACTTGTCAACAGGTCTGTGAAAATCTCACTTCATGGTCAAACTGGTTAAAATTAAATAGGATTGTCTATAAGGATTCATTAAAAATTAGTGTTAACATTAATAGCATACTAATGCAAGGGTAAAATTTAACCTCTCTTGAACAGGATTTTCATGTAATAGAAAAGGCTGATGAATGGTTTTTGCTTTTTCAAATTTTTGACTTATTTTGGCAAAACAAAACAAATAAAAAAAACTTATGGTAATCTAAAATTCTATTTCATAATATCGAGTGTTTTGAATTTTGAACATATTTAACAGGCTTCCCAAAATCAAACTTTAGTCTGAAGTTTGTCTTTCCTAAACTTTGGCTTTGGGGTGTTGCAGAGGGCCCCTGGAGCATCCAGAAGAGAGGTAAACAGGATTATTTAACATGTTTAGGTACATGGAATTGACAAAATGATGTCTAATAGGTTATATTTTAGGGAATAATATTAACATGTTTTCCACAACTGTATGGGATGTCTAGGGTTCTAGTGTCTGAATATGTGCAATCAATCACAATTAAGGTTGTTATGCTGGGTTATTGTAAATCATAAAAATAACCAAGTTTCTTTGTCAATTGTGTTTCTGACAGTATCCAAACTGGACATTTTGTCATTTACAGATAATTGTTGTTTTGTTTTAATTCTCTTCAAAAGATGTTTTATAATCAAGCTGTGGGACTTGAACAAGTGCTCTCAAATGTGGGTTTCTCATAACAACAACAACAAAAATACAGAACTCATGAAAAGCTGAAATGTTTATAAATATCAAGCAAAACAAAAGTTAATAGAATGGACTGAACTAATGGAAAACAGAAGCAAGTTTTTGGCTTTTGCTTGGAACACCGCTAATCCTTATTTTATTTTTCAGAGTCAAGGAAACTTGTCTTGAGCTAGCTACAGCCTTTAACAACTAAGTAAAGTATACTCCTGTAAATAGGATTTGAAGCGTGTTTGTTTCTCTCTGCCTAGTTCCTCTAGAATTTGAAAACTAGTTATAAGTATTCTTAAATTACAACAATATAGTTTGCATCAATGCAACAAGAATCCATTTTCTTTTGCAACAGGACACAATTGGAAAAACTGGTTGTTTTACCAAGGCTTTGACTGGAAGGGTGTGTTCCCCTTTAAGGAGTCAGGCTTGACTTGTAAAGCCAATAAAAAGCACCTTAGGAAACTGGCCTCATACCTAGACTACAGCTTCTCAGTACAGGGCTCCTAGCCTGCGGTGAGTAAAGAATGTCACTTTCTAACAGGCCTAGAAACCCCATGCACCTGGAACCTCAAGAAGAAAGAAGTTTACCCAATTCGCATGTATTTAAAGGTTTCAACCCATTCCTGGGCTTGGCTTTAAAAGGTCCTATCTGAGATTCCTTATGGAAAAAGTTTCCATCAAAGCTGATCTAAAAGATGGTTATTCTTGCTGGACTTTATGCAAATAATCAGACCAAGTTTAAAACTAAAGTCTGTTTTGCAAACAGCTCAGTCCTACCATAAGTTGTTTTTAACAAAAATGAGGACTAAAGAGAGAAAAATTATGTTTTAAAACTTATACATCTGTCATTGGCTTGTAGTCTCATTAATTGTTTTTAAGTTCTTGCCTACATTTTAAACTAACCCTGTTTATTTCTGTCAATCTCTGGCTGCAGCTCAAAGGAAACAAAAAAGCATGGGTAATGTAAAAATCTGGAAACATGTTCTAGTTCTGGGCAATTATCCTACAAATACTGACAGGTAACCTATAACCCCAAGGTTTCCTTTTTTTCAGGGAAGGTGAGACCAAGGAAGCTAAACAAAGCCAAGCCCCATACACCCACTTACAATAGCACAATCCATTTAAATGGCTTGCAGGTATCAAACAAACTCAGTAGTCATGGTTATGGCCTATTGTGCCCCCATTAATAATGGCAGTCTTAATACTCACAGTTGAACCCTATATTCTAAGCCCCCTTGTAAACTTTATCTCTTCTCACCTAGAAACCACCAAGCTTCAAATGGTGCTTTAAATAAAGCTGAAAATGAAACCTCCCTTCTACCAGGAACCCTTAAATCAACCCCAGGAGGAGCCCTAGCTGCTGTTCCCCACACAATGCCCCTCTCCAGCAGGAAGTAGCCAGAAGAAGTCATCACCCAATTCCCCCTAACGGCAGTTAGGGATTCCATTTCAGAGGGGGGAAATATGTTATAGGAGGCAGAGAGAAATTATTTAGGTGAGTCCCTGGCAGAAAACTTTCCTTTTAACAAAAAGCAGCTCAGACATAGCTCCCTTTCTAATCTCATGCAGTTCAAAAAGTCACTTCTCTTCTAACAACAAGCAGCCTGAAAGAGCAAACAGTAAAACACAGATAAGACAGCTCCCACACAGAAGGAGCTGGGGAAAATCTCCTGGGTAATCACCAAACTTCACACCTATACAGTGGGTCTCAGTGAAACAGTGGGCCTTAATAAGCACATTCCTTTCCCTTTTAGGTGTACTAAGATAGGGAAGCTAAAAGCAGACTTGAGCCTGTAATCCCAGCACTTTGGGAGGCCGAGGTGGGCGGATCACTAGGTCAGGAGATCGAGACCATCCTGGCTAACACGGGTGCTTTCTGTATGTCAAGTGCCACACTATTAATTCTTTTTTTTTTTTTTTGAGACAGAGTTTTGCTCTTGTTGCCCAGGCTGGAGTGCAATGGCACGATCTCGGCTCACCACAATCTCCGCCTCCCAGGTTCAAGCGATTCTCCTGCCTCAGCCTCCTGAGTAGCTGGGATTACAGTCATGCACCACCATGCCTGGCTAATTTTGTATTTTTATTAGAGATGGGGTTTCTCCATGTTGGTCAGGCTGGTCTTGAACTCCCCACCTCAGGTGATCCGCCCACATCAGCCTCTCAAAGTGCTGGGATTACAGGTGTGAGCCACTGTGCCTGGCCTCACACTATTAATTCTTTTAATTTACTTACCCATCTTGTGAGATAGGTACTACTTTATTACCATTGTAGTTCCTGTTTTACAGAGGAGGATAGTAGACACACTAAGATAAAGTTATTTGTGAAGCTAACCACACACCTAGTAAGTGGCAGAGCTAGGGTTTGAACCCATGCCATCTGCCTTTGGAGATTCTAAGATGATAGACCCTCACTTTGGTATGACTTCCATCTGTGAAAGCCCCTCCTACAAAACCCCTCACTGCCACTCCATCCTAAAATCTAGATGGAGTCTCGGACTGACCACAAACTAGTTCACTTTTTCTCTTATTCCTTCCTCACAACTTAGACACTCAATGATCTTGTAGTTGCCAAAGACTAGGACTTTTTCAGTCTTTTTCTCACCACCTAATCTAAAGAGACACCTGTGGTCAGTTGGACCTTGTGGCTAACTCGCTGGAGAAATTGCAGTTGAAGTTGAAGGGCTACTCTTAACCTTCACATTTATCTTGCCCTGTTGATATCCACAGCACTAGGCATGGTATGTTCTTTGGAACACATGCCCAGTGAGTCCCAAAGTCACAAGGTTATTTGATTTATTTTATTAGCATGAGCTTGCTTATTGGCCCATTTTTAAATGCAATGTATTATGTACAGTTCAATGTACTATGGACAGGACTGCTTAAGTTAATTTGAACTAAATGTATAAAAATGTTAATGGTTAAACACTTTTTCCTTTTGAAAACAATTTTTAAAAATTTTAATTGTGGTAAAAACATACAATTTAGCATTGAAACCATTTTAAAATGTGTAGTTCAGTAGCATTAAGTATATTCACATGGCTGTGCCACAGATCTCCAACGATTAAGCACTTTTAAAACAATACAGTTCTAGGGGAGATATTACTATTTTTGTTAGGAAAGAATAAAATGTCTCAAATATTGTGAATTTAGACAACTGGAAAATATTGGTAGAGAACTTGGGAGGCTGAAATTGGGAAAGAGAAAATGTGGGAAGCTAGAAATAGGCAATTTGGGAGGTGGAAATTTTGGGGAGAGGCTATGGTTATCTCCGAGTTGTAGTATTGATGATTTTTTGTTAGTATTTTAAATTTGATGGCTTTCCTATACTGTACATGGGTTACTTTTTGTTTACCAGGAAGCACAGCTTCCTGGCAGGTGTCAAACAATCTACCCCAGCAATAGTTCAACAGTAGGATATTTTTAGGCATATTTTTGTAAGAGAACTTTTCTGTTCTTACCCAAGATGAAACAGTTTCAGAAGTTTGGGCACAAAAGGTTCGAGGAAGCTGCTGACAACTGAGGCTTCTCAGGGTTATTCAGTTAGTTCAGAAGATCTTGCTTGTATTCCTAGGTTTTCTGACTAGCTGGAGCACTTTGTCCAAGGCATTGAGCAACAAATTAAAACATCCTTTGGTGCCACCTTATGCTAAGTGGGAGAAACTGCAGCTATTTAAACTGATTTCACAATTAGACTCAGTAGCTTTAATCTCCAGGAATTAGAGAGATAAGGAACCTATTTCCCTCCCTCCCTCCCTCCCTTCCTCCCTCCCTCTCTTCCTTCCTTCCTTCCTTGCTTCCATTTTTCTCTCTCTCTGTTAATAATTTCAACTTTTATTTTAGATTCAGGGGTACAAGTGTAGGTTTGTTACATGGGTATATTGTGTGATGATGCTGAGGTTTGGGGTATGGATGATTGCATCACCAGGTAGTGAGCACAGTACATAGAATGAGGTAGTTTTTCAGCCTACACTCCCCTCTCTCCCGCCTCCCTCTTGTAGTACCCAGTGTCTGTGGTTGCCGTCTTTATGTTCATGTGTACTCAATGTTTAGCTACCACTTATTAGTGAGAACATGCGGTATTTTTTTTTATTTCTGTGTTAATTCACTTAGGATAATGGCCTTTAGCTGCATCCACATTGCTACAAAAAACAGAATTTGTTCATTTTTATGGCTGCAGAGTGTGCCATGGAGCACATGTACCACATTTTCTTTATCTAGTCCACCATTAATGGGCACCTAGATTGCTTCTGTCTTTGCTATTGTGAATAGTGCTGCAACGAACATACAAGTGCATGTGTCTTTTTTTGTAGAACAATTTATTTTCCTTTAGATATATACCCTGTAATGGGATTTGGGATTGCTGGGTGGAATGGTAGTTCTGTTTTAAATTCTTTGAGAAACCTCCAAACTGCTTTCTACAGTGGCTGAACTAATTTACATTCTCGCCAACAGTGCATAAGTGTTCCCTTTTCTCTGCAGCCTTTCCAGCATCTGTTATTTTTTTTACTTTTTAATAATAACCCTTCTGGCTGGTGTGAGATGGTATCTTATTGTGGTTTTGATTTGCTTCTCTGATGATTAGCGATGTGGGGCATTTTTTTCATATGTTTGTTGGCTGCTCGCATATCTTTTGAGAAGTATCTGTTCATGTCCTTTGCCCATTTTTTAATGGGGTTGTTTTTTGCTTGCTGATTTAAGTTCCTTATGGATTGTGGATATTAGACCTTTGTCAGATACATAGTTTGTGAAGATTTTCTCCCATTCTGTAGGTTGTCTGTTTTCTTTGTTGAAAGTTTATTTTGCTGTGCAGAAGCTCTTTAGTTTAATTAGGCCCCACTTACCAATTTTTGTTTTTGTTGCAATTGCTTTTGGGGATTTAGCCATAAATCAATGCTGATGTCAAGAAGTGTAGTTCCTAGGTTTTCTTCTAGGATTTTTATAGTTTGAGGTCTTACATTTAAATCTTTAATCGATCTTGATTTAATTTTTGTATATGGTAAAATGGATCTAGTTTCATTATTCTGCAGATGGCTGGCTAGCTATTCTAGTGCCATTATTGAATAGGGAGCTCTTTCCCCATTGCTTAACTTTGTTGACTTTTTATTTTTTATTTTTTTCATTTTTTAATTTTTTAGACGGAGTCTTACTCTGCCGCCAGGCTGGAGTGCAGTGGTGCTATCTTGGCTCACTGCAACCTCCGCCGCCCTGGTCCAAGTGATTCCCCTGCCTCAGCCTCCCAAGTAGCTGGGACTACAAGCGCGTGCCACCATGCCTGGCTAATGTTTTGTATTTTAGTAGAGACAAGGTTTCACCATGTTGGCCAGGATGGTCTCGATTTCCTGACCTCATGATCCACCCGCCTCGGCCTTCCAAAGTGCTGGGATTACAGGTGTGAGCCACTGCGCCCGGCCTTTATTTTTGTTGACTTTTTGAAGTTCAGCTGGCTGTAGGATAGTGGCTTTATTTCTGGGTTCTCTACTCTGTTCCATTGGTCCATGTGTCTGTTTTTGTACCAATACCATGTTGCTTTGGAGGAACGTATTTTTCTAACTATAGATGTTAGTTTCTTTCAGTTTTAAAAATGTATTATTATGTGATGTGATACTTGTATTGTTTGATACTAGGATTCATGATTCAGTTAAATATTGTTTTGGACAAATACCTGTGTGAAATTTATAAACATTGGTATCATGTCCTAAGACTCATTTGGGATGATACACATAAAAGGACTTTGTATATGACATGATTGCCAGGGGAGGACAAAGGAGGAAGTCATGGCTAAATCAAAGGAGGAAAAGTGCTTCCTAACAATGGCATGATCAGTCATTAACAGCAATGACAGTCAACACTTAAATGTGCTTACTATGCACCAGGCCCTGATCTAAGCAATTCTAATGCATTAGCTCAGCGGTCCCCAACCTTTTTGGCACCAGGAACCAGTTTCGTGGAAGGCAATTTTTCACAGAAACTGTGTGTTGGGGAGATGGTTTTGGGACCACACTGTTTCACTTCAGATCAGCAGGCATTAGTTAGATTCTCATAAGGAGCATACAACCTAGATCCCTCGCATGCGCAGTTCACAGTGGGGTTCACACTCCTATGAGAATCTAATGCCACTGCTGAGCTGACAGGAGGCAGAGCTCAGGCAGTAATGCTCGCTTACCGCTCACCGGGGTTGGAGACCCCTGCCTTAGCTCACTTAATCCTCTTCACAACTTTATCGGGTAGGTACAATCACTGTCTCTATTTTAAAGACCAGGAAATGGAGGCACAGAGAGATTTAGTAACTTGTTCAAGGTCACACTATTATGTAAGTAGCCAAGCCAGGATTTGAACTTTGAGCCTATGCCTTTTGGCTGCAGAGTCCATAGTTATTAGGCAGTGCTGTCTCCAGTATTGAGATAGTAGAAGTAATAGTTTTCATTTATTGAGCAATTACTGTGAGGCGGAAGGGCCTCACAATGCTTCATCTTACTTAATCCTCATGTTAACCTTGTAAGGGAGGTACTGATAATCTCATTTTAGAGATCAGGAACCTAGGCTTACGGAAGTTAAGTAACTTGTCCAAAGTCACACAGCTGTTAACTGAGTCTAGATCTGTCTGATATCAGAACCCAGGTTCTTCACCACACAATTAGTTTCTTAGAGCTTATCTAATCACATGTGAAGAGAAGAAAAAAAAGTTACTCCAAGTAAAATGGTGTTTTGAACAGGTGAGTTACACCTTCACATTCACTCACTTTACAAAATGAATCCTGGTTATGTTTTAGTGGGATTTGTTCTATAATGCAATACACGTTTCTTGCCCTTCCAGGAAAACAACTTAACATTTTCTTGATCTTGATCTGGACCTCTGGACACTTTTTTTTCAGGCAGGGTCTTGCTCTGTTGCCCAGGCTGGATTGCGGTGGTGCAATCATGACTCACTGCAGCCTCGACCTCCCATGCTCAAGCATTGATCTTGATCTTTAAGGGAAATCATTGTATACTTCAGCTATCATACAGTGCTGCAATGCCTTCACTGAAAATCGTAGTGCTGTTTGCCCAGAGACAAAATTGCTGTATTTTTTGAGATACTGCATCTGTATTTTCAAATTTTTACTCTGGCCTCTAGAGGGCAGACTATTATTTCTGGTTGTTTCCTATGGTAGCCCGTCTCTCACCTCTAACATCAAGATGTAGTGTACAACTCAGGGAAAAAAGAACTAAGATAAAAGAGAACTGAGATAAATGTGAATAACCTGAGATAAAAGAGATACTTTAAAATGTAAAACTTGTTAAATATATTTGAATTCTTTGGATACGTTTTTGTTTGCCGCCTTTCTTATATCTACATGCTGGATAGCTGAAATGTCTAGACAGCTGGATTCTGAGGAGATGAAGTGTTGCTATACATGGGAATAAAAACGGTTACTTTGACTTCATGGCCCATCTTAGTATATGTGATATTTAGCATCTGTTCACACAAAATTGAGAAATGGGAAACCATTTTCTTAAAAAAATTTATTAAATACAAAAATAGAGGCAAGGTCTTGCCATGTTGCCCAGGCTGGTCTCAAACTCCTGGGCTCAAACAATCCTTTCACTTCTGCCTCCCAAAGTGCTGGGATTACAAGGACACCATTTTCTTTCTTTTTTTTTTTTTTTTTTGAGACGGAGTCTCGCTCTGTCGCCCAGGCTGGAGTGCAATGGTGCGATCTCGGCTCACTGCAACCTCCGCCTCCCAGATTCAAGTGATTCTCCTGCCTCAGCCTCCCGAGTAGCTGGGATTACAGTCGCCCACCCGGCTAATTTTTGTATTTTTAGTAGAGATGGGGTTTCACTATGTTAGTCAGGCTGGTCTCGAACTCCTGACCTCAGGTGATCCACCTGCCTTGGCCTTCCAAATTCCTGGGATTACAGGCATGAACCACTGTGTCCGGCCCACCATTTTCTCCAGAGTTTTTAACGTGAGCATCGGCCTTTCTATTTATGCCAGAATTGCTTTCTCCCACTTTATTTTTCAAGGGCGGTCAAAAACTGCTCTATGAAGTTTTGCACCAGTCTATGAATGTGTTTGGTTTCTGCACTAGTAAGTTTGACTATGTGTTCAGCTACTATTCAGGGGTTACCTATCTGCTACCTGTAACTTTTATCCCTGGTGCCAGGGCCTGATCATTTTCTATTCTGAGAACATGTCAGGTGACACAGGTGATCTCAATCGAAGCATTGGGTGGCAGAGGGTAACGACGTGCCCACTGGGGATGAAGGAGGGAGAAATCAGAACAGGTGATCTAGGTTGAAATCAGGGCCTTGATTGTTTCAGGAGAGTGGCTGCTTCCTAGAACCACCTGGGGCTGGGCAGCAGCACGTTGCTCAAGTCTTTTGCTGTAGGTGTGGCTGTGTCAAAGAAGGAGTCAGAGTCTCGGGAGGCCAGACTTGCCATAGTAGGGCTTGAGTCCTGTACACCCATGGCTGCTAATTTCCCAGCCTGGAATATGAATAGGAGTCCTCACTGTCTTCCTCCAAATCGAATGAAATACCTCATGTTTCTCTGCAGTCACCACTCTAGGTATATGATTTAGGATTTTTTTTTTCTTTTGTGGTTATGTGACTGTAGCTAATTCAGAAGGGAAAAGAAATGTATTGGAGTGTGTTCGATTAGAATCAGAGAAAAGATCTGTAGGCTATTTTCCACAAAGCTACCAGAGCAACTTAATACAAACACAAGTCTTTCAAATCTTTCCACACTAAGGACTTTTCATTAAACCTAGAATAAAACCCTACCAGTCCCTATGCAGTCTGGCTTTGGCCACCCTGACCTCATCTCTGCTACCCTCCTTTCTCTCAGTCTGCTCCAGGCACTCTGACTGTCCTGCCTCAGGGCCTTGGGATTTGTTTCACCTGCCTAAGAAGCTCTTTGCCAGGACGTTGTGTAGTTCACCCTCTCAATCTATTTAGACAAGTTTACTTGTTTAACATCTCTTTCTTCAGCCAGAATGTCAACTCCTTGAGGCCTGGACTTTACTGCAGAATCTCTAGAGCATAGAATAGGGTCAGGCAGATAGTAGGCTCTCAGTAAGTACTGGTAGAGGAGTAACCAAGCTATAGGTAGCTCCAGGAACTTCAGGGGCAGGAACTGAGAGGGTAAGTTTTCTCAGGCATTGCAACTAAAGAGCTGAATGAAATGTATTAAACTTTTTTCTAAAATACATCAAAGACTAAACAACACAGTGAACAATGACTGGACTGAGATCTAGCAGAGGGTGGGAGGTCAGGATGTGAATATACCACTGGATCACTTTTGCTGTTGATTCGGAAAAGGCAGCTGTGAGGCAGACCTGAGGTCTCCCTGAGCTAGGGGTGCTAGATTTGAATCCAGGGTGTGCAAAGTGCACATGTCCTGATAGATAACACCCCGCTCCTACCTTTTCGACTGGGAACATAGCAATAAAATTACACCGGCAGTAAAGCAGAGCGTGTATGGTTTACACCTTTCTGATCATATGGGTGGCCTGGAAAATCCCAAGCAAGGTGATGCTGACTGCTAGTGCCTCTAGGTGCCTGAATGGAGCAGATAAAAATAACACCTGGAACATTATAATGCTACTGTTGCCATTCAATTAGTTCTACAAATAATTTTTCAATTCATTAGGCATCAGAAATTAAGGATCTATTTCTTAAGTTCTAGGGTAATCGCTAAAGGAAAAAATCTAAAAAGAGTATATGTCTTTCAAACTAACAGGGAAAATAGCACAATAAAAACAAAACAAAATAAATAAACCCCCAAGCAATCACTATGCAAGAATGCAAGAGAAGAGAGAAAGGAAAAGGAACACAGAGCTGTTATACAAACAGAGAGCATACAGTAAGATGATAAATATAGCTCTAAGACAACAGTAATTACATTAATTATAAATGGATTAAATGCTCCAGTTAAAGAACTGTATGTATGACTATATATACACATATATAATTTTTCAAGCAATCTTTTATATTTATCCACAAATATAGATATATCCAAATCTATATCCATAAAGGATAAACATGATAATGATACAGAAAGATAGAAAGTGAAATGCTTACCCCTCCTTCCTCCCCAGTTTGTTTTACAACTGGAGCAGCTACAGTAATATCACACAAAATAGAATTTAGGGAAAAAGCATTACTAGAATTAAAGGGCTTTGCTTCATAATGATAAAAGGTTAAGCTCTGCAGGAAGATATGGCAATTCTAAATTTGCGTGCTTTTAATGGCCATATCAACATATAGAGAGCAAAACCAGGCAGAACTGCAAGAAGAAATAAGTTCACCATAAAGATTTCAATACATGTTTTCACTCATTGAGAAAACAATCATGAGGTATAGAAATGATATGAGCAATATGCTTAACATATTTGACCAAACATACAACAACTACTATGTATTGCATATTCTTTTCAAAAAGTCATGCAGAATATATACAATTATTGACAATGCACAGCAGCTGTAAAGAAGGTTTTTAATAAACGTGAGAGTACTGAAATCATATAGAATATGTTCTCTAGTACAATGTATTAGAGAAATCAGTAATAAAAAAGATTAATTAAAAAAATTCCCATTTGCTTAGAGTTTAGTCAGTATGCTTCTAAGTAACCCACGACTCTAAGAAGAAATCACAGGAAATATTAGAAAATACTTTTATCGGAATAATGGTAAAAATGGTACATTTAAACCTTTTAAAGATGGAGTTAGAAGAGTTTAACAGAAAATTTATTGCCTTAAATGTATGTATTAAGAAAGGAAAAAGGTTGAAATTTATGTAGCTGTACATCAATCTCAAACACTTAGAAAACAACAGAAAAGTAAATCCACAGAAATTAGAAGGGAGAAAGTCAAACAGATGAGAACATGAATTAATAAAGAGAAAAGCAAATGTTTAATAGAAAGCACTGCCAAAGTCAAAGAGAGTTATTTTAAAAGACTAAAAAAGTTGATTAACTTCTGGTGAGATTTATCAAGAAAAAAAGAAAGAACAAATAAACAATATCAGAAACAAAAAAACTACCAATCCTGCAGGCATTAAAAAGATTATAAAAGGATAATATGAAGAAGCTTATGCCAAAAAATTGAAAATTTAGATGAAATGTCCAGAAAAATAGCAAACTTCTAAAAACTGACACAAACTTACTTACTTATCAAAATTGATACAAAAAAGAATAGAAAATTGAAATACTTTTATAACTATTAAAGCAATGAAATCCCGGTTAAAGTTGTTCCTGTAAAGAAGATTCTAGGCCTGATTGGCTTAATTGGACAGTTCTACCAAACAAGAAAAAAAATGCCAATATTCTATTAACCCTTTCTTTTCTTTTCTTTTCTTTTTTTTTTGAGACAGAGTCTCACTCTGTCACCCAGGGTGGAGTGCAGTGGCGTGATCTGGGCTCACTGCAAGCTCCACCTCCAGGGGAGCTGGGACTACAGGCGTCTGCCAGCATGTCCAACTAATTTTTGTATTTTTAGTAGAGACGGGGTTTCACCATGTTGACTAGGCTGGTCTCGAACTCCTGACCTCAAGTGATCCACCTGCCTCGGCCTCCCAAAGTGCTAGGATTACAGGCGTGAGCCACTGCGACTGGCCTTTTTTTTCTGAGACAGAGTCTTACTCTGTAGCCCTGGCTGGAGTGCAGTGGCACGATCTTGGCTCACTGCAAGCTTTGCCTCCTGGGTTCAAACAATTCTCCTGCCTCAGCCTCTGGAGTAGCTGGGATTACAGGTGTGTGCCACCATGCCCGGTTAAGTTTTTATATTTTTGGTAGAGATGGGATTTCACCATGTTGGCCAGGTTGGTCCTGAACTCTTGACCTCAAGTTATCCACCCACCTCAGCCTCCCAAAATGCTGGGATTATAGGCTTAGCCACCATGCCCGCCCAACTCTTTCTTGGTAAATATTCCTGAGATATACTTTTCAACTAATTGCAGGAGGCTAACATAACCTTGTACCAATATCCAATAGGGACAGCACAAAAAAAGGAAAACCAGACCAATTTCTCTTATAAGTACAGTTGCAAAAATTCTAACAAAATGTTGACAAACCAAATCTAACGATATATAAAAATGAGTACATCATGACCAAGTTGGGTTTATTCTCAGAAATAAAAATATTGGTTAACGTTAAAAGTTCAATAAATTGAGTATTCATATTGCTAGATATGAGGAAAGTCATATAATCAATTGATTCAGGGAAAAATATTTGATAAAATCCAACATCTGTTCATAATTAGGAAAAACACTGTTGAAAACTGAGGAATAGAAAAGAACCTTTTTAGGATAAAGGATATCTAAAACAAAATAAACAAAAAACCTGAATGGGATGTTGGAAGCTTTCTCTTTTGGATCAGTGTTTATTATGTTTTCATTTTCAGTATCTTATGATGTCTTGACTTCTTAAAAATCTTGCTGGCCAAGGAGAGACTGCCCTCCCAGGGCTAGCTAATTTCTCAAAATAGTAAACAACTTGGGAGCAGGCCTCTAAAATGCAAACCACCCACTCCCCTTTATCAAACTCTCACATACCACGCCAACATTTCCCCTGCTTTAAATCATCGCAGGGCCAGGTACGAGCCAACTAGAGAGCTCCCCATACCCCAAAGCCTGCTGATTTTTACTCAGATTTGCCATTCCTAAACTGCTGACTCTGCCCTGCCTTGCCTCTCCCAAGGAAGCCTAATACAGGCTCTGGCCTGGGCTTTCCCCTGCTTCTGCTGCTGCCTCCTGACCACACCTGGTGCTCCCCAAGTGGGCCTGTGTGGTGTAGCATGTCCCGTTTTCCTGGAAAATAAATTCTTCTTCAATGGCATTAATCTCTCTGTGCTGTCACTCACTCACTTCTATAAACAAAAATTCCATGGGTGCAAATGAGACAATCAGAAAAAATACAAGGAAGCCCGCTACCACTATTTCTATTCAGAATTTCAGCTCAGCACTAGAACAGTAAGATAAGGGGACGCGGGGTGGAGGGAGAGAAATACGGGGATTGGAGAGAAACAAAACTGTCATTATTTGAAGATGATATGACGGTAACACAGACAATCCAAAAGAATCTATGAATACATTATTAGAATTTATAACCAAATTCAGCAGTGGATGCAAAATCAGTGTAAAGATTAATTGCAAGTCTATAATCAGCAATCAATATTTAGAAAATGAAATAAAAAATAGCATTCAAAATAGCATAAGAAGTCATGTACCTAGGTATAAATCTTTAAAAAATGTGCAGAACCCTTGTGAAAATTATAAAATTTAATAAGAAAAAATAAAGGCAACTTAAATAATTGAATATATATGTGGAGTTGATGTCTCAACATTTAAAGAATATTGATTCTCTTCAAATTAATCTTCAGATTCGATGTAATCCCAGTCAAAAATAGCAACAATGTTTTTCTCCGTGTGTGTGTAAACTTGACAAACTAATCCCAAAATTTATGTGGAACTGCACAGGGCCAAGGATAGCTGGGATATTCTTGAGGAAGAAGACTAATGTGGGAACACTTGCTCTACTTGATACCAAGACCTAAAAGCATTAGTAATTATGAAGCATCATTTTGGTTTAATAATAGATAAATAAACAAAATAGAGAGCTTAAAACTCATATATATACTTATGAATTAATTATATTGATTACTGCTGTGGAGCAGTAGGGAAAGGACTATCTTTTCAATAAAAGAATAAAAGATGCTAGGAAAAATAAGCCATAAATGCCAAAAAAAAAAAAAAAAAGAAAAAGAAAAGAAAGAATAAAAAAGATATTGGACCCATAATGTACACTATGACCCATATACATTTTAGGTGAAAGGTAGACCTTCTCGATGTCAAATGCAAAACAATAAAGATTTTGTAGATGATTTAAAAGACTGTCTTGGGACAGGAGGCAGGACTAGATTGCAGCTCTGACTCGGACGGACAGAGCAGCGTGTGGAGGCTCGCACTGTGAATTTTAGCTCCAGAACGACTGCAGGAATAAACCAGGAAACCTGAGAGAACCCACAGACCCTCTGAAGGAAGCAGACTGCTCCTGCAGGACCCAGTAGACACCCCAAATACTGTGAGTGCCCAAACTGTGGAAGTGGGAAAGGGAGATCATCTGCTCCCGAACACACACCCCAACTAGGGAAACTGAAGGTCTAGATTAGGGAGAAGGTTCTGACCTTACCTGGAGCTGAGTCAATTTAGAGAGCTGAGCAAAATACAGAGGTAGAGGAAGCAGCCGGAAAGGTGCTGGGAGCTCCTGGGTCCCCAGGAAGGCCATTCCTTCCTGGCCTCACAGGGATCCTTTGGGAGGGCAGCTAGAGGCCCTGGGAATAGGCCACAGGGAGAAGGAAATCTCCAGCTGAACTCTGTAACAATTTGAACTAATTGAGAACCCTCTTGGCCAGAACTCAGGGGAGGGCGTGACTCCAGTGTGCAGACTCCATAGGTGGGGAAGAAGGAAATCCATACTTGCTTCTGCAGCTGAGAGGCAGGTAGCCTGGGGCAAGTTCTCAGCCCTGCTTGCCCACAGCCTGGAAACAAACTCTGTGCTGTTAGTGGGGGAACGGTGGGAATGAGACTGGCCCTTCATTTTGCAGGGGAGCTGGGTGAGGGCTGTGACTGCCAGCTTTCCCCAACTTCCCTGACAACTTGCATGACACAGTAGAGACAGCCACAATCCTTCTAGGATCATAGCTCCATTGACCTGGGAATACAACACTGCTGAAATAAATCATAGACAACACAAACAAATGGAAACACATCCCCTGCTCATGGATGGGTAAAATCAATATTGTGAAAATGACCATACTGCCAAAAGCAATCTACAAATTCAATGCAATGCCCATCAAAATACCACCATCATTCTCCACAGAATTAGAAAAAACAATTCTAAAATTAATATGGAACCAAAAAACAGCCCAATAGCCAAAGGAAGACCAAGCAAAAAGAACAAATCTGGAGGCATCACATTACCTGATTTCAAACTATACTATAAGGTCATAGTCACCCAGACAGCATGGTACTGGTATAAAAATAGGCATATCGACCAATGGAACAGAATAGAGAACCCAGAAATAAACCCAAATATTTACAGCTAACTGATCTTTGACAAAGCAAACAAAAATGTAAGGTGGGGAAAGGACACCCTTTTCAACAAATGGTACTGGGATAATTGACTAGCCATATGTAGGAGAATGAAACTGGATCCTCATCTCTCACCTTATACAAAAATCAACTCAAGATGGATTAAGGACTTAAATCTAAGACCTGAAACTATGAAAATTCTAGAAGATAACATTAGAAAAATCCTTCTAGACATTGGCTTAGGCAAGGATTTCTTGACCAAGAACCTAAAAGCAAATGCAATAAAAAAGATAAATAACTGGGACTTAATTAAACTAGAGAGCTTCTGCACGGTGAAAGGAACAGTCAGCAGAGTAAACAGACAACCCACAGAGTGGGAGAAAAATCTTCACAATGTATACATTGTACAAAAGACTAATATCCAGAATGTACAATGAACTCAAACAAATCAGCAAGAAAAACACAGTCCTATAAAAAAGTGGGCTAAAGACATGAATAGACAGTTCTCAAAGGAAGATATACAAATGGCCAACAAACATGAAAAAGTGCTCCACATCACTAATGATCAGGGAAATGCAAATCAAAACCACTATGTGATATCACCCTCACTCCTGCAAGAATGGCCATAATCAAAAAATCAAAAGCAGTAGATGCTGGCATGGATGTGGTGATCATGGAACGCTTCTACACTGCTAGTGGGAATGTAAACTAGTACAACCACTATGGAAAACAGTGTGGAGATTCCTTAAAGAACTAAAATTAGAACTACCATTTGATCTAGCAGTCCCACTACTATCTACCTAGAGGAAAAGAAGTCATTTTATGAAAAAGATCCTTGCACATGCATGTTTATAGCAGCATGATTCACAATAGCAAAAATGTGGAACAAACCCAAATGCCCACCAGTCAACAAGTGGATAAAGAAACTGTGGTATATACATATATGATGGAATACTACTCAGCCATAAAAAGGAATGAATTCATGGCATTTGCAGTGACCTGGATGAGATTGGAGACTATTATTCTAAGTGAAGTAACTCAGGAATGGAAAACCAAACATCAGATGTACTCACTGATATATAGGAGTTAAGCTGTGAGGACACAAAGGCATAAGAATGATACAACGGACTTTGGGGACTTGAGGGGGAAGGGTGGGAGGGGAGTGAGGGATAAAAGATTACAAATAGGGTGCAGTGTATGCTGCTTAGGTGATGGATGCACCAAAATCTCATAAATCACCATTAAAGAACTTATGTAACCAAATACCATCTGTTCCCCAAAAACCTATGGAAATAAACAATTAAAAAAAAGAATTTCTTTATGCTCATGGGCCAGGGAAACATATTTTTCAATGGGGCTTGGGGAAAAAAAGATTGTTAAATTTTACTATATGTGTCAGAAGACATATTAAGGCACATCAAGAGAATGAAAACGAAAGTCACAGACAGGGAGAAAATACTTGTAACACATCTAACAGACAAAGGGCTCATATCCCAAATATAAAAAGATCTACAATTCAATAAGAAAAAAAAAAAGCCAATCCAATAGGAAAATGCAAAGACTGGAACAGACAATGCATGAGAAAGAATATCCAAATGGCCAATAAATATACGTAAAGGCATTTATACTCATTAGTAATCAAGACCATGCAAATTAAAACTCAGTGAGGGCCAGGCATGGTGGCTCACACCTGTAATCCCAGCACTTTGGGAGGCCAAGGTGGGAGGACTGCTTGAGCCCAGATGTCAAGACCAACCTGGGCAATATAGCGAGACCTCATTTCTACAAAAAATAAAAAAATTAGCTGGGTGTAGTGGCGCACCTGTAGTCCCAGCTATGTGCAAGGGTAGGGTGTGAGGATTGCCTGAGTCCAGAAAGTTAAGGCTGCAGTGAGCCGTGATCACGCCACTGTACTCCAGTCTGGCATGATCAGAGCAAGACTCTGCCTCAAAAAACAATAAAAATGAAACAAAACAGCAACAACAACAAAAACCCCAGAAACTCACTGACGTAAAACTATATACTCATCAGATATATCACTCGCTAAATTGTATATTTATCTTTATACAAATACTGTATTTCTCATCATATGATTTGTAGTAAAAATGATCCATTAAGTATAAATATGTAAAAAGAATTTATTTGCGTTCCTGAATAATTTCCAAATAAATAAAATTGCATTTGAGGGAAAAATCTTTGATATGTTGCAAGCCATAATCGGTGAGAAACAGAACAGGGTTCACTCCTCTTAACCTTTATCAGAGGTTAAAGAGAACATTGCCAGGAGGCCTTCACACTTCTGAATGGGCATCATTTTTTAGGTCTATTTTTCCATGATTTGGAGTAAATGATGTAAAATTAAAAATTTATTACTCTTAATAGGCTTTATACTAGATCTTACTGCAAAAGCTATGGTTGCATAACAGACTTCTTTAAATTCTCTTGCTATAGATGTGTTAGATAATAGAATTGTTCTAGATTACCTACTGGCTGAAAATGCAAGAATCTATGCAGTTGCTGACATTCTTGTTGCATGTGGATGAATACACAGACATTGCAGAGACTTGGTTGCAGGGGATTAATGAACAGGCTGCTCAGTTAAAATTAGTAGTCTCCTCATTTGGCTCTTTCTTTGATCTACTTGATTTCACTTGGTTTGGTTCATGGGGACCCTGGCTAAGGACCATACTCCAAACTCTTGGACCTCCTGATGGTCACGATAGTAGTTTCCCCAGTGTGCTGTATTTTCTTGAAAGTTGTAAATATTTGCCCACAGCTATCTATAAAATGTCAAATTGTTTCTCTTAGACTGGAATGACAAAAACTCAAAGAAATGCATAACCACAAGGGCACCATAACCTATGAATGACATGCTGAGACTGGAAACCCAAAATGATGGTAACAAAGTGGTGGTAATGCCTTACATTTTTGTCACATTCTCACCCAGGTAAGAACCTGACCAAAAGGGGGGAATTGTTGAACAAAATTATGAGTAGCCATTATTTTGGACTGAGCTTGTGCACGAGGCCCCAACAAACCAAACCAAAATGTAGTCACTCATGCTAAATGTGATGTAATCAAATGGAAACTTTGAGGAAGCAGGTGCATCCTAAAATAGATCAGTTTTTTTTTCCCTCCTGAAAACAGGAGATTCCAGCATAATAAAGAAGTCTCCTCTAGCCCTTACAAAAAAGTAGGCTGAAGTAGCCTGATGTTAATCAGTTTTTTTTCTATTGTTCTGTTTATTCCCACCTTACAAAATCCACTGTTAGTGGGATTTGAGACCAAATAAGTCCATTTATGATGGTGACAGAGTGATATCAATGCCTAAAGTTTTCAAAGGGGTCAAAAAATCTCTAAAAAAAATCAGTTTTGAGAGGTTAACCAAAAGGTGGAATTGCTAAATTAAGTCAAGCCTAAAGCTGCCTCCTTATATATTTTAAGTTCAGCTTAAAGGGTTCTCCATATATAGTGAACTGTAACCTAGCTGAATGTGTAAACAGACTATAACCTACCTCTTATACCAACCACAGAGTTTTGGCCAGTCAAAGGGGCCAACTGTTCAAACTGTATTTGAATGAGGCAAATGCTGAGCTATAACGAATCCAACTGTTTCTGTACATCATTTTCCTTTTTCTGTCCATAAATATGATCTGAAACATGTGGCAGTCCTGGAGTTGCTCTGAACCTAGTCTAATTCTAGGGGCTGCCCAATTCTTAAATGGTTCTTTGCTCAATTTAACTTTCTTAAATTTAATTTGTCCAAAGTTTTCTTTCTTTTTTTTTTTTTCTTTTTGAGACAGTCTTGCTCAGTCACCTAGGCTGGAGTGCAGTGGTGTAATCTTGGCCCACTGCAACCTCCACCTCCTGGGTCCTCAGCCTCCCGAGTAGCTGGGACTACAGGTCCACACCACCATGCCTGACTAATTTTTTTTTTTTTTGTATTTTTAGTAGAGACAGGGTTTTGCCATTTGGCCAGGATGGTTTCAAACTCCCGACCTCAGGTGATCCTCCCACCTTGGCCTCCCAAAGTGCTGAGATTACAGGCGTGAGCCATTGCTCCTGCCTGTCTGAAGTTTTTCTTTTGGCCAGGCATGGTGGCTCACACCTGTAATCCCAGCACTTTGGGAGGCCAAGGCAGGTGGGTCATTTGAGACCAGGAGATCGAGACCAGCCTGGCCAATATGGTAAAACCCCATCTCTACTAAAAATACAAAAATTAGCTGGGTGTAGTGGTGCATGCCTGTAATCCCAGCTACTCGGGAGGCTGAGACAGAATAGCTTGAACCCAGGAGGTGGAGGTTGCAGTGAGCTGAGATTGTGCCACTGCTCTCCAGCCTAGGTGACAGAGCAAACTCTGTCTCAAAAAATAAAAAAAAAAGTTTTATTTTAACAGATAGATTGTGTATTATGACTGTTGGTTCAGGGATTCTGATCAATAGTTACCATAGTCCTGAGGATTATGGCCTGGTCTTCCCACACAGAACAATTTCTCCACCTGGAGTAGTGAAGTTGGAGCACAGTATGAGGTGTTTTTAGCCACAAGAGGGCAAAAGTCTTGGACATGAAATTTTTGAAATGGGTACAAGCTGGAACCTGCACCTGTGCCGCCTATAACCTAAGACTAAGTGAAAACTTACACCGAAGCCAATGACAACATGAATGGTAAATGAACATTTAAAATAGTTTTTTTGGTTATAAGTTTTGTAGAAGACATCTTATCTGTGTTGCTAAAATACCTGGTATTTTCCTTTTTCCCCATTGATTTTTATTCTTTATTTCCTCAAGGCCTATAGTTTTGTATAGGCTTCAGAACAAACACTAAGAAACAATCTGGTGTTACTCAGGGTGGGTGGGGATATGATGAAAATACTGCTTACCTGGATATGGCTGTTCCTACAGCCCGACTCAGAAGTGATGACAGAAATAATGACGATAATAGCCACTTTAAAAGTGATTTGGCAGCAGTTTTATTTGTTGTGCTATAAAATGGCTGGCCCATGGCTGTATATGTAGATTCGGGAGTAAACTTTCAAAGCATACTCAGGAGGCATGCATGGTAATCCCATTATCTGATAACAGGATTTGTGCACATACCTCCCACATGCACCATCAGTAACCCACCCTTTTAGTATCGCTGTGAAATGCAATTTGTGTGCAGATGAAAAGTTTACAGAACATGGGCCTGTGCCATGAAGCTCAACAAAGCCAGCGCACTGTGTGGCAAGGTTTCTGAACCCGACCCCTGTCGTTCCTGCTGTCTCCCTCCTTATTGATTTCTGTCCCTTGGCCAAGCGGGCTTTGTGATCGTCTGCATCGACCCAGAAACTTGCAAAATGAGCTAATCAAATAGGTGCAGCAGAAATCAACCCTGAATTTCTAGGAGGCTTTGGAGACATGCCACACACAGGATGTGGGAGATGATCGGGTCAAGTAAGTGTTGGCAGAATGTACGGGGTGAAGAGGCCAAATGACATGGATTTTGGTTAATTACTTTGTGGAAACATTCACATAAATAGGTGAAGTCAAAACTAGAGTAAATGCGTGATAAAATAACACATAGGCAGTGCTTTAAAAATAGGATCCTGATATTCATATTTTACGGTTTTGGTTCACACATGTTCTATCTTCCTTTTTTCAGAGAGCTTACCATAACTGGCACATATCTTCACATAAGCATCATATAAAGAGCAGCAGATGTTAGTGACAGAAGCTGCGTGCAAAATATGCAGAAGAATATCCTCATTACTTCTATTGCTTACAAGTAAGGAAATATAGATTCACACTTTTCTTTTTTAGATAAAGGGTTACATGGTAAATTTATATATTGATATGTGAATTTCTTGATTCTTCCCAACAGGCCAAACAAAAAATTATTTTAATTGAATGTATTTATGTCAATCATTGCTTTTAATAAAATATGATTGTATGTGGTTTAAAAAATGTACAATCATCCAATGTACATATATTAAGCAATGAGCATAGAGCAAATGACTTTAGTTAGGGGAAATTCTATATCCTAAATATAGTATGAAATATGAGCATAGGAACTCTGTGGATGCCTGGTGGGAAAATAGGTTATTCTTTGTTTTTTATTTTCTTTCCGTATAAATATTGCAATAAACTTGGTTATTTCTTTAAATAAATACCTGAGAGGATACTGACTGGATATGCATTGAATCTGTAGCTGTATTAGGCAAGGATTGAAATCTGAACAATATAGAGTATCCTGATCTGTCAACTCAGTACATTTATGTAGTTCTTTAATTTTTCTTCGTAATGTTTTATGCTTTTTAGTGTGCAGCTTCTACACTATTTTTTAGGTTTATCTCTAAGTAATTTTTTTCTTTTTTTTTTTTTTGAGACGGAGTCTCGCTCTGTTGCCCAGGCTGGATGGAGTACAGTGGCACGATCTCGGTTCACTGCAAGCTCTGCCTGCCAGGTTCACGCCATTCTCCCATCTCCCAGCCTCCTGAGTAGCTGGGAGTACAGGTGCCCACCACCACACCTGGCTAATTTTGTTTTTGTATTTTTAGTAGAGACAGGATTTCACCATGTTAGCCAGGATGGTCTCGATCTCCTGACCTTGTGATCCGACCACCTCGGCCTCCCAAAGTGCTGGGATTACAGGCGTGAGCCACCGCGCCCAGCCTAAGTGTTTTTTTTTTTTTTTGATGCTACTGTAAGTAATTCTACTTTAAAATTTCAATTTCTAAATCTTCCCTGCTATTATATAGAATGCAATTGATATTTTAAAATATTTATCTTATATTCTGAAACCTTACTAAACTCATGGTTTCTAGTCTTTTTAAAAAATAGATTCTTTAGGATTTTCTACATAGAAAATTATGGTTTCTGTAAATAGAGATAGGCTTATTTCTTTATTTGTAATTTGTATGTCTTTTGTTTCTTTTTCTTGCTTTATTCCACTCAATCTGCACTATGATATGGAATGGAAATAGTGAGAGTGGACATCCTTGTGTTGTTCCTGATCTTAAGGGGAAATCATTCAGTTTTTAATTATTAAATATAATATTAATTTTAAGTTTCTTTTGTAGATGTCCTTTATCAGCTCCCACCTTAAAATAGAAAAAGGGATACCAGGTGCAGTGGCTCATTCCTGTAATCCTAGCACTTTGGTAGGCCAAGGCAGGAGGATTGCTTGAGCCTAGGAGTTTGAGAGCATAGTGAGACCCCATCTCTCTCTCTAAAAAAAAACCAAAAAGGAATAGAAAAAGAAGAGAAATCAAGCCCAAAGTGAGCAGTGAGCAGAATAACAATAAAGTTAAGAACAGAAGTCAGTGAAATAGGAAACATAAAAACAATAGAGAAAATCAATGAAATCAAAAGTTGGTTAATTGATGAGATTAGTAAAGCTGGTAAACCTCTAGCCAAACTGATTGAGGAAAAAAAAAAAAAGAGTGAAGACACAAATAGCCAATATCAGGTATACAAAAGGGACATAATTACCAACGCTGCAGACATTAAAAGGATAATAAATATCACTTGCAACTGTAAACTTATAAATTTGACAACTTAAATGAAATAGGCAAATTTCTTCACAGCTTAAAATTCAAAGCTTATGAAAGAAGACACAAATAACTCAAATAGTCCTCTACCTATTAAAGAAATTGAATAATTGTGAAAAAAAACCCACAAAGAAAACTTTTCTATTTGTTCTTGTGTCACTTTTGGTAAATTATATTTTCTAAGGAATTTGTCCATGTGTGTCACTTAAATTGTCAAATTTATTGGCATAAGTTATCATATCTTTTAAATTAATTTTAAAATGTCTATAGTATTTGTAGTAATATCTCCTCTTTCATTCCTAGATTTTATGATTTGTGTGTTTTATCTTATTTCTATATTGTACATGGGTTTTCTACTAGATCAATTTGTTTTTATGTTTATTATTTTCATCTTTCAATTTTCTTTGGGAATATTTTGCTGTTCTTTTCCTAGCTCTTTGAGAATAAGTGCTTAGATAATTAATTCTTAATCTATAATATATGTATTTAAAGCTATAAATTTCTCTTGTAAGCCTGGTTTTGTATGTAGCCTACATATTTTGGAATGTGTTATATTTATTGTTCGATTGAAAATATTTTCTAATTTTCATTGTGATTTGTTCTTTGATTTTTAGATTATTTAGAACTGTACTGTTTAATTTATAAGCATATTGATATTTCCTACTAATCATTTTTGTTATTTATTTCTAGTTTTTTCCCTCTGTAGTCAGAGAATATATTCTAATTTAATATTTTAAAATTTGTTAAGATGTGATTTATGGTAGAACAGCCAGTCAACTTTTGTATCATTCTGTGTGTACAATTTGTATTCTGCATTTGTGGGGGTGGTTTTCTATTTATATTTACTAAGTTCAAGTTGTTAACCATATATTTAAGATAATCTATATCCTTACCCCTTTTTTGCCTGCCTGTCCTAGCAATACTGAGATAGGTATTTTAAAAAGCTCACTGATTATGGATGTGCTTATTTCTCCTTTTAATGCTGTCAATTTTTGCTTAATACACATTGAGGCAATGTTACTAGGTAGTTACAGACTGCAAATCACCATGTCTTCTTGGTGAACTGACCTTTTCTTTATTGTGAAATGTTCATTTTATTTTCAGTAAATTATTGTCTTAAACTTTATCTAATCTAGTACATCCCAAACAGATCAACCTTATATATAAAGATACAGAAATATTGAAAGTAAAATGGTGGAAAAAGATATATCTGGTTTCTTTTTCCTACTAAGCATTTCTGATAGTAGGTTAATATTTGCATGACATGTCTTTTCCCGTTCTTTCATTTTTAATCTTTCTGTACCTTTTTTTTTGAGTTGGGGTCTTGCTGTATTGCCCAGGTTGGAGTGTAGTGGTGCGATCATGGCTCACTGCAGCCTCAAACTGCCAGGTTCAAGAAATCCTCCTACCTATGCCTCCTGAGTAGCTATGACTGCAGATGTGTGCCACCATGTCTAGCTAATTTTTAATTTTTTTTTGTAGAGACAAGGTCTCAGTACATTGCCCAGGCTGTTTTCCAACTCCTGGTCTCATGCCGTCCTTCTGCTTGGCCTCCCAAAGCACTGAGATTACAGGCATGAGCCACCTCTGTGCATTTTTTAAAAATTTTCTTTTATAAGCAACATATAAAAGTTTTTGAAAATTCAGCCTGACAATCTTTGTTTTTTTTAATGGAAAGAATTTAATCTCTTTGCACTTAATGCAATTACTGAATAAGTATTTATGTCTACCACCTTACCATATGCTTTCCATTTTTCTCATCTAGTCAATGTTATTTTTCTCTCATCTTGCCTTAAAAAATGAGACTTTATTTTAGAATAGTTTTAGGTTTCCAGAAAAATTGAACAGATAGTACAGAGTTCCTATGTACCCCCAGTTTCTCTGATTATTAACATCTTACATTAGTCATTATATTTGTTAAAATTGATACATTGATATTGGTATATTATTACTAACTAAAGTCCACAGTTTTTCCAAACGTCCTTAGGTTTTACCTAATCTCGTTTTTCTGTTCCAGGATTTCATCCAAGATACTACATTACATTTAATGTTCATGTCTCCTGATTCCTCTTGATTTTCCTTGCTTTTAATGACCTTGACAAGTTTTGAGGCATACTGGTCTGGTATACTGTAGGATGCCCTCTGTTGGAATTTGTAAAATTTCAATATAATTAGAATAAATTTCACAAATCTATTGATTATGTGAAAGTTGTCAGAATCAAAATGGAGTCACTTGCATTAAAATTCCTGACAAAGAGACCCAGGGAAGGTCTCGAAGGGAAGTTTCTCAAGCCCAAATGCCTGGTAACAAGAACTATCACAGAAGACTGCAGAAACCACAACCTTGCACAAAGGCCATTGCAACTATACACAAAGAAGTACCCCTGTGAGGACATCTGCCCAGCAACTTCCTGTTCAACCTCAGACTAGTGCCACTCTTCTTACTGATCCTGTAGCCAAGGATAATAGTGTCATAACAATTGTATAATCCTCATTTTTCCTCTAAAAGCCTTTTTCTTCTGTTACTTCCCTGAATACTCATATGGTTTACTATGGGCTGCTTATTGCCATGGCAATGCTTATTCCCAAATAAACATCATTTTCTTTTAGAGAGTCTCCCTCTCTGTTATTTAGGTTCACAGATGTTTTTCTCACAATTAGACTGGGGTTATGGGTTTATTATAGAAGAGAAGTGCCATTTTCATCACACATAATATCAAGATTATCAATGTGATTTATGATGGTTGATATTGACCTTGATCACTTGGTTGGGTTACTGTTTCTTGAGTGTCCCTATCTTAAAAATACTCACTTAAATTTCCCTCTTCTAACTGTACTCCTTGGATGGAAGTTCCTTATACATAGCCCTTAAGGAGTGGCAAGTTTTGCTCCCCCTCCATTAGGGTGAAGTATCAATATAATACTTTTTCATTAGCGAGAAGGAGCTTTATTTCTTTGTGCAAAGGAGCACTTCAAGTCAAGCTAGCCAGTCGCACTTGGGCGAGTCCTGCTTTCACAGAAACTGGGGGTAGAAGAGGTACTTTCAGTTGTACTCAGTTCGGGCTAAGCAGTTAGCAATCTCCTGGTCACACTTGCACAAGAGCTTTTGGCATTTGTTCTCTGCTGGTCCAGTCAATGGCATCCCGGTGCTGGCCATGGCCTCCCAGGCCACAGTAGCAACTGTATTTCATATAGGTAAGTGGGGTTCAGGAGTCAATACAACCCACAGTTCCTGCCAGTTCCAGGATCCCACGTCGGTGCACGTGTGACCTCTTGGAGGCCTGGCGGGACCCAGGGCCAGATCCCAGCAGCAGCAGCAGCAGTGACAGCAGTGGCAGTAGTATTAATAACATGACTGGCAGGCACAGAGGTAGCAGCCCAGTCCGACAGTGGGAGGTGTGGAACGGTGTAGCCGGGCCAGTGTAGTCACCAAGCCTGGCCGAGCTAGTCACCATATCGGTATAATTTATTTGGAATTCTTTTTTTGTACTGAATATTTGTTTCTTTTCCTGTGTTTATTAACTTACTTAATCATATATTTATATCAGATCTGAGCTCATGGATATGCGTTTTATACTCTGGGCTCTAATCCCAAACTATTTATTTCATTGCTTAAATCCTTCTAGCTTTGGCCATTGGGAGCTTTTTGGTCCTGAGCCCCTTTGAGATACTCTCATTAATTTGTGTGTGTGTGTGTGTGTGTGTGTGTGTGTGTGTGTGAGAGAGGGAGAGAGAGAGAGAGAAGAAGAGAGACAGAGTAAGGGAGAGAGAATGCAGTTTCTTACTTGTAGCACTATAAGACACCCCAGGCTAATCTTGTGTATTTCCTGCCCCAGTCATAGTCACTCATTTCTGCAAGGAGCCCTGGTTCCTTTATTCTGGAGAATGATGTTGGGAACCAAGATCTGGGTGCTAGGTGTGTTCATTGCTATTGAGATGTAGTTTTTTTTTGCAGGCTTCTCACCTGACAGAGCAATGAAATATATGTATGTATACTACCTTGTATATATACACATATTTATAAATATTTCTATGTGTAACCATCTGTTTCCATATTGTTAATTATTAAAGAAGTTTTTACTGATGTTTCTAGTTTGAATCCATTACCACATACATCATTCTACCCCCCTCCTTTTCCTTATCTATAAATTCCTACTTCAACAGTGAGAAAACTGCCTCCTATCATCTGCTATCCATTTACTTAATTGTTCAATTCCTGTATACATGTATAGCAGTATCAGGCAGTACTAGAATTCTTAATCCATACCTCTATGGGGAAAAACTTTATCAACTAGAGTACTTCTGTATTTCCTTTTGCCTTGAGTCTTACAGATGCCATCAATGGCAAAGTGTGTTTTGAAGAGTTTTTAATTTTAATAAAGTCTGACTTGCTAATTTTTTTCATGGATTGTGCTTTTAGTGTTGTATCTAAAAACACACCACTAAACCCAAAGTCACCTCTATTTTATCCTATGTTATCTTCTAGAAGTTTTACAGTTTAGTGTTTTAATGTTTAGGTTTATGATCTGCTTAGAGTCAAATTTTGTGAAAGGTGTAAGATCTGTGTCTAGGATTTTTTTTTTTTTCATATCCCCAGTTGTTCCAGCACCATTTGTTGAAAAGACTGTCCTTTCTCCACTGAATTGCCTCTGCTCATTTTTCAAAGTTCTTGCCTTTTATGTTGATTAAGTATTTTTTATTATTGTAGTCCCCTCTTCCTTGGTTAAGTAATTATATATTATTTTATGACTTTTTAGTGGTTGCCATAGAGATAACAACATGTTACTCAATTTATTAAACATCCATGTAAATTGTCACTTTTGTTATTTCCCAGGCCAGTGGTTCTCAAACTTGAACATGCATCAGAATTGCCTTAAGGGTTTGTTAAAGCACAGATTGCTGGGTTCTGTCATCAGGGTTTCTGATTCAGCAGGCATGGGTTGAGGCATGAGAATTTGCATTTCCAACAATTTCCTAAGTGACACTGGTGATGCAAACGCAGACCTGGAGACTACACTTTGAGAACGGCTGTGTTAATCACAAACACTGAAAAACATTTTCATTCTACTTGTTCTGTTGACTTCTGTGCTATTACTGTCATATCTATATCTCTATCCCCACAAAGCAATATTCTTATTGTTTTATATTGTAAATATTCATTTATATTTACTTCTATATTATTTTCTCTTTTGGTTTTCATTTCTTCTTGCACCTTTGAGCTTCCATCTGGGACTACCGACCATTTACTTCTGCCTGAAGAATGCCCTTTAGCATTTCCCGTAATGCAGGCCTGTTAGTGACAAATTCACCCATACTTTGTAGGTCTGAAACTATCTTTCTTTTGCTTTTACCTTGGAAGGGTATTCTTGGTGAATATGAAACGCTACATTATTGTTATTTTCTTTTAGCACATGTCTTCTGACATTCATGGTTTCTGTTGAGAAGATGGCTGCTTATTTTACTGTTGCTTCTTTGAAGATAGTATCTCTTTTGACTGCTTTAAAAATTTGCTTCTTGTTTTTGGTTTTCAGCTGTTTTATGCTGATGTGCTAGGTTATAGTTTTCTTTGTAGTTATTCTGATTAAAACTTCTCGAATGTGTGGCTTGAAGTCGTCCATCAAATCTGTGTTATTATTTTTTTCCTTTTAGATGGTATTGTTGCCAGAGAATATGGTATTTATGATACTTATCCTTTGAGATGTGTTCAGACTTGCTGTGTGGCTGCGTTTAAGTGGTTGATTTTTGAAAACATTGCTTCTGTGTTGAGAAGAATGTGTATTCTCTAGTTGTTTAGGGGCACAATTCTAAATATGTTAATTATATTAATACCAATCCCTTTTTATGTATATTGTTTAAATATTGTTTATCTATATTAATTTCCTATCTTCTAAGCTGTCAATAATTACTAGAGGTGTGTTAAAATATCCTATAATGATTTTGAGGCAATTTTCTTATATATATATGGGTTTAAAATGTCTATAATCACATAGTGAATTGAAAACTATAATCAGTATATAGTACATTTCTCTATTTCCAGTAATGCTCTTTGTCTTACATTCTTTTTGAGACAGGATCTCACTGTGTCACCCAGGCTGGAGTGGACTGGCGCTATCTCGGCTTGCTGCAGTCTCTGCCTCCCAGGATCAAGTGATCCTCCCACCTCAGGCTCCCGAGTAGCTGGGACTACAGGTATTCGTCACTACACCTGGCTAATTTTTGTGTTTTTTGTGTGTTTTATCTAATATTAATGTAGTGGCCTCTGCATTATTTTGATATTTGTCTAGTATTTCGTCTTCGTATTTTTAACCTTCCCACATTTAAAAAGTATGAATATGATAAACAGTATAGCTATGTTTTCTTTTTTTTAAAACTGGTATTTAATTCTTTTACATTTGGTGTGATTATTGGTATATTGGGACTTGTTTCTATCAATGTAAAATTTCCCCTATTTGTTTCACTCTTGTTTCTTGTCTTGTCTTTAAAAAATTAATTTAGCTTTTTTGGTTAAATTTTTTTCTTAACCAAATGTTTCCCCTTTACTACTTAAACATAATACACTATTTTCTTTTAGTACTATTGAAATCTTATCAAACATGTTAAATTTAAGTAAGATTAAAGTGAATCAATAAGTTAAATGATCTGAAAAATAAAACGAATCTTATAACACTTTTCAGTCAGCTACCTACTTCTGACTCAAATGCTATCGAAAGCAAAAACTTTAGTTCTATACCTTATTTTTTAAACCCTGTAAATTATATCTCCTTCTTGTCCTCACCTTCTTTTTTCTACTTCTTCCTCTTTGTCCTTATTTATCTCTTTTTCATACATATTATGTCATCTTAGAATTATCTACATTTGTACCAATTTTTTCTTTCTGCATTTTAGACTTTTGCAATAATTTTCTTCTATTGAAGGACATCTTTTAGAAGTTTCTGTGAAGATCTGTTGATGCCAAACTCTAGTTTTTTGTTCAACTAAATATGTCTTTATTTTCTTACTATTTATGAAAAGATGGTTTTGCTGAGTCCATAATTTTAAGTTGACAGTTAATTTCTCTAAATATTTTAAAGTTATTAAACCCTTTCTTTTATGTTCTATTGCTACTATTGCGATGCTAATCATCATTCCTTTTCCTTCAAGTTACTTTTTTTTTGAGACGGAGTTTTGCTCTTGTTGCACAGGCTGGAGTGAAATGGCATACTCTTGGCTCACTGCAACCTCTGCCTCCCTGGTTCAAGCTATTCTCCTGCTTCAGCCTTCCTGAGTAGCTGGGACTATAGGTGCCTGCCACCATGCCTGGCTAATTTTTGTATCTTTAGTAGAGATGGGGTTTCACCATGTTGGCCAGGCTGGTCTCAAACTCCTGACCTCAGGTGATCCACCCGCCTTGACTTCCCAAAGTGCTGGGATTACAGTGTGAGCCACTGTGCCCAGCCTCAAATTACTTTTAATATCTTCTTTTTGTTTTTTATGGTCTGCAATTTCACTAAAATGTGTATCTTTATGGACTTCTTTTTACTTATCTTGCTTATGATACATTGATTTTCTTCACTTATGAACATATGTATTTCATCAATTCTTTTTCTTTTTTTTTTTTGAGATGCAGTTTCACTCTGTCTCCTAGGCTAGAGTGCAGTGGTGTGCTCTCGGCTCACTGCGACCTCCAACTCCTGGGTTCAAGAGATTCTCCTGCCTCAGCCTCCTGAGTAGCTGGGATTCCAGGTGCACACCACCACGCCCAGCTAATTCTTGTTTTTTTTTTTTTTAGTAGAGATGGGGTTTCACCATGTTGGCCAGGCTGCTCTCAAACTCCTGGCCTCAAGTGATCTGCCCACCTCAGCCTCCCAAAATGCTGAGATTATAGGCATGAGCCACCATACCTGGCCTGCATTTCATCAATTCTGAAAAATTCATTTTCTCCTCAAATATAGCAGCTCTCAATTTTCTCTATTCTCCTCTCAAGGACTCTGACTAGATATATATTAAAGCCTTTTATTCTATCTTCCATATCTTTTAATCTATCTTAATATTTCCTCCTTTTTTTCTCTATACTGGATCCTGGATATTTCTTTCAGATATATTATCCAGTTCACCAGTTCTTTCTTCATCTACAGCTAATCTGCAACTTAAACTATTTGTTAAACTTTCTTTTCCAACTATTATATTTATTTCCAAAAGTCCTTTTTGTTTTTATTTTTCAAATCTGCATATTTTTGACAGTCTCTTAACAATCATTTTATGAACACATCTTTCATTATTTAAACAGTTCATAGATTGCAATTTTATATTCTGTATCCAACAATTCCAAAATATGAATGGCTTAGGGGCTTAAATCTATTTGTAGTTACTGGTGACTTGTAATAAGGGTGACTTCTTTCAATGTGTATTTGCTGATTTTGGTTTTGAGCTCATATTTGTTTCCTTTTAATCTGTGAGAATCCTGTGGGAATACATAGGGGATAATTTTCTCCAGAAAACACTTTGCTTTTGCTAGGAAACAGGGGAAATACTGACCTGGAATACTTTAGTGTCCTTTGAGAATGTTAGCTTAAAGTAGTACTTTCAGATACAGTTCCTCTATTTGCTTCTAGCCCGAGAGTTAGTTCAGCTAACACAGCTCTGATATTAGCTTTTGTCTTTAGGCCAGCCCATTTCCCCCTTTTATTATTGCTCACCGTCTTGCCTTTTGAAAAGTTTTTTTTGAAGGATATTGAAGATTTCCCCTTGTCCTTACTAATTCAGAAATGAAATAAAGGATGATTTATCCAGGATCTACTTGTTTTTGAGGGGCAGGATCTTTCAGAATATTTAATCTCTTTTACGACCGGAAGCAGAAATCTGAGGCCCTTTTTTCAAGTGTTTCTTTAATAAGGTTTAAAATATTTACAACTGGTTCTTCAGATGAATTTAAACAAAGTAATTAAGTAACAAAACCGATCTTACCATGATCAAACAGTGTTCCTTATAGCTCCAGTTTTATGATCTCCCCATTCACTTTATCTTGCATGAGGAATGTAAACTTGCCATGGAAGGCTAGATTTAGAATGTTCAAATGAGCAATTATCTTTTAACACCAACACAAGTCATGCATACAATTTGGCAGATTGAAGATTACATACAGAAGAGACTTGAAGTTCCTTGCAAAACAAATAGAGGAGTGAGAACATTACTGAGTGAAAGCCAATGAGCTTCATTTCTTTAAAAAGTTAAAAAAAAAAGGTAAAGAAATCAGTGGCTTGACACTAAAGAGACTGACAGCCTTTAAAGCTTTAGAAATTTTTTCTCGTAAACCTTTATACATATCCAGAGTATCCAAATCTTTTCTGTGAATACAGCGGCATGTAAAATTTGCTTTCAATGTGCAAGGTTGACTCTATGGAAGGTTCATGGCTATTTCTGAATTCTAAAATTAAAGTTAAAAAACAGAGTATAAAAGATGGACTATCAGTGATGTGTAAACTATAGGCTCATCCTAAACAATAATCTTGGTGAGATCCTGCACTTGATATTCATATACCAGTTATATTTCCTACACTATGGAATGTATTCTTTGCCGTGTGTGTATCAATTTAGAAAACATCATATGAAGCCAAGTAGGAGCTGTGGGTATCAGAGAAAAAGAAGCTTGCTATCTGTAATTGGACCACAGGGTCTTGAGAAAGGGTCTTGCACTGTCACCCAGGCTGGAGTGCAGTGGCATGATCTTGGCTCATTGCAGCCTCAACCTCCTGGGCTCAAGTGATCATCTCACCTCAGCCTCCTAAGTAGCTGGGACTACAGGTGCACGCCACCATGCCTGGCTAATTTTTTGTAGCGATGGGTTTTCACCATGTTGCCTGGCTATTCTCAAACTCCTGGGTTCAAAAGATCCACCCACCTTGGCCTCCCAAAGTGCTGGGATTGCAGGCATGAGCCAGTGCATCCGGCCTGCAGTTGTTGTTTCTTGACTAATAAACAAGTTTTGGTGTGCAGAGCTTTGATCCCCACTTACGTTTTGAAGTGCCTTTTCAGTTTTCATATGATGAAATTTATGTTCACTTCTCTGCCCTGAGTCTCAGTTACTTCCCTAGACGATGAAGAGTCAAGACCATGGATTCTCTCAGGTGCACTGAGTTTGGTGTGCTGTGTGAAGCCTGGTGTGTGTGTTGGGATTCACCACAGCCTCTTTTTATTGGCATACTAAACGTTTATACTGTGGCAAATGGGAGGACAAGTTCCTCCACCATGGACCTAAACAGACTCAAAATAAATAAAGCTTTGCTTCTTAAATACTGTCTTATCTGTAGATTATTTTCTCTTTGATAAAAATATATTTTTTTCAAATGACAGCCATTTTCATGTGTCGTTCCTTCTTAGAGAACATTGAGTTACCTCCTTCGAGCAGCCATGATGTTGGTGGCTTCATCCATCCCCCTTTTGGCAATATCCTGGACAATAAAGCAGAAAAATGGAAGGAAATTAATACTATGGTGACACTGTGGGGGGTCTCTATATCAACCCTTGCTTGAAGCTTGAGCTGAATTTTCAGTTATATGAGTCAATGTACTCATGTATTGTATAAGACAGATTTTGGGTTTTAGTCGCAGTTAAAAGCATCCTAATGAAAATATCTCTTGTTAAAGTATAACTTGAACATATGACTCAGGTGAAGATTTATCACCTCTGAGGGAAACCAAATTTAGGTTTCACTCCAGGTTGGAGTGCCGTGGTGCAACCTTGGCTCACTGCAACCTTGAACTCTTGGGCTCAAGTGATCCTCCCTCCTCAACCTCCCAAGTAGCTAGGACTACAAGCACCCGCCACCATGACCAGTTAATTTTTAAATGTTTTGAGAGATGGGCATCTGGCTACGTTGCCCAGGTTGGTCTCAAACTCCTGACCTCAGGTGATCCTCCTGCCTCAGGCTCCCAAAGTGCTGAGATTACAGGTGTGAGTCACCTTGCCTTGCCTGAATACACTGTTTTGACTTTTGAGATTAAAACGGAAGTAAATGAAATAAACTCACGACAATGAGCCAATGGCCAGCACTGTTATAGATCAATAACACAGGTTTCAACTCTTTGGAGGGAGAGTAACTAACTTACTTTCTGCACCTAACTTTCTGTATCACATCATTCTTTTCTTCCTGAGCTCAAACTCTGTCTCAGTAGCTTTCTGTAGCAGCCCCTGCGGGCACATAAGATAACATCTATCTGTGCTCCTTATCAAGCCATTCTGTCTAGTCCTAAATGTCAGAATAGGTACTAACACAGCTTTGGGCTTTGCAAGAAAATGTTCTCATCTTTTATCATCAGTTGGAAAGCTTTGGGGGCAGGAGAGACAAGAAGATTCATTCATTATTTTCAACACATATTTAAGTTTCTATATAAAACAAGGAGTGAGGTTCAATCCACAAAAGTTAATGGAAAAGTAACATCGAATTTCATGGTTGGCAGAGGTAAAGAACCACAGTTCCTAAGACACCGGCAAGTCAATTTAGGAAAGAAAAATTGCAGTGCCCACCTTCTTCCACAGAGGGGCACTCCAAGCTCATCACTGAAACCGTGCACTGTGTTGTTTTCAGTGAGCGGTTGTAGAAAAAGAACTTCCAATCTTTTCTCCATGCCTAGGGATTATTAAGAGCGTAGAATTTAAAGTACATTTGCAGGGCTCGATGTGAATGAGGCAAAACCATTTCAGTATCAATCCCAGTGGTGCCAGCAACCCATTCTAAATTAACTCAGGTTTAAATATGTTACAGAAATGTGTTAAATTTGAGAACAAATTTCACTTAGGATCTGTGGGTCTCTGTTACACAAAAGATGGAATACTTTGGAGGCAATGCAGTTCTTATTTAAAGCTAAAATATGGCTTATCATAAAACTATAGTCAGCCCGCTTCAAACACTCATGTCTTCACCAGAATGGGCAATATAGAATGAAAATTACACCTTGAGTAAACAGAATTGTAGATAAATGAGTTATGTCTCAAGACGTTTTGAATATTTTTATTATTGTGTCTGGGCCAAAAGTCTTTCCATATGTCCAAAGGCCCCGTGGCATTTCCAAATCAGCCGTGGGTGACGGTGGGACCGCGGGGCTCGTATGATGCCAACGCAAGCGTACCGGGTGGTCCTCATAGTTTGTTACATTCCAAAATGCAACCATTAAAGGGGCGGCCCTTACCTTCCCTAGTGAATACAAAAAGCCTTTGGAGACCAAAGGGCTGGAATGCTGGGGCAAACGCCACCCCACGTGCTGACCCCTTGGCCAGAGCCGAGGCGGGCGGCCTGGAGTCCCCAGCGCGGAGCCCCCAGGTTCCCAGGAGCTCGGGTCGCTCTCCGCTCTCCGCCCCTCGCCCGGGCCCACGGAAAGGGCTAAATGGCTTGCGACCAAACAGCGAATTTAAAAGGAAGCTTTCACGAAAAGCCCAAGGGAGCGGCAGCCCAGATTGTGTGGAGGGCAGAGCCGCGGGTTCCGAGGGTCCCCGGGGCGAAGCGGGCAGGGGCGCACCTCCGGGCCGCGGGCAGATGGAACCCGGGCTCCCGGGCCGGCGCGCGGGGGGCGGCCGCCTAGACATCCTCTCATTCGGCTGAAGTTTATTCTGGGCCACCGAGAGCTGGAACAGGAAATGTTCCGTCTTTCATGTCCACCGGTGGGCTTCAGACAGTTTTGCACCTCCCGGCGAGCACTGATTAGCCGGCTGAGTTCTGCCGCATTTGAAGTTCACCATTTATTATTAAAGAGAAGTGGCAGTGATTAGTGCTGGGTCCTCGGGGAGTGGAATAAATATTTACTAAATAAGAACGTTCCGCCATAAAGGAACGGCTCGAACAGGTTTCTGAAACCCCGGCGCGGGCCCCAAGTGCCGCCCCCAGGCAGGAAGCGGCGTTGCGGGGCTTTCCGCGAGAGGCTGCCATCTGCAGACCGTGCTGGGCGGCGACCTCCGCGGGGCAGGGCTCGGCCCGGCGCAGCCAGGGCCCGACGAAACTCGGCACTCTGGGCGTTTAAGTTATTTTATAGGCTGTGTTTGTTTTATAAAGGCAGAGGTGAATGTCAAACTAAACTTCGAACCTTTCTTTAATTTAAGGAACAAAGTAACATTTTATCGCTCAAGTAAGGGGACTGTGTTGCTTCCAACGTTAGGAGCATTTTCCAGTATGCTCCAAAGTGTACCCAAATTGTGAGCATCCAAGAAAGCATATTTATGTATATTTCAAAACATTATGTCATACAATGTAAATTATACAGTTTTTATTTGTCAACTGAAGAATAATAGTAAAAAAAAAAGTTTATTTAGTTTATTTGGCAATTAACTTACACGATGGCATCCCTGTCAAAAGCATTCATGTTGGTTGTTTAAAAAGCGTTTTCCTTAATTATTAGAATAATACTTTTACTGTAGAAAATATGAAATTTGCATATATCTAAACATCAGTATCACATGCTTTTTTCCATCATATTTTGCAGTGGGAATTGTCCAATGACATTACATATTTTTAGGGACAAATTTAGTGTCTATATCCATTTATTTAACTTACAGTGAATTAATAAACATTAAGGTAGTTTCAAGTTTTCCTTATTATAATAGCTCAATTAATATTTTTGTATGCAATTCTACACTTGTCTGATTATTCCCTGGCACCATTTTATTTTGAATTTCTTTTATTGTAAGTTGGGTTTAATATTATATTGCGAATAATTACAGAGAAGGGCCAGTTTTTGCTCATCACCATGTACCTGGTGTCTTGTATTATGCTGAGCACATACCAAATGCCCAATAGATATTGATTGAATGAATAAAAGAATAAAAAGTTAGTAGAACATTTGAATTTCTTGTTTTGTGAATTGCTTAATATTATTCATTTATTATGATAAGTTATCTTTTTCTTATGAATTTATAAGCTGTGTTTTAGGTAATAAGGATTTAACCTTCGGTTTGTCGCACATATGGCAAACCTCCCTCCCGTCTACAAAGCATAAGTTTGTGTGTATGTGTGTGTGTTTGGGTACTTTTTGACTTCTAGAAGTTAAAAAAAATTTCATAAGGTTATATTTGGATGATACTCTTTATCACACATGCAAGTTAAATGGCTATAGACAATACTCTACAATCTGTTTTGTGGTATTTTTACATATTTTGGACAGCACATTTTCATTCTTCTATTTATCAAGTTTTTCCCTGGACTTGGAATTTTTTTCAGGATATAACACATGGAGTAAAAAGGTAGTACAATCTTAGTCTTAGTCTGACAAGCACAGGATCTTGAGCCTGGTATCATACCAAAGAAAGATCTGTCAATTTCCCAAACAACCTTTAATTTACCTTTTTCTGATTCACTATTATGAAAGATATGAATAGAAAAAAGATCCCGGTTTTTAAGGGGTTTTCTGTATGTATCTCCTTCCAACTGAATGTGTAATTCCCTTTTATATCTCACCTGGTTTTGGTTGAAGTGACAAGTTTTGGGGACCATGAGTTGGAAATGGGTATAATTATTTGACACAGCAACAATGAAAAACTTTATGAGTATGGATATTCTATTGGTTTGTCAGGGCTGCCATAACAAAACACTGCAGACAAGATGGCTTAAACAATACGAACGTATTTTCTCACAGTTCTGAGGGCTAGAAGTCCAAGTTGAAGGTGTCAGTAGGTTTGGTCTATTCTGAGGCCTCTCTGCTTGGCTTGCAGATGAACTTCTTGCTGTGTCCTCAGATGGCCTGTTCTCTGTTCATGCATGTTTTGTTGAAATTTCTTCTTTTTATGAGGACCCAAGTCATATTGGGTAAGCACCCTTTAAACATCTGATTTTAACCTAATGACCTCTTTAAAGACTTTATCTCCATATATTGTGAGATTTGGAGGTACTGAGGTTGGAACTTCAACATATTCATTTTGGGGGCATGCAATTCAGTCCATAACAGGTATCTAATGGAGAGAGAGATTATGCCTTAGATTTATTTTTAAAAAGATAAATATTACCAGAAATAAAAGCATGGTACAGAAGTTAAAAACTAAGGCAATGCTACAGGATTTAAGTCACAAAAGCAAACAGGATTTCACTTTCCGTGTACTTTTTGTTAGGTTAGGCTTGAGGCCTAGTGGTGGGAAAGAAGCTTGCTTGAAGTAGACTTTTTTGCTTACATCAAGACCTCTTTGGGTTTCTTGTGGCTCTGCTTCATTTCTGGTTTTACTCTAGACATAGGGCAGTCTCTAACTGGGACACCGTTGCTTTTGTGACTAGACCAAAAACAGCCTCAGTGAACCCCAAACTTATAACTTCAACTGAGAATGATATACGTCACTTGGAATTGTTTCACAATTAACTTATTCCATTCAATAAGCATTTAGCAATTGCTTTTGGAGTTATTCGTTTGCCTTTTGAAGATGCTGAAGGAGGCCAGGAATATCAGTGAGAAAAAAGAGGAGAGCTCTTAGCTCAATCAGGTTCTTTTTAGTTTACTACTATTTATCCTTCAAGGCCCATTGAGTTCCTGGAGTTTTCTTGGATAACTCCAGTCAACACTGACATGCTTCTTTCTGCCTACTTTTCATTCATGGATTCATTCCATAAATACTTATTGAAGCCAAGCGTGTGTAGTGGACAAGACAGACATGGTTTGTGCTTTCATGGAGTTGACTTTCTAGTAGGAGGAGACAGACACTAAATAACAACACATGTAAATCTGACCATTGCAGATGGTGAAAAGGGCTGTGAAGAAAAATGTCAGGTGAGATGCTGGAGTGTGTGAAGCTGGGCTGGGAGGCTGATTGGTGCTGGGTAGGGAAGGCCTTTCTCAGTGGGTTACACAGGCGCTGGGATCTTACTGAAAAAAGCAACCAGCTGGGTCAGGAGAGAGACTGCAGTCCCCAGGCCCTAAGTTAGGTGACAGCTTGGCTGATGGAGGACTAGGCAAAGGCCAGTGTGTCTAGATGCTAGTGAGAGTGGAGATGTGTGGGGGAGATGGGGGTCTCGGAAGTCAGCAGGGCCCAGGGCAGCTAAGCCTTTGTGGTACCTTGGCAAGGAGTATGTCCTCCGACCCCCACCCACCCACCAAGTAAAATGGGGAGTCATGAGGTTTTAAACTCCACAGTGACACAGTGGCAAGTTCTGGTTTATGTTTTTAAGCAATTACTCAGATTGCTGTGTGGCAGATGGACAGAGTGTAGTGAGGAGTGGGGCAGAGAGACCAACTTAGATTGTGGCATTTGATCATTTTCAAGCCAATGTTCTGAGGGGGCCCCTAGGTAGCAGATCACAAGCACCTTTAGGACAGAAACATTCTGTTTTCTCTTCTTCCTCTTCTTCATCTTCCTTCTTTCTTTTTTGTTTTATTACTCTTGGAGGCTTTAACAGTGTTAGCAATATAATGGCTCAATCAAAACTTGTACTGAGTTGGGCAACCCTCTGCCAATTAATGCCGGAATTTTTTGGGTATAGAATTGGCCCTGAGTATCTGCCACTTGCCTTGAATGTATGGAATCAAATTCTTTTGGTGATTTCAGCTTCTTGGAAAAAGGTAACTGCATAATGAAGAGGTGGTGTTTTCTTAACATGCATTTACTACAATGACTATTTTCTCCGTGTTGAAACTAGTCATTGTTGCATATTTAATATAGTAATTGAAAGATTGGAGGCCTTTTGTAGTTATATGGAAAGAGATTAGTCATTTCATCTTGTGAATTTTTCTTCATTCCTCAGTAGGAATGGTTAGCCCCTGGCCTTAAGCCATTTACCCCACTTTTTTTTTTTTTTGCTAAGTTTCTACTTGGTGAGGTTGGAAATCTTAATTTTAAAAAAGTCTTTCTTTAGTTGACACACTATAAATATTCTGCCTTTTGGCATATTACATTTATATGGTTATAATTCTGGAGTCTCCTAATTCATTAACTATAGAGGTGCTTGAGAAGGTATGGAGATGTTCACAGTAATCACTTGTGATGTTCAGCTGCAGCTGACTGTAGGTGAGGGAGGAAGCCACTGCTTGGGAAGCGGAGGCAAGGGGGAAGTTAGAGGCTTGTGGCAGCTGCTAACAGAATTGAAGTGCAGCAGTCACAGGAAAATTCAGTTAGGAATTGGTGATCCCTGCTCTGGCTGGCTTTGAGGTTGTATCTGTTTGGATCACAAAAGAAAAGAGAACCTTTCATACCTATCCTACCCCTAGAGCAGCTAAGAGTACAGACCTAAGTTGGTACTCTTTACTGTGAACCTTGGAGAAATTCTCAAGCTCATTAAGCTTCAATTTCCAAAGCTGCAATATGAGGATAATCATAGTACTACCTCATAGTGTCTCTTTGAGGATTAAATGAGATAGTATAGGTGGAGTATTCAGCATATTGGAAGTGCTTAGTAAATATTAACTATTGTTATTAGTGATGTTTTCTTATTATAGTAATGATACCTTTTCATTATAGCTAATTAAGAAAATACAGACATGCAAAAGGAAATAAAATTATACATAATCCCATAATCCAGAGATAAATAAAGGTGCTCTACTGCCAATTGTTTTCTCTGCAAATATTGTTATCTCACAAAATTTGATTTTATTCTCTAATATCTATCATTAACACTGCAGATTGTTCTATGATGTCCTATAATATCACGACTAGCTGAATAGAATTTCATTGTATAGATGTACCATATTGTAGTTTATCCTGTCAAATCCCTTTTATTTGACATTTAGGATTGTTTCCAATTTTTTCATTACTGCAGGGAGTACTGCAATAAATATCCCTATATAAACTTTTTGGCACATATCTACGATAATTTCCTTAGGCTCAATTACGGAAGTGAAGTTGCTGGTTGAATAATATCTATGCTTTTAGGATTTTGGATTCCTATTACCCAACTAGCCACCAGAAAGTTGTTAAAATTTATATTTTAATCAGCAGAATACAAGAGTATATGTGGCCCTGCACCCTTACCAACATCAGGCATTAGTTTTGGAAACAAATTTTCATTAGTTCATGCATTTTTTTTTTTTTGAGGAGTCTTTTGCCCAGGCTGGAGTGCAGTGGAGCGATCTCAGTTCACTGCAACCTCTGCTCCTGGGTTCAAGCAATTCTCCTGCCTCAGCCTCCCTAGTAGCTGGGATGCAGATGCATGCTACCATGCCCATCTAATTTTTGTATTTTTAGTAGAGATGGGGTTTCACCATGTTGGCCAAGCTGGTCTTGAACTCCTGGCCTCAGGCGATCTGCCTGCCTTGGCCTCTCAAAGTGCTGGGATTACAGGCGTGAGCCACCGCGCCTGGCCTTCATGCAATATTTTTTGAGTGACAACTATAGACCAGGCATTATTCTAGGCATGAGCATTTAGTAGTGAACAAAAAAGACAAAAATCTCCCTGCTTTCAAGGAGCTAACAGAGTGTGTTAGACAATGTTATGGAGGAAAAGAAAACAGGACAGGAAGATAGAGTGTCTGGTTTGTGAGGTGGAAGGATGTGCTGTTTCATCTAGGGCATCAGGGAAGCCCTCACTGAGAAGGTGAATGTGTGCACAGACCTGAAACAGAAGAGAAAATGGGCTCTCAAGGATCTCTAGGGGATCAGCTTTCCAGGCAGAGGGAAGAGCAAAGGCAAAAATGCTGAAGCAGAAGCATTCTTGGTATGTTCAAGCTAGGAGCCCAGTACAGCTGGGGTGAGATGCACAAGGAGGGAACAGAAGGCAATGAAGTCAGAGAGGTGATGGGCTCAGGTCATGTTGGGATATATCTGTCTATATATCCCTACAAGATAAGTATATATATATAATATACTTATTATTGTAAGTACTCTGACTTTTGCTCTGTATGAGATGAGGAGTCATTGGAGGGATTAGAGCAGAGGAAAGGCATCATCTAACTTATGTTTAAAAGGCTTATTCTGGCTGCTGTGTTGAGAATAGATTGAAGGGAGATAAGAGTGGAAGTAGTAGGGGTCTGCCTAGAAGGCTATTGCAGTAATTTAGAAGAGGGGAGATGGTGGGTTAGGCTAGGGTGGTAGCGGAACAGTTGATGAAACGTCATTCAAAAGTAGATGCAGTAAAATGACAGGATTTTCTAATGAGAAACAGAGACGAGGCAAGGTTTTTGAACTGAGTAGTTGGAAGTACTGCATACCATTCGCTGAGATGAGGAAGACTGCATGAAGAGCAGGTTTGAGGGAAGGCTGGGAGCTCAGTTTGAACATGTTACCTTTGAGGTGCTTTTTAGACATCCATGTGGAGGTGTTTCATGGGGAGGGGAATACATGGACCTGAAGTTCAAGGGAGAGGTTCACAGAGCAGTGATTGGGCGGTGGGAGAGTGAGGTCTCGGGAGAATTTTCTTTTGTACACTGTGAGCGATTATAGTGGGTTTATTTGTCGGTGGGAATAATCCATTAGAGAAGGAAAAACTGGTGATGCTGGAGAGGGGAAAATCATTGCAGTAAAGTCACCAAGTAGGTAAGAAGGAATGGGATCTAGAAGACAAGTGGAAGGGTGGCCTTTAGATAGGAATGCAAACAATTCATCCAGAGTAATGGAAAGGAAGGCAGAATGCACGAATGTGGACACAAGTTTGTGTCTAGATGGGGTGGCAAAACTTTGTGAACGTTCTTCTTGATTTGCTTCTAGTTTCTCAGTGAAATAAGAAAGATTGTCTATTGATAATAAGGGGGCTTGGTGAGACCCACTGAGGTGCATTGAAAGCGCTTCACTATTATGGAGGTGCAGGGGATGGTCTGGGTTGGGGAACACCAACCTGAAGAGACCACTGCAGTCCTTCTGGGGAGAAACAGTGAAACCTGGACAGAGAAGTGGTGCTAGACATGGAGAGAACGCATAGATTCAGGTATGCTTTGGAGACAGAATATGCGAAACTTGCTGTTGGATTAGCAGTAGACATAAGGGAAAGCAAAGGATCAAGAATAATATTGCTGTGAAAAGCATCTTAAAAGGCAATGAATTACAATTGCTTCAACTATATTAAAAGGAAGTCCTGGGAGCTTTTACTATTTTAGCTCACACAACTAAAGTTCACTTTAGCTCTTTTCTCATCTTAAAATCCCTCCTAATACTATTGTAATCTTTGATTTTTAACATACTATGATTAGAAAACAGCACAAATGATTTAGAGTGGTTGTCAATCGTTGGGCTCTGTGAGCGGGGAGTAGATTCTCATTTTGCAGACGAAGAGAGGACCAGAAAGGCCAATAGAACTAATTACAAATGTTGTGGAGTTGAGGGAATAAAACAAAAACTGCTTTATTAGTTTAGAATAATGAAAAGTACTTTACATCTTAGATTGCAGAACATTAACTATATGCTTATTTTGTTTTATAACGCCTAGGACAAAATCTCATACAAATAGATACTTTAAGAAATGCACTTGACATGATTTTGCATGATACATTAATTGCCATTGATTGTCAAAAATTCTGGCCGAGCGCGGTGGCTCATGCCTGTAATCCCAGCACTTTGGGAGGCTGAGGCAGGCGGATCATGAGGTCAGGAGATCACGACCATCCTGGCTGACACAGTGAAACCCCATCTCTACTAAAAATACAAAAAACTAGCCGGGCGTAGTGGCATGTGCCTGTAGTCCCAGCTACTTGGGAGGCTGAGGCAGGAGAATCGCTTGAACCCGGGAGGCGGAGGTGGCAGTGAGCGTAGATTGTGCCACTGCACTCCAGCCTGGGCGACAGAGCGAGACTCCATCTCAAAAAAAAAAAAAATCCCTTCTAAATATGTATAAAGGAACTTACAATATTGGCAGCCTTTTACATAAAGGTTATAAGATTCCAGCTCTTTTTGGAAAACTAAGTATTTGTCATGTCTTGGATTTCTGCTTTTAGCAGAAAAATAAAAAGTAGACAATAACTTTAAAAAACTGATTTATTAAAGTTTTTCATGGGGTTTTAATTTTTTTTGGTTTACATCTAACTCATAGAATGTCTGAAACTGGGATTTCATTACTATGATTAAAAAAAATTACTTTGCAGTTACCCTTGTTCCTGGAATATGACAGCTTTCCCTAAAAAGCAAACAGTGGCAAAGTACTGGAAATAGTTCATTTAAAAAGATTCATTGCCTTAAAACTGTTCCTTAGTTTTTAACTTAAAAAAAATTATTGAACATTCTCTAGATGTCCAGATTGTTTTAAAGAAAGCTTTATGTTTTCAACTCGATCATCAGCCCTTTGAGGGCAGGGATGATTTTCTACTTCTGAACATGCTTCACACAACATCTGGCACAACATCTGGCATCCTAGTCGTTTGTGAATGTTATTTGAATAAACAATGAGTCACGTTCTTAAACTTTAGTGTCTTTTAATTTAGCTAGGTACGTTTTAAAAAGTCACGTTTTCCTCTGTCTACAAACGTGCATGTACAGAACCACATTGTCTTTGGATTAATCTACCTGTGACAATTAACTATCTAATTAATTAATCATCTGATAATTAAAATGACCTCCTTTTGGCTGATATTGGATCCCGAGAAAGGTTCAAAAGAAACTTGACACACCATGTTGTGTCATGTTCCATCGTGAGACACTCCTGCTATTTATCACGTTATGTCATATCTGATCACATCATGGCAATGTTAAGTTGAACATCAACATGGTGACATATTAGAAAAATTCTGAAGCACTAAATTTATATAAAGTCATCCATTCTTCACTCCTGCAAAATGGAATAGTCACGAAGCAACATTGGCAAATGTAGCATCTTTTATCCATCTGTAAATCTAGCACTGCTATTCATCAAGTAAGTTCATACTACTGGACTTCCCCTTTCCTTCAATTTCTTGCTCAAGGTTTTGGCTAAGTCCATTTGGACAACATGTGGGCTTATGTGGCTTATAAATCTTGCACGATCCTGTACTTTCATCTACTGAATTCCTCACAATAGAAGAAAATTAGAACACAGAATCTTTAATTGGATTTGGAACACATCATTTTTCTCTGTCTCCAAAAAAGTGACTAACCAAGAATTCGAATTTCAGTGGAAACTCTGCAAGCAAATCCAAGTTTTATAGTCTTCATTTGGCATTCTGACTTCATGGCAGACTCAGTGACGGCATTGCTATTGCCTTCATATTTATGGAGACATTTTTGGTTTCAAGATGGTATACTGATTTCCAAAATGATTCCAGGTTTCTGTGGCCCTGTGGAATACAATGAATCCATAGAAACATGACACTTTTTAAAACATTGTATGTTAACATTTTAATATACAGTATGCTATGAGCTTTAACTTAAAATTCTAATTTTTATTTACTGTGATTAGTGTATTATGTTATTATGGAGTAATGTGGAGTTTACTGGGGGCATAAGCAGTAAAAGTGACCTATGGCTGACATACTGTATCTTTAATAAGCTACAGATGACATGAGTCTCTTCTCATAGGGGATATTGGCTTTCTGTATATAATTAATAACAAGAAAACTGTATCCTGACTTTAAGGTCTGCAGTAGCATCCTGGAACAAAAAGAGCCATAAATTAGCATCAATTATGTATTAAAGTTCCAATTAACCTGGCTGACACTGATATACTTTAACAAGGCACATTTAGATAAAAGAAAAAACTCTCTAATTACTTGGAACAGGACCTTATGACCCACTCTACTCTTTTATCCCAATTCCAACCCAATAAAGAATGAAGTGAGAGGGAGAAAATTCCACAAAGGGTGACGATACAACATCAGAAGATATTCCCTGGGATACTCTTTTACCATCAAAAACTCTCCATGATGAATATTTTATTGTATTTGGATTCCTAAAAACACACACAGACATTGAAGAAGAAGGGTATTTTAAAGTTGGAAATGGTGGCATCTTCTGAGATTTCCCACTAGAACTCATTGTGCACATTATAAATATTTAATGTGAATTCTCCTCTCCCACCCCCAGTCTGCCTGGACCTGCTTTGGACACATTCTCTAGAAAGGGAGCTTGGTGGTCACAATCCCTTCTGTATTGCTCACTCTCCTGGCCCCCCAAATCTTTGGACAGCCTTCCTGTTTTCTATTTGATTTAGGAAGAGCATTCTGGTCCCCGGTCCCCATCTGTTCTCCAGGTGGCTCTTTGGATGTTGTTGTTCTCTGTTTTCTGTCCACTGCCTGGGCATCTTGCCCACTTAGTTCTCTTGGTCCTCGTGCTCCTCCTGGTGTCGCCTGGTCAGTTAGCTTCATCTACAATTGCATATGTAACTTCTAGGCTGCACACGGCATGCACTGAAGTATTTCTTCATCTGAAACCACAGAAATAGCAGATGAAGATATTCATAGAATGGATGAGAGAAAAAAATGCAGAGATTGTGGGCGACAGGGAGGGAGTGGGAGCAAGGCAGATTCTACTAGCTGAGGAGGCAGAGGAGGGAAGGACATAAAGAATAGAATAAGAAGTGATTTGTCCTTATCACACTTTTATCTTTCTGTGGATCATTATCAGATATTACAGTCATTTGCTTTCCTACAGCAATCTCCCATTAGACACTCGCTCATTTCTTGACATAGTTTCCTGAGTCTGTGCTCTAACTCACCCTCCACAGGAGATGGAGGAGCCTTGTCTCATTTCTCTCACTTACCCTTTATTCAGCCAGGCTTCCCTGCTCCTTCTACCCCTCCCCCCACCAAATAGCACAAGGCATAAATACTTTCTTCAAGGCTCTTCCCTGCTTACATCCAAAATGAGATCGACTTTTTATAGACATGAATGAACTCAGCTTTTAGCCAAATATGAAATAAAAAATCAAGAAATGCATCTAAATAAAGCAGAATTTCTACTTATACATTTGAATAAATATATCCAAGTTCTTTCAGGGCCACAGATATAGTGAATAGATACTTAGATCTATCTAAGTACTAAGTAAGTATCTAGAACAGATGCTTATGAATAGAGATGAAAGTAGACGTACAGAATTTAAATTTGTCAACATATGTGGCCAGTGAAATGGTCCCAAGTATAACTCTGACCACGTGTTTTTTTGTTTTTTTTTTTGCAAAGGAAAGTGATAGTAAAGGCATAAGATGTAGGATGTTAGTGCAGCTTGGGGGCTGGGATCTAAGGTTAACTGGCTTGAGCTGAGGCTGACTGGGGAAGGGCAGCTGCCCTACAGCCACGTAAAGGCCCCAGGAACTTCCTTCAAAATCTGAATTTTTGCCCTTAGCCCATTTTGGTCTATGTGCTCAGGTTCAGGGCTTCCAATTGTTTTCTTATCGCCAATTTTGTGTTTTTCTGACCTTGATCTGACAACTTAACTCTATCCTACAGACTTTGTCTGCTTCATTGTAAATATTAGTTCAAGGATAAACAGGAAAGTCTTATAAGTCTCCAAACAGAAAGGACAAGTTACTTAAAAAAGTGAAAAGAGGTAGCGTGTCGTTCTTCTTTTCATTTGAAACATGGAAGCCGGAAGGCAATGACATATAGCCTCTACAGAAAACTGAGATGAAATCATCGTAATCTAATTTATCTGAGAGAAAAAGGCAAGAAACCAGTGAAACTTTGCTCCAAATAGTGGATTCAAGCCACCGTGATCTCTCACCTGGACATTCAGATCACAATGGTCCCATCACAACACTTCCGTGCTCAAGACCCCTTAGAGGTTCCCATCTCTCCTTTTCTCTCTCTCTCTGTCCTTTCCTTCCTTCCTTCCTTCCTTCCTTCCTTCCTTCCTTCCTTCCTTCCTTCCTTCCTTCCTTCCTTCCTTCCTTCTTTCCCTCCCTCCCTCCTTCCCTCCCTCCTTCCTTCCTTCCTACCTTCCTTCCTTCCTTTTTCCTTCCTCTTTCTTTCTTTCTTTCTTTTTTTTGAGACAGTTTCGCTCTTGTCACCCAGGCTGGAATGCAATGGCACAATCTCGGCTCACTACAACCTCCGCCTCCTGGACTCAAGTGATTCTCCTGCCTCAGCCTTCTGAGTAGCTGGGACTACAGGCGCACGCCACCACGCCCAGCTAATTTTTGTATTTTTAGTAGAGATGAGGTTTTACCATGTTGGGCAGGACAGTCTCGATGTCTAGACCTTGTGATCCACCTGCCTCAGCCTCCCAAAGTGCTGGGATTACAGGTATAAGCCACCGCACCTGGCATCTCCTTTCCTTTTGAACAGTCTCTGATCCTTCTCCCCTTGCTCACACCCGCCAGTCACAACACCTGCCTTGCATCTGGCCTAGAACACACTTTGCCCAACTCCACATGGCTCCCTCCCTTCCTCAGGTCTTTGTTCAGGTATTATCTTATCAAGGAGGCCTTCTCTAACCCCCTACATTTTAATAAAATGGCAACTCTCTTCTGGGTCATTCTCTATCTGCCTTATTCACTTTATTTCCTATAAGTTATAGCACTTATCTGCTTACCTGTGTTTGTTTATTGTATCTCTTTTTCCCACTAGAATATGGGCACTGTAAGAATGGAGGACTTGTTTGTTCACTGCTGTCACTGAGAACAGACCCTTAGTAAGCTCTCATCATTTTTTGAAAGAAGGGAAAGGGTCCTATACCCAGCTAAGATATTCTTTTGTCATGAAGAATTAAAAAAAAATACATTGATATGCAGGAACTGAGAGAGTAGTTTGCCCACAAACCCCATTTAGATTTGTGAGAAAACCTTGGAATCATCTAGAATGCTTGTTAAAAAAGAATAGATTCTCAGATTCCAACCCACATCAACAGAGTCAGAATTTCCAGGGGAAAGTCTTGGAATCTGAATATTTCAAACTATTATATTGAATATTTCCAAAGGCCTCTTTCAATTCCTTTCATAAGGCAAACTTGGAAAACTGTAAGTCTAATCTTACAACAAATGAATCTGAATAGACTTTCAGTAGCAATAATTGTAGTATATGTATGTGTCTGATTGCATATAATATATTGTCTATCAATCAAGCAAGAATTTAACAGGAAATTTGCAATATATAAATCTTATGTAAGGATTCTTGAAGTAAAACAGATTTTTGTTATCTGACCCATTATTTAAATTGCTCATTTTTCATTACAGTTTCAATTACAGTTAGTCCAGTTGTGTTTCAGTACTAAGTTCCTTTTATCAACAGACAGATGCAGCTGGAAATGCATAGACATGATACTGTACTTGCTAAAATGAGCTCATCTGTTCATTTTAGAGTAGGAGGGAGGAGAGGAGAGGAATTAGATACATGAGTCTAACTGGTAATACTTATGTAAGACATACTAGGATTCTGTAGCAGACATTTGGTACAAGGGCAAATTGCCCTATTCCCTAATAGTCTTTGAGAGTATCATTGTGATACAGCATGGTACCACAACTGATAATTATATTGATTCTACATATTGGAGAAAAAGGCTCACAATACTCAATTTATTGTTAAAATGATTAAAAGAGGTTAACATAAAATACTGTTTGATAATTAAAGCAAACAATTTGAAAATAAAATTATGGTAAAGATTCATTCTTGAGTATCAGATGAGTAAGATAGTATTGCATAAAATAAGATCCTGGAAAACAATATGCTTATAATCTTGGTGAAGAGACGAAGCATGTAAAAACATGAAATAATTAAAGAGTAATGAAACAGTGTCTTGTACAAGTTACCTAATCTCTCTGATTCACACAGTATCCTCACCAACAAAATGGATATAATAATGAAAATCTCCCAGGGAGGTTTGAAGATTAAAGGAGATGATTTATGCCCTTGGGAAATGGCATATCATGCCACTGACTGAGGAAGAGCAGAAGTTCAGAAAAAAAAGCGATGGCTGAAGATCAACATAGACAGACAGGGAAGCCTTTATAGAGATGGAGAGATCGAAGCTTGCTCTTGGAGAAAAAGGAGATGAGAATTCTAGGTAGCAGGCTCAGTATAAGCAAAGGCGTGGAGGTGGGAAAGAACATGGTGTTCTGGAAAAAGACCATCTGACTGAAGGAGTGGTCATAAAAGACAAGGCTGATAAGGCAGACATACTTTTTTTTTTCCTTTTTTCTTTCTTTCTTTCTTTCTTTTTTTTTTTTTTTTTTTTTTGAGACGGAGTCTTGCTCTGTCACCCAGGCTGGAGTGCAATGGTACAATCTTGGCTCACTGAAACCTCTGCTTCCCGAGTTCAAGCGATTCTCCTGCCTTGGCCTCCTGAATAGCTGGGATTACAGGCATCCACCACCACACCCAGCTAGTTTTTGTATTTTTAGTAGAGTTGGGGTTTCACCATGTTGGCCAGGGTGGTCTCGAACTCCTGACCTCAGATGATATGCCCGCCTCAGCCTCCCAAAGTGCTGGGATTACAGGAGTGAGCCACCGCGCCTGGCCAGATATACTTCTTTATAGTAGAAGATAGAAATAACAAAGGAGAGAAAAGAAGGGCATTCCATGATTCTACCACTCAGAGACAGCCACTTTGGTATGCTTCCTTCTAGTTGCTTTTTTCTCTACGTAAATATTTACTTTTATAACTAAAACATGACTTGGGATAATACTATTCATAAATTTTTGTAACTGCTCTTAATATTTAACACGACATTGCCAGCATTTTTGTGTGCCTTTACTTATTTTTTGGAAGCATCATCTGTGATGGCCACATAATATTACATTTTGTGGCCTTGCTTTAAGTCAAAGTCTATTATTGCTGGAAATTGCTCTATTTTTTTTCTCCTCTAACATATAACACTATCCATGAGAATGCTTTAAAAACTAATCTCACTTTCTTCTTCACAGGAGAAATTATTAGAATGACATGACTTGGTCTAAAATATACAAACATTTTAAAGGTTATTGGTATATCCTGTTAAATTGTCTTACAGAAATGTTGTTCCAATTTATATTTCCGCTAGGAGAATATGAGTGTGTACCTTTCATTTTACTCTTGACAGAGAAATTTTGACCCAGTGGAGTTCTTGAACGGAGCCACAGTAGCGGCAGTAGGTGGAGGGATGGGAGGAAGAGATGCTAGAGCTAGATCCAGAGGTGCCATGACCACGCATTGAAATTTAGTGGTTCAAGTACCAATAGACAGGAGAAAATACATCTAAGAAATTCTCCCTCCCTTCTATCCTTCTTCTTTTCCTTCTTCTCTTTCTTTTCCCCTTACTTCTTAATAACTTGATTTGCCCTTTTATTTAAAAAAATTGTAGAAAATGTGTAAAATATAGAAATGTAAAAAGTTAACGTTTTATTATATATCTTTTTAGTCTCTATCATCTATCTATCATCTCTCTCTCTCTCTCTCTCTCTCTCTCTTTCTATCTATCTATCGACAGGGTCTTGTTCTGTCACCCAGGCTGGAGTGCAGTGGCATGATGATGGCTCATTGAAGCCTCAGTCTTGTGGGCTCAAGTCATCCTCCCACCTCAGCCTCCTGAGTAGCTGAGAATACAGGTGTGCACCACCATGCCTGGCTAATTTTTAAATATTTTTTTGTAGAGATGAGGTCTCACTGTGTTCCTGAGGCTGGTCTGAAACTCGTGGGCTCAAGTGATCCTCCTGCCTCAGCCTCCCAAAGTGCTGAGATTACAGGCATGTGCCACTGTGCTCAGCCTCAATGTATTTTATAAGTATTTTTTGCATATTAGATATTCCTTGCAAAAATGAAGGTATTTTCTTTCATGGATATAGAAATTTATTTATTAATTTCCCATTGATGGATATATAAGACATATTTTTCTTTTTTCTTTTTCTTTTTTTTTTTGAGATGGAGTCTTGCTCTGTCTCCCAGGCTGGAGTGCAGTGGCGCGATCTCGGCCCACTGCAAGCTCCGCCTCCCGGGTTCACGCCATTCTCCTGCCTCAGCCTCCCGAGTAGCTGGGACTACAGGTGCCCGCCACCACGCCCAGCTAATTTTTTGTATTTTTAGTAGAGACGGGGTTTTACCGGTTAGCCAGGATGGTCTCGATCCCCTGACCTCGTGATCCGCCCGCCTCGGCCTCCCAAAGTGCTGGGATTACAGGCGTGAGCCACCGTGCCCGGCCGAGACATATTTTTTCTATGATTTTTTTACTATTATATATAATGATGTGATAATTTTTTTTCATATCTATATTGTCTTTATTTCTGATTTTTTTCTAGGAGAAAGGAATTACTGAATAAATGCTATAGATAGATTTTAGGTTTAAGGAAGCATTTTCGAAGAGTCAATAACAAGATTAATCACACACACACACACACACACACACACACACACACACAAAATTAGGACATATTAAAAATGGTTCCAGCAGGGCGTCATGACTCATACTTGTAATTCCAACACTTGAGGAAGTCAAGGTGAGAGGATTGCTTGAGGCCAGGAGTTCGAGACCAGCCTGGGCAACACAGTGAGACCCTGTCTCTGCAAAAAACAAAATAAATTAGTTTGGGTGTGGTGGAGAGTGCCTGTAGTTTCAGCTACCAGGAAGGCTGAAGCCAGAGGACTGCTTGAGCCCGGGATTTTGAGGTTGCAGTCAGTTATGATTGAGCCACTACACTCCGGACTGGGTGACAGAATGAGACTCTGCCTCAATCGCCCACCCCCAAACAAATGTACAAACAAACAAACAAACAAACAAACATACACAAATGGTTCTTATGTTTCTAAATTTGAAGACTGGATCATAATATAGAAAATCCAAGTAAGAACTGATTTTGGAAGTTCATGAGTTTAGTTTTGAACATAAACTGAACAGGTAAACATAGATGAAAGTAAAATGAGGATAGAAGTTATTTCAAAAAGTAAACGGCCCATGTTGTCAATAAATTCTATTTCCATTATTGATATTTTGTATCTTATTGTATATTTACTAAAATTATGAGCACAATATAGAAAGGTCTAGGGCACTATTTTATATCTTTCACACTATTTCATATCTTTCACACCAAAACATTTTATTTCTGTAAATAATTCCCAACAGAAAAAATTGTAGAAAAATACTTGAGACTTCATCCCCCTCTGAAATTTTATGCTCATTTTGTCTTTCAGCCATCTTTTATGCAATTACTTAATAGATACATTAGCACATATCATTGTGATCTCTTTATTAGTGAGTGGAGGAACTATCTTTTCCTATATAAAGCATCTAGTTAGGAAGACTTAGCTGAACCAAAACCAGCATATGATAGCTAGGCGTGGTCATTTTGCTTCATGATTTAGAAATAAAACTTGTTTTAGTTAATGATTTTTTTCTGGTGTAATTTTTTCTGGTGAAATGTATACTTTTAGTTAGATAGCATGGGCTGAACTTCTTTGTCTCTTACCTGTTCTAAATTCTATGAAAATATTCAGAAACATTTATTGGATGCCTTCCAGGTGCCAGACACTCTGTTAAATGCTGGGTATGTGGCCCTAAAAAAAATAGACTTGGTTCTGGTTCTCATGGAGCTTATAGTTATGAGATAGACAGTTACATAGAAATGAGCATAGAAATTAACATAAAATTATAACTAGTGTTATGAACACTATTATAAATTATGAACACAATGACAAAAGGTGTTATTAAAGAATAACAGGTTGCTATCTGAAGCCCTTAAGGATAGCCAGATCAAGAGTAGGTACCTCAGGCCGAGTGCGGTGGCTCATGCCTGTAATCCCAGCACTTTGGGAGGCTGAAGTGGGCAGATCACCTGAGGTCAGGAGTTTGAGACCAGCCTGGCCAACATGGTGAAACCCAGTCTCTACTAAAAAAAACACAAAAATCAGCCAGGCGTGGTGGTGCATGCCTGTAATTATAGCTACTTGGGAGGCTGAGGCAGAATAATTGCTAGAACCCAGGAGGTGGAGGTTGCAGTGAGCCAAGACTGTGCCACTGCACTCCAGTCTGGGCTATAGAGCAAGACTCCATCTCAAAAAAAAAAAAAAAATAGTGGGTGAAATGGGAAGGTCAATTAGGATTCTATCGCAGTATTCCAGGTTAGTAATCTAAACTGCTCCTGAAAATTATTTTTAATCAAAGCTATTTATATATAAAAGGGAGTGAATTATTCATATTTTAATTTTCACCCCAACTTTAAATGTTTTCTGTATCTATATTGGGAAAATGTGCATTACTTCTCTGTTACACTATACTACTATAGAGTAGTGAGCCAGTATAAGTTTGCCCTATTCAGAGCAGCTAATTATATCTACCATTTGCATAAGCATGGAAGAATTAGGGTGTTAAAAAAACCAAGAGTCTTTTAAATTAGTAGCCACCTCTGAATACAACATTGATTTGTTAACTTCTCAGTGTAATTCTATTAATATTTATTTGCTTTATATATTTTGAAGCTATTTTACTGGGTGCATATAAGTTTACAATTGTTATTCTGAACAATTTAACATTTTATAATTATGGATTAAACCCTAGTCTTTAATTATGCTTGTCTTAAATTCTATTGTAGCTGCTAACCTAGCAATTGCAGCTTTCTTTTGGTTAGTATTTTGGAGGAATATGCTTTTCCATCCTTTTATTTTTAAACTCTTTTGTCCTTTTGTTTGTATTTGTTTGTATTTATTTAATCTATTATTATTCTTAAAGAGACAGGGTCTTGCTTTGATGCCCAGGCTAGAGTGCAGTGGTGCAGTTATAGCTCACTGCAGTTTCAAATTCCTGGGCTCAAGGAGTTCTCCCAACTTTGCCTCCCAAAGTGCTGGAATTATAAGTGTAAGCCACTGTGCCTGGCTTCTTTTATTTATAGTGTGTCTTTTGTAAACATATCTGGATCTTTGTATATTTGTCCACTATATAAATATCTGTCTTTAAAATTGAAAGTTTGATTCACTCAAGTTTTTTTTTCCTGATTATTGACATATTTTGGCCTGTTTCTTTCTTTTGCATCTATTTTTCTACTTTGTCTCCTCATACTACCCTAAACATACCAAGGATAGCAAGATTGTTATTTATCCCAGTGATTTAAAAAAAATTCTATTTTTATTAGAAACAGGGTCTTGCTATGTTGACCAGGCTGGTTTTGAACTCCTGGACTCAATCAATCCTCCCACCTTGGCCTCCCAAAGTGATGGGATTACAGATGTGAGCCACTGCAACCAGCCAAGTGATTTTTAATCTGCTATCAATCAGAATCACTTGGGAGATTAAAAAAATATTGATATCTATGCTCTACCACTAGGGATTCTATTTAAGGTCTGAACTAGGGCCTGGGAATTGGTATTTTTGAAAAGTTCCCTACATGATATATTACGGGTACTTTTGGATATTGATTATTTTTTAATCTCCTTCAAACGTCACACTATAACCACCTACAATACCTGGAGAATGTGCCTTTATTTATTCATTCTCATAATACCCTTGGAACAATCTGGCCTGGAATTGGCATCTACATCATCTCCGCCATGTTCTCCAGGAGATGTCTCCCTGACTTGATTCCCATTACCCACTGCCTCACAGCTCCCACATTTAATCTGTATCTTGACAAAGTCAGGTATTTCAGGTGTTCAGAGTCAAATATTGTTCAGATCTGGCCTTTTGCCTCTTAGCTCCTTTAATGAAATTCAGTTCAAGTGATAGTTTTGACCTGAGCCTGTAGTTAATATTAGATTCCTTCCTTTATTCCACGGGAACACTCCCTAAATAACCCCTCAGGAGGTTCACTGTTTGCTTGGCTCTGGACTACCAATTTGTTGCTGAAGATGCCAATAAGAACATTATTGAAATACTCACTGGAAAAACATAGATCTTGGTAGTTTTGGGAGGTGGGTTTTTTTTTTTTAATATGTTAAAACCAGTAGTCAACAATAATGTCCTCTAATCCAGTGGTTCTCGAAGTTTCATTCCTGAACCAGTAGCATCAGGTAGCAGTCAAGAACTTTTCAGGAATACGAATTCTAAGGGTACTTCCCCAGGTTTGTTAAATTACAAATACTAGAGGGTGGGGCTCAGTGATCTATGTTTTAACAAACCTTCCAAGAGATTCTGATGCTCAGTCAAGTTTGGGCAAAATAGGAAAAGTCTCTTTCCAGTGGCAACTGGCTACTTAATGACAAAATCAAGAGTGGTGCAATCACGTCTCAACACTTTTCAGTGTGTAGTACTGCAGTTGCGTGTCAGAGCACACACTAGGGAGACCACAGGGTCCTCTGAGCAGGACAAGCATTTATAGAGCCACCTAAACAAGTACATTGGTCATTTTTAGGATGATAAGTGTCTTGTGGAGGGTGTCTTGTAAACATTATTGGGGAAAATCAAAATTTCTTTAGAGATATATTTGATTACAACTCTGTAACTAAATATCAGATTAGGGGACTAGGGACTCTTATGGGGGACAAACAACTTCACCTCTGGAGGGTCCTTGGATCTGGAGTGTCCTTCCAGTTCAGACCTTGAAACTCCCTTGAGCCTGATTTTCCCAGGTTCCCAGGAGGTCTGGCCATGTGTCTGAATGCCCTATTTTCATTTTTCACACATATGTATAAATGCAATCAGAACAGGAGATTATTGTTCTTACCTTCAAACTGCTTCTAACCAAGCATATCAAAGTGAAAAATACTCCTGAATTCTCAAATGCTCATCCAGGCAAACTAGGAGTCCAGTAGATGCTCTCTGTAGGGTCAGGGCCAACCTCTTCACATTGGGGGCTTCAGTCTTGTCTCTGTAGAGCTTGCTTCTTTCTCATCTTCCCTGCTTTCCTATAGCCTCAGGCTCTCAGGCTTCTCAAGCTCATCTAACCAGTAACCTGTCAAATCATCTCAATCTCACTCCTGAGCATTCTCCTAGGCTGTTGTTTCCTGTTTACAATACCCTCACCTCACTCAGTCATCAATTTTCTCTGTAGTCAGGGTCTTCTGGAATGCCCAGTACTGTCATGATATCATGTTGAATATATTTGCAATAGGTCAGAAGTTCTTTCAGGCTCAAAGCTGTCTGCACAAATAAGCCCCAGGACTTTTCTCCCTCCTTCCACCACTTCCCTGTGAAACAGACTTATGCTGTGTGTAATAAAAATTAGTGGGAACATAAGTATTAATTTGTTTGGTTTATGTGTGTCAGATTGTACCTATGCCACTTGGTGTAGTTGTGTTACAGTTGTCTTTGATCCTAAGTGACGGGAGTGTATTATGTGTTCTCTCTGGTCTGAATGTTGCTCTTCTAGGGCCACATGTAGCTGGGTGCCTTGTAACAATGGGAAGATGAAAATTCTGCTTTTGGGTCTGATTTACATTGTCCTGAAAGGCTGAAGTCCAGCCTCTTAGGTTCACGGATGTGTATATTTGGCTTTAACACCATAGCAGGTTGTTAAACCTCTCCCTTCAGTCTGTAGAATGTATACATTGGTTTATGTCTTCAGTATGTAATTTTGGGTTTGTAGAATGGTGTCCTTCCAGTACAAAACCATGTACAAAGCATACATTTCTGTTTTGTACAATGACAAAATCTTCTAATGCCATTGCCCTCAAGCATATTCAAAATGAGAAAGGAAATGCTTCCCCTTTACATAATAAGGATTTTAGATTACATTTCAACACCGTGGAAACTAGGCATTGGGATAGGATCTTTTCTGTCTAAATATATCCTGAGCTTTCAATTACACTTTCTATTTCACCAAAGCGACTTCTAAAATTCCTCCAACTTCACAATGTTTCCCTTTATTTTGGGCTGGCAGGGTCACCTTGGGCCCATCCCTCAGCCTTCATCAGCAATTATTATCACTTCAAGAGAAGCATAGTTGGGGCAATCCTAGTGCAAAGTATTCTCTCAGAGAAACTATTCTGGTACTGTAGGATGTGGAATAAAATTAAAACACATCTTACATTAGGAGTGGCCACTTTTAACCCTGTCAGTTCTAAAGGAAATAGAGTTCTGGAATAAAAGAATACAGACCTTCCTTTGAGAGGGGAGGAGCAAGCCCTCCTACAAGAAATGCTAGCAAGATGCAGTGAAAGCACCATAGTTCCTTCGATTTTAAATATCCCCGTCTGTGAAACAAAGTTTTCTGTTGACAGATTTCCTAAGGTTCTTTCAAACTCCATTCATTCATCCACAAATATTTATGAGCACCGAGTATCAGACACTTGGAATGAAGTGATGAACTAGGGAGATGAGATTTCTGGTCTCCCTCAACTCAGGAAGCTAAATCTCATATTTAATAGTCTCAATGAAAGGACAATTGCCAGTTACATTGAATAAGGATTTTTGTTTAATATTAGGGTTTGCATTATTCCCATGGTGCTCCAAGTCATGCTTCTTTTCTTCTACTTGCTGGTCTTTCTCAACCATTCCCAGAGAAACATAATACCATGGCACTAAGTCAAACACTTGTCTTATGATGCATTGAGAAAATGCCAAATATATTTTATTGGTCAATATTTATTTTGATATAAATTATGGCTGATATTTCCTACATTCATGGGTGTGATTTAGAGAGGGAGAATGGATAATTGTGACCACATTTGGGTCATACTGCTGTGTCATAATTATATGAATGTATGGATAAGCCTTCCTCAAAATAAAACACAGTTGAAAAATCTTCTCATCTTAGCCTTGTAAAAAAACTTCCTTGGGAATCAGTCTGTAAATTATTCCTCCATAGATTAATAGATTACATTTTAGCAGTGAGCTTATATTTTTGAGTGCCAATGTGTGTTATTTTTCAACAAAAACAGCTAAGCTTAAAGCTTAATGAAGTAAGAAAGGCATTCAGGAAGAGGGAGAGCCAACATCTTGTATATTTGAACCTGTCTGTTCTGCCAGTGACCCATGGAGTGAAGAGCTGTGTCAGCTGATCATTTAGCTGACCACTGCTGACAGACAAATACCTTGTGCTGAGCTTGGAGGGAGTCACAAAAACATCAGAAGTCAACAAGGTAACACACAATTCCTGTGGGGTCCTATACTTATTTTTGCCATTGCTTGGAGCTGAACAATTACACGCAAAAATGCATCTTATCTGAAAATAACGCACACATTTTAAGAGTTTAAATTACTTTGTTTTGAGAAGGTGTTTGTAAAACTACTTGGGCACACATTTTTCAAATGATGATAATTAGCTGATTAATAATATCATAGTCATCAAAAGAGATACCATGTTTTCAAAATCATGCAACAATAGATGAGCTCTTACATGGCTTTAATTGGAATACCTAATAATTATAACTTTGTGGATGCAAGGGAAGAGATGTTTTCAACTGTAAACACAAACACAGAAAATGAAACAAAAATTTGTCAGCATAAGATTGCCTGCTTATATGACTACTAAGCCAGAAAGCAGCTGCTTTATTTAATGCATTGTTTCAGGAGACATTGAAGTGTGATTTCCAACATTGTTAATACCAAAAGTCCATTTGCCTCATGATCTTCCAATTGTGAAAGACTTTTCCCCCATGAAATTGTATTTATTAAGTAATTCTGAATTTTTCCACTTTTTAATTTTTACTTTTTTGCTATGGAGTCTCACTCTATTGCCCAGGTTGGAGTGCCATGGTGTGATCTTGGCTCACTGCAACCTCTGCCTTCTGAGTTCAAGCAATTCTCCTGCCTCAGCCTCCTAAGTAGCTGGGATTACAGGCATGCATTACCATGCCCAGCTAATTTTTGTGTTTTTAGTAGAGATGAGGTTTCACCATATTGGCCAGGCTGGTCTTGAACTCCTGACCTTTGGTGATCTGTCCGCCTTGGCCTCCCAAAGTGCTGGGATTACACGCATGAGCCACTGTGCCTGGCCGAGTTTTTCGACTTTAATAAGCAAAGACAATCATAGCTACCAGTTAACTATTGTGATGAAAGTGCAATAATAAATATTCAACACTGAATTGCTATAATTCCCATCCAAACCAAGGAAACTTGTATATATCATAGACTCCCTTTTGGTGACCAAGTGTATAATTTCCATTAGATATTTAAAAATCTTGAAAATGACACATAGAACCTATCGTTACCTTTAGGAAGTTCCAGAGTTTCAAGGATCTCTTATGAGGAAACTCAATGATGCATAAAAATTATATGTCTGAATTTAGCTATGTTTGATTTAAGCATTTAAGAATTGAAGAAGCTTTTACTACAATTTCTTGTTCCAAATGTTTTTCTAAGAATGTGAAGAACCAAGCTATATTTTCCTGGCAGAATCAAACAAATTCTCTTCCATTTTAAGAAAAGGTTGATGGGGCTCCTTATAAGCTGTCTTTTGGTAATTATAAAAATATGGCTTAACAATGGGACTGTTTCTTGTTTTCGGTAGATCGGAAGGAGCACAATTTAAAACAGGCTGGGGTACAAAGAACAAAAGAAACTGGCCAAAAAAATGTGAAGTATCAATTCCATTGTGAAATGTTTCATCTCACAAGATGTGACGGAAGTTAGGAAAATATTTTTTCTCCTTTTTAGTTATACCATATCTGAGAATTAATGTTGGTCCTTTGGAAATCTCTGTCTCTCTCTCTCTGTCTCTCGCTCTCTCCTCTCTCTGTCTCTCTCTGTGTATTCCAATGGTTAGCTACTGAATAGATTGTATGGTGAACATGTATTAATAATACCAATAGAGATCCACTTGGAATTCTTAGGCCAACTCTAGACTGCTTTGTGGTCTCAGAGCCTTAAAGCTATTATCTGCATCCTCATTGCCATCCACCTCGATTACCCCAAGCCTGATGTGTTAAATCCTACCCAGTCTGTTTCAGGAATATTCTCTAGTCTGAATACCTTAGGCTCAGGGTAAGATATTACGAGGGGAAAGAGAAACGCTACTTGAGGTGAGAGTTCCTGTCCAGAAGGTAAGAAGTACAGTTTGCTGAGGGTAGGAGGAGATGTGCATTGCAGAGATGCTCCATTGGAGAGGCAGGGTTGTAAATACAGCGGAGCAAATTTAGGGGCTAGAATGCGTTCGACTATGAGGACCCTCCTTCTGCTATTAGGTATTTTCTTGGATGCTTAATATGGTCAGAATGTGTGTGTCTTTCTAAAATTCATGTTGAAACCTAATCCTTATTTTGGTGTTGTGAAGAAGTGGGTCTTTAGGAAGTGATTAGGTCATGAGGGCTCTTCCCTTATGAATGGGATTAGCGTCCTTAAAAAAGAGGCTTGAGTCAGCCTATTTTCCCTTTCTTTCCCATCTGCCATGTAAAGACACAGCAACAAGCCACCCTGTATGAAGCACAGAGCCCTCACCAGACACTGATCTGCTGGCAACTTATCTTGAACTGCCCAGCTTCCAGCACTGTGAGCAACAAATTTCTGTTGCTTATCAGCCAGCCAGCCTAAGGAGTTTTATTACAGCAGCCCAAATAGACAAAGACAATGCTCTACCCTTAGATGTAAGAAAAGTCACATATAATTTTATGTCCATCCATGTACCCTCTGCTCACTTCACCTTCCTGAACTGTATTATTTCTAGTTACCTCAGCCATTTATTCAAGTCGGATGTATCCTAACAGGCTTGTGTACTGGTGTCATGGAGGACAAAGATGAAGCAAAGGACAGAGGACCATTTTTTCCCACACAAATCTGTTAGTTACAGAGGATTATGGAGGGTGGGCTGACAACTGACCTTCACTAGCATGTTGCCTACTGAAATCTTCCTCAAACAGAATCTCAAACCATATTAATAGGTGTTTCATCCCAAGAAAGCATTCTATGGCCAAGTAAATTTGGGATATGGTATATTCCACGGGAGAGTGACAATACACATAAATATGTGAAAACATCTGAGGATGTCTATAGAAAAGAAAACTGTTTAGCTTTGCTTAATTCAATAATTTCCCACTAGAGTTGACCACAGACTCCCTTTTTCCTGAGACGTGTTTTTCATAAGACAAGACTGACATGTGGGGAACCCTACCACATCTTCTTTCTCAAAACAATTTCTTCCACCGTTACTATGACAGCACACTCCCAGTTTTCCCCTTACCTCCCTGGGCATGCTTTCTACCTGCTTTGTAGCTCTTTGTCTTCTGCTTTGTCATTAGATATTAGATTTCCTCAAGGCTTGGCCCTAGGTCCTCTCCATTGCCTTCTCTTCTCATCCATGCCTGTGGCCTCCATGACCACCTCATGCAGATGTCTCATAGATGTCTAGCTACAGTTTAGACCTCTTTTCTGAGCCCCAGCCTTCTCTGTCTACCAGCTTACTTGACATTCTCATTGACAATTCAATGTCAAATTAAGATCGTTATCTTCCTGCCTTTGCCCAGTGTTCAGCAGCATTCCTTTTTTCAGCAAATGAAACCACACTTTATTCTGTTATGCAATAAGAAACCCAAGTGTCATCTCTGACACCACCCTTCATCACACTCATCAAATAGTAGAGATATGATTTCCTAATAATCTTAGATACATCCACTTCTATCACTGCTTCTCCTTATTTGTTCTATGTTACAAACTTTTCACACCCAGGTTCCTATAAAGGCTTCTTTGGCCTTTTTAACCATTCACTCTCGCCCTCTTAAATCAGTTATCCATAATATAGCCCAAGTGATGGTTCTTATCTCAAATCTAATCATAACTACTTTCCCCTTAAAAGACTCCATTACTCTTAGAACACAGACCAAAATTTTAAGTTACAAGACTCTGCGTGATTGAGCTCCTACCTTTTGTTGCAGCCTTGTTTTGTATTGCACTGCTCATAATCCTCTTTGCTACTCTTGTCCTGAGAGTAAAAAGTAAAAAAAAAATTTACTTAAAATAATAGCAAAGACTTGGAGCCAACCCAAATGCTCATCAATGTTAGACTGGATAAAGAAAATGTGGCACATATACACCATGGAATACTATGCAGCTATAAAAAAGAATGAGTTCTGGCTAACCCTGTGAAACCCCGTCTCTACTAAAAATACAAAAAATTAGCCGGGCATGGTGGCAGGCACCTGTAGTCCCAGGTACTCAGGGGGGTTGAGGCAGGAGAATGGCGTGAACCCGGGAGGTGGAGCTTGCAGTGAGCTGAGATCGCGCCACTGCAGTCCGGCCTGGGTGAAAGAGCGAGACTCTGTCTCGAAAAAAAAAAAAAAAAAAAAGAATGAGTTCATGTCATTTGCAGGGACATGGATGAAGCTGGAAACCATCATTCTCAGCAAACTAACACAGGAACAGAAAACCAAACACCGTATGTTCTCACTCGTAAGTGGGAGTTGAACAATGAGAACATATGGGCATAGGGAGGGGAACATCACACACTGGGGCCTGTTGTGGGGTGGAGGGCAAGGGATAGATAGCATTAGGAGAAATACCTAATGTAGATGACGGGTTGGTGCAGCAAACCACCATGGCACATGTATACCTATGTAACAAACCTGCACGTTCCACACATGTATCCCAGAACTTAAAAGTATAATAAAAAAATTGAGATATCATTCATATACCATAAAATTCATTATTTTGAAGTCTAAAGTTCAGTTGTTTATTAGTACGTTTTAAAGTTGTGCAACCGTCACAACTATCCAATTCCAGAACATTTTCATCACCCCAAAAAGAAATCCTTTATCAGTTACTCTTCATTTTCCTCCCCTGTAGCCCCTGGCAAACCCTATTGACTTTCTGCTTCTATGGGTTTGTCTGTTTTGGAAATTTCATGTAAACGGAATTGTAGGATATGTGGCCTTTTGTGTCTGGCTTCTTTTATTTTACATACTCTTTTCAAGGTTCATTCAGGTTGTAGCATGTATCTGCTCTTCATTCCTTTTTATTGCCAAATAATATTCTACCATGTGGATATACCACATTTTGTTTATCTATTCATCAGTTAATGAACATTTAGGTTGTTTTTGCTTTTTGGCCATTATGAGTAGTGCTGGTAAGAACATTCATGTACAAGTTTTTGTATATCCAAGTTTGTATATATCCAAGAGAATATGTTCTCTTGGATATATACCCAGGGGCGTAATCACTTGGTCATATGGTAATTCTATGTTTAATATTTTTGAGAATCTGCCAAACTGTTTTCCAAAGTGGCAGTAGCAGTTTACATTCCCACCAGTGACGTATGAGGCTTCCAGTTTCTCCACATTTTTGCTAACATTTGATATTGTTCATCTTTTTGATTATAGGCACGTAAATAGTTATGAAGTGGTAACTCGTTGTTTGGATTTGCATTTTCCTAGTGAGTAATGCAGTTCTTGGTTTACTTTTGATTTCTGAAATGCATCCTATTTCCTCTTTCCAGATGGTCTTTGCCTGTGCAGCTTCTCTTTTCCCAATCTCTCCACCCATAACTTGATTATTTTTTCTGCTCTCTTTATAGAGATGGAAATTGTCATTTCCTAGAGGACATATTCTCTGATAGCTCTATGTCAAATCCATTGACTATAAACTCTCATTGGACCATGTAATTTTCACTCATAGTACTTGCCACATTTGCAACTCTACATTTACATATATGTATAATATAAATGTTGAGTTTTATTTATATATAAATACATATATTTATATATATATACACATGCATACATTTATATATAAATGTGAGTGTATATATAAACATACACATATATTTTATATATAATATATAATATATTATATATTTTTATATATTATATATGACAATTATATATTATATATTATAATATTATATATTATATATAATATTTATTATAATATATTATATATTAAACAAATATAAAATATATTGTATATATTATATATTAAACAAATATAAAATATATTGTATATATTATAAATAAAATATATTATATTATATATAATATAAATATATAATATATAATATATTATATTATATATAATATAAATATATAATATATTATATTATATATAATATAAATATATAATATATAAAATATATAATATAAATATATAATATATAAAATATATTATATAATATATAATATAATATATAAAATATATATTATATATAAAATATATATTATATAATATATATAAAATATATAAATTATATTTATATAATATATATTATATATAATATATAATATATAGTATACTATATATTATATATTATATAATATATAGTATACTATATATTATATATTATATAATATATAGTATAATATATATTTATTTATATAAAATATTTATTTTATATAAAATTTATTAATTTATATAAAAATTTATATAAAATATTTATTTATTTATATAAAATGTAAAATATAAAATATATAATACATAAAATATATTGTATATAAAATATATCATATACAATATATAAAATATATTATATACAATATATAAAATATATTGCATATAATATATATATATTTTTTGAGACAGAGTCTTGCTCTGTTGCCCAGGCTGGAGTGCATTGGTGTAATCTTGGCTCAGTGCAACCTCCACCTCCAGGGTTCAAGCAGATTCTTCTGCCTCAGCCTCCTGAGTAGCTGAGACTACAGGCATGTGCCACCACACCTGGCTATTTTTTGTATTTTTAGTAGAGACGGGGTTTCACCATATTGGCCAGGCTGGTCTTGAACTCCCAGCCTCAGGTGATCTGCCTGCCTTGGCCTCCCAAAGTGCTGGGATTACAGGCGTGAGCCACTGCTCCCTGCCTATTTATATGATTTTTTGATGATTAGTAGCTTCTTTCCTAGCAGACTACTAGTTTCACAAAGGCAGGGAACCTGTTTATATTATTCCCCATTGCATTCTCAGCACAGTCAATGCCTGGGACATAGTAGTTATCAGTAAATATTTTCTGAATGAAGAAAAGAATGATTAGATTAATTATGGGTTACAGGAATAGTCTTTAATAAGCAAAGACATTCAGTGCCACTACACATTCCTATGGGATTTCTCAGAAGACAATTTGGGGTCACAAATTCTCTATATGGATAATTATATACTTTGGTGAGTTAGAAAAGATAAATGGGAGGAACAAATCAGGGCAGAAAGGAATGTTTGTAGGGGTGAAGGGTAGATACTTTACATCAGATTACTTTTGGATATTCTTATGAATTATCAAGTAATGGGTTATTTTGGACAGCTTATGGGAATCAACTCATTTGTCTTTTAAGCTCATTTCTTTATGAATTAATTTCTCTTCTAATTATTAAAATGAAAATTCAGTTTTCTTATAGTGCATTGACTCTTCTTCCACTAATCATTTTTACATTGACATGTAGGCAGTCTTTGACAAGGCTTGGGCTAGCTAGAAGAGTTCTAGCTATCTTTACCCACCGACACAAATATCTCCATTGGTCATTTCTGTCTGAAACCCAAGATTCTTATTCATTTTAGTTCGATGCTATTGGTAAGCATTAGATGACATTTATTTACACAAATGAAAGCTAGAATTTCAGGAAAATCTAATCTAACATCCTCCAGCATTTATCTTTTGAAGTGACCCACATTGAAGAGTAGCATGCATGCCTTAGCACTCTGACACTCAGCTGGGATATTAGCTAGCAGTTAGGACCCTTCACTCAAAGGCATTGTATCTAGCAAAGGAAGAGGGTGAGCAGTACTCCTACCTATCAACAAACAATGACATCCTGAAGCCTAATGACCACTACCAAGTCATTGACTATCACCTCCCCTGCAGTCAAGTGCAGCCTTAGGTAATAAAGATGGAAAACAGCAATACTAAAGAAAACATAACCATTAAAGGGGCTTTTACTAAACTGCGAAAGGTGTCAAGCTCCTTTTCCTTCTCCCTGTTAGTAAACTTTTCATGGTTGAAGGCATGGAGGCCTAATGACAGGAGATGGACATGTCACAGACAGAAGTGGCCCTTGGACCCTGGAGGTCACAGTGTGACGGTGTGTGTGAAGGAATGCGAAACCTTTTTGCGTCTTTGTTCCAGTGGATATGGTCCACTGGCAAATCCTGTTGCACTAAGATCGGAGGGTGCAGATAACCCAAACATAATCCAGACATGTGGACATTGTTTTTACGACATGGCGTTCCGAATCCAAAGTGCACCACCGCCCTCAAAAAACAAACAAGACTTTGGCTTCTTCCTGTATGAAGAGCTCTATCTCTGAAAGTTCCTCTCATGTTCTCTCTTTCTCTCAATCTCTAACTCCTAGTCTCTCTGTTGCTTCAAGTCTCTCCTTCTGTTTCTATGTCTTTCTCCTTATTTCTCCATCAACTAAAGACATACCTATAGATGTGGTATGTATATATCTCTCAGACTTTGTGTGTACATTAGTTATATATATAGTTGACTTATATATATATATATAATATGTAGGATGTGTGTACAAATCATATATATATATTATATATATATCCTGAACACTTACAACTCTCAAGTGAAAAGGAAACTCAATTCAAGCTGTCCTTGAATGGGCATACATACGTCATGTTATCTACCTTCTAAGGCCAAAGACAATTTTAGTTTTGCCAGAAATAGTGTGAAGATGAATTAGCATTTATGATGACTTGTCTGAATAGACTCAGCGCCCTTAACTAGGCCACAGTCATCCTATCAACAACTTTAGTTGTCTGTATCAACTTTTTGGATTAATCTGGGCCTCACCTTTGGAACATTTCCCTGGTACTGCCTTACTTATTTGTTGTTAACTCTGCACTGTGGATTCTGTCCTGTTCTCTACCTGCTCACCTGGACCTGGCTCTTTGTACCTCCCTGGCTCCCTGTGCCACAAACCCTAGACCTCAGCCAGTGCAGACCTCTCCACTACCTGTGGCCCTCCCTTCTTCCACTGCCCTACCCTCTTTAGTCACCACACTCCTGTTCTGGTCCACTGCTCGACTGGCCATTGCACCGCTCCCCTGGATGAGTCTCTGTGCAGTGGCCCCAGACCCAGTCATTTAGGGTGAGGTAGTACAGCTCTCTTAGCCTGTGGGCTCCATTCTCCCAGGGCATGCACACATCATTAGAGTGGCTGAATCTGGTGATTCAGTAGCCACTATGTGCCAGGCCATTGTTCTACATGCTGGGGCACAACAAAGACAGGAGAATCCAAGTCCTACCCTCAGAGGGCTCACATGGCAATGGAGGAGGCTGCCCATCAACAAGTCAACAAACAAACATAAACGATGTAATTTCAGATGGTGATAAGTGTTGTGAAGTGCATGGATAAAGTTAGGAGAGTCGGTAGTCAAAGCAAATACTTATGAGAGAAAGGATGTCAGCCTCACCCATCCAATTGTCACCTGGAGTGGCCTTCAGGTGAGAAAACTTTTTTTATATTGCAATGGTTAATAAATTAGGTCAGCTTTGTGAAATTCAAGGTAGAAATATTGCAAACATTTATTCTACTTTTATATAAGTACCACCTCTTAGGAAAATTTGATGTCAGTTCCTAGCAATTTAGACACAGAAACATATATTATATTGTTCTGGAATAATTTTAAAAGCTAATTTACTGTTGGAATTCCAAATTCACAATATTGCTGAGTCAAGCTGAGTGCTTGTAGTTGTAGTTCATTACCTGTGTTTCCTTTTGTGTTAACAATCATGTTAATTACCTGCAGGTGTCTTTATTTCTCCCCCATTAAGGAATAGGCTTTTCACTGGACTTAATTCCAATTAAAATATTTACCTTTATTCGGCTGTGTGGCAGTGGCTCACGTCTGTAATCCCAGCACTTTGGGAGGCTGAGGCAGGTGGATCACTTGAGGTCAGGAGTTTGAGACCAACATGGTGAAACCCTGTCTCTACTGAAAAAAAAAAAAAAAAAGAAAATTAGCTCAGTGTGGTGGTGCATTTCTGTAGTCCCAGCTACTTGGGAGGCTAAGGCAGGAGAATTGCTTGAACCTGGGAGATGGAGGTTGCAGTGAGCAGAGATGACACCATTCATTGCACTCCAGCCTGGGCAGCAAGAGCGAGACTCTCTCTCAAAAAAAAAAAAAAAAAAAAAAAATTACCTTTTTTTTCTACAGAAATTCTCCCTGCACCTGGAAATATTCAAGTAAATTTTGCCTCCATTTGAGATTGTGCTGCTAATATTTAGATTTGAGGAGTATCAACTTTGCTACTATTGTTTTACAATTTTCTGCATGAAGAGAGCAAACGTTTTCAAGATGCTTTGTGTGTCAGCTAAAAAATGTATAATGATGATAATAATGGGAAATATGAATGTAGTACTTTTAGTTAGAAACTTCCAAACAAAAAAATATAGTTCAAATGTTGGTCCCTGTGATATATACATCCCCTTACTAACTGATACAATTATCTATAAAAATATGTATTTCTCCTACAAAATGAATTTTCTTAAGATGGGTTGTAGACAATGAAATTATCACCAATATAGGGATACACTTAAAAAATTGAGGTAAAATTTATGCATAGCTAAATGCACTGGTTTTAAGTGAATCAATGAACTTGGATAAATGTGTTTACCTATGTAACCACCACCCCAATCAAGGTATAGAACATTTCTATAATTTCAGAACGTTCTATCGGGTAGGGGGTATAATTTGAAGTATCTAGATTATTCTGATTCTAAAAATAATTACAGTAAGGAATATGGCTTATTCATGCCAATAAGTTAAAAAGATATGTTTCATTAACACATTTTACCAGCATCTTAGTCAAACAAGTCATTTTCTTTAACGTCTGCTGGCAGTTAAATATTGTCCATTGCCCACGGGCTTATCAGCAGTGCCAAAATCATTTGGGAAATTAAACTTTATTCCTGAGGTAGCAACAGCTTGCTGATTAATTTAACAATGAGCTAATTATAAATAGCTTCTTATAATTAGTCCAAGGCAGGAGGTTTTGTTTCATTTACATCAAGCATGTCCATCATCAGGTATCTTTTGGGCCCAGAAGGCAATCTCAGTTTTCCAGTTGAAATGAACCAAAGCCACCTGAAGAGACATGGTTTGCAGCAAGAACTGCTCTGATTTTATTTTTATTCATTCATTTAACAGATTAAACTCTTACCATGTGCCAGGAACTGCTAAGTACTGAGGTTATAGCAGTGATCAAAACAGAAAAAATCTTGGGGGTGTAGCTCAGGGGTAGACCATTTGACTGCAAAACAGACAAAATCCCTCTCCTCATGGAGAAAAGCAACAACAACAACAACAAAACCCACAAAAAATCCAAAAAAGCAAACCCAAATGAGTCTATAATATAATGTCACGTAATTTGAAGTATGAAGAAAAATAAAGCAAGGTAAAGGGCTGGGCAGTGATGGGGATGAGGGTCAGAGTGTTATTGAAGTGTAGTCATGGAAAACCTCTTTGAATACAGCAAAGCAAGAGTTTGTTTCCAAGTGACCCACTGAGCTGCGTACACATTTTTATTTCAAATAAAATATATTTGTATTATTTGTCATTCATACTGTCCATCCATACCACACTAACTTCTGTGTCAGGTGGTCTAATAGAAGTATACCTGTTTTGTTCTTAAAAAAGAAAAATTGATATTTGAGTAGAGGTTTGAGAAAAATGGGACCATGTAGGTTTCTGGGAATAGCAAACGCAAAGGCCCTGAACTAAGAATGTGCTTGAAGCTTTTCAAGAACAGCAAGGTGAGGAAGAGGCAAGGATGCTGGAGAGGGAAGAGTGGCCAGGCCCATCAGTTCACCTGGGACATTCTAGACTTTGGTAAGAACTTTGGAACTGAGATTGTCAGAGATGTGTGGAGTCTTTTGGGATCTTTTTTTTTTTTTTTTAAAAAAACTAAATATGAATAAATCTTATTCTGGAAGTTATTTTGTACTGAAATGATAACACTGAAAGTTTTTTGTTGTTTATGAAAATGGGCTATCAAAAGCTAAAGTTGATTACATAAATATAAAGAGAATTACATTTCTGCATGAATTTTAAAAATGAAACTTTTTATTTTGGAACAATTTAGATTTACAGAAAAGTTATAAAGATAGTCCGGAAAGTTGCTGTATATCCCTTATATAGTTTCCCCTGTTATTAAGATCATACATTACCGCGGTTCATTTGTTAAAACTAGAATATTGACATTGGCTTATTACTGTTAATAAACGTCAGGTTTTATTTGGATTTGCTAGTTTTTCCATCAGTGTCCTCTTTCTGTTCCAGGATTCAATATATGGTACCACATTGCACTTAGTTGCCATGCCTCCTCAGTCTTCTCTGGTCTTTGGCAGTCTTCTTGTTTTCATGACCTTGACTGTCTTGAGGAATAGCAGTCAGGTACCCCATAGAATCTTCCCAATCTGGGTTTGTCTTTTGTTTTTCTTATGATTGGACTAGGGCAATGAGTCATCAGAAAGAATACAGAAGTGAGTGCCCTTCTTATCACATCATATCAACAGGTACCTGCATCCATATGATGTCTCTAGTGAGGTTAACTTTCATCACTTGGTTGAGGTAGGTTTTCCAGATTTCTCCACCATGAAGTTACTATTTTCACCTTTTCCTACTCTATTCTTTGGAATCAAGCTCACTCTTAAGGAAAGGATGGTGAGACTTAAGCTACTTCGGAGTGTTTTAAGGGGAAGAGTAACATAATCCTATTTATGCTCTTAAAAGGGAAGGGCCACTCTATGTTGAGAGCAGACTATAGGGATAAGAGCAGAAGCAGGGAGACTGGGCAATGTCCAGGTGAGACATGGTGGCTTGGATTGGGGTGACAGTCATGGAAATGATGAGAAGTGGCTGAGATTTGCGTATGCTTGGGAGATAGAGCCTATGGGTTTTATATTGCTGTTCCACCTTCACTACCATGAGGGCAATGGCCATTAGTAATGATGGACATTATCTTGTTTTACTAATCACAGTGTCACTTTCTGGAAGGACAGTGCTCTTCTTCTATTGTTGTTGGATGTTATAAAGATTGTTGATTGATTTGTTTGCATTTTCAAAGTAAGCCTTACTCATTACTGGAGCCAAGTTACAAATGTCTCTGATTTTAGAGATAAGTATTAGCATAAAAATTTAGATAATCCAGCTTAGGGAAGCCAATTTCTTCAGAACCTCCTATGGACGAGGCCCCTTTTTAGATGTTTTATGTTTGTTGTGAGTGTATTTATATTTTTGTAAGTATATTTATATTTTTGTAAGTATATTTATATTTCCTGTGAATTTCAAAGCCCACAAAAAAGCAAGAATGTAGCTCTCCCTGTTTTTCTGTAAGTGAACTTAAATTTTATCATAAACCAACTTTTTTATGATATAAAAAATTTAGTCCCATTATATCTATGTCAACTCTGTTCCTTTGACGATCACATTAGTCATTTCATATTTACACCTATGTAACTGTGGGCTTTCCCTCTTCTTCCTTTTCTCCTTCCTGATACTGATCTTGAAAACTGCAGAGATTTGTGAATATGCCACTTTGGATTTGGAGGAGAGCACGGCGTGCCCTTCTCAATTTTGACTGGTTGAGATCTCATTCTATCTCCCATGAGATGTAGCTGGTCGGTTTGGTCTTTGGGCATGTCCTCCACAGCAGCAATCTCCTAAGAAATAATTGCATTCTTTTTAGCTATCCCAAGGGATGATGCATGCAGTATGTATCCTTCCTGCAGCACCCCCTTATTCTGGCTTGACACTCTACAAGTCTACCAGCAGACCCTCTCAGAACAAGTGAGATTCAAGTCCTCTTTCTTTAGGGAGTCTGGAACTTACACAGATGTTCTATCTCCCTCCTCCCGCACCAGCTCTTCTTAATGGGAGTTGGCCCCAAAGGGCAGGAGCTGGGCTTCCAAACCAGCATGTAACTTATTGGTTTCACTCTCTCAGCTTGTAGAAGGTTCTTGTTCCTAAAGAGCTTGGAGGCAGAGGTGGGAAATCCTCTGCAGAAAGAAGGAATCACTTAGTTTTTCCAAATCTATGGTTTATTAAAAACTGGGCCTTTGGGCCGGGTGCGGTGGCTCATGCCTGTAATCCCAGCACTTTGGGAGGCTGAGGTGGGTGGATCATGAGGTCAGGAGATTGAGACCATCCTGGCTAACACGGTGAAACCCTGTCTCTACTAAAAATACAAAAAAAAAAAAAAAAAAAAATAGCTGGGCGTGGCGGCAGGCACCTATAGTCCCAGCTACTCGGGAGGCTGAGGCAGGAGAATGGTGTGAACCCGGGAGGCAGGGCTTGCAGAAAGCCGAGATCGCGCCACTGCACTCCAGAGCCTGGGCAATAGAGTGAGACTCCGACTCAAAAAAAAAAAAAAAAAAAAAAAAAAACAACCCCAAAACTGGGCCTTTGGAAACAAGAGAAAACCAAGAATTATTTTGTTTCTCACTGTATAAAGCAGTGAGAATTGGAGGCTGCAGTAGAGGTTGGGGTATAGGAGCTTTTGAAGAGTTGGGAAGAAGAGTGCAGGAGTGGAAAACAGACTAGCAGAGCAATGCATGAGCTAACACTCATAACACCAACAATCACGTGACTGTTTCACATACCTTTATATTAGTTCTGTTGTACCTTCTTATCATCATTTGGTAAATGAGAAAGTTAAGAGAAGTTACAAAAAATTATCCAAGCTTATATAGAGAGCATGCATTGGTGGAGCCAGGAATCAAAACCAGAGCTGTTCTAACATCAAAGCCTCTGTTTTGTCCACTACAGCTCATAATCCAACTCATCTACTCACATTTTCCTTGCGCGTGCATGACTCAAAGTCTTCCAGGGAGAGAAATGACTGGCCTGGGCGGTGGTTAAGCAGAATGGAGGGCACCTCCTTGGTCAGTAGGTGTCTAACATCTCCCTTTCTCTTTTTGAATTTCAGCCTTTAACCCATAATGATTGAGTGCTTATGCTGTGGTGCAGGAATACAATGGTGAACAAGCCGGTTCTTGCCCTTAAGGAAGTTAGAGCCAGGGAGAGGAGAGAGACAAGTGAAAAGATACTTAAAATTCAGCATAGTGAAGCACCACTAACAAAGTGAAACAGATGGCTTTGAGAGACCCAGAAAGAGCCCCTAACTCTGCCCTGGGGGATCCACAAAGCCTTCCTGGAACAGACAGGGTTCAAAGGACAGAGCTATATCAGTGTCTGTGGGATACAGGGTGATGGAGGAGGGAGTGTGAGAGCCCATTACAAACCTCCTTTTTGTGAGTAGTGTTCTCCTCCTACTCCTTCAAAGCAGAGTGAACTGAGCTCCAGTTGAGTCAGGGACAGGGGGAGGCCATCTCTTCCTGGGTCCACCCTCTAAGATAATGGAGAACTTGTCAATAACCAAAGGCTGGCTGTCCCTATCCATCCCCCAAACAGGCACTGAATGCTCTGCAGCCAAAGCTACTACTACCGCTTATTGATTGCTTCTGAATAGGCTTCCAGTGCTGCATGTTCAGCCTGCTCACCTTCTAGCCCGTGGAGCTCTTTTCACTGGCTCTGCCTTCCCTCTGGCCTGAATTAGGCAGCATTTGTGAGGTAAACACCACCAGGGCAATCAAGTGCCACAGAAATACAACAGAAACATGCAAAGCAAACTACACCATTTCCTCCTCCCTGGATTTAGAGGCCTCAGGAAGAGCCAAGGGGAGGATACTTGTTGGAGACTGCTTATTCTCACTTGAACAGGCAGTGTTTTTAAAAAAAAGAAATAAGAGAAATGTAGTTATTTTCAAAATGCGGCCTTTTCCCTCCATTCTGTCCCTCCTGCAGATTTCTATTCAAAGACTCATTTTCTCCCTCAGACATTTCAGCTTCTGAACTTATTTCACATAAAAAATGCATGACGTGTTTTTTTTTGTTATATATTCTTAAAGATGACAGCGAATTTCCCCAATTCTCAGTGTTTTCTGCTGTTTACTTCTGCAGGGGAACACAGAACACGCTTTTAGCAGTCACGGCTGCCAGAATGAAGCCCAGAGGGCTCGTGGCAGATGGATTGTGATGCTTGTCCTTGGAGGTTTTAGCTTTTGTCCTTGGAGCATTTAGCTCTGGTGGAACATCTTACCCCGAAGTGCAGGCTTTTATGCTTCTGGGGACAATGGAGTCCCTGGGAGCTGGGGAAAAACAGAGTGTGATCCAGTGGCCTGCATGCTGGGCTGGGCTTCAGGAAGGCCAGGGTCTAGTGCTGTCTCCAAGGAGGGGTCCTGGAGCAAGTCCCACCCATCTCTGGCCATGGGAGTTTCCATCTGAGCCAGCCAGATTTTGTTGCCTTCAGAAATGTGATGGAGAATCTGTGCCCTCCTCTCCATCACATGCACATATTCTGGAGGCTGCAGATTAAGTTGCCTGCTTTAAGAAAACTCTAAAGAGAAAATTGAAATTTGTGAAAATGATGGTGGGGAGACAGGAGAGGGAATGTTGAATATTCATGCAACCATACCATACTTGTTCTTCTATAAAACAACATCTAAGCTATAATTTAATTTAAAAATTCAGGGACATACACTTTCTCCAAGGGCAGGCACATGAAGTTGACAGTAAAAAGGAAACACAGAATTCGTTGAGTGGCCTTTGTCCCCTGTTACCTCATCAAGTGCTTACAACTACTGTATACTGCAGGTATTATTATCACTATTTTCGAGGTGAGGAAATGCAGGCAGAGAGCCCATATCATTAGCGAGTTAAGTAGTTTCTAATTGGCTAAGCCAATAGTCCAACCAAGGCCAGCTCAGGTGCAGTGACCTTCCTTAGAGCCTTGCTCAAGTCAGAACCCCAAAGTTTGAGTCTGGGCTCCCCTGCTAGTGTCCTTGGCAGTCCCTTCCCTCCTCAGAGTCTGATTCTCAGGACAATCCTGTCTTTCTGGCTTCACGGGGTTGTTGTGACAACCATCACCAAGAGACAACATGAGGAAGTGTTTTGTAAGTGACAGCGTGTTATACAAATACCAGAGAGAATCATTATTCCTCTGTTGCCACTGAAGGAGGCACACCTGTTGATGAATGACTGAAATATTTAGCTAAGGACTTGCCAAGCAGTTTTATCTTATGTAGCAGAGTAGCGAGTGAGGCCTCTTGTCACCGGGACACATTCCCCATGCTGGTTTTTTGCTTCACGTGGATGCAAAGTGCAGGCCATACGGTATGCACATAATACTCGCCAAGAGGGTGTGTGGGGTAACCCTTAGGAGCAAGGCTGCTGGAGCCAAACTGCCCACCTCTGCCGCTTGCCTGCTTTGTGCCTTTGGGCACATTAGACTCTCTGTGTCTCAGTTTTCTAATCAATGAAATGGGGATAAGAATAGGCTCTATCTCAGGGCTGGGCACGGTGGCTCACGCCTGTAATCCCAGCACTTTGGGAGGCCGAGGCAGGCGGATCATGAGGTCAGGAGATCGAGACCATCCTGACTAACATGGTGAAACCCTGTCTCTACTAAAAACAAAAAAAAAATTGGCTGGGCGTGGTGGTGGGCACCTGTGGTCCCAGCTGCTCGGGAGGCTGAGGCAGGAGGATGGTGTGAACCCGGGAAGCGGAGCTTGCAGTGAGCCGAGATCGTGCCACTGCACTCCAGCCTGGGCGACACAACGAGACTCCATCTCAAAAAAGAAAAGAAAAAAAAAAGAATAGGCTCTATCTCATAAGATTATGTCACAGACTTAATGAGTCAATTCATGCACAGCTCTTAGCACCATGCCTGGAACTATAGTGCTATAGAAGTGCTTGCGGATTTTGACCAGCCTTGATAGAACTGGCAGGAGCCACGTGTTGATGGCAATGGTAAGCTCCACGGTAGGGTGCCACCATGCAAAAGCTCCAGGTCAGTGCCTTTCCCTACAAAGAACATTCTTTAGGGCTCACAAAAAAACAGCCTCTCTGCCTAATATTTCCTATGTGGAACAAATGCTGATGACAGGCTTGGTGAGGGGCTAGGCAAGACTGTGCCCTATTTGGCCTCATCTCCATCTTCATTTCACATCATGCATCATCCTGGAGCTCTGCATCTACCATGCTGAATCCTTTTAGGTCCTAGAAAGTGGTATGCTCTCTTCCCTCTTGAACACACTATTCCTTCTACTGGAAATTCTCTTTCTTTGCTACCATAGCCCCAGGCTAGCCTGTCAGCTTGCTCGCATCTGCCTGCACATCCCTCAGGTCTCAGCTTCCATGGCATATATTGGGGAGGTTTGTCCTGATGTCCTTCGACTGGTTTGAAAAAAAAGTCTTAGGATGCAATACAGACTCTAATAATGACTGGAGTGAAAGTTGTTACCCTGAAAACTCTGTAGAGTAATGGCATTTGCTTACTCAATTGTACACTTGTTTTACATACACGATATGCTATTTTTTTATACAAACTGAAAGTAATTTATACATTATATTATTTGCTTATACAAAGTAGTTTACTCAGTTTTTGGATTGGACAAATTTCCTTTTTTATCCTCTTTCTCTCCTTGGCTATCTCCACTCTGGTGTCAGCTCTTGACAAAATCAGAGTTGATGCTCCTTATTTGTTTTTTTTTAAGAAACAATGAGTTAAAGGTTTTATATCATTGAGAAGTCTAGAAAATGTCAAATGGCTTCTGCTCTTTTTAAAATTTATTTATTTGAAACAGTATTGTGCAACATTCAGATATTGTTCATTGGTTTCAGCCTTCATTTTGTAAATGAAAACAATGGTAAAAAGACAGGAATATTTTTACTTCAGCCTAATAGTGTTACCTGTGAGAGGAAAGTAAAAGTGAATTTTATTTTACTGTTTCTGTTTCTTCTGTATTCTCTAAATTTCCTCCAATTACCATACAATAATAAAAAGTCACTAAAATTTAGAAAATAAAACAAGGAGAAATTCAATATTCTCTAAATTCAATTCCAATCAACAGTATTCCATAACCAATGAGGCTGGAAAATGGGAACATTAAAAACAATTAAAAAAAAAGATTTCCGTGACAATCACCTTGAAATCTTTTCTCTATTCCTTCTCCCACGTGGTGTTAAGACTCACCACTAGCCTGTTTGCCATCTCCTGGCAGTGTTTGTTCCCCTGCCTTTGAGGAGATGAACACCCAGAAGACTAATTGCTCGTAGAAAAGCCCCAAGGAAGATTGTCCTTCAGCTGGCTGTACTGAGTTTATTTTCATGTTATTTTTCCTTCCAGCTTTCCTGTCTCCTACTTCTACTTTCTTTTTAAAGACACTTTTTTGTTCTTTCCTTCTACTTTTAACCAACCATCCTTGCCCTCCTGACCATCATTCCAGTCACTATAGTCCAGTAGTGTCTCTTTCAGGGAAGATTTTTCCACACTTTTTCTTTTCATACTTTCCTCATCACAGTGTTTCTTCCCTGTTTTCCACTCAGTTACCCCTGACTTTTTCTCGCTAGTCAGGGAGAAGGAAAGCACAAGGGAATTTTAAAGATATTCAGGGATCCTTTTCCAGTTAGTACCTCGAAATGTTCCTAAACCAAACTTTTCATGTAAGTTTTTACAGGCATCAAAATGAAATTTGAGTGTGTGTTTGTTTTTTTAAATTAGCCACTTAAAATTGTGTTTCAGAGACCCTTGGTCAAATTTCCTGTCATGGACCTAAAGGGCCCTGAAACTTACTATACATTTAATAAGATATTTACCTCTCTCTTGCAAAGAGCTGGAAGTAGCAAATTGTGACTCATATCTAGGGTTTTCTGGTACGTTTCACCAAGGCCTGTCTGCACTATTCTCAAAAAGGTAAATTTTACATTTCAGCAAATAAAATATGTAATGCTTATGATGAGGTCCTTGCAAGAAGTCTCTGCAAAAATTGTGCTGTGTTCTTTTCTAATGCTACAGTGAGAAACCAGAAAAGAGTTCAGCCATGGAATCCATTTCAAATGAATGATAGAGCTGTGCTTGAAATTCTCCACTATCAATTGTTTCTGTCTGAAGAGAGATTATATTTTAACACTTTAAAGGTGTCAGAATGCTCCCCACTTTGAAGCAAACACCCTTGTGTAGAAACCCATTGTGTTTGTTCACCCCCAAAACAGGGATCCAGGTCTGTTTGAATTTTTAATAAAGAAGTGCAAACCAATATTATAGGTACAATAGAATTCTCTCGCTCTCTTTTATTTTTTTTTTTTTTGAGACGGAGTCTTGCTCTGTCACCCAGGCTGGAGTATAGTGGCACAGTCTCGGCTCACTGCAACCTCTGCCTCCCGGGTTTAAGTGATTCTCCTGCCTCAGCCTCCTGAGTAGCTGGGATTACAGTCACGCACTACCATGCCCAGCTAATATTTTTGTATTTTTAGTAGAGACGGGGTTTCACCATGTAGGTCAGGCTGGTCTCAAACTCCTTTCCTGATGATCCGCCCTCCTTGGCCTCCCAAAGTGTTGGGATTACAGGCGTGAGCCACCGCGCCCAGCCTCATTATTGTTTTAACTGGCATTTCTTTGACAACTTTGAACGTTTTTCATATATTTATTGGTCGTTTATATATCTCATTTTGAATATTTTCTATTCATGCCCTTTGCATTTTTTTCTATTGCTATGATTGTCCCCATATTGATTTATATAAACTACTCATATATTTAGACACTATTCTTCAGTTTCATTTGTTTCAAAATGATCATTTTCCAAGGTATTTGCCTTTTAGTTTTGTTTTCTATGTTTATTTGACATACAGAATATTAAAATATATGTAGTCGAATTCCTCAGTCTTGAGCTTTTAAAAATGTATTTATCACTTCTTGATTTCCCTGTTTCTAACACACTAGAATTTGAGAGAGAGAGAGAGAGATTTGTAATTTAGAATTTTATTTTCAAGGAGTTAATAAACAGCATCTAAATGTTATTGAATCTGAGGGTTAGAGAACAATTATGTCCCCTTTACTTATTTAGGAAAAAGCCAAGTGATGGGAGGAGGGGAAGACACATGAATCGGTGTTTATTCTGAATAAAAGTAGCTCTAGGTGTGCTCACTGACTCACCCCATTTTACCAGTGTTGGAATTGAAAGGGACCTCAACAGTCAAAGGTCAACTTCACAACCCCCATACCCAGTGCAGGAATCCTGCCAGTACTATTTCCACCATCTCCTTGACAACCGCCAGGAGAGCTCAACTTTCCCACCAGAGTCCATTACAACTTTGAATGTCAGTGGACACACCTTTGTTGTATTGTGCTGAAATTTGCCTGCCTGTGAGTTCCATTCTCCAAGCCTCGCTCTGCCTTTTGGAGCCACTTTGACAAAGTGGGACTACCTGGGAAAATATCAGCTATTCAGTGAAAGCTGCCATATCACATCGAGAAGTCTCATCTCTTTAGCAATCACCTTGAAATCTTTTCTTTCCTCCCATATGGTATTAAGACTCACCACTAGCCTGTTTGCTGTCTCCTGGGCACATCCCAGCGTTTGCCTCTCTCCTCTCTTGTAGATGCCCAGCATGGAACACAGAACTTTTTGTGAACCTGATAGGGGCAGAACTGGTGCAAATATGACAGCTCAGGTCTTTCCTCTATGCTCAGACTGGTGTGGCTCATCTTCCTTTGCTGCTTTTCATTTTCTGAACTGCTGTCACCATTTCTCAGGAACCCTAGAACTGATGCCCTGGGCCTTTTGCCTTTCTTTCATTTCATTCCACCCTTGAGTGAAGGTTTGTCTGTCTTTGTTTTGTTTGTTTGTTGGGCTTATAATTGTTGACAGAACCCTTGCAAACCTCTCACATAGCTTCTTGGGAAGAGCTGGTTGGGGCACCACCTACCAGCCTGCACTTCCCTTTCTCAGAGTTTGGAAGCCCCCACCTTTTGCTTGCCATGTCAGCAGTTTTCAGTCTGGGTTTATGGGTCAAGGTGTTGGTTTTGGACCTTGGCCTCATTATCCTGTTAGACTGGTGCTCAGGCTTGGCTGATCTAGATCCTTCTACTGAGGCTGATCCAGGGTAGCTGGAGGAGGGCAAGGCAGGGCAACACAGAACAGGGCATGGCAGGGCAGGGCCCAGAATAAAGGTGGGGCCAGTAGAGCTAGGTGGGGCTGGGCTGCATGGAAAATCAACTTGTTTCCTTAAATCAGTTCACCCTGGTGATGGCAGAGCAATGAAAGAAGTGGGCTTAACTGAGTCCCAGTCCTGGCTAACCAGCTGGGAGACATTGGACAAGTCATGTGTCCTCTCTAGGAGCATGACACTGGATAGCAATGCCAACTTCTGCTGTCTGTCAAGCCATGACGCCAGCACTGTGCAGGCAAGAGTGTAATAGGCATCATCCCATTCTGTCATAGCAGCAAACTCATGAGGGAGTCCTATTACTGTGCTCATTTTACAGAGGAAGAGATAGTAAAGCAGGTTAAAAAAACTTGCCCAAGGTCATGGCATCAGTAAGTAGCTGAGCTGGGTGGAATTTGAACCCCAGTGGCCTGAACACCTGTGCTCCCGAACACAAAGCTATGCACCCCCAACCCCACAACCCCTCCTCCTCAATTCTTATTACTTCTATGGCTTGTCATAATTCAACAGCAGCTCTAAGGTCTGGGAAGGACCATGTTCATGTCATTTGTCCTTAGCGTAGCAGCAGCATCCTGGAGACCTGTATGTTTCTGCACTTCATTTTTCTGCCCTTCATTTTTCTGCCTCTGAGCTAAGGCCACCTACACCCTGCCAGTTTGTTTGAAGCATCCTGCAAACAGGTTGCAAGGGCAAATTTCTACCAGAAATAGGTTTATGTTAGTTTTGATAGTACCATCTTTATATTCAAGAATTAAAAACCTAGAAACAAAACCAAGCTTGAGTTTCCTTGAGTGGAACGCCTCTCTAAAACATGGTTGTTAATTATCCATGTTGGCTGAGGTTGTTTACCTAAAATATTTTGTCCTCTTGTAGACATAAGAAAAATTAATTGCTCTGGCTTTTTTTCTCTGTAATGTTCTGATGTCCTGGCATGCCAAGCCTGAGACAACCTAAACCACAGAGTGAGTAATATTCTGTAGCTGAGGACTGGAATTTTGGTTGCCCAAGGTTGTGGAAGTCTTATTGCAACATAGGAGTCAGCCCCAAACAAACAAATGAACAAACAAACAAACAAACAAACAAAGCAGCCACCTGGCCTCTCCTGAAAAAAAAATCCTTCTCTCTTTAAGGAGTTTAACTTGCCTTCCCTCAACACAGCAGGTAAAAAACTTCAGTTGTTGTCTCCTTGGATTACACACAGTATCAGCAGGATACAGTGATTTTTGGGTTTGTGTAGTGCCTTCCTAAGAATGCAACATTTTCATTATTGTTATCATAATGTGTGTGTGTGTGTGTGTGTGTGTGTCTGTGTGTGAGAGAGAGAGAGAAAAAAAGAGAGATAGAAAGAGAGAGAGAGAGAGAGAGAGAGAGAGAGAAAACGAGAGCACACCAGGATTAGGGAGAGGTTTTCACATTGAAAGATAGGAGGTCCGTGGCACCAGGAATTGCCAACAAACTGGTGAGGGGCAAGAGAAGATACCAGAGAGCTTCACTTCTGTATATTCATGTATTTTGTGTCTGGGAGAAAAAGCACACTATTTTAAGAAAAACACCTAAAGTCTTGGCATAAATACTACATGGCACATAATAGATGTATTCAATACATGTCAATTCTATTCTGATCTTCTCCTCCAATAATATAATCATATTTACGATGGAATTTTTATTGCCGTAACAACTAAAAGTAATTGGCGCTGTCCCATAAAAATAAGATTTTTGAGCCTCTGTATTTTTTTTAAAGTTTATTTTGAGCTCAACTGCATCACCATGAACCCTGCAGTAGCATTTATCTAAATGTGGTTACAGCTTACATGGCTTCTCCTGGGTTCTCTCTCATCTGTTTGTACCTGTGTATAACTTAATCTTCTGCCTTTTTGTTTTCTTTCTGCCTAAGTGAAGAACAAGAATGCTGAGATTTCTCCAGGACACACCTGTGCACTGTTGCAGAGCAGCTGATCTTGGGGAAGGCTGGTTTTGCCACACAGGTAGTGACAGGGAGGTCTCAACAGGCTCCCAACCCAACCAAATAAAGGTGTGTGGGGGTTGCAGAGCCAGTATATGTGGAGTTGGGGGCTGGAATGAGAGAAAGGGACACCTTTGTCAGGGTTGTTAGCAGGTGTTGCTTAATTAGTCTGAATGCAAAAATGTAACTAGAAGACCAAGTGTCACATTTTAACATGCGTGTGCATGCTCACATATGTACACACACACACACACACACACACTTTTTCTCTGAGGTGCACCCTTTCCTACATGTTCTTTCCTAGATCAAATCAAGGGGTTTTGGAGCAAAAACTCAAATGCTTTATCAGTTAGGTTTCTTTTTTTTGTACATGCATTTCCAATTCAACTCTGCCTGGCTTGAATTAGAATAGGGATAAATGTGAGTTCATTTCTGTTTTCTACATTCTATCTGGAGCACAGAGTATGCTCCATCTTGGTTATTGTTGTTGTTTTAAGAAGTAGCATGAGAATGCTTGTCAACTACTTACTTTCTTTTAACCATCTACTTTTTTTTGGACCCCGCTTCTTTATCTATAAAATAGTTATGATTCCTTAATGCTGTGATAGATGGATAGAAGTCTATAAAAGCAAGGGGTAGTTTTAATCTACAAAATAACGTGAAGAATTTTAACCTTAAAAATTAGATTTCATCATAATATTAATGAAATAGTTGTCTGAAAATATTTCATTTTACTAACAATCAAGGAAATTCACCTGAAAAAATAATGGCATTATATCTAATAAGTATCTATCAGATTGTCAGAGACAAAAAATATTGATCATATGTAGTGTTTGTGAGAATGTGGGTGCATTGGATTAACTTTTCTGCAAGGTGTATTGTCAATACATTTCAAAATTTAAACTGTGTTCATGTCTTTTGATGAGGTGATCTCTTTTCCAGAAAGTTATTTTTAGGAGAAAATTAGAAAGGTATTCAAAGACATATTTATTAGTTTTTTTTTCTTCCCCTTCTCCTTCTCCTTCTTCTTCTTCTTTTGAGACAGAGTCTCACTTTGTTGCCCAGGCTGGAGTGCAGTGTGGCGTGATCTTGGCTCACAGCAACCTCCACCTCCTGGGCTCAAGTGATTCTCCTGCCTCAGCCTCCTGAGCAGCTTGGATTACAGGCATGCACCACCACACCTGGCTAATTTTTGTATTTTTAGTAGAGATGGGGTTTCACCATGTTGGCCAGGCTGGTCTCAAACTCCTGACCTCAAGTAATCTACCTGCCTTGGCCTACCAAAGTGCTTGGATTATGGGCATAAGCCACTGCACCTGGCCTGTTTTTCTAAGATTTATTGATAAGGTGAAAAATGGGGAATAAGATACATGTCCACAAATAGGAAATTATTTAAATTAATTATGATATAACTCCAAATGGAATAAATACTCAGTGGCTGTTCAAAAGGAGATTGTAGCTCCATATTTTTCATATGGAAAGGCAGCTGTGATACACTGTTAAGTGAAAATAAAATTACAGAATTGTATGTTTTGCATTATTACACTTAGATGGACATGTTTATGTATATATCTATCTATACTTAGACACATAAAGAATGTGTTTGTATACAATGGTTTCTGGTAGAAGAAGTTAGTGGGGAAGAACATTCACTTTGTACTTGGGGGCTTTTCACTTGCTTAAACATATTTTTAATAGTGAATGGTATTATGTTGCATCATCAGTGAAAATAATAATAATAAAGAAGAAGAAAAATCCAAGAGGCATTACAATGAAACTCTTAATTCTATTGCTTCTACTAATTTCTCTCATTTGTAATATGACCATTGAATGGGAAACACTCAACCTCTGATCAACTAAGTAGGGACACGGGCCTAGACTATTTACAGTGGATGAAAGAAACAGTAAAAGATAAACAAGTAAGAGATAAACAATGTGAAGATATGATATAACTTGATGAGGCCTGCCATAAATAACACACTAATCTATTTAATGAAATAATATATGATAGGCACTTGATGGGCTTTGTGAATTGAATATCATGGGAAAAGGAGGTTGATGAATGTTAGAGAGAGTGACGGGTGACAGTCGGGGGAATGATAGGCGCTGTATTCAATGCTGTGGGAAGTACGACTCCCTCCAGGCTCTTTTCTTTCTGAGAGACCCAGTGGTAGGCATTAGAGACTTTCAGTCTACTTTGCCTTTATTTTGGACTGAGACCTAGATGCTATCATGTAAAAATATCCCTGCTAATGCATATTAAGATGTGACATGCTTCCTTTTTAAAATTTTGTATGCCTTTGTATCATTAACCTGAGAAGGAAAAAAAAAAAAAAAGAGAGAGCCCATATCCTGGTGTGTAACTAAAAACCTCCCGGTGGGATTTGTTTAGTGTTAGAGAGTGATTAGTAATTTTTAGTGATTAGTAATTTTCTCCCTCAGGTGGTTTTTCTGCATTCCTGTAGAGATCGTGTACACAACAGGGCTGCCAAGTGAGAAGAAAAGGCTCAGGCAGAAAATATCACGCTTTAGAAAACAGTGTGTGTGCGTGCGTGCGCATGTGTGCGTGTGTGTGTTTTAAACAACTATTTTAGTTGCTTTGACAAATAAAGTGCTTTGATTTGGAATCATGTCTTTCATGTCTTATACAATCTCTGGTCTTGCATCCGTCTCATTATGTGATAATTTTATTCAAGGGAATTATATCTGCGGTCCCATCCACTCACAACCCAGTCTCTCTCTCACCGTTTCTATTCCCCCACTGGTTTTGGAAAAGCAAGCCAATTCTAAAAGTCTTAGCTTAAGGAGGCCTCTGGGTTTTATTTGCAGTTTCTTAAAGCCAACTGTGGAAATCATAAGATTGAGCAGAAAGGGTTTAGCTTTTTCAATTAGAAAAAAAAAAAGCCTGCAGATGTCTACAATGAGAGCTCCATTAAGGAGGGCCATTTTCTAGGGTCTCACTAGGTCAACCCATTCCACTGCCCGATAAAGGGCACTCACACGAACTGAAAACACAGCCTGGCACCTGGGTCTCTAGCAAGAGTATGCAGTTGTTTTTCATCTTGCCACTCCCTGGGGATTGAAGCCGTTTAGCACAAATATTAAGCAACCTGTGTGGCCTTGGGATTCTCCCACTTGAAGCTTTCATAATTTTATTTTTGCATATCTATAGGCACATATACTGGGCCCGGTGACCTCATTGGTAACTCTTAGCTCCTCAGAATGTTGCTATCTGAACCCAAGAAAGGATACACTGTGTTTGGGTTACTCTTTCGTTTCTAAGTCTAATACTGGCACTTAGAACAGTTAATGAAATAAACTTTAGAGTTGAGAGGTAATGCACTTACAGTGACAAAATAATTTGCTGACCAACATTATCCAGGTGGTGGACTTGGGCCATGTCTTCCTTCTTCATCATTGTCACCACCACCACCACCACCACCAGCACCACCTCTCATATATCAATGCACTTTGCAGTTAGAAACACTTTCTCATGCATCATCTTATTTGGTTGTTATGGCAGTCCTGTAAGGTCCAGGTGGCTGTGGATTGTCTCATTTTTGATGCGGAGTCTCTGAAACCACACATCAAGCATCAGAGCAAAGAAGAGAATCTAGACTTTCCACTTCCTAGTTCCGCCCTCTCTGAAGCACTTCAAGGAGGGTTGTAGGAGGAGCACGCCAAACACTTTAACTCTGCGCTGAGATCTTAGCCTGCCTTGAACTCTAATCTTGTGCATAGACTGAGGTTACCCTTAGAATATGAGATGGATTTGAATGAATCTACGAGTTCAGTGTAAGAATCTAAAAAATATTCTTTCCCCTCTTTTGTAAACTGGCCATGTGATCCTGCCGGGAGGTGTTCTGACAAGCTAGAGGTGTCACCCTGTGAGATCTGCCTCAGAGGCTGATTTAGATTACCTGTTACATGCAATAAGTGATCGTGTCCCTTCTGCTGCAGAGCTCTCTCCATGGAGACAAACATCAAACTCACTCCCTCCAGTTTTTAAACCTGAATATGAATGGCCATTCCAAATTGGCTGTCTTAATCCACTCAGAGCAGCAGGGAGTATTTAACTGTTCAACATATTAAATGAACAAAAAAATATAGGTAAGACTGACTCATGGCTGGATAAGAGGCAAAGGTAGATGGCTTTCCATTGGCCTGGCTAGAGCCCTGGCTACAGGGCTAAAATGTATCCTGTAGTTCACCGCATATCTCCTCCCATCCTGGCCAGGCCTTGCCAACCTGGTGTTGGGCCAGACTGTAAGGCGTGTGAATTGTGGAGAGAAGCAAGGAAGCTAGGGGTGGAATGAGGGCTCAGAACAAATGCTGGAGGCAGGGAGTTCCAGAAAACAAGGGAGAGTGTCCTCATGAGATTGTGAGCAACTCTATAGTTAGGGAAGAACATTTATTTATTTTTGTTTTCTCAAGCCTAGTGCAGTACCTGGCACATAGTCATTGCTCAACAGATACTTGTTGACAGAATAATAAATAAACTGACGTGGACCTTTACTAACCTCACCACCCCTTTCTTCTATGTATCAAGATTTCAGGTTAAAGTGCCTGATGGTTGCCACTGGCATTGCCACTTCTGATCTTGTTCCCATTTGTGAACTCCCTGTTTTTTTCCTGGCTTTGGGAGCCTGCTTGGGCCTCCAGCTCTGGCCTTCTATGTCCGCTGCTGGCTCTGAGGTTCTGATGGAATCCATGTCAGGTAGTGTGTTTCAAAATACTTAAGCTTTCCATTTAGTTGTAATAAAATCCCAAATTTTTCTGAAAAAATATTGTTTTTTTTAAGAAAATATTTTGTAAAATATAATTTTTTAAATATGAAATATGAAACATGATTTTGTAACAATATGAAACTCCACATCTACGGTGGTGGGTTTACCAAAATTTTTGGTCCTGGCCATAAAAGTAAAAAGCTTAGATGTTTTGGAGGCAGCTTGGCAGAAAATTTGGTAGACCAAAATAAAGTATAACTATTTTGATCTGGTAATTCCAGTTCTAGACATCTAACTTACAGAACTACGTAAGTGTGCAAGGGCATAACTGCAAAGAGGCTAATGTCACATTGTTTGCTTGCGATAGTAAAAAACAGAAGTCACTGAATCTGAGGTTGTAGGTCAGTATCAGAGTTCATGTGCCCATTTTTTCCTTGTTTCCTTATGATCACTGATCATGGATAATATGTGCAGCCAGGAGTAGATTAAAGAGATTTATAAATTTGAGTTGTGTAATTTCTACGCATTTTATTCATGTTAGAAGGCAGATGACTCCTCTCTCAGGGTCAAAGGAAGCCTTGAACAAAATGGCGAGAAACGTGAAGGTTGTTTGGTGTTTTCCCCTTTCAGTGCCTGTGTTCTCTTGTTGTCTTAAAATGGCAGAGATTTTCAAGTAGACCCGGATATAAATGTCAGCTCCATCATTTACCAACGGTGTAAACTTGGCCACTCAATTTAGTCTTTCAAAGGCTTAGTTTTCTCCTAGGTAACACAATAATATTCATCAAGCAGGGCTTTTGTGAAGATTAAATGAGATACCATATGTGAAAATACCTATTGCATACTGTAGATGCTCAATAATTGTTTTCTTCCTTCTGATTTTTATTTTAAGAACTCTCTCAAAAACGCTTCTGGGTTTTAGTGTTCTCAGAGCATTTTAATCTCCACCTGGTCCCTGTGGTTTAGGGATAACTGCAGTTATATCATCACCCCTCTTCCTGACTTGTGTTGCCCCCACTTTGCCCTTGCCCCGTTCCCCTTTCTTGCTCTATCTTCTCTCCTCATTTCCTTCTTTTTCTTGCCTTGTTTTCTTCCTTTTATTTCCACTTGGATTTTTCCTTTTAAACATTCCATACCTTCTTATCTTCCAGTCCTCCATTTATTTCCTAGACTACTGGGGGAGAAACTCGGTTAAAAAAAGAGAAAGAAACACAAAGTGCACAAGATGATAAATAAAACCAACTCTTCTGCCTTCACACTCAAGCCACACCTGGCTTCTCCCAGTTCTGCAAGCCTCTGTGTCTTTGCACACGCTATGCCTTCTTTTCCCCACTTTAACTGGCTAAATTCTACTTATGATTTGGGCCTGAGTCATTTCCTCCAGGGGGCCTGGGCCTGGGCTCCAACATGCTAAGACACATGCTCTGCTCACTTTGCCCACTGCACTTCATGCTTCCCAGACCAAAATACCAGCATAACTAAGTTGTAATTGCTTGTTTAATAATCTCTTTTCTGCTAGACTATTAACTTTCATGCACAAGGAATGTGTTCCACCTGTTTATTTTTGCATCTCTACAGCTTGGCTCAGTGCTTGGCACTTGATAGGTGCTTGTTGAATGGAGATGTAACTGTAGCTTGTTTTCATCATCAAGACATCTGGGAGAACCAGCCTAGTTTTTCTCAAGCTGAATTCCACTCTATGACTTCTGCCATGTTCTTGCACTGAAATTTTGGTCCACAATCTTCACTAGGCCAAATAAAAGCAGGAAGAGGTATCAAATACTATCTGTGCTTATTTCATTGGAATAAATTTCCAAACCCCCATAGCTTGGGAGATAAGGCTCCAGATTTACTTCTCAACTCTTTCTCCCTCCATGAACCTTATGGTACACTCACTCCAAATCTGCCAGCTATCTTTATCTTCTTGTACTTGTTATGCTGTTTTATCAACTTCCAGGGTTGATTCTTTTCATTCTTTGCCTATGGAAAGTCTTTTTATCCCTCAAGCTCCAGTTCAAATAACGGTTCTTACCTCTTGGAGTTATTGTGAGAATGAACTGATATAAAATGCATAAGTGCATAACACAGTTGTTGCCATAGAATAAGTGCTCCATAAAGATTAGCTGTTAGCATCTTTTCTCAACCAGATTTTAAGCACAAAGAGGGTGAGAACCATATTTCTATTATTCACATCTGTAACCTAAGCATCCACTTGAAGGCTGAGCACATAGAACATGCTCAATAAATGGTTTTTGACCAAGTGAGGGAATAAATAGTCCAAATGACCATATAATAGATCAGACCAGATAGTTAATGTGGTGTGCTACTTCTAGGCTGTGCCAATTACCAGGATGTAGTGGATTTAGTCACATGAATAACTCCAGGTCTGGGCAAAGACTTCTTGAGCAATACCCCACAAGCAGAGGCAACCAAAGAAAACATGGACAAATGGGATCGCATCAAGTTAAGAAGCTTCTGCACAGTAAAGGATACAATCAACAAAGTGAAGAGACGAATCATAGAATAGGAGGAAATATTTGCAAACTACCCCTCTGACAAGGGATTAATAACCAGAATATATAAGGAGCTCAGACAACTCTATAGGAAAAAATCCAATAATCTGATCAAAAAATGGGCAGAAGATTTGAAGAGACATTTCTCAAAATAAGACATACAAATAGCAAAGGGGCATATGAAAAGGTGCTCAACATCACTGATCATCAGAGAAATGCAAATCATAACTACAATGCGATACCATCTTACCCCAGTTAAAATAGCTTATATCCAAAGGACATGCAAAAACAAAAGCTGGCAAGGATGTGGAGAAAAGGGAATCCTCGTACACTGTTGGTGGGAATGTAAATTAGTACAACCACTATAGAGAACAGTTTGGAGGTTTCTCAAAAACCTAAAAATTGAGCTGCCATATGATTCAGCAAGCCCACTGCTGGGTATATACCCAAAAGAAAGGAAATTAGTCTATTGAAGAGGTATCTGCATTCCCATGTTTGTTGCAGCACTGTTGACAACAGCTAAGATTTGGAAGCAACTTGTATCCATCAACAGATGAATAAATAAAGAAAATGTGGTACATATACATGATAAACTACCATTTAGCTATAAAAAAGAATAAGATCCAGTCATTCGCAACAACATGGATGGAACTGGAGATCATTTTGTTAAGTGAAATAAGTCAGGCACAGAAAGACAAATAACATGCATTCTCATTTATTTGTGGGATTTAAAAATCAAATCAATTGAACTCATGGAGATAGAGAGTAGAAGGATGGTTACTAGAGGCTGGGAAGGGTAGTGGGGAGTTTGGGGGATATGCTGGGATGGTTAATGGGCACGAAAATGAGAAAGAATAAATAAAACCTACTTTTTAATAGTACAATAGGGTGACTATAGTCAATAATAGCTTACCTGTATATTTTGAAATGAAGAATGTAATTTGATTGTTTGTAACTTAAAGGATAAACGCTTGAGAGGATGGAGACCCCATTCCCCATGATGTGCTTATTTCACATTGTATGCCTGTACCAGAACATCTCATGTACACCATAAATATATACACCTACTATGTACCCACAAAATTAAAAAAAAATAAAGAAAACTCCAGTTGTTTAGATACCTAGATGTGGCCTAAAAGATTTTTTGAGAATCAGTAGTAAATGATTAGTTACACATATGCTTAGATGTCATCAAAGCACAAAAAATATGTAGATTTCTTTGGTTAGCTGAAGGTTCTGTTTGAATGTGGAAAACGTTAGGGTGAGAATGATCAAAGGTGATTTAATGTTTAATCTGGTCTGGTTCACCAGAACCTTATAAAGAGCCAACTGTGGAAATCCTGCTTCCTCCCATTCCCCCACCCTAGTGGTACACACAGTCAGAGCCAATGTAAATAGTGAAAATCAAATATGTTTTTGCATATTGAATTTCTTTTGTGGAAGTTTGAAATGGTTAGCTGAGTATTTTAACTAAATTGAACAGAATGCCAGAAAAGTCTTCTTTGAAATGTGAAATACTTTTAGCCCCACAAAAGTTCATATAAAATATAAGAATACTATGAATGTAAGAATATTACTACGCAGCATATTCACACTTGTGTGCAAAATGTCGAAACTTACAGAGTCATATACAATTCAGTCTGTGGTACTTTGAGAGAAAGTTCTCTATAGCTCCAGGTACAATCACATATGGCTTTCCCACTAATACTTTTCCTTTTCTCCCTCCCTCCCCCTTGTTCATTTCCTTTTCCCATTCCCCCTTTCCTTGAGTGACAGGTAACTGTATAACACCAGACTTCAAAAAAAGAATTAAAGATTTAATTTAGAATGACCACATCCTTAACGATAGCTTTCCTTTCTAACCACAAGCAAAAACCTTGAACTTAAGATGATTACCATGACTGGCACACTAAACAAATACAAATTAATGGCAAATAAGAAGTGACTCTCAGTCCTCTGAGCTCAAGTTGCAGTCTCTCCTGGAGGTGACTGGGCAGTCAGGAGCCCTCAAGGTTTTATCAGATGTGATAACAAAGTAGTAGAAAAAGCAGGTGGGCCCATTGATCCTCACTGCCCTGAGGGTTATGGGGAAAATGTGTTTCAGACTTGCATGCAGTTTGAGTATGGCTCTGGGAATCTCAAGTTATTCCTGCTCTAGAGAATATGGAGCGTGTTAAATCAATTTGTGTGGAGAGATGACCACTACTGGTCAAGGTGAAGGTACATTTTCATCTTCTCTTAGGTGCCAAAAACCCCTCTGAGGCTCCTGACATTTAGCTATCCTCTTCCCAGGGGTCTGGATTTTCCAAAGCCGTCCAGGGCTCTTTCCTTACAACGTAGCTGCCTTCTGTTTTGGGGTCACCACTACTCGTCATTTTCACTTTGATGAGTCACCATCACTGACCAATCACTCTCTCATGCCCAGGAAGGCAATCTCAGGTCCTGGCTTATCCTTCTGGCTGTTTTTGCTTTGTTGCTTTAGTGGGGGCTCTCGTCTAAGGAATACTGACACTTATGTAGCAGGTGGTCACTGTACCCCAATAATCTGTGAGAAAACAAGTTGACATTAATAGCAATAAGTCACATTTCAGTGGCTGATTTTATATTTTCCTCCATAACACAAGTCTTCAGACCCTCTGTTCCAAGTCTCTCTCAGTTACTTCTGGTATCACTCAGTTTCTTCTCTGTTATTTTGTGGGGGCTTTTATGAGCTCATAACGGGTTCTACCATGTAAGAGTGTCTCCTTGTTCTCTGCCAATCTTCATGAGACCGTTGTTGATATTTTTCTAGAACATTCCAAAGTTGCAAACCTGTGAGGTGCCAAAATGGCAGCACATTTAGCTTTCACTCCTCTAGAACCACATTGCCTCATGGAGTAATTAGGAGAAAACGCACCTTCCTCAGTATGTTGCCCTTTGTTACTCGGTCATTAAAGAAAACAAAAAACAAAACAAAACAAAAAAACACGCCATCCGTGCTCCAATGTATCACAAAATCCTCATGAAAGCAACCCTTTTGTCTTCTAATTGAAGCCCTGTTTTCCACAGGCTCACAGCTGGCATTTTGCGCTGAGCAGAGGCAGAGTCTGTTCTTCATCTTCCCATATCTTGCTCTAGGTGTCTCTACCAAAACTCTTCCTTACAGACTTTTGGCTCTGTTTGCTTGTTTATATTTTGCTACATTCCTTTTCCCTTTAAGGAGACTACCAGAGTCTCACAGAGCTTTTCCTCTCACATTTCATTGGCCAGAACCCGGTCACTTGGCTACCTCTAGCTGCAAGGGAGGCTGAGAAAATGTGCTCTTTTATTCTACCTGTATCTAGCCAAAAAATCAGTATTCTATTTTTAAAAAGGAGGAGAATAATGTATTCTGGGGCAAAGAACCAGCAGTCTCTGCCACAGGTTTTAACTCACGTTTTAATTTTTTCTCCTCTCATTCCCTTCATACATATTGTGGGGAGGACAGCGTTTGCTCATTGGTCTGAATATGGTACACATTTTCCCACTTCTGTGCCCTTCTTCATCATGTTTCCTTGTTTGAAATGTCTTCTGGACTCCTCTTCTTGCTTGGAGTTCTCATCCTTTAAGTTCCATATTGAAGCTACACAGAGTGTGTTGTGCAGTGAAGATCCCAGATCTAAAATCCTTTGAGGAGATTTTTTAATTAGAGAGATCATTTTAGCCTATTGAATGAAGCTGAGAGATGCAGCTCAAGTTTTCCTACTTCCTACCTTCCACACTATCAGCAGCACAAAGTTCATCCGCATAAACTAGCACCCTAAATCCAGACAAGTCCTCGTCTTGACTTGTATGATGCTTACTCTGTGTTACTCTGACCCAGGCACTTCTCCACTAATGAACTTTACACCTATTAGCTAATTTAATCTCAACAACTCCATAAAGGAGGTGCTATTGTTAGTCCTATCTTAATAGCAAATAATTAATAGCTAATAAAATTTATAATAAATTATAAATAATAGCTAATAAATCCTCCAACACAAATTATGGTGATAACATTTTCTTCCAGTTTTTTTTTGTCTATACCATTCATGGAAACTTTTATCTTTCTAATTTATACACAATGCCTTTCTTGTAAGCCTGTCAGTGCAAGGGCTGATAGGTTTTTCTGAAGCAAAGAAGCTAGCACAATGCCTTAGTTACAGCCAGTGCTCGATAATTATTTATTTTTGCTGTTGCTGATAACCTAGGCTAAGGTTTGATGAGGAATTTTAAGGGTTTGTAATAGTTACAGCCTGAGTATAGTTGAATCAGGTCTTGGAACTCTGTTATCTCTATACCTTTTTTCTGCAGAGTAAAAACAACACTGGGAGCATTAGTTCATCACAGTGGGATAAGGAGAAGGATTACGGAGTTTCGAAAAGGATTTTAACCTCAATCAAAAAATTAAGCCCTCCTACTTTTGAGTGACGTCAGTATCAGGATAATCACAGGGCATTAATTTTATTTTTATAATTTTTTGGATTGGTAATACATTCGTGTTTCAAATATAAAACATATAAAAGCTATTCATTAAAAAAACTATTTTCTTATCAGCCCTTAATTCAACTGTCCCTATCCCTGTGATAGGTAACATTATTATTGATTTCTTATCATCATATTATATGTGTTTTATATATATATATATATATATATATATATTTTTTTTTTTTTTTTTTTTTTTTTTTTTTTTGGAGACAGAATCTCACTCTGTCATCCAGGCTAGAGTAGAGTGGTATGATCTTGGCTCACTGCAACCGCCACCTCCTGGGCTCAAGGAATTCTGCCTCAGCCTCCCAAGTAGCTGGGGTTACAGACATGCACCACCACACCCAGCTACTTTTCGTATGTTTAGCTGAGACAAGGTTTCACCATGTTGGCCAGGCTGGTCTCGAACTCTTGACCTCAAGTGATCTGCCCACCTTGGCCTCCCAAAGTGTTGGGATCACAGACATAAGCCACCATGCTCAGCCCTAGAGATATTTTTTAAATGTAAATAAAAGTCAATACAAATATATATATGTATATATCTTTTCTGTCTCTCTTTTGTCAAGAATAGAGAAATGCTATATATACCTTGCTTTTAATTAGTATAATTTAGAAATCTTTTCATATCAATACACTAATAGTTTTTAATTTTTTTTACAGATGCATAGTATTCCACTGTGTGGATAGTCCATAATTTATTCAGTTCTCTGTTGATGAACATTGAGTTTTTTGTCAAAATTTTTATTACAATAATACTGCAAGTAATATCTTTGTATTTAATTCATTTTAGCATTTCTATATCTGTAGCATAAATTCCTAGAAGTAGAATTGCTAGGTTAACGGGATAAGTAGTTGAAGCTTTGGTAGATACTACTAGACAGCCCACCATAAGAATTCTACTAATTCATATTCTCACCAACAATATGTGAAAGGGCTATTTTTATGCAGTCTTGCAACATAATTTATTATTTAAACTTCTGGAATATTGTCGATCTGATAGGTAGTGGGGGAATAACTTCATCTAGTTTTAATTTGTATATTCATTACCATAAATGAAGTTTGGCATCTATTTTTCTCCACTTATTTAGGAACCATATCGATATTCTCTTCTGTGAATGATCTGTTCATACCTTTGTGAACATTGTAATTGGATGAATGATATTTCTTTTACTCTTAGGGATTTGTAGATACTTTTTCTATATGTGGGACATTAGCCCTTTATGTTTCAGGTTGCCAATATTTTTGCCTAATTGTCATTTGTTTTTTACTTGGCTCATTTTTTAAATTCAGAAAATAGTCTTTTTATTCTTAAAGAGTGGATCTTGTAAAGTCTTTTCTTCCGTGGCTTCTGGATTTTGTGTTAGTTAGAAGGGCTTTTAACATTTAAGGTTATAAAAGAATTCTCACAAATTTTTCTTTATTTATTTTACATTTAAATATTGAACCTATTTGAAATTTCAGACTCCTCTTTAAACCATTTCAAGCAAATATGTTGTTTGGATAGGGTCGCCAGATTTCACAAATTAAAATACGTATGTTTACTTCAGATAAACAGCAAATACATTTTTAGTACAAGTATGTCCCATGCAATATTGGGAGCTGTGCTTGGGAAACATTTATGCTAAATAATTATTCATTATTTACTTGAAATTCAAGTTTAACTGGACATCCTGTATTTTATCTGGCAACCCTACATTGGGAGCCACTATTCCATTTGCTTAGATACTTCAGTTTGAGCTGAATCTCAATTTAGGTTATATCAGGGCTCTGCTACTTTTGTTCATTTGCTATTTAAAAGCTTAATGGTATTTTCTAGAATGTCTGCATGCATCTCTTAAAGGTTCTGAAATTTGAGCATACAACTGGTGTTAGATTGAAATAAATTAATTTATTTACACGTGTGGATAACTAATTCCCTTCTAACATTTTGTCCAATGTGTGCTGCAAGAAAATCATTTCCAGGAGCAGAGAAAACTGTCTGGGGGCAGTAGAGAGCTAGTCCCCTGTCTGTTTGGCTCCAGTGAAACAATTGAGTTCCTAAGAATATTTGGTTATCAAAATAATTGTCTCAATTATTGTTTCAAGGGGTTAGAGGCTAGAGTCTCAGATACATATAACAGAACGATTTTTTTCCTTATAGGAGTTTAAATAATAACATTTTAAAATTATAAGTATATTCTGTTTGATTAAATCAAACAAAAACAAATCTAATGTCTCTTTTTTTCCTGCTTTTGAAAACACACATTCAAGAGTCTTATCTCCCTTAGCACTCCTATTATGATTAACAAAGCACAATGTTGAGATAACACTCCTTTTCCCCCACAGAATTGTAGCACAAATCATAACCATCATGATAAATCAAGACTGTGATGTCATTGAAGCAACCAGGTTCTGATTATAGTATAGCCAAAGGAAGACAGTGCACTTACCTCTGTTTAATTTACCTGATTGCATCTCATTAATCCACTCATTCAGTCATTCAACAAATATTTCCTGAGTGCTTACTACATGCTAGGCACTACGCTAGTTGTGAGGCTGAATAAAACAGCCATGGACTCTGTCCTCATGGAGCTTTGCAGGTGTGCTAGAGCCAGCCCCTACTGGCTCGTTGAAAGCCTATTTTTAAATTTTCAGGAACTTCATGAGCTTCAAAATTGGCAATGGTGAGAGTATTTATACACAGAAATTGGCAACCACAACAAATCAGGGCTTCCTATGCTGTTGTTTTTTTCTTCTCCCCACCCCTCCTTTTATTTAAATGAAGAGCTGGTTGTTGAACACTAATCAGCACAACACTGGGGTTACAGACATGCTCCTGAACTCAGTCACCCTCCCTGCCTCTTGACCTCCACACCAGGATCCCACCTCACCAATACACTTTGCTTTTTACAAACAATAGCTTCTTGAAATGTTGAAGCAGTCAGACTATTATAAGATATTTTAGTTGACATATGTTATAAGTTGTTGGCCATATAAGCAAGCCCAAAGTAAAACTCCTAAAAGAAAATTTGCAATGTTAAAAAATGTATTAGCTATTAGTTTATTCAGCTGTCTAGATAGGACTGACAATAGCACCTCCTTCATGGAGGTATTGAGATTAAATTAGCTAATAGGTGTAAAGTGCATTAGTAGAGAAGTGCCTGGCCCAGAGTAACACAGAGTAAGCATCATACAAGTCAAGGCAAGGCCTTGTCTGGATTTAGGGTGCATAGTTTATGCAGATGAACTTTGTGCTGCTGAGAGTGTGGAAGGTAGGAAGTAGGAAAACTTGAGCTGCATCTCTCAGCTTCATTCAATAAGCTAAAGTGATCTCTTTAATTAAAAAAGATCCTCAAAGGATTTTAGATCTGTGATCTTAACTGCAGGAAGAATGAAAAAGCATTATGTCCTTAGAGTCAGGAGAAAGGCTGTACTTACTTCTTTTTATCATCTGATGGTATTAAGGCTTTTAATGAAAAACGCTATTTTTTTCCCCTCCCTTCTTTGTTCTCTCCTTAGCTTTCCTAAGTGAGTTAAGGCACTCTGAGTATGCCACACCCTGGTTCCCTTATTCTGTAAGACCGCAGAAGAGAGAAGGAGCCCAGATGGCCCCAGGTGGGCTACTAATCCCAGGATTTTGAAATCTTGAGTCTGGCCTCTGGAAGAATTTCCCATTCTGTACAAAGATGAAGAATATACTGTTCCTTGTTCTGTTAACCTATTTTTATAAAACAGAAGGATTTTTTTCCTCCCTACTGAAGGTAAGTTTTACATGCAGATCCTATATGTATTTTGCTAGACATATGCCCAAGTACTTTTTCTTCCTCTTTTTTTGGGTGGTATTGTAAATGGTATTATTTCTTAATTTCAAATTCTAGTTTTTCATCGCTGGTATGTAGGAAAGCAATGAGTTTTGTATATTGACCTTATATCCTGCAACCTTGCTAAACCTGCTTAGTAGTTCCAATAATTTTTTAAAGATTCTTTGGAGTTTTCTACTGTAATAATCATGTCACCTGTGGTAAAGACAGTTTACTTGTCCCTTTTTAATATGTATACTTTTTATTTCTTTTTCTTATCTTACTGCACTAGCTAGGACCTTGAATAGGTTGGTGAAAGAGAATATCTTTATCTTGTTACTGATCTCAGGGGAAAGTATGCTATCTCTTTATTTTTTTGTTTATTTATTTTTATTTATTTACTTTTTTATTATACTTTAAGTTCTAGGGTACACGTGCACAACGCGCAGGTTTGTTACAAATGTATACGTGTGCCATGTTGGTGTGCTGCACCCATTAACTCGTCATTTACATTAGATATATCTCCTAATGCTATCCCTCCCGCCTCTCCCCACCCCACGGCAGGCCCCGGTGTATGATATTCCCCACCCTGTGTCCAAGTGTTCTCATTGTTCAATTCCCACCTATGAGTGAGAACAGAAAGCATGCTATCTCTTACCATTAGGTATGTTTGCTGTAGGTTTCTCATGTATGCCACTCCTGCCGCCCCCACTTTTTTTTTTGAAATGGGGTCTCACTCTGTCACCCAGGCTGGAGTGCAGTGGCATGCTCTTGGCTCACTTCATCCTCCGCCTCCCAGGTTCAAGCAATCCTCCTGCCTCAGCCTCCTGAGTAGCTGAGATTACAGGTGCCTGCCACCACGCCTGGCTAATTTTTGCATTTTTAGTAGAGATGGGGTTTCACCATATTAGTCAGGCTGGTCTCAAGCTCCTGACCTCAGGCGATCCACCCACCTTGTCCTCCCGAAGTGCTGGGATTACAGGCGTGAGTCACTGCGCCCGGCACCCCTTTTTAAATTAAGAAAATCTCCTTATAGTTCTCATTCTTTGAGACCCACAGAATGGGAATTATCTGTTTTAATCTAATCTATCAAGAGATTTGATTTATGGTCATTCCTGTCAGGCTGGGATGGTTTGGAGATGGTAGAGGGAAAGAACATTCCACCCCTGAACCCTGTGGTAATTGTTCTCTGAGTCAGCTCTCTGCCGTCTGTGGCCTCCATACCTCGTCATGAAACCAGAGATCTCTAGCAGCTGCACTGGTGAAAGAGGCAGCAAGAGGTGGAGTGATCCACTCACCTTTAAATCTGAAGGGCTGCCACTTCTTACCTGTGTGAACTTGGATGAATCCCAAAACCTCATTTCTAAAATCAGGACCTTGATTACATTGTAGGCACATGAAGATAGCCTGAAATGATAGTAACTCTAAAGTACTCTACAAATGGATCCTTTAGATGACAACTTGTTAGAGGGCAGGATCCATGTCAGTGCATTTTAGTATCCCCTAAATAGTCTGGGGCACAGTAAATGCTTAATATGTGTCTAATGATTCTGTTATTACATATATTTGTCCCTCCGAGATCTCATTGTTTGCCCTTGGGCTGTGTGGGGGGTACTACAGAGCAGGTGTTACCACAGGGGCTGTGTCAGAGTCTATGATTTCAAGCAAGTCACCAAAGCTCCCTAACCAATAATGGGACTCTGGGTAACCAAGTGAGATGCCCCAGGTAAAGCTCTCTGCAAAATATCCGCTCTCTGTAAATGCTGAATTAATGCCAGCTGTTATTTTTACTTAGGTAAGATCTTTATTAGGGAACTAGAGAGGGAAAGCTGTGGGGTTTGGCGTTTATTTGTTTGTGATTATTTATTAGTGTGTCCTGGAGGAAACTTTCTTCTTTGCTCATGGTTGACAACAGAGGGCAAAAATGAAGGCAAAATGTGGCCTAATGCTGTCAGTTGGCCGGTATTTTCATTTGTACAGATTACTAGTTTTCTTCTTTTCCTAGTGTCCTCTGGCCCACTAGGTGACACTGTTTACTCGTCTATGGTACCCCATTTAGGACTTTCCACAAATCTTATTTAAAAGTAGCATGTTTTGTTTGGGGTGCTGGGGAGGGGGAAAGCGTGTTGAGAAGGAAAATACAAATGAACCGTCAGTGGCTAAACTTTGAGGTACAATTAGGGGCCAATTGTCATCTATGGTTATGTGACGTTATGGGCTAGTTTCAAACTATTTTTTAACGAATTTTAAGAGCAACATGCAATTAGTTTCCAATTCTATTCCAAGAAATGAAGGAAAATTGACTTCCCCTTCCCAAGCCGTCACCAAACCAAAGGATAAAATAAACTGCTGTGGCTTTGAATGTAGAGTTGAGTAGATGCTCTTGAATGATTGTTTCCACCTCATTCTTCAATGATAGTTAATGAGGGCACAGACCACTAATAAGCAGTGGAAGCAGCTTCTAGGCTAAGCTTAAATTGGGCCTTCAAATCTAATCAAAATTAGTCACTGCTGAGAAGAAACCAAATGTGGTGTGTCCATTCGGATGTGGAGTTTGGAGAGGCCCTCCTTGTTTTCCAGGTCAGTTATGATTCCATTTCTGCATTGCTATATTGCTACGCACTCACAGGAAGATGACATTTTTTTGGATCCCATCCAATTGAAACTTGTGATGATTCTAAAATGACACATGTAACTTTTGGATAGAAAAAAAATAGAAAATGAATTTCTTGCCTTGCATTTTCAGGCTGTGAGCCATGGGAAGCGTGTCAACCATGTCAAACCAAAGGATCAAGAAATTGAAGATTCCGTTCACTTGCCTTGGAGTTTGAGGTCTGTGTTTTCTATTTATCCTCACCTCTTCATTGTCTATTATAACTTTAAAATTAACTCATTTATGCTGCTTCTGTTTATAAACTTAGATTGTTTTTTTTTTTTTTTTTTTTGTCCTTAGAAGAAACACAACTAAAATTCTCTAACAAATATTTCCCAGTTCAGAATTTTCCTAAAGCTTTCCTGGCCTCCCTGGCTAATGAGCTCCAATTTTCTTTGCTTTTCTGTGTGTCTACCAGCACGCACCACCTTTAGTTGGTGTGTGATAAACAGCTTAATATAGTCACAGTTTTGGCAGCTAACTTTTGGATGACTGTCACAAGGCCCCCTAAAATTGGAATTAAACAGATTTAAAATGAACAGGCAAACTCCTGTGCTTGAGAAAAGAGGATATTTTCATATGTTGTGAGCAGTAGTTAACCCAATGTCTTCTATGTATTTATGCCCTGCTTTATTTAAGTAACAGTAATAACTTTAATCATTATTAGCAGGAGCACTGTTAAATACTAAGCACCTCTCTCTGAAATGGGACTTCTTCCAGAAAAACTCTTTATGTGAAACCAACACTGTGTAATCAACAGTTGCATGAAGAAGTCTGGGGAGCAGAACATATAACAACAGCCTCTGTTCTCTACGCATAGCAGAACGGTAGAGGCTGAAACATGCATTTTGTTGCTTGATTTGGTGTGTAGAGCACCCGGGACATCTGGGATTTGCTTCCTCGAATCTCCAGCTTGCATGGTCCTCTGATGAAGAAAGGAGAGAGCAGGAAAAAAAAAAATGGAAGAGGAGGACAGAGAAAAAAAATTCAGGTCTGGCTTCGGTGCATTTGAATTCTAGCTGTCTGGGGGCATTCTCCCAAATAGCGAATGCTAATTATACTGAGTGTGTCAAATTGTGTCGTACTTTTGTAAATCAAACAAATGTTCCCAGGAGATAGGCGGGAGGCCACCAAACCCTATTCATTTATGATGCAACCTGAATTTAAAGCCAGGACTCTAGAGGGGATAGGTTACTCTGAGTTTATTTCATCTTCTGACACGTGCCTTGCACCTTCAATGTTACCCTGACATAAGGACTGCAGTCTTTCACATAATGCTTTTATTTAAACAGTTAATATGCTACTAGGGATGGCCATAGCACTTTTTAGAGACATTGAGGATAAACATATTGTTTTGAGGGACATAGGTTGTAGGGCTTTTCTCTGGGAAAGGAGAAATAGATCATAGTGCCGGATCGTTCTTCCTAAAACACCTCTGAGAGCATTTTCCCCTTGCTCTTCAAATCCTCCATGCTTTGCCCTTGTTTACTAAATGATGCCTAAACTCCGCTGAGGCAAAGCGTTCCCAACCTGGTGCTCACTGTTGCCTGTATCTCACATGCTGACCAGATGGGACTCTGCCACGTTTCATGGATGGATGTCATGGATCTGACTCTCCCAGTCTTTGCTGATGCCTGTCATTCCTAATTTCTCGGAGGCCCTCAGGGACTCTCCTCCCTAAAACCTATCTCTTAATCATTGAAATCCTGCTCGCCATTAAAGGACCAGTATAAATACCACCTTCTTCAAGAGGTTCACCTTACTTCTTCTCTGTCTCCAGCTAGAAATAATTTTTCATTTTTCTTTACTTTGTGTTTTTTAATGGCACATGAATACTGCTTTGGTTGATAGGTATATCTGTATGTAGCATCTTTTCTACAAGATAACAAGCTCCTAGGAGCTGGGGATTAGATAATCTGCATCTGCTTCAGATTTGCACAGCATCATGTACAGAATACATGGTTATAAATATTTTTTGAGTAAACGAATGACATAAAACATACACACTCTCTTTCTGGACTAATTTCAATGGTTGTGTCTAAGGGTCAATGATATAAAATAACAGAATCAAAAAATAAAGGAATTAGGAGTATATTTCTTTGTATAGGTTTTGCTTAAATGATCCTTTCAAGCATTTACATTCTTTCAGATGTGCTTGACACACAGTGGGTGCTCAGTTGACCAGCTCACAGCTGGCTTAATGGAATATTACAACAAATGAGTTTCCACAACAAGGTAGAGAGTTTTTAATCAGACATCTTTGAATTTATAACTGGAGTTGAACTTGAGCTTATGAACAATTTTTCCAGGTTTACACAAAAACCAGAAAGCTTAAAAAACAGAATGAAATGAATCATTTCCATTTTTGATACACATGAACATTTTTGATGCACAAAAATAAGAAACATGTTTAAATGTCATATGAACTAGCATTTTTAAAGATCACTTCTTGTGTGCCAGGCACTCTGCTCATCAGTTTATATGCATTCTTTCATTTGACTTCTCAATAATTATTATTGTTATTTATAATAAATAACAAAACTGAGTCTTAGAAAAGTTAAGTAAGTTGCTGAGAGACACATAGCTAGTAAATGGCAGAACCAGGATTCAAATGCAGGTTGACTAATTCCAGTGTGTATGTCCTACTGCCTCTTTGTGCAAAGTTACATCCTTCCAGAAGAGAATGCAGTATAGTGTCCCTTGTGCAGTGTTAGAAGTGGGAATTCTAATTCAGCTCAAACCTTCTCAGTGCCCCTGTTTTACAGATGAAGGAATTGAGGCCCAGATAGGTTAAGTGAGTTATTAGCATCACAGAACTCATGAGATCTGAGATTAGACTGTAGGCATCTGGACTCCCAGTCTAGGAGATTCCTGTGAGAAGATGGTGCATTATCACACAGATTTGAATATACATGGATCTAGCCAGTTTCCCTTTAACATAAACCCTATGTATAGTGAAAGACAGAGGTGGCTTAGCCAACCCTAGGATGGTGTTAGTGCTATCTGCTTTCTGATTGCTTCTCTTTTCACTCATTGGCTAATCCAGTGACACTCATTTCAATGTGGCATCTATATGATTTATTTATACTGAACTTTCTGGATCACTGACCAAGTCAACCAAGGGTGCCAAAGTTGACCATTCATGCACCGAAGACTGAGACAGTCCCTCATTTTGACTGACTTTGCTTTCTTATATGGCAAGCAGGGATTTAAGAGCCAGCCCGGGTATCTTTTGAGTGTGTAGTGCCATTTGGAGAGGCCTCGCCTCTACTGGGGGACCACAGGTGTCTAAGATGGTCTCAATGAAAAGTCTCTTAGGGTTAAAGCATTTTCTTAGCTAAGTATGCTGAGATTGTGGAAACAAAATGAAATAAATGAACAACAACAACAGCAGCAGCAAATCATTTGGAATCAGAAAGCTAAAGGACTGGTCTACAAAGGGTAAGACCTTAGGGTGAGTGTTGAGTGTTGCTTCTTTCCCAGTTAAGCAGGTGATGGCCCTGCCTGTACTCCACAAGGGAGACTGACTATAAGCACTTAGCTTTCCAGATGTTGAGGCAGGATTTGAAGTCAGAAATGCCTCTGTCTCTTAGTTCTGAGTGATCATGGAAAAGCGACTTAGTCTGTTTGGACCTCAGTTTCTTCATCTGTAAAATGCTACAAATCTGGGTTGGGAGGGCAGTGGGGTGCTGTGGAGATTAGATTAAATTGGACAATGCATCTGAAAGCTCTTAGTAAAGTCAGCGGTATGTACCCACCTGTTTTATATTAATGATCAATTGACGAATTTAGGAGGTGTACATAAAAATGAAAATATACATTTTGGGAGAGCAAACAAATTCAGTTATTTTTATATTCACATTATCTTTTAAAAACATTAATTTCATGCTAAAAATGACTCTGGGTGAGTGGGAAGTATGTAGGGGCATTTCTTTGGCTGGGGTAGGTGGGAGGCAGGAGGAGAATGAAGTCAGGAGCCAGAATCTTATCTAAGGGAGGTTGTGAATGGCTAACCCAGGTGAAGGCCGTGGGGTGGGAGAAAAGGGAAGAGTAATAAGGGGGTCAATCACTTCACTGTTTGTCTCAGGGCTGTCTTTTTGCAGGTGTCTGAGTTACTTCAGGTGGTCTTTCTCAGTCACTGGGCTTTTAAATTGCCAATATCAAAATTACTGTGGTGATGCAGCAACTTATAAATCTTACAGTTATCAGATGATAGAGGCTGGTATCCTAGTAGCAGGAGCGTTGAGGGGAAATAAGACTGAAATAAATTTTAATGGACCTCTCTATCTTCCAATTGTGTTTCGCACACCTTCGACTTCTGTTTGGAGAGGTGAAGTTAAGTTATATTTTACATTTTCAATTTCAGAGAGGAGCAAACATAATTTTTTTTTTTTTTTTTTTTTTTTGAGACAGAGTCTCGCTCTGTTGCCCAGCCTAGAGTACAGTGGCGCAATCTCGGCTCACTGCAACCTCCGCCTCCCAGGTTCAAGCGATTCTCCTGCCTCAGCCTCCTAAGTTGCTGGGACTACAGGCGTGTGCCACCACGCCCGGCTAATTTTTTGTATTTTTAGTAGAGACGGGGTTTCACTGTGTTAGCCAGGATGGTCTCGATCTCCTGACCTCGTGATCCACCTGCCTTGGCCTCCCAAAGTGCTGGGAATACAGGCGTGAGCCACTGTGCCCCGCCAGCAAACCTAAATTTTTAGGGTGATTTTGTCTTTACATGTAGGGTAACTCCCAACACCAGACAGATGCAAATATCAGGTAATAGAAATCATTACGGCATCTATTCTGTATTTTATACTTTTCTTGACAAAGGATAAATTTGGGGTCTACAAAATCCTATAGCATCCCTAAAATGTTTTCTATGCTCTGTGCATATTTAAACCATCCTAAACAAAAATGAAGTTCTCCTGTCTCTGATAGGAGATTCCCAGTGTCCCTTGAAAACCCTCTTCAATATTTTGCTAGTGTCACCGCTGCATGTTTAGCCCCATTGGTGTTACTTTTTCCCTAATTGAAGATGGAGACTAGCTTATTGCCACACTTCCTGTGGTGACACTTTGTGTCATTGCATCCCCGTCACTTACCATTGTCCCTCAATTAGCATTTGTTGAACGAATGAATGAATGAAAAAGTACATGAATGAATGAATGAGTGAATGATTTTTGCTTCTAATGTACTCCATTGGCATGTCTCCTTTTTAGTCAGAATAATTCTAGTTCTTTCAAGTTTTATAAGGAATCTACCTTCTTTTTGAACACCAAAACCTTTTGGTTGGCTCTTTACTTAATGCTCTCTATGTTTTTCATGTTCCTTTTTGGTTTGAAGTCCAGAATTGGAGACCAGTGAAGTCTATCAGGTAAAAATGCTAAAACTCTTAGTAATTTATAGAATAGAGTAAAAAGCGTCAGTTCTTAGGACTCTGTGGCTATAACTGACTCAGGTCTAGCTTGTAGGCTTTGGGTCTTGAAATGTCTGAGTTGAAAGGGATTGAAGGAATTATTGTTAAGTGGTTTTGTTCTTTTGTTTTTGGTCTTGTCAATTAGTTTGTTTTGATGTAATGATTAATTAATGTGGCTAAGGCAAAAGTCTTTATCTCTTAGAAATACTCAAATATTTACAGATGAAATATTACGATTTCTAGGGTTTGCTTTAAAAGACAGCAGGAAACAAGGGGCAAATTAAAGCAATAGAGATGAGGCCAGATATATTGATAATTACCGAAGCTGGATTACTTATATTACTCTCAGTACTTTTATAAATAGATTTTTTCTTTCTTTCTTTTTTTTTTTTTTTTTTTTGCCGAGTCAAGTGAACATTTATTTTTGTGCCTTTCTTCCTATGTGCATTTCAAGTCTTTTTCAAAACAAGGCCCCAAGAATCTCCAGATTTAATTATGTCCCTGGGCTTGGTCGACCCCTGCAATAGTCTTAGGGAGCCTTGTACAAATGCTAGAGTTACTCATTTAGCAGCATTAAACCTTAGGAAAGAAGATGCAACAAAGCAAGACTCCTTCCTCCATGGAATGTGCTGATTTCAGACGAGGAGGCAGCCAATGTGGAAAACGCTGGAATTTTTCCTCGGAACTGGACTGTGATGAGAGGTGCTTGCCATGAACATAGCTACTGTCTTTTCTTTGACCCTTCCTTTCCAGTTTTTGAAGATAAAGCAGGAAATAATCGTCTCTGAAGATACTTGATAAAAATTCCCAAAAGAACAAAATCACTGGCTTCCACTTCATTGATACAAATTGACTGCAGTTTGGCACCTGGGTCTAGTTCAGCAGGGGGATGAGCTGATTGATGCGTTCACCCCAATAGCCAGATGTGCCCATCTCCTTGAGGATGCCCACTCTATTTTTGGTAGCATGGCAGGCCACCGAGAGGTGGAAAGGGTGCAAGAACCATGAAATCTCCTGGAAATGCTTCCCTGGGAGCGCAATTTCATGAATGAGGTCTTCCAAGCAAATGACACCAAACTTCCCCAGATGCTCCTCAATCGCTGTGTTGTCTGTCAGAAGGATGGTCTTATTCTTGACCTTGGCTTGTCCACATTTCAAAAGAAGTTCCCAGAGAGACTTCAGATTTGGAAATCCCCAGGTCACACAAGGTTCTATTATATGCAGCATTTTTAGGTTCTGAGGGGTGACTTTTACAGAGACACCACTAAAAATTTTCTTTAGGCAAAGTCTTACAATGGTTCTCTGCACCAGTAAACTCATGCCATCAATCCTTTCGATGAGTACAACAAAGGCCAAGGAATGTTTATCTGGCAATTCCAAGTCATGAGGTTTCACTTCTAGTCGTCAAAGACTCACCTTGCCATATTTCTGCTGCCAGGAATCATGTAGGAATAATTGCAGTTGCTTAAACCTGGCCCTTTTCCTTTCCTCTGCTCCTTCTTTGCCAAAAGTGCCTGCTTTGCCTGGGTGGCTTTGAGGGCTTGATAAGCCTTCCTCTTTTTCAGGAGATTTTCTGGAACCAAAGGGATTTTTCTTTGCTCTTGCTCCGCCATCTTTCTAGTGTTGCAGCTACTCTAGATTTTTTCATAATACAAAGTTAAGAAAAATATATTTAGACAAACTTAATCATTCTAGATGAAAAAAACCAAGATCCAAACATCGCAGAGCTAACAAAACGGAGACTGGGACTAGAAGGCAAGTCCTCTGTCTGCCATTGACATGCTGTTTCTGGTAAACCATGTATCAGTTCAGCCTGTTGTGCTCTCCCTATAGACTTTATTTTTGTCATCATCATCCTGGTAATAATAACTTCAACATGCAAAGGCCATGAACAATTCTAGTCAACTTCCAACCTAACTTAGTTTACCATCCCCTGTGATTTTAATAAGCATAAAAATTTCCCGACTCCAGGTAACTATCAAAAGAGAAAACAATGTTGATGTATCTCTTTGTTCTAGCATTCTTTGGAACAAAAATAGAGGATTGTTAGGGAAAAAAACCCAGACAAACATATGTGCAAGGAATTCCAAATAAGGAATAGTCACTAAACATATTTAAACTTTTAAACAAGAAATTGCACACTACAACAGAATCTAAATAATGTCCCAGAAGTAATTACTAATTTAAGTGTGTAATAAAATGATAAAATGCTTTCATAGAGCTCTGGCCTGCGGAGTCTCTGTGATACATCCAGCATCTTGGCAGCCATCCAAGGCCCAGAGTGGCTTTGAGTTTGGAATGTTTATTTCATCAGAAGCCAGGACCATCTCAGGAAGTCACCTGTGCCCAGATCACTCAGGGTTATGTGGTTTTATCCATGTTCCTCTGGAAAAAGAAACAGCGAGCATTTCTTCATTTGAAGGAAAGTAATAGGGTTGGTCTAAAGAAGGGAGGAGAAGGAGAATTATGTGTGTACGGGTGGCTGAGAGTGGGTGTGGGAGGAAATAGTTGGGGAGTTTACTCATTCAGGTAACCCTAAGGTAAATACCGTGAAATGGTTAACAGCAAACTGTCAGAGTAGTGTAGCCGGAATACAAATGTGTTAGTAGGAAGCGTTAAGTCAGGTGATTTACTCAGGTGAGGAGAAGTACTTCAGGGTGAGCCCTAACTAAGAAGTTGTCTTCCTGTTCAGAACCAGGGAGATTATGAGTGAGATGGCTCTATAAACCAGTGAGTGCCATAAGGAGGAATTTCTAAACTAATGTGGAATTCAAATGGCACTCACTTCCTTAAATAGGTTTCAAAACATTTTGGATTAGGTTTAAGACAGCTCCTTTAAATGATTTGTACTTCATAGACAAGCCACAAGTATTCTGCCCATTTTTCTCCAATCAGAATTAATTCTCTCTGCTCATAAGATGCATGTCATCAGCATAAAATTATTCTCCTCCCCATACTTTTTTGATTGTACCCTCCAATTCCCAAGGTGATTTAAAACTTATAAAAAGAGGTTCATAGTAACAATGGATTTCAATTTTAAACAAGCTTCTCAGTGAGAACCAGTTTGACATTAAAGCATACTTCCAAGTGAATTGTGTATTCATTTAAAGTTTAGGAAAAAAATAAAAACAAACCCTGCTTTACTCCCACCCAGCGTGTAACTCTAGGTCACCACCCCTGGAACATTGTGTCTTTGAGCTTTGGACTGGATTTGCTTCTGAGGTTAAGAGAAGTGTGTGGCAGATGTTGGGAGGCAGTTGGGGGTGGGGGTGGGGAGCAGGGATGAAGGGGCTGCCAGATGTTGAGCGGGAGGGTGGAGTGTGAGGATAAAAGCCTGCCAGATGTCTGTAGTGCAGAATGTTAGGCACCTGCTTTCCATGATCTTCAGAGGATGATTTATATCACATAAGTAGGATCTCATAAAGGTCCTCCCCCAATAAATACAGAATTCAGGGCTCCAGTAATGATTTTCTGTATGGTTTCTTGCCTCACAGTATGTCTTTTTAAAAATTCAAGTTGAGGGTTACGTGAATGAAAATACACAATCAACCAATATATTTGTAAATAAAAGGGGGGGGGGCTTTACATTGAAATCCGTTGTTCTAAATTATAAAGACAATCACCTTTTATTTTCTATTTATTTTATCTTTCCAATAAGACATGATTTGCTCTTCTCTCTCCCCATGATGGATTTAATAGATTTATTCATCAAGTTTTCTAAATTTAGACACCAAACTGATGTTTTTCTCCCACTGCTTAATTTTATTCTTAGCAGCACTTACATAAAGCCAGGCAGTGAAAGATATGGCAAAACTACTAACTTGCTGTGATCTGGAATGCACTTATAGAATAAAATAATAATGAAGATTGATATACCAGGGAGACTTCATACCAAGTGTCCCTACTGAAATCTGTGTTATGCTTTTGGTTTTTCCCCACAGTGCTTTTGGCCACATGTTTCCTGTGGTTTTTAGGAGTCTAGGTTTTCCTTGTAATGCCTGGACTAGACTCAGTTCTGAGGGCATAGATGAGCCATATAAAAGAAAATATGTGGATCTTATAATTTGCTTGCATTTTAGGAAACTTTAGTGTTTTCTAGGTCTAGATTTGATTAAAACAGGTTAAATTTCACTCCTTGATCTTATTTGAAAGCCTTTGAAATAATTGTATTTGCACTGTTGGTGGGAGTATAAATTATTTCAGTCATTGTGGAAGACAGTGTGGCAACTCCTCAGAGACCTAAAGACAGAAATATCATTTGATCCAGCAACCCCGTTACTGGGTATATACCCAAAGGAATATAAATCATTCTATTATAAAGATACATGCATGCGTATGTTCATTGCAGCACTATTCACAATAGCACAGACATGGAATCAACCTAAATGCCCCTCAGTGGTAGACTAGATAATGTGGTACATATATACCATGGAATGCTATGCAGCCAGAAACAAACAACATCATGTCCTTTGCAGGGATACAGATGGAGCTGGAGGCCATCATCCTTAGCAAACTAACACAGGAACAGAAAACCAAGTACTGCATGTTCTTACTTATAAGTGGGACTTATAAATGATGAGAATACATGGACACATAGAGGGAAGCAACCCACACTGGGGCCTACTGGAAGGTGAAGGGTGGGAGGAGGGAGGGGATCAGAAAAAATAACTAATGGGTACTAGGTTTAATACCTGGGTGATGAAATAATCTGTACAACAAACACCCATGACACACACTATCACCTATGTAACAAACCTGCACATGTACCCCTGAACTTAAGTTAAAAAAAGAGAAATAATTGTATTTGGTGAATTGGAGGGTGAACTAAGAGATGGAAAGATTGAGAGAGAAGCTATATTTGTCCCAGTGGCCCCTCAATCTTCAGAAAGCTCAGGCTTGTCATTCTTTCTGCACCACAGTTAGCAGTGTTGATCATTGCTCCTCTAGACTGCACTGGCATTCAAGCATTCAGTAAATAGTTATTGAGCACCTAGGAGGTACCACTCTGCTAAGTTCCGGGAATACAGTGCAGAAAGAGGTTTCTCTCCTCTTAAAACTCCAGTGTACTGGGGAAGATAGACATTGAGCAGATAATTGTTGAAATACTTATTCACAAGAGGTAAGTTCTAAAAGAAAAGTGAGTAATGTGTGCTATGAGAAAGATAACAGGGGGGACTTTGATAGATGTCATCAGATAACCATGGAATAGATTGCTTTATGACTTGGCAAATTGCTTCCTCATTTGGAATCATCAGATAGCCACTCGGTTAGGCAAGTCAGCTTTAAAATGTGATGGAAGGCAAGCATTTTGTCAGGTGGTACTTTCTTGTTTTCCAAGAAAATGAGAAATTCTTTTTTTGGCCTGTACTCCAGATTCTTCCAGGGCCAATTCCATAGTTGAAACTCGTTTTTACATTCAGGCTCTGGTTTTTGTTTTTCTAAATAAAAATTTAATTTTAGAATAGTTTTAGATGTATAGAAAAGTTGCGAAGATAGTACAGAGAGTTCCCATATACACCCCACCCAGTTTCCCCTAACATTTTATGTTAAGATGGTACATTTGTCACAATTAATGAACTAATATGGATACACTATTATTAACTGATGTTCATGTTCATGTTTTTATTTATATTTCCTTAGGTTTCACCTAATGTTCCTTTTGCTCCAGAATCCTGTCCAGTTTAGTTTCCTTGACTTTGGCAGTTTCTCAGATTTCTCTGGTTTTTGATGACCTTGATGGTTTTTGAGAAGTACTGATCAGGCATTTCGTAGGATGTCTCACTAGGAGAACCCTCATAATTTCCCCATGATTAGACTGGGGTTACGAGTTTTTGGGAGGGAAACTACAGAGGTAAAGTGCCATTCTCATGACATCATATCAAGGGTACTTACTATCAACATTGCTTATCATTGTTGATGTTGACCTTGATTGCCTGCTGAGGTAGTGTTTGTCAGGTTTCTCTGCTATAAAGTTACTCTTCCCCACCCCTTTTCATACTGTGCTTTTTGAAGGAAGTTACCATGTGCAGTCTGTACTTAAGGAGTTATATTTCACCTCCTTGAGGGTGGAGTATCCACACAAGCTATTTGGCAGTCTCCTGCTTGGGAAACTTGTCTATTCTTCCTCATTTATTTCTTTAGTCAATCATTTATTTATATCAGTATTGACTCACGGATATTTATTTTATACTTTGGGCTATAATCCAACACTATTTAACTTTGTGTCCCAAATTGTTCTATCTTTGGCTAGAAGCTCTTTCAGTTGGCTCTTACGCCCCTTAGACATAAGTGTATCCGTGTGTGTTTGTGTGTGTGTGTGTCTTCTTCAAACTTTTTTTTTTTCAGTACTTCCTTACTTTTTGGGCCTACAAGATGGTCCAGGCTGATCTTGTATTTTTCCTGCTATAGTTCTGGAATCAGCCATTTTTCCAAGGAGCCCTGTTTTTATTTTTATTTTTATTTTATTAGAGAATGGTACTGGGAGCCAGGATCTGTGTAGTTCTCCTGGTTTGTTTTTCACACTATAAATCACTTGTGAAATAGTCCGGACAGGAGTGTGGGGTGGAGAAGGAAGTCTGAGCTTCAGAGTCGGGCCTGATATCTATTTCCCATATTTCCCACTTGCTAACTGCAGAGCCCTGAACAAATAATTTAGCCTCTCAGAATCTCACCTTTCTCATCTATAAAATGGGCATATTATTTACCTCGCATGATTATTGTGAGAATAAGAAAAAGGATTTATAATGGGCCTGACACAGAACATCTATTCAAAAAGTCATTTCTATGGAGCAGGGTAGGTCCATATGGGTGTCCCCACCCCGGAGTTGGCTGAATACCAAGGAAAATAGATGTTTAATTTTTTAAATTACATAAACAAAACCATATTATTCATGAAGGAAATACAAAAGAGGATGTTTTACTTACAATCCTACTGCCCTAACACATGTTCCCTTTTAGTCTCTGTCAGTATGTACTTACTGAAAATATATTTTCATCATGTTGAATATAATAAGAGAAATAACATTTTAACATAATGTATATGGTAATAATAAAATAGCCCCACTTATTAGGTGCTTATCCTGTATTCAACTTTTACATGGATTGTTATAATCTCCATTTTATGGCTGAGAAAACTGAGGTACAAATAGGTTAACTACCTTTCCAGAAGGCACACAGCCAAGGAGAGAGGAAGACAGGATTTGAACTGAGATCTGTCTGATGCCAGAGCTGGAATCTTTAATCATTGTTACATTTTCTCTTTTATGTAGACACCCCCACCCTCCAGTCATATGTTAATACACAGGCATACATGTTAATTTCTTTCTTTTCTTTTCTTTTTCTTTTTTTTTTTTTTTGAGACAGAGTCTTGCTCTGTCACCCAGGCTGGAGTGCAGTGGCCCTATCTTGGCTCACTGCAACCTCTGCCTCCCAGGTTCAAGCAATTATCCTGCCTCAGCCTCCCGAGTAGCTGGGATTACAGTTGCCAGCCACAGTGCCTGGCTAATTTTTGTATTTTTAGTAGAGACAGGGTTTCACCATCTTGGCCAGGGTGGTCTCAAACTCCTGACCTTGTGATCCACCCGCCTCAGTCTCCCAAAGTGCTGAGATTACAGGCGTGAGCCACTGTGCCCGGCCCATATTAATTTCTTTATGTCACATATGCTGTCTACCATGCTAGAGGCATTAGATGATGTTGGTTTTAAAAAGATGAATCGCTTACATCCCCCATCTTTTTTTAAAGGTGTTTAGAATATTATAGGATTAAAGGTGTTTAGGATATTAAAGGTGTATAGGGGATATTACACATAAAGAGGGCTGCAGTGCAGTTCTTCCAGAGCTATACAGATTTTGGAGTTTTGAAAAAAGAATGCTTATATTTGCCCAGTGACACCAGAGAGAGTTTGATGGAAGAGGTGACATTCGAACTGAGACTTGAAGGATGGGCCAGATTTAAATGGGTATGTTTGCGGATAGTAGGGGCATTTCAGCCAAATGAAATAGTAAACATAAAATTGGATAGGCTTGTGATAGACTACATCACTAAACAGCAGATATTCATCTTATTTTCCAAACTGTACAGGGAGGAGCATGCTCCCTTACCTCCAGTGACTTTGGGCTTGGCCCTGTAACTGTCTTGGACCATTGAAATGTGGATGGAAGTAGCAGCATGGTATTTGTGAGTACAGACTTCAAAAGACTCATGATAAGTTTCTGCCAGCCCTCTTGAAGCTTCTTCCCTCTGTCTCGAGAACAGCTCGTCTCAGGCAAATGTTGTGCCTTCAGCCTGAGGTCTGGAATGAAGGCACGTAGCAGCAAACCTGAAAGTGCTCTGGCTTAAGTCCAGCCTTGCGCGGATCAGCACAGCTGAAATCATCCAAATGACAGCAGATGTACAAACCTGTGAGTGAAAATAAATGTTAGTTTTTATGAATTCCTGAGATTTTGGGGGTTGCTTGTTATGCAGAATAATCTCAGCAGAAATCTGATTAATATTAGGCCAAAAAGGATAGGCCAAGTTAGAAGAGAAACTAGTTGTCTAGATTGGCTGAAGAATATACATGCAAGCCTGCACCTGTGTGTGGAGAATTTTAACTTTACACATGAAAATAATGAATAAGATGACTCAGACTTTGTTGGGTTTGGCAGCCAAAATGGCCAAGATTATTTTACAAGCATCTTATATAGGATTTATTTAAAAATATACAAAATTAAGGACTTGGAATAAAAGCACAGAATGGCTCAGGTATTTTTCCTTTTCTTCCTCACTACTTTACTCTTATTTATTTATTTATTTATTTTTTGAGATGGCGTCTCGCTCTTGTTGCCCAGGCTGGAGTGCAGTGGCATGATCTCGTCTCGCTGCAACCTCCACCTCCTGGGTGGAGCAATTCTCCTGCCTCAGCCTGCTGAGTAGCTGAGATTACAGGCGGCTGCCACCATGCCTGGCTAATTTTTGTATTTTTAGTAAAAATGGAATTCCACCATGTTGGTCAGGCTGGTCTCAAACTCCTGACATCAGGCGATCTACCCTTCTTGGCCTCCCAAAGTATTTTACTCTTTTATGAGGCCCAGCACATACCAAATCTAGAATAAACATTAGGGACATGGGTCTTCCCTCAAACAACTGTACAGTCAGTTGAATAAGCAAGATAGATACGTACACAGGAAATACAAGGGGAGTGCTTGAACACAAGAAAGCAGCAGGATTTAAAGTAAGGAAAGAATTTGATGCTTTTTTAGCTTCATGATGTAAAGGAGATATGCTAGCAAGAGGTTAACCTGGCAGTATGATGGGTATGATTAATTTATAAATACCCTATCCTGAGGCCAGGTAATTACTAAGGGTTCTCTACGTTCTTTAGTTGGCCACCTTCAGAGTCCAGCAACATAAATGCATATTGCTGGTGATTGACAAGCCACCTGGATGCTTAGCCCATGGTAGAGCCCTAGTGGGAGGAAATAAAGTATTTCTAAAGCCAAAGAGGTGTGGAAGAAAAAAGATTGAGTGGGTGGCTCTGTAGGAAAGGAGGGGGGACCTTCCTGGGAAGGTCCTAGAGTATAAAACTAAAACTTTATGCCAGTTGGAGTGGTTGGAGATGGGTGGAATAGAATAGAAATTCCTTTCTTTAATCTGTATCCCTCGTAGACTCAGGTTGGATGATGTCTCCAACTTAACAGTAAAAGAATGTGATTTTGGTTGGGCGCGGTGGCTCATGCCTGTAATCCCAGCACTTTGTGAGGCTGAAGCGGGCGGATCACGAAGTCAGGAGTTCAAGACCAGCCTGGCCAACACAGTAAAAGTGCATCTCTACTAAAAATACAAAAATTAGCCAGGCGTGGTGGTGCGTGCCTGTAGTCCCAGCTACTTGGGAGGCTGAGGCAGGAGAATCGCTTGAATCCAGGAGGTGGAGGTTGCAGTGAGCTGAGATCATGCCACTGCACTCCAGCCTGGGCGGTATTATTTTCTACTCTCTTTCTCTTTAAAAAAATTTTGGGCAACAGAGTGAGACGTCTTCTCAGAAAAAAGAAAAAAGAATGTGTTTTCTCCTGGCTTTGTTTTGTGTGCTTTACTGTAAGTCCATTTGGTTATGGACGATGTCACCCCAACCTCTTACTTCCAAGTCATCTGTATGCCATTGTGCTAAAAGAGTTTCTGTCTCTTCTTTGCCTTAGTCCCCAGTGCCCTTGTATTCTGTGTCTCCTGTATGACACATACTTGTAACATTACATTTTGGGTAGTGAATTCTGCGCCATGGAGTAAAATAACTATGATTTCCCTCTGGCTTAAAGATGAGAAAACATTTGGGACCATGGTGCACGCCTCTGAGATGCTTCAAGCATTCCCTTTAGTCTCCAGTGAATCAACCCATACTCTCTCCAGGGTGGGCAGTGAAACACAGGGTCATCCATTTGAGTTTTGACTGAGCATTGCCCTGACCTCCCCTGCTGGCCATGACTACAGGGATCCTGACTGCAGCTGTAAACAAGCTCCATAGGAAGCCTTGCCACTTAAGGAAATACAAGACATGTTTCACAAACGTGTTGAACACTTGCTATTTGACAGGCATGTGGTAGGCATAGCAAAGGACACAAAAATGAATAATATATGATTCTTTCCTTCATGGGGATTTATAATCTAGTGGAGAATGTAGATAGGCACAACACAAGGATGCAGGAGGCTGAATGGAGAGACAATTTGCGCGTGGTCCAATTACAGACCACCTAGCCTCTAGGTTCCGCATTGGAACATACTGTAACGGAAATCCTGTCCTGGCCGATGGAAAGTCAGAAGCAGGCCCAATAGAGAGGTTTAATTTAAAACAGTATCCCAGCCCCGCTCAAAGTTAAAACACCCTGTTCTGCTCAAGGGAGAGAAGAACAGTCTCGACTAGATAAAAGAGCCTCATTTTAAGGCCACACTTTGGCATCTTTTTCTCCCAGCCTCTTATTTTTGTTTCACCTCCAAGAGACACTGTCTAGCAAGCTCCTAGGACATTCTTTGCCAGTGGGATACAGGTAGTATAATTCTAGTGGGTGTCAGATCAGAACCAAGTGGATTTGTATTTTTAGTAACAAAACTACTACACTGACCACGAGCTGGTTTCTCTTTGAATAGAAATGAAGGGAGCTAGCTCTTCTTTCTTCTATTAGGAAGTTATACTCCTTTCAGCTTCAGTAAGCTCCCATGAAGACCATTCTGAATATCTAGTGGCCAAATATTACTTGCTAATAGTTCATTCATTTTTTTTCTTAAGGAGAAGAGTCTTGGAAGTCAGCCTGGGAACTAGGCTCATAGGCTGGGAAAACAGACAGGAAGCTAGGCAGCAGCTGTTTTTAATGTGCTTGGAGACTACGTATGTAATATGTACAGAACACATTGCATTCAGTAAGATCATAAAATATGCATGCGAGCATGGTAAGAACATGACAGTAGAAATGGTGCTGCCAACACAATGGAGCTACTGTTACAATGACTACACCATGTAGCTTCATGTCTCAGAGTATGGCAGCCTGGCTATCTTCTGAGTTGAAATTCGGTATAATGCTACAATCCTCTGCTTTTTCCACATGACTAATACACAACACTGATAGAATTGTCTGTGATAGTTTCTAACCTCTGGGGAGAACTCAGGTCTCCTCCTGGAGCTACGGAATAGTTTAAGGACTAAATGGAGTCCTCAGACACAGGCAACTAGCTATGCTACCAAGGGGTAAAGCTTTGAGAGGGAGAGCAAATGGTATCATGACTAAAACCAGGTGAGGTAAGCAATCTCTCATATTCTCCTGTTTGAGAGAGCTCCTCCCATACTGGCCTTCTGCTCGGAGAAAGAGGAGTCCCTGAAGATCATAGGTGGCCCAATATATTTGAGTGCACCTAAAAAAGTTGCTCCCTCTTTTTTTTTGTTGTTGTTGTTTGTTTTCTTAGACGGAGTCTTGCTCTGTCGCCCAGGCTGCAGTTCAGTGGTGCGATCTTGGCTCACTGCAAACTCTGCCTCCCAGGTTCAAGTGATTCTCCTGTCTTGACTTCCTGAGTAGCTGGGATTACAGGTGCACGCCACCACACCAGGCTAATTTTTGTATTTTCAGTAGAGACGGGATTTCATCATATTGATCAGGCTGGTCTCGAACTTCTGACCTCAAGTGATCTACCTGCCTCGGCCTCCCAAAATGCTGGGATTACAGGCGTGATCCCCGGTGACCAGCCACCCCCTCTTTTTTTTAAATAAGCTTTTTTTGAAATTTTGAAATAGTTTTATACTTACAGAAAAATTACAGAAAGTATAGAACATTTTCTTTTACCCCTCAACCAGTTTCAGCTTTCCCTATGTTATCATCTTACATTATCTTGGTAATTTATCAAAAGTAAGAGACCAATTTTTTGATACATTACTATTAACTCTAGACTTCCTTTGAATTTCACCCATTTTTCTAATAATGTCTTTTATTTTTCTGCACCAGGATCCAATCAGGTTGCTGTATTTTATTTATTTGTCATTTTTCCTTAGTCCTGTCTTGTCTGTGGCGGTTTCTCAGTCTTTCCCTGTTTTTCATGACCTTGACAGTTTTAAGGAGTATTGGTCAGATATTTTTAGAATTTCAAAAAAAGTCTCTCTTTTAACATGAGGCCTGATCATCCCTTGCTTGGGAGAAGCTATTTTCTGTCTTAAAAGGCCAAATCCTGGTAGATCCTGGAGGAGAGAAGGCCTGGAGAAGGAGACTGGAGCTTCTCCCATACTGACTGTCTGCTCAGGGGGAAGAGGAGCACCTGAAATCATAGGTGGCCCAATATATTTGAGGGCAACTCCTTGGGTTAGTGGTCTCACCCTACTACATGTCAGAATCACTTGGGGGGCTTTTCAAAAAATACTGATGCCTAGAACCCACCAAGACCAATTAAATCAAAATTTCTGGGGATGTGGTCCAGCATGGATATTTTAAAACAGCACACCAGGTGATTCTAACGGGCAGCCTGGATGGAGAACTTCAGACTTAACTAGTAATAAGGAACATACTTGCCTACGTGTCCTAGATACAGCCATTGAGAAGAGTGGGCTCCAAGTACGCAAACTGGTCAAAGATTTGGGATTTGGAATCCCGAAAAAGCCTCTTTATTATAGATTTAACTGATGGTATTATTCTAGTTACTTACTTTTCTCAACTTGAGAATTGAGTGCTAGGCAGTGAATTTGTTTTCTTAATCATCATCTGATTTGGGATTCAAACGAGCGCGTTGCCCTTGATCACTGAATATCCTAATTGAGCTGGCCCATCAGAGGTATTAATATAATCTATTGCTCAGATAAAAACACTCCCCTGAGGGTTGGGAGACAGAGTTTCAGTCTTAAGGCTTTAAATGCTATTTGGCCACTGGCTGGCTGACCGAGTCACTCATATTCTTTGGAACTCAGGGAACTCACCAGAAAGGGTTTGAATTAAGGAATTAGGTCATGACAGATCTCCTCCGGCTCTGAGATTCTATGATTCAAGGAGTCAGAAGACTGCCTTTTCTTTTCTTTTTCTTTCTTTCTTTTTTTTTTAGACAGAGTTTCGATCTTTTTGCTCAGGCTGGAGTGCAATGGCGGGATCTTGGCTCACCGCAACCTCCGTCTCCCAGGTTCAAGTGATTCTCCTGCCTCAGCCTCCCGGGTAGCTGGGATTACAGGTGACTATCACCACGCCCGGCTAATTTTTGTATTTTTGGTAGAGACAGGGTTTCGCCATGTTGGCCAGGCTGGTCTCGAACTCCTGACCTCAGGTTATCCACCCACCTTGGCCTCCCAAAGTGCTGGGATTACAGGTGTAAGCCACCGCACTGGGCCCAAAACTGCCTTTAAAATCCCAGTTTGTTACTTACTAAATGTTTGACTTCAAGGGAGCCACTGGATCCTGCCATACCCATTTGTCTATCTGTTAAGTAGGGATAGGAATACCTGTGGACACTGAGATCTTTCTTTCTGAAGTGCTGTGCAATTCTAGCTGTAACATTTTCTGAAAAGATGGGTGATTCTTTCCTCTCTTGGTTGGGGAATCCTTGTATTACGGCTTTATATCTTTCCTATGCCTCTTTATCATAGATTAAACTGACAGTATTATTCTATTTACTTACTTTTTAAACAAATTGGCTTGAAAACTGAGTGCTAAGCAGTGAATTTGTTTTCTTAATCTTCATCTGATTTGGGGATTAAAAAAGTGAGTTATGAAACCCTTGCTCACCGAATATCCTAATTTCAGTGGTCTAGTGACCAGAGCCAACCCTTTGGAGGTATAATCTATTGCTCAGATGAAAACACTGCACAGAGTTTCACAAGTCTCAGTGCAGTGCAAGTGCCTCATACGTACTCAGTAAATATTTGTGGGTTGAGTAAATGCCATAAGTTGAAGATAAAACTTTAGTCAACACACCAGTGGATTGCAATAATGGCTTCTCATTAGACTCACCTAAGTAGTTCTAAAAATGATGACTCTCCCAGAGCAATCAGATTAGAATGTCTGGAAACGGAATCCAGGTTTTGGGTTTTTTAAGCGTCCCCAGGTAATCCCATGTACAGCCAAAGTTGAGAACCACTGCCTTAGAAGGCCAGTTTTTCTTGCTCAGCAAGTTAAAGAATGGAATGTGGCTCAGATATAAAGACTGTCCAATCCTTGAAGCATTTGCATTGTATTTTTACTTCTCTCTTCATTCACCATACACTTAGCACAGGCCAGGCACATGGCAGGAACTCAATGAGTTATTTGTTGAATTGGATGGAATTAAAAAAAAAATTCCCACATTGCCATTTCCTCCCACAGCGATTTTACTCACTATGTGAAAATATGTGAAAAGCAGGTAAAGTCAAGAGTTGTAACCCACATTTCCCATGCAGTCATATTCTCATTACAACACAGGGTACAGTTTTTTAGGTTTTGCATACTGTAATGAGTCTCGTTGAAAAAGAGTTCCTTCTTCATTTCAACCCCGCTCTGTGTCTTCTTGCCTTTTCGGCCTCCCAGCCCAGCGGCTGATTGGAGTTTGGGACTGGCGGTGCTTCGTCGTGGAGAGGGTGGCATTTTCAGTAGCTGGGGTTGTTGCAATAAGCCCAGTGCGTTTCACTGCTTCCGGGTGTTTCCTCCACTGACCGAAAGACACCTGATTTGATCTTCACACTCCCTCGGGTTCTCCGTGCTTTATTCATCCTCATATTAAAAGCATATTTTTAAACAGATTCTGAGATTCTAGTCTTATTATTAATACAGGTGCTTACTTACTTCCAGATAAATACAGAACCCCCACCCCCCCGCTTTTGAATGTGTTGTAGCTTTATATGAAGCTAATGGAGCAAGGCAATGCTCAAACGTCAAATTAAACTGCACAGCTCTGTAATCACTCAGACTGACATGGCATAAAAGGATAATTAGTAGTTCATTACATGGAACATTGTTTGTTCAGCTAAATTGATTTCTCAGCTGCCCATGTTTTCTGTTTACTTAGTAAGCGCTCCATTGCACATTTTTATTTGAGAGCTAGGAAATCCCTTCCCCTGATTTTTTTTTTGATCAGTGCAGTTTTAAAATATAATTTGCTTGAGCTGGGTGAACCTCCGAATGACATACAGGTGTACGGTAACAATCATGAGTGTGGATTGATGCCTGGAACATAAAACCGACTGTGGCTAGAGACCTAGGAGACTCTACCAAAAGGCTAGAACATACCCAGTGGCTTTGTACCTGGAAATGCTTTTGTGGCTGTTTGCTTTTCAACTTTAGAGTGAATTCCCCTCTCAGAAAGGGAGGGGGCGAGAAAGAGATTGGAATAGACACCAAATCCCTTGCTGTTCAAAGTGGACGTTTTCCAACAAAGTTTTTCTTAAACCCTTCATGTTGCCTGTTAATGCCAACATAAAGAAAACAGTGGCTGTTTTAGGATTTCCTACCACTCTGCTCACTATCAGCAGGATTTAGAAAAAAGGCTAAATGCTGACTTCAAAACTTTCTGCACTTGCTACCTTTTAACGATAATGTGAATTTTCTAGCTTGAGGAAGCACAGCTATCCATGGCAGCCTCCCCGCCGGCTGTTTCCATGTCCTTTGTACTTCTCCTCTCTGAGGTATAAGGCATCCGCATAGATTTTGCTGGACAAATGCAGTCGTTCAGATGCCTCCTAACACGTAGCTCACCTCGATTTTGCCATTGCTTTACTTAGCTATGCTTGGCCAATAGGTTAATGCATTGCACTGAATGACACCTTGGAGTTTTGATAGTCACAGAAGAGAGAAGCCGGTTCTGTATCTAGTTCAAACCTTGGGCACATGATGAAATAGAAATCTGGGTAGTATTTCAGGCTGAGAGTTCGGCTACAAAGAAGTTTGTTTCCCAAAAGATTCTCAATGTTTTCTAGTCCTTGGAGGAACTTAGAAATCTGCCTTTGAAAATTAAAACGTTGTTGGCTGGGTGTGGTGGCTCATGCCTGTAATCCCAGCACTTTGGGAGGCAGAGGCGGGCAGATCACGAGGTCAGGAGTTTGAGACCAGCCTGGCCAACATGGTGAAACCCCGTCTCCACTAAAAAACACAAAAATTAGCCGGGCATTGTGGCAGATGCCTGTAATCCCAGCTACTCAGGAAGCTGAGGCTGGAGAACTGCTTGAACCTGGGAGGTGGAAGTTGCAGTGAGCTGAGATGGCGCCACTGCACTCCAGTCTGGGTGACACGGCAAGACTCTGTCTCGGAAAAAAAAAAATTAATGTTGTCATTCTCTATTTGTAGAGGAAGACTATTAAAAGGATACTGTAGGTCAATGTGAGGAGAAGGGAGGCCTTTTAAGACTGGGTAAAGAAAAGCTCAGTGGTTCACCCTAGTTAGTAGTGTTTCCAAATACACGTGTGCAGCTGGGGTGCACACTAGTGGAACTAAAGACTGTATTAAATTCCACTACAACCAAGCTCTGGATTTCTTTCCTTGGCCCATTAGAACATTAGCAGGCTCATATAACACGCACACAACATATTGAGCAGGGGTCTCTCAGTTACCAATATTAATGGGAGGAAATAGAGCCTTCATGAATGAAATCTGTAAGTAATCCTCAAAGCTCACCAGTGCCTTTTGATTTAATCTTCTCCCCTAGCAACATCGTTAGGTGCTGGACGTAAAGTTGAAGGTATGCCCGGAAGAAGAGAATCTTAACCTTTGAAGAGAGCATGAACATATTTATGTATTCTTAGCACACAATGACCCAGTAGGAACTCTGAAATAGAATTTCAAAGTTTTTTTTCTGTAAAGAAAGTAATTTTGGGGTCAAAATTGTAGGCAGGCTATTCTCTTATAGGCTTTAAATATGGAAATGAGTTAGGGTAGAAATCTGTGATTATCTTGTATGTAGGGGGACTTTGTTCTGACTAAAACAGTAACGATAATTAATATACGTGACTCATAAACTGAAGCCCCACAATGTGCCTGGCACTGTGCTACATGCTGTATGTTTGCCATTGTGGTCTCTTCCTTCCCAACTCTAATTGCAGGCTTTCTTTCCCTTCTTGGGCTCATTACAGAACTTCAGGTTAAGGCAACTGGCTAATCATCCTTTCTTCTTGAGCACTACCTGGCACCTGGATGTTTGCCAGTAGGCTTGCCCACCTGTTCTGCTCTCTTAACATCCTGCCAATCTCCTGGTTTCTCTTGGCCAGGGCTTAGACATTCTAATTCCTTTGTGTCATCTCCTCTCTCATTTCTCCTGTTGCCACTTCCCCTGAATTTTGGCAATCAGATTAGCTATTGCTGGCCCTCCCACCCCCAATCTGTACCACTAACGTAGGCTCAAACATAGCCCAATTCCAAAGCTGATGTCCACAAGGTAGGATGTATGTAATCAGTCCTCCCTAAATTGCCCATGCATAATTTTATTAAAGTTCTGCTGTCACAATTAAACTACTGGACGTCACATTACAATTCCTGGGTTTCCATTTTCACTAACTCTCTTCGGCTGCCAAAGAGACCCACGGACTGCTTCTCTTAGAGCAAACCTGGGCTCCATATATTTGTCACCTCAATCACAGACTCCCTTCAGCTCTCTTCAAAACACAGGATTACAATTCTGTTCAGATGGCCCTTCTGGATTCCTGATTGGCTGCCATTGCGATCGTCCCTTCTTAGCTTCCTCGACACCAGAATTGCTGCGTTTTCTTCCTATCTCACTAGCTGTTTCTTCCCATTCTCTAAAGGTTGGGGAGACCGTGAACTAGTCCTATGCCAGTCTCATTATTATTATTTTAAAAATTTTCTTCCCTTCTCCATCTAGGTGCTCTCATTTGGCCCCAGGGTTTAAAATCCCATCTGTACAGGCTGGGCGCAGTGGCTCACGCCTGTAATCCCAGAACTTTGGGAGGCCGAGGCAGGCGGATCACCTGAGGTCAGGAGTTCAAGATCAGCCTGACCAATATGGTGAAACCCTGTCTCTACTAAAAATACACAAATTAGCTGGGCGTAGTGGTGGGCGCCTGTAATCCCAGCTACTTAGGAGGCTGAGGCAGGAGAATCCCTTGAACCCAGGAGGCAGAGGTTGCAGTGAGTGGAGATCGCACCACTGCACTCCAGCCTGGGAGATGGAGTGAGACACTGTCACTGTCTCAAAAAAAAAAAAAAAAAATCCCATTTGTACACACTGATGTCTCTCCATGTAGTATCTCTAATCTAAAACTTTCTCCCGGGCTTCAGACACATATAGCCAAAATCATAATCAATATGTTAGGGTAGAATGGCCATCTTAAAAGGAACTTAGGCTTAAGAGCTTAGCTTAAAAAGAACTTAGACTTTCTTTCCTGAAAACTGTTTTGCTCTTTTCTTCCCCTTTCTTAGTTAATAGCTGCATCTAACTGCTAAGGTTAAAAACCTAGGAATCGTTTTTTATTATTCTCTTTTCCTTACCCTCATATCCAATCCATCTGTGAGTCCTGGTGTTTCTCTACCCAAAATGTATTTCCAGTGTGTTACCTTTTGTTTAGTTCCAAGCCACTCTTGTCTCTCCACTGGACTATGGTAATAGCCTTCTAACTAATTTTTCCTGATTCTGCTCTTGCTCCCTCAGTCTGTTCTCCACAGAGAAGACAGGGTGCTCTTTTAAAAGCAAAAATCAATCAGGATCAATCATTTCCTGTTTTAACCCCCATGGCTTTCCACTGCACTTAGAATAACATCTGAACACCTTCAGGCACCCACGGGCCCCACCTAATCCAATCCCTTCTCACTTTCTGGTATCATTTCATGCTTTTTTTTTTTTCTTCTCCTCTCTGAAATGGTCAGGTTTCTCCTACAGCAAAGCCCTTGCATTTATTGCTTCCTTCTTCCAGAATGCTGTTCCCCATGTGATTGCACAGCTGCCTCTGTCTTGTAGTTAAGGCTGTAACTCAAACATCGCCTTTTCAGAAAGGTCTTTCCCGAACCTTATCTAAAGTCACTCTTATTCAAATTATCCTGTATTATTTCCTCTCTAGTATGAATCACTGTTGACTTTCTAAAAAGTTGTTTTGGATTGTTTACACCTTTATTATCTGTCTTTCTCTGTAAGAAAGTAAGCTCCATGTGGGCACAGCCTTTGTTTTGTTCACAGCTGTATCTCCTGTGCTTGGAACAATGACTGGCATGTAAGAGACACTCAATAAATATTTGAATAAATAAATTCCAGAATCTTTGTCTAGTTGGGGAAAGGTCCCAGCGTGCACCTATTAACACTCATTTCTCTGCCTTTGTCTTCAATATAATTAGGAACTCTGCCCTTAAGTCTCGCCTAACTTCTAGCTAGTCATCTACAATTACCTTTGGAGCTGCTTTTCTGAGGCCCATTTCACTTTGCCTTGTCTTGCTCTGTGTGGCTAAGAGAACTATGGTGTTTCACCTCTGAGTCTACAAAGCTGAATTACAACAGCTTTGCCCTCTGGTTTGTCACTGGAATCTTTTGGCTTTCATCCGTGCTGCAAGCCCCAGGCTGTGGCATCCGTTTCGATCATTGCTTCTCACATCTGTCTTGAATTTGGTTTGTCTCTCTTTCTCCTTGGTGCTGGCCTCCTATCAGGTCTTACAAGATTCTCTAGGGCTGTTTACCACATTTTGGAGAAACAGGGCATCAAGAAAAAGCAGTGTGAAGCTAAACTCCAACAGAGGCTAAGGAAGACAGGTTCACTTTCATCTCAAGTGCAATTCCACTGCAATTAGGATTGTGGATATTTCACCACCACCTCTCCAGGAAATTAGTGAATCAGGAAGTGTTCTATTTTCTCTTGACCCTTCCTGAGGAAGAGCAATCATATAATTAAATATATTAAGGCTTATCAAATTGCAAAATCTGGTGATGCAAATGAAGAAAAGCAAAATTTACACGGTTGCCAGTTTGAGACATAGCACAGGAGAAACAATATGCAAAAAGAAAAGTGATACAAGCCTCAGAATTTAAAAAGAAAATTCCACTCTTATGTTCTAGCTATTGTTTGGCTTTTTGATAGTAGGTATGAATACATGACTGTAAATAATTTGCATATATCTGTACTCCAATGACAGGTTTATAGATGATGTATACAATGTGTAGGTGATATTTATATTTTGCTTTAATGAAAAGTTATAAAATGGGTGATATTTATTCAAGATGCTGAAATAACTTCTTTGGGTTTATTTGAATGATTAGGCCAGGAGCACATTCATATATATATGAAAAAAGTGCTAGTTGTGCAGCCTTTCAATCTGTCAAGCAAATATACATGCACATGTTTCTTTTTTGAAAAGCATATCATTGTGTCCAATAATTCAAAATGAGCTCTTCCAAGTAACTTACATCTGTCAGATAAATAAAATTTGATCCTACACACACACACACACACACACACACACACACACACATCTCACCTATTAAACAAAATCCACTTGGGGACAAAACTAATTTAGTTATGCAATGACTATAAAAATAAAATAGGTATTTATATAGTGAGGTAAAAGAAAACCTATTTTAGAAAAGAATTGTTTTCCATCATGTAATTATTCATAATTTATTTATTCTGTTATTGATAGACATTTAAGAGTGATCTATTGTATGATTATAGACAAGGTTTATATTTGTACCCAGGTGGAAATATTTCTATAAGATTCAATTCTGAAAGTGAAATTGCTGTTTTAAAGGGATTGTGTATTTTAATTGACAGATTTTTTGAGATTTAACCTTGCATGAATACAACATGAGAATCTTCATACCCTTATATTCTCCACTGCTGGACTCTTAGGTTTTGATCATTTGATGAATGAATACAACTTCCCGTAGTTTTATTTTTTGTTTTGTAATTTTACTGAAGTATAATTGACATACAATAAAGTTGACTTGTAATTTAATGTGTGTGTGTGTGTTTTTGTGTGGGTGTGTGTGAGAGAGAAAGAGAAACATTACCATAACCAAGTTAATAAACATTATTATTACCTCTAAAGGTTTCCTTGTGCCTTTTGTAATTCTTCTTTTTTCCTCCCTTCCCTCCCCACACTGTCCCCAGGTAACAAATGATCTCCTTTCTGTCACTAGTCTATTTTCTTTTTTTTTTTTTTATGCCTTGCATTGTGGCTTTATTGCTGTAAAATCCAATGTTATAATTTTCTAAACCTTGACTTGAGTTTCCCAACTGTGACTAACATATAGAGTTCTAACCATGACATTTTCTCCATTTACATAACCAAGACTTATAAAGACCAGGGGGAAAAAGTACTTGATCCTGTAAACAGGCACCACATGTCTGTAATTCTCATAAAGGATATAGCCTTTATGTCAGTCCTTCTCTTCTTTTATTTCTTTTTTTTGTTGTTGTTGTTGTTCTTACTTTTAGCTCTTTTCTTTTTTTATTATTATTATTATACTTTAAGTTTTAGGGTACATGTGCACATTGTGCAGGTTAGTTACATATGTATACATGTGCCATGCTGGTGCACTGCACCCACCAACTCGTCATCTAGCATTAGGTATATCTCCTAATGCTATCCCTCCCCCCTCCCCCCTCCCCCCACCCCACAACAGTCCCCAGAGTGTGATGTTCCCCTTCCTGTGTCCATGTGTTCTCATTGTTCAATTCCCACCTACGAGTGAGAATATGCAGTGTTTGGTTTTTTGTTCTTGTGATAGTTTATTGAGAATGATGATTTCCAATTTCATCCATGTCCCTACAAAGGACATGAACTCATCATTTTTTATGGCTGCATAGTATTCCATGGTGTATATGTGCCACATTTTCTTAATCCAGTCTATCATTGTTGGACATTTGGGTTGGTTCCAAGTCTTTGCTATTGTGAATAATGCCGCAATAAACATACGCGTGCATGTGTCTTTATAGCAGCATGATTTATAGTCCTTTGGGTATATACCCAGTAATGGGATGGCTGGGTCAAATGGTATTTCCAGTTCTAGATCCCTGAGGAATCGCCACACTGACTTCCACAATGGTTGAACTAGTTTACAGTCCCACCAACAGTGTAAAAGTGTTCCTATTTCTCCACATCCTCTCCAACACCTGTTGTTTCCTGACTTTTTAATGATTGCCATTCTAACTGGTGTGAGATGGTATCTCACTGTGGTTTTGATTTGCATTTCTCTGATGGCCAGTGATGATGAGCATTTTTTCATGTGTTTTTTGGCTGCATAAATGTCTTCTTTTGAGAAGTGTCTGTTCATGTTCTTCGCCCACTTTTTGATGGGGTTGTTTGTTTTTTTTCTTGTAAATTTGTTTGAGTTCATTGTAGATTCTGGATATTAGCCCTTTGTCAGATGAGTAGGTTGTGAAAATTTTCTCCCATTTTGTGGGTTGCCTGTTCACTCTGATGGTAGTTTCTTTTGCTGCTGTCACTAGTCTATTTTCAAGCCTTTCTTTAAATGGAATGAAACCTTACATTTTCTTGATAGTCTGCTTCTTCCCTTCAGCATATTATTTTGAGATTCATCCATATTGTGTGTGTTAATAGTTTATAACTTTTTATTGAGGAGTAGTATCCCATTGTATGGATATACCACAATTTACTTTCCACTCACCTATTCATGTACCTCTGGGTTGTTTTCAAATCTCTTTGCTATTAGAATTGTGTGTACGTATACTTTAATTTCTCTTGGGTACCTGGGAGTGGAAGGGCTGGGTTGTATGGCAGGTTTATGTTGAACTTTTAAAGAAACTGTCAGATTGTTTTTAAAGTGATGGTAACATTTTACATTCCCACAGTGAGAGTTCCAGTTGATCCACATCCTCTCCAACACTCAGTCAATCTTTCAAATTTTAGCTATCCTATTAATAGTAGATGTGTAGTGGTATGTCGTTGTCATTTTAATTTGTATTTCTCCAAAGACTAATTATATTGCACATCTTTTCAGGTGCTTATTTTTCATTCATATATCTTCTTTGGTGATGTATCTGAATCTTTTCCCCATTGCTTTATTCAACTGTGTGTCTTATTATGGAGTTGTTAACTATTCTTTATATATTCTAGATACAAGTCTTCTGTTGGATCTATGTTTTGCATGTATTTTCTTCCAATTTGTGACTTGTCTTCTTTTTTTGTAATGGTGTCTTTCAAAGAGCAACTATTTTTAACTTTAATCAAATTTATTTTATTATTTTCTTTCATAGTTTGTGCTTTTGTGTTGTATTTAAGAAATTATTGCCAACTTCAAGCTCACTTTCTGGCTTTGGAGGTAGAGAATGAGGTCTGCAATCCAAGGAATCAGAAGCCTCTGGAGCTAGAAAAGATTTACTCCTTATGCTTCCAGAAAGGAAAACAGCCTTGGCAACACCTTCATTTTATCCCAAATGAGAACCGTGTCAGACTTCTAACATACAGAACTTTAATATAATAAATTTATGTTGTTATAAGCCACAAAGTTTGTGGTAATTTGTTACAGCAACAGTAGAACTGTTTCTAATTTTGGTTTCTGATTTTCTTTTCTAGTATATAAAAATAAAATTGATTTTTTTATAGTGACCATGTCTCTTTCAACCGTGATAAACTTGTTAGCTCTAATAGCTTTTTTGTAGACTTCTTTCTAATATGGAAGATTTTATTTCATTTTCTTGACTTACTGTCTTGTCTAGAATATCTAGTATAATATTGACTAGAAGTAGTAAGAGTGAGCATCCTTATTGCTTTCCTGATTTGGGGGGAAAGCATTCAGCCTCTCACCATTAAATGTTAGCTATAGATTTTTCTGTGTTAGCTACAGATATATATTATATATCTATATTATATAGATATATAATATATATCTATATAATATAGATATATTCATATATTCTATGTTAGCTATAGATTTTTCATAGATGCCCTTTTGAGAATTTGAGAAATTCTCTACTATTTTTAGTTTTCTGAGAAATTTTAATCAGTAATAGATGTTGAATTTTGACAAATTCTTTTTTTTTTGCATTTGTTAAGATTATTAATGGTCTTTTAAAAAAGTTTGTTAATATGATAAATTGCATTGATTGACTTTGGATGGTATATCAACTTTATATTCCTGGAATAAGCCCACTCCGCTTGGCCATGATGTGCTATCTCTTCTGTTTATATTGAGTGCAATTGCTAAAATTTTGTAAAGGATGATTGCATTTATGTCAGTGAGGGATAGTGATCTATCATTTTCTTGTTTTGCAATGTCTTTATTAGGTATTGATAACATGGCAATGCTTGCCTCATAGAATAAATTGGAAAACATTACCTCCTCTTTAATTTTCCAAAAGAGTACTTAAATGATCAGTGGAGTTCACCAGTGGAGCCTTCTATGCCTGGGGTTTTCTTAGTGAGAAGGTTTTAAACTATCCACTTAACTTCTTTAATAGATATAGGGCTGCTAAGGCTATCTGTTTCTTCTTCAGTGAGCTTTGGAAGTCTACACCTTTCAATGCATTTGCCTATGTTATGTAAGTGGTTAAATTTATTGACATAATTTTTTAAATAACATTCCCTTTCTGTTCTTTTATAATCTAAACTATCTGTAATTATGTCATTTCTCAAATTCTTGCTATTGGTAGTTTGTGTCTTCTTTTTGTTTCCTGACCAGCCTAGCTAGAGTGTTGTTAATTTCATTTATCTTTAAGATTAACCAGGTTAGTATCTTATTGATTGCTTTCTATAGTTTTTCTGTTTACAATTAATTTGTTTCTGTTTTTTTCTTTGTTATTTGTTTTTCTCTGCCAACTTTGGGTTTAACTTGCCTTTCTTTTTTGCCCATTGTAACATGGGAGCTGAACTTCTTGAGATCTTTCTTCTTTCTAATATAAATGCTTAGTATTATACATTTTTCTCTAAGTTCTGCTTTGGTAGCTTACCACAAATTTTGATATGGCATGTTTTTGTTTTCATTCAGTTTAAATTACATTCTGATTTCCCCTTTGATTTTTTCCTGATATATGGATTCTTTAGAAGTATATTATATAGTTTCCAAATATTTGAGGATTTTTCAGTTGTCTTTATGTTGTTGATTTCTAATTTAATTCTGTTTTAGACAGGGAAAATATTTTGTATCATTTGAGTCTTTTAAAATGTATTGAGACTTGCTTTGTTGCACAGAATATGGCATATTTTGGTAAATGTTCTTTATGCCTTTGAAAAAAATATATTCTGGTTTCATTGGTTGGAGTCTTCTACAAATGTTAATTAAGTCAAATTGATTGATAATGTTGCTCAAGTCTTCTATGTCCTTAAAGATTTTCTATTACTTCTTTTATCAGTTCTGAAAACAAAGTTGTTAAAACTTAAATTTTATATTGTGGATTTATTTGTTTAACATTTTAAATAAAATATTTATTTAAATAATTAAATTATTTACAAAGCATTTATTTATTTTTAATTCCATCAGTTTTACTTCATATATTTTGAAGCTCTATTAGGTGCACAAACACTTAGGATTATTATGTCCTTTTAGTGTATTGACCTTCTTATATTAATGTAGGGACTCCAGATTGCTTTCAATTAGTGTTAGCCTGGTATATCATTTTACTTTAATCTACTTGTATCTTTCTATTCAAAGCAAGTTTACTGCAGACAACGTATAGTTGGATTTTACTTTTTTAATGCAATCTGGTGATGAGAACAGGAACTGCTTTTAGCCCCGTGTAAATTCTTGGGCTTATACCTTTTAATCATTTCAGGTTATTATTTTCCTGGCCTCAGTTTCCTCACAAGCATGTGCTGATCAGTACTTAGCTAAAAGACTCAAAGAGGACCCTCAGAAGATCTCTAGAGTTCTCTCTCTGTTCAGCTTTCTCCTCTGTACTTCACCTTGATCTCCCAGACTGTCAACTCCATTTCCTCATTGTCTTCTATTCAGAAAGATTTCCGGGCAACATTTGAGTTCTCCCTGCACTTTGACCTGGAATATTCCTCTGGACAGTAAGCTGGAATGATTGTTGGACTTACCTTATTTCCCCTATTTTTTGTGCCACCTGATTCTAATGACTGAAAGCTGTCATTTTACCTGCATATATTTTGTCTAGTTTTTAAAGTTGTTTTGGGCAGAAGCTAACTCTGGTCCCTGTTACTCCATCTTTGTTAGAAGTAGAAGTTCCAAGTGTTATGATTTAAATTTTAATTAAATTAAATAATTTAAATTTAATTTTCCTTATTTATAGTAATGTCAGGTATTTTTTGAGATTTATATATTTAGTTTTTAAAATGTGAATTATTTTTTCATATTTTTCAGTTTTTTTGGATTTTATTCATATATTTATTTAAACGATACATAATTGATGTACATATTTTGGGGGTACATGTAATATTTTAATATACTCATATAATGTATAAGATCAAATCAGGGTAATTGGGATATTCATTACCTTAAATATTTAATTTTTATTTGTGATAGAAACATTTAAACTATCTTCTAGCTCTTTTGAAATGTACAATAGATTATTACAAACTATAATCACCCTACTGATCTATCTAATACTAGGTCTTATTTCTTCTATCTAACTGTATATTTGTACCCATTAATTAACCTCTCTTTATCCCCCCTCCCCTCTACCATTCCTGGCCTCTGGCAACCACCAATCTACTTTCTATCTTTGTGAGATTCACCTTTTTTAGCTTCCACATATGAGTAAGAACATGTGGTGTTTGCATTTCTGTGGTTGGCTTATTTCACTTAATATAATGACATCCAATTCCATTCATGTTGCTGCAAATGACACAATTTCATTATTTTGGTGGCTTTTTATACACACACAATGGTATATCATTGTGTGTGTGTATGTGTGTATACTATATATATAAATGTTATATGTATATACTATATATAAAATGTTTATATATTTTTTATTTATATATGTGTGTATACTGTCTATATATGTGTATACATATGTAAAATTTTCTTTTTTTTATTATACTTTAAGTTGTAGGGTACATGTGCAAAATGTGCAGGTTTGTAACATATGTATACATGCACCCATATAAAATTTTCTTTATACATTAATCCATTGGTGTACACTTAGGTTGCTTCTACCTGTTTTTATTTATTTATTTTTATATTAATTTGTAGGATTTAAACATATATTATGGATATAAAATCTTAGTCTATTTTATATGATGCAATTTTTTTATCAATCTATTATTTGTTTATAGTGATATAGATATATATGTACTTTAAGTTCTGATAGAGCTGATATGCTCTGAAAGAGCTTCAAGAGTATTAAAAAAGATGTAGTATAATCTATTTTGGTAGAAAACCCTTTATGCATAATATGTATGTAAAGCATGTAAGTATACTTCAGTGTGTAAGTACGCTGAACAGAATGTAAGCTCCTTGAGGCCAAGGGCATTCTTTTGTTCACTGGTTCATTGTTGTATCTCAGTGCCATAGCACATAGTAGGAACCAATGTAACATGTTGAATGAACGAATGAATAAATGAATAATGTATCATATTACTATGTTTATATAAAATAACTATATAGGAACAAGTTATGTAGAGCAGGTTGCGTGTATCATTATGAATATTTATTTATATATTTAAATGCATAGTACAATGATTGGGAGAATATATACTAAATTGTTATTGGTGGTTACCTCTGAGAATAGGATTGACTGGTGAAATTAGACACTCTATTATTCTCTATATTTCTGAGATTATATGTGTACATCTTCATGAATTAATTTTATAAATAAAAGTATGTATCGGTAAAGAAAATAATTATTGTCTTAAGTCTGATGAAAGGTCTTTAAGATTTGAAGATTCTGTGTTCTATATCATCAAGCGCAATGTTTGCCCAGGATATTTTAATGGGACACATAAATCAGTATTTAAAACTGAAGACTGGGCAATTCTTATCAATAAGTGCAAACCAGACTTGGAATGTGAGAGAAATAAAATACAAAGGCATGATGATTTAGTACCTAGTATTCCTTCCAACATCAGGATTTGGCGAAGATCTAGGAGGTAGTGTCATAATGGGTACATCAACGGGTTCTGAGTATCGTATGAGGAGATACTAGAAGCTATTTTATAAGGGAACCAATAATCTGATATCCAGAGATGAAAGTGAGTCAACAACTTGAGTAGACAAAGATGCAATCCTACTGACAGACTGAGCTGTGAGTCATGAGACAGCTTGGATGGTTTTTGCTTGCTGGATTTTATGGTCGCTTAGCAGTACATGTGGTAATTCTCATATTTGGGGTCATTGCAAATGTTCCAGGTGACTCCAGTTGGACAAACCCATTTTTTTATCAGCTTCATAATCAATATTGATTATTGGAGATGATATTATGTTAGAATTCTGATTCATTCAACAGAGTTTATAAAATGCTTACACAACACAGGACTCTGGAACAGGCTCTGCCAGGGGACAGAGACAAAGTAGGCATGGGCCCTCTTCTCTAATAACAAGATCTTGAGGGTGAATCAAAACATGAACATTACGTTGTCACGAAAGGATTGAAGTGATGGAGATACAAGGTTATAAAGTTGCAAAGTATCAGTGGGAAAGAAAAAGAGGGAATGAATCTAAGAGGAATTGGAGAGACACTGGAGAGAATGGGGCTGTAGATAGGATGTAGAGGCTGTAAGAAAACTGCCAAGGCTTTGTTGATTCACTGAACATCACAGGTGACTCTTGAAGGAGTCACTTTATCAGGCCTTGCTTAATTTCCAGGATTTCCTAGACTACAGAGGGCAAGCACAATTATTTATTAAAGGGTGGTTGTAGGCTTTATGGGCAGTGAGGGAGCCATTTAAGACTCTGACCTGGTCAGGACAACTGTTTTACTTATCCATCTCACTCACCAGCCTGGGAAGTCCTTCTGGGAAAGTACTATTAGTTATAGCTATATTCCTTGTGTCTTACACAGTGCCTGGTATACAGCGGACATTCAATTGTTTCTTGGGCTGAACATAAAAGCAGTAATTTGGCTGGGCACAACTACTCAGGAGGTTGAGATGGGAGGATTGCTTGAACCCATGGGTAGAGGCTGAAATGGGTTACGATCACACCACTGCACTTCAGCCTGGGCAACAGAGCAAGTTTCTGTCACAGACACACAGACAAAATGAAGCAGTAATTGGTCACTCAAACCTCTCTGATCTGTTTAGGAGGACATAGTTCCCACAACGTGTGATATTCATTTTACAGAAGGCGACACATAAATTTGGCTCCAACACTGGAGTTACATAGAGCCATTGTGTCTGTTAATTTTTGCAAGTAGACTGCTCTTGGTCAACCAGTAAAGAGGCCTTTCAATGTCAGAATTTATCTTAATTTTCTGGGAGTATAGACATGATTATGATAAGGTGCCTCCTCTCAAGGAACTTAGAGTCCAGTTAGAATTTATCAGATGCACTGGGTGGATGCAAAAGGAAATTACAACTCAAAAATGTGTGCCGTAGCTTACTTAGACACGGGATAATTCAAATAAAGGATGAATTGAAGATGAATCTGAGAGAGAACTTTTAGTTTAGCCATATACCAAACGGGGCAGTTGGTAAGAATGATTGTAAAATCACTGAATTTTATTTTTCTATGCAGATGATATTATCAAATGCTTGTCACGACTAGGCTATTACAGTGAATTTTTTTTAAAAGAAGAAAAATAAAAAGATTTTGATCTAATGTCATCTTTATTTCAGAAAAAAAAGATAAGAACACTAATTGTTAAGACTGACAAAGAATTAATTTCTAGTTGCATTCAGAGGAAAAAAATGAACAGACTAACAAAATTATAACCTTAACATGATTGAACTCATTACTCTTGAAATGTGGTGCAGATACTTTGTGTTGGGTTTTTAGTTTGTTTATAGAACTGGAAATGACTTTAGCATGTTAATATTTTATCAAATTAAAATTAACACCATTATGTTTTAAGAATCAAAAATGTAAATGTGATGTAAGTGCCTTTATATATGTTAGAGCACACAATTTATTTTTATAAAAATAATACACACTTTTCAAAATTTTAAGCAGTATGAAAAGTATAGAGAAAAAAATTACTTAGAAATAACGTAGTATAAGATTTGGTGAACATTACTACAGTCAAACGTATATGCACATATAGAGATTGACAGATGCATTGATAGGCAGAGCAATAGATAGATGCATATACATATGCAGAAATAGTTTCATAAGAATAGAATCACAGTCTACCAGCTAGTAAAAATACATTTAATTTTATCCTAATTTACTAGAATTTGAAATGCAGGATTTTTGAGTTTTTGATGCTTTTCTCCTCAAGACATACTACTTCCTTAAAGATCCAAAGCTTAAAGAAAGATTTTAAAAACCATTAAGACATCAGCAATATTACTTTTTGAAATGGAAATATTTCAATTTTTGACAGTACCGACTGACTTCCTCCTATGAAAGGTAAAACCTTTAATATTTTTACCCTATTTCTACCTCTCTCTCCTTCACCTATATTTTTTATTCTGATTTTATTAAATTTTAATATAATTTTAACTTTTCTCCAATGTTGTAAGAATAATGAAAGGCACTTCTATATATGCTTTACCCCAAATTATCAATTTTTAATATTTTGCCCCATTTTTATTATTCTCTCTATATATTTTACATAAAGGTATATACTTTTTCTCCGAAGCATGCTTGATACATAGTTATATATTTCCAAAGAACAAGGAGATGATCTTAAATAATCACAGGGCAATTTTCAAAAGCAGGACACTTAATATTGTTACCACACTGTTTTCGAGTCTGCAGTTTATACTCAAATTTTGTCATTTGTCATAATGTACTGTTTATCGACCTGTTTTTCCTCATATAGAATCCAATCTAGGACTATGCATTGCTTAGTTATCCTGTCTTTTTAGTCTCCTTTAAACCAAAGCAGTTCTTCCACCTTTCAGTTTTCTTGATCTTGACATTTTTGAGGAGTACAGGGCAGTTATTTTGTAGAATGTCTCTCAGCTTGGATTTGTCTAATATTTCCTCATTATTAGATTCAGGTTATGTATTTTTGGCAAGAATACCATGAGCCAATGTGTTTTTCTCAGGGCATCAGATTAGCAGGCATAAGATGTCCGTTTGTCTTAGCATTGGTAATTCTAATTTTGATTACATAATTAAGATGGTGTTCACTAAATTTTTCTTCTGTAAAAGTAACATTTCCCCCTTTCTAATTATTAAGTATATTGAGCAGAAATATTCTGAGATTATTTTATATTCTATGACTCACCAAAATGTTGCCCTCTAGTTTTAGCAACCTTTGATCATCATTCAATGACTGAAGAATGAAGAAAAAGCTGCAAAGTTGAAGGGAAAAAATATCTATGACAAAGAATATTATATCCATCCATGTTACCATTCAAATAGAAAGTTTGCAGGCCATGTATATTTAAACATGAAACAACTCAGGAGATAAAATACTCATAGTGTGAAACCTAAATGAAATCGTCATTAGATAAAATACGGTAAAAGGAATGATGGTGATATTTTAATTCATTTAAATATATAACAAAGACTATTCTTTTGGGGAACTTTGGATGCAGAAATAAATGAAAATATTATAATATAACTGACATTGTGAAAATTAACATCTAGTTTCTGTTTTCAGTAATAGCAGAGTATCTCATATCTGATTAACCCTTCCACAGATAAAATTACAAAATATAGGCAAAAGTTATTTTAATGAGTTTAATATATTGAAGAGGTAGGAAAAACTAGAGAGGAGTTGACCTTTGATAAAAGGAAAATTTTCTGGGCAACATTTACATTTATATGTATCTTATCGCTTATTATCACCATCTGTTCTACACAGGACATCACAACTATTTCTAAGTAAGAAGCCACCGTCTTCCTGGCTCGAGAGTCAGAGAATGGAGTTTGAAGCTACCAAAGCAGCTAAAAAGTGAAGAAGGGAGTGAAGGGAAATCCAAGAAACTGGATCACAGAGAAATGCCCCATAAACTGAATCTGAAGATCAAAAGCGCACATCACATACCAGAGAAAACTGACACAAATTCATCTATACAAAGATATATAATGATTAAGTTATTGAACTTTACGGCATCTAGGCAGAAAAATTAAGTCACCTATCATTCCTATCATCATTTCTCTCTATCATGTAATGTCATAATCTGCACATAAACTCCACTGAAATCTTTAACTGACCCTGGACCACACATAAAGCAGGGAAACTCCAAGGACAAATTAACAGTAATAGTAATATAGTTTGAATGTTTGTCCCCTTCAAATCTCACGGAGATATTATCCCTAATGTTGGAGGTGGGGCCTAGTGGGAGGTGTCTGTGTTTGGGTCATGGGGGTAGATCTCTCAGGAATTGCTTGGTGCTGTCCTCAGAGTAATGAATGAGTTCTCACTCTATCAGTTACTGTGAAATCTGATTGTTAAAAAGAGCCTGGCACCTTCTCCCCTCTCTCTTGTGCCTTCTCTCACCATGCAACATGCCTATTCCCCCTTCACCTTTTGCCATGAGTAAAAGCTGCCTGAGGCCTTACAAGAAGCTGAGCAGATGCTGGTCCCATGCTTGTACAGCCTGCAGAACCTCTTTTCTTTGTAAAGTATACAGTCTCTGGTGTTTATTGATAGCAATGCAAAACAAAATAACGCAAATAAGATATCAAGAAAAGCGCCAAATATTTGTTCATGTTAATGCATGCAAAATTTTACTTAAACCATAATTCTCACTCTAAGAAAAGCAGTGAAGACACAGTTCTGTCCACTACTGTAAACATCGTAACTACAATGCAAAATCTTAAATGACTACACACCACCATATACCTGGCATCTTGAAGTGTGTGTTTAAGTGGTCAAATTTTTTTTCTCATAAAATTAAATAATTGTCGCTGAGAATAAGGCATGTTTTCACAGACTTTCTTTTAAAACTTCTATTTTTAATTGGCAAGTGATATGTACATGGGGTGCAATGTGATGTTTTGATACAAGTATACGGCATAAAATAATTAAGCTAACATATATTCATCACTTCACATACTTTTTTTGTGGTGTGAATCCTTAAAATCTATTCTCTTAGCAATTTTCAAATATGCATTACATTATTTTTAACTATAGTCACCATGCTGTGTAATAGATCTCAAAAACTTATTCCTTCTGTCTAGCTGAAACTTTGTACCCTTTGACCAACATCTCCCCATTCCTCCCCTGCTGGATTCTACTCTCTACTTCTGTGAGTTACTTTTTTAGATTCCACATGTAAGTAAGATTTGAGCCTGGCTTATTACACTTAGCGTAACGGCCTGCAGTTTCATCCATGTTGTTGTAAATGACAGAATTTCTTTCCTTTTCTTAAGGCTGAATAGCATTCTATTGTGTATATATACCACATTTCCTTTATACATTCATCCACTGATGGACGTTTAGGTTGATTTCATATCTTGGCTAATAATGCTGCAATCTACATGGGAGTGGAGATATCCCTTTGAGATAATGATTTCATTTCCTTTGGATACGTACCCAGCAGTGAGATTGCTGGATCATATGGTAATTCTACTTTTAATTTTTTTTGAAAAACTTCCATACCATTTTTCATAATGGCTGTCCTAATTTACATCCCCATGAACAGTGTATAGGAGCTCCTTTTCCCCCACATCCTCATCAACACTTATTATCTTCCATCATTTTGATGACAAACATTGTAACATGTATGAGGTGATGTCTCATTATGATGTTAATTTGCATTTTCCTTAATATTTAAGGACGTTGAGCATTCTTTCATATACTTGGTCATTTGTATGTCTTTGAGAAATGTCTATTCAGGCCTTTTGACCATTTTTTCATTGGATTGTTTCTTACTATTGAGTTGTTTGAGTTCCTTGGATATTTTCAATATTAACCCCTTATCAGATGTATGGTTTGCAAGTATTTTCTCCCAGTCTGTAGGTTGTCTCTCCACTCTGTTGTTTCCTTTGTTGTTCAGAAGCTTTTTAGTTTGGTGCAATTCCATTTGTCTAGGTTTGCTTTTGTTGCCTGAGCTTTTGAAATCATGTCAAAAAAATTATTGTGCAGACCAATGCTGTGAAAATTTCCCCCTATATTTTCTTCTAGTAGTTTTGCAATTTCAGGTCTTACATTTAAGTCTTTCATCCATTTTGACTTAAGTTTTGTATGATATGAGATAAGGGTTCAATTTTATTCTTCTACATGTGGATATCCAGTTTTCTTAGCACCACTTTTGGAAATACTGTCTTTTCTCCATTGTGTGTTCTTGGCATTTTTAACAAAAATCAATTGACTACAAATGTGTGGGTTTATTCTGGGCTCTCTATTCTATTCCTTTGGTTGATGTGTTTTAACAGATTTTCTTGATGTTGTTTTAGATGAATGAAGCTTCTGGTGGTCAGAGGCCATGTTGCATTCTTTCAGAGTGCTAATGTGGTCTGGTGGGAAGGTCCTTGGCTTTAGAGTAAAATCACCCAGAGAACAAACCAATCAACAGTCACAGAAACATCATTCAGAATTGTGTTAGCTCTTTGAGGTGAACTTGACTGTTCATACATATGCATGTTTTGTTCTTCTTGCCTACAAATACAGGTTCATAAAATTACATGGCTATCAATGGCCTACTATTAGTAGGAGCATTTCTTGTAAATTGGCTCCTAATTGCTCTGGAGAGGTGAAATGAAATATGCAGACTATTTTCTATCAAAGTTAAAATCCATTAATAAGAACAAAAAAGCTACCATATGGTGATGGAAAACATTTTTTTATCCTTCTAGTTAATTTAATTAAGTTTCAAAGTGACAAAAATTTGCATCCTCTGGTGGTGAGCCCAGAGGCTGAATGGGTACACCTTTAAAAGCCATGTAAATAAATAAGCTGTAGCCAGTAGCAGTCCACTAACCTCCAACAGTTACTATAATTCAGAATATCCTGAAATAAAATTCACTTTTGTAGTCTGTGTCACAAAACTATTCACCAAGTAAATGAAGATTAGCTGTTTAAAACAATCAAAGAAAGAATATCCTTTAAGATAATTTAGAAATATTCAGTTATTGCAGACAATAAAGATATTAATAAAGTCACAGTCATAATTTTTGGATTCACTTATTAATGGAATTTTTTATGTAAAGAATAAATTGCAGTCTCTGTACTTGAGGCTCTTACAACATAGAAATAATATCAGACTAAGCTCTCATATGAAGTATGGATAAAATGTTATGAGAGTTTAGAAGAGATCAATATTAGGTTTTCTGAAGACTAGCTGGTCCTAATAATGAAAACTAACATTTATAGGGTGCCTAGTGTTTTAGTCCATTTTCACACTGCTGATAAAGATATACCCAAGACTGGGCAATTTACAAATAAAAGTGGTTTAGTGGACTCACGGTTCCACATGTCTGGGGAGGGCTCACAATCATGGTGGAAGGTGAAAGGCACATCTCACATGGCAGCAGACAGGAGAGGAGAATAAGAGCCAAGTGAAAGGGATATATAAAACCATCAGATCTCATAAGACTTATTCACTACAGAGAGAACTTTATGGGAGAAACTGCCCTCATGATTCAATTGTCTCCCACTGGGTCCCTCCCACAACACGAGGGAATTATGGAAACTACAATTCAAGATGAGATTTGGGTGGGGACGCAGCCAAACCATATCACCCAGTAAGTGACTACTCTTGGAAAGCCTGGATCTGGAAGGTTTACCACCAAAGCTGATAGGAATCTTCCCTGCCTCTGGGTAGAGAGGTTGTTCAACAATGCAGCCTGGCATGAAGATTTAAGTCTCAGTTAATAAAATAAACAGTTCTGACTATGTATTCAAAATATTTATTCAGAAAAATAGGAAGGTCTCTGCCTTCCTGTTTTTGAAGTATGATGAAAAGGGGAAGGGAAGCTCATACTATACAAACTCTGCTTCTCTGATACATATTCTTGAAGTGCCAGTGTAGATACATACTTTTCTTAGAAATGGCTGGGAATAAACTAACAAATGCAGGAATGATATTGGTAAGAGACTCTTGAAACTTCAGGTATGTGAAATTTGTAAGGGAGCATCTTAGTGGCAACAAATAAGTACTAGTTTTCTATTTTGGGCTACCTATTCCAGGGCACTGAGAAAAACCGTACATGAGCTTAGTTCTTAGGGAACTGTGGAGAATGGAAAAAGCATTAGAAGAGGGACATATGACTTAGTGACAGACTAGTAATCCAGACAAGTATGATTTGTGAATATATAGAAAAGAAAGCAGTGGGTTCACTAAGTCATGCCTAATAAATTAAATTTTCTTTCTTTTTAAAAATTTCAAAATTAATACCCAATAAATAAATTAATACTACATACTTGTGGGGTAGCAATGTGATATGTATAATGTAAGTAATCAGATAATGGTAATTAACATATCCATCATCTCAAACATTTATCATTTCTTTGTGTTGGGAACATTTAATATCCTTCTTCTAGCTACTTGAAATTATATAATATACTATTGTTAGCTATAAGTCATCCTATAGTGCTATAGAACAATAGGATTTATTCCTGTCATCTAGCTGTAACTTTGTAGCCTTTAACAAAAGTCTCCCTATCCACCCTTCCCCCATCCTTCCCAGTCTCTAATATTATCTGTTCTACTTTTTCCCTCTATGATACCAACTTTTTCTTTTAGCTTCCACATACAAGTGAGAACATGTGATGTTTTAACTTTCAGGAGCATGCTGTTTAATTTTAATGTATTTGTATAGTTTCAAATGTTCCTCTTGTTATTGATTTTTGATTTTATTCCATTGTAGCCAGTTAAGATACTTAGTATGATTTCAATTTAAAAAATGTTTGAAACTTGTTTTGTGTCCTAACAAATGGTCAATTCTGGAGAATGTTCTATGTGCTGATGAAAATAATGTGCCTTTTGCTGTCATTGGGTGAAATGTTCTATAAATGTCTGCTAGGTACTTTTGGTCTATGGTGTCACTGAAATCTGATGTTTCTTTTTTGATTTTCTGTGTAGATGATCTGTCTAATGCTCAGAATGGAGTGTTGAAGTCATTAACTGTTATTGTATTGGAGTCTATCTCTCTTTTTCAATATAATAATATTTGTTTTTATATCTGGGTGCTCTAGTTTTGGGTGCATATGTATCTACAGTTGTTATAGTCTCTTGTTGAATTTGTTCCTTTATTATTGTATAATGTCCTTCCTGGTCTCTTTTTGACTTAGTCTGTTTTTTTTTTCCTGATATTAGTTACTCTTGCTTGCTTTTGGTTTCCATTTGAATGGAATATTTTTTTCCATTGCCCCACTTTCAGCCTATGTGTGTCATTACAACTGAGGTGAGTTTCTTGTAGGCAGCATATAATTGAGTCTTGGTTTTTAAAAAGTCCATTTAGACAGTTGATATCTTTTAAATGGGGAATTTAATCAGTCTACATTCAAGGTTATTATTGATAAGTGAGAACTTACTCCTGTCATTTTGTTGATTGTTTTCTGATTGTTTTATATATCCTTTCTTCCTTACTTTCTCTCTTATTGTTTGTTTTTGTGGTTGGGTGGTTTTCTGTATCAATAAGACTTGATTCTTTCTTCTTTCTCCTTTGTGTATTAGTTCTGCTGGTGAGTTTTATAGTTTCACATGCTTTCATAATGGTGGTAGTTGTCTTTTCACTTCCAGATGTAAGATTCCCTTCAGCATTTCTTGCAAGGCTGGTCTAGTGGAGATTAATTTCCTGTTTTTGCTTGTCTGTGAAAGATTTTATTTCTCCTTCATTTCTGAAAGGTATATTTGCTGGGTATAATATTTTGGTTGAGAGTGTTTTTCTTTCAGTATTTTGAACATATATATCATTCCATTCTCTTCTAGTCTGTAAGGTGTCTGCTGAGAAATTCAGTGTTAATCTAATGGGGGTTCCTGTATGTATGAATTAATGCTTCTCTTTTGCTGCTTTTAGAATTCTTTCTTTGTCTTTGACTTTTGAAAATTTGATTATAATGTGCCTTGGGGAGGATCTGTGTAGGTTGAATGGATTTGAGATTCTTTGAGCTTTCTGAATCTGAATGTCCATCTCTTTCCCATGACTTGGGAAGTTTTCAGCTACCATTTTCATTTTATATGTTTTCTACACCATTTCCATTTTCTTTTCCTTCTGGGATGCCCAAATGTGAATACTTGTTCACTTAACCATGTCCCATAAATCTTGTAGGTTTTCTTCATTCTTCATGCTTTTTCTTTTTGTCTGCCTGTGTTATTTCTAATGACCTGTCTTTAAGTTTCAAAAATTCTTTCTTCTGCTTGACCTATTCTTGAAACTGTCAATTGTATTTTTTTATTTCATTCATTGAGTTCTTCAGCTATAGATTTTCTGTTTGGTTCTTTTTAATGATATCTATCTTTTCATTGAACGTTTTCCTTCAAATCATGCATGAATTGTTTTCCTGATTTCATTAAATTTTCTGTGTTCTCTTGTATCTTATTGAATTTCCTTAAGATTATTATTTTGAATTCTTTTTGTGGCAGTTTGTATATTTCCTTATGATCAGGGTCTGTTACCAAAAACTTCTGTGTTCCTTTGGAAGTGTCATGTTTCCTTGCTTTTTCATGTTAGATGTGTCCCTATGTTGATTTCTATGCATCTGGTGAAAGAGCTGCTTCTTCCAATATTATGGAGTAGGTTTCATCAGGAAAGACTCATTTATGTAAATGGGTCTTAAAGTGTCACTTCATTGGGGTGTATTGGCTTTGGTTCTATGTGGATGCAGTAGTATATTCTCCATGTAATTTCTTTAGCTGTAATCCACACTAGTGATGTTTGTGAGTGTCTCAGTGGCCTAGGCTGAGAGACTTTGTGGCAGAGGTGGTGTGGCTTTTCCATGGGTGGGCTTGCCAGCCTATTTCTCAGGTCAGGGGTGCATGTGTTCATATAGTGGGTCCACCAACTTGGGGCTGGGGTTGGAGCTACAGGGAAGTTACTCTGATTGGGAGTGTATGCATGTAGTTATCTGGCTGGCCTGTGGGCATGCCTTCCAGGGATGGCCCATGTGGCTGCTTCTCAGGCCTGAGATGTGGGCACCACACTGCTTGGCTTACCTGGGAACCTGCCTGCCAGGAGTAGCCTGCAGAAATGTTTCTCAGGCCCAGGATGTGGATGCACAGCTGCTTGACCAGCCTGGGGCTGTGTCTGCCAGGGGCTGCCCTCAGAGCTGTTTCTCAGGCCCTGATTGCAGGTATAGAGTCATTGGTCATGACAGAGGCTTGTTGGCAGGGGGTGGGGGCCCTGCAGGGCTATTAATCAAGCCCTGGGTATGAATATATAGCTGCTGTGCTGGCCTGGAGAGTGTCAGCTGCTTGGAGGCTTGAGGGCCTTTCCTGCTCTGGAGAAGGTGTACAACAGTTTGACCAGCTCAAGGGTGGGTTTGCCTTGGGTGGTACTGCCAGACTATTTCTCTAGCTGGAAGTGTGGATGGCAAGGTTTGGTTCCCTGCTGTGCAGGACCGGGCCCAGCCTCTGCACTGCTGGGGTTGTGGTGTTCAGCCCCCAGTTTGGGCTTGGTAGAAAGAAGATGGAGGCCCAATGCTGGAGAGATGCAGTGGCTACTAGGCCCCAGAGCATGGCACACCCCCGAGGTGGCTCTGGTCTCAAAATGGTGCTATGCTGCAGCAGCTTGGCCCACAGGGCCTGGGTGGGAGGGGGATAGTGCACAACCATGTGCTTCTAATCTGGGGCAATGCAGCTGCACAAATTCCTAGCAGCTCTCCTAACTGGGTTCAGGGCTTGCGGGGACTGTGGGATTCTGCTACAGTAAGGAGGGTAGGCATTTGTGGTGGTGGTGGGGGCAGGTGGGATTCTTCGGCTTACATTTGCTTGTTTGATGTGTTCCTACCTCCCTCCTGACTCCAGGAAAATCTGATCCAGGCAGGGGAGATGGTGCTGCAGAGGCCAAGTACCTTCATGCTGCACTCTGGCTTTCAGTCACCACACCTGTGTCCTTTACTCCTCCACTGCACTCCAGTGCTATCCCTTCAACACTCCAGTCAAATCTTAGCTGTTTATTTGTTGCCTTGGTCCTCTTTTGTGGGGGAGGATGAGTGCCAGGGACCCCTGGTTAGGAACTTGTTGACCTTGTCCATCAAATTTTATTTTTTCGACAGGGATATTTGGTAGTTCTGGAGACTGCACTAAACATAGTGTATCCTTACTTCAAGATTGCATTTGGCTGTTTCTCTTGAACTTTTAAAAAATAAAATGGAGAAAGGCAAATAGGACGATAGCACGAAGGTATGTATTCATAACCAGTCAAGGAACTAATTGAATGTCAAAGCATGCTAATTAATGGATAGTTGATAACCCTGATATACAATTCTATGGTCCTACCACACAGATTGTGTCCTTGTCCTGGTCAAAAACCAACAAAACTTTATTTAGTGCACACTGTGTGTCAGGCACTGCACTGAGTGCTGGGATAACACTGGCTTATACATGTCAGGTGCTGTACTAAACATTTTATGATCTTATTTAATTATGCAATAACCTTATCACAGTTATCATCTCCATTTTATATATGAGGAAAAGGGAGTCAGAGAACTGAATTAGCTTGGCCAAGGTTGGTCACACAGCTAGTAAATGGCAGTGCCCAGATACAAACTTTGGTTTTTAACTCCTCTTCACTGCCTAGGTTTTTCATTAATGATTAGAGCAAGAAAATGCATCAGTAGGCAGATGAAATGAATGTGGAAGAGCTACTGATGTGGGAACGTGCTTAACGACAGAATTAGTATCCCAAAGAATTTTAATGGGCTGGAGCAAATTTAATCAGAGAACATTTAACAGGGGATGCATGTGAAATCCTGAGCTTGGTTCCAAATATCCAGCTGCACAGGGCAATGTGGCTTAGCAGCTGCATAAGCTCAATGTGATTCAATAATGTGACATAGCTGCCCTAAAAGTGAATGAAAACGGGTGCCATATTTGTACAAATCTAGTATTGCAAACAAGGGGATAGATTATTCCGTTTTATTCTGGTCAGGCCATATGTGGAATTTGTGAGGAGTTCTCGGCAGCACACCTTTGTGGGGACATAGACAGGCTTAAACAGACTCAGGAAAGGACTCAGTACCACTTTTCTTTCATTTTTTTCGACATGTATTTTTTTTTGAGGGCTTATGTGCAGGTGTGCGTTAGGCACTGAGGAAATGGCAGTTTACGAAACAGCGTCTTTGTTGCTTACATTATTCTCACTGGAGAGGCAAAAAAATAAACATGTGAACAAATAAATACTATGTCAGCGATGACTGGTGATGGAGAATTAAGCAGTGTAAAGGGGTAGAGAATGAGTCGGGAGCTATTGCAGATAAGTTGCTCAGGAAAGCCATTTCTGAAGAGTTGCTATGTGATCAGAAACCTTCAATAGCTAAGGGAGGGCATCGTAAATAAAAGATAAATGGAAGAAGAAAATTTTATGCAGAGGAAAAAGAAAGTACAAAACCCTGAGGTGGGAGTTTGCTTCATATGTTCTGGAGGGAACCCAAGGAAGCCATTGTGATATGTTGGTAGACAATGATGCAGGAGGAGAAGTAAATAAAGCATTTCAAGAAGTACAGAATGACCAACATGAATAAGATGAGAACAGAAAACTGGTCATTGGATATGGCAATGTGGAACTCTTTGGTGACCTGCAGTTCCTCAGAATTAATCAAAAGAAATATAGCCTTGGGAAGAAAAGCCTTAGAGTGTTGTTTCTCAAGGTGTTATTGTGGACTACCTGAAGAACTCCTACAATCAAACCTCTAGGTTATGGGGCCCGGGAATCTTCATTTTTAGCAGTATGTGTTTCTTATTCACCGTTAAGTTTGAAAACTACTAATATAGGGAGGGCTAGCTGACATGAAGTATTTACAAAGTTGTTTTACATCTCCACTAAGGGACTGATGAATTGAAGCTAAAAGAAGACAAATTCATTTTACTTTAGGAGAATGAACAACACTTCAATGCTGAACATTTGAAAGTAGAATGAGTTGTATCTTACAGAAAAGAATTCTCTTCCATTGAAACAGAGACTGGATAATCACATTTTGGGGGGTTGTTTGGAGGGAATTTTACTGTCATATGGCATGGCAAGAGTGTTGCAGTAAGTAACCTTCTAACCCCCTGGTTCTGTTTTTCTGAAATGCAGACTGCAAACTCTCACCGCTGCTCTAAGTAGCCTGAGGAACAGGAGCTCAAACTAACCTTTCCTGTGTCTGATTTGTCTCTTAAAATGTTGAAAAAAGGCATTTCTATTTTGCCGAGTCTCAGAGTTGGTTAGGGTTGTCAAGTGACCATGAAATGACATTTGTTAATTGAAGGACATGTAGATAATTAAAATTTTACTGAATAATGGCAAAAGAAAAGAAATCTTAGTAATTAAGAGAAAGTGTTATATCAATGTTAGCATGTTTCTGTTACAACATATCGGGAATATCCTGAAAGTCAATTCCCTCGCTGTTATTGGATATTATTATTATTATTAAATGAGGGCAAAAGCACAAAGTCAGAACAGATATCTTGGATCTGTTAGCAAATGAGATGTTCCAAATTTTGCGTCACAGAATTAGCATGGTGGGTTCTTTTTGCTGGCCCATAACATTTCCTGCATGTAACAGAGGCTGGGCTGTGGACCTCCTCATTTGTTGAAGCATATGCAGTATTGTTGGACTCACCACACAGCTGTGGGGGGAAAACGTTGCTCACCCTAAGGTTATAACCCCCCTTCTCTAAATTACTGTTTACTGATGTGGGAGAAAAGGACTCCTGGCATAGCCCAATAATTACTCTTGGCACAGCTCAATAATTAATGAAGTGTTAAAAAGACTCTGCTAAAGTTTGTGCATCTGCTATGGAGGGTGCGAAAGTACAAGAAACTCGCCTTTGCAGCCAAGTCAAAAACACACATGGCCTTCCCTGTCCTCCCAGGGGAGAACCCAGTGGGGAGTGAGAAAGAGTGAATGAGTTAGTGCAGGAGAGAAAGGGGACTCTTACTACCAAGCTGTTTCCAAGTTTCTAAGAATAGAGAAGCCCAAGGTGGCAGAGTTGTAATTTCTCAGTTTCTTTTTTTCCTTTTTGTGATTTATAGGTAGGTCCTTTAATTTGTGGAAAGAAATTTGTATGCAGAAACAACTGCTTTTCTCTTTCTATTGGTTATAATACAGTACTTGTTAAATCAGCAGTTTAAAATAATTTGATGATGATAATGCAAGGACAAATAATTACTGCCACTAGTGTGGTATTTATCTCCTGAAATTTTATGGAGGTTGCAGGCTGGCATCTTGCCTAGTGAATAAGATATCAAGAGCGCTTTTTTGCTGCAAAATTAACAAAGGAAGGAATAAATATTATGTTTTCTCTCAAAGGATCCAGTTTGGAAAAAGACCAAGGATTAACTCTTTGTGCCACAGTCTGATTTCACAGTGCGTCACCTCTCGCACTTGTCCTCATCAATCACTGACATAGGACCAGGCCTCAGACAGGCCTCCAGGCTTTCCCAGGAATCCCTGCTGCTTGGCTGGAAAGTCCCATCCAGGCCAAGGGTTTCTGAAACACAGCTCAGGTACAAGCTAACTCTAGCTTCAGGCCAATTTCTTAAGCAGAGGGTCTTTGCTAATGTGTAGAATAGAAACGAATGTTGGGAGAATGGGTTGGTTCTGTTCTGTTCACCCGCTTGCTCTGCTATTCCCTCCCGCATCCCATTATTTAAGGTCTAGTTCAGAGTAAAAGGAAGGAAGACATTTGACAAGTTCTGTGTTATTACTCTACTCTGGTTTGGTTGGCAATAAATTGAATATTGTTTCTTGTTTTTCTCCCCCCCCTCCAGTGTTGTATATTTAACATTTCCTGATGGTCACAATTTCTCTACATGGCAGCTAAGGGGGAGTATAGGGCAAGGAGTAAACCTTGAGGAATTAAGGTGCAGGCTGCCCTATTTTTTTCCTCCTCTTTAATATGAAACTGGTTACAGGCACATTTTTTTAAACCTCTCAGCAGGAATTGCAAAGTTTTCCCAGTCATCACCTAGCAACAAAACCCAGCAAAACATTCGCAAAGCAGTTTTTGCAATGCAGCCATCACTGACTGGCAGAACTGACTTGTGGAAGGCTGAATTTGCTATGGAGGGGAATTGAATGCTTTCTTCTTTATTCAAGTAGAATGCTGAGATGTGCAGTCTGGATCCTGCTTGAACCAAATTAATGTACATTAAAGAATAAAACATAATGCCCATTGTAAATTGGAGGTTGAAAGGATTCAACAGAATGTGATGATGGGCCAGTTCTCATTGCAACTATTTAAACTGAACTTTTAAAGTAGTTGTCTTAAATAAAGCAATCTAAGATTGATATAACTATCCCTTTCTTTTTCCACATTAGATAAAATAGTCTCAACCTTTGGGTAGTGTAAGAAACTTTAAGTCTATTGGGTAATAAGTTCAGAATTCAACTGAAGATTATACTTAGCCTCTTCCCTGAAAATAATATTGATAAAAATCTCCCTTCAGAAAGAGAGTAAATCTGCTTTGTCTGGCTTTGACTTCTACTCAGAGTTAGCAGCCAGGCATAATAGCTATTATCATTAAGAAAATATGCTACTCTGGAACTTGGAGTTATAATATCCACCTCCAGGTCCTCGCTATGGTCTTTTTCCTTAGAGGTATAAGAATCTTACAACAAGATCCTTTTGTTTTGTCATGTACTTTAGAACAAAAAGACTAGATCTAAAAACATCTTATAAGATTTTAATTTTCTTGTTTCTGAAGTAAATAGCCATATGTGAACACAAATATATCAAATTAATAATCTAGCCACCAGGATCTTGATTTTTAGTACTTAAAGTCTACCAAGTTCATATCTCTGTATTAATAACAGAGGAGGTCCTTTAGCTCAGTACGTCATGAAGACAGCAAAACAATTTGTTGAAGGTGACTGACTCCTCACTCTTCAATAACAACCCTGTAAAGTTTACTCCACGTATGTACAATAGGTGCATGAGAATGTAGAGTATGTTCTTAGATCAGGCTTCAACTCTTGCTTACCAAGGAACTAGTGAGGCTTGGTAACTTGTGGTGGGGAAAATTGTTGTGATACCGTTTAAATTATGGTTCCTGTGTCCATAGGCTTGTTGTTGTCCGGGATGCCAGCTTTTTGCTTTATATGCCACATTTCTAATGATGAAATTGCTCTGAACGTTTGCCCATGTCTTGCCCAAAATGTAGCTTTTAAGTACTGAGTCCTTTTCAGTTGATTTATGTACAAGCCTTTGCTTCCTCCCATTATGCATGTGAAATGTTGACTGCGGCTTTATTTGTTAATGAGAGTGACTGTGGGGTTCTTTCTTCCATTTCTCTTCAGTCTGAACTCTCTTTGACAACATTTTCTCTGACATGATCAGCATCTTCTGCAGCTGTGGGAGCAATGTTCACAATCTTTGCTGCTCAAAGTGTGGGCTGCAGACCAGCAGCATTGACATCACCTGGGTGCTTGTTAGAAATACAGACTCAGGCTCCACCGAAGAACCACTGAATTAGAATCTTTATTGTAATGAGTTACTCAGATGATTCATATGCACAGTGAAGTTTGAGAAGCATTGTAAGTCTTTTTGGTTTAATGATTTGCTTCCTGTTGGGAGTGCTAGCTGAAAATGAATCTTCTTACTGACATTTTCTCTAAAACACCATTAAACACTCCCCACTCTCAATGGTACTGAGGTGAACTTAGAGGCTGAGCCATAGAAGTGAAATAAAAGAGACTTGAGCAAAGAGGTAGAGACTGCCCAAGCACTAACTGGTGTTTGCAGAGGATAACCCAGTAGTTCCAGGGGATCCAGTAGGTGATCAGATGACTTTCTTACGCTGTGCATCTTGTTAGCACCCATCTTAAGGAAAATTCTGCATTTTGTCTTACACTTGTTTTTTTTTTAATATATATATGGCAGGACAGCTCTTTTGTTATATAATAAAGTTACTGAAGTGGGTAAAGTACTCATATTTATCCCCTTCAACTGACTAGCCCAGGACTTTTTATCATAACCAAAGCTCAATAAGCGATGGTTGCATTGAATTGGTATCCACTGCCTGTAGATGCAGTATGTTTAAAAGGGTCGCAACATTGCTCTTTCAAGGGAAAATACAGTGCTCAATAATTATATAACACAAAACACAGGGAGGAAAGTGCCTTGCTGACTCTAGGGATTTGGGTTACATCACAAAATGTACAGTCTGATCAAAATTAATCTTGCCTTGAGGGAAGTTGCCAAATAGAAAAGGTCTTCAAGGCAATAACAAAAGATATCATAATTTGAGGGCATCCTTCTGATTTTGGGCATCCAAAGGTTACATGTTTACCCAAAATTATTACAATGAAGGAGAAAACCTTGAGTGAAGGAGATATTATTTTCACGGTTTTCATGACTCTGTTAACTTTCCATTAAGGTGTAAGAAAAACCAGAGTTGCGACCTGGAGCATGAGGTGAAAGAGTTTGCTACACACGAAGAAGTTGACATTTGGGAAATAATTTTATTTGTGCTGGACACTGAAAAATATATTGCTCTTTTTTGCATATGAGTTACCAAAAATATTTAGATTGTTCGGTAGAATTGTTGATTGTAGAAATTATCTAAAATCTAATCCAATTCAGATTTTGTAATTCCTGGTTTACCAATGAATTCCACTAATCTTAGTGCTGACTTTTTGGGAGTATGAGATAGCCTATTTATATTTATATGAAATTTTACAAAGTTTGTGAAGGGTCATATGACTAAGGTCTCAGTCATACCACCTTCACATCCAGGTATATGTGATATGCTGGCAATTTGAACTGGTGGAACAAAAAATGGAAATGAAAATTCTGTCATGTGCAATCTTAGAAACCCAAACTGGGGAAAGGAAGCAGCGTAAACAGGCAATTTGGTTTTACCTCAGGGTAAAACATGAAGGCAGGATGACATTTAAAAGTTTATACTAATTACTGCATACATCATCCTAAAGAAAGAAAAAAGAGAGTCAGATAGGAATTTTCATCCTTGTTTAATTGAGGTACACATTTCTTTTAAGGGAAGCATTGTAGTTACAAAAAAGTATAGTTAATTAAGAGTAAGAGCTGTGCTAGTTTCAGCAGCACAAAATTTCATTTATGGCTAAAGGCAAATTTGTCATTTAATTAGTAATTCTGACACAGGTAAAGGAGAAGACAGCTGCTTTTCTGGGGTTTTTATGCCTCACTGGTCCCCGGTAACCAGATGGCATTGTTGTTGCTGATGGATGAACCAAAGAAGTGGGAGGGTATCCACCCCCACCCTTACTCCTTGAAACTCCAAACTTAGATTAGAAATCTCATAAGGAGAAAGCTTTCTCCTGTGTTTATCCAGGCCAGGTGGGGATGGGGAGCAATTTTGGACCTGAACAAGTATCTTTGCCTTCTACTCTGCTCACAAACTTTTCTGAGGAGACACTACAGTTGGTCTGTAAATGAGTAGCTGCACATATCAACCACCTTTTGTTTAGAAAACTCCTAGTTACAGAATTGCTCAACAATGTTGCACATTTTTAAAACTAAAAGAAATCCCATTTCTAGAATTTTAGGGTTTTATATTTGCTTTTCCATCCATTATTTTAATAAACACAATAACTTTCTAAAGTAAGGTAGAGCTAGAATTATTATTTCTGTCAGATTAAGAAATGAGGATCAAAAAGGTGAGTTTAGTTTATCAAAGTCTGCAAACCTAATTATAAATGTAGCACCAAACCTAGTCTTTACTTTCCCATAGTTAGTGCTCTCTTTAACTAATGCAAACATAAATGGTCAACAAATAGATAAAATAATTATCAATATCACTAGTAATCAGAGGTATACAAATTAAAATACCAAGATTTTCTTTATCAATTTGATAAAAATTAAGACAATTTAATTGTTGGAAAATATGTATAGAAATACCCTATTGGTGTTTGTGTAAATAGATACAGTTAAATTTTTTTCACACTCTTAAACATTGTAATTCCACTTCTAATAATTCTTCCTACAGAAGAATTCACATTTGTACATAAAGATCTATGTACAGTGATGTTCATTGTTTATAGTAATGAAAAACTGGAAACAATCATAAAGTCCATTCATTTGGGAATCATTAAATGAATATGGTTTGTATATATTATGAAATACAATAAAATTCTTTTAGAAAGAATAAGACAGATAGACGTGTACTGATACAAAAAATTTCCCAGACATATTAAGAAGTAAATAAAGCAAATTGCACAGCAATGCATATGGTTTCATTTATTTTTTAAAAAAGATTAATGTGTGTATATACATATATAAAATACATATGCACAGAAAAAAAGCTTTGTGAAAGCACAGACTCAATGAAAATAGTGGTTACCTATGGTGAAAAGAGTGGTATTGTGGGATGGGCAGATAAAGAGAAAATTTTACATTTTACATATTTCTATATTATTTGACTCTTACAGTAATTTATTTCCGCATTATTACAAAATTTAAAATGTTTAAACAGAAAAGTTTCCCAGGGCGGCTTTCATTTCTTGCATCCTAGCTAGCTCCCTCTCCCAGCACTGTCTGATTACTAGAGCCATCCCTGTGTCTCAGCTGGAGCTCAGCAAGATGTCTCCATCTCAGCATCTTCATATAGCGGAAATTCTTGACATTCACATGTTGAGCTCATCTAGATTTTCTACTGTTGCACTATGATAGCTCTTCTTCAATCCAGATACGAAATACCATGCTGATTTTTTTTCTTTACCTTTGCCAGTTTAGTGGTTTCAAAATACTTTTGGAAACAAAAATTATATTTGGAAGCCCAATGCATGAGAAAGTAGAGCTCCTTTGGTTGAAGTTGAGGATGAGTAGGGCCTTCCTCTTAACTTCATCACCCCTTCCTACTGAACTCCAAAAAATTGCTCCCAAAAAACTCCTAGGCCTCCGTAGAGCAGTTTGAAAATCATTAACACTTTGTCATTTTATAAAGAAACAGGATTTCAGCAAAGTTAAGTGATTCAGCCAAGATTACACAAATATTAAATGTAGAGCCAGCCTTTGAAATCCAGGTAATCTGAGCCTTATTTTATCAGTCTTCCCCAAATGGTGGTTCATCTTTTACACTAATCCAATTAGCTTTGGCTTTCAGACTTTTTCAAAAACAGAGAGCAAATAGCATCTCTACAAATGTTTCATTATTCTTTTTGCTTCTTACCAATACCATATTTCATCTTTGCTTTTCCTCTGATCATTTTCTTCTTATTCTGATCTTATATGGACAACTCTTTGCAGAGATGTTGAAATATGAGGATGATAAAAGTTTCTCATAGTGTTAAACAAGTGAAGGTTGAAAGATTTTAAGGAGTTACTGTTAGTCATGTGCTAGTGAGCCATGCTAGTCACAGTGGAGACATTGCTTGGTATTTGTTCATTATTAGCAGGCTTAACACACATACATACAAACACACATACACCACTAATACTGGCAGGGTGACTGCCAGTATTAGTGACTCTGTTTCCATTAGGACTTACTCATTAAGACCAAAGAAATCTTATGTTCTTATGTACTAGTTTTGGTAACTTTTTTTTTTTTTTTTGAGACGGAGTCTCACACTGTCGCCCAGGCTGTAGGGCAGTGATGCGATCTCAGCTCACTGCAAGCTCTGCCTCCCGAGTTCACACCATTCTCCTGCCTCAGCCTCCCAAGTAGCTGGGACCACAGGCGCCTGCCACCACGCCGGGCTAATTTTTTTTTATATTTTTAGTAGAGGTGGGGTTTCGTGTTAGCCAGGATGGTCTCAATCTCCTGACCTCGTGATCCGCCCGCCTCAGCCTCCCAAAGTGCTGGGATTACAGGCTTGAGCCACTGCGCCTGGCCAACTTTTTATCTTTTATGAATGTTAGAATAGATTTTTTTTTCTGTACACTTCTCAAACACTTAGTATGATAAACTTTTAAATTGCTTTATCCCAAAGGTCTCCACTGGGTGAAGACTAAAAGCAAACTTTGGTTTCCTTATACTATTTTACTTTGGGAGATAAACTGGGAAAAGTTATTATCATTGTAGCTTGTGCCATTTTGTAATATTTTGGTGGTGCTTATGCCATTCCACATCAAGCCACAATGATGTAGTGTTAAATACTGAGAGCTGACGTATAGAAAACCTGTCAGTCAGCAGTCCTCCTCACTTCCCTAGCGTTGGTGAGCAGGACAAATAAGCCTCTAACTAGATTAACTTATTAGGCCATTTTCATTCAGGGTTGCTAATTTTCACCCACATTGGAACAATGGGTGATTCACAGGTTTATAGTAATGCCTGTAACTTATTTTCTAGTTGATAAGCAAATTATTTAGTATAGCAAATCATCCTTAAACATCATAAAAATCAATTTGTTACCAATTGGAATAATGAACATTCCAAGAGCAGGATTGTTCTGTATCAAGTGAAATAAAAACATAGTCATTGACTTCATTACACAGTCATTGACTAATCTATAATTGAGTAACTGGTACTGGACTCACCTTCTTCTATAAAACAGGAAACTGAACAAAATATATGAAATAATTGTTCTCAGATATTAGACAATAGGGCAACATGGGTCTATGATCTCTGAGAGGAGGAAGCAAATGACATTTGCTTGATGACTGCATTGGATTTCTTAAATTTTGCAGCACAGAAATGGGAAACTCGGGAGGAGGAGCAGAGCCATCTCACTGATTTGAAGACAGAAATCAAAGTTTCAGGGGTTTGAAGCAGCTGGAATTTTCAGAGGAGAGTATTAGAGAGATAAGAGCTGTGCAGAGAAAGAGCTCCAGAGATCTGTACATGGGTTCCTTTGAGTCTGGCTGAATAAGCTGCATACTCACAGAAGGAGAATCCATGAGGATGGACAAAGAAAAATTACTAGGGAAAGAACAACTGCAAGGGAGCTCAACCAGGGGCTAGGAAATGTTTAAGTGGAAACAGACAGAGCAAAGAGATTTCTTCACACACCCAGTTTATTAATAATGACTTCAAGAAGGTTACTCCTTAGCTCTAGGGCCCAAATAGCTCTATAACAAAGGTTACTCTAGATCTGTCCTAGAAAAGCCTAAATGTAATCCTTAAAAGGATCAGGCTTATCTGCAAGTGGCTGAACTGACTGACAAAACAAAATTCAACACTCTTTAAAGGAAGAAAACAATATCCAGACACTGAACAAAATCCAGACACTTGAGATGACAAAGAAAAAGTTTGTGTAGTCATTTAAAATTACTGTACAGGTAAGGAGAGCATCAGGAAGAATAGCTAATGGATGCTGGGCTTAATACCTGGGTGAGGAAATGATCTGTGCAGCAAACCATCATAGCGCATGTTTACCTGTGTAGCAAACCTGCACATCCTGCACATGTACCCCTGAACTTAAAATAAGAGTTGAATGAAAAAAAAAAGAAAAAATTACTCCACAGGCAAAGAAACAGTAGATGTGATCCATAACCAGGAAAAAAATAATCAGATAACAGAAATAGACCCAGAAGTGACAGAGGTGATGAAATTAGCAGACAAAGGTATCAAAAATGCTATTATAAGTATGCACAAAGATTTAAATCAAAATACGAAAATACAAAAATAGTGAAAAGTGAAATGGAATGTTGTTTGGGCTGAATCATGTCCCTTGAGTATTTGTATGCTGAAGTCCTAACCTCCTGTACCTCAGGATGTAACTGTATTCGGAGACAGAGTCTTCAAAGAGGTAGTTAAGGTTAAATGAGGTATTTGGGGTGGGCTCGAATGCAATATAACTGGTGTCCTCATAAGAAGAGGCAATTAGAACCCAGGTACATAGAGTGAAGACCCTCTGAAGACACAGGGAGAAGGCGGCCATCTACAAGCCAAGGAGAGGGGCCTCAGAAGAAATCAACCATGCTGACGTCTTGATCTTGAACTTGTAGCCTCCAGAAATGTGAGGAAATAAATTGCTGTTGTTTAGCCGCCCAGTCTGCGGTATTTGTTATGGCAGCCCTACCAAATTAATATAAAAATATTTTTGAAAAATTTAATCAACTCATGGGTTAAAAAATATAAAATTTGAAATGAAAAATTTACTGGATGAGCGTAACAGCTTATTAGACACTGCAGAAGAAATATCAGTGAACTTGAAGTGTGGGGCAGTAGTAGCTCTCCAGATTGAGGCACAGAGAGGGAAATAGCTGGCAAACAAAGGTGTAGAACTTCAATGACCTATGGGAAAATATCAAGCCACTTAACCCATGTGGATGGAAAAAAGTATGGAGAAAAGATGCAGAAAATACTTGAAGAAAACTTGTTAAAAACTCACAAATTAAAAACTATAAATCTATATTTGAAAGAGATCAATACATTCCAAGCATGATAAACACAAATGAAATCACACACAGAGACAACATAATAAAATTTCCAGAAACCAATGATAAAGAGAAAAATCTGGAAAGAAGCCAGAGAAAATATGCTCATGATATACAGGGGGACAAAGATAAGAATGACAAATGTTTTCTCATTAGAAATAATGCAAGCAAAAAGAAAAGGGAAAACACATTTACAATGTATACAAAAGAGAAAGATCAACTGTATTAGTTAGCTTAGGCTTCCATAACAAAATACCATAGATTGCGTGATTTAAATAACAGAGATTCATGTTGTCATAGTTCTGGAGGCTAGAAGTCTCCAATCAAGATGCCAGCTGCTTAGATTTTTGGTGAGGTCTTTGTCCTTGGCTTGTAGATGGCTGCCTTCTAATAAGGTCCTCACATGGCCTTTCCTCAGTGCATATGCATGGTGGGAGAGAGAGAGGCAGAGAAAGAGAGAGGGAGAGAATGAGGTAGAATGAGAGAAAATGAGAGAGACAGAGAAAGAGAGAGAGAGGGAATGAAGTAGAGAGAGTGAGAGAAAATGAGAGAGACAGAGAGAGAGAGAGGAAAAAAGACAGAGAATACTCTGGTGTCTCTTCTTATTAGGGCACTAATCCTATTAGAACAGGGCCCCCACCCTATGATCTCATTTAATCCTGATTACTTCCTTAAAGGACACATCTGCCAGTGTAGCCACACTAGGGGTTAGTGCTTCAACATAGGTAATTTGTGTGTGGGGCGGAGTGGAGGAAGGGTGCTGACATAAACATTCAATCCATAACATCAACCTAGAATTCTATATAAAGCAAATCTATCTTTTAAAAAGGAGGTAAAATAAAGACATATTTCAAAAATCAAAGGTGAGAGTATTGATACCAGCATTACCAACTATTACATGAGCAGTGTGAAAATATTAAAGGAAAAATTTTAATGAAAATATCTTTTATATTACCCACATATTTTCTATTCCTGGTAGAAAATTTCATTCTACCAGGAATGAATTTCTATTTTCTGTTCTGAAATTTCTGTTCTGCCAGGAATAGAAAATATGTGGGTAATATGAAAGACATTTTCAATTTTAAAATCTCTTTAAAAGATAAGGTAATGTCTAAAGCAAAAATAATAGCAATATATTAAGGAGATTGATTATAACATATGTGGAAGTGTATGACAATACCACAAAAAAAGACAAGGCAGTGGTAAGTGGAAGATTACTGTTGTAATGATCTTATATTATATATGAAATGGTATAATATACTTGCATGCAGACTGTGAAAAGTTAAACATGCATATTTTGACTTTTTTCAAAAGAGAAAACATTAAGAATTAAAACCATTACAGCTAATAAGCCAGTAGAGGGACAAAATGAAATCACAAAGACCCTAATTAATCCTCCAGAAATCATAACAGCACAAAATAATAACAAAGACAAATGGGACCAAAGCAAAACAAATAGCAATACAGCAGACTTAGGACCAGCCATATCAATAAGTGGACTGCACACTTTGATTAAAAGAATAAATAGGGAGATTTTATAATGATTAAAGGGTCAATTCATCAAGAATACATAGAAAGCTTAAACATGTATACGCTTAATGACAGATCTTTAGCATATCTGATCAAAGAACTCTTGGAAGTAAAGGGAGAAAGAGACAATTCCAAAATTATATTTGAACGGTTTAGACTCCCTCTCAGTAATTGCTAGCACAGATAAAAATCAGAAATCATATATATGACTTGAACAATACTACTAATCAACTGATTTGTATTTTAAGAACATTTTACCAAGTAATAGCAGAATATATATTATTTTCAAATTCAAATGAAACATTAACCAAAATAGGTCACATTCTGGGCCAAAAAACAAACTTTAACAAATTTTAAAGGGTTGAAATCACGTAAAATATGTTATCTGCTCATAGCAGAATTAAAATAAAAGTGAATAACAAAAACATATCTGGAAGGTCATGAAATATTTAGAACTTAAACAACACATTTTCCCACAATTCCTGGGTCAGAAAAGTCACAAAAGAAATGATATTATACAACATTTCAAAATCGGTAGGGTATAGGTAAAGCAGTGTTTTGAGAGAAATTTATATCAGTGAATACTTACAGTAGAAAAACGGAAGCTATAGAAGCTTCTAAGCTTTTGCTCTAACAACTAGAAAAAGAAGAGCAAATCAAACTAGAAAAAGAAGACCTTAGTGAGTGGAAAAAGAAAGCAATAAAGAAAGTTAAATCTCTAAATGCTACTGATATGTGGTAAAAAAAAAAAAAGGTAGTAAAACTAGTGGAACAGATAACAAACAATAGAGAATATCAATGAAACCAAATGCTGGTACTCTGAAAACATTTTAAAAAATGTATAAACTCTAACTGCAAAGTTCAAGATTAAAAGAGAGAAGACACATATTACCAGTTATCAAAAATGAAAGTGGAGACACACTGTAGATACTATAGACATTAAAATTATAATAAGAAATCAGAATGTCAATAAATTCAACAACTTGTATGTAATAAACAATTTCCTTGAAAGACACAGTTTACAAAAATGGACAGAAGAAGAATTAGAAAATACCAGAAGCCCTATTAAAGGATTTGCATTCATGATTTAAATTTTTTTCACAACAAAAAACCAGTAGACCTAGGTTCTTTCAAGTGATAAATTCCCTCTATTTAAGAAAGAAATGGTATTACTTTAAACAAACTTTAAAAATATACAAGAGAAGACTTCTCAACATTTTTTTGATAACGACATTAATCTGACGCTAAAATTAGACCAAGACATTATAAGAAAAGAAAATTTTAGTCAATATTTTTCATCTATGTTGCAACATAGATGAAACAATTTTTAAAATATAATAATGTAGCTAACATTGAATTGCAACATATAAAATTGACAATATATCATAACTAAGAGGGATTTATTTGAGGATTGCAAATTTAACTGAACATGCAAAAATAACCAATATAATTCATCATATTAAGAGAACAAAATAGAAAATTTATATAATTATTTCAATACATATTTATAAAAAGCATTTGACAAAATGTAACATTCACTCAGGCTAAAATCTGTTAGCAAACTAAGATAAAAAGGTGCTTTCTCAATTTGATAAAGAGCATCTACTAAAAACCTAGAGCTAACATCATGTTTCATGGTAGAAGAATGAATACTTTCCTCACAAGATTAAGAACAAGACAAAGACATTTGCTTTCCTACTACTGAAGGTTCTAGTCAGTGCAACAGGCAAGAAAAAAAGATAAAAAGCATATATTTTTGAAATAAAGATGTAAAACTCAATTCAAGAATGGCATGATCATGTATGCAAAAATTCTAAAAAATCCACAAAAAACTGCTAGGACCAATAAATAGTTTTAGCAAAGTCATAGATTAAAATTTAATATAAAAATATTAGCAACCAAATCATTAAAGATAGAAACTATAAAAACTATATTGTTTATAATAGATAAAAACATGAAATACTTAGGGATATCTTTAAAAAATTTATACACTGAAAACCATAAAGCATTGCTGAAGGAAATTAAAGAAGATCTAAATAAATAAAGAGATATATTATGTTCATGAATCAGGTGATTCAATTTTTTAAAATGTCAATTCTCTCACATTGATGTACAGATTCAACAAAAAAATCCTCCAAACTCAGCAACTTTAAAAAAAAATTGACAAACTGAGTCTAAAACATATATGAATGTAGGCATGCAGATATATTTATATTACCTTGTTTTAAGACTTACTATCAAGTTAAAATAACCAAGAGAGTATTGTATTAGCACAAAAATAAACAAGCAGATCAACTGAACAGAAAAAAGACCCTAGAAATAGATTTACACATATGAAGTCAATAGATTTTTGACAGAAATGGTGAGATAATTCAATGGGAAAAGAAGTCTTTTCAACAGACTATGCTGGAACAACTGGCTCTTCTGTTGGAGAAAATAAATCTTGACTTTTATTTCACATTGTATATAAAAATTAACTCAAATGAATCACAGGCCTAATATAAAACCTAAAACTAAAAGACACCTAGAATAAAACATAGACAAAAATCTTCATGATACTGAGATAGGCACAGATTTCTTATGCAGGACATTAAAAAACACTAATCATAGAAGAAAAAAAATTGATTCAAATAAAAGTCTTCAACAAAATGAAAGTCTTCTGGTTTTAAGTCCCCATTAAGAAGAGTCAAGCTACAAACTAGGACATATTTATAAAACTTACATTAAAAAAGGCTCATAACCAGAGTATAAAGAAATAAAAATGAAAAAGCAATCTTATAACTCAATAATAAAAAGACAAATAACTCAATATAAAATAGGCAAAAAATTTGAAAAGACACTTGTCAACAAAGATATGTCAATGACCAACGAAAGGTATCTAACATAATTAGTCATTAGAAAAATGCAAATTTACACCACAATGAATATACACACCTACTAGAAAGACTAAAATTTAAAAGCTGGCCAGGTGTGGTAGCTTATGCCTGTAGACCCACCAGTTCAGGAGGCTGAGGCAGCCAGATAGCTTGAGCTCAGGAGTTTGAGACCAGTCTAGCCAACATGGTAAAACCCCATGTCTAAAAAAAAAAAAAAAAAAAAAAATTAAAAAGCTAGCAATACTTTACATTGGACCATACTTAACAATGGGGTAAATGTAAAGCAACTAGAACTGTCTAATATTGCTGGTGAGTAATTTGTCCAATAAAATGTACAGAGAGACAAGGAGATAAAAAAAAAAAGAAGGAAAGGAAAGAAGAAAGAGAAGGGATCTAGGGAGGGAGGAAGGAAAGAAATAAAAAAGGGGCATGGAGGGGAGATGAAAAAACTTCAATATATGCACAGTAGAAATCCCAGAAGAAGAGAATGGTAAACAGAAGAGCAAACAGAAGAGCAGTATTTGAAGAGTAAACACATGTAATTTTTCCCAAATTGAATAAGGATATGAGTCATTAGATTAAAACTTCCCTCTGAATATAAAGACATATAATTAATGTAATCTACACCTCGACAAATCATAGCAAAACTTTAGACTAACAAAGATTAAAGAGAAATATCTTTAAAACAATAAAATAATATATTCAGAATGATGAAAGAAAATACAAATTATAATTTTATTTTCAATTAAACACAATTCAGGAATGAGAGAAAAATTAAAACATTTTCAGACATAGTCCAAGAGAACTTACTACCCATGCATACTTACTAAAAAATCTGGTAAAATGTGTACTTCCATAAAAAGAAAAGTGAATTCAGAGCGAAAGCTTGAGATACAAGGGAGAGCAATGAACACAGACACTGACTGAAATACATTTCGAAATTTAATAGCTTATAGTAAGTAAAAAATGAAACAAAACAAAGCAAAAACAACTCGAATGTGTCAAACTAAAACACTAGAGAATAAAAAGTCAACAGGAGAGTGGTGTTTTATAATCACTACACTAAATAACTCAATGTTTGGGAAAAGTGAAAAGCATGTTTAATATATTTAGTAATTGTTATAAAATTTTATATTTAAATGTGGAAGTAAAAATTAAGAGTAAGCACTAAATCAGTAGAAACTTAATGTTTAGTTTTAAAATTAGCAGCAGAAAATAATGTATCACTTTAACAGAAAGTAGGAATGGGGAAAAAATGAAAGCGAAAGAAAAGAATAGTAAATAGAAAACACAAAATGAAATGGTAGAAATAAAGCCGAATACATCAGTAATCATTAATTCTGGGAGGTTGAGGATGCAGTGAGCCATGATCATGCCATTGCACTCTAGCAGGGTAAGACCTTGTATATATATATATATATATATATATATATATATATATATATATATATATATAAGAAAGTCCAGGTTTTAATTGAAAATCATTTGTTATAACAACAAACTGGGGAGAACTCAAATGGAATGAAAAATAACAATGAACAGATGCCAATACTGAGATGACAAAGATGTTAGAATGATCTGAAAATAAATTTAAAGCAGCCATGAAAAATATCCTTCAGTGAGCAACTGCAAAGACACTTGAAGCAAATGAAAATATAGAAAGCCTCAGAAAAGAAATAATTTCAGCAAAGACATAGAAGAATAAAGAGCCTAGGGGGTTTACTGCACTCCAGCCTGGGTGACAGAGTGAAACCCTGTCCAAAAAAAAAAAAAAAAAAAAAGTTAAAATGCCATACAAAAAAACAACCAGAAGAAAGCTAGTGTAGTGACATGAATATCAAAAGAAAAATAATTTAAGACAAAGGCATTCATTGAAATAAGGATACCTAGAAATCCCCATCATCTCAGCAAAAAAGCTCCTTAAGCTCATAAGCAACTTCAGCAAAGTCTCAGCATACAAAATCAATGTGCAAAAATCACAAGCATTTCTATACACCAACAAAAGGCAAGTAGAGAGCCAAATCATGAATGAACCCCCATTCACAATTGCTGCAAAGAGAATAAAATACCTATGAGTACAGCTAACAAGGGAAGTGAAGGACCTCTTCAAAGAGAAACTACAAACCACTGCTCAAGGAAATCAGAGAGGACAAAAACAAATGGAAAAACATTCCATGCTCATGTATAGAAAGAATCAATATCATGAAAATGGCCATACCGTTCAAAGTAATTTATAGATTCAATGTTATTCCCATTAAACTACCATCGACATCTTCACAAAATTAGAAAAAAACTACTTTAAAATTCACACAGAACCAAAAAAGAGCCTGTATAGCCAAGACAATCCTAAGCAAAAAGAACAAAGCTGGAGACATCACACTACCTGACTTCAAACTATACCACAGGGCTACAGTAACCAAAACAGCATGGTACTGGTACAAAAACAGGCACATAGACCAATGGAATAGAATAGAGATCTCAGAATTAAGACCACACATCTATAACCATCTGATCTTTGACAAACCTGACAAAAACAAGCAATAGGGAAAGGATTCCCTATTTAATAAATTGTGTTGTGAAAACTGATTAGCCACAAGCAGAAAATTGAAACTGGACCCCTTCCTTATACCTTATACAAAAATTAACTCAAGATGGATTAAAGACTTAAATGTGAAACCCATAATTATAAAAACTCTAGAAGAAAATCTAGGCAATACCATTCTGGACATAGGCATGGGCAAAGAGTACATGATAAAATCACCAAAAGCAATTGCAACAAAGGCAAAAATTGACAAATGGGATCTAATTAACCTAAAGAGCTTCTGCACAGCAAAAGAAACTATCATCAGAGTGAACAGACAAACTAGAGAATGGGAGAAAATTTTTGCAATCTATACATTTGACAAAGGTCTAATATCCAGAATCTACAAGGAACTTAAACAAATTTACAAGAAAGAAACAACCCCATTAAAAAGTGGGCAAAGGACATGAACAGATTTCTCAAAAGAAGACATTTATATGGCCAACAAACATGCTCAACATCACTGATTATTAGAGAAATGCAAATCAAAACCACAACGAGATACCATCTCACACCGATCATAATAAAAAGTTAAGAAACAACAGATGCTGGCGAGGCTGTGGAGAAATGGGAACCCTTTTACACTGTTGGCGGGAATGTAAATTAGTTCAACCATTGTGGAAGATGGTGTGGCTATTCCTCAAACACCTAGAACCAGAAATATCATTTGCCCCAGCAATCCCATTACTGGGTATATACCCAGAGGAATATAAATCATTCTATTTTAAAGCTGCATGCATGCGTATGTTCATTGCAGCACTATTCACAATAGCAAAGACATGGAATCAATCCAAATGCCCACCAATGATAGATTGAATAAAGAAAATGTGGTACATATACACCATGGAATACTATGCAGCCATAAAAAGGAATGAGATCATGTCCTTCGCAGGGACATGGATGGAGCTGGAAGCCATTATCCTCAGCAAACTAACACAGGAAAAGAAAACCAAACATAGCATGCTCTTTCTTATAAGTGGAAACTAAACAATGAGAGCATATGGAGACAGTGAGGGGAATGTCACACACTGGGGCCTGTCAGGGGGTTTGGGGGAGGGAGAGCATAACGATAAAGGGCTAATGCATGCAGGGCTTAATACCTAGGTGATGGGTTAATAGATGCAGCAAACCACTATGGCACACATTTACCTGTGTAACAAAGCTGCACATCCTGCACATGTATCCCAGAACTTAAAATAAAACAAAATTAATTTTTAAAAAAAGAAATAAGGAGGGGCATTGCAAACAATAAATGGAACAATCTAGGAAGAGAAATATTTTAGCCACGAACTTGTATGTACTAAATTAACAAAGGAATTTCATTTACAGTGAGGTTTACCATATCCTTGTCAAAAACTGATGAATCAAGTGGGCCAGAAAGTGTTTTCAAACAATAAAATTAGCACTTTACCTAATATATAGAAATAGGCTTCTGCACCTCACAAAGAAATTATTTTCCAAGCACTCTCTATATGAGATCTATTTTTTCTATTTTTATTGTATCCTATGTAACCTACTAGATGGGAAATTTTATATGCTTTAAAAGTACATACTTTAAAAATAGAGTGATCTAGAAAAATGAATCAAGAAAATGAAAAGATAAAGGTACAAAGTAAAACAATACTACGGACAAAAGTGGAGATATTAATTATAGAGATTAAAAAACATGACTAATGTGAACTTTAAATCAATAACTTTGAAATCTTAAAGTGAACAGTTGTTTTGGAAAATTTAAATTACCAGACTTGACTGAAGAATAAATGGAAAATTAAATAACTCTTGATAATAAATAATCTTCAATCCTTAATTTTCTCACATGGTGAATTTGCTTCATCTCAAATTCACCAGGACTTGATAATTTTCCTAAATGTAAACTTTATGAAACATTCAAATAGAATATTGGATTAGTTATTCATTATGTTATAGAGAATCCTGTGTCATGATTGGTAGATCACACACACACACACACACACACACACACACACACACACACACACATCATCCATTGGCGGTAAAAAAGGAGCTCCTACATGAGCAACACCAGTTTCCCAGAGCTCCTGGATTTCTTGGTGCATTCATGTTTTATTTCCCATTTCTTTGCCAAAATATTCTCTAAAATCCTCTAAAACACGCTCAGTCTTAAGTGACTATTAGTAGTACAAACTGTTACCACTGAGCAGCTAGGAAAATGATCTTTTACCAAATAAATGTTAAATCTCAATTTAGAGGGGAATATTTTTGACTAGGACCTCCAGTGATCCCAGTAGTCAGTGTCATTTTCTTCAATGTGAGAATAAGCTGGCTAACCAAAAATAAATAAAATGAAATAAAATAAATCAGAGATAAAAAATGAACCTTGCATTCATTTATTATGTATTTTTTCTTATCATTAATAAAAAAATGATTTGCTGGCTAATTTCCAGAACTAAGTCTTAGATTTTGAAGACCTTGGAAATATGCAGTAAAATGCATTTTAGAATCAACATGCCATCTTTACTTTCCCTGGTTCCAAGTATCTTTTGGATGGTAAAAATTACTCTGGTAACATAGAAGAAGTATGTGTCTCCTAGTTGCTTCACCTAATACTGTGGGTACTTTATTACAATGAAGTAGGATCATGGTGGTTTGGAATCCTAGTAAAATGCCATAAAGAAAAATCACCATGAATATAGTAGAGTTCTTAGATGTTATTTAAAAGAAATGATATCTCCCCTTCCCACATTTTCCTTGGTGTAATATTGATAACCTCCTGATTTCCAGTTCAGCATAAATGGGAAATGTGGAGTTGGAAAGCATAAAATCTACGATTTCTGAAGGTACACTTTTGATTGTGTTTAGTCTGAATAAAAAGCAAAGGGTGTATATTGAACCATTCAAAAGGAACTGGAAATTGCATACTTCAAGCACACCTTTGAAAGGTCTACTTCTGTCATTACTGTATTAACAAAAGGCTGTAGGGATGCCGGCAGTCGTATCTACCTACTTTCTGGGGAAGAAAATCTAAAATGAAAAGACCCAACAAAAGACAAGAAGATGGAAAGAGATTGTTGTGAAGGAAATGTCCTGGATTTCTTTTTTTTTTAATCTGTTACCCAGGATCCCAGAACCTATTTTACACAGAATGTTTCTTGGATACAGTGCTGCTAATAACTCTAACTGCAAGTCAGGTAAGACATGCAAATATTAATACATCTTTTTTTAATATCATGTACAATCAGGCAATTGAAAATAAAATGCTGTGACTTGATAAAACAAATAAAGCATATACTTTTGGTGATGGATATGCATGATGAAGGTAGAAATAAAATGAACAGGTCACCTAAAGTAGAATAGATGAAAGAATACTTTAGAGTTCATAAGAAGTTTTCCTTGCAAAAAGATCAAAGAATAGTTGAAAGTATATTTAAAAGCTGCATTGTGGTAGAGCTTCTATTCTAAAATTCTTTAGCTATTCCATTTGAAAACACACACTAGCTGTTAGGTTAGCACCAAATATGGAAATGTCAAAATGACCATGGTCTCAGTAGGGTTAAAAGGAAAAATAAGAATTTGTTGTAAAAACACATCATTAACTATATTTGCACCTCTGGTTCATTGGCCTTGATAACATAGGTTGTTTTTCTTTACCATCACAGTCAGTTCCACCCTCTGGAACAATGAACCCCTAAGCTTTGGCTAGGTGTGCCTGGCAGTTTTCTTTGAAGATATTATGTTGCATTGTAATGAGGTCTTAACTGGATTGATCTAAGTCACTCTCAGATCATCCTGGGCATCTTTTAAAAAAAAATAGATTTCCTTTTTTAAGAACAGGAGCATAAAACAACCACCACCACAACAAACATATTAAGTAGGTCTCATTTTGAAGGTTTCAGTGACTAGTTTAATTTTTCCAAAATCATCTACTTATCTTTTTACTTCAAAGCAACAAGGTAGGACAGTCATCCAACTTAGACTTATTTGAATTAAACCAAGAGCTTGTTTCTCTCAGCAGCTTAGTATAGATTTAAAATGACATGAAGTGAACATACATGTTGGAGAAATTACATTGGAGTATATGATATGTTCAAGAGACTTCTAGGTTTATAACAGACAGTATAGCCAGGCTTGAAATATTCTCTGTGTTGCACTCTCCACTCTCTAATCATGTGGGCAGCATCTGGGGTGAGAAATTAACCTAGGTGTCTCCACTGAACACATCTTCATATTTGCATTAATCAAAAATATTAATTCATTCCTCATAAGCTCCTTGATAATAAGGACTAGATTTATCTTTTAATGATGTGTATCTTTAGTAAATTTTGAAAAAATAAGCTAATGATATCTTGATATACTACACTGTCCAATGCACCTCTTCTTCTTTTCCTTCTTGTACTTCCTTACCTGTTCTCTGTTGAATTTGCTCTTCAGCAACAGATGAAACAGTGCCATAACCTAATGCCATTAATTCAGTTTCTTCCCGGTCACCTCTCCACTTGTACAGCATTTTTATTTGTGGAAAATAATAAGAAACCCAAGACTTCAAAAAAGATTTAAGTAGCAGTAATGTATTCATAATTTAGATTCTGGGTTCTTTTAAGATGTAAAACTCACCTGAAACACATACTTTGCGATAGACATGTCACCTTGCTAAGTTGTATTCTAAGAAAGCCTACACCTGTTTTAATCCGCTCTCCCTTCTCCCTTCTCCGACTGATTCGAGGGTTGCTACACTATCAATGGTGAAGTGACATGACAAGAGCTTTCCAGGAATGCCGTCGCTGCAGGTGTGTGTAACAAACTATTCTAGGGCAATTTTAAAGGAATCGAGGGAAAATAAGGACAGGAAATAAAATAACTTAAAAATGAAAACAATCATTTAGTGAGTACATGCTCTGTGCCGGACACTTCATAATACATTTTTTTTCATTTAACCCTAACAATAACCTTATCAAGTATGTATGACTACCTTATTTCATACCTTCGAGAACCAGAGTTGCAGATAGGTTGAGTAACATACTAAACAGAAGAGCTGGGATTCAAACCGGGTATACTTGACTCTAGAGCCCATGCTTGTTCTGTGCCCACAGCTCTTATTACCAGGAAAGCAGTGACACATTTTATTTTTATTGGTGGGAGTCACTCAAGCCAGCCCATTCTCTGCCATTGAACCCTGCTTTTGCCAAACAAGTCAGTGAAGGTAAGAATGATACATTGGGTGGGTCAGTAGAATTATGGAAAAGTGATCACTGTATCAGCGTCTCCAAAATAATCACATTATCTCTAGAACATAAATATACAATGTTTACTGCTCATAGACTTTTACATAATTTAACTTATACTTGTAAGAAAAGAGCACCTATCCTCTTAGGAACTTTCCTGTCATGCGGTGATTATCTCTGGCCTATAATGAATAAAAACATTTCTATTACATCTTTTTGTTTGGTAGGAAGAATAGGAGCTGTTGACTCACCTATTCATGTTTTGGAGATATTTTTCAAGAAAGAAATTGGAGGAAAGCAAGGGAAGAAGAGAGAAGCCTCACAGAAATATTCTTGAGTGCTCACACATTTTTCTTAATATTCAGATGGCAGATGTTCAGCAGGAGTTAGTGCATCAAAGATTTAGGTTTAGAAAAAAGTAGAGAAAGGATTAAAGCAAGTCGATGGGAGAGGCAAGGATGTGTGGTGAGATAATGATGAGGAATTTGTTGTTGCTCTGTAATTATCTTCTAGATTTGTGTCTCTGCCACTACTGTGATGTACTGAAAATACACCATAAGATCTGATGTGATGCTGGGGAGGTTTAGAGAGTAACTCTAATACATCGCATTTTATTTTTTTCATTAAACCTTAATCATCTACAATGTGTGAGACTGTGCTAGGCACTTAAAATAAAGCATCCTTCACTTACTGGATGTGAGTTAAAGGAGGGTACATATTCTCGTCCCATTTGTCAGAAACAGCTCCATGGCAGGGGTCGGGGCAGTCAGGGGGTATAAAAAACCAACTAGATAGTTACCATTTATATTATTGGTGGTCCTCAGGGCATAAATATTACATAATAGGATGTAAATATAGTTTATTTTAAAATGTAGGAAACAAATTATCCTTTTTTTTTTCCTTTCATAGACTTAAAACAGTTAAAAAACTGTTGAGAACATTAACAGGACCTGTAACTCAGCACTACTTTTAATAGGTATGTAAGTTAGCTCTTCACATGCAAGTCAGATGAAAAATTTTATAGAAAGCGGGCAATAAACTTAATAAGGTGTTTTATAATATGCAGAATAAATATTAGTACAGTACATGAACCTCAATGCCAGCAACAAATTATAAAGCTTAGCATGCAATTAAAATCACTAATGGAACACTGTACAGCGAGAATGTGTTCATTCTTAGATCAGTCAGAGAGGAGCTATTTGGTGTCAGAGCCACCACTTGAACTTAATGACACCCTCTTAAACTTATTTTTAAACACTCTGTCTGTCATGCAATAGCTATACTTTATGGGTGTCTTCAGTTCTGTTTTAACATATGTCATACCTGCTAACAAAATATATCCTCAAGACAGAATGGCCCTTGTGGCCAAGAGACAATCTTCTACACTCAGGTGAATTTTTCTGATGTCAAACTTATGAACAAATAACAATAATGGTGTATCATTCAGTGATTGGCATGCCTACAGTGTCTTAAGATTTAAAATTTAGGAACCAGAGAGCTGCCTGAAATTTATTAGGTCATCAATCCTGCTGCCATGAAAACTATTTTGTCCTGATTTTAAAAATAAAATTGTGCTTTTTTGCTCCATGCTTTTTTGTCTGTGATTCTGTCAATATCATTTACCTCATCTCCATGTGTACAAATATTACTCATCTCTCAAGACCCAGATTAAATGCCATGTTCTCCATGAAACTCTCCCCCACTTTTCACAGTTGGAAATAATCTTCTTTTTTTGAACATCCATAGCACTTATTTGCATTTCTTTAGTGCTTTTTACTATCTAATAGTAGTGTATGATTGTTATACATTTTGCATAATTTTATAACTATATTTCTATACAATATATTTACTTTTCTGTGTACATTGTCACTTTATTTGGACTAATAGAGGAAAGAAGTGTCTCAGAATTAGGTATAGAAGCAAAGGGTTTCCATCTTTGGTTTACAAGCTAGATGTGGATATTTACTGGAAACTTAGCCCTTAAGTGGGGGATATCTGTCAGATGAGGGAATGGCTTTGTAGTCTCTGATGGCGCTGGCACATAGAGATGCCCTTTCTATGTGTAAATTTAAAAGTCGACATCTGTCAACTTTCTTGATGAAAGAAACGTTTCCATAAGTGAAAGGTTTCAAATCCACGCCCACATTTGAATGAGAAGAAAGACACGTGTTAGACGTGTCGTCTTCCTAAGTTGTGTTCTAAGAAAACCTCCACCTGTTTTAATTGGCTCTCCCTTCTCCTACTGATTTGAGGGTTGCTACGCTACCGATGGTGAAGCGACATGAGAAATGGCCTCCTATATTCAAGAAGAAAAAGCTCACAGAGCTCATGGTGAAAAATAGGAGAGAAAATTGAGTATTGGAATTGTATCTGATCTGCTCACCCTTAGAAACCGGGAGCCTTTTTGTTTCTGTGGTCATGGAGGTGGGCCCCTCAGACCTTCCCTCAAGACAGAGCGTGCTGAAGAGTGCAATCGGCAGACAGCTTCCAGATGCTGCACCTTTAGAATCCACCACAGCCTTCATCTTCAAGTCTGTGCTCTTTTAGAACTGCTCCCAGTGAGTAACTGGGTACAGGAGGTGTTCTGTGAGCCAGGCCACTTCTGCCCAGTGAGAGACTCCTCTAAAAAACAGTTTGTTCTGTGGCTTTCCTTGTCGTGGCTAGGACTTTCTCGAGCTACACTGCTGTTTGAAGCACTTCCTTCCTTCCTGCTCTCTTTTCATAGGTGTTAGATCGGCATTGTGATATAAAGTCTTTCCCTTCCTATAATTGCTTTATTTATCCTCCACAGACAAGTACACATGTTTGCACTTCTAATTCCATCTCTGTGTCTGCTTCCAGGAGTGCCGGCACTGACAGAGCTGCAGACTAGCTATCGTATGGACCAACCATTATGGCAAATTTGGACCCAAGTCCCCACACCCATGAATTCATTCATTTATTTGACTTATTTTAAAATATTTTTGAGCACTTTCTATGTTCAAAGCACTTCTGTTCTAGATATTAGTGATATGGGAATAAACAAAGCAGATAAGGTTGATATTTTGAATAGAACTTACATTATAATAGCATTAAGTTACTATTCTTTTACATTTATCCAGTATTCCATAAGGTTGTGTAGCTCATGACCATTTTCCAATTCTTAGCAAATTAGTGTCTGAAAAAGTCTCTTCATGTCCTTGTCCTTGTTTTTCCATCCATCTTTCATCTGTCAGAATGGTTTATTATATATGTGTATAATGAAAGAAAACAGAAGCAGATTTTGAGACTGTGTCTTATGAAGTAGCATATCTCAGGCAAAGTATATCTCATAACTTGGGCAGAATGAGGGAATGCTAATACGTTATCAACATAGGATAGTGGAAAAGAAGGGGGAGTTGGGCCTTTAAAAATCTATGGTTGGCTGTGGATTGGACTTGGGCTTAGACGGATTGATTTCTTTCAAATCTCAGGGAATTTTGCATGTGGAAAAAATACTCAGTACCATTTGTATCTTGTTTAATGCCTATTTTTTGAATTTATTTTAAAACTCTTTAAAATATAAAACCATTACTATTCCTCCAAATTAGAAGTTGAAAAAAATATAGCCCAAGGACCAAATCTAGCCTGCTGCCTATTTTTGTAAATAAAGTTTTATCAGGACACACCATGCCCATTCATTTAGGTATTATCTATGGTTTCCTTCATGCTACAACAATAGAGTTGAGTAATTGTGACAGAGACAGTCTGGCCTGCAAGTCTAAAATGTTTACTATTTGGCCCTTTTTAGACTAAGTTTGCTGACTTCTGGTTTAAATATTTTCACACTGCTGACCCAGCTACTATGAAAATACTATGGCTTTGTCAAAATAAGTATCCCAACCTATAAAAATTAATTACATATTTAATCCCTTTCTTTGATTGTAATTAAATCTGTGAAACTTAATATATCTTACTCTCTTAAATATATTAAACATGTCTCCAAACAAACCAAACATGAAAAATACCACAATGATTACAAAATATCAGTGATTACAAAACATGTAAAAACTTACACTAAAAGTGTTTATGAAAGTTCTAATACCATGGAATGGATTTGCATTTGTTTCTTCATTACCTCTCTCTCTTTATTCATTTCTTAAATTTTAATTTTATACCTTTCTCAACACTGCCTTCCTGGTTGCTATAACTAAGAAGATACTATTTCTAGGGTTGCAGTAATCATCCTAGTTGTACTAATATTATCAGGCATAAAGAAAAAAAATGGAGACCAGTTTAGGCTGCAGGATTGGAACTGATTCTTGCAGAGACAATAATTGATTGTATGACCCAATTTAAATGAAACTCAAGTCTATGATCATTAGGATGAAACCTTTTATTCATGGTTAAGTTTCATACTTGGTGGTTAATAATGGGAATTCTAAAATCCTTTACTTTTTACTTTTTTTGGAATTTGGAGTCTTCCCTGCCTATAATTGGGTATTGTGCTGCCATTGTGATATGTTTATCTGGTTTTAGCACTACTGGAATCAAATTATATATCACGTAAGTATTTGATTTTAATAAGTAGTCACCCAGAGGTTTTCTGCACAGACAATGAGGGATCAAATTTGCTCAGTTAATTCCCTTCTTTGGGATTTTGTTTTAATTATTCATTGTGTAACACACTGTGAGCTCCTCTTTTTAATTTCTGTTGTGTATGATCTCTGGGACTGACCAACTGATAGTTTTTTTTCCCACTTGGTTATTATCTGTGACTACTGGTGTTAAGCAGTCCTGTCCTGTTGTTGGTACTGTGAGCTTTTCTGGATCTATTTGACTTATTCATGGCTTCCTGTGTTCACTGTTTCCTGTACACACAGATAAAAACAAGTATATCACTATGATTTAAAAACACACATATATGTATGGAAATAATTAAAAGCTCACTTACATCAACATTTCACTATTTGTTAAAATAAATAAAATGCTATCTTTGTATTACAACTACTTTTATACACTTTTGAAATGAACTTTTTTCAGTGCCATAATGAATTCTACCTTTCACAGATTCAACTATTCTAATTAGCCATAATCATTAGCATATTTTTGTTTGCTTTGAATGTTTGAATTGTCACACCTTGTGAGTAGTAGCTCTTCAGCTGGATTTGTTGTCTCTCTGGCACATCCCCTGGCATCCTAGAAAACACGCTGATCTATAACTGCAAGACACACCCTTGCCATCCTAATTTTTCCTACCCTAAAACGTGAAGTCAGGTGTTTTTACCAAGTCCTGGTTCCTATGAGTGTGATTTGAAAACATAATCCGTGCTTTGTGAGTGCTCCTGATGGCACATTGTGCATGCAAGTGCTGCTGTTGCTGCAGGTGGAATTATTTTAGTGGCAGGGCTGGGAAAAACTTTAAGAGTCTGAGCTTATATCACATTTTTTCTCAATTAAAAAATTTTAATTATATGTTTTCATGCTGCATTCACATTAAAAATAAAACTGCACAAATAGGTTTTGTAAACCATGGATGATTTCTGTCCAGCACCAATATTTTCTGAGATTAGCTATGATTGAATCTGTAGTATTGGTCTCCCCAGCAGCCCTTTCTCCTTTCTTTGTTAATAGTACTTCAATTTTTCATTCTGGGACTTCTCTTCCCTCCTCCCTTGCTTTTCTGATGAGGTGGTCATGTTCGCTATCCTCAGCCTCCTCAGACACATGTCTGAGGTGAGACTATCCCATCTTCTCAGAATTTCAAATATTCACTGCTTGGACATTGACACAAAGCACTGACAAGAGTCTTTCCAATGACTTTCCCCTAAAGACTAAAAGAGATAATCTTTTAATACCTATTTCCTAATTTCCTGGAGCATCTCTGATCCTATTCTTCCCAAAGCCTGAATGTTCACTTTTTCTTTAGATTTTCTAATTTATTTTTTATTGTTAATGATTATTATGATCATTATTACTTTGCTTAAGTTAACTGGGGTCCATTTCTGTCACTTCCCACCAAAGAATCCTAACTGAGATACTCATTTTAGTGGATGGGTATGTGGGTGTCCATAGCTTATACTGTAACCATGGCAAGTGATTCTGAAAATCATTTGCATGATGCCATCATCAGTTCATTGAAAGAAGATTTCAGTCAATGACGAGGTGTGTGGGAAAAATGTGAGTTATTTTTATTCACATGTTGTCTTTTTTTTTTTTTGAAGCTCACTTTGCTTTTCTGTTTTATGTACTTTTCTATGTGTTTTCTTGGAATTATTTATTTTTATATGAAAATGATAGCTTGCTCATATTTTGTCATTTTCACAAAGAGAAAGCATAAGGCCATCTTTGAGAGAAAGGCCTGCGTAACTTCACCACCCTGGCCCTAAGTTTATCTGAGGTTGCGTATCCTGTATATATAACATAATTACTCAGCCTCTGTCTTCATGGGGGGGAAAAGGCCAGAGGTACTTTTGGGTTGTTTTCTTTGATGTCTTGGGATGGTTATTGACAATGGCTTTAGGCCATCAAGTGTTTGAACTTGTTTGAGTTGAACTATATGACTCCTACCAGCAAGGGTGCTGTGTTTTTCCCATTTGTGAAGTGCTATTTTTATTTCCTGTGTTCTGTAGACAATAATAACTGACCTTGAATTTTGCTGGGCTAAAGTGCTAGGTAAACAGTAAATAATCGTAGTGACTCCATGAGATCACTGTCTAGGTTGGGTACCTTTTGCATTCTTCAACACTCCATTGTTGGTTCAGGTTTTCTTTTTTTTTTGTTTGTTTGTTTGTTTTTGGTTTTTTTTGACAGAGTCTCACTATGTTGCCCAGACTGGACTGCAGTGGTGTGATCTTGGCTCACTGCAACCTCCACCTCCCAGGTTCAAGCTATTCTTGTGCCTCAGTTTCTTCAGTAGCTGGGATTACAGGTGTGTGCCACCCCGTCCTGCTAATTTTTGTAGTTTTAGTAGAGATGGGGTTTTACCATGTTGGCCAGGCTGGTCTCAAACTGCTGACCTCAAGGATCTGCCTGCCCCTGCCTCCCAAAGAGCCGAGATTACAGGCAAGAGCCACGGCACCTGGCTAGTTTTTGGTTTTTAAATTGCCTGACTTAATCTTCAGATTATAGTAAATGATTCCAAAGCATAGCTACAATAGTAGCTACCATTTATTGAGTATAGTGCCAGACACTGTAGTAGGTGCTTTGTAAAAAGTGTGTTTTATGTTAACCAAAATCTTGGGTGGATATTGATGTGGTAACACTTATAGACAAGGGAACTGGGATTTGAAGTTCTGTGATTTGATAAAAGTTTTATCAAAAATTCCCATGCCCTACATTTTGATATTTATTGAAATGAAGTATGCCCTGGTCCTGCATATTTGTACAGAGATATTACAGTATGTCTATGCTTCTCTAGTGGGTGCATACTTGCTGAAAGCCAATACTGTAAATGAATCCAATTTTTCTAGGAACTCAGTTTTTAAAGGGTTTCTGTTGCCTGCAACTTTTTAGGAGCGCACTGGTACGATCATGGCTCACTGCAGACTTGACCTTCCAGGCATAAGTGATCCTTCCACCTCAGTCTCCTGAGTAGCTGGGACCACAGGTGTGTGCCACCACACCTGGGTAATTTTTGCGTTTTTTTGTAGAGAATCTCACCACATTGCCAAGGCTTGTCTTGAACTCCTGGGCTCAAGCGATCCTCCCACCATGGATTCCCAAAGTACAAGGATTACAGGTGTGGGCTACTGTGCCCAACTGGCTTGCAATTTCTGATCCACTACTGTCTCCCAAATATTTTCCTTTTCATTATGTGTGAGTTAGATAGGAGAGAGAAGACAAAATAAACAAAGGCTGGGAATGATAGTCCTAAGAACTAGATGCACACTAAAAAACTCCACTTAGTCTTCTTTTCTAAGTGGAGTCATAAAATATGCATTATAGTCATAAAATACTGGAGTTGGAAAGTATCATTTTCTTGAACCCTCTATTTATTTAATGCCTTTAATCTCACAGCTTGTAAGTAGTGGTTCAAATTCTGAGCCACGAGTTTTCTTACTTGATCTAGAACTCTTTCCACTACTTAAACATGGCCGGCCTTCTTAAGGGTCTGGAGAAGATTCACTCAAACACACGTCATATTGAACACGATTTAAATAAGCACTTTGTTATTTCTGCAGGTGAGTGACCATAACCTCTTCTCAACAGAGAAGCCTACTTGGCAAAACAAATAAAAGCCTTGACAAATAATGGGATAAAAACAACACATATGACTACATAGCCCTTGTTTCAATCATTTTCAAATCCCAAACTTTTTACCCGCTTATGCTTTTTTCCACATCCAGCATCCAATACCTTCTCCAAGCCAGAAATCTGAATGTCACCCTTGATTTCTCCCTCTTTTTTATTTCCTTTAGTCAATCAGTCAGCTGGTTTTGTCACCATATCATTTGAATATGACAATTTTTATTTCTTCCTACTGCTACACTACAGTTCAGTGCACCATCATCTCCTCACCTCAGTGATGGGATTGCTGCAACAACATTCTAGCTGTACCTAAAAGGAAATACCTCATGTTGTCTATGCATAACCACACCTCTTGGAGCCATGGCCTTTTGGGGGTGACTTGGGTCCTAGAGGGCATACAGCAGAGTGAAATTGGCTGATAATGGGTTGCCACAGAATTGGTGAAGAGTACAGATTGGCACAGTTTGTTTCAGTGCCAGGCTAAAGTTGTCACTGGAACTCTTTGAACCAAGGATGAGAGATTAAATTATTAAACAGGAAATGCAGCTGGCTTTGGACTCTAGGCATAACAGAATAGTGCTTCATGCTTTAGAGGCTGGGTGAAGGTATTAAGAGATCAATGGGAGGTCAGCAATAGATGAGAAAAAAACAAAATAAAATTGGAGAAGTAAGATGGTTACTTTCCTAACACTTACCAAGTTCTAAGTAGGACATATTTGTTGAATTGTATATAGACTGTAGTCTTGTTTATGTGGTATCAAGGTCTTCCCACATTGACAGTTGACTCAAAGTGGCTAGGCCAGCATACACATTTAGGAGCCAAGGGCTCGAAGCCTGAGTATCAGTTCTATGAGTTTAGTAAGTTCTTTGATTTTACTTTTTCCTTAGCTAGAGATTGAAAAGTGGCCTTGTTATGCCCAAACAGGTTGGGTCATGCTTAATTTGGACTGTCCAAAGGCAGAATAAAAAATTAGTAACAAAGGTACAGATAGCCAGATTAGGTGAGATTTTTAAAAAGATAAAATGGAAGATGGCAGCTTTATATGAAAAAGACTGTTAGCAAAGAGATTGGCCACTACAGGTGAAACTGAATGTTAGATGGAATCCACAGGGCTAAGGCTGAGGCTAATGGGTTTTGCTAAATCACTATGGGATTATATTTACCAAAAGTACCAATTCATTGTGTAGTAAAGAGAGTCTTGCCGGACAAGCATAAACAGTGGATTCCCTATCAAATAGCACACTTAGCTTGGGAGAGAAACCGTATGAGTCTTTCATAGCCAAGATGAAACAGTGTTTCATTGAAAACATTCTCACTCTAAACTCTCAGGGATCCTGATTTCTAAATTGGTTTCAATTAAATATTTTTTTTCCTTCTAAAAAAACAACATACACCTTTAATCTCTTCTAACTACTGGCAGATCTGTGATGCTGTAGCACTCCACACCTTCCCAGTGGCTGCAATTACACACATCAAGTTTCAGAATGAACGACAAGGTAAGATTCTGGAGGTAAAAGGCTACCACTTATGGTCCCCATTTTGCTCTCATGTGTCACAGCCTTTTATTGTCAGGAGTTATTTAGAGAAACAGTCACCGGCTAACAAAACCATCTGTTAGTTAACAACAGCAAAATATGAGGCTTTTTCAAAATGGCATGGGGCATTTCAAGTTAAGGGAGAGGGGTGCCAACTATTTTTTCCCTTTAGTCTTTCCTTGTTAAAGAAGAATGCATTTGTTATCAAAGCCAGTTTGGCTAATGTGCTTTCACCTCATACGTATCTAGAAATCAAAGCTGCCTAGAGAGTTATTTGAGGGTATGTTCTCCCTTTGGAGCCCATCTTGCTCCAGCCATGCTCATAAGAATTTCATGTGTGCATCAAGAAAACAATATAGCCTTTATGCCATTCAACCAACACGTCCTACTCAGAACATGGTAGATGTTGGGAAAGCAAAAATGGTCTCTCTGGACAGATTTGGTAAAATTCTTCACCTTTGTACTACTCCATTACTTCTCCCAGCCAGGGGAGAAGGGGTGGTAGATGAAGAATCTCTGTACTGCTTTTCCCTCAGCCAGATAGTTTCCCAAATCAGCTAAATATAACTCCATTTATTGTCATGCTAAAACGTTCTATTTAGCTGTGTTTAACTGGATATCATGGTTTCATGGGGTGACCTTTCACTCCTGGGAAGTCGTTTTAAATTCAATCCCCAGCAAAGGAAAATCCTTCCAATTCGTTGGCTGTGAAAGGTCACAAGTGAGATGTGTTTTGATGGTATCTGCCTATGGCTTAATTCTCAGTAAACCTGAGCACTAACTGGGCCTCAATTGTCCTTTGTCTTGGGAATCTGAGTTCTAAGAAGCCTGGGAGAGCTGAGTGGGAGACATGGGCTGAGTTGCTGGCATCAGGAAAGGGTACACAAAGGTACCAGCTGAAAGGTGAGGTTTATGGTGCTAAGTTAGGTCAACTCTGCCTTCTTTCTGAGCTGATTGGGAATTGAGACAAAATATATAGTTTCTCTTCTTGTTTCATTTGATCTCTTTAAGAGGGACATTTCCCACTTTCTGGGAGGCAAAGAGGGCTTAGGTGAGGTAGGTAAGGAACTAGGAGTGTGTGAACCAGTCAAGAAGAAATTGGAGTATCTGAACATTTAGCCATTTCAGGGTCCAGAATTTCAAGTTTGAATATTTCCCTTTCAGGACCTCTTTCTCTTCACAGTCCAGTAGCACTTCAGTCTATTCTGGGCTTTCCTCACCATCATCAGGATGCTAATTTTTTACTGAATTAAAATACCTTCAAAAATCTTATCAAAGAACCTCCCACTTAAAAAAAAAAAACCTCATGTTTTACCAAGCAAAGGTAGGAGTTTTGTCAGACATAGGAATGAGCACAGATTGTGTGACAAAGACACCAAAAGCAGTTGCAACAAAAGCAAAAATTGACAAGTGGGATCTAATTAAACTTAAGGGCTTCTGCACAGCAAAAGAAACTATCAGCAGAGTAAACCGACAACCTACAGAATGGGAGAAAATATTTGCAAACTATGCATCTGACAAAGGTCTAATATCCAGCATCTACAAGGAACTTAAACAGATTTATAAAAGAAAAGCAAACAACCCTATTAAAAAGTGGGCAAAGGAAATGAACAGACATTTCTCAAAAGAAGACATACATGCGGCCAATAAGCATATGACAAAAAGCTTCAATATCACTGATCATTAGAGAAATGCAAATCAAAACCACAATGAGATACCATCTCACACCAGTTAGAATAGCTATTGTTAAACAGTCAAAAAATATGGATGCTGGTGAGGTTGCAGAGAAAAGGGAACACTTATACACTGTTGGTGGGAGTGTAAATTAGTTCAACCATTGTGGAAAGCAGTATGATGATTCCTCAGAGAACTAAAAACAGAACTACCATTTGACCCAGCAATCCCATTACTGGGTCTATACCCAGAGGAATATAAATCATTCCATCATAAAGAAACATGCACCTGAATGTTCATTGCAGCACTACTCACAATAACAAAGTCATGGAATCAACCTAAATGCTCATCAGTGACAGATTGGATAAAGAAAATGTGGTACATATACACCATGGAATATTATGCAGCCATAAAAAAGAATGAGTTCATGTCTTTTGCAGAAACATGGATGGAGCTGGAGGCTATATCCTTAGCAAACTAACGCAGGAGCAGAAAACCAAATACCGCATGTCCTCACTTATAAGTGGGAGCTAAATGATAAAAACTTATGAACACTAAGAAGGAAACAGCAGACACTGGGGTCTACTTGAGGGTGGAGGGTGCGAGGAGGGAGAGGAGCAGAAAAGATCACTATCGAGTACTGAGCTTAATATCTGAGTGATGAAATAATCTGTACAACAAACCCCCATGACATGTGTTTACCTCTGTAAAAAACCTTCATATGTGCCCCCAAACCTAAAAGAAAAGTTTAAAAAAATACATGCAGAAAAAGGGAGTTTTGTCAGAGATTTTTGAAGAGTTCAGTATATGAGGTATTGGGTTGAAGGTTCCGTAGTTTTTTTTGCTTTTATTCTATTTCAAAGTTTTAGTGACTCTATATATTCTTTCAATCAATAAGGGTAATATCTGGCTTTTTCCTACTTAGAAAGAAGCTGAGAGAGCAGTCTGTCCTTCCCATCACTCCATTCCTTTCTTACAAACACAAACTATGCTCGAATCCAGAAAGTATTCAATGATTCTTGAAAATTATTTGAAAGTTTGTACTTCCATGTCTATGTTTATGTTGCTTCCTCTTCCTGGGACATCTTCATTTTCTCATCAAAATTCTGTTCCTGCATAAAGGCCAAAATGTCACTTCTTTCTGTAAAGCCTTCAAAATTTTTCACTTCCCTTACATTGTCTCTTCTCTCAAATTCATTCTCCCGTGTATTGAGGGGACCTTAATGCATGGAATGTGTATTCTAACGGTGACTTCCAGTTGGGACCCCACATCCCTAGTGGCCACAGCCCATCCTCTAGATGGAACTGTCACTTGCTAATAACTTCTGAGCCATGCCTCAGTTTGTGACTCCCTTCGAGTACCATGTCCTTGATTCTCTGTCTGTTCTTTAAGATTAACTGCTTCAACTAGATGAAGTCTCTCTAGTACTGGGCTCAAATTATTTTGAGAGGGTCTCTGCTCTGACATAGCTTGTTTTTTCTCCATGCTGATTCTGTCTTGATAAGGGTCAGTGTATCTTGTTTATGAGAGATAGGCATAAAAGTAGAAATCTGTCAACGTAGATTTTTCAAATTAAAACAAATTCATGCTATCTAGTTCTTAGATATACTATGAACTCCTCAGAGGCTGGAATCACATCTTAATCATTAATCATCTCTGTATTCCAAGTATTTAGTATAGTATCTGACAGCAGGCTTGCAATTTATTTTTGTTGAGTGAATGAATGAAGCAATGCAGTTTGTTTTGAAAGCCATCAGTATATCTCAGCATTGCAGGTCCATCATTCATTTAGCAAGCATTTTTTGAGAAGTTGCTTTTATGTGCAAGCACTATATTAGATGCCATGGAAATCTGAAATAGCCTTAATGCTACTAAGAATCACAACTACCACTAATAATTGCAACCACACAACAATAACCAACATATGTTGCGTACTTATTAGATTATAAGAACTGTGCTAATTGCTTCATAAGCATTCTTTTAACTCTTACAACAACTCTGAGTCAAGCATATTATTATTATTCCCATTTACAGAAAGAGAACTGATTTTCAGAAAGGCTAAGTAAATGAAAACAAGTTGGGAATATAATGTTTACCCAATAGAGTTAGGGAGATACAACAGTCATCTGGAATGTCTTAAGTGTCACAAGGAAATACATTTGCCGTTCTCAAATGTCATTTAAAGAGCCCTTGAATGCTAAATTGATACAACTGGGGAATTAGAATTTACTGGGTAACCTTTATTTAACCTGCGTATTATCACTAAAGAACTCTGCTTTCTTCATTCATCCATCCATTCACCAAACATGAATGGCATGTTGGCAGTGTGCCAGGAACTGTACTAAGCATTGGGGGCAGGGTGTAGGGAACTGGGAGAGGTGAGACAAACATGTAAAGAGGTCATTGTAATTCATAAATAAATGCTGTAATAGTGATGGGAACATGTTTCCAAGGAATATTTCCAACATTTCACCATTAAGTATGACATTTGTAGTAGGTGTTTGTGGTTATCTGCTATTAGGTTAAGAAAGGTCCTTTTATTTCTAGTTTGCTAAGAGTTGTTTTTTATTTTTCCTAAATCATAAATAACTGCTGCATTTATTTCCTGTAATTTTTTTCTACATCTCTTCAAATGATATTTTTCACTTATGGAGATTATTTGTCCTCTTTTATTTATTGTGATACTTGCATTGTCTGAAATATAATATTTCTTAACATTAAACCAACCTTGCATTTTTGGGATGGACCGTAATGTTATAGACCTATTCAGGTTTTATACCTTTTTTTCTTTATTTAAAAAAATTTTTCATTCACTTTTGTTATGTATTTGTAGGAATATATCTATTTTACCTAAGTTTTTGAATGTATTGGCATAGTTATCACACTATTAATTTATCATTTTTAACTTACATAACATCAGTAGTTATGGCCGCATCATTTTTAGTATTGTTTATTTATTTGTTTTCTCTTTTTTCTCTTCATTAACATTATTAAAAAGCTTCTCAATTTTATTAGTCTTTTCAATGACTACATTCTGGCTTTGTTTAAACCTAATTATTTTCTAATTTCACAATATACATGTTTACCTTATTTAATTTTGAGCCTTTCTTTTCTTTTCTGTGGGCATGCAAAACATACATTTTCTTCCAAGAAGTACCTTAGCTGCATCCCTCAAGTTTTGATGTTTATTTTTCATATATAATTTATTTTAAAATTATATAATAATATAATTTCCGTTATGTTTTCTTATTTTGCCATGAGTTATTTAAAATGTATTTTAAAATTTCCAATGAAATAGATTGTTATTATGTTCTTTTTGAAAAGTTATCTTTATTACATTGTGGGCTGAGGATGTGGTGTATAGAGAGTCTTTGAAATGTATTATACTTGCTTTATAGCCTAATGCATGGTTAATTTTGGTAAATAGCCCTCGTGTGTTTGACAAGTAGTTTGATGCAGTGTTCTAAAAATATATCCTTTGGATCAGGCTTGTTATTTTGTGTTGTTCAAATCTATACCCTTGCTGTTTTTGGATTGTTTGATCCATCAATTACTGAGAGAAGTGTGTTAAAGTGTATGAACATATAACCTTCCGTTAACTGATAGCTCAAGTTTGTATTTATACATTTTGAAGCCATAACACATACCTTAGAGTTTAAAATTGTTATATGTTCCTTGTGAATTGAAGCTTTTATTACTATGTAGTGACCATTCTTATTTCTAATAGTGCCTTTTAGCACTATTAGACCTTAAAGTCTATTTTACATGATATTAATGTGGGTTCACCAGCTTCTTTTGGTTCATATTTGCTCAGAAGGAAATATTTCCAAAAGGTTAACAGTCATTAATGCTGGGTGATGAGATAAAATGTAGTTGTTATTTTCTTTCTGCTTTTCAGTATTTTCAAAAATTTCTTTAATAAGCATATACTATTTTCATAATAAGAAAAACTACATTTTAAAAATTTGATTTAAAAAATGATTAAGAGCCCAGAGAGATCCTCCTTTTTGATCAAGCTTAGTATGTGGGGTCTAGATTCTCATGTAACAGTTTATATGTCATACAAGTAGCTCTTACCAGTGAAACTTTTTAAAAATTAATTTCTATTTTTATTTCAATAGTTTTTGGGGGTACAGGTGGTTTTTGGTTACATGGATAAGTTCTTTAGTGGTGATTTCTGAGATTTGGGTGCGCCCGAGCAGTGTTCACTGAGCCCAATGCGTAGTCTTTTATCCTTCAACCCCTCCCACCCTTACTCCTGAGTCCCCAAAGTCCATTGTATCATTCTTATGCCTTTGCGCCCTCATAGCTTAGCTCCCATTTATAAACCAGAACATATGCTATTTGGTTTTCCATTCCTGAGTTACTTCATTTAGGATAATGGCCTCCAGTTCCATCCAAGCTGCTGCAAAAGACATTATTTCATTCCTTTTTATGGCTGGGTAGTATTCTATGGTTTATATATACCAGATTTTCTTTATCTACTTGTTGGTTGATAGGCACTTAGGTTGGTTCCATATCTTTGATATTGTGAGCTGGGCTGCTATAAACATGCATGTGCATGTGTCTTTTTTGTGTAATGACTTATTTTCCTCTGGATAGATACCCAGTAGTGGGATTGCTGGATAGAATGGTAGTTCTACTTTTAGTTCTTTAAGGAATTTTCATACTGACTTCCATGGTGATTGTACTAGTTTACATTCCCCCCAGCAGTGTAAAAGTGTTCCCTTTTCACCACATCTGTGCCAACATCCGTTGTTTTTGACTTTTTAATTATGGCCCATTCTTGCAGGAGGAAGGTGGTATCTCATTGTGGTTTTGATTTGCATTTCCCTGATAATTAGTGATTTTGAGCATTTTTTCGTATGTTGGCTGTTTGTATATCTTCTTTTGAGAATTGTCTATTCATGTCTTTTGCCCACTTTTTGATGAGATCATTTTTTTTTCTTGCTGATTTGTTTGAATTCCTTGTAGATTCTGCATAGGAGTCCTTTGGTGGATGCATAGTTTGTGAGTATTTTCTCCTGTTCTGTGGGTTGTCTGTTTGCTGATTATTTCTTTTGCTGAAGCACTGAAACTTTTTGAGGTCTTTCTTGGTAAGTAATATTCTATTCTACCGACTGCATTATGTATTATCAAGGATGATGAAATGTGATGTCTTACCTAACACTTGCTGGCAGAATTAGTGACCCCCCTTCTACGTTTTCACTCCTTTTCTGGGTTTCTGGTTTTTGAGTACTCATCACTCTACCTCGTGGACATAAAGTTGCTTGGGGCAGGAATCTCTGGCTTTCTGGGTGGGGTCCAGGTTGTAAGCCAGCAAGGTCCATCAGACAGGAAGCAAGGTCCAGCCTCAGGGCATTGGTAGATGTATGGGGTTTCAGAGCCGGGCTCCCAGGCTGGACTCAGTACCTTTGGCACCTGGTGTCAGAGGACAAGGAGTGCTAGCTGATGTCATCAGGTCAAGTCAGTGTTTACTAAATGGAAACATATTCATAAATACCAATTCTTTAATAACCCTGTAATGGATACATTGTTGTCCCTTATGACAAATTGTATGGATAGGCTTGCTTTGCTTTTTCCCACCCCTTCTGGCGTGCCTTCTTCATCTGCAGAGGCTGTACAAGTAGCAATGATATTTTCCACATGCCCTTGCAGCTATGAGGTTGGATGCAATTCCAATTTTACCACTTGTACTCTCACAAGACTTGGGTTAGTAATAAAGTGGAATATAGGGAGAGAGATTCGGCATGAGGCATCTATCTTGCTAGTAAGGAAGATGCCAGAGGTAAGTGGTTGTCTCAGAAAACAGCAGAGGCCTATTTACCCAACTCTTCTCATGCTTTGGAAAGTGACTCAGTAATACATTTCTTCTTATTTTAATTAGTTAGCAAGGATTTTGTTTTCTGTAGTTCTGATCTGACAAATAGATCCATTGCACACAAGAGAAAACAGACTTGGAGATGGGAAGCGACTTGCCCAAGATCTCACTGCTAATGAGTGTCAGAGCTGGACTGTGAGCCTAGGCCGTCCAATGCCAAAATAGCACTCCTTTGGCAGCAGGACAAGTGACAGTCTCAGAGATCAGGCTACAGACACCCCCAGGGTCACTGAGATGCTACTAAGAAATCACACATCAGCTTGGCGTGGTGGCTCATGCTCATAATCCCAGCACTTTGGGAAGTCGAGGTGGGCAGATCACTTGAGGCCAGGAGTTCGAACCCAGCCTGGCCAACATAGCAAAACCGCATCTCTACTAAAAACACAAAAAATTAACTAAGAGTGGTGGTGTGCACCTGTAGTCCCAACTACTCTGGATGCTGAGGCATGAGAATCGCTTGAACCAGGGAGGCAGAGGTTGCAGTGACCCGAGATTGTGCCACTGTGCTTCAGCCTGGGTGACAGAGCAAGACTGTCTAAAAAAAAAGAAAGAAATCACACATGCAGATCCAAGGTCTTGGTGCCACAATGATGCTTTTGATGACAATATCTAATAAGGGCTGCTGCCACTTGGCACAGGCCTGGGCTAGAAGATGGCTCCCCACCAATTCCGCCCCTATTACTGTCCCTTTTTTTGTGGTCCCTTTGGCCTTTATTCTAAATGTATTACTTGCTCTCTTGTATTTCTGGGTTAGTGTTGAGACCCCACACAGATCTGTTTGCTCGTTCAGTCATGTTCACATCGTACTGTTTGCTTCTTTACTGAGCTTAGAATATTTTATTGCTTCTGCAAAACTTTTTAAGGGTGAAGGAGGGAATGATGAACCAGTAGGTTCAGGCAGAGAAGCAAATATTGAATTATAATGATCAGATTATTCATCCCGTCTCCTACTAAGCTATCTATAGTAGATGTCCTGTCCATCTTAGTCCATTGTTGCCTCATTTATGGCTCTCCTCATAATTTGTAATTCTTTTATTTCTTTTCTTTTGGTTCATTTGTTTTACTTTACTGTTTTCATACTAGGAAATAAAGTTCATGAGGTCAGGGTACAAGTCAATCTCTGTCAGGGCTGTTGTATCTGCAGCCCGTAGTTCAATTCTAGCACAAAGTAGGCATTTGAAAACATTTACTGAATGAATGAATGAATGCATGAATAGCAGAGACCATGTTTATCTTTTCATCTTTGTATTTTGGCATCCAGTTCAGAGACCAACATGTAGAGGTTACTGATTCATTTTATTGAAAAAGAAACTATAATATGTATGACCTACATTCATGAATAAAAATTTCACTTTTTTCTCTTCAGTGTCTTCAAAACTGGAAGCTTTGGGTCACCATTCACTTGCGATTTATTCAGCAACTATCAGTACAGTGAGTTGATTCAAAGATAAATAAGAAACACACCTTTCACAACTTTAACTTTAGTAGAGAATTCAGCACATTGTATATCTTTAACAGATTTTATAATGGATCAATAAATGAACAAATAAATGCTAAATTTCTGAGGATTGATATTACCCACAGAAAAAAAATCTGCATTGTTGGGCAACAGGATAATTTCAGCTATGCTGCATTGATTGAATATACTGGATGTTGTCTACATAAGACAATATTTCCTGGATGGCTTTCTCTCTGGTTGTTTCTCCTTTAGCTGGTGATATAGAATAGATTCCATAACACCTTTGTCTCTGAGCTTTGTTGGTGGGTGAGCAATGCCTATGGACACCACTCACAGAGCTGAGACACTGGCAGGAGAGAGTAGAGAACAGGATAATGAGAAAGCAAGAAGAAGGGAAAAAAGGGAAATGGGAGAGGTCAGGTGATGTAAGCAAGGAAAAGAATGGAGGAAAAGGAAGAAACAAAATCAATAATGTTTATGATGCCTGCCAGTTATTGAATGCCTATCATAGAGGTTCCATGTTGTGTTCAACACATGTGTTATCTCTAATCTTTACAACCCAGCCAGCAAGGTCAGGAACATTTATTGTTTTCATTGTGTAGATGAGCAGATAGGTTCAGTGAGGTCAATAAGTAACTTGACCAGCTACACACTGCTAAGAGGGACAGCCAGGATTTGCTCTCAGGAATGTCTGGCTCAAATCCATAGTATGATCCCTTGGTGAGGAATGACAGAGATCTTCTAACAGGGCCCTGCAGGCCTCCCATAGGACATTGGGATTATAGATTGTCAAACACCTACTCTAGGTGGAATATCTAGATCTCAACACTTTAAAGTATATCTGTTTATCCGCTAATTCATACATACACACACACACAAACACACACACACACAATCAGCCAGAAAAAAGAAAAGAAAAATGGATTAATCGGATTAATTTCCGTGTACAACTCAACCAAAATCTTCTGGAATAAACACTTAGCAGAAAAGAGGACTAATAGATGACAAATGGCCAGCATTCTCAAATGCCATAATTCCAGAAGTAAAGTAAAACCCTCTAAATCCACCCTCACCCCCCACATATAGTGAGTAAACAAAGTTACATAGACCAAAAAAGCAACAGGAAAATAACAACAAAAAAAAGTTGAGGGGCCCTGAAAATACTGTCTGAATGTCCTTTCCCCAAAGGGTTGAGGTCAGGCATATGGTTCTATTCACCAAGCCCTAAACAAAGGACTTGGGCTATTTTATGCACTGATCATTATTGTTGCTTAAATTAAAGCACGATCCAAAAAGTGTAATGCAATATTAATTTTAGTTACTGTAGCTAATTGAAAACATAGCAAGAGCTGTGACTATAGAAAATGGAGTGAGAACACTCAGATGCACATCCAAGTCTATCTTACCCCTTTTAAGCTGGGCAATAGCATATTTTCAAAACATGGCCATTATCCCCAGAGTCTGTACTTAAGTGCATCAGGAGAAATACTTGGCCTGGGAAAAAGGAAAAGCAGTTAACTCCCAGCTATCAGCAGACTTCGAAACTTCAAATTTAATTTGAAAACTATCAATGGTTAATTTGTTCACATGAAAGACATTACAAATATATATATATAATTCCTGTCAAGCCAAGGACTGAGTATTTTTTATCTTGCTGTTCCCAGTATGAAGCTCAGATCCTGGCATCTACATGATGCTCATCAATAATTGTTGGGTGAATGAGTGAATAATTGTTGAAGACCTTTGTTTAATAAATGAGAACCCTCTTTTTCTTAAACGATTGACCCTCTTCCCCAGTGAAAGTGCAGATCAGCAAGATCTGAGGGAGAAAAGACAGCTCTTCTTTGACTTGGTTCAGAAGTTCCGAGCGGTGGGGAATGCAAGCAGGAATTTTTGTCTATTTCATTCCAGTGCCTAGAACAGTACCTGGCACATGTTAGTCCTCAATACACATTTGTTGAATTAATAAATAAATGCTTAGCATGGGGTTGCAAAGAGAGAATGAGTTAAGCAAAGGAGGCAAAGTGGAGAACACAAAACTTTACTGTGTCGTTTTATTTCTCTGCTGAGAACTCTGCCGAGTTATCAATTCCCAAACATTCTAGACATACTGTTATTTGATATAAGTACAAGAATCCCTTCCTCCCTTCTTTAAATCAGTATAATCTGCCTTGTGGGGATTAACCAGGTTTCTGTTTATTAACATGAGGGACTAGGGTGATGCTTTTAAAGGCATCAGTTCCAGCAACTTAGTGGAAGATGCTCTAGAACAATTCAGGATGCAGGGGAACATATTAGGGCAATGTCAGGCATTTTCATATCCTAGGAGAACAGTGTGTCCTCAAAAAGAGTGCACATTAAGTTTCTGGGCTTCGTACTCTCACCTTCCACTACCTATTTACACCCATTGATTTTTCCTAGAAGAGGCTTATTCTACTCATTTTTCTTCAAACAAAAACACTTTACTGACTATCAAAGGCCAGTGACGCAGAGCATGTACATGAGAGGCCATGTTTAAGTAGCACTGAGAGAAATGTTCTTATGAAGGACGTTCCTAGGATGTGTCTTGAGTCTGCACTTGACAATTAAATGGAGAGAAACTGACAAAAACAAGCTGGATGCACTTTAGCAGGATTAATTTGTATGGAGTTGGAAAAATGTCATCAACATTCAATAGTTACCCTATATGGCATCTGACTTTTCTTCATAAAGCAACTGTGTGTGGTATTCTGTGTACGTGGGTGGCATTTTTTGGCCTTTTCAGGCAAGTATGTATATGTTGTTTTTTGTCTTCTCCTTTTGTTATACACTTAGCCATCAATTTAAAGGGGTTGGGGGGAAAGACTGTTGAAACAAAATTTATCATTTATTGTCATTTAGGCAAGCACCACATTTTCCGAACCCATTTTGAATTCAGTTCAAGTAATGGAAAGTTGGTAAATTTTGCACAGAACCATAAATCTGAAAAACTGTCACAGAACTTATTCTTCCTCTATTGTTTCATGATCACACATGGGAGCCACAGTTATATACTTTTGAACACATCTCTTTTAAATAGAGTTCCCACAACTGTGGTGCAAAGATACAGACAGCTATTTTCACATAGTAAGAAAGTATTCAGTGGGCCTTTGCATTTTGTTCTATCCCCAAAAACTATTTGAATGTGACTCTTTGACATCACTGGGTGAAGCTCTCAAGTGTTAGTGCACACAATGGGGCTCTCTTTAGTAACTAGGAGGAGGGGAAATGTCAAGAGGGCAAGCAATAAAGCCAAGAGGGAATATGGTTTATGAATGCAAAACTTACAGTAGAACTTTAGACAGGAAAAAAGTTGACGATGCAAGTTAAAGCTGGCCCCAGGCAGCAATAACTTACTGAAGTGGCATTTATTTGGCTGATAACCCAAGGTCTTGCTGAACTTGCTAGTACAACAGAAGTAATCTTTATGGAAGAATGAATTACAATAGCAGCTTGCAGTAACATTATTTGATCTTTCCATTATTTAGAATGACCTTGTAAGCTCCTCCGAAGCTGCAAGTTTCAACTTTCTGCTGTGACTTTGAAACTGAAACAGGAATTCTCCTACCTATCCCAAAAGATTTTTTTCAGTAGGTTTGCAGTATGCCTCACCTGCGGAAGAGCGGGTGATAAAGATCTAACATGCTATTTGATCACAGTGTAACTGAGCTGAAAGTAGGTTGAGTAAATAATTTATACTCTGAGAAGTAAAGTGACTTGCTCAAGGTCATACAGCCAGGTGATCTGCTTCAGGCACCATGTTGGTAGCTATTATTTGAGAGCTAATTAAGCAGGCCGAGATCCAGAAGGCCCAAGGTGGAAGAGGATTATAAGATCACAATGCTTTATGAGAAGCATAGGTGCCATGAGAGCAAGAAAGAAGAATGTTGACTTCTTTGAAAAGACTAGTTTTTCTTTCATTTTTTTTCCTTCCCTAATGGGAATGATATTAATGAGCATTAAATAAATTTGTAGCTAAATGTTAGAAATTTATTTAAAGTGCACTAAGAATCTTCAATATATAGACAAATGTTTGTTTAGAATGGAGAAGTTTTGGCCGGGCGCGGTGGCTCATGCCTGTAATCCCAGCTTTTTGGGAGGCCGAGGCTGGTGAATCACGAGGTCAGGAGTTCAAGACCAGCCTGGCAAAGATGGTGAAACCCCATCTCTACTAAAAATACAAAAAAAAAGTAGCTGGGTGTGGTGGTGGGCACCTGTGATCCCAGCTACTTGGGAGGCTGAGGCAGAGAACTGCTTGAACCCAGGAGCGGGAGGTTGCAGTGAGCCGAGATCACACCACTGCACTCCAACCTGGGCAACAGAGCAAGATTCCGTCTAAAAAAAAAAAAAAAAAAAAAAAAAAAAAAGAATAGAGAAGCTTTTTGTGGGCGTTGAGGGAGGGATTAAGCTTCATCATTAAGTTTAAGACACTTGGAGCATTTTCTCTTCCAAGGCACATGCACATTCCCTTACACACCCTCTGAATCCCAAACAGCATTCAGTCTGGGTGGGGTAAATATGTGACAACACACCTGGAGAAATAGCTGAATCATCCATCAGTTGCAGTTCAGGTATTTGGCGCTGGCTGGAGGCATAATGATGAGGCAGGGATTCTTGGTTTCTTGTCTACCTCCTCTCCTTCCAGTGCTTTCTTTCAACTTCATAGTTCCAGTTTGGGAGCATTTGGAGTGAGATAGAGAGAAGTGTGAGATAAAACTGGAAATATTGGGACAGGCCGACAGAAAGAACTTGAGAATTTCTCTCTCTCAGTCTGCCATTTTTTTCCTCAACACACCAACACAGCTAAGTGCACAGGTATGTTTATTTCAGCACTATTTACAATAGCAAAGACTTGGAACTAACCCAAATGCCCATCAATGATAGACTAGATAAAGAAAATGTGGCACATATACACCATGGAATACTATGCAGCCATAAAAAAGAACGAGTTCATGTCCTTTGTAGGGACCTGGATGAAGCTGGAAACCATCATTCTCAGAAAACTAATGCAGGAATGGAAAACCAAACACCAAATGTTCTCACTCATAAGTGGGGGTTGAACAATGAGAACGCATGGACACAGTGAGGGGAACATCACACACTGGGGCCTGTCGGGGGGTAGGGGTCAAGGGAAGGGAGAGCATTAGGACAAATACCTAATGCATGTGGGGCTTAAAACCTAGATGACGGGTTGATGGGTGCAGCAAACCACCATGGCACATATATACCTATGTAACAAACCTGCACGTTCTGCACATGTATCCCAAAACTTAAAGTAAAATAAAAACAAAGAAAGAACCTACCTCTATCCTGTATTCCTCTTTAACGATCACCTTCTCTTTTCTCTTTCATACCTCAGCTTCCTGAGATCTGTCTGAAGTTTCTTTCTTACCCTCACATTTGGCTTCTGAACTGTTCAATGTGGCCTGATGTGAGCTTCTATCTTGCCTCTGTAACTGCTTTCACTGAATTCATTAATGACACAACTGCAAATCTAGTGGGCATGTTAAAGTTCTTATCTTAGGCAACACATCTAAGGTCTGATATTGTTGATCTCCTTCTTCTTTTTTTTTGAGATGGAGTTTTGCTCTTGTTGCCCAGGCTGGGGTGCAATGGCATGATCTCGGCTCACCACAACCTCTGCCTCCCAGGTTCAAGTGATTCTCCTGCCTCGGTCTCCCGAGTAGCTGGGATTATAGGCATGTGTCACCACGGCCAGCTAATTTTTTTATTTTTAGTAGACACGGGGTTTCTCCATGTTAGTCAGGCTGGTCTCAAACTCCCGACCTCAGGTGATCCACCTGCCTCGGCCTCCCAAAGTGCTGGGATTACAGGTGTGAACCACTGCACCCAGCCGATCTCCCCCTTATTCTTAAAACTCCTTTCCACAATTTCCTTCTTACCTTGCTGTCCTCTTACTTCATGAGAGTCTTTCCCCTTTCATGTTGGTGTTCTCCAGTGGTCTCTAGGTACCTCTTCTGATTTTATTTTTCATACCCCATGTCTCTGCTCATGCAGTTTCAAAAGGTTTTATTCTGAGCTCTGGGCCCATATTCCAATTGCTTTGTGGAAGCCTTTCACGTCTGCTCTGTGGGTATCACAACATCAGCCTATCACTGATGTGCTGAATTTATTGTCTCTCCTCCAAAATTCGTCCTTCTTCTTGTGCTTCTGATTCTGCTTACCACTTCCACCACACACTTGATCTCCCATGTCAGAAATTTGGAAATCATCCATAGCTCTTTCACCCTTACCACGTACATCATCGTCACCAAATTCTCCTGATTTTGCTTCTTAAATGGCTTTCAAGCCTCTCTTTTCTTTTGCCCGCCCATTTTTTCCTGCTGTGGTTTAGCTACCCATCATTTTAAATCTTAACTGATTTTTTTTTTACGTCCAGTTTCTTTCTCCTTAAGACTCATTTTATATACTACTGTACAATTATCTTTAAGAGATATTGATCTTAGGTCACTTTCCTGCATATAATTCTTCAATGGTTTCCCATTATTTATAGAGTAACAATGGAAAATAGTGTGTTTATTATGTGCCAGGTACTGTTCTAATTGCTTTACATATATTAATTCATATGTTAATTCTCATAATAATCCTATGAGATAGGTAACTGTTATTATATTTTTATCTCCACTTAACAGATGAGGAAACAAGGGCATAGAAATGGTAATGAATTTGTCCAGTTGGGGTAGGAATTAAGCCCAGACAGTCTTAGTCCAGGGCATATGCTTCTAACTGCCACTCTATTCTGCCTTTTTGTTGCTAGCACAGAATTCAAGGTCCTTGCTGATCTGGTCTCTGCTGAACAATCTGCTTCACTTCTTGCTCTTCTGGCAAAACCCCCCATTCTCCTGCCAAACTGGACCAATTGTCATAATCATCAAACATAGCTCACAATGCTCTGTTTACTTTTACATATGCTATTCTCTCTTCCTAGAAAATAGCTACCCATTTCTAACACATGCATTCACGTATTTTGCTTGGCTGGTCAAGAGTCAGCTGAAGTATCACTTCCTACAGGCTAACTTAGGGTTTTCTCTTCTGCTCATCTTCAACTCTGCGGCACGTATCTATAACAGAACTCTCTAATGTGGTATACTTAGTCTTCATATGTGCAACAGTCCACACAGTGTCTTCTTTGTACAATTGTGCCTAAAATGATTATTGAATAAGTGGATGGATATTAAAAGCTATGGTAATAAGTTTATACTTAATTTGGGTTATGAAATGTTCCATTTGTTAAACACTTGTCAAGAGGGTAATAGGATCAGAAGCATGAAGTGTTGATGGGACATGAAAGGTCTCAGGCAGTGCCAAGGTATTGCATAATGAGGGCTTGATCTATGGTGGTATCAGTGGGAAGACAAAGGCAGGATGGATTTGAGGGGTGCTATGACAGTTGAATCCATCAGACTTCACTTATACATTAATTCCTAGAACAAATAGTTATTGAGATCTATGGGACACTGATGTCCACAAAGTTATAGTAGTGAGCAAAATATACAGGTTCCTAATGTCAGGGAGCTTCTATTCTAGAGAAGAGAGATGAGCAATAAACAAGTTTAAAAATAAACAAGAGTTTAATACCAGTCATGAGAGTTGTGATGGGGAAAGTATAAACAGTGTGATGTAGCAGAGTTTCTGGGACCATCTCTCTGATGCGGTGATATTTTGGCCATATGACAGGAAACTACCTGGAGGAGAGAAATGCCACATGAAACCCCATGGAGAGAACAAGTTTAATGTGTTTGAGAAGCAGATACAAGGCCAGAATGGAGAAATTATGGAAAGAAATCAAACCATCTGGTAAATGGGTATGAAGTCAGAGATTACATAGAGAGCTTTAGGCCATGGAAAGAAGTTTGAATTTTGTTCTAAGTGTGATGGTAATTTATTGGCCATGGAGAGAGAAAGAACACTCATGGCTCTGGAACATTAGTAACAATATTTATCAAAATGAGGAAGCTGAGAAGTGCTAGTCTGATGGGGAAAAATAATTTTAGTTCGAGGAATTAATTGATGGCTCTGAAAGTGAGAAATGTGAGTTTAGGGACTGAGAAATTAGTCCCTCAAACTAAAATTCTCTTTTCTCATCAAACTGGTACTTCTTCTCAACTTCTTCATTTTGATAAATATTGTCATTTATATGTAGTCAGATTTCTAAGGAAGAGAGTGAAGACAGAGGCTGCAAAAGAGAGAGAACTAAGGACGAAAGCCAAAGATAAAGCCTCAGAGAAGTGGAAATGATGGTAGAGGAAGAGTCCTCAAAGGACATCTGTAAGGATAAGGAAGAGCTAGCCGTGTTCTCAGACACAAGAATGGGGCCACCGGCAGAAGAGAGAAAATGCTGTTAAAAATGCACAGTAGGGTGACTATGGTTAACAATATTACATTCTAAATTTCAAAAGAGCGAGAAGAGAGGATTTTGAATCTTCTCACCACAAAGAAATGATAAATGTTTGAGGAAATGAATATGTTAAATACTCTGATTTGATTTTTCATACAATGAATACATGTATTGAAACATCACACCATACCCCATAAATATGTACAGTTATTATGTGTCAATTAAAAAATAAAGTTGTGATGGAATAGGGATCAAGGTTAGCTGGGACCAGGCAGCAGCATGTAGGCCTTAAGGAAGCATGAACTGTCAAGCTGAGGCTGCCTAATCAGAGCAGGGAATGCAGGCAGGGAGAACTTCAGCCAGTTATATTCCTAGACCCAGCCAGGCAGCCCAAAGCCCAGGTCTAGCTTGGTCACGCACCAGCACCAGGAGCTCATGCTGCCTGGCCCTCCTCAGTGAAACTGGCCCATAGGTCATCTCCCAGGAGTGAGGTTAAGTTGAAGGAAGTTAAGGGTGGGCCCTGGAGGTTGACGAATGTTTAAAACAGCCACTGTGGCCTCCTGCAATAATTAGTCAACAAGGGATGTGTAAAACCATTTTTGAGGATCAGTGAGAGCTCAGCTGAGGTTGGAAAGCTTTGCTTTATGGTGGCGCAGTTTCCATGGTTTCCTTTCTTATGCGGTTTGGAATAGGGAGCAGAGAAAACCAATTATTAGCTACAATAAGTCTAGCTTGATGTTAGAGGCTACTATATATTTTTTACTCCCGATACCACAATATTATTTTAAATTTTGTAGAAAAACAGACAGATTATAGGTCAAATTAAATTTATTTTTTTGAGATAGAGTCTTGCTCTGTTGCCCAGGCTGGAGTGCAGTGCCACGATCTCAGCTCACTGCAACCTCCGCCTCCCAGGTTCAAGCGATTCTCCTTCCTCAGCCTCCTGAGTAGCTGGGATTACAGGCGCCCACCACCACGCCCAGCTAATTTTTGTATTTTTAGTAGAGATGGGATTTCACCATGTTGGCCAGGCTGGTCTCAAACTCCTGACCTTGTGATCCACCCGCCTCGGCCTTCCAAAGTGCTGGGATTACAGGCATGAGCCACGGCACCCGGCCTAAAATTTGTTATTTTTTATATTAAAAAATCATATATGATTTCAGCCTAATTTTGAAAATCTGCAATAAGTGAAACCAAGGTTCTGCATTAACAAGCCTACACCAATTTATATTCAATTGTAATTTTAAAATAAATGTGAAAATGTTGGATCGCTTGTTATAATGACTTGGGCTCTTATCCTAGCAAGTATGTGCATTGGAAACCAAGAATGTACAAATAAATAGTAATGGTATAACACAAATTTCAAAATTTTTGAGTGACAGGTTAACAATGCGACGTTTTCCACTGACTGATATTTTAACATCACACCTCCAACAAACCTATAATTAAAGTTATTTTGGCATTTTCATCTCAAATCCTTGCTTTTGGGGGGTGGGTGGTGTATAATTCCACTTTTTAAATGAGCTTCCAGATACAATTTGACATAAAATACAAAATCTTATTCTGGCAAAAATTTCCCCTCCACCTTTCCATCGTGAAATATAGGAATATGTGGCTTGTCAGTTTAAAAAGTTATAAAGGTATTTTAAAAGGGAATTGAAGCTTTCGTGTTTGTTTGTTTGGATTTGTTGACCAGAATGTGTATGTGAGAACTAAAGTCCGGCTACTGTACAATTCACACAAACATAGAGGCCATTAGAACATACAACAGGCAGTTTTGGGAGAAGGGAGTGGCCCCACTTACTATGCTCCTCTTCTTTTAAGAGCATTAATTATTTTATATTTTTCTTTCAGAGAAATAATACTTGCCGTGTCATCATTCCCAGGAAAAATATTTGGGTCTATAGCTGTATATTTTAAACAGCATGTGAATAAGAGGAGCAACAGTATCAAAATAGAAAACACACATAGAGTCAAGGCAGTGGGCGGAGAATCAATGATCTCTCTTTTTGTACACTGTCTCCTCTAATCTTTTAAGCACAGAAAGTTCAGGTGGAATTCTAATGCCTTCCTTTCCCATGCATTCCATATGTATGTATCTTGTATGTATACATGTAACAGCAGGGGATAAATCTCTTGAAGAGTCATCTTCTACTTCCGCTTCCTTGGGTATGGACTCTGACGTAGGAGGGGAAAAGCTTTAGATACTTTTGAAGCAAGGAGTTAGATTCCCCCCATGGAATTCAGAAAGTAAAAGGAAAGTGCTTGGGAAAAAATCTTACGCTGAGGTAGGGGGTCATAGAAAGGCCATTGAATTCTTATAGGAAGGTCATGGGGGCAGTGGGAGGAGTCATGGACCAAGGATGATTTGAAGAATGCCATCCTTTAAGGAGGTTTTAAGCACATCATTGGTAGGGAAACATCAATATGGTCTTTCTTGCCCAGACAATTATAGGAAATGTCTCCCAAAACAGTTCATAGCCCAGGCTGGGGGTGGGAGTGGGGTGAAAACTACAACCATCATTTAGTCACATCACATTGAGTACTGACTCACACATACACAATTCTTCCTAAAACTCTTGGTCATCTTATGTGGGCAAGGGCTTTATTTTCCTCAAGAGGAACATTTTTCTTATAAATCTCTTTCCCTCCCTCTCCCCCAAACTTATGCACAATCTAAATTCCTTCAAAATAACAGAGTCTGAGCCTCAAATTCATCCAGACGTTTTATAGCTCACTCCTCAAATTCTCTGGTGTCACCATAACATACAACTAAGTAAGACAAGGAGTGATGTCAGGTGCTACCTTTGAGTTAAATGTAGTATTACTTAGTGCTTCTTGGTAAACCTTTATGGCAAATTAGAGGTTTCCCATTTCCCCAGTCGGCTGGCTATAAGATGTTGGGAGGGTGTTTTTTTCTTTAACACAAGGCTCTTAAGAATTTGTAGCAATGCATTTTTAATACTGTCAATAAACAGCTTCCTCAAGACTCAGAGGGGCAATAATGGAAGCTGTTAACAAAGTGTGAAAAGCAACAGGCTAGCAAAGGTTAATCACATGGCTGCCCACTAATGACCTCTACAGCCCTCAGTTTAAACCCAACAGCACTTGTAAAGACCAATCACGTGAATAATTTCCTGTCTGAGGTAGCCTTTATGGTTAAGAATAAAAGCGGAGCTGATTGTGAATGGAAACCCCCTGGCAGGGGAGGTGGTTATTATTTTTAAGCTGATCTAAACACCTGGGTTTCCCACTGGACCCTATTAAACTTCCCCCATTATGTCTAAATATTTCAATCATTTCTGCAGCAGTTGTGAATTAGTGCATTACTAAGGTAGGCAAGAAGTAAGAAAGGGGGCAGTTGACAAATGGCAAACCCCCCCTTCCCCAAGGTGATGACAGTCAGGTAGGGAGAATCCCAGGCTTTGGGAAAGGATTTGGAGGGGTCATCCCTCCTCTGTAGCTCTCTGACCCCACCCCGCCTCAAGGAAGACCACACGTAAAGCCATTCAGACCAAGAAAATTTTACTATTTTAAAGGCCTCCAGATGAGGAGATTCTTTAGCTTGCCCTGGTAACCCATTTCATTGTTTAACAGCCCTCGCTATCAGCCAGCAGTCTTCCCATTGGAAGAACTTAAGTAATTTCTGCTGTGGTTCAGACCCATCTTCCCTGCCTTGTCTTTGGGTGGCTGTATTTTGCTGATCTTTCCACATTTTATTATTGACTTGGTTAAACATTACTCCTCTCCCAATAAAATTGCTGAAGTCTTTGAAGATTTTATTTTCTACCTCCAACTTACAGATCTGAACATATTTAGGTGAAAAGCCTTGACTAAGTCTCTCATCTTGTAACAATGACATTTTTAGGTTCATGGCAAGGACAGGGCTTAAAAGCAGTAATAGGGCTTCAAGATTCTAATTTGGTACCTAGAATTTGGGTGGTCCTTTGGACAGTGGGTCAATGCATACTCAATGTTTCCTCTCTTCTCATTTGCATCATCTCATCTCTTATTACATTTTTTGGTATAAATTCCTTTTTTCTGAATTATTTTATAAGACCCCATAAAGGGCAATGTGTAGCAGAGGAATAAGAACAGGATATGGATACAGAGTCGGATGTCTAATTTAAGATTTTGTCTCTATTTACTTTCTATGAGAACTTATTGTGGTTGGTAATTTAGCATAGAAGTTCCCAACCACAACAAGATTCAATTTCCTAAAAGCAATACCTGTTTCTTAGAGTTGCTGTGAAGAAGAATACAGTAACTTATATATATTATCCAGAATGTAGCGGGCATTCAGTATGTGTCAGCTCTTGTTTCTTTCTTCTTTATTAGCAACCCTGAATCCAGCTTGGTGGCTTATACTTGATTAAAGATTCACAGGAGGCATTCAAATTTAGCATATTGGAGATTATTTGGTTCCAAGTAGCAAACCTACCACTTGAACTAACTTAGGCAAGAGGGGAATTTACTGTTTCCCCTTTCCAATCAGCAGCTTGTCTCAGAGATACCTGGAAACAGGGGCTCTCTGGGGGACCGTCACCAGGACACTCTTCATCTTTCTTCTCCACTCTTCTCCTAGATTCCTGACTGTATTTTCTCAGCCCCACTTCTACTTGGCTTGAAAGATGACCTTCTGTGCTCTCAGGCCCACATCTCTCAGCTTTACCACTAGAGAGGGGGCCAATCCCCTCTGAGCTCCAGTTAGAAAACTCTGGGGGTAGGATTTGGATTGGTCCAAATGGGTCATGAACCCATTCCCAAGCCTATCAATTGAGGTTGGGAATTGGGAGGAAGAACAGTGATTGTCACTTTCTATTAAAGTCATATGGTTGAAGTAGCGGTAGGGTCAGTTTCCTAAAAGAAGAGAAGCATTCATACTACTGTACACCAAGCCCATCCTCCTGTTAGCACACAGTGCTCAGTAAGCCTTACTTGAAAACAACAACAGCAAACCAGAATCGTGAGTAGACGCAAGGTACAACAAGATTGAATACTGACATTGATTTCCATTATTTGGCTTTCTCCCCAGGTCCCCAGGGCCCAGGCTCTAATTAAGTCACCTCTCCTTGGTCTACCTTCTCCAGGCTGCACCTGTTTCCAAGCTCACAGCAACCTGAGGCCTGTGATTAAATTCTACCTCTCTATCTCTTTCCCTAAAGGCCAAGCTGTCTTCTGTGGGACTAAAAAGCTGACCTGATGAGTTATTCTATGTTAATAGTAATAATATTTATGATTATAAGGCACATTGCCACGGATGATGTTAATATGCTAATGGGAAAAGGCATGTGAAAAGAGAACAGGAGTTTTTCCAAGTGTTTTCTGAAGATGCTGCATTTAGCCCATGCCTGCCCCACCTCAGATACACACAAATGCATATAAACTTACGATGGCGTGAACGTCAGGCTAGATAGGAAGAGAGGGAAAGATTAATGGGAATAAATTATCAAGAGGCCAGGGTCTTGTGGTTATATCTGGAAATCATGCTGTGTGGGAAGACAGCCACTTCATCTAGTAATAGCTTTAGCCTTCCTGATTCTGACACTGTTTGTTCTCTTTGGAGTTCAGGATTTTGTGACATTTTATCAGGGATACAAAATCTGGCAAACTATGGAGTTAACTGAATTTTAAATATTGATTTCCAGCATGATTTTGCTTCATTTTTATTGGTTTTATAGGGCCAGTAAAATAATTGAGTTATGAATATTTGCCTGAACTGCATAGCAGAGGCATCAGATCTCTCTGACTTGACACTGCAGAGAGAGTGGGAGAGAATGCTGGAGTGAAGCCTCTACTAATCCCTGAGGATGTTGCTTTTTCCCCTGTGTCACAGCACTTCATATTTATGTCTCCATCACTTATCTGAAGGCTGACTTACAGCAGAATAGCATATATTCACATATCCCATTCCAAAGCATTTATTAAGTGCCTACTGTGAGGTGAGCACTGTCTTAGGCATGAACGATTCTGAGATGAGCAGTACAGAGTTCCAGCATCAAGTTTCTTACAGTCTACTAGAGGACACATGTAAGTAAAGAAATTACAAAATGGTGCCTACTAAACGCAATAGAATATTCAAACAGAAGTGGTATGGGAGAGAGACTAGTAAACTGCACAGGGGTTGGGGAGTGAGAAAAATCTTCCAACGAGGAAGTGACATATGAATTTTACATCTGATGGGATTTCCAAGCACACTTGATGAGTCTCATTCTCCCACACTGCAGCAAAGGGTGATCTGATCCATACAGCTGTAGCTCTTCACTAATGATATGAGCCAGCATCCATTGAGAAACCTCTATTCCAGACACTGTCAGGGTGCCACATTTATGATCTCATTAAATCCTTACAACTCTTTGAGGGTGAGTGCTCTCCATTTTATAGATGAAGAACATGAAGCTTAGAGAGTGAAGCTTGTGCAGGGTCATACGGTTGACAGGAGACAGTGCCAGGATTCTAACTCAGATGGGTTCGACCCTGGGCCCAAGCTCTTGCCCAAATAGTGTACATAATCAAGAGAGGCCTCGGGTACAGTACTTGGCACTTTAGACTTTTCACAGTGCTTTCACCTGTTTTGACTCATTTGAACCTCTCTTAAGCATCCCAGGGATGACACTGGCAGGGCATTATCATTCCATTTGAAGACAAGGAAAAATGAAGCTTTAGAGCAGAGAGGTCACACAGTCACACAGTTAGTAAGAGGGAGAGCTGGGCTAGGACTCAGGCTGTTTGACTTCTAGTGTAGTGCTGCTCCCTTCACTGCGGAATGAATGGAGAGTCGGCCACATGCATAGAAGCGATTGCTATGCTCCCCACATGCTGCCCTGCCTTCCACCACCCCATGATCCCACCACCAAGTTTCTGTAATTGATTTAAAAAATCCATAGAAGAGGCTGGGTGCTGTGGCTCACACCTGTAATCCCAGCACTTTGGGAGGCCGAGGTGTGCAGATCACCTGAGGTCAGAAGTTCGAGGCCAGCCTGACCAACATGGTGAAACCCCATATCTACTAAAAATACAAAATTAGCCAGGCGTGGTGGCACATGCCTGTAATCCCAGCTACTCGGGAGGCTGAGGCAGGAGAATTGCTTGAACCTGAGGGGCGGAGGTTGCAGTGAGCCGAGATTGAGCCATTGCACTCCAGCCTGGGCAACGAGAGCGAAACTCCATCTCAAAAAAAAAAAAAAAAATCCTTAGAAGATTTCTCTACACAGACATGCAGACATGCAGGGATGAGGGAGCAGGAAAGATGTCTTCTTTCCTGCACCTGGTAGGGATGGGAAAGACCTAACTTATATTCTTTCTCAAAAATTATTCTAAAGAAGGAGGAATGTAGGCTGTCATGAGTCTAACATGTCACTGAAGAAAATTAGATGTTCTTCAATTTTTATTTTAAAGGAGCAATAAGAGGTGCCATCTCTGCAGATGACACATCATGAGAACTGATAACAGTGTATCACTGAATGTCAATAAACCACAGGTTATTATCAAACAGATTTGGATGGTTAAAACATGGGCTGTAAATGATATTACCATGTAGGCTGAAAGATTAACCATACCCATTAGTCAATGAGGTGAGCCTTGGTCCTACCTTCAGTGGCAATATCTTTAAGGGTTTCCATAGACAAAACTACTTTCTCCTTGTCAAGCCAGACTCCTCCAGGGTTCAAGGTCTCCCCTTTTGTACTTCAGCAAAGAATTCCAAATAAACCTTCATTAGGAACAAACAAAAACTTTCTTCATGTGATTTAAACTGTTCACAGACTTTGAATGTTTAAATCTCACTCTTTTGAAAAAATGTTATCTTATTCGTTTCTTGAAAATTTAATAGCACTCAAAAATTTTTGCTCTAAGGAATATATGGAAAAAAAAAGACATATATGGGAGACCCAAACTTAATTTCTCTTTTACTATGACCTCAGGTTGAAGGCTGAGTTTAGTGAGATGCATTTCACAGATAGAAAAAAAAATATGAGAAAACTCTAAAGGAAATTCACCTTCTTGGAAAGGTAAACTAAAGCACAGATAAATTCACGATATCAAATACAATACAAGTGCTCAAGGGGATACGAAAAAGGCAGTATTGTAATAATATATGAGAAAAATGTTATAAATTGTGAATTGTTATACATATGTCAGGAATTTGGTAGCTCCCTGCCATTCTCCCTTTTGAGGTCACCCCATGAAGAAACCTTTCTCTAACTTCCTGATCATTCTTCTCCTACTAGGTAGGCACTTCTCCGTTGACATTCACATTATCCTATGCATAGCACTGTCACTAAGCTCATCACATTGCATTATGATAAGCTGTTATTATGTCTTCCTCACTGGACTGTAGGCCTGGGAATTACCCATGTGATGTCTTCATGCCTAGCATAGCTGTGCCTGATGCAAAGCAGATACTTGGTAAGTATTTGTGGCCTTAACAATCAAACAAATAAGTGAACTTTTGGATCTTAATTCTTAAGTGGAACTCTGTTATAGAGATTGGAAAATCTTTTCTGCTAAAGGCTTTTTTTAAATTTTAATTTAAATAAGCCTGGGAAGACTGACTGCTACCTATGCCACTTGGAGTGTCATGATGTACATCAGTTTATTAATTACTTTGAAATATTTTTACTGTAAAATTTGTCCAACTTTGTTTAATCGAGCTATACTAGATTCTGACCACAAAGCCATGTTAAGAAACACCTAGTAATATACTTGAGCAAATGCTGCTTTAAAAGTTAAATAAAAATATGAAATAAAATAAAATAAAATGTGTCACAAAGTAGAATTAATACCAGATGAGTGCTAGACTCTATATGGCACCAATTTGAAAAGGAGAAAGATTAATATGGAATGAGCTGCAAAATCTTTTTGAAGGAAAATGGAAGCTTGAAAGATAAATTGAATCTGGCTGGGTGGGAGGTAAGGAAGCACTATGGTTTTTCATCTTTTCCTCCTTCTACCACCTGATAGGACACACTCCAATTAACAGTAGTGCCTTACTATGGGGTGAGGGTTTTGATTTGGGGGAAGAAGTTGTGAGTAGACTAAAAATGCTCTTCACTTTCTGAAGAGCTTCCATTGCAGCTGTGCATTATTGGAGATTCACCACTTTGAGGATTTTAATCATGGCAGAGGGAAAAGAATATGCTGTCTAGCTTTTCTCCTTAAATTCCACAAGTTACCATGAGTGCAGGTAATTTCACTTCCATGATTAACCAAATTGTCAATTTTAAGAGCCTGCGAGGCTTGCAGGCTTTCAAAATGGGCATATTTTCACTGTGACTGATGAGCATGTCCAATGTTCCTGGCTTGGGTCCCTTTTAAACTCTGTTTTTGACCAAAAGTTGTATACTTTCTAAAAAAGAATCAAGTCTACCATAGCTCAAATTCCCCAGTTACTCAAATAATTCCTTGTAAACAGGAATGTGCTGAGTTATTTTAGCTATATGCTCCCTCTCTTGAACTCTTGCCTCTCTTCTTGTGATTCATTTATATTTTCAGACCCCAAACAATGATTTAGTTAATTTTCATGTCTTACTAATTCCCAAATTTGGCTTTCTTGTTGTGCCAAACAGTCTGTTTATTAATCCCAGAGATCCAGACTGAGAAAAATGGTTATATTTGAAATAGGTTTAATTTAATCAGAGAATGGTGGCATTTGGAGCCATTTTGGGGGAGGAAGCATAGTCCTAGTGAGTTTCACAATCTTCTTCCCATTCCTTCAGATTTCTGTTTAGGTTGCTGGGTAGAATAAATTTTCAATAAAAAAGAGAGAAGTGTTTTTAAGAGTCCAAAGAGAGAGCCCTACAAACACTTTCCCACTTTTCAATATGAATTATTTCCTTTTGATTTTTTCAAAGCAAGCAGAGACCAGGCCAAGCTTATTTGGAGGTCAGTCTGAAAATAGGTGAATCTGGATCTCTCTAACAACAACAAAAAAGGCCTTTTCTGGGGCACTCAAGCACATCGTTCACAGCAGACTGTGTGTGTTATTGTTCAGTGTGGATACAAACATATATGATAGGTCACATGTGCAAAGACCAAATCATGTTTATGTAGTGAAATAACTTATCCCTTACTGTGGAAATAGGAATCCCTGGAAGCAAAAATTCTTGGGAACAGAAATTGTGGTTTATACATGATCTGATCTGGGATGTGGGGCTTTTATTCTTTTTCTGTTTATTGTGTGTGTGTGGGTGTGTGTTTTGTTTTGTTTTAGTAAACCACAAAGGGTTTTACTGTAATACTGAGAATAGTCTGTGTATGTGCATTTATTTGTGTGAATGTGGGTATAAAAAAGCCTCATTTAGACTTTTTCTCACTTCTTTGGTAAAGGCCTGGTTGAAACAACTTCCTATAGTTTTCTTGGTGAGGACAGAAAACACAACTTCAAGCAAACGTTAGGGAGGAACTGCTTGAGCTCTCTAACAGCACACGCTTACAACTCACTTTAGAATGAAGTGTAGTGTGCAAACACCTAATTTTTACAAAACTGCTTGTATTCGGAGTTACTAATTACAAACCCTCATGCTCTCCCTTCTTTTTCTGTTCAAATCTGCAAGGTTATTTAATTGAAGTCCTATTTTGTGGGTGCAGATGCATGATGTGTTTGAATCATCAAACAGATTTAGTGTGTTTTGATTGTTGTGTGTGCCTCATTGCTATTCCCAGAATGTCGAGCGGAGCTTATGCTTCTCGGGAAGACTTGAAGCATGAAACAGTAAAAGAGACCTTTCTTCTCCTCCCACCCCCTCGCCCCCCATTTTCGTCGAAACTTTGCCAATATCAGATCGCACTCTGTCTGTTGCTGCATTAAAATGAAGTCATTCCCTCCCACTTGCCCCCTTCCCTGCTGCCCTTCCCTTTGCTCTCCAGCCCCACAATTTTCTTCCTAAGTGGGGAAACTTGCTTGCTTGCTATGGAAGAACATCTTTAGTTTTATATTTTTTCTGCCTTTCTCTCCTTCCCATTTCCCTCTCCATTTCTCCCTCCTTCTTTGCGGTGGTTTTTGGATTGGGGGCTGTGAAGGGAAAGAGAAGGGGCCTGTTTTCCTTTCGAGGTGAAAACAGCCTTGGAACCGGCAGGTGCACGGCCCCGAAGCAGCTGCTTGTGACTTGCAAGCTCAAGCGTCTTACTTCCCCCTCCAAGCCAAGAGCACTTCATATAATCCTCTCATGCAATTCACACTGTAATTGCAGAAACCCCAACTGCTAGGGCTCATATTATTATTATTATTACAATTATTATTGTTGTTGTTTTTCACTGATAACAACATCTTCTGCAAACAGGAAACTGTCATGTTAATTAGTTTTTGTGTAAGATGAGTTGCTTCTCTGGAAGTAAGATTTTTTTTTTTTTTGCTCTGAGCCCTGTCCCCTGGCCCCCTCCAGCTCTAACCCCCTTGAAGGCCACTCAGGGAGTAGCACATGTGGAACTTTTATGTGGTTCTATAGAGCCTTTTATTACCCTGTGGGCCTCATCCTCTTCTTAAGAAAGAGGCCGGCGGTTAGGTGCTGGCAATGAAAATTATTTTCTTGAACACCAGCTTGTTTTCTCAAGGTTCTGCTTATTCCTTTGGTAATTATGAGACTAAAAGGTCTTTTTTCTTTTTTTTTGTTTTATCCATGAGTGCTTTAGACTATGGAACAATCATTTCATGGTTTTGAGGAAGAAAGGGAGAGGCATAAAAATATGGGGAGATTCTATTTTTTTCATGACATTAAAAATGCTTAGACAATTAGTAAAAAATACTGATTTTAAAAAATCTGATATTTTGAGAGCCAGAAAATATCTAAACTATTACTGCCGCCTGTGCTAATTTGTAATTTTCATCTACAACTTTGGCCTTTTCATTATTTATCAAAATCCAGCTATTTGTAACCACTGTCATGATTTTTATCACAGCTACATGCTACAAATACCTAAACTGTTGTTTAAATAGTATTTTCTTTATACGGACTTTCCTTTTAAATATAATCTACTTGCAAAAGAAATTAATTGCTACAAAAATATCACGTCTATAAATGGTACACAAATGCAATTTACCATAAAGACAAAGTAACTACAAAAATTAAATAAATGCAAGCAATTGATGTTACATTATTTCGTGTTACAGGTGTTGTAAACTGTAGGAAAGGTATTTCGTGTTACAGGTGTTGTAAAGTGTAGGAAAGGCGTTCAAGATGAGCACTGAGACTCTGTTCTTACCGTGATCAGAAGGACTGAAAGAGAACTGAAAAGAGAACGACTCTCTCACTTTGTGGACCAGTGGCATTTAATGCCATGCCAGTGTACCACTGCATACTGCTCTCCTCCTGGGGCATGTCCCCACACAGTGCAGGTCCTGCACTTTGGGAAACATAGTCCACTGTGTTGTTTGTGGCTTAGGTGGCCAAAAGTCCACCATGAATATTTGGCTCTAGAATGGCTATTTATTTTTTAAAGTTGGCTCATGATGTGTATGAACTATGTATTTCTAGTAAGAGAGAGACAAAAACAATTGCTCATACAGGAGAATTGGGGTCTAGTCGTAGATTAGTCAAATACCGAGCATACCAAAGTTCTAAAAGAATATCAAGGGGAAACCGAGGAGAAACAAGTTCTAGGATCCAAATGGCAATAATGGGAACTAAAACTGGGAGTCAAAATGGGATCAAAAATCTGGAGAAAGTGAAATATAGTCAGAAATGGATTGAGATGGATATTCCAGAAAAAAAAGCATTTGTGATCAGAGCTGAGATATCTGAGATTTTCATGTAGTAGCAGGTGATGTGCGAGAGAGAATGGCTGGGTAAAACACTGGGTAAAATCAGAGTAGAGAAAGAAGAGCAATTCTTAGCTAATTATTGTGAGTCATAAAACACAACGGCTGAGAACTCCTCAGCTCACCTCCATACACCCACCCCCACATGCAATATAGAGGTAAAAGGGTTGGTAAACCTCACAGTTTTTCTTAATCATAAATAAAACATTTTCTAAATATTTATGTCCCCAAACCTTCCACAAGCCCATTGTGACTTCACTATGTAAATCTTTCCAGTCATTCTTAATGGTTATATGGTGTTTATCTCCCCATGACACTCCTCCCACCATGTTATTCAGCCTTCAGATGGAAGGGACAGCCTTGAAGATGCATAAGTAAGCTAGAAAATGTTTCTTCAGTAGAAATTTCAGTAGAAACTTGGTAAAATGATCTCTTTACAACTTCCATGATTTTATTCTCCAGGACAATATGGCAGGATGGTGAGTGCTGATGTGTTTCTTTAGGCCTGTATCTGTTCTGTGGTTGGCTGGTTAATGGCAGTTTCTAAAGTTGATGAAGCTTATTATTATTATTATTATTATTATTATTATTTTGAGACAGAGTCTTGCTCTGTCATCCAGGCTGGAGTGCAGTGGCATGATCTCAGCTCACTGCAACCTCCGCCTCCTGGGTTCAAGTGATTCTCCTGCCTCAGCCTTCCGAGTAGCTGGGATTACAGGCACGTACCACCATGCCTGGCTAATTTGTGTATTTTTTAATAGAGACAGGGTTTCACCATGTTGGCCAGGCTGGTCTTGAACTCCTGACCTCAGGTGATCTGCCCTCCTTGGCCTCCCAAAGTGCTGGGATTATAGGGAGGAGCCACCACGCCCAGCCTGATGAAGCTTATTAAAGATAACTTTTATGATCAATGTGTCTGTTTATATTGGTAAGTGAAGATGATCCTAGCATTGTTCTAAGTACTCTGACAGATAGAAAAGAAACCTACTTAGGCTAGGCATGGTGGCTCAAGCCTGTAATCCCAGCACTTTGGGAGGCCGAGGTGGGTGGATTGCCTGAGGTCAGGAGTTCGAGACCAGCCTGACCAACATGGTGAAACCCCGACTCTACTAAATACAAAAAATCAGCCGGGTGTGGTGGTGCATGCCTGTAATCCCAGCTACTCGGGAGGCTGAGGCAGGAGAATCGCTTCGACCTGAGAGGTGGAGTTTGCAATGAGCTGAGATTGAGCCATTGCACTCCAGCCTGGCAATAAGAGCAAAACTCTGTCTCAAAAAGCAAACAAACAAACAAAAGAAACCTACTTAACAAATACTTAACTGAGGACTTACTATGTGAAAGGCTCTGTGGTGGGGGTACAAGCACGTAGTCTATTGCAATGATATTTGATGAAAACTCTGATAAGGGTAAGTACTGGAACTTCATAGAACACATGAGCAGGCCCCTAACCAAATCTTCTAAAGTCAGGACACGCTTCCACATAGGCTGAGAACTTAAGGCCAAAACAGGAATCAGTGAGGGGGAGTCTAAAGGGAGAAGTTCAGGGAAGGAGAGGACCCCTGAAGGCCTGGAGGTGAAGGTGTGTGTGGGGAGTTTCGAGAACTTTAAGTAGCTCACCATGGCTGCAGGTTGGGAGGTAGGTGGAGAGCAGAGGCAGAAACTGAAGCTGAAGAAGGACGGGACTTGAAGGCCACGTGAAGTAGTTTAGAGTTGATGCTGAGTGAAACAGAGAGCTAATGAAGGAGTTAAGATGCCGGACTGAAATCTGGGAAGAAAGGCTGCCCTGGAGAGGCGCGAGAGGAGGTGGAAATGTAGGTGATGGCACAGAGGGGAGGGTGAAGCATGATGAGGAATCTGACCAATTGAGCCTGAGGGTGCTTGCAGGGTGGGTCACTCTGGGCCAGCTGGACAGGCAGTAACCTCGCAGTGATCTCCAGGGACCAATGGCAAAAATGCAGGTCATCACCATCTTAGCAGAGAGGACTGTCCTATAGGCTGAGCACCATGATATTGGCTTGGGGGTGAGATCATGCAGGGGAGTCGGGTAAGAAGTATGGAAGCCCTTTGGGTTTTGATCAAAGAGAGTATTTTTTGAAGATTTTTGATCAAAGACAGTATTTTTTTGGGCAACATTTGGCTAAGTGAGCTGAGTTCTTTCCTATTATAAATGTCCAGTATGCTTCATGAACCTGTTTTACTTTGACAATGAGCCTGTAACGTTAAGGGGAGCATCAGTTCTCACCATCTGGTAATGGTATTAATAAAAGATAACATTAATGAGGTATGGTATCTCCTTTGGAGCAATCGCTGTGCTGAGCACTTGACATGTATTATCTCATTTTTCCTTCCCCAAACTCAATGAGGTCTTGTTATTATTATCTGTATTTTACAGATGAGAGTACTGAGGCTTGGAGAAGGTAAATAACACCATAACTATGTGACAGAGGTAGGATTTCAACCGAGGGTTGATTCCAGAGCCTGAGCTAGAAATCAAACTGCTATAGTTAAGGATGTATTGGACACTGAGTCTAAGGATTAACTGTGTACAAATTAGACATTTTTAGAATGCACAAACACAAACAATTAAAAGTCTTTTGGTTTCTTTCTGCATCTTCCTCTTGGAATTTTGCTGCAGGAAAAAGGTTTGATTAATAAGGGTTATGACTACTTGTTTCAAATTAAACTTGGTTTTACTGAACATGCAAAAGCAACAGGAAATACAAGTAGGATTTTTTTCCCCAGGTTTTGATACTTAAACTTTTGGAGGATTAAATTTGCGAAAACAGTAAGTAGGCTTTTATTTTTACATTTCACATATGGAGGCCATGCACTTTCACAATCCTTAAACTGGAAAAGATTCACAGAGTTAATCTACCCGAATCATTTAGTAGCCATTCCCCTTACTGAAAAACAAAATGTCACCAGAATTATTACAACATCCAAATAGTGAAAAGAGTTTACAGATCAAAAGCCTAATCTAACTCCTTTATTTTACACATGAGGAAGCTGAGGACCAAAGCAGCTACAGGACTGACCTGCCCAAAACCACACAGTGAGTCTGCAGCCCGGCTTCGGACCAGAGTTTCTTCTGACAAGCGGCAAGCTCACTGATGGCCACACCCGCTCATCCTGGATAACAGTATTCCCCAGTGGAATTAACACGATGCATCTTCCTGGAGTATCATTTTTACTTTAAGATTTAAAAGCAAGCAAGCAAATTAAATAGTCATTTAAATCATATTTATATTAAGCCTAACATGGCCATATTGTAGAGCAAACCATCGGGATTTAATAAACAAAACAGGAAACTTCAAAGAATGCTTTTTCTTGGAAAGAAGGCAGGAGAGCAAGAAAAGCGACTGCCTCAGCCTTTATCACGTGCGTCTTGTGGTTTAAATGTATTCTCTCTCCTTTAGAGATTTTCCAGAGGGCAAGTTTTTTTTTGTTTTTGTTTTTGTTTTTTTTTTGAGACACTCTGGGATCTGTTAGAAGTGTGACGGACAATAGTGAACTATCAATTAATAACATTGTTCATGACTATGCTGTTAAATAACTTTGAGAGATGTCAGAAACATGCCTTGCAGTTTCCATTAATGTATAATTTAAAATTGTCTAAATACATGTTAACAGATCCTTTAATACAATAGATTTTAACTTTTTATCTTAGAAATTTATTTTTTGAGCTAATATTAATAGATAATGTACTCGATTAGTAGTGTGTCACACGAATAAATGCATTTTGCATTCATTCAAGGTTATCTTTAAAATGATGTGAGTAATCTGTTTCATGCCCACAAGTACTATGAATGCTAACACTTCATTCTTAACTCATCTAGTTGTCATTAGGTACAGCAGCTGATACAATCTTCCATTAGACAGTCTCAGAACTGTGGGTGGTCTTGGAAACTATACCATATGAACTATAATACACAATAGAGTGAGTTGGGGAATTTTTTTAGCTTTAATTCTGAATCATGAAGCTCCTATTGGTTGAAATTGAGCAAAATAATAAAAAGGATCTTACTCTAGCATCAACTATACTGATGTGTTAGAGCAAAGTTCCTTATATCCTCTTTGCTACTTAAAGAATTTAAATTTGCCACAGTTATTTATTTATTTTTTTCAATTTAAATTGTTTATTTACCTAGCTAAAGGACCTGAAATAGCAGTGCTAGCAAACAGGGTGCACAGTTGACTGTTCACATTTTTAAAAAGCTAAATGCTCATAAAATAAGATATTGAAGAGAAAACAATAATGCATTTTAACTATGCTTTTGATTGAACCAGCACTGAGTACATGTCACTGGGACATTTTGGAAGTAAACTATGCAATTCACATCAATACCAAATTGGCTGTGCTCACTGTGGTGTTATTATAAAGGGAGTTAACTCATAATGTTTGGAAACTCGACGTCACTTTAAAGGTCTGAAACTTCAGTGTTATATATTTTTTAAAATTTCTTTATAAAAATACCTTTAAGTGCCTTAGATGTAATAAACACTCAGTAAGTAGCTATTGATTTAATTTCCACCAGAAACATACTGCATTGGAAGTCAGAATAGAAGTAAAATGCAAAGCAAATTATCAATTTGATATTTACTAGGTGGGTATGGAAGCAAGTGACATGTATGGTTTTGGCAATTCAAGAAAGATATATCTGCCCACAGAACTCTACACAAGTAATCATTTGCTAATCTCAAGAGAAATATTCTTTAAAAAACAAATCCTTTTGTGTATGCTTATGAAGATTAAAAAATCTTTCAAAACTTCATTGAAATGACAAGCAAACTATCATTTCTGTAAATGAGCTACAAATGTATGATTTTACAATTAGAAAAATATTTAAATGAGAAATCTGCAACCACAAAGAAGTTTAGACTGAAACAGTGCTACTTTTTTTTTTTCCTGGCATAGATAGATGATCCCCTAGTCTTTTTCACCATAGTCTGGAGTCCTTGTAAAGAAACCACACACAAGTTATTCTCTGGGCAGAAGCATTTTAGCTTCCAACTTTAATTTTTTTGTTCAACAGGCAGATAGTTTAAAAAGTCTTCTCTCCCATCTTACTCTGTTTCTTAAAATCCTTCACATCTTAAAAGGATAGAATTATAGTGCTGTTCATTTTGTACCTTCCATCCTACCTGCTAAGTTGGTTTTGTTTTTTAATAACCTAGGCCTAATTATTAAAAATTCAGTTGCTCTCCTTCCTTTCCCTCTCTCTCTCTCTCTGTCTGTCCCTCTCTTCTTCCTTTCTTCCTTCCTCCTTCTCCAAGTCCCTCTTGTCCTCCCCACTCCCCCCTTGTCCCCTTTAGAAGCCCCTGGGATGACACTGTTCATTGATGCATCTCCCTCATTAGCATTGCTGCAGCTTGGCTCAGTGGTTTCAGAGGCAATCCGTCATGAGAAAACTGAAGAATGTGCCCCATTTGCATGATTCTGTGCCAGAATGCAACTTTTTCTCAGCTGTTCTTTGTGTAATTTCCCCTTGAGCGTTCAACTTTCCCATGAAGTCCTAGAAATCATATTACAGATTTCCAACCCAATTGAAATGCTTTACAGATTAGTTTTACATACTTGCTTCCTTCCCCCCAAAACTTCGTAGTTCTTCATAAACAGAGCAAATTAGTACATAAAAAACAGGTTTAGCCTTTTATCGTTTGAAGTGTAGGGCACATTAAATGAATAATTTTGCTTTGAAAATGCAGGGGTTCATATTATATGTGCAAATATATATTTATTACACTTGTCCAAATGAGGTCACAACACTACTAAATACTTAGGCAATTTCTGCTTTCTAGTCACTTAGTGCCACTTGCAAACCACATTTTGTAAGCCACCATGGAACTCAGAGCAAAACATAGCAAAAAGGTGGATGAAATGCTCACTGTTTCTTTAATAAGGAGAGCTTCCCACGTAAGTCAAGATCTGTTTTGCAGTTCTTGGGTGAACCCATTTTAATAAAAGAATGAATTCATAGCTAACTAGCTGCTAATTAAATAAGTATTCTCACAGCATTTTTTCTAGATAGAAAATGACAACTAAAACAACTGTGAGATATGCAATCTGTTACCAAGATTTCCGTTTTCCAGAAATTAAGATAAATGTAATATGGTATATACACAAAACACTACATTCCAGAAGAGAAAACATTCCATTAAAGAATGTTTATCACATTACATCTGAATTAACAAGAAGAACCCAACTTATTTACACACACACACACACACACAACAAACACACACACACTCCGTAGCCCTTTTTAACGACGTTATTCTTCTCAGTATTATTATACACAAATTGATAGTCTTTTTATTCCCTTTTGACTTTTGGGTGCAGTCAGTAGTAAGAATAAACCATTTCTTCTTCTTATTCTCATTCTAAACACTGTAGAATAAATTATTTAAAAAATTACTTTTTGACCATTGGTTGGAAAGTAACCATAAAATAGCGAAGATATTCTAAAAGTGTTTTAATTATAACTACTTAAAATTTTAAATGACTTCATAATCTTTGGGAAGGAGAAGATGAATTTAGAATGAGAAGGCTGAAAAGACCAAACTTAAAACCTACTGAGTATCAAACAGAATTAAAATAACTTAAAGATAATTCCCTGTACTAACAGAAAAAAAATAAAGCTCTTAAAATACAAAAATTTGGTCGTTGAAGAGCCGCTCACACGGTGATTAGAATTAGGTTGCAGAAGATTTCATTAATTATAGGTGACTGATTTTCCCTGGGCAGACAGCTCAGGTCTCCCGGCCCCCTCCGTCCACCCCCTCCCCAGCTCATCTCAAACTGTTGTCTAACCTTTCCCTTAATCCATCTCATCTTGAGCTGATGGGAACTGCTTTCATTCTACCTCTTGTGGAGGTAATGAAACAATCTTCTTATTCACTTGGTTCCTCTGAGCCGGTGACATGCAACAACAACAAAAAAAAGCGAGCGCCCTGATTAATGGCTGCTAATTAGCAATGTTAATGACCAGGTGTCCGAGAGTACGGCCAGCTCCTCTCAGCATGGAGTGATCGCTCAATGAGGGCCCTGCAAATCCATTCCCAGTGACCCTTCCCCTCAGCTGCCAGTAATGAAGCCCGCTTGCTCGTTACTCCCGGGAGAGGCGCAGGAGGAGACCTGGGCCTGGGACCCAAACCCTTGCCTGGGGTCTAGTAGGTCTTCCATTAATTAAGGTTAGCATTTCTGGCCCCCCAAAAGCTCAAAGGTAGAGGAGTGAGGAACAGGGAGATGTACTCAAACCCTCTTTTGTCCAGAGGAGATTCTTTTTCTAAATGGAGCCAGTAATTAATTTTAACCGTTTACATGTACATCTGTAATTTTGACTATGTGCTAGCTATACATATCATCTTCTCAATCAGATTCTTTTATTATCCCGAGATGATTCACATGGGTGAAGCAAATCTCATATTAGCTTTCAAATACAACTTTTCATCTGTGAGGTTTACATGCTTTTTTTACCATTCAGCACAGATTACCTAATGACAGCAGAAACTCGGTGCGCCTAGAGGCGTGCTTAAAAAAATAATAGTAATCTTTGAAAATATTTTTTCTAGTTAGAAGGTAGGTTAAGTATGTAAGTGCTCTTATCTCTCATATTGGAGTAAGGGAATTATAATAACTTTTAAAACAAAACGACAAAACAAAAACAAGCTTTTCACAGAGCTTTATAGAGAATCGGCTCTATAAAGACCTGAAGAATTATTTTACTAATTAGAGTTGGTTCCTTTTTGGAATGCTGACCAGAAAATTGAAAAGTGACAGGACTGAAGTCTTTGTAGATAACTAACCATTAATTGTATTTGCCAATTTGTGACAGGCTGATTCTGTCTGAGTTTACACAATCATTTACTTTCCCCTCACTGGAGAATGGCCTTGTACTTCCTCCAAGCAAAGGGAGTGGGGATTCAGTTTGGAAGAAACAAACTGAAATGGAAGAAAGTATGCTATACCATTGTTTTTGTTTTAGCACATTCTTTCTTTTTAATGTATATGTCTCAGGTTGGGATAATACCGTGGCGGATTTAGAAATACTATATATATACACTATATATATATATATGCATATATATATATGCACACACATATATATCTTACTTGCTGAAAGGTCGTATGTTTGATATCATTGTGATAAGTTTCTGTTAATGACATTTTTGATACATGTGTAATTTATTTTGGTAGAATGTGTTATTGTAAAAATTGCCAACTATTCGTAGGTGATGAAATACCACCCATAACTGCACTTAATAGCAGAGTTTGAAAAATTGTGGTTACTACTTTGCTCTGGGCTAATAGGTCCGAGTAAAATTTGACAAGAAAAGCTTCAGAGCTTTACTTCCAAGTGTGGACAGGTCAAGCAATATCATCTCCTAGACCACAGAGGAGGAAGAGGCTGCCTAGATAGGCGTCTGGCTCCTCTTTCATTGGAGCCCACCTTCTGTTGCAGTAATATTTGATGTAGATTTCTGGGGAGAGGGATACAATTTTTCTCCCCATCATTAAATGATTTAGTACATTTTCTTTGTAGGAAATTTAGAAAACATTGAAAAGCATATGCATACATGTTCACATGTATTCACACATGCACACACAGCACCCACAATCCTAAACAGAACTATATCCATTGCCAACATGTTGTCATATATTCTGGCTATCTTTTTTTGTGCATACATACGTTTTTGCTTTTAACCGAAATTGTATCATACTGCAGATAATGCTTTGTAAATTGCTTTATAAAGTTAACAATCCGACCATAACTTGTCATGAAATATTCTTCTACAATAGCATATTATGGCAGCCTCTACTAAGAGCCATGAGTCTCCATTGACCATGAATGGTTAATGACGATTTCTAGAGTGACTACAGAGCCACATTACTGTGATGGCCCCAGTGCTAAAGGGAAGGACACAGGCTCCATCCTGGCCAGTTCCTCCCTACCCGGTGAACTTTGAGAGTTTGTAGAGGATTGAGTCATATCCCTCCATTAGCTTAGATCCTGCTTCTTTCTCTTCTTTCTACAGTCTCCAGACCAGTGCCAAGGAGCCAAAGAGAAGAAATGAGAATAACCAAGGTATGCTGTGTCCAATTAATTAACTATTAGCAAACAAAGGACCAAACAATGTGACTGTAAGCTTCATGACAGCAGGGAGTTTGTATATCTTTTCACCTGTGTATCGGCAGTACCTAGCACCATACCTGGCACATTGTAGATAATATATATTTGTGGAATAAATGAATGAATGAACAATTAAAAAATACATTTGACTGTTTCCTAGTTTGCATTTTCTTGAGTGGCAGAGAGAGTAATGGACTTTTAGTTAGTGCCCTTGGAATGCCCGCAGGGACGTATCTCCAGAAGGAACTCATTCTCTTGCATTGGAAGTAGCACACATGAGCAGATACATGGTTTTATACTTCTAGCCAGAATGCATGAAAACCCTGAGATCTATCTGTCTTCTGCTCCTGTGTGGCTAGTCCTGCCTGCTCCTCAATTTGGTCAAAAGAGAAAAACAAAAAACAAAAACAAACAAACAAACAAAATTTTGAGTCCCAAGGTCCTTAATTTGAACTTGCAATTAAAGTGCATTATAAATTAAATCTGGCAATTTAAATAATTAAATATTTTACTTATCTCTTTTTTCCTTTTTTATAGGTTTATGAAACCTATATAAAAACCTATGAAACCTACACAGTCTGTGGATGGAATGTGTACTACTCTAGGAAATGAATAAATACGTTATCAATAGCAGGGGAATCAGTTGCACTTAACGTGACTCAAAGTTAGGAAGTGTAGGGTTAAAAAAATGTAGGGTTCATTGGATTTTTTCTTTCCTTTTTAAATTTAAAAACTTCAAGTTACCCTGGGAAAAATGACCAAGAAATAGTAGAAAATAACCACTTTGCTTCAAAAGATGTTTTGTAGCAATTAGCCAAAGAAGAAGCCGTATCCTCTGCAAGACATCCTCCTGTGTTGTGTGCAGTAGGGATGGCTGTTCCTTGACCCCTCTCACTCACCTACCTCTGGCGCTTTGTTCAGGGGGCAGAGGCAGAGCGAGACCCTTTTGGTAAATTTATCCTGTTGGAATAGCAAATGGAGAATGCTGTAATGCATTCACCCTTTCCTCTATCCATCCATCAATCATTGTATTAATCAATCGATTGAAAAGCCTGTTTAAGCATCTCTCTACAGCCTATTATCCACACTGAGTCAAAGAAACATGGCTTCTATGCTTTGCAGTTTGTAGTTTAAGAGAAAACAACAATGGAGGTAGGCACGGAGGATAAATAGACAACAGGTAAAACACTGAACAAGTATGTGAAATGAAAAGAATGATAATATTAACATTGTCAATCAATTAACAGGTAGTTATGCTGTGGTAATTACATGCTCAGCACTGGGTTTGGGTGTTCTCCAAGTTAAATAGCTAAAAATCAGGAAGAATTTTTTTTTTTTTATTAATTACAGTTTTAAGTTGAGAAACTAAAGAAGTTTACTTTCCACTCTGCATAAAGCCTTGTGGAGGCAATAGGATGGGAATGAAAGGAGGTTGTGTGTTCCCACTTTGGTACTTGTTGAAAAGAATAAAATAGCTATGATGGGAGAGTGAACAAGTGATGGTTGAGACACTTGGATAACTTTAAAATCACAAAAGTGCAGAGTTGGAATGGGCCTGAAAAATCATTTTTTCAATGCTTCCCACGGTACCTAAAAATTGAGGCAAATTCAGAGGTTTGTTTTGTGGAGAATAAGATGTTGGTCAAGTAGGCATGAGAGGAGCCTGCTAAGGGACACAGAAGGAGACACAGGAAGTGAGGCCTTCCTTGGATGTCATCCTGACCCCGAAGAGGCCTTCAAAGCTGCTCCAAAGGGTCTTGTTCCTTAGTTGTAGCCCATTTAAGAAGGCCCTAGAGGAGAATAGGGTTGATGTAATGAAAACCCATAGTGAGATGATCTCTTCAGTAACAACAAGAGGCTGGAATTCAGTGAAGAAATTGTATTAATCCAGGCAAATGGTGCCCAAAGCCTGTATTTTGGATGTTTCACTCCTCTAACATGCATCAGGAAAAAACAAAATCCTTATTACCTGCTTAGGACTACTAAATTCCAAATCTTAATCAAAGTTTGCTGACGTTGATATCCCAGCTTAATATATAATTAACCCATTTTTGAAATCTGGATAAAAGGTAAAGTGAATCCTTTTGGACAGACTGGGCTAGCTGTGGAAACTAAACCGAATGATCATAACATCATTTCAAAATATCTAAGGAGTGAAGAAATCAAATCTTTGTTGACTATCAACCCATAGTAGTCACTGTGCTAAGCACTCCAACGTTGCCTAATTAATCCTTATCATCCTCAAAATAAAGTAGTATTATCCACAGATTACAGACTCGGAGGCTTAAAAAGTCAAGTAACTGGACCCAAATCCCACATAAAGTCACTGAGTGATAAGGAGTGGGTCTTATGACAACAAGCCACTGCTTTGCCACAGCACCATGCTGTCTCACATAATTTGGACATGTTTTTTCTTTTAGGGATAGATTATCTCAGAGTTGGGCGAAATCAATATTTCTCACCCATGCAGTCCCCCAACCACCAATTCACTGGGCATACAGGTTATAATGGTTGGGTGGATGTGTGGTTCTTCCTGTTTTTGGTACAATCATGACATATCATTTGGATATCGTTGTGCATATCCAGAAAGTCTTTATGCTCAGGATATGGTAAGAAGCCAAGTTGGCTAAAATTTTTGAAGCATCAAAAAGAAGTTTTTCTCACCAGAGAGGATAAAACTCCAGAAAAGTACTGAGGCTGCTGGTAAAGTATCTTAGACCCCCATCCTGCCCTTCTGAAATCAAGTTCCAATTTTAGGGGTGCTGATGTGTCCATCTGTACTCCTCAAGTTTTTCACCGTAGACCTGGGACTATGATTTACTGCTCACATTTGTCCTGAGGTTGTGTCTCGCGACCCCTATGACCATGTCCTTGAAGACTTTGGAAGAGACTGCACTTCTCTTTCCATGATACATGAACATTTCTTCTACCACCTTTAAAAAACGTAATTGCGAGGGGTTTTCAGTGTAAAGAAGATCTCCTGGAAGTCCCCAACTATTTGAGATTGGTTCCATATAATGAAGATATTGATGCCAGATCACAAGGTGATTGGAACAGAGGCTCTCAATGATTGCTTTTTGATGAGCAAGCAACAAGAAGCTGCTGGATCGTAGCGCACCATCTGGGGGAGCTTGTACATATGAGCTCTCCATGACCATGGCTGCTGGGGACCTCACATGCAGCTCTAGGAGTGTGAGAGTGTCCTGAGGATTCTCTTAGTTTCTTGCTGTTTGAGAGACACTCAGACATTTTCAGGGGTCTCTGACAAAAAGCAACATCATATTTCCACTCAAGACTGAAAGTTACAGTGGAGCAAGTGGAAACCTTGAGGGGGTAGTGCTTTTAATTTTGAAATCTAAAAAGAGCTAAAAGGTTCTTTCTGCTGTGTGTCTGGCCATTCTAAGAGCCATTCTGCCCAAATAATACCAATTTAACGGAGGGTAGGGAGATAGGAAAACTAATAGAAATTGCGCTAAACTAGGATCTTTATAATGATTGCATTTTTCCTAGGTGAGAGGTATTATTCTTTCTATTTTACATATTAAGAAACTGAGGATCTGGAAAATGAGATGTCACAGAGTTGGTAAGGGGTAAAACCACATATTCAAGTCTTGGTGTGACTGCGAAATCCTCCATAACAGTGCTGTTCAATATGATAATTATTAGCCATTATAGCCCTTTTTATTAAAATTAAAATTAAATTTAATAAAATATTCAATTCCTTAGTCAAACTTCAGGTGCTCATTAACTGCACGTGGCTGGTGACTAGTATTGAACAATGTAGATATAGAATATTTCCTCCATCAAAGAAAGCTCTGTTGGACAGTGCTTCTCTATAACCATGCTGAGAACTTTCTTTGGCAGAAGTATTTGTGGAAAATAACAGTAGTGAAACTCTTCTGCTATGTTAGTGAAGAATGGTGGAAGTAAAGGGAAAGATTGATGTACTTGGAAAATCTTTAACAAAGTAGTTTAGTTGTAGACACATAGTATTAACTAAGCCAATGGCAACGATAATAGTAATATCTAATTGTTCACTGCTTCTTATATGGTAGGTACTATTCTAAACTTTGTGCATATGAACTTATTTAATCCTCACAGCAATCCTACAAAGTAGATGCCATATGATCTCCATTTTGTAGATGAGGAAACTGAGGCACAGTGAAGTCAAGCAACTTCCTAAGGTTATCCAGATAAAGGAAAGTAAACCAGGATTGCAACCCAGATAGTCTGGCTTCAGATACTGGATGCATAACCATTATGTCATACAAGAATGTTTTACAGGCGTACATAGGGGAAAGTTTTGAGAGTAAGTTGGTGGTTAGAAATGGAGGTATAAAAAGCAATGCATTGTTTTTTAAAAACGGAATAACCTGAAAACCAAGCAATACTTCCTCTTGCATGCTGTCTGTGTGCATGTGTGCACAGTATGTTAAGTACATATTACATATAATTTTATATATATAAAATACATATTTTAAGTACATATATACACATACATACAAAATTTGTGTTTGTGTGTGTGTGTATGCATAGCAGTTTATGAGACCAAGTCAGATACAGTGTTGTTAATGGGAAGTAAATAAGATAAAAGGAGAGGATATTATAATTGGAAAGCAACAACTATTATATAATTATTGGTAAAATTTATTTTCTCTGCCTGCTTCAACCATAAGTAAAGGAGAAAAATATTGGTTAAGATGAAACCCGAATGAACTAATCTCATTGTTTTTGTAAATTTTCCAGTTTGCAAAGTAGGTTTAAAAGTTTTGCAAATGTTTCAGGAAAATTTTGGAAGAAGGACTTCAGGTTTGACTTGAACGATCAGAATTTAAATTCCTGTTATCTGTGTGTAAGGTGTGCACTTGGAAGTTAAGAATTCTTTTGTATCCACTTATCTAATTTAGCATTCCCAAATGATGTTCATTTGCCCATCCATCTTAGTTTTATCCTCACCGTTATCTTTACAAAGGATGATAATTTTTCACAACAAGTACCACGTGTGTGTTAGGGCCATTGCCATTTCAAGTGTTAAGAGTGGTTCTAGGCTCGGTGTGGCGGCTCACACCTGTAACCCCAGAACTTTGGGAGGCCGAGGCAGGTGGATCATTTGAGGTCAGACGTTTGAGACCAGCCTGGCCAATGTGGTGAAACCCCATTTCTACTAAAAATACAAAAAAAAAAAAAAAAAAATTAGCCAGGAGTGGTGGCACACACTTGTAATCCCGGCTACTGGGGAGGTTGAGGCATAAGAATCGCTTGAACCTGGGAGGTAGAGAGTGCAGTGAGCAGAGATTGCACCACTGCTGTCAGCCTGGGTGAGAGAGCAAGACTCTGGCTCACTAAAAAAAAAAAAAAAAAAAAAAAAGAGTGTGGTTTTATTGATATCATACTTGTTGGGTGGGTTAGTCCTGTGGATATAGCTTTTATTTTAAGTAAATACAGAAGTACTTAGAAAGTGCTAGCACTTATGCTTGTAATTTTTCAATTAGGAACAATAATATGTAAAACTAAATTAAATTTTCATCATTAACAAAGTCCTTTAGTTCTCAAGTGGAAACAATTTAAAACTCAGTTTATTTTGTAACATTTTTGCTGATGAGTAGTTTTTTTTTTAAGTATGGGAAACATGGCTTTTTTTTTTTTTAAATAGAAATACAACTAGTATTTTAAGTTCTGTTTAGTATAACTTTCTAAATTAAGATACTACCCATGAAAACAAAAGTCTCATTACCTTTCTGGTGACATCTAAGCGTCACCTTAACAAATTGGCGTGTGATATCAGACTACGTTACTATGACCATATATGAAAAATTCTCAACTTTGTAATGATTATAATCTTACCTGTCTTCCCTATCACTATGCCCGTTTTAAATACTTATTTTAAACCAAACGAAAAATCTTTATTATAGAGTGTTACAGAATGGAGGATTTTTAAAAGAATTATTCATAAAATTATCCATTTTTTTCTCAAGAAGATAAAGTGCACTGACTATTACGTACAGGAATTGGTGACTTGAATTTTATCTTTTTGAGCTGTAATTTCAATGTTGGAAACAACTTTAGAGATCATCTAACCCTTCCCTCTTAGAAGCTTTAGTAGACCGACCCCAACACTGCACACAGCTAAGACTTGAGCCTGGATTTTCTCTCTAGGAGTCATTAACCAACCAAAGCTCACCATTTTTTGTTCACTTTTTGATCAGATCTTGGACACATCAAATCTTGATTTAATAAACATTTAAACCACTTGAGAAATGGATTGCTGTTTTGCTTTGCTTAGCTGCTGCAATCAAATATGTACTGAGTCTCCTGTGCACATGATCCATGCAGCACTGTGCTGAGTCTATGAAACCACAGAACTGGAAGGGACCTTGGAGATTATCTAGTTCAATTGCCTTGGCTTTCAGATGGAGAAAATGAGAAGTGAACGGGTGTCACAGGGCCACACAGCTAGCCATCATCAGATCTGTGCCCCTATTCCAGATGGCCTGACCTCGAGTCTGGTCCTCCTATTACTATGCTATTTCCAGTGCAGTGTACAGTTCCGAGGGTATAGTCAGGTGTTCAAACAAGGATCCAAACATTGCTGAGGCCTATTGACTTTTGTTCCTGTTGCCTTATGGGTGGTTGGGACATTGACAAAGCATAAATATTTGCCAAAGAATCATGAATAAGCTCAGCTGGGAATCAACTTTGATATGCAAATGACAGAGGTGGTTATAAACATGAAAAAAAGTTTTTTTTTAAATTAAAAAAAAATAAGTGGTAAAGCACATGGGGTCAGGCAAGCCATTTAAGAAAATGGCCTTCTCCATGGCATCTCATTGCTCTGGGAATATTGCAGTGGAATGGGAGCTTTGATAATCTCTGTGAAGAATAATGGCAAGGGGAAAGAAGGCTGCTTGTCGACAGTAACCTACAGACAAATGAAAACCCGGGCTGTGTCCTGAGAGTTTTAGGTAATCCAGGCTCATAATTTGATTTGAGAAGAGCTACTCCAGGCTACTGTGTAATTATAGAAGCATTCACTCGGCTGGCTCCTGTTCGCCTCATCACGTTCTACTTCATTGCCCTTTATACTAAAGCCCCTGTTGATGAGAGGGCGGAAACAGTAAGTACAAATAAAGCAATTAGCAGGTGGGGAATGCTACCACTGTTTAAGGATAACATACAATCTTTATTGGTACTTATTAAGTAGAAGTCTAGAGCTTAGAGACAAAGGGAAATATCACAAGCCACAAAAATGAAAAGGAGTGTGGGAACAAAAAGAGAATGGGGAAAAATTATACCAACATTATCTACTTCATATTTCACAAATCTTATCCCAGATGCTGGTTTAAAAAATACTATTAAACCTCCAGTTTATTTATATTATAGTGAGTTACGTTCTCAACTAAAATTCACCTTGTAGTTTTCTTCCTTCTTCGGACCTACTCTTTTATGATGTGAATTAACTTGAAAAACATTTTAAACAGTTACTGTGTTCCATTGAGTTTTGAATCTGGGTTGTAGTTAAATCCGCCAGCAGAGGGAGTTAGGATAATTAACAAATCTTGGCAGGTCCTGACATTTAGAACGTAGATTCATAGGCACTGTTGGCAGCACTGAAAATGCCCACTGTAGATAAGGAATATAATGGGCAAAAGGAGGAAAGCAAGAGGATTTCAAGTGTTGTTGAAATCCCAGCACAGGATATTGAAGATGGACAAGAAAATAGGGCACAGGCTTTCTACCTCCATTTGCAGAGTAATCCACGCACTCTGATTCTTGGTTTACTTATCTGAAAGCAGGGATAATATAACTCTGTTCATCCAGAATGCTATAATTCTCATATATTGGCAGATAGCATTGCTCTTCATGCTCTAGCCTTATTTCTTCTGCCTGAGCACCAAGGTAGAGTATAAATAATTGCTGTGCTTCTCAGAGCAGCCACAAGAAGATGTCGCTTGTATCTGATTTGGGCCTAGTGCCTTTGTCCTTGCACGCCTTATTAATTAAAGCTCTGCTGTCAACTTCAGCTACCTAAACAGGATACAGTCTCCAATTTGAATAGATTTCCAAGCAGTCAACTTGAAAGAAAGGTATGGGAATTTGCAGAAAAATCAATATGTTTTTCCTTTGCCTTAGTAGCAGGAGGGTACTTTGGGCAGAGACGTGTACAGATACCTAGAAAGATAAAGTTTTACACTGGCAGTAGAAATTAATATTGCAAAATTAAATCTTTATCTTCACCCTAAAAAACTTAGCTTCTTTTAGGGAAAACTTCTGGTTCTCACTTCAGGTTTTACTCATTCCTTCTCTTTTTCATCCTCTATCACCTAGCAGCCACTTGAGGCAGACCCAGAGTGTCAAAAGTAAAATCTCTTGGACAATAATACTGAGAAAAATGTTTATTTCACCTTTGACCGAAATCACAGCACCTTCATGGGACATTATCTCAGTCAGATCAAATGTCTAAAGATGATTGTGACCAGGCCTTCCCAAGTATCATTCAAGGGAGGTGACTTATGTGGGCAAAGCAGGGAAGAACAGCTTCCAGAAGTATGCAAAATGCTTAGCACTTAGTGTTAACATCTTTGGTACCTTTTGATAGTGCTAGTAAATATATAAATATGCACATCACGAATTTTCTTTTGGAAAGTGTACATTATGTATTTAAAACAGATTTTATTTGAGGATCACCAATATGCTCATGAATTTTTATGATCCCAGTCCTATATGTCCAAAAACATTGAAATTCTCAAATGACAAATACTAAGCCATAATTTCATAAATATACAGAATTTTCATTTGTAGTCTCTCTCATTTCCATCATCATCCTCTTCATAATTGCCACTATCCACTGAATTTGTTTTAGTGCTTCATAGTTTTAAAGGTGTTTCATAGCCATGAACTTACTTAATTCTTAACAATCTGTGAATTTGACAGGTGATACAGTATGATTTTGCAAATAAAGAAACAGACACAGAGAAGCTCTGTGACCTACTTGGGGATGGCTCTGTCTGGGATAGTATTTAAGTGTCTAGGTCAGTTCGAATCGGGTCTCCATCTATTATCAAATGCAAGAAACTGGAAATAGTTTCAGTAACTATTCAGCTCTTGTGTATTATTAGTACTGAGTAAAAAAACAGAACAAAATATTCACACATACTCTTGTGCCTGGGAATCTTGGTAATTTAGAAATGTGGCAAGTGGTAGAACAGGATACAGAGAGTATAATTCACCTTTCTACCCCTCCCTTTCTCACCTCTGCGTCTTTCCTTTTGTGTCAGATTAAAAAATAAAGTAATGGGCAAACCTAGATGGTCGTGGTTGAGCAGAGAGACTTGTGATTGTAACTGCTTAAACCTGTGAACAAGACTTCAAAAATAATCCCTATAGATGCCTCTCTTCTCTAAGATCTCACCCCACTCTGGGGCACAAGAACTTGGTTGTACTTTTGGAAAGGCTGTCAAGAATTTTTCTGCTTTGGCAAACCCAGAGGTGCACCATTTCTGCTGTAGAGTTCATCTCCTCCAATGTAGACTCCTAGTAAATTATTTTTCATTACATATTGATACGTAGTTCGCCTTTGATCATTGCAATTTATATTTGATGACAAGGAACCTTTCCAAGAACATACTCATTGACAGTTTGAAGGGCTGAACAAATGTCTTTATTTTTATTTATTTATTTTTGAGATGGAGTCTTACTCTGTAGCTCAGGCTGGAGTGCAATGGCGTAATCTCGGCTCACTCCAACCTCCGCCTCCCGGGTTCAAGCGATTCTCATGCCTCAACTTCTGGAGTAGCTGGGACTACAGGTGCATGCCAGCATGCCTGGCTAATTTTTGTATTTTTATTTGTTTATTTTGAGGCAGAGTCTCACTCTGTCACCCAGGCTGGAGTGCAATGGCGAGATCTCAGCTCCCTGCAACCTCTGCCTCCTGGTTTCAAGCTATTCTCCTGCGTCAGCCTCTTGAGTAGCTGGGATTACAGGCGCGTGCCACCACGACTGGCTAATTTTTGTGCTTTTAGTAGAGACAGGGTTCCTCCATGTTGGCCAGGCTGGTCTCGAACTCCTGGCCTCAGGTAATCTGCCTGCCTCAGCCTTCCAAAGTGCTGGGATTACAGGCATTAGCCACCGCTCCTGGCCAAATGTCTTTATCTTTAAAACAAGCATTTCAGTCTACAGTATTTGTAAAGGACTGGGATTTGTTCTAATTAGATTTGTTCTCATGGAGGACAGCATTGTTTTTATTGGCTTGTGAATGTGACCGGAGATACTTGCAATCTACCTCATACATAGGTTCTGTAGTTCACAATGTCCCACCTGGATGACTTTTAGGCTTTGTTGTCCTCATGGTAGCCTGCCACCTCTTTGGGCCTGGCCTGTAGGAAGCCTAAGTGAATCATCTCCTCACAGAATCAAGAGTAGACCATAAATGATGATGAATGCTTCCAGGTTGCCTGGAGCCACTGCACCTGATGCCATTTGAAACTCCCGCAGGAAATACTGGTCATCTTATTCCAAGTGTCCTTGAAGCCAGTGGCAAATTCCTCTTGTTCACTCAAAAAGCATGCTTCCTGTTGTTTTTGGGTGGTCTTCCAAATACCGAGACCTGAGAATGTTTAACAGAGAAAATAAAGAGCATATTTTAAATTCTCAAGTAAAATACTCTCTGATTGGTAGAACTTGGTTTTGATAGCATAGTGTGGAAATAGCATGGCTGTTTATTTACTATGAGCATTTTGTGACAAACAGGCCTGATTCAGGGTATGATAGCACTACCCTTCACTCTCTGAAGCAGCCAATTTCTACCATCTGTTTAGGCCGGTTTCTGACTAAGCAAGTTGTTCCTTTTAGATCCTGTCTTCAAGGCAGTTTCTGATGGTAGACAGAGGACACATTTTTCTCTGCTCGTCCATATGTCAGTACAATCATTGGCTGCTCAGACACTCCAGGTTGGAGGTCTATATAAGTTACGCTCACCAGCCTTTCTGAACCAGATGCCAAGGACACACCCCAACTGGCTTGTAAAAGCAGTACATCTAATCACATAAAGCCTCTATAATGTGGTTTTTTAAATTAAGTGACCCACAGGATATTAATCTAGTGGTAACAACTCCCAAGGGATGTAGCACTGGCAAACACTTCAAGAGCTGCTAGTACTAGTATTAAATGTGATGTTCATTTTGTCTAAACATATGGAAATAAAAATAAGCCATGGGAGAACGTCAGTGCTGCACATGCTATATTGTTCATAAACCTGTCATAAATAAGTGTCTCTTAAAAAGAAACCAATTAATAAATGTGCATTGAATTGCAAGGCTTAAATATTCTATAATATGGGGTTTCTCCTCCCCGCACCCTCCACCAGCATTCCTATCCCTGCCAGGGCCCCCCCACCCCACCTCCTTGTTACTTAAGCTGTTATAACATTTTCCACTTTGTGGCCCATCTCGGTTTTGTTGTTGTTGATTGAGTTATTTGGTTGGCTCAGAGGCTTGAAAAAATAAAGAAAAAAAAATCTGTAAGCTATAAAATGCAGCTTGTTTCTTCCTTTGTCTGTGTGTTAGAGTCTGGCTTGGCACTAGAACCCCACCCCAAACCTCCCACCGAGAGTATGTCATATTTCTATATGCTCACGCATGTTCGGCTCTACCTCTTTTGAAATGATGCCCAAAGCCCAGCAATGTTTACATAAGTAAAAGGGAGTTTCACTTTTATGCTTTAATTTCTACATAGAGCAGAGAGTTTTCCTAGCCATACCTTATACTTTGTTCATAGGTGAACTTTTATTTTTCGAATGTGATGGTTTTATCCAGCTTTGACAACAGATTTCTTTAGGAGATTACACACCTGGAATTAACTTTTTCTGCCAAGAATTACAGTGCACCTGGAAGTACTAAATCATTTTTATCTATGTTTTAGAAGCTTTGTGTAGTGAAATTGCGTATCTCAATCTTGACTTGTCTCTTGAGGAGAAGCTTAAGGACTGGAGTCGGGTAGATATGTATATGCTGGTGCTATGGAGTAAATACATCCAGGGTGTGTTTACTTTTCACCAGCCAAATACTCACTACCTGAACACCATCTCCCTGAGTACCTCGCTTCTTAAATGACTCCGCTTACTGCATAACATATGGAAATGTGAGTATGCACTTTCAGCAGATTGTTTGCTATGTTTACACCAGTTCTAACACTAATCCCCATTAATGTTTCATATAGTCCCCAACAGGTTTCAGAAGATATCAGACACCATATCTACTGTGTGTGTGTTTGGCATGATACACACTTAAACAAGGGGAGTGATAAAGAAGGATTTTTAGAGATTTCTTTCCTAAAGATATTTGCTAACTAGATTAAATATTTTGAGAATGGGAAATACTTCCTATGCGTATGAATGACAGCAAAATATAACATCCTTTAATTTAAAAAATATACAGGGAGTTCATTATAAATAGCCATACCATTCCATTTGGAGACATATTACATTTTCTGTTGGACAAAGTCTTGTGAGGTACAACTGTAAGACTATCTTCAAGGGATTTAGGATTACAAGTCAGAAAAGTTATTACAAACTCATGCCTACACATTAGAAAGATAATATTGTGTGAGTATTAGAAATTACTTACATGATTTCTTGGGAGTGGGGAGGGAAGTGTTATAGGAAATTTAGATGAAAAAAGTCTTCAATCTTTAAGTTTTGCTATCAGCATTACAGCTCCTGTTTTTGTCATGAAACCAGGATATGCTCTCATTTTCCTGACATGAAGTAGTATTTCTAGAACAACAAACGCCTTTCATCCCTAGGCATCCTGAAGTTTGCCAAACTGGTTCTGCTTACTTGTCGAACAAGGATAATTTCTTCTCTTGGTTGTCTCTGATATAGTGTCAGCATTTTAAAGGCCAAAAGTTACCATAGTGACAAATTACTTGAGTATAAACATTTATTCTGTTTAGACAAAAATGCTGTAAGATTAAGAAAAGGATTAGAAAAATCGTGGATAAACCAACACATTTATTTTGATGGATTTCTTTCTTAGACAACATAAGAATGATATTATAAGTGATATTGTAAATAATGTTTAGTGAAAAAAGAGTACAGAAAAACAAAATATAGATACATTAAAATATATCTGCTATCAAATTCAAATATAAATAGTTGAATTTCACAAATTACTATTTTCTGTTACTGTAGTTTAATTTTACATGAATGTGACTAAATTCTGCCCTGGTTATAGATAAACTGATTATGTTCTTTAAGTAGTTCAAATTTCCTGATAACCAGTAGTCAAACTGAAGAACAAGCAGAATTAGTAGCCAAGTCTAATAAACGACTGGGAAAAATTGTATCTGTCTCATCCTCCTGGTTCCCACACACTCTAGTTACATCATTACTTAGCCTGTAAATTTGGAGGCCAATTGGGCTCCAGAGCTTGGGTCAGGTGACCAAAACATCAAAATGTGTCTGAAACTCTACCCTAAAGATGGGGTTTCAGCAGGGCCTCTGGATAGCTGACTCCTCTGCGGCTGCTGTGCAATTTTCGTATTTTATTTCACCTTTGCTTTCAGGCTTAGCTTTTGGTCCCACAGATTGATGGCTGAAGCAAACTCGTTGATTTGGGTTTTTCTGTGCAGGTGCATGGGCAAAATTATTTCCTGTACCACATACTACAATCAGTTATGTAATAGCTTAAAAGAAAACAAAAACAGAAACTAGACCTTTCTCTATGAATTGGTTTTCATCAGAGATCATTCTAACTCCTTGATTTTTGTTTCATCTTTTTTTTTTTGGTTTTGAAAACTATTTTGGATTTTGTTATATTTTAAAACATAATTTGATGTCTAAATCCACAAAACTTAAAAGCCAAGGTTATTAGAGCCACTGGATGCAACTCCCCATCGATGGAGCTGAAATACTCTGCTCCTCTTAAAAGGAGCGGAATGTGTAACTCTACCCCCTTGCTAAGGTTTCACAGGGCAAGTATAGTGATGACAACAACTACTTGTTTTCTGCAGATGTAGAAAGGCATTTTTTTTTTTTTTACATGTGCAGGAAGCAACAAAAAACCTGGTCTTTGGGGACAGGTGAGTGAGTTGCCTTGCAAGAAATAAACCAAATAATCCTTAAAGTTGCAGTAACATATACAGAACCAAAAGCTTGACACCTCTGTACACAAACCTATTTTCATGTTCAGATTTACATTTCTCTTGATTGCTACAGGAGGAGCTATGATAGTTTCTGGCTGGGAATTTGTTTCAATATAGTAAAATCCATCAGAAATGAAAAATATCCTTGATAAATTGTTATCAGGTATTTAACAATGCTTTCAGGAAGCAGGGATGATGCACTAAAGAAGGAGAAAACTCAGGTGAAAACCAATCTTGTTAAAAACCAAGGCAAACAAACAAACAAACAAACAACAACAACAACAAAGAAAAACCAAGGCAAACAAACAAAACAAATTGTCCTTCTTCTTGGATCAAATAATTGCATGAACTCTATTCCGTGACTTACACAACAAACATTAGTATGTACTAATTACCATGCTACAGGATAGGGATACAAAGAAAGTAATGAGATATGATAACAACGATAATGATAATAGCAGCTACCATTTATGTAGTGCTCACGGCATACCACACTATACTGAGCACTCTACATTTATCCTAATCCTCACATTAATTCGAGAAGTTAATTATTGCATTTTACAGAAGGAGAAACTGAGGATCAAAGAAGATAAATGATTTGCTCACGATCATGCTTCGGTTATGTGGTGAGCCATAGAGATAGAATTTCAGTCTACATTGGATTTAATCTAGGAACTCTGTTCATAACTGTTCTCCCACATTTTCTAGAGATTGAATAGAGATACAAGTCTTTCTTTGTCCTTAGGAGGTTTTTACTCCCCGTGGTGGGGTAAACTAGATGAAGAAATAATTGACATTACTCATGTTAAAATATCAACAGGACTAAGTGCTTTAGGAAAGTCAAAGTTTCAGAAAAGAAGTGGTTTGGACCAGAACTTTTCTGAGGAACCCTGTGTCTATGGCATTGGAGCAGGGAAGAGTGTAGGTGGTAGATTAATGTTTGATTATCTTTTCCCCTGCAGGTAATCCTTTGGAAATAACTGATTTCTAGTTTTATTCTGCAAAACTATCACTGAGAGTGCTGTGTAAGACAGAGCAAACTCCTGTCCTCACAGGTGACTGCCAAATAAAGTAACTAGGTACTCACGTATTTTCCAGTACAAGTACTTCATTTTTAATTCATGGTCCAGGTCCTCTGTACATGCTGTTACTAATATTAGGTTTCAGCAGAGAATAATGAACAGGAACACAGGCCTGAATGTCTTAACATTTTTTAAACGACGTCTGCAGTGCGAAATTCTATTTCTGGCTTAATTGGAGTCTTTACATAAACAAGAGGAGGGCTCTGCAGTGTTGGGGAGGCATAATAGTCCCACAGCTTAGCAACAGAAAAGATAAGAGTCAGCATGATTCGGAACTGGTAGAAGGTTAATGCAGGCAGGCTTTTCCCCCTTAGGTCTCAGCATAGTATTCTTAAATTAGACAAGAAAAGGAGAGGTTTTCTGAGTTAGGATTCTAACTAGAAAGCCTAGATCAGCCCCTTGGAGTGAAGCTTTATTCCATCAGAAAAGGAGGGAGGAGGAGAACTTGCTCTGGTTGGGAAATAGTACTGTTCAAGTGGCCCCCAAGGCAGGGCTGACTTATCCATTAGGTGCAGCAGGCAGTGTTTATGGGGCCCGCGGTACTTTTAATGTTTTAATTACATTTAAAACAAAGAAGAAAAATGAATGGAATGATAATGAATATATGATGATGATGAATTCAGTTTGCTTTATATTCATCTTTATACCAGTAGAATTGTAAAGTATAACTTTTAATTATTTTTTGGAAGAAGGGATGACGGCAAAATGCCTGGAGCCCATGAAAGTCATCACGTGGTCCTGCCCCAAAGAGGCCATTTAAGCAAGTTAAATGACTTTAGTAGACAACCTGTTTTTTTTCCCTTACTAGTGTTTTCTCACTGTAGATTCTACTTACAGTGAGTCTTTGAGAAAAAACACAAAAAACTATGTTGGTTAACAAAAGCATCAAACGCACATTCCCTCTAGGTTTCTAACAGTGCCCTGACTGGCATAGAGCTGGCATTCAACAATTGGTTATATATATTGGACATTGATTTAAAGAAAAACCATACTGATGTACTTATTCATTAAGTACAACTATTTATTGAGCATCAGCTGTGTGCCAGGCACTGTACTAGGTGCTACGGATATAACAGGAAATAAGACATTCTCCTTGAATTCAAAGAGCTTCAGAGAAAGGCAGTAAGAAGAAACACAAAAATGACATTTTCAGGAGGTAGTGGGTTGATAAAAATGAGGTGGGGGAAATCCTTGCTTTCTGAATTTCTTTTTAAAAAGTGTATCAACCTCCCAATTAAAAGAGGTTTTCCTCGATGACATTCAGACACAAGCTAAAATCGTCATAAATACATGAAACAGAGATATTGCACTGTAGATGGTAGCTAAGCTTCTTATTTAAAAATAAAGAATGTGGCCGGGCGCGGTGGCTCACGCCTGTAATCCCAGCACTTTGGGAGGCCGAGGCGGGTGGATCATGAGGTCAGGAGATCGAGACCATCCTGGCTAACAAGGTGAAACCCCGTCTCTACTAAAAATACAAAAAATTAGCCGGGCGCGGTGGCGGGCGCCTGTAGTCCCAGCTACTGGGGAGGCTGAGGCAGGAGAATGGCGTGAACCCGGGAAGCGGAGCTTGCAGTGAGCCGAGATTGCGCCACTGCAGTCCGCAGTCTGGCCTGGGCGACAGAGCAAGACTCCGTCTCAAAAAAAAAAAAAAGAAAAAAAAAAAATAAAGGATGTTTAATGATTTTTCAGTGAAAGGAGAACTGCTAAAGCTCATCTGACTGGGGTGATTTTGGCCATCCAAGCACTCAGAATTGGTGAGTGTTGTTTCTGCAGAAGGGCTAAAGCTACTGCTGGGCAGCTTTTTCCTCACTGTTGCTAAGGCCTGCTAGGAGTCATGATAAATTTTGAGATTCAACTGAAAGAAGAACAAGTTTCACGGGAGACCTCCAAGTCACTTGGTTTGAAGTAGGCACCAAAGTTAATTCATTTAGTTTCTCATGATGAGACTTTCAGGCAACATGTAGATCTTGACTGGTCCATTCATATAGCAGACATGTGCTATTACATGCCCTACACGTACCAGGCTCCGTGCTAATGTTTGGTTTTGAGAGAGGAACAAAACAGACAATGGCTCTGCCCTCATGGGGTTTAGTTTCCCATTTTCCTGTTGGAGAGGGAGAGGTAATACAAATTTCAAACAACAGACGGGGTGACTGCAGGTTTCTAAAAGTACCATTCTAGTGGCTATCTTTTATTTTGGCTTTTTGGTAACAGCAACCCAATTCTCCTTGGCATATGGTGTTATATTGGTCAAGGGATTCTGTCTTTCTCTAGCCAGGAAGTGGGCTTGTGATCCAAGCTTAATCAATCAGAATCTCTTTCCTGGAGTTTTGAGGGGCTTGGTGTTGATTCCATGAGCATGTGGCCAGATTCTGAAAAGAAGATCCCCATTGATATCGCAGTATAGTCATGAACGGCCACAATGGACTGGACCAGTGAGTTAAGGGTAACTTTTGCTTTACTTTGCCATTCGTTGGGCTGGGTTATTAAACTAGATTGACCCTAAATTCCTTTCACCTAGTGCTTCCTTTTTGGAAATCAGTAGGGATCATTCAGAAGAAGAATGTAAGCATAGACATGCTGACTGGATCAACATGGTATAATGGAAAGAGCTTGGGGTTGTACTGATTTTGGTATGCTTACTGGGCAGTTTCTTCCAGTCTAAAATTGGAAGTGTAACACCAGCTCCACAAGGTTTTTGGGAAATTTAAATCTAGAAGGCCCCATTTAATGCCCATGCCCATGAATGTCAGTTCTTTGCCCTTACCTACTTTCACTTCTCCTGCCCGAGCCCTACCACATACTGTCTTCATAAATAGTATGTTGCCAAGTTGGCTGGAAATTGTAAAATAATGGCAAAAATGTGCAATAACAACTCTGGAGAAAGAGATGAGATAGGGTTGGAAAGCTGATAAGTGAATCTTCAGCCACTTCCTCCTCCCTTCAGATAGCGTGGGTTTGGAGTGAAGTGTGGGCCGGAAATTTGACAATTGGCTAGATCTGTGGCTCGTGAACTCTGCCTGGCATGAACACTTCTATTTCAGCACATCTGTGATTGCCATATCACCAGCATTTGCAGAAATGGAGGATTAATTTTATTGTGCATTAGCTCAGCAGATCTGGTGACATAATATTGCACTACGAAGAAGGATTACTCACCAGTTTCTGGATGCTACATTTTTAGAAACTAACTCCACTTAACGATAAGTGTTGGATCTAACAACTTCCCCCTTTTCCCCACTCCCACTCTCCAATCACCCAACCAACAAATATTCCTTAATGTAAAAACCAGCTCTCATGGGACCAGATGGATACAATTTTTCTTCAGGAAAAAATTCTGGATATTTCCCCAAAGTAAAAATTTTATAATACTTCTTCATTTATTAAAAACAGATGTGCCATGTTTATAATATCACTCCAAGCCCCCCTTTTTTTGGTTTATGGAAAGCAATTTGGGAAGGTAAAATAATATAGCATTTGTGAGTCATTTCTGAAGAAAAAATGCAAAAACTGTACAGTAGTCTGCAAGCCAGACAGGGGATATGGTCATAAGGAAATATGGCTACATCCCAGGGCAAACAAAGAGGAGACTTTGTTTCTACTTCTGTCGTACATCTACTCAGGGTTTCGACATATCCTTTTTTCACCTATGACCTCCATCTGCAGAAAAAGAGACTCAGAGACAGGCTGTTAGTAAGGTCTAGTGGCTGGCAGAACTCAGTCGCACACTGCATCCTATAATCTTCCTACTTGCCACTAAGCCAGTACCATTTCCCTTACCTGTTGTCTTTTTTAAAGAACTTTTCCCCCATCCTCATCTAGGCTACCTCACAGAGCCTTCTTTTTCTCCAGGTAGCACACCTTAAAAACTATTCCTTCCTTTCTCTATAGCCTCTTTGTCCATTCTGTCATTTCTACTTGCTGATGTTTAACCAGCTGCTGGGCTACTGTGTCACTTAGGTAGCTGTATTTAAAGTCCATGGAGTGCGGAGTATACAGTGAGTAGGGCCCTGTGGACAAATGCAGAAATGAAATGTGCGTGTGCGTGTTCTTTATTGGGTGCTTATTGCATGCCAGGCACTGCCCTAAGTTAGTTTTTAGAGTTCGTTGTATTTAATTTTCACAATTTTCTATGCGGTATGAGTTTGGACAGACCTGCATTTAAACCCTGCTCTATCATTTACTTGTAAAAATATGTAAGCTTTAAGTAGGCAGTATCCATATTTTTATGGCTAATTCCTGTAATTTCTATTTGTATGGTTCAACAAAACAGCTTTATCTCTTATATAGCCAGGGAAGATTTTTAAAAAAATTATTAAAAATATTCTGTCAATATTCTTTGTATTTGAAGCTCTGATGGCAAAACTGGATATATGCCATATTCATTTTTTTAACAACATAAAGTACAAAGAAAGTGATAAAAAGTACACAAACTGCTCTAATTTAGTCTATGCAAGGAGCAGACAGTAAAATATAATGGTCTACTTATTCTTCTGTGATTGACAGCCAATCCTTGGAGCAATTTGCACTCTGATCAGATAGCAGGTTTTCTCCCATAACCTTGAGGTCCAAGTCTCTCTGCCCTTTATTGTGAAATTGTCTGCCCTTTGACCCTTTGAAAAGGTGGAGTCCCACATCTTCTAAAAGCCTTCCCTCAGTCCTGCACTGATGTGTACAGTAAATGACTGATTGTCTCCATTATATGACCATGGCAGGCACAGAGAAATACCTAACTCATTTTAGCAAAACTTATCCTAATTGGAACCATAATCAAAGATAACTGGAATACTCCAGAAACTTACCTGGAGACCTGGATTTGGTGTCTTTTGAAGTTTTGGTAAAATAAGTGGTACCTTCTTTATGCTCGTATTTTCTTTCCTTCCAATAGGGGAGTGAGGAAGAAAAAAAAAATTGAAAGGAAAGCTAAAGCATCTCTTCTTGCACAACCTTCCCTTCTCTCTTTCTCTGTAGCAGAAGGTGACACTGGGCTGCTGGGCTGGTTCAGAGGATTATGCACATAAAGTCCTTATCACCTGTGCTATTTAAAGTGGAATGGAAAAGTGCAGCTGAAAACATCCTGGGGGAAGCATTCTTTCCTAGGGCAGCCAAGGTACTTTTCATCTTCACCTGAAGGCAGCCCTCACCCAATTTAATACATCATTTAGTTCAGCATTAGTGAAAAAATCCTCCCCAGGCCTGCTCACAATGACCCTAGGGCTCCATAGAAAAAGACTGAGAAGGAGGGTTACCAGTTTTCACTTCCTCGGTTAGAAGTAGTAAAGGTAAACTGCAAACGTGGACATGGAGCCAAATGAGGAGGTTGAGGAGTGCAAGCTTTAAATGACAGAAAAGTGCTTTCTTTAAAGCTTCTGGGTCCTACCACCCAGCAGATAGGAGGAGAGCCTCAGATATAGTGACAGGTATGTAGGAAGGAAAGAAGGAAGGGAGGAAGAAAGAAGGAAGGAAAAATTACTGAGAACCCACTATGTTAAGTCTTTTGGCATTCTATCAGCTTCACAATACCATTTATGCTTTTATTATTCAATTGTAATTTTACAGAGTAGCAAACGCATACTCCAAAGAGTTGGGTAATTTCTCCAAAAATGCACACTAGCAAGGACAGGAACAGGAATTGAACCTAGATTATTTGTCCCAGTCTTTCCCTTTGCCCCTTTCAGGTGGCTTTGTTGTTCAGCGTTGACTCCAGGATTTCTACTTGAAACTAGGCCAGAGTTCAATCTGTGGGAGACCTCAGCATCCCCCAACTGGGAGCTTAAGGCCAGACCAGTTAACTAGAGCTTATCTTCAGGGATGTTCAGGGGAGATGCCACTCATACCTACTGGGAGGAAAAGAACAGGTATGGTATGTCTGTCTGTGGGTGGGGCTATGGCACTAACATGTCCCTATCATGGGGATACCTGCCAGCCATAATATTGGCCCTACAGTTCAAAGTGAGTCAAAAGCCCATTGCTAATTTCTTTATGCTTTCTAAATCTGAAAAAATAAATCATTAAATGGCAAGACTCTGGTTGCTCATTCTGCTAAACTGTACATTGTGTCCCTGTCTTCAACAAATGTGTGCTTTGGGATTATTATAATTTTGAAATTTAGTTTGATGGTTCTTTAAGTCGGTCATGCTTTATCCTGCTTAGAGTAACTTGCTACAGAACTTCATGCAGTCTTTTGATGGGTTTACCGTGATTTGAAAGCAAAGTCATGTCCCTCTCAACTGATCATCTTCCTTAATATCTGTGTGATTCACTACAACAAGATGCGGTTTAATGCTATCTGCCAAAATTGCGAATGATATATGTGCTCCAGGACATCTCTTGCCTCTTGTTATATACAGTTTTGAACCCAATGTTTGGAAGTTCTTTTGTGATTTGTCATTTAAGCAAAATATAGACAGACTAGGTTATCTTCTAAGAAGAGAGGATAGTTTCAAAATGTGTAAAAGACACTTGCAGAGAAATTCGAAGTAATTGGGTTTGCTACACTGATATTTTAGTATGGTAAATAAAACTCTTTCTTATAAAAACTTCTATGATAATTGCTGACATAATTTTAAAAAATAATTTAAACTAGTTGTCCAAGAATTTTGAGTTACCCGACGCTGGTCAAATGCCAACTTCAACATTTATTAGTTGTGTATTCTTGGGCAAGTTACACGAGTTTGCTAAGTCTTATATTTATCATCTGTAAAATGGGATATTGACACCTACTTAAGGAGTTTACTCAGGGAGATGAGGGTTAAATGAAATAAATTGACTAGTGTTCACACTCAGTAAAAGACATTCATTACATGGAATTTATTATTATTAATCCTAGACAGCAGTGTGCATTTTTCAGTGTTTTGACTAGCTGGGGTTTGGTGATATTATTCTGAATTTAAAACTCTCACAACCACAAAGGGCAGTAATCATAATGTACAAATATTTTTTTTTAACATGGAGATGTTTGGAAATGGAAATCAGCCAACCTCCTAATCTGATAATTCTAATAGAAATGGGAATCCATGAAGATTGTTATATTAAATCTTTACATACAGACAAGCCCCTATATACAATGCAGATGTTATGATAGATGTCAGTACTGGTATTAAGGTATGCTTCATGTTCTCATTACTAATACGCTATGATTAATTCAAATAAATATACCAAGAATATATAGTAGTGTAATTTTCTACTTCCTCACCAAAAGAATTATATGTGTCTTATGTTTAAAGAACTCTCCTGCTAAAATTGATGGAAGATATCACGTGGCAAATATAATGGTTTTTACCAGAACATGGTAAATGGTTTTTTACTATGGAACATGAAAAATATCTAGTAAAGGAAATTATTTTGATGTTAAAGGAGGAACTAAATAGCTACACACAAAATAACACCCATCAGAGGTTTGTTACATATGAATTTTATCTATGCCTTTTTTAGGTGTATTTGTGTTTTTAGTGGCTACTATGTCTTTAGATAATGAGTTCTCTGAGCAATTACCTAGCGAGTTGGATAAAACACAGGGTTCATATTTAAATGTGCACTTATTTGGTAAGTAACTAAGACTTCTTAGGTTCACTTAGAAGCAACTTAAGTTGCTTCTTCTGTAATTATGGATGGGGGTGCCTTCCTGGTGATATCAAGTTTGTAGAGAGTTTGTCAAGTAAGATTGTAGAAATTAGAGGGTTCTGTGGACAGAGAACTATACAATGTAAGAAATTCACTAACCTTGCCTTCTTCCTGGGTAAAATACATCTCCTCCTTGTAGTGTACTACTTATTGTGCCTAGGGATATTCATTAGAATTTGGTGAACAAATATATGTCAAAGACTTCATGTTTGAGAATTTCTTTAATGGATATGATGAAAAGTAAAAGAGCTAAAGATGCTACCGTTGTCTGCAGATTGACTAGAGATTACCAGTGACTTTTAAAATGCAATTTATGACAAATTTTTTTCATGTATTTATTTTCTCTAAAACCTTTCCGTTACTGCTTATATTAAGGAAATATGGAAAATTGGACAATTCACATTGTCCTCAACTGAAATATGTTACCTGTTTTACATTTATTTCATCTGGACAAAATTAATTATAATTTAATTTCCTTTTACTTTTCAAGAACTTGACCCTTAAGTAAATAAGAAATGGATCTGCTTGCTTTTTAAATTTATTTAATAATGTTTATAAGGATAAATGTTCTTTAAGAATGGAATAGTAAATATAGGTTCCAAAGATCATTTGTATAATGCATGCATATAGTTCCCCAATAGTTTCCTTCCTGATCCTCCAAATCATAAAAAAACCCAAATTTTCTGATTTTAAATACTTTTCATTTCAGGTAGTCTCCATCAGTTTCCCTTTACAAGTATGATTAGTTGTAAATATGGCCAACTTTTTTTTGGTCTTAATATTTGATTATCAATAGATTTTTTTTGCTGATAGAAATAAGGACAACTAAAAAGAAAAAAAAAGAAATAATTTGAGAGTGAGGCAGAGAAAAGGGTTCTTTATAAATAGATGTTTTCTGGAGTGGAAATTCATAGTTTCAAAAGGAAGTAAATCACTTAATTAGGTGGGGAATGGCATAGTACAACACAGACTCAGACACTGATTTCCCTTTCTGAAACATCTTTCTTGTTCCAGTTTTCTCTTTAATCCTCTGTACTAATGATGAGTGACATCATTTTTCATATTACCGGCTTTCCAAAGTGAACTGATATTTGGCATAACCAAAAAGGTACAATATCTAAAAGCACTAGGATATTTTAAAACCAGTCTTCTCAAGAAGAGATGATTATGCTTTACAAGAGGAAATATTTCTACCATTAGCCTTATTTCACTAACAAGTTTCTGGCCAAAAAGAAAGCAATAAATACCTACTCATGCTCAACTAATCTCAAATAACTTTTTAACAATCCATTTGTTTTGAAGTGCCAAATGCATATTCAGGATGTCGCCTCCCTGCCATTTCTTTATCACTTTTGTTGGATTTACTAGTACAAAAGAAATATGTCTTACAAAATTACTCTTAATCACATGGATTGAGATCAATAGTAAAATAAAATATTACATGTTGTCAACTGAAACGTTTCATCACATTTAATCTAACAGATCAGATTTGGGAGGCTACAAAATATGAACAATTCACATGAGAACAATGAATGGTAATTACTGAAGATGCCTATAAGATACATTTTATCAGTTCATGCCCTTTTGTTTTTCTAGGAGATGTTATAGTCTACCATCTACTCTTTAATATTGTTCATAATATCATGATCAAGAAAATTTGAGCTGGAAAGACAAGATGCAAGTAATTTACATTATGATTTTTAAATAATGAGTTCTCTCATTATTATTATTTTTAACAAATAATGCTAGTAAAAGTTCCTACTTGACTAGAGTTTTGACTAGTTGTGACAAACAGGGTCTCTCATCAGAACTTTGAGTTTAAAAGAGATTAATTTCAAGCAGATGAGTACTTCCTCCTGGGACAGCCTTCTCCAACCCGATGACCTTAAGGTTGAGTAGCTAAGCATATTTTTCTTACCTAAAAATAAAATCTAAGTTTTTTCCTTCCTTCCTTCCTTCCTTCCTTCCTTCCTTCCTTCCTTCCTTCCTTCCTTCCTTCCTTCTTCCCTCCCCCCCTTCCCTCCTTCCTTCCCTCCCCCATTTTTTTGGGGGGTAATTTCTGGCTTTTGCTTTTCATATCCCATTCTGTTCACCTACAAAATGAAAATAGACTCACTGACTTGATGTAATCAAATGTTGTAAGTCAATAAAAGTACAGCCAAGAAATTGAAGTTGGATTAAATTGAATGAGAGTTTGGGTCTAAAGTAAATATGACAGTAGACCTAAAAGGAAATTTATAAACTTTCTCTTTCTTTAATATTGTGATAGGCAGAATAATGCTCTCCACCCTACTCCAAATATGTCCGTGTCTTAATCCTTGGAGCCTATGAGTATGTCACATTACATGGCAAAGGGAAGCTAAGATTGTACCTAAAATTAAGGTTGCTAATTTGGTGATTTTATGATAGAGAGATTATACTGGATTATCTGGGCAGACCTGGTATACTTGCAAAAGTCTTTAAAAGTAGAAGAAGAAGACTGAAGAGGGGTCAGAGTGATATGATGTGAAAAGAAGTTGATCTCCCATTGCTGGTTTTGAGGATGGAGGAAGGCATCATAAGCCAAGAAAAGCAGGAAGCCGTCAGAAACTGGAAAAGTCAAGAAAACAGTTGTCCCCCAGAGTCTACAGAAGGGAATTCACCTCTGCTGACACCTTGATTTTGGCCCAGTGAGACCTGTGCTGAACTTCTAACCTATAGAACTATAAGATAATAAATTTATGTTTTAAGCCACCAAGTTTCGATAATTTGTTGCAGCAGCAATAGAAAACAAATACAAAATATACTCTCTTTCCTATAGTAATTTCTCTTTAATAACTTTTGGTGAGGAAGAATTTGTAAGGGAATGTATTTATCCTAACTTTTGGCTTATGATAATAGAGGAATTGGCTAGAATGAGTCAAAAATTATATTTTCTGTTACCCTTGAAACCAGCACGTTTGCAGAGTGAAAGTTTTTATTGTTTTTCTGCAGCATTTTATTATTTTATTTATTTATTTATTTATTTATTTATTTTTGAGGCAGGGTCTCACTTTGTCACCCAGGCTGGAGTGCAGTAGTGGCACAATCACAGCTCACTGCAACTTCAACCTCCTGGGTTCAAGCCATCTTCCTGCCTCAGCCTCCCGCATAGCTGGGACTATAAGCATGCACCACCATGCCTGGATAATTTTTAAATTTTGTTTTGTGTAGAGATGGGGTTCCACTATGTTGAACTTGACTCCTGGGCTCAGGTGATCCTCCTACCTCAGCCTCCCAAAGTGTTGGGATTACAGGCGTGAGCCATGGTGCTCAGCTCTGCAGCATTTTATATCTTATTTGCAAGAGCTGTGTGGACTTTCATTGGCTTCTTTCTTACCCTGGTTTACCCTGGAAAGCAGAGATTGAGAAAAGAGCTTGCATTCAGGTAGTTTTTTCAGGAAGTGACCCAAGGAATCAATAGGTAGAAGCAATTGTCATTGGCTCACATCACCCATTGAGGGTTGCCTTGGGTGGTGATCTCCCCTGCACTTGAGCTATGCATGCATCCATGCCCAGTAAACTCCTGTGGGTATCCCACTTCTTCAGTACCTGAAAAATGCCACAGCAGGCCAATGATATGCCTGAGGAAATATGTGGTCAGTATTGGAACTCTTTACCCCTTTTACCAAGTAATTGTTCACCACAGCTACAACTGCAAATGGCAACTGAAATAAGACTGAGAGGAAGTGAGGCAGAACGTGAGAGGCATCTGATTCAATCCATTCTCTGCATATGTTAAGACCAATTTGTCACTGAGTCTTCAAAGTGTTGGCAGCTGCAATCACTCCAAAAAGGAGCTTAATACAAAGTATTAGTGTAATAAGCTGCAATCTCCACTGCTGCAACTGAATCTGAGGTTATAATTGGTATTCATCATCTAGCTTCTCCAACACCCATTCTAGATTTCCCTCACCCTTGCCCAGCACTTCAGTTCCTCTAGACTGCCTGCTTGGTGGCATGCCATCTCCATCCTTGAGGGATCTGAGCTCTTAGCTTCCTTGTCCTTACTGGGCTGTGATTGCTAAAATTGGCTATTGACCAGTATCACTTTGCATAGAAGTACCCAGAGACCCCCAGTGAATCCCCGTATTCCAGATTCTGTCTGTTCTCATTGTATGGTAAGAAACCCTACTCCTCAAGATAATCACATTTGCTTACCTCCCGAAACAATAGTAACTCCTTTCTTTGCTTGTTAGGTCACTGGCATGAGGAACCCAAAGTAGAGGCAGGCGGTAGTCATAGTTTCCGCCTCATTGAGATTCTTATCATTTCCTTTCAGTGAAAGCAGCACTCCTCTGGGTATCAGGACCTCTGAATCCTATAAAACCTAAAGGTGCAGGGACAAGAAGCACACATTCTGTAAGTAGACCACTGAGAATCCACTGGGAATGATGGTGAGAGGGTCAAACAACTATATAGACCTGTTTATTTTAGTTACTGGGGGCATAACATCACTATTTGTTTAATTAATATATTTGTTCTTGGTGGACAATGTCCCAACTTCACAGAGGTCTTTGCCCTGAGTTAGCACCTTAGTTGAACCTTTAACAAGCAATTCCATCATTATAAGTAGGTGAATTTTTTTCAGGTGATGCACTATATAGTAGAAATAATTAATCATTTGGTCATGAATTGATTGTTGCAAACTTTTCTCTGTAAAATGGAACCCTTGATTTTTAGTGATAATATATGGGAATCCATATAATCAACAAGGTACATTATATGCCTTTGAATGGTGGTGCTGTCAGACATGGCAGACAGGAATATCAAAGCCATATGGGAGTAAGTATCGACTCCAGTAAGGATGAATCATTGCCCCCTCCAGGGTGGAAGGGATTTGATGTAATCAACCTGCTACCGAGTGTTTGGCTGATCTTAGGTTTTGCTGCTTTATCAAAGGATTCATGCCAGCTTGTTAACAGTTTGGCACATTGTGTATTCAACAGCAGCCTTAATAAGTGGGAGCCCAAACTGTTGGGTTCTTCCATGCACAGCCTCTATTCCTGTTACCGTTGGTATTTCATTATTGGACCTAATGGATAAGCACATTGGGTGGTCAAGGACAGTGGCTGTCTGACATCCACAGGATGAGTCATCCTGGTTGTTTGGTGTCTCCTCTGACTTTGATATTCTCTGGTGGGAAGTAGCATGAGATCTGTGCCCACTTCAATGGGTCTGTCACTTGCTTCTCTAGACAATTTTTTCCTCTCTGATCTTCCAAATTGGTTCCTTTCAGGCCCTGACCAACCAACCAAGCTGTTTGCCAATACTCAGGAGTCCATGTATGTCCTTCTTAAGCTACTTCTTCTTACATAAAAAGTAAATAATCAAATTTACTGCTCTCAGCTCTGTCCACTGGAAGGACTGTCCCTCACAACCGACATTTAGATCCATCCCTAAGTGGGGCTATGGTGCAACGGAAGTCCATTTTCAGTTTGTACTGACATAGTGTATACAACCCAGCTGTGAACTGAGACCGATATATTTTTTTCCTTCATCAGCTGACTGTATAAATACTTCCCATGCCCTCAATAAGATTTTAGTTGTGAGTTGATGTTCAGACATTGATGACATAGAGTTAGGTGGTGTGAGTATCGGAAGTCCTGCTCATGTAGCATTTTTGTATTCTCTGGCTCTGCTTGGTCCTGATTTTTAATTGCTTCTATACTAGGATGGATTGCTGCTGTATTTGTCTGTCATTATGATTTGGTAGATCTAAAAGGCCAGTTCATTATGGGCAGCAAAACTTACATAGCCATTCAGTCAGACAGTCTCTGTAAAGGCTCAGTAGCAGCCAGGGGCTGCTTTGCAAAAAACGAATGTAGTTCATGCTACAGAAGATGCGGTCTTGCTCCAAAATACAAAGGACCTTTCTGCTCTGGTTTTGTATTGGCGTTTTCCAGAGACCCTACACCCGTGTTTACAATGGATCAATATATTCACCATGGATATGGGTAGTGCCGTACTGCTGATTATATAGTTTGAAGAGTAAGGCAGTTTGCAGTGCTGCCTGGATTTGTTGTTGAGCCTTCTTTTTGCTCTGAATGCCATTGAAACTGTGAGCCTTCCAAGTTACCCAACAAATAAACAGTAGTACTCCTCAGAGCAGTATATGCTGTCTCTGAAATCCAAAAGAGATGACTAAACACTCTGTCTTTTTCTTAGTGGTGGGGAATGTGAGATGAATCAACTTATTTTTTATTTCAGAGATGTTATCTTAGACATGCCCCAGATTCTTGGACTCCTAAACACTTCATCAAATATGATAAAGCAAGTGTGGTAAGATGTTAATTATAAAATCTAGGTGGCAAAAGCAAGACTAAGCAAAAAGAACAAATCTGGAGGCATCACATTATCCGACTTCGAACTATACTTTACGGTCATAGTCTCCAAAACAGCATGATCCTGGTATAAAAATAGGCACATAGACCAATGGAACAGAATAGAGAGCCCAGAAATAAACCCACATACTTACAGCCAACTGATCTTCAACAAAGCGGACAAAAACATACAGTAGGAAAAGGACACCCTATTTAACCAATGGTGCTGGGAGAATTGGCTAGACACATGTAGAAGAATGAAACTGGATTCTCATCTCTCACCTCATACAAAAATCAACCAAGATGGATAAAAGACTGAAACCTAAGACCTGAAACCATAAAGATTCTAGAAGATAACGTTGGAAAAACCCTTCTAGACACTGGCTTAGGCAAAGATTTTATGACCAAGAACACAAAAGCAAAAGTAACAAAAACAAAGATAAATAGATGGGACTTAATTAAACTAAAAAGCTTCTGCACAGCAAAAGAAATAATCAGCAGAGTTAATTGGCAACCCACAGAGTGGGAGAAAATCTTCACAATCTATACATCTGACAAAGGACTAATATCAAGAATCTACACAAACTCAAACAAATTAGCAACAAACAAACAAACAATCCCATCAAAAAGAGGGCTAAGGACATGAGTAAACAATTCTCAAAAGAAGATATACAAATGGCCAACAAGCAAATGGAAAAATGCTCAATACGACTAATTATCAGGGAAATGCAAATCAAAACTGCAATGTGATACCAACTCACTCCTTCAAGAATGGTCATAATCAAAAATAAAAAAAAAATAGATGTTGGCCTGGATGCGGTGGAAAGAGAACACTTTTGCACTGTTGGTGGGAATGTAAACTAGTACAACCACTATGGAAAACATTGTGGAGATTCCTTAAAGAGTTAAAAGTAGAACTACCATATGATCCAGCAATCCCACTATTGGGTATCTACCCAGAGGAAAAGAAGCCATTGTGCGAAAAAGATACTTGCACATGCGTGTTTACAGCAGCACAATTTGCGATTGCAAAAGTATGTAACCGGCCCAAATGCCCACCAATCAACAAGTGGATAAAGGAAATGTGGTATATCTATGTATGTGTGTGTATATATATCTATACAAACATACCATGGAATACTACTCAGCGATAAAAAGGAATGAAATAATGACATTTGCAGCAACCTGGATGGAATTGGTGACTATTATTCTAAGTCACCAATTGGTGACTATTATTCTAAGTCACCAATTGGTGACTATTATTCTAAGTCACCAATTGGTGACTTATTCTAAGTCCTGAGTTAGGACTCAGGAATGAAAAACCAAACATCATATGTTCTCATTCATATGTGGGAGCTAAGCTATGAGGATGCAAAGGGATAAGAATAATACACTGGACTTCGGGGACTCAGGGGAAAGGGTGGGGGGTTGCTAGGGATAAAAGACTACACGTTGGGCACAGTGAACACTGCTCGGGTGATGGGTGCACCAAAATCTCAGAAATCAACCCTGGAGAACTTATTCATGTAACCAAACACTACCTGTTCCCCAAAAACCTATTGAAATAAATTAAAAATTTTTTAAATTCTCGATAAAAATCTAGATGGTGAATACTCAGAAGTTCACTGTAAAGCTATCTCAACTTTTCTGTACGTTTGAAATGTTTATAATAAAATAAAAGGAAAAAATGTTTGTTGATATGTCAGACACCTGAATCTTTATAGGCCTTCTCTTCTACCTGTGCTATGCATGTATCTAATTAGCACTAAATAATATTGCATTGTCTGGATGTACCACAGTTTATTTATCCATTTACCTATTGAAGGATGTCTTTATTGCTTCCAAGTTTTGGCAATTATAAATAAGGCTGCTATAAACATTCATATACAGGTTTCTGTGTGAGCATGAGTTTTCAGTTCCATTGGATAATACCAAGAAACATGATTGCTGGATCATATGGTTGCATCTAGTTTGCTATCTTAGCTAAGGTATGGGGTGAAATTATGGGAGCTTCCACTTGGTGCTTTTTACCATAATAACTCTTACTTAATAGGTCAGGGAACCAATGAAAGGCCTTTTAAAAGTATTTACCCTGTGGTAACAGGGTAAATACTTGAGCCCATTGGACTCAGTGTGAGATGGTGTTAAGCCAATTCCTTTAAAAGAGTAAATATACACCAGGCATGGTGGCTCACACTTGTAATCCCAGCATTTTGGGAGGCTGAGGTGGGCGGATCACCTGAGGATGAGAGTTCGAGACCAGCCTGACCAACATGGAGAAACCCTGTCTCTACTAAAAATACAAATTAGCCAGGCGTGGTGGCACATGCCTGTAATCCCAGCTACTCAGGAGGCTGAGGCAGGACAATGGCTTGAACTCGGGAGGTGGAGGTTGCAGTGAGCCGAGATCAAGCCATTGCACTCCAGCCTGGGCAAGAGGAACAAAATTCCATCTCAAAAAAAAGAAAAAAAGAAAAAAAAGTAAATATACACTATGGGAAAGAGAATACTGAGAACTTTCAAGTCCAGTTGGGTAAAGAGACTAAGGTGTTTCTTATACCAGGGGATCCAAGATGCCATCATGGCTCTGTGGAATGATTAACTTAAGGATTCCAGATGAAATTCAAGCTTCAGTTTTCTCCTTTAACGTGAAAATATTAATTACACCTATTTCATTGGGTTACAATAAGGATAAATGAGATAATTCTGGCATTTAGCATGTTCTCAATTCATGCTAGCTATAGTGTTAATACTAGAGCTAATGTTGCTGACTTTAAAAATATGTTTCTTAGAATTGTCTCCATAAAAGAAAATACTAACAAATGACAGAAGGAGGAGACACAGAAGAAAGGGGAGAACAGAAAGGAGGGGAAAACATAAAAAAGTATAAAGAAAAAAGAAAGAAAGAAAGACATAAAAACAAAAGAAAATGATTTTAAAATGACAGAAAGAAAAGAAAGAAAGGGAGAGAAAGAGACCTCAGCTACCAGGGTGCTATGAATAAAGGTATGAAACATGCCAGAGGCCATGTGAAAACAAATGTTTTTCTGAATGTACTATAAGACTGTTGCATATTTCAACAACTGAGCACTGGCTTTGGCTCAAGTAAAGCCAAAGGTTCAGGTTTAAAACTACAGTCATGAGAGTGACACCACCAGCATGGCAAATAGAAGCTTCTGAGTCTCCCTCCACCCACAGATGCACTGAATAAACATCTATCCATGGATCCATTCCCTCTGAGAGAAAGTCAGAGACCAATTGAGAGACTCCTACCCACTGAGCAACTAAGAAAACAACATAAAACAGGTAGGAGACGCCCAGGCGCACTTGGGCATAGACCTCACCCTGGGCACTATGCCATAAAATTGGAAAAGGAGTCTCCAACACCCAGTTTCTCCCCATGGAGAAGAGTGTCTGGACCTCACACAGAGGGCCTTGACCTCATGCTTCCCTGTTGTTTTATACACAGCAGGGATTAGACACACACGTGTCCCCCCAGGCTATAGGAAATAAAGTGGTGGTCTTATATGGATTTTCATTCACCTCCAGGTATTTCATCCCCTAGTATCAGTGCACAGAAGAGGCTTTAAAAAAAACCACAGCCCTCTATTGCCTACTCTCACCACAAAACACTTTCAGTGACTGCCAAGCAGGCAAGTGGCCTGGCTTCAAGCTAACTTGCATTGTAGAGTTAAAGAGACAGCCAATTCCAGACACCAGTCTGGAAGGAGTTTGCACCCATACTAAGCACCCCAACTTTTACCACATCCACCTAAAAGACTGTATCATTAATCTCATGGCTTTTGGAGCAGAGGGGACTAGCATACACACATCTCCCTGGATAGCAAGAAAGAAATAGTGTCTTTAAACATGCATGCAAGCACCATCAGGGACTTCATCCCTCTGGAGTGGTGCAGAGAAGGGGCCTAAAAAAATGAAACTCCCTGTTTCTCCACCAGAAGGGGTTTAGAACACACACTGAGAGCACCAAATTGTTAAAGCTTCCTCTTGAAGGGCTCCATCCTAAACCTAGTAGCTCTGGGAACAGAAGGAAATAAACATATGTGAGTCTTCCCTGATCCCAGAACAAAGAGGTGATTTTAAATGGGCATCCAAATACTTCCAGGGGTTATAACCCCTTGGGGCAGTGCAGGAAAGAAGCAGGCACATGGAGCTCTCCCTTTCTCTTCATAAGAGGCTTACCACACCCACACTCAGTGGCTACTTGACAGCTTGGACTCTAATAAACTTGCATCAGGGAGCCCGTGAGGCAAGCAAACAGTAGCCCTCCATTAGCTGAAGCCAGAGCTTGGCACTTATCTCCCTGGCTTGCCACAGAGATAAATTCAGGCCCATCCAGTCTTTCTGGGAGGAGTTTGGCCATGCACCATGTGTCACAACTTCCATAGCTCCTACCCAAGGGACTGTTTCCTTAACAACCTTCCTCTGGAAGTTCAGAGGACTTTGCTATTTGGAGTAACCCAAGGCCATAGAAAACAAACAGGTGGATGTATAACGGGCCTACTCCCAGAAGCTATCTCTCCAGGATCAGAAGGTGCAGCCTGAACATGAATCCAGGCATTTGCCACAGATCTTCTCCTGGACTAGTCCAGAGAGAGTGGGATATAGACACCTGAACCAAGCCTCACTGTGAGACAGAAAGATTTGGAACTCACACCCACTCCCCCAAGCTTTCCAGCTACATCTAAAGAGTCTGGCATCCCTCAAACTGGTCTTGGGATACTGACAAGACATGGTACATCCTAAGTTTTAGGGGACTGTATTAGTCCATTTTCACATTGCTGATAAAGGCATACCCTGAACTGGGCAATTTACAAAAAAAAAGAGGTTTATTGGGCTTACAGTTTCATGTGGCTGGGGAGGTCTCACAATCATGGTGGAAGGTAAAAGGCATATCTCACATGGTGGCAGACAAGAGAAGAGGGCTCGTTCAAGGAAACTCTCATTTTTATATAACCATCAGATCTTGTGAGACTTATTCACTATCATGAGAACAGCACAGGAAAGACCTGCCCCAATGATTCAATTACCTCCCACTGGATCCTTCCCACAACATGTGGAAATTCAAGATGAGATTTGGGTGGGGACACAGCCAAACCATATCATTCCACCCCTGACCCCTCCCAAATCTCATGTCCTCACATTTCAAAACCAATCATGCCTTCCTAACAGTTCTCCAAAGTCTTAACTCATTTCAGCATTAACTCAAAAGTCCACAGTCCAAAGTCTCATCTGAGACAAGGCAAGTCCCTGCTACCTACAAGCCTGTAGAATCAAAAGCAAGTTAGTTACTTCCTAGATACAATGGGGGTACAGGTACAGGCATCGGGCAAATACAGCCATTCCAAATGGGAGAAACTGGCCAAAGCAAAATGGCTACAGGCCCCATGAAAGTCCAAAATCCAGCAGGCCAGTCAAATCTTAAAGTTCCAAAATAATATCCTTTGACTCCATGTCTTACATCCAGGTCATGCTGATGCAAGAGGTGGGTTCCCATGGTCTTGGGCACTCTGCCCCTGTGGCTTTGCACCTCTCTCCCAATTGCCTTAATAGGCTGGCATTGAGTGTCTGTGGCTTTTCCAGGTACACGGTGCAAGCTGGGGTCTGGAGGACGTGGTCCTCTTCTCACAGCTCCTCTAGGCAGTGCCTCAGTAGGGACTCTGTGTAGGGCTTCCCTTCTGCACTGCCCTAGCAGAGTTTCTCCATGAGAGCTCTGCCCCTGCAGCAAACTTCTGCCTGGGCATCCAGGCGTTTCCATACATATTCTGAAACCTAAGCAGAGGTTCCCAAGCCCCAATTCTTAACTTCTGTACACTTGCAGGCTCAACACCATGTAGAAGCTGCCAGGGATTGGGGCTTGCACCCTCTGAAGCCATGGCCCAAGCTCTATGTTGGCCCCTTTCAGCCATGAGTGGAGCGGCTGGGATGCAAGGCACCAAGTCCCTAGGCTGCACACAGCATGGGGACCCTGGGCCTAGCTCAAGAAACCACTTTTTCCTCCTAGGTCTCTGGGCCTGTGATGGGCTGGATTAACTGGTGAAAACCTTCTCCATACAAGCTTAGTCTAACAAGATGGAGAGGTAGGTGTCTTATATAATGTACAGAAACCAACACAGAGAATTAAGTAAAATGAAGAAATAGGGGAATATATTCCAAACAATAGAACAAGATAAATTTTCAAAAAACTGACCCAAATGTAGTGGAGTTTTGTGATTTACCTGACAGGAAATTCAAAATAATGATCATAAAGATGCTCACAGAGATCAAGACAGCAATGCAAGAACAAACAAAGATCTTCAACAAAGAGAAAGTATAAAAAAGTGCTAAACAGAAATTAAAGATCTGAAGAATGCTATAACTGAACTGAGAAATTCAATGGAGGTGTTTGATGGTAGTAGTAGACTAGGTTAAGCAGAAGAAAGGATTGGTGAACTTGAAAACAGATTACTGGACATCATCCAATCTGAGGAGCAAAAAGAAAAACATGAAAAAGAGTGAGGACAGCTTAAAGAGACTTATCAAACGCCATCAAGAAGAACAACTTATGCAGCAGTGTGCCAGCAGTAGAAGAAAGAGAAAAAGGAATGGAAAACATATTCAAAGAAATAATGGCAGAAAACTTCCTAAGTCTAAAAAATAAATTAGAAAGATAGCTTTAAAAACCCTGTAAGGATACTAAATAAGATAAACACAAAGAGATCCACACCATGACATATCACAGTCAAACTGTCAACAGTTAAAGCCAAAGAGAAAGTGTTGAAAGCAGCAAGAATAAAAGCAAATTGTGACATACAGAGGAACCTCTATAAATCTATCAGTGGGCTTCTCAGCACAAACCTTGCAAACCAGAATGGAATGGAATAACATATTCAAAATCCTAAAAGAAAAAGACTGCCAGTTAAGAATACTATATTCAGGCAATCTTGTCTTTCAAAAACAAAAGAGTGATAAAAACTTTCTCAGACAAAATCTGAGAGAATTTATTACACCAGATCTGCATTACAAAAAAATGCTAAAGGAAGTTCTTTAAGCTGAAGGACAAGGATGCTAATTAGTATCATAAAGTCATATGAAAGCATAAAACTCACTGGTAAAAGTAAGTATGTTGTCAAATGCAAAACAGTTTAATACTATAATGGTGGTGGGTAAATTGATTATATCTGTACTATAAAGGTCAAAAAACAACATTATTTTTAAAAGGCTACTATAATTACCTATGGAATATATTATAAAAAGATGTATAGTGTGAAATCAAAAACATAAAACGTGGGAAGAAGGGAAGTAGAAGTGACGAGTTCGTGTATACAATAACAATCAAGTGTTCTAAGCAAAAATAAATCTGTTATAAGAGGTTTTATATAAGCCTCAGGGAAACCACAAAGCAAAAGCTTATAATAGATACACAAAAGATAAAAAGAAAAGAACCAAAGGATACCACTACAGAAAGCCATCAAACCACAAGGAAGAAAGCAAGAGAGAGAGAAGTGAACAAAAGATTTACAAACAACTAGGAAACAATTAACAAATTGAGAAGAATAAGTTCATACCTATCAATAATAACCTTGAATGTAAATGGATTAAATCCTCCAGTTAAAAGTGTAGAGTAATTGAATGGAGGTTGGGCATGGTGGCTAACGCCTGTAATCCCAGTGGCTTGGGAGGCCAAGGGAGGCATATCACTTGAGGCCAGGAGTTTGAGACAAGCCTGGCCAACATGGTGAAACCCCATCTCTACTAAAAATACAAAAATTAGCTGGGCGTGGTGGTGGGTTCCTGTAGTCTCAGCTACTTGGGAGGCTGAGGCAGCAGAATTGCTTGAACCCTGGAGGTGGAGGTTGCAGTGAGCTGAGATGGTGCCACTGCATTCCAGCCTGGGTGACAGAGTGTGGCTCTGTCTCAAAAAAAAAAAAAAAGTGTAGAGTAATTGAATGGATTAAACAACAACAACAACAACAAAAAACACCCAAATATATACTGCCTACAAGAGGCTCTACCTTACCTGTAAGGACACACATAGATTGAAAATGAAGAGAGAAATCCATCAAAAATGGCGACTGTCGAACAGGAAACCACCCCTACTTCTAATCCTGTGACTACAGAAAAGGAGAAAACAGAATCTATTCAGGAGGTTGCTAACCCAGAACACTATATTAAACATCCTTTACAGAACAGATGGGCCCTCTGGTTTTTTAAAAATGGTAAAAGCAAAAACTTGGCAAGCAAACCTGTGGCTGATCTCTAAGTTTGATACTGTTTGAAGACTTTTGGGCTCTGTACAACCATATCCAGTTGCCTAGTAATTTAATGCCTGGCTGTGACTACTGACTTTTTAAGGCTGGTATTGAGCCTATGTGGGAAGATGAGAAAAACAAACTGGGAGGACGATGGCTAATTACATTGAACAAATAGCAGAGATGAAGTGACCTCGATTGCTTTTGGCTAGAGACACTGCTGTGCCTTATTGCAGAATCTTTTGATGACTACAGCAATGATGTATGTGGTGCTGTTATTAATGTTAGAGCTAAAGGTGATAAGATAGCAATATGGACTACTGAATGTGAAAACAGAGAAGCTGTTACACATATGGGGAGGGTATACAAGAAAAGGTTAGGACTTCCTCGAAAGATAGTGATTGGTTATCAGTCCCACGCAGACATAGCTACTAAGAATGGCTCCACCACTGAAAATAGGTTTGTTGTTTAAGTAGACACCTTCTGAGTATTCTCATAGGAGACTGCATCAAGCAGTCGAGATTTGGGAGCTGAACCAAAGCCTCTTCCAAAAGCAGAGTGGACTGCATTTAAATTTGATTTCCATCTAAATGTTGCTAAGATATAAGAGAAGTCTCATTCGCCTTTGTCTTGTACTTTGGTGTTCTTTTTTTTGGCTAGCGTGTCCACTATCCCAAACAAAGAATTACAGTACTCATCCCCAGAATCCATGAATGTGTTCCTGTCCCACTCTGTAATAGTTCAGTAGAATTACCGTTAATTACATATACATTTTACCTATCCACAATATTCAGAAAACAACTTGGCATTTTTATACTTTACACACACAAAAAATACGGTTAGTGTTCTATTGTATGCAGGCACATATTTTGCTGGTTTGAAAGATTATGATGCATATAGTTTCTAGCAATTTTCTTTGTTTCTTTTTACAGCATTGTCTTTGCTATACTCTTGCTGATGGCTACTAGATTATAATTTATTTGTTTTTCTACTTGATAACATTAGTGATTCTGATTTCAGTTTTTCATTTGTTTTGCTTTTGTTCTTTTCCTCATGTAACATTGGTGAAGGATCCAGGAATATGACACATAGGTGGAATAAACATTAGCTTTGTGCAAAAAATAAAAGAAAGTGCAGAGATAGAAAAATATATTCTATGCAAATAAAACCCCTCCAAAAAAGCAAGAGTAGCTATACTTACATAAAATGAATTTTAAGTCAAAAATTGTAAAAAGAGATAAAGATGGTCATTATATAATGGTAAAGGGATCAATTCAGCAAGGTGATATAACAATTGTAAATATCTATGCATCCAACACTGAACACCTAAATATTTAGAGCAAATATTAATAGATCTAAAGGAAGAGATAGACTGGCAATACAATAATAGTAGGGAGTTTCACCACCTCACTTACAGCAAACAACATATCATTCAGACAGAAAATAAAAATATAACATTAGAGTGAAACTACACTCCAGACCAAATGGCCCTGACATTTACAGATTATTTCATCCAACAGCTGCAGAATATGCATTTTCTCATCAGCACATGGAACATTGTTATGCCACAAAATAAGGCTTAGAAAATTTAAAAAAAATGCAAATAATAACAATTATATTTTCTGATCACAATAGAGCAAAACTAAACATCAATAACAAAAGGAATTTTGGAAACTATACAAATACATGGAAATTAAACAACATGCTTGGAAATGACCAATGGGTCCATCAAAAAATTAATAAAGAAATTAAAAAAATTTTTGAAACAAATGAAAATGGAAACAACATACAAAAACCTATGGGATACAGCAAAAGTAGTACTAAGAGGGAAGTTTATAGCAATAAACAAATACATAAAAATAGAAATATTTCAAATAAACAACCTAATGATTTCCATTTCCTTGAGAATGGAAAAGCAAAAACAAACCAAATGAAAAATTATTAGAAGAAAAGGAACATAAAGATCAGAGCAGAAGTAAATGAAATTGAGATAAAAATACAAAAGATCAGTGAACTGAACAGTTGTTTTTTGAAAAGATAAGCAAAATCAACAAACCTTTAGTTAGAAAGTGAGAATAATAGAGAAGATTCATATGAATAAAATCAGAGATGAAAAAAGAGACATTACAACTGATGCCACAGAAATATTAAGGATAATTAGAGACTATTACAAACAACTATATGGCAACAAGTTGGAAAACCTAGAAGAAACGAATCACTTTCTGGACACATACAACCTACCAAGTTAGAATCATGAAGAAATAAAAAAATTGAACAGATCAATAACAAGTAACAAGATTCAATCGGTAACAAAACATCTCTTAACAAAGAGAAGTCCAGGACTAAACGGCTTCACTGCTAAATTCTACCAAACTTTTAGAAAACCAATTCCAGGGCCGGGCGCGGTGGCTCACGCCTGTAATCCCAGCACTTTGGGAGGCCAAGGCGGGTGGATCATGAGGTCAGGAGATCGAGACCATCCTGGCTAACAAGGTGAAACCCCGTCTCTACTAAAAATACAAAAAATTAGCCGGGCGCGGTGGCGGGCGCCTGTAGTCCCAGCTACTCGGGAGGCTGAGGCAGGAGAATGGCGTGAACCCGGGAAGCGGAGCTTGCAGTGAGCCGAGATTGCGCCACTGCAGTCCGCAGTCCGGCCTGGGCGACAGAGTGAGACTCCATCTCAAAAAAAAAAAAAAAAAAAAAAAAAGAAAACTAATTCCAATTCTTCTCAAGTTATTCCAAAACATTGAAAGAGAGGGAATTCTTCAAAACTTATTCTGGGAGGCCAATGTTAAAAACTAGGCAAGGACACAACAACCACAAAAAAACAAACAACAACAACAAAAAACCTATAGGCCAATGTCTCTGGTGAACACAGATGCAAAAATACTTAGCAGAATACTAGCAAACCAAATCCAACAGCACTTGAAAAAGATTACCCATGATGATCAAGGGGGTTTTACCCCAAGGATGCAAGGCTGGTTTAACCTACGCAAATCAATAGATGTGATACATCACTTCAACAGAATGAAGGACAAAAGCTATACGATAATCTCAACAGATGCAAAAAAAGAATTTGATAAAATTTATTATTGTGTCACAATAAAAAGTCTCAAATTAGTTATGGAAGGAACATATCTCAAAACAATGCATACCATATATAATAAATCCACAGATAACATCATACTGAATGGGAAAAAAAGCCTTTTCTCTAAGATCTGGAACAAGACAAGAATGCCCACTTTTACCACTTTTATTCAACATGGTGCTAGAAATCCTAGCCAGAGCAGTTAGGCATGAGCAAGAAATAAAGGACATCCAAATTGGAAAGGAGGAAGTCAAATTGTCTTGTTTGCAAATGCCATAATTTAATATTTAGAAAAGCCTAAAATTCACCAAAAACTCTTACAACCAATAAACAAATTCAGTAAAGTTTCAAGATACAAAATCAGGATGCAAAAATCAACAGCATTTCGATACAGCAATGGCAAACAATCTGAAAAAGAAATCAGGAAAGCAATTCCATTTACAATAGCTACCAAACAAACAAAATTTCTAGGAATAAATTTAACTGAAGAGATGAAAGATCTCTACAATAAAAACTATAAAACACTTATTAAAAATTAAAGATGACATACAAAAAATGGAAAGATATTTCATGTTTATGGGTCAGAACAATTAATATTGTTAAAATGCCTTTACTGTACAGATTCAGTGCAACCCCTATCAAAATTCCAATGACATTCTTTACAGAAAACAATTCTAAAATTTGTAAGGAACCACAAAAGACCCTGAATAGCCAAAGCTATTCTGAGCAAAAAGAACAAAGCTGGAGATAGCACACTACCTGACTTCAAAATATGTTATGAAATTATAGTAACCAAAATTGCATAGTACTAGAATAAAAACAGACACATACACCAGTGGAACAGAATAGAGGATCAGAAATAAATCTATGCATTGACAGCCAACTGATTTTTGACAAAGGTGCCAAAATCACTCACTGTGGGAAGGATGGTCTCTTCAATAAATAATGCTGGGAAAACTGGATATCGATATGCTACTGTAGCACAAAACTAGATCCCTGTCTTTCACCATATGCAAAATTAGACTAGAATTGATTAAAGACTTACATGTAAGGCCTGAAACTATGGAACTATTAGAAGAGAACATTGGGGAAATGCTTCAGAACATAGGTCTGGGCAAATATTTTTTGAGTAAGACCATAAAGCCCACAAAAGCAAAAATAGACAAATAAGATTACATCAAGCTAAAAAGCTTCTGCTCAGCAAAGGAAACAACAGGGTGAAGAGCCAATATACGGAATAGGAGAAAATATTTGCAAACTATCCATCTGACAAAGGATTAATATTTAAACTATGTAAGAAACTTAACAACCAACAGCAAACAATCCAAATAATCCTATTAAAAATTTGCATGTAATCTGAATAGACATTTATCAAAAGGAGACATACAAGTGGCCAACAGGTACAAGAAAAAATGCTTGACATCACTGACCATCAGAGAAATGCATATCAAAACCACAATAATCCATTATCTCATTCCAGTTAAAATGGCTATTATCAAAAAGACAGAAAATAACAAATGCTGGTGAGGATGAAAAGAAAGGGAAACTCTTATACACTGATTGATGGAATGTAAATTAGTACAGCCATTACAAAAACAGTGAGGAAATTCCTCAAAAAAAACTAAAAATAGAAGTGCCATATAATTCAGTAATCCCACTACTGGGTATATATATCCAAATCATAGGAAATCAGTATATTGAAGAGATAGAGGAGATAGCTACACTCCTAAGTTTATTGCAGTACTATATCCCAGCTAAGATATGGAATCAATGTAAGTGTCTATCAACAAATAAATTGATAAAGAAAAGGTGGTATACATATATATATATATGCAATGGAATATGATTTAGCCATAAAAAAGAATGAAATTCTGTCATCTGCAGTTGTGGCAACCTAGATGAACCTGGAGGATATTATGTTAAGTGAAAAAAGCCAGACAGAGAAAGGAAAATACCACATTTGCTCACTTATATGTGGGAGCTAAAAAAAAATTGATCTTATAGATGTAGAGACTGGAATAATAGTTACTAGAGGCTGGGAAGGGAGGAGGAATAAGGAGAAGTTTGTTAAGAGGTACAAAATTACAGTTAGATGGGAGAAATAAGTTCTAGTGTTATATATATAGCATAGTGGGGTGACCATAGTTAACAACAATTTGTTGTGTATTTCAAAATAGCTAGAAGAGAGAAATTTGAACGTTCTCAACACAAAGAAATGGTAAATGT